>NC_000007.14:25240242-26490242 GCF_000001405.40 Homo sapiens
TGGCCTGTTATTCTTCCTCCCCAACCTCCGCCCAAAATCTCAAAAGTAGTTGAATTTGGAGCATCTTGAATTTGGAGATTCCCAAATTATTGTCACACTTGAGAACCTGCGACAGCGTTGTTCTTACTACCGGATAAATGAGTGCCGAGAGACTCCAAGTCCAGTCCCACAGGATCCTATTGCATCACCCCCTGTCTTTGGACATGCCTGTGAACAGCAGTTGCTGAAACGATTTTGATGAAATGTGACATTTGCAGACTGTGGCCGCTGACCAAAGAATCTGAGCTATGGTATCCAAAATTTTACAGGCTACAAAATCGAAGCTGGCCAGCATTTATTGCTTGAACTGACAGCTTGAGCCAAGTTTCCTAAGCCTACAGGGCAGACTTCTTACTGCTGCTAATTTTACTATCAGCAAACAAAAGGGAAAGGGGAAACAGTATCAAATGCGGAAGGAGAGTATCTGTGAGCACGAGGTGAACACGGATAATTGGAAGAGGGCGACTTTCTGTGTTCTAAAACTAAAAAGGACTAAATTTGCACAGAAGTAAAACGGGAAAAGGTGTAATACAGAAAAAGCTATAAGCAGAGATCCTGTGCTGACTTCTCAGGACGGCAATGATTTATATATTAAGTCAGGCACCAGGGACATGTTAAAAACTCTACAGGGAAATTTCCCATATGATGGATAGAACTTTAATATTAATGGAGGATTCATCATGGTAATGTAAGTCATAGATCTAAATCTCCTTTCATCAATTGAATAGTTCCTTTCCAGCCTATTATACAGGTAGTACAGGTTTTAAATAGCATCATATAACAGGGCTGAAGTCTTTCTTTAGCTGCAGTTTCTGAAGTTCTGTTCACAGGAATAGTGACTGACTGAGTCATTTGTCTTTCACAATATTACCTGGGCCATCTGCATTTCTCCCCTTTACTTTTTATTAATATTTAGCACTCTTTAAAATATACTTAAGTTGTACTTTTTTCACAAATTAAAAAAAGCAGAATTCAATAAAAACTATTTCACACACATGAAGTGGATATGAAGGAAAAAATCGATTATTCATCTATTTGTTAAGGATTATCCGAAGAAGAAAAGTAATTCCTGCGTTGCTATTTGGTATAGCTGTCTAGTACACAATCACCAATTATATGCATTGCATTGTTCAGCATCTTACTCTGGGTTTTCTAGTCTTCTTGTAACAATGAAAGCCAAACAACATGGTAGCACATCCTCCCTAGGATCTTGTAAGGCAAGGACAACCTTTCTGGAATGAGAATATTCGCAATGTTGAAGTTAGCAATAATAAATAAGGCTTGGCTGCTACTTTTTTTTTCAAGAGGGACTCCAACATTCATTAATGGAGCATACAGTCATCTTTTCTTATCTTAGTCTAAAACATGCATGAAAATAAGTTCAGACTACAAATACAGACTTAAAAGTATATACACAGAAAAGCAGATCCTCAGTTCTATCAAAAAGCTGGGCTTTCCTTAAGCCTGGATATCACTGCATACTGTGCCCCTCTTTTCTAAATTCATAATGTGCACGGACTATCCTCCACTGCAGTTTTATGCCCATGGAGTAACCAGTGTTAACCTATGGCATGTATTCTGTGAGATGTGAAGGTTCTGAGAAGTCCTGCTGTGAAGAAAACTGTTTAATGTTGCAGAATCCAGCATTTTCTAAATTTTATTTTGATGGTGGAATCCCTTTCTTTTTTTGAGACAAAATCTCACCTTGTTGGCCAGGTTGGAGTGCGGTGGTGCAATCTTGGCTCACTACAAACTCTGCCTCCCGGGTTCAAGTGATTCTCCAGCCTCAGCCTCCCGAGTAGCTGGGATTAGAGGTGCCCACTACCACACCTGGCTAATTTTTGTATTTTTAGTAGAGACAGGGTTTTGCCATGTTGGCCAGGCTGGTCTTGAACTCCTGACCTCAGGTGATTTGCCTACCTTGGCCTCCCAAAGTGCTGAGATCACAGGCGTGAGCCACTGCGCCAGTCGTGGAATCCCTTTTTATAGGTAAGATCTGTAAACAATTGGGAAATCTTGGCCTACTGGAGGTATTCATAAACTTGGCCTCTTCTTTTTTGTTTTCAGGGTTTGATTTTCATTGGAAACTTTGTGATGAACTCCTATTCATCCTTCGAGTCGTGATTCAGATGTTACTTCCTCTGTGAAGATTTCTCCACTTGCCCTAGAATGGATGTGCAGTTTTTCCCTTTTGCCTCCTACTCCTTTAGCATTTTTTTGTGTGTGTGTGTCAGATCTATGTTAATGTTCAGATCATTAACTAACTTATTTATTTTTATTTTCCCCTTCTGATCTATAATTGCCTTTATTTTAAGGAGTGTATTTTTATTGTCAGTGCCCTACAGAGTGGCTGGGTCATTGTAAGAGCTCAACAAAGATCTGCCGAAGGAATGGATGAATAAGTAGAACCTGGGAGCTTAAGCAGAAAGATTATCTTTCTGGTGTGTTGATGTGTGATTAATGAATGAACCTTTTGAGTTAAGTACTTTCTCCATTATAGTGACTAATTTCCATAGAGTTGATTGGATTGAGATAGACTCTGTTGTGAAATGGTTAATCATTTAGTCTGCCAAAAAAGCAAGATTGACTGTTACTCAGTCTGTTTTCCGCCTTGTATGAACATAGTACCTATTCATAATGGAGACCTTTTTGGTGTATACTCACTACCAGTCTATAACTCAGAATTTCCTCTTTTTTTTTTTTACCTGCTAAGGGAAAATATTGAATTTATAGACCTCTTTACCTTTCATTAAAAAGCTGGCATTATAGATTTATGGAATTACAGATTTGACTATATTATGCTTTTAGCCTTTTAATTTATAATAGTTAATTTTTTTTCCTGATATATTCTAGGTTTCAGGCTTCAAATTTTATTGTGGGTTGGGCACATTTTTCTCACTTTTTTTCCTTCCTTCCTTCCGCTCTCCCCACTCCCTCCCTTCCTTCATTCATTTTAAAAAACCTTTTAAAAGATGTGCAAGAATGAAGATAATAATCTCCCTCTCTGGCTCTACTACACTTCAGTTCTATGCCCATGCATGACGAATGTTAACACTGTGGTATATGGCTTCAGGTATTTGGTTGGCATAGATTTGGGGAAATGTAAGGACTCAGGCCAAGATGCAGCTTGGCTAGAAGGCTACATTTATAACATCCTTTTCTACAGTTCTGTGTTCTCTTTTTGAAGATGGTTTATAAACTTATAACCTGGTAAGGATATTAAGAAGAATCCATGTGTCCAAGAAAATTAATTATGTTTCTGTCGTACAGACTAGGATGGCAAATTAGGTAGGGATAAGTCAACTCTTTCTGTAGGTTGTCAGAATGTAAAAAATAGGTAGCATATCTGATTAGAAGAGGAAGAGGGAAAAAAAGTTAAGCCAGAAAGGTTGTTAGCTTGGGGTCAGGAACACCCATTATTTCCTCCCCCACAGCAATGAAGTCTACCACTGCAGGGAAGTGACACTCCTGAGTACCCCTGGCACCATGGCAAGGCCTAAAACCAAAGCAAAATGGATGATAGTAGTTGGGGAGGCGAGGGAGGAGAGAAAGAGACCATATGAAGTAATGGGACAAGCACTTGATTTGGAAGTTAGGGAGTCTGCCTTCTAGTTTCTAGCTTCTGGGTAACCTTGAGCAAGTTATTTAGCTTGTAGTTTCTTCCTGCAAAAAATCTGTGGATTGTGGGATAATCTTTAAGGGCTCTCTACCTCCAAAAGTCTGTGTGTTGGTGATGTGAGATAAAGAGTTTGAGAGAGCTGGAGAAAAGAGATGTGTGGATAGGATTGGTAAAGATCATCCAACTCAGGTGCCCCTGAACTTGTCAGTTCAAAATGGCTAAATTGACAGGCAATTGCCCCTGAATTGCTCAGGGGCAATTCCTGCTTCCTCAAATCCAGGAGACAATTGACTAGCTCTAGAAGTTTCTGTTCATTAGCTGGGGTGGAGCTGAGAATCTGGCTAATAGAGAAAGGAATTGTTATATATAACCCCTGCCAGGAAGCCAATAGATCACAGGCAGTAGATAGAGTCCTTCTTAACCAGTTAAGTCTCGCACCTGCAGGTTCACCCCGGGAAACCATGCATGGAAATGGGGATTGTATCCTGGAACTTTTATCTTTAGATGGGCTAATTTTGACTGAGCACAAATTCCTTGGCTAAGGACCAAGTGTTCCTGGGAGCCAATCCTCTGTAGCAGGGTTTAGCTTTAAGGCTATTTGAAAGCCAAAACAAAGAGAATGAGTTTCACATTCTCAAGCAACTGCTCTGATGCCTGAATTCTAAAAGGTGTTCCAGAAACAGAGCTCACAGACTCTAACCCTTGACCATCAGAGTTCTCCCTGTAGCCCCTTTCAGGGTAAGTGTGGGGACAGTCAGTTGTGGAATGTTAGATGAGCAGAAAACTTTCCAGGGCTGTAGGTTGTTAGTTGATTCCCCAGAAAGCAGTTCTGTGAAGCTATTCTTATTTTTACATATGGCATATCTGAAAAAGGGATTATTTGGTGATTGCAACATTTTTTGTTTTATGTGCCTCTGCAGGCAAGATATGTTTTGTCTTCCATCAAGTCTTTAAAAAATATTTATCCTGGCATCTTCCCATTTTTCTTTCCACATGGAAACTCTCATATTTTTAAGACTAGTTGTGAAGTCATTCCTGGGTATGCACATTATATGGAGCTCTTAGAAAAACTTTGAAGGACAATGAATATAAAACGATAGTTTTTTTTATTAATATGTACCAGACATTACAAGCCATTCTTTTGTTGGGCTCTTCTCGATTAGCAAGCTGTAACAAAGTGTGGCAATTATGCTTTTTCTAGGGGGACAGCATATTGAAAACTATGGAAGATAAGAAAAACATGAGAATTTGAAAAAATGTTCTCATGATAGCATCATGAAAGCAATGTTATCTTATAGTTAAATAAAGCATGAACAATAATTTTGGGTTAGGTATGTTCTTCAATTATGCATTTGATTTTGGTAATAAAAGACGAATGCTTTTCAATAACGTTTGGAATTTAAATATACTGTTTCTTTTTCCCACTCTTCATGAGAGCACTTACCAATGCAAAAGTTACCTCTAGCCCATTCTTGTCCATTAAAAATTAAATGCTTTTACAGTAAATTATTAAAAGTGCTAGGTTGGCTGCAAATCATCAAAGGTACCATAAACCATTATGCAAGCAAGCGAGAAGTCTGATTAAATCTAAGGGATCAGAAGGCATATACATCCCTTGATATCCATCGCAAATTTGAAACTTACAAAAGCTACCATAAAATGCTACATTAAATTACTTTAAAAACTCTTCCAGGATTTTCACAATTCAACAGTGACTTGCCTTTTCAATTAAGTATGAACTAGGAACCTTCTACCACAAAGCACAGACACACCACTATTTAGAAGTTATTTCCACT
Source organism: Homo sapiens (assembly GCF_000001405.40). Taxonomy (NCBI): domain Eukaryota; kingdom Metazoa; phylum Chordata; class Mammalia; order Primates; family Hominidae; genus Homo; species Homo sapiens. The sequence goes on from NC_000007.14 coordinate 25,245,697, forward strand.
TTCTCTAAACCTGCAGCAAAATTAAACCCATTTTTCCAACTAATATAGCTCGCTTAATGGAACTGGGGCACTCTAACAGGTTTGCTGAAAAGCTAGTAATTAATGAAGTTCTTGTTTTCCTGCAAAATATCTTTACTATCATTTGGTTATGAAAACAAAGATATGATGGGTCCTGAATATTGCAACACCATTATGAAAATGTTAGAAGTATTTAACTAAGAGATGTTTGAAGAAAAGAAAAGATAATTCATTGTTTTGCTTCAAAGAGACAATGTACACCAAATGTAAAATACCTAGCATAGTGCCTGGCCCATAGTAGTCACTCAATAAATGGAGACTTTTATTGTTGTTAACTCAATTTTTCATTTGAAAAACTCAGGTTCCACCAAGACTAACTTGTCTAGTGCTACCTGGATGGTGTGAGCCCCAGGGTGGTTGATTCTGAAGCCAGCAGCCCTAAGCATTACTGGCCTTCTTAGAATATGACTGTGCAGTTGACCTATTAGCTACTCATGTATGTGTAAAATGGCCTATTGAAACAAGATATAGGAGAAAGAAAAGTATAATCATGGAGGTAACATTTAGTCAAGTTGCAAAAATTGTGGAGAAGAGGAACAGCAATTGAAGCAAACATTTACAGTTGGGTTCTAGAGCAGGGTCTGCTCCCAAGTCTCCCACCCATTGTTTACATCTACCAAGTGGGGTGAGGATGAATAATTCTGTAGTATATCTGGGATTGGTTTGGGTGGCTAATGAACCTGAATGAATAAATGAAAAGCAAACATTTGTGGGTTAAGTGTCAGATGACTTCATCTGTCAGCAATTCTCAGACTTTAGTATGTATCAGAATTACCTGGAATACCTATTAAAACACAGCTGCAGGTGGTGACCCTAGCATTTCTGCTTCAGTAGGTCTGGAGTGGGATTCAAAAATTTGCACTGCTAACTAGCTGACGGGTGAGGCCAGTGTTGCTGGTCCAGGGACCCCACTTTGAGAACCATTGATTTAGGTTATCTAATTAATGCCACAACCCTGTGATGTAGGTGTTATTAGCCCCATTTTATAGATGAGAAAATGGATGAGTGGTAAGCTTGGGAAATTTTTCAGAGTGATGGTTTAGACCCTGGTTACAGAGAAGCTGAGAAATTGCCTTCAAAGAATTTCTGAATTTCTCCAATGGGTGACAGAAATGTAAGACTACAGCTGTTCATCTCTACTTCCCACTACCCTCCAGAAAGATGAATGTTGTCAGAATGAGACAAAAACTTGTTGGTATGTACCCAGCATGGCACGGTTCCAGAAACAATGAAAATGGAAACAATTCTTTCAGAGATCCTTGAGCACTTTAGATGGGAGAAGCTGAGGCATGGAATGGTTAAATGACTTCTTTGATTTTATATAGTGTATGAGAGGCAGCATTAGGATATCAGATGTCCTGAAATTCAATGAAATTTTAATTACAGGAGGAAAAATTTAGAGCTTCTGTTTGCCATCTTGATTGCCATCTGCCATGCCTGCTATCAAAAAAGCCAGATAATGAAGTGGAATAGATACCAAATCAGGAATCAGAATTTATTTATTTATCCTATATTTATCGAGTATCTTCCACATGCTAGGCACTGTTCTTGGTGCTGGGGAAAAAGTGGTAAACAAGATAGACAAAATTCTTGTTTTTGTACCCTAAAGGCAGTGAGACAATCAATGAATATGTTAGACAAACAAACAAACAAAAACAAAACCCAGTAAATGTAAGAGAATGATAAATACTATGAAGAAAATTAACATCAGATAATGTTATAGAAGATGATCACAGATTCAGAAACTTAAAAACACAGGTATAATGGTTTACTAAAGATGCAAAGAAGAACTGAGGGAGATTCACCACTAGCCAGAGGCTGGATCTGTCACATCCCAGTTCTTAGCATTTTGATTTTCTGGGTTCTATTTTAGCCATGACTATAACCCAAGATTTCCCCTCCAAACCTCTCCAGAAATTGTTTTGAGATCCTCAGGGGAGAAATGCTCTTGTATTCAGTCTTGTAAGCAAACTACAAAGAGATGATAATATACAGTTGGAAAGTTATGCAGGGATACATTTTGAAAACAGGTGAGATGATTGTATGTCACATGATGCATGTATATGTTTGATGAAAGATTCAGATATGGATTTTAAAGTCAAGGACAACAATCATAGTAATAATTGATTTAAGCAAGAATTACCAAAGGTTGGTCAAGCCAGCACATGTGCACATCTCTTCCCGACTCTGAGTTGAGTGATAACATAGTGAAGTCAGCCACGGTGGGAGTATTTAAACCAGGAAGTTGGCAAAGATGACAATGCAGGCCTTTACAAATTACTATTCTTTTTTCCCAGATTGAAACTGCCATTGCAAAGATTATAACTGAGGAAATTATGGCAGTGAAAGAGATCAGAGCTAATCGACTCCATCTTGCTTCTGACATTTAAGCTATCCTTGCTCATTCCTGGACATAGGCTGAACTAACTTTGGGAAGGAATTCAGTTTATGGTTTGACTTTAAAACAAAATTGATAATAGCCCTTTCCTGAAAAGACCCACTTCTTGCCTGGGCACCAGTCTGCCTTTGCAGGACTACCAAATTAGCTATAAGAATAGAAATTATGGTTTAGGGGGTATGCAACCTCTGACTGCAAGAGTCTGAACCTCCCCAAATTACTTCTGGGGGTAACATCATTATTGTAAAACCTAAGATCAGTTCTTGAGATATTTTGCAGACCCTGCACTGGACGGATCACCTGACACTGGGAACACCCAGACCGTGGTAATCTGGCTCAACCAGTTCTGCCATCCCACCCTGGAATAGAAGACAGCAGCAAACCTCACTTCGACCCCCTATGATTCCATCTCCACCCTGACAAATCAGCACGCCCCACTTCCAAGCCCCTACCGTGATTTGAGTACTAATAAAACTCCCATCTCCCACACAGCTGGCTCTGCATGAATTACTCTTTCCCCATTGCAATTCCCCCGTCTTGATAAATGGGCTTTGTCTAGGGAACAAGCAAGGCGAACCCATCGGGAGGTTACAAGAGTGCTGGTTGTTGTTGAGAAACCCCTCCATAGGTCTCTTGTGCTTTTACACGTCTTGCTGGGTATGCCAAAAATGTGCCTTGGCTTCTCTTTACCTAGGTAATTTCTCAGGGTTTCATCTGTAGTGAACAACTTTGAAAGATGAGGTGATATCTCCCTCTGAGACAAAGAACAGGCTTGCTTACTGTTTGCTATAAAAGTGGCAGATTTTTGAAGTTCAGTGTTTTTCTCCCATAACACAGCATGCTGCATATGCAGGCCTGCCATGTAGCCGTCATGGGACATAAAAGCAAAGGGAGCCAGTGTAAACATGCTGATGCTTATGATGCTTGCTATGCTGTGAGTAATAAAGTCTGTTGTCTCTGACCCCAGAGTCTTGTGTTTTCTGCCAGTATCCATGACACTGTAACAGGTTAACTTAGTAGCTTAAAAAAGTAGGGTAAAATAAAATTGCAGCCTTGACAGTTTTGGTGATAAGGAAGGAATGCAGATGGGAACTTGGCTTTCTTTTTTTGTTTTAATTAAAATTTATTTATTTATTTACTTTTGAGACAGAGTCTCGCTCTGTCGCCCAGGCTGAAGTTCAGTGGCGTGCTCTCTGCTCACTGCAACCTGTGCCTGCCAGGTTTAAGCGATCCTCCTGCCTCAGCCTTCTGAGTAGCTGGGACTACAGGCACACACCACCATGCATTTTTAGTAGAGACAGGGTTTCACCATGCTGGCCAGGCTGGTCTTGAACTTCTGACCTCGTGATCCTCCTGCCTCAGCCTCCCAAGGTGCTGGGATTACAGGCATGAGCCACCACGCCCAGCCCAAGGGACTTGGCTTTCTTGAAAAGGAAGAACAAGGATTCCATAAACCAGGATCAGATAGATGAGAAAACTCCCTGGGATCTGGTAGCAAATGTTCCTGCCCCAAGTAGTTGGGAGGGGGAGGATTGTGCGTGTGGAAGGTGGCGGTGGAGGAGGGGTTTCCCACTGTCCTATCTCTTAATAAACATGAGTTGAATTAATGCTTAGAGGCTAAGCAGCAAAAACCAGGACTAAACAAGCCACCTGAATGGTGCTTGATTGTTGCTCATTCTCTCCTCTTGGTGGGCAGAGTCAGAAATGTTATCAGGACAATGGGCGAGCAAGCTCCTTGGCCCCGGCTGAAACACAATGTCTCTATGGACATTGAGCCAGGAGTCCTCAAAGCCAAACAACTGATGTTAGCAATGAGGACTTTGCTATTTACATAGAGCTTTCCATGAACCAAAACCATTGGTTTATATGAGCTGAAAACATTGGTTAAGCCATGAGCGGGAGAGTGCTCAGAAGGAAAAGTGAACACAGAACCTTGCTTAGTAGCACTGAGGTGCTGCAGTCATGTCCCTGGTCCTTGCCACAGTTCAACTTCACCAGTGAGAGATGGGCACTAGGCACAGGGGTCTCCAAAGCCTTCAGAACAGCATGGTGGAGCTGTAGCCAGGGTGTTTACAGGGTAGAATGAAAGGGGACCCTGAGCCCTGGTGCTCGCTGGATGCCAGGGGTATATGAGGAGGAAGTAGTGCCAGTGCTTGGGCACCAACCTGGGGGTGAAGGGTCAAAAGAGGTAAAATGAAAAGGCTAACACCATAGCCTTATCCTCCCTGCTGGCATTCAACCCTGCCCTCTCAGCTGGGAAATAGCGTGGTCTAGAGGCTGTTGCTGTAGATCCTGACATGTACTCAGGTCAGCTCCTTGCAGCCTGTGGGATTTGGACAAAGTTGGAAGTAGGGAGGGGGAGCTAATGTGGCCTACTGGGTGGAAATTCTGGGCTAATTCAATATCCTGTTGTGGTTTGCACGGCTGAATGCATGATTGGTAATGATATTTTATATGCTTGTACTGTGAATGTCCACAAATATCAGAGGGAATTTTCCTGTTCGGGGATGACCACATGTACTGTCCAGCAAGTCCAACAGAAACAATATATAAACCTGAGGGAGAAAGGGAAATGTCAGCTTTAGTGAGGGATAATGACTGCTGGAATACTAAGAGAGGCCATTCTTCAGTACATTAGCTCCACTTCTCTCACACAGCCACCAAGTACTCCTCCCACCACACTCTTCCCTATTGGCAGCTATTAACCTGCTACTAAGCTCTTGTTTAAACTGAAAATCTTTCCAACAGAAGCCTGTGACTCTCAGGCTGGATATTCCCATTTGGGATGGGTCAAACAGAACTCAACAAAACAAGGTGGGAAGCGCCCAGTGAGCCTGTCTTGTCAAATAGAAATAGTATATTTAAGAGTGCTGCTCTAGTGGCATCTGAGAGGCCACTGAGTTTTACGTGAAACAGTAGCAGTCATCTCTTTGGAAGAAACTTTTATCTCCCCCTCCACTGCCTGAAGGAAAGCTGCTGGCTCAATAGGGCCCTTGATTCATCAAGGTTGGTCTGTAACCCTGAGCTCTTTCACTGATGATGGTTTAGCTAAGATGACATCTGATGATGTCCACTGGGTGGAAGCAACCATCCAGCCTCAGTGACAATTCTGTAAGACCAACTGCAGCACAATGGGCTGAATTGAAAGCCACACCCTCGCCTTAGACAGTACTCCTAAGGACTATTTCTGACTCTTAGGCTGTTACCAATGGCCTAGCCATGTGGTCTGCCACTTGGAAGACTAACACGGGCAGATAAAGATATTCCTCTCTGCGGCCATGAACTGTATAAACAAATTGTGTCTCCCAAGTAGATAGTCTGGGTCCCTTGTGTTGATGGCATTGTAAGGGCCTGTTGTCTGATGGGAACAATGAGAATTGAGCTGTTGATTGAGTGTGCAATGCCCAGATTGCTCCTATTGCTGCCTGGTGTCCTCACCTCATCAGAAATGGCAACAGATCCACCATTGCAGACTAGACACTGTAAAGGACCATGTGTTTCTGATGCAGAAGCTTCCACTGTATACCAGACTTGTGACTCCTGCCGAATTTTGGCCTGTTTGTTCTGTGGTAAAGTAGGCCACATTGCACAGGACATTACCTCTGTCTATTCCTGGCAAATTGACTATATCAAATCTTTGACCCCCTTTTGAGACTACCATTGTTGTCTCAATGCTTTGACATTTTTCTTTTTAAGGTTATGCTATTGCTGTTTCAGTCCAATCAGCTGACTCTAGCCACACCATTGTGCTTTAAAGTGAAATTGTGTCATGCATTAGGCTTTCTGAATCATTTGCAAAGAACATCTAACAATGAGATAATAGTCAAATACTTAAATGGACATTCCATATTCCTTACTATATCCAGTATTGCTGAGTGCTAGAATGGCATTCTCAAAAACTAACTCAAAAGTGTTTCTGACTCTTTGTCCAGTACATTTTCCTGGTCTACATATTTTAGTAAGGCAATTTGGTCACTTGATTTGGCTGTCTCAAGAAAAGGTCATCCTTTTTGGTTACTTCTGAGTAATAATTAGTACAAAAGGAGTACAGAGTTATATAGATCCGTTATGAAAGCTTGGGACTCCATTCTGACTAATCATGGACATGGTATGTCTTTCCTTCCCCTAATAGCAAATCCGGGTCAGCCTGATTGGTACATTTTCCAGGTGGCAGCCTGGGCAAAAGAAACCTGGGACATGACTGGTCCTGGATTATTCTGCTATGTCTGATGTTATGAATGGTTACAAACACACAGTCTGGCACAACATTGTTTCAATCTGACTGATTATAAATTCATATGCTTCTCCCGCTGCCTGAGCAGTGTTAGGTTAAATAATGTATGACTGTAACTACTCAGTGGCACTGCCCATGTTTTTTAACTCAACATACTTGTGATTGAGATCAAGTTTAACAACAAATATCAAATTGGAGTAACTGGGAGACTTTCAGGTTCTATGTTTGTATGTGGAAGAGAATGGACCATGAATTGTCTCACCATTTGTGTTGGGGGCTCCTTTTTGACCCAACTATTCTCCCTGTAATTATTGGCGATTATACCAAGGACTGATGAATTAACCTCTAATTCAATGAATTCACCTTTAAGTTGATGAATTAACTACCTTCTTTTGTGTGGGTCATTATGGACAATAGACAGACCTTCAAGACCATTCTAGCTGGCCACCCAAAAATGTCCACATCCTAATCCCCAGAACCTGTGAATATGAGACATGATAGGGAAAAGGGACTTTGCAGATGTGATTGAGTTAAGGATATTGATATGGGGAGATTATCCTGGATTATCTGGGTGGGCCCAAGGTAACCACAGTGGTCTTATAAGAGGAAGGCAGAAGGGACAGAAATGTGAGTGAATATTTAAGAATGGAAGCAGAGGTCAGGGAGGAGGAAGATGATTTAAAGATGGAGGAAGACGTCATGAGCCAAAGAATATAGGAGGCCTCTAGAAGCTGGAAAAGGTAAGGAAACAAATTCTCCCCTAAAGTCCCCAAAACGAATGCAGTCCTATGGATCCATTTTACACTTCTGACCACTAGAACCATAAGATAATAAATTTGTGTTGCTTTCAGTCACAAAGTTTGTGGCAATTTGTTACAGCAGTACTAAGAAATGAATACAGATTTTGGTACCAAGGGTGGGGTGCCGCCGTAACAAATACCTAAAAATGTGAAAGTTGCTTTGGAATAGGTAATAAGTGGATGCTAGAAGAATTTTGAGGAATATAATAGAAGAAGCCTAGATTGTCTTGAATAGATTGCAAGTAAAACATTGATATTAAAGAATTTGCTTGTGAGGGTTCAGAAGGAATTGGGGAGCACGGTAGAGAAAACCTATGTTTTCTAAGGGAATACGTCAATTACCATAAATAGGCCATTGATAGAAATATGGATGCTAGCATCACTGCTGATGGAGGCACAAAGGAAATGAGGAACACCTTATTGAAAACTGCAAGAAAGGTGACCCTTGCTATATAGTAGCAGAAAGCTTAGTGTTGAAAGCAAATAGTTGAAGATGCAGCCTTGTTTCTTCCTGCTGCTTACAATAAGATGTAAAAGGAAACAGAGGGATTGAAGAAAGAACTGTTAAGCAAAAAGGAACCAGGACTTGATAGTTTGGGAAATTCTCAGCCAATCCATATTGCAAAAGACACTAAAATGAGGAGATTTACTGTCAAGAAAGTACGTCTTGAAGGGAAAGCCAAGGGTGTGGCTGGACAACCTCTTGCCAGTGCATCAGAGGGGCCAAAAGGCCAGAGTATTCAGTCATACAGAGGGCTCTGTGAGGAGATTAGATGTGATTCATGGGTCCCATAAGCCATCTAAGAAGAAACCAGGAATAGAGATGGGGTTATCAAAGAAAGATCTGTAAAGGAAAAGCACCTTCTTGTCTAATGGTATGAATCCCTATAAATAAAAGGAATCCTTTCCTTTTATTTTCTCTCCCTTTTTCATCTTTATTATGAAGGAAAAAAATAGTAACTACAATGGATAAATCTGGCACCTTAACCAAGTAATCAAAGTTAACATTATCAGTAATGGGACAGATGGAAATTTTGTGCCACCTGATAGGAGGCAATGAGAACACAGTATCACTTCTGTGAGATTCCTGTCAAAAATATAATCTGAATCTAACCTTGAGGACAAACTCAAATTGAGAGAGACAAACTCTAAAATAACTGGTCTGTATTCTTTCAGATGTCAAAGTCATAAAAGACAAAGACAAACTGAGAAATTATTACAGATTAAAGAAGAAAAGGAGACAACGATCACTCAAGACATGATCTTGGATTGGATCCTTGAGTAATACATTTTTTCTCTCTTTTACTATAAAAGATATTATTAGGACAATTAGTCTAATAATGAAATAAGGTCCTTAGGTAACATAATAAGGTGGGTATCAATGTTACTTTTTCAGATTTTAACAACTGTACTATTGTATGTAAGAGCATGTCCTTGTTTTTGATAGAAATACACACTTAACTATTTATGTCTGTAACTTTCTCATGAACAGTTCAGGGGAAATACACACACAAATGTATATATATTTACATATGCAAACAGAGATAGACAAATATGGGAAAGCATTAACATCTGGTGAATCTGAATCAAGGAAATATGGAGATTCTTTGTGTGTAATCTCAGATGAAGATCGTTTACTCCCATTTCAGACAGTGCTTCAGTGTGGAACACAGAGTTGTACTGATTAGAGTGAAAGCTAAGCTGCAGTAACAAAGAGGCCCAACAACACAGTGGCTTAAGAAACAAGGCCCTTTATTCTCATTCTCGAAGCAATCCAGAACCGGCAGAGGGGCCCATTTGCTCCGTGCAGTCACGAGGGCTCCTTCCATCTCATTTCTCCCCATCACCTGGAGCACCATCCTCTTTCACATGGTTGATGCTAGCTTACAGGCCTTATCATGTTCCAGCTCACCAGAAAGGGTAAGAAAGTGGTAGAGCACGTGTGCCACGGTTGAAGGCCCAGGCCTGGAAGTGGCACACGTCACTTCTAACTCATATTCCTGATGGGGAGGTCTTGGTCATATGACCACACCAAGTTGCAGGGAGGGAATTTGTGGGAAGGGAAGGAGGTGTGATGTGGAGCTGGGCAACTCAATTAATATGGAAGAGGAGTGGAATCCGTTTGGTGGGCTACAATAAACCTTTGCTACAAGTAGCCTGTGTAAATCTCTGTCAAAATATCTGCAGCGTAGTTTTATTTATTTAAGTTTCCCCACTAGCCTGTGAGCCCCATGAGGACCAAGGACTAAGCTCTCACTTCTGACTTCCCAGTATCTAGCTCACATGTGAACACTCACTATGTTTCTATTGAAAAATGAATGGGGCACTTAAGTGTCTGGGTTGGGGGAGCAGGACAAGGGCAAAGATGAGCATCATTTTCATGACCTAGTTCAGAAAGCAAAGCTGAGCTTACTTATCAATGGCACTACACACCAAGTTTGTATAAGGCATTTGGTGAAAAGCTTTGCTCTGAAAAGAATGAGTTAACTCAGCCAAAAAGGGTGGGGCGGGTAGCACAATTCAAATGTGACATTCTACAGTTCAGCTCAAAAGAAGCAATTGGCTGATTGTCACCAAGTGACCTCACTTTGCTCTGCAGTTATCAGCATGGGAAGATATAAAACAGGTGAACCTGTGAATGTACACTGGTTTTAAACAGAGATAGAGGATGTAAAAGTCATTCTGAAGCATATGGGAGGAGCTGCTTCTACAAACCTGATTTCCCAGCTGCACAGTGGGATCAGAGGAGCAGGGCCGGGGACTTTTGTTCCGCAGAGTCCACCCCCACTCCCTATAGAAGGAGAGCTTCCAGGTGGCCTAAGTCAGCAGAATCAAGCAGGGTGCCCCATCCTGGGCTCCTGGAGACAACAACAGATGGCGGATGGGCAAAGCAAATTAATCAAGCCACCAAATGTTCTCAGATTTGGTTTTCAAATTCGCTACTAGTTACACACCGCCACTGTTACTGTGCATCATATTTACTTGACAGCATTGTCCAGTCCTTAGATTTCTCTCACTGGCTCACGCTAAAGAACATATGCCTTGTATTTCAATTAGCATTTTCCAAAGTTCAAGGGAATTCTGGGGCTGAAAAAAAACCAGTATGCCAGGAGTTCATGTACAAAGGCCATCTGTGGGGCTCATTTCAGTGTGCTGATGTAGCCTAAAAGGCAGAGGCTTGAGCTTAGTCTTTTTGAAATATAGGTTTTAGAAAAGCTCCTTGAACATACTGCAACACACTCCATGTGGGATTCTTGTCCGTCTCTTTGGAGGAGTTGGTCATGACTTTTAAGATCTTTTCTCATCCTTCCAGCTCTTCCCATCATCCATGTGAGGCCGTAGCTGTGTACAGAGCAGATTAGTGCAGTCTAACCACTCATCCATCACATAAGCCTTTCAGCAGCGAGTAGGCAGCCAAATGTCAGCGTGGCATGAAACTCCAGAGAAAGCACAGTCTACACAGATAAGGGCCAGCAAAGCACAGGGTATGGGTTTTGCTCACAGAGCATCTAGATGTGTTGTGCTACTCCTAGAGGATGTTCTTAACATCGAAAGCGACAGCTGAGGAGAAGAACTATCTAGAGGGCAATTTGGTCATAGCATGGAGATGAGGAGAATGGGAGACATCAAGGGATGGAAACGGATGAGGTGGGCACATCCCCAAGAACCATAAAAATGTCCCAAAGACATCTGAAAATACATTTGGAAACCGTACCTCAAGGCAGTGTGGTCCAGGTTCTGGTTCCTTCCCTGCCAGTACCTCCAATCACCTCTCTGGAGCTGTTTCCTTTCTGTGCAGTGTGGTGGGTAAGACTCCCTAGGTGATTCTCAATAGGCCATATTCACATGGTGCGGCTGGTCTAAGCCCAAGTGTCATGAGGATGGAGAGGACACAGAGGATGAGCCCAGGCAGGGCCAGCTCTGGGAACGCTGGCCACCTTATCAAAGGACATATTCCACATAGACTTGGCTGGAAGGACCTTCATCAGAATTTTTTTTATTACTACCAGGAGAGTGAAAATCAGGAAAACAATTTCCATGGTATCCATAAATTGGGGCTGATCTTGAGATGAATTATAACAAATTCTTTTGCTTATGTACTACTTTTCAGTTCCTAAAGTGCTTTTAAGCTCCACTCTTTGGGGATAAGTGGGGGGATTATTTATCCACTTTAGAAATAAAATTGCATAGAATTTGAGACCTCCTAGCAAATGGTAGAGACAGGATAAACCTAACTGGTGTGATTGAGAAGGCCAAGCCCCTCTTCATCTGCCTCAGAATATGTCCCTCGACTCAGCCAAAGAGTAACAAATACCTACATTAACCCTTTAATATGGATTAGTCGTTAAATTATATTGGTTAACTGTCATCTAATGAATAGCAAAATCTTGAGGAAACCAGGCACAAATCAAATCAATTTGTTAGACAGGAAGGTGAAAGGAATGGCCTAGGTGCTCACACATGTTCGCATGGGCAAGATAAGTCCAGGCTGGCATTCAGGGGGCCCAGGGTCAGGATGAGTGCACTGACATAGCCACAGGGCCAGAGATCAGGAGCAGCAGGTCCAAGGGCAGATGTGGGTTCATGAAGCAGGAGTTTTGACACATTTAGCCCTTTGTGATTTTGTTTGAGGCAGGCCCTGTCTGGAGTACTGCATTCAGCACAATGAAGAAAAACACAGTGAATACCTGAAAAAGAGATGCTCAAATGCTCAAATGGATACGAATGACTTCAATTATTTATAACACCTCCATATTTCAAGGCTCTACCCCCTGGATTCTGATTGTATAGGTCTGAGGTGCAGCCTAGGAACCAGCATTTCCAAGGACCATGCCAGGTGATTACAATGCAGAGGGTTCATGGATTACAACGAGTAATACTATACTAGTTGTGCATCCAGAAGGTAAACGATGGGCAATACTTGAGTGGTGTTTAGTTCTTCCCTTACCTGCGGATATTTTGTGCCGATTTGGAGGCCATGGGTGGGCACTTCATGGCATTTCTATCTGCTGCTATGGAAGAGAGCTCTTCCCGCCCCCATCCTATGCAGAATCTTTAGATTGAGAGGGGTATGGGAGTCTTCCTTCTACATTTCCCAAACAAAGACATAGCTCAAACAGCTTGTCACATGAGGTGGTTAGGAGGCTCCCCGGTGCATTTGGAAGGGAGTGAAAGCTACAGAGTATACAGGGAAATTGAGCAGGAAGCCACGTCTCCAAGGCATCCATTAGAGAATGGAAAGAGCTGGCTAACTGAGTTATAGGGTCATAATTCCATCTCAGGATTCTGGCAATAGCATAAACCACTAGAACTCTTCCTTGGTAGTTTATGAACACTTTGCCCTCCCTACCCTCACCCCACCTCCTGCCTTGGAAGATTAATAGCTCTGTAAATTACAGTTGTATTAAAATATATGTATTGTATCTTGATATGAGGCTTTCATATGGGTATGAAAGCACCCTCAACTTCCATCTCCCTAGGTGACATGTCTTGCTTTGTGTACTAATGCAGTTTCAGTGTTGAAAAAAAAAGGACTTCCAGACTGACAGAAGCACCACAAAAGGCTGTGCTGGGAATCAGCAAATGTAAAAGTACAGAGGCAAGAAAAAGATGGACATTAGGGGATGCCCAGGAGAGAAATGTGGCTGAAGTAGAGAACTTGAGTAGGTTGAGACTATGGTGTGTGTGTGTGTGTGTGTGTGTGTGTGTGTGTGTGTGTGTGTGTGTGTGTTTGTGTGTGTGTGTGTTTGCGAGAGAGAGAGAGAGAGAGAGAGAGAGAGAGAGAGAGAGAGAGAGAGAGAGATCCTGAATAATGCACGAGGTATTTGGACTTTGAAGGCAACATACCTTTGAAGATTTCTGGGTAGGGATGTGACATGATGAAAATGATGTCCAGGGTGGACTGGTTGCTCAGGATGGCCCTAGGGATGACGGGCTGCCTGTAATAGGACCACGAGGGAAGCAAGGAGCTTTATCTTGAGGCTGTATTGCCACATGAGCATTGGTTTTCGATTGCTTAGATTGCATGTATTTGGAGTGGCTCAGCGGGAGCTGGTGGGATCAGCATTAGGTGTCTTTACTGCTTTTTTTAAAAAGAGGGCAGATGAACCCATTTTGTCTTTCTGCCTCCTGGTTCTCTATGAAGCTATGCTTACGCCTAGATTTCTTACTTTGCATATAAACATGTCATATCTGTATCCTATTTCTGGGACAGAGCCACGGCGTGTGAAAGCCAGGTATCTCAATCTCTGGTTCAGGATCTACGATGTCATGTTGTTATCCCTTAAAGTGATTATTCTCTAATTATTTATTGAAATTGTCTTTCCTGAATTCCTCAAATCAGAGTCCAGATCCTCCCCCAGACACGGGGTCTGGGCCACTGAATAATACAGTGGAGGGCTCAGGAAAGCAAAGGGGAAGGAAGAAGTAGAGGGGATGAAACAGAAAGAAGACGAAAGGAAGGAGAAGAGGAAAAGGGGGAAGTAGGACAGAGGGAAGGGAAGAAGGAAGAGCAGTTCAAAGATAGAATGGTGGTAAAAGGGCGCCAGTCGCTACAAAAATTGCTGCCCTAGAAGCGAGAGGAAGGCGTCCTGGTGTGTAAAAGCAGCCTCTCACTTTCACCACGTGGGGGCAGACTCTACTTACAAGAAAAAGCAACAATTTGCAATGGCTTCAGGGTCAAAGGGATCCTCTTGGCACACGGAGGATTCGGTATTGAGCTGATCACTCACTCCCTGAGGTTCTTCTAGTCCCTCAACAGCTGGAGCCCCATCTCTGGGCACAATGTCAGTGTGGATTAAAGAAAAAAAGAAGGCCAACTTTGCTCAAACTTAGATTTTCACATCATGTGGAGTACAGAATTACAGTTGAACAGATACCACGTAGAACAAAACATTTTGCCGTTTCACCTTATTATTTAAAATATAGAATTGCCCAGGCTTTTATGCAGTCTCTCATTTCTTTATGTCTTTTCCTTTACTGAAGAGTTATTGCATATACATTATATGTGCATCGTTCAAGGAATTTCCAAACGTTGGAAAGCATTCTTCTTAATTTCTTCCAGCTCCTTCTCAGTCTTTGCTTGTTATATTTTTAGCCTAAGGTGATAAAAATGCATGGGAATGTGTACGTTAGTTTCTTAAAAAAAAAAACAACTCATAAACCCTGAGCCTTTGCGTTAAAGGGATATTTTTATTTGGAGAATGGTTGAAAACAACCAAATTACTGCAGGTAGTTCTGTGGTGCTTCAGAAGCAATCGTTGCAAGTGTCTGGTTGCCTCTGAGCACAATGCAACTAGCATAGGGCTAACAGGGCGAAGTGCCAACTGAGATATTAAAGGGGACCGATTTCCTCCAACCCCCAAGTTGTTAAATATTATTATCCCTGAAAACAGCATTTCAATGTCCATTTTGTTTTCCTTTTGGTAGATTTTTTTCTTTTTTGAACAATATAGAACAAGTTAACTCCAGCAAGTATGTATGTTTTCTAAAATAGATTTTCTAAGTAGCCAATTAAAAACAGAATCTCTTGAAAATAAAAATATTCTCTTTGGAATGGTGATTGGGCCTCTGAGATAAAGAATCTCATTTGCAAGTTTAAAAGGAATAAGAACTTTCTATTATCTACAGACTGAGTAAGTGCTGAGAAAAAGGCAATTTTGCTATTCCCTATTCCCCCCCCCCAAAAATTAAAAAATAGAAGGATAGCAAATTGACTGGACAATTGTGGGAAGTTTGGTTCCATCAGTCTCATGATTTTCAGTGTGTCCAGGTTAACAATAAAATTTAGTTTATGTGAGTATATGAGGTAGTGGTTTCATTCCAATTGTCTGTTTAATCTGGTGGCACAAGAAGTAGCAAAGCTACTGTTTTGTAGCAAGGTCTTGGGGCCTACGGTTTCCTCATTCCTAAGTTTAAGGAGAAGAGCATTACCTCCACTTAAGATTTACATAACTTTTTATGAAATACCTTCACGCTAATTTAGTCCACGGCCCCTTTAACACATATAATCCATTACAGTGCTGCAGAGATGATTACTTCCGGATGTGGTTTCTGTTCTCTCCCTCTGTTTCACAAGCTGTGTGCCGATGTTATGAAGCTCTTGCAAGGAAAAAAAGAGAAAAACTTCTAAAATGATTTCTTCTTCTTAAAAAACAGGAGAAGTGACTGCAAAGAATGATTTACTATCAGTCTCTGCTTTGCAGCAGTGGAAAATTGGGAGAGGATCAAACATCCTCTCCAATTTGGCTACTACCTTCTAGGTTTAATAGTGTTTTAAAATGAAATCTCTGACCGTCTTTGTAAGAGCTATTAATTTGTACCTTGCAGAAATGCGATTCAAACGTTTCTGGAATCGAAACCTTGGAGGAGGTTTTATAGTAAAGAAATATTAGAGACATCTGAGATTTTCTCTGAAAGTTGATGTGATCTCTTATCTGAAAATCAAAGGCTTTGACCCAAACTTTGAGATCCCCTCTCTCATTTAATTGGTGTTAGCAGGGAAGGTCTGATAAATACCGAAGGGGCTGACAAAACTCTGTTTTGCAACTAGTGTAGGGCCAAGACTTTCTCTCTCTTATTTGACTCTATCCCTTGAGAGCCTCATTTGTTTTTAGTACCTAATTTTATTGTTCATTCTTACTAACCTTCCAATCTCAATGCACTTTAAGAAAAAAGTAAACCAAAAGTAATTACTTGGAGAACACAAAGCCGTATCTATATATGAGATCAAACATTTCCAACCTTCCCTTGCTATTTACTTCTAAATAACTACTCTTCTTTCTAGTGCTTTCTGCTTGTTTTTGTGACAAACTAACAGCAGGGAATGTCTTCAGGCTAATTATACAGGACCATTATGTGATTCTGCAGGAGGAGGACTAAGGAGAGCTCTATTTCCAGCTTTAGTTTCAGGGGGAAATGAAATCCTAAGGGAAATCAGGCCTAGGCTGACTTCTCAGATCACAAGTAATTCTGGTCTAGGAGTCCCTTGCCCTCCACTAAACAAGAAGGCCCCGGATATTCAGAGGATGACTTCTAGTATCCTTTGGATAAGTGGCTTCAAGTGGTCTTAAAAGTTGCTATACAGCCAATGCCTTCCCCTCCTCTCATTCAGAGGGTTCAGCATGAGTGTGAAAAGGATGAGAAACACAAAGACATAGGAAAGAATATAACAGCAGTGACTAAACATCTAGACTTATCTTTTGGGAAACAAAAATCTCAGCGTCAAATGTGGTGGTAACATAGAGAATTGTGAAAATTTCTCAGAAGATCTGGTGCTCTGCCCACACTGCAAACCCAGCCCCAAGTATCGACCAAGTCCAGCCTCCTCTCAAGAGCAACACACGTTGGCCTCTAGTGGGAGGACTCCTTTGGCTGCAAGCCACAGACCCCAAATCCAGACTTTAAAAGAAATTCCAGGGCTGCTTCTTGCTTCAGGGGTCAAATGCTCTTCTCCAGTCTCTGACTCTCTCTGTGTCTCACACTTGTATTTGTTTCTGCCTGTTCATCCTTCAGATGGGAAAGCAACATGGCTGCCAGAAGTCTGGGACTTACAATCAACCACCTTGGAGATCCAGCATCCTGGGGAGGAATGTGAGGTCAGGTCTGGGCCATGTGCCCGCCGTGGGGTCAAGGCAGGGTGAGGTTAGCTTCACTCAAGCCACAGGAATGCGCTTTCCACAGGAAAGATGGAAAGATAGGTTCTATTACCTACCATAAGAGGAAATGGTTCTGGGCACCCAAAACCAAAAAAATGTTCCGTACACAGTCCTTATCTATATATATAAAAATACCAGGATCAATACCATATTGCCATTGTTTTGTAGTGTAGGTTTTGTTTCTTAAGGAAACTGCTGTTGCCTTTCCTGCTCCCTGGGATCCACTTTGAACCTGTACCTTGACTTCTGACCACGGCCTTAGGTTCTGCCTTTGCTCTCATGTGGGACTTCCATCATAGGACACAATGTCCATCTTATCAATATTTTTCAATACCCATGGATTCCTTATGTGTGTGACCTGATACCTGTTTTGGCTTCATCATGGGCACTCCCAGGATCCAATAGCTGTCTTTTATAGTAGACCGGGCTCTAGGGGTGACTCCATGCCTAAATGGAGCACTATTCCTCATGCCTGGTCAGATCAGCCCAGTATAATTCAAACACGATGAGACAGATGCATCTAGGACATCAGATGGGTCCCTTCTTGTCTGCTCTGTCTCAGAGCTGGGGCTGACCAGGTACCGACAGGGAGATGACTCATTACACGGCAAAGAGCACGCCAACTTTGTGCGTGGACTGATCCCTAGCCAACATACTCATTTGCTACCCTGCACATAAGGGCCTGGAGAAACATGAGAGCATGAACTTCTAGATGACAGCATCATGCATATGTGGTGGGTGCACTTTTCCCTTTCATGTGCATGGAAAGTATTAGGAGGGGAAATATTCCCCTCATGACATATTTTACATCACCAGTCATGTTTTCCTGGAAACTGATTTAACTTTTAACACTTCAGAAAATATCTGCTGTAAAATACTAAATAGCCAGAGAGAAAGACTGTATTTCCCATCTTTCAACACCATCAATGTTACAAAATGCCTTTCCCCACTGACTAGTGTAGGTTGTTCCCCGCATCGTAATCTCACCACAGTTCATTCAGTCACTTGCTCCTTCATTCATTCACACGCGTTTAAGCCCTAGGCTCTTTGGAACATACTAAGTGTGCAGTGATGAGTAAGACCCTGTCCTTGCTCTCAAGAAGCTCTCAGCCTAGTCAAAGCCAGATGAACAAAAACTGAATTCCAATGCAATGGGGCAGATGCATCTAGGACATCAAACAGGTGCTCAGAGGAGACAAGGTGGTAGGGTGGGCTGTGGGGCAGGCCAGGTTTCCATGGGGAGGCAGCCACTGAGGTGAATCCTGTAGAATGATTCACGTAGGTAGAAACATAGAGGAAGTGTGTTCCAGGAAAAGAAATATTTCAGGAAGTGTATCCCAGGAAAAGAAATATTTCAGGAAGTGTATCCCAGGAAAAAGCATGTTGGATGGAACAGGGCTGAACTGTCATGTTGGGTTTGAGAAGGAGTAATGAGGCATAGTAGCACATAAGGTATAGGGCAGGGGAGAAATGGGAGCAGCAGGACATCATCCTGGGATGGTAGGCAGAGGCCAGATCATGCAAGGTTTTTAAAATTATGATAAGAGTTTATATTTTATCCAGAAGAAGGGGGGGGAATTAAAGGGTTTAAATAGGAGTCTGTTGTGATTAAATTTGGATTTTAGGAAGATCACCCTGAGATTGGTGGAAATATTGCCTGGAAGGGAGTGAGACTGAGGCAGGAAGACCAGCTGAGAGACAATGGCAGTCGTCTGGGCCTGGGACAACCAGGGATTGGACCAGGGCAGTCAAGGTGGGCTTGGAGGCCAGGGAGCAGAATTAAAATACACTGAGAGATTATACTTTCAGGGATCAATTCTATAGTTTGTTACTAGGGAAGTTTCTCTGAATGCGTACAGACCTGCAGAAGAGCAGCAGAACCCATGAGGAGAAGGCGCAGGATGATCCTGAGCATGAAGCTGGCTCATGGAGTTGCTTTGCTGCTACTGTCACTTGCCATTGATGATCGTTCTTCTCTTCCTTTGGGAGAGGAAGAGGGGGAGAAAGCAGTTGGAGTGGTTCCAGTTAAAAAAAGAAGGAAAAAGGAAAAATAAATAAAATACGTTGAAAGTTATCAGAAAATGGCAAAGATTTAGAGTAAATGCTTGGCTTTAGTTTTGGGAGGTGCAGAATACAGAAAAGCCACTAAACCAGGCAAGGGGATATTGGCTTAGTAATCATTTTGGAGATATTACGTCAGAGATATTACTTCAAATATTATTACTTTTGAAGTTTTATATCTGTCTAGTTGGAATTGAAGGAGGGACACCCTGGTATCGAGGTCTAGTAAGTGGCTGAAATATGAATCTGGAGCTCAGAAGAGAAGCCTGAGCTAAAGACATAGATTTGGCAGTTGTTTGTCATTGAAAGTAGAGCTAACCTGTAAGGGTGCAGGAAGATATTTACGGAAGACACACAGAATGAAAAGAGAAAATGGCCAAGAACGAAGCTCTTGAGTGCATACCCACTTAAAAAAATTTTTTAAGGTAAAATATTCTTATTATAAAAGTAATACAAATGAAAACAAATATTGAGAAAAGACAAAGTTATCTATTTACTGTCCTGCCATCCTACTGCAACCACAGTTAGTAATTTGATTTCCTTTGTCATCTTTTTATCGTATGATGGGTGTGTTATTTCAATCATGATTACAGCCATTCATACGCTTTTGTATCTTGCAATTTTTATTTAATATAACATTTTCTCATGTTTTAAATAATATTGATTACTAATTTTCAAAGAGTACTTAATGTACCACTCATATATATCCTTTTATTGACTAGTTCCTGGACGAGGGGATGGCAAACTATGGGACCACATTTATAGATAGTTTTATTGGGACACAGCCATGCCCATATTGCTTACATATTTTCTGTGGCTGCTTTGTGTTACATACAGCAGTGTTGGCAACTTATGACTGAGAGAGTATGGCCTGCAAATCCTAAAATATTTATTTTCTGATCTTTTATAGAAAAAGTTTGCTGATTCCTGACCTAAATTTTTAGGTGGTTTGTAATTTGGGCTATTAAAAGTAATGCCACTGGGAACATCTTTGTGTTCTAAGATGCCTTCAAGATCTCCCTTGAGCAGTTACGGCTGAGGGAAGTAGTGAAGGGGGTAGACACCACAGTCTGCAGCCCCTCCCCTTCTAGCTCAGAACAAGGCAGATGAGCTGCAGTTCCAGCATTCCCACACACAATTGACTTCATGCCAACTTTTACTGTCCATGAGGTCCAGGTAAACTAAGAATGCTATATAAACTTGGATGTCATCTCCTGTACTTCATTCTATCATTTCTAAATACTTAGGGTTGGTGCCCATCCAGCCAACCTTGAAGGGCCCATGAGGGGGCACAGCTGCTGTGAACGCTGCCAGGGCCCAGCCTGCTGCAGCCGGGGGTCAGCTCAGAATCGCCATGTTCCTCCATGATGGCTAGTGTAGTGCTTCCAGAACACCTGCTGCTAATGAGAAGCAGGAGGAGCTGCCAGTAGACAGAGAAATCAAGGGCAGATGACAAGGGCAAAGAGTATGAGAGATCACAGAAATCTGGGGTACGTTTCAATGAGAGAGGAATGGTGAACTGCCCCATGGAGGAGAAAGGTGAGCTGAAACTGAAGATCTTCCACTGGATTTGTTAATGGAATTTTCTCTGGCACCTTTGCCTGAACAATATAGCAGAGCTGAGGGGCAGAAGCTTGATTGCAGACAACTGAAAAGTAAATGAAACGTGGGAGAGTGAATTTAAAGTATTTGTATTGCTTGTTTAATTCTCAGCTTTCTCTCCTAGATTATAAGCTCAGAGGGAGCAGAGGCGACATTGACCTTGATCAACATTAAAACCCTAATATCAAATGCTATGCCCCATCCATGGTAGGCATTTAATAAATATTTAGTGAATGAGAGGAGACACAGTGGTAGATAAGGACATTAAGTACAAGGGATACCAGGGAGGTTTTTTATTTCCTTACATAAACTTGAGAAAAAAATAGAAGAGCTTAAAAATATACACAGAGCGAGGTTTCAGAGAAAGTATAAAAGGACAGACCTAGATATTAAAGTATAAAAGGACAGCCGTAGATATTAAAGCATATATTTGGCATTTCCTCTAGCTCTTCCTAAAAATCATCCAAAGGCAAAAAATGAATGCAAAAACCAAAAATACAAACTCCACTATGATTAAAGTAAGGAGCTGTGAATTCCCAAAGCAATGATAGAGAAGGTAAGAATTGACAAGAATGGAGAGAGAGGATGCAGAGATTGCAGGTCTCAAAGAGCCATCAAAGGTAAAAGGGGTACTCCTTGAGGTGCAAAACTCCAAATCCTCACTGCAACAGGGTGCACAGATAAGGGGCAGAGGTGCTTCTGCACACTATTTGCTTTTAAAAATTGGAGGAAGCAGAGCCAAATGAGAAGTCACACAGAAAGGTTGTATGTAGAGAAAAAGGACCATCTCTATGACATCAGGGGAGAAGAGAAAGTTGTTATTGTGAGAAAAAACCACTGCTGCCCATCATCACCATTCACAAAACCCTGGGGAATGAGGAAATTCTAGCCAGGTTGGAGCCTGGCACTGGTCCCCACCGGTAAAGAATTGGTCTGAAAAAAACTATCTCTTTCAATAATGAAGAACCAAAAAGTGAAAATCCACGTAACTATGAACCAAGGGAAAGGGAAGAAGGAACAAAAAAAATGTTAGACAAGAAATACTCATGAGAAAAATATTGCCTTGAAACAGATGAACACTGCATATATATTGTATGAATTCAAAATAATCACTAAAGCAACAGCTTTTATGAAACAGGAACTTCAGATATGTAAGAGCCCAAGGAAAATGTAGTGAGATATAGGAGATGATAAAATGTAAGCTGGAAGAACTCAACAAAGAAATGTAAGAAAAAGGTAAAACCATCACAGAAATGAAGGCAAAAGTGAAAGAAAGCAAATGAGAATAGACAGTGCTCAAACATGGTAAAGAACATAGAGAGCCAACTAAGAAAAGAAGAAAAATAAAAAGGAAAGAAAAAGAATGAGAGAAAAATGCTGGATGGAAGGAATTGGTAAAGAAGATTCGGTGTACACAAAACTATTTAAAAATGCTCAACCTCCTTCATAGTAAAAGAAATGCACATCAAACATACATTAAGTTAAGGACTTCTATATTTAGCAACATCACAAAAGCATAAGTAGATGCTACTCAGAGACAACATGGATATTGCTTAGTGATTTGAAGAGGAGCTTTTTGTGTGAGACTGGAGGGAAGAAAGTACAACTGGTTCAGATACAAGAATTTCATCAACTTCACCAGCTTTTCCTTCACAAGCCTATTTCTGCTGTAGAGAGGGAGTCAAGCACATCTGCTAGGGGAAAGGATGGTGGATAGAAAAAAAGGAAGAAGGCTCATAAGAGTGTTGGAAAGTTGGAAAAACATCTGTGTGGAATGGAAGAAGGTGTTAATCTGAAAAGAAGTGGTGCAAGGTGTCTCTGAGTTTCCAGTCTGTGCAATGTGGTCTCCTATAGCTCGGCTCAGCTGTTCATTTGTCTTCACAAAGGCTGGAGATTCCAGGGTAGATCAGATGGAGAGACAAAGGGCAAGAATGCTGGAAAGGAATCATGGAAGTGAAACGGAGGGGTTGAAGGAGGTTGGCGATCTATTGGATTTATTAGATTTATTGGTTTCATTGGATTTCAGAAGTTGAATATTCCAAATCATAGACCTCTAGGAGAGGGGAGGCTCTCTTACACCCTACCCTAGGTAGGGTCCTCAAGGTAGAAGACATGCTAATCTGCTCGGTCAAATTCCACGGTACTGATGAGGCCATATTTACTCATGGTGAAGTCAATTTGAGAAAAGATGTCAGCTCATGGATATGACTTACTCTCTTCTCTCTTCTACCCAAGTGACCAAAGTGGTTAGCTGACCAGGGTTTATTCTGTAGGACCACTGCCCATCTTTTCTTCCTCTCTCTTTCTTGTCTATGCAGCTTTAAAAGGTTAGCACTCTGGGCTCACACTCTGTCTTTTTCTTCTTTGTAGCTGCCTGGGGTGTGGAGAGATCCAAGATGCAGATTGGGCCTCATAGTCTGCTTTAGTGTGAGGCTTACTAGATCCTGGGGAAAAGGTGCTCCCCATGCTCTAGCCCAACCCAAGGTATTTGCTTCACGGGGTTTGGGAAAGGATGGCCAAGACCACAGGTTGTTGGTAAATATCTTCTCTATAGCATGGACAGCTGTCTCCAACATCTAGCAGCAAGAGGAGAGTCTAAGGTGTGACTATGGGCATGACAGTCTGCAGAGAAGAGGGGCTGAAGGCCACTGGAGTAGGAGCACTTTTGATTCAAACTTTTAGCAAAATGCTTCAGCAGACAGTTAACAGTTTTAAAACAGCCATTTCAAAAACCAGAAGATGTGTAGCGGCTTTTATAGTATTAAAAAGCAAAGGGCTTAGGGCTAGGTAAGAAATGAATAATAATAATAATAATTTAATAAACCAGTAAGTTCAGTAACACCTTACATGTGCATTAAAAAGCGGTTCCTGAGCTATTACTATTTATAGCAGTAGATACAAATCTTGACATGGCTGTTCATATAAACATAAAGGTTTACATTTCAAATGGGTAAAGATAAGTTCCGTAGTAAAATAATTTGCCATAGGGGAATCCAAATCTCTTTACAGGGATACGTAACAGGGAAAATCTGCCACGTAAGATAGAGTGTTCAATTTAATCTTACTTGAGACCTTGACCTTAGTCTTTGCTGAGATTCCTTAATCATAAATACGGCTTCTTTATAAACTTAGATGGTGGATTTATAGTACAGTGTCTGAATAAGCAAAATACTTAAATTTAGATCCAAATGACATTTTCCTTTCTCAAAAAGAAGTCTGTATTTCCATGGGAACAGAGATGGGGTTATCTTAAGTCCCTTAGACTGAGGATTGAGAGGAAGCCAGCTCCTCAGTGAGTGGGTCCTGAAGACTCTATAGTTGGTAAGTGAGGTGGAACTTTTGAGTATGGAGAATGGGAATAAAGATAGGGAAAGAAGTTAGACAATTTCTGTATAGTGCCAGGCGTGGTGGTTCACACCTGTAATCCCAGAACTTTGGGAGGCTGAGGCGGGTGGATCGCGAGGTCAGGAGTTCGAGACCAGCCTGACCAACATGGTGAAAGCTCGTCTCTACTAAAAATACAAAAATTAGCCGGTGTGGTGACATGCGCCTGTAATCTCAGCTACTCAGGAGGCTGAGGCAGGAGAATCACTTGAAACCAGGAGGCGGAGGTTGGAGTGAGCCGAGATTGCACCATTGCATTCCAGCCTGGGCGACAGAACGAGACTCCGTCTCAAAAAAAAAAAAAAAAAAAAAAAAAAAAAATTCCCAGCCCTAGGCAATCACTAATTTTTTTGTCTCTATAGATTTTCTTATCCTGGATATTTTACTTTTTTTTTTTTTTTTTTTTGAGACAGAGTTTCACTCTTATTTCCAAGGCTGGAGTGCAGTGGTGCGAATCCTGGACATTTTATGTGAATAGGATCATACAATATGTAGTCTTTTGTGACTGGCTTCTTTCACTTAGCACATTTCCAAGGTTTATTCATGTTGTAGCATAGATCAGTACATTGTTCTTTTTAATGTCAGAGTAATATTTCATTGTATGGCTATTCATGTTATCCATTCATCACTTGATGGACTTGTTTACACTTTTTGGCTACTGTGAGTAATGCTGCTATGATCATCGTCAACATATTTGTGTGCAGACATAAGTTTTTCTTTTTCTGGGGTAAATACCTAAAAGGGGAATTGCTGGGTCAGATAGTAACTCTATGTTTAACCTTTTGAGGCACTGCCAGACTGTTCTCCAAAGTGGCTGTTACCATTTTACATTCCAACAAGCAGAGTATGCAGGTTCTAATTTCTCCACATCTTTGCCAACATGATATTCTCCATATTACTGATTATTGCCATCCAGTGGATATAAAGTAGTGTCTTATTGTGGTTTCAATTTGTATTTCCCTGATGGGCAATGATACTGAACATATTTTTGTGTGCTTACTGGCCATTTGTTTATATTCTTTAGAGAAATGTCTATTCAGATCCTTTGCTCATTTTAAAATTGAGTTATTTGTGTTCTTATTGAGTTGTAAGGGTTTTTTTAATGCACCCTACCTAAACACAAGTTTGTTATCAGATATATAATTTGCAAATATTTTCTCCCTCTGCATTTATTTTTAGTTAATAGCTTTAGCTAATGCAGAAAGCCTTCTGAAAAGAATTAAAGAAAAAAAATGCTGTGATTCTGTCCGCATTTATGATCACAATGTAATTCTTCCATCCAAGAGTTTTTGGTTTAAGGAGAATGAAAAATGCACTTCCTGTATTAAAAAAGTCAATCACAAATTTCATTCTGTTTCCCATTTGGTGATAATACAAGAGGTAGAGGAAATTTGTTTGTACCGTATATAAGCTCCTATTACTCTGCATTAGCCTTAGTGTTTTTATCCATATTTAATCTTAGAAGCTGATTTAGAGCAACTCTGATGGAATAGCTAGACTTTGTGACTGTGACTCTGATGGAATAGCTAGGCTTTAAAAGCCATTTGAAAACATTCCAGCACAGAATTTAAGATCTGACTTTTTCAAAGTTTACCCTTAACTTACTTCTCTTTAAGGGAATTAGTGTCTTGTTTACTCTGGTTTTTAAAAATATATTCTTTATACATTTAAGTTTACTTGTTCCAAATTATTTAAAATGTAGGTCCTCCAAAAACCAACCTTTTTATTTGTTGTTCATTTTAAGAGTATCACAACAGAAGTTTTAGCAGTGCCAACCCAAATAGCTCTCTATGATTCAACTGTAATTACATGGGCCATGGCAGTTTTAATTCCTTATTTAAATTGCCGTGGAAATTTACTAAAAATGTTGACTGATGCATATAGTTATTCAGCTGCTTAGGATAACTCACCGAGTATCAAGAACCATGGGATGTAAGAACTCAGCCTTAGAGATGGCTTACTGCAACTCTTTTCTGGGTTGTATTAACAGTCCAGCAAGGGCATTTTAATATCTGTGATTTTTTATACAATTCTGTAGTTTTCTAATGTTATGAATTAACATGTGTTATTTTATAATTCAATAAACAATTGTTCTAAAATTTGCCCTTTTATTTTTATGCGAGTAGTAATTGCTAATTGTACAAAAACAGAAATTACAAATAAACAAAATGCAGCAAGATAAATTTCACTCATGATTCTACTACAGAGAGATGACCATTATTAACATTTTTGTGTGGTTCTCTCTAGAAAAATTAAGATTATATGGTAGTACTGGTCTGTGACCTACTTTCCCTGCTAACAGTATATGTAAGTATCTTTCTATATAATAAGCATATTACATATACGGAGAAAATAACCTTCAAATCCATGTCCATGTTTGACAATTAAATGAAACTTGTGAGGAAGGAAGGGAAAGTATTATTTTCTCTATTTTATGCATGAAGAGATACAGTTGAAGAGAACTTAATTAGCTTACTTAAGCTCTCAAATTAAAAAATAACGGAAATGGGACTGGTATTTGCATTTTGACTCACACTCCAGTGTTCTTTTCACTTGCGTGCTGATAATAGGGAAGTGACGCTATAGAAGCTGAATCATCAAGGTAGGAAATTACAGCAAATCTTAATTAAGGGCATTCTTGAGTCTGAGTAAACAAAAAATATTGGATTGAATTATGAACTACTGCTGAAAGTAATTGGATGGCTTTTTGTGCCTCATTAGCAACTAATTAATTGGTACCATGTAAATACCTGGATGATGCAAACATCTTATGAATAATGAAGAAAATAATTTATAAACAAAAGAGAAGAACAGATGTGACTCTACACATTTAGATAATAAAATGATTATCCAAGAACGACCCAACAGTTTGGAGAGGTGAGCTGAATCTATCAAGATGATGTGTAACAGATGAAGGCAAAGGTCTCCATTTGTGATCTCCAAATCTCCTGCATATCTGTAGAAAACTTTCATTAACTTCTGTCTGTGTTAAACTCAGTTATGGTGGCATCTGGATGGATATGTGCAGACTGGTTGCTGCCGTATCTGTGCAGAAACTGGCAGTAAGGATCTGTTCTGCAGTATTCTGACATGCTCCTCTCTGCTACAGAGATGAGGTTGGCGAACTCTTATTCTTTTATCTATGTCCTTCTTTGCACCTAGAAGGGCGCTCAAATTGATGCCATATTGTTGGAGACATAGTTCAGTGGCAAGTATGACAAAAGATATGATAGTGTGATGAAGCTATTGAAAAAGGCCATTGGGACTCCTTCTTTACTGGGAGAATATCATCAAACACAGAGTTCAGCAAATTATGACGTGTTGGTCAAATACAGCCCGCCTACTGTTTTTGTAAAAAAAACCCAAAAAACCTTTTATTGAAGCACAGTCATGCCCATGTATCAGGGTACTGTCTATGGCTGCTTTTGCATTACAATGGCAAAGTTGAGTAGTTTAATAACGATTGTATGGGTGGTAAAGCTGAAGATATTTACCATCTGGCCATTTATAAAAAATGTTTGCCCATCCATGATTGAGAGTAAAGATATGGGATGGAAAGGGAAGTTCAGCTTCATTCTGACCTCCAGGTATTGCAATTTAAAGAGATAAAGGGCAGAGGAAGTATGCTTGGAGGAAACTCACCATCATGGTACAGGAACTCAAAATTAAATATCTTTTAAGATGATAAAGATATTGAGACATTTTAACCTGGAAAAGAGAAGCTTTGGAGATAGGGAAAGGTATAGCTGAGTGGAAGGTTCTTAGCTGAATTTAATGCCAAAATAATGTTGAGTGGAAGAACACTGTAACCCCAAGGACCACTGGTGACAGTTATAGGAAGACCATTAAATGGACTTTCTGACAATGAAGAATTTAAAAACATAACAGACTGGCCTAGAAGGTGAGATTTTCTCATCACAGTTCAAAGTGTTCCTGGCGGGGCTGAATGACTATACATTGGGGAGGAGATTCAGGAATAAGAGTAATCACTATTTGGGGCATCCTTGCTATTTAACATCACCTCTTTATATGCAACACATCTAATCCTCATAGTAACCTTACGTTATTATGAACTTCACTTTGCGTATGAAGAACCAATGCAGAAAGAGTAAAACATTTGCCCCAACTCACAATGCTAGTAAATGTCAGATCTGCAGTCAGAATGTTTGTTAGATATGAGGATAAAAGATCTTTATAAGAATGCTTTAGAGATATGTTTTTGAAAACAGAAGATGGCGAAGAATAATATAAGTAACAAATATTTCTAACACCCAGAATTGATAGTTTTTAGCAATTTTTCAATACTGGATTATGAAAACCTCTATGATACTTATTTCTTATAGTATTATATAATTGTAATTAAATAATTTCAAGTATCTTTTAAAACTATATAATTAATACACACCCTGAAATGTTATACTTTTAATAATATTTGTAAATTATATCTTCTTTTAAACCACCAGAATCTTCATTTCCTGTGTGTCTGCTGTGAACTTAAGCTAATATTCTCAAGTGCTCCATGACAGTCTCTGATCACAAACTGATTTGGGGGGCCCTGAATTTACATACATACATACATACATATATATATATTTTTTTTTTTTACATGTATTGACAGCTTAATTATCCAGCCTGTTGCTTCCCTCTGAATGTTCCCTGCACTCCTTTTTATGGGTCTGCTCTAACACTCTGTAAAAAGAACAAGATCTTGCATTATTAAACAATGCCCTACCTTGCAATGAAGCATACATTTTATTTAGGATACATAGAAAATTGCAAGTGACTGACTCGATATTTTTACATCATAATTTTGTTTTATTTTTTCTTTCTTCCTTTCTCATTTTATTTCCCATTTTTCATCTTGAAACAGTTGTATAAGCTGTACTTGACTGGTGGTCAAAATAGCTGACTGAAGTTGTTAATATTTTCAGAATCCATTTCCTCCCATCCTCTCTGCAATCCTGCCAAACTGCCGTGTTCTCCAGACACAAAAAGATTCCGGTTAACAACTTTCTCTTAATGATATAGGAAGTGAGAGTATACTGCTTTTCCCAAGAAGAACAGAGCAATCCCAGCAGAGAACTCACAGTTATGGGTCATTTTCTTAATAAAAATGTTGATCAGATTAAACTGGTTGTTTCAGTGACTTTTAGTCTCTTCATTGATGGGGAAATTGTGCCTCCTGCTAAGTAAAGACCCCCAAATGTGTTCATGGGACTCCCATGGGGCACGAGGTTGTCACACTCCTTCCCAGACAAGTAGCAGCCTCAGCGCCCCCTCTTTCCTTCAACTTGTATTCTTCCTTCTGGGGTACTGCCAGGTCCCTCAAGCACGCCAGTGTGCCAGCCGGTTCTGCTGTTTCCTTTGAGTATGGCCCTGGGCATGACTGCTAATGACAGGGAGTCCCTGAGACATGGGAGCTTCGTGTGGCCTGCAGCAGAGTTGGGGGGCACTGACTCTTCTTTGTGTCTTCTCCAATGGGGCAGCACGAAAGCCACTTGTGCCCAATGCCCCTCAGAGATTTTGGTGAATCTGCTTGTATTAGTTTGTGAAGGCTGCCATAACCAAGTACCACAACCTGGTGGCTTAAACCACAGAACTTTATCATTTCACACTTCTGGAGGAATGAAGTCCAACATGAAGGTGTGGGTAGGATGCGTTCTGAGGGCTGTGAAGAAGAATCTGACCTATGTTTCTTGTCTCAGTCCTGGTGGTTTGCTGGCCATCTTTGGCGTTCCTTGGCTTGCAGAAACATCATCTCCATCCCTGCCTTCATCTGTCACATAGCATTTTGCCTGTGTGCACATATGTGCTCAAATCTTCCCTTTTATAAGGACAGCAGCCATATTGAATTAGGAGCTCACCCTACTCCATATGACCTCATCTTAACTAATTATATCTGCAATGACCATTTTTCAAATATGGTCACATTCTGAGGCATTGGGGGTTACAACTTCCTCATATGAAGGATTTTTTTTGGAGGGGGTGGCACAATTGAACTCATAACACCACTCCTTTTTTGAGTTTTTTTCTTAGTGAGAAATGAAAGAGATGTTTGGGTCACAGGACTGTTGATAAGCATAAAAAAGATAACACAGATGAGTCACTTTCCAAATGGAAAAGTGCTATCCAGATGGCAGCTGTTCCTAAGGAATATGTGTTTACGTTTGCACGGAGTGTCCCATCAAGAAGTCCGCATGGATGAGCACTACAGAAAGGTCTTCAGGCCGCTTTTCTCATAGTCAAGGTCAGAAAGATGAGGGTGGTTGCTGCATTTTTACCCAATAGGAAGCTGTTGGTGTTATAAGGGACTGGTATTGAACAAAGTGAAAGGTTCCCATCTTCCATCGACACAGAGGATTTCCCCAAAGAAAATGAACCACAACAACCTCTTCATTTATCCTTTCATGTATTCTTGATATTTGACCTCAGGTTTGACCATAATCTCCTTGGAAATGAGGGCAGAGAGTCACAGAACATGGAAGGAGCTTCACAGATCATCTATTTGGACTAGATTCCGCTTCAGCACCTTTGATGTGGTCATTGCTTCCTTGATGAGCACCCTGGGACCCAGGGAGGTAGATGGTTACCTGAGACCCCACACCTGATTAGAGGGCTTTTGCTTGTTCTACTCCTTTTTTTGTGGTCTTCACAAGGCATGCTTTAGGTTGGTGGGCCTTCTCTTGAATGCTATTGGTTGTCTCACTTTGCTTTTCTTCTATGTTCTTATTGTGGATATAGCTCATTATATTGCAATGATTTATTCACTTGTCTGTCTATTCCACTGACCCAGAGAATCTTTCGAAGCCACGGCTTGAGTACTCACCTTTGTAGCTGAAAGTCTAGAATAGCCATTCTCAAAGTCTGGCATATGGGGAAGGGCTGAAAATGTGCCTAACAAGTTCCCAGGTGTTGTTGATGGTGTTGGTCTGGGGACCACACTTTGAGAACCACTGACCTGGAGCAGCTGCTGGCATACAGCAAATGCACAATAAATGTCTTTGGAATTCATGAATGAAGGTGAGGAAGATGATCTTTTATATGATACTAGGAAACTGGGAAGAGAAAATAGATTGCTTACCTGCCCCTTTTGATTCCCCAGGGTGATGAGGATAGAATGAGATTATTTACTAAAAGCACTTGAAAGCTGCGATAGCTTTGGCCAGTGCTGTTCATTGCCAATTCCATAGTTCT
Source organism: Homo sapiens (assembly GCF_000001405.40). Classification (NCBI taxonomy): domain Eukaryota; kingdom Metazoa; phylum Chordata; class Mammalia; order Primates; family Hominidae; genus Homo; species Homo sapiens. Next base: position 25,277,104 of record NC_000007.14, read on the forward strand.
GAGGATTGTCAGGAAAGTAGGTTCAGGGCTTGGTTAGTGTGGGAGCAGAGGAGACAAACCTAGAGTTTCCTTACCTGCTATTTTGGATAACACCCAAAATATGGGTATGGGTAAATGCCATACTTTCTATCTTAAAGAAAATTATAAAAAACGGATTTTCTGTTACTTTCACCAGCATAGGCCTTGTAAGTTCCGCCTAGCTTCTTTTAGGGAAGAGCTAAATTACCATAATTTTTCTAGTTTAACAAAATCAACTATAAATAAAACCATAAACCAAGAGAAATGAATTGGTAGCTGGTTGAAAAAAAAACACTTGCTTAAATGCCAATTAAGTTTTAAAAATTGAATTCATGCAAATTATGTGTTCCAAACACGTTTTCATTAAGGCTTCTAATTAATTTAATGGAAAAATAGAAATATGGTCTGCTTCAAACAAATAATTGAACACAATTATATATTGATTACTATACCTTGTAATGCTGCTGTGTTAATTCATTTCCAACACATGTGACTTTGAACACAAAATGTTTCCTTTAGTCTATACTGAGCCATCAGAATCTCTGATTCCTGTTTTCCCAGTCACTTGAAAACTGGGATGGTTTCAAATGGATCTGCGGGATCCATTTGTGAAGGAAGGAATGTGGAATCAGTGGGCAATCTACTAGTTGAATTATGGAGAAAGAAGCCATAGAAAGTCAACTGTTATTGGTTGTTTTTTTTTTTTTTTTTTTTTTTTTTTTTGACAGAGTCTCCCTCTGTTGCCCAGGCTGGAATGCAATGGTGCAATCTTGGCTCACTGCAACATCTGCCTCCTAGGTTCAAGTGATTCTCATGCCTCAGCCTCCCAAATAGCTGGGATTACAGTCATGTACCACCACACCTGGTGAATTTTTGTATTTTTAGTAGAGACAGGGTTTTGCCATGTTGGCCAGGCAGGTCTCAAACTTCTGACCTCAAGTTATCTGCCCACCTCAGCTTTGAAGAGTGCTGAGATTACAGGTGTGAACCACAGACCACAGGTGTGGTTAACGGTTCTTGACAGTGAATTGGAAGCTGGGCTTTTGGTAGAAAAAAGGAAGAAGCTAATGAAAAAAAAAAAGGAATTAAAGATTCAAAAGAAAGAACAACATCCTGATGGAAGCCAGGGAGGATGAACTTGGGTCTCAAATGGAAGGGAAAGTCTTAGAATGAAGATGGGGCTCCTGCTCTTCTTCTGAGACATGAGGAAGTAAAAGTGGGCAATAAGAGTACAGTGACAATTTTACCTTGTGAAAGTTTAGTGACCTCATCTTCACCTCATTTTATGGAGGAGGAAACTAGAGTCTAAAGAGGCCAAGTGTCCTGTCCAAGCTCACCTTATATAAGGTGAGTTCCAGGTCTAGAACTAGGTTACAGTTTTTCTTCACCATTCTATCCTATCCTCTCTGATTTCCACCTCCCTACAACTACACTTTTGTTTCTTTAGCATATTAAACAGTTGCTTACGAAGATATGGCTGATGGCTGTGGGAAAGAAAAAGGATTTGAAAAAAAAGGCAAATTCAATTTAGATGAGAAACAATTTAAATGCTTAATTGATTGGGGAAAAAACATCAAGAACAGGTGGTGCTCTAGTCTGCCAGGAATCTTCAAATGAGAGTCTGGATGTCATTATTTTGTATTCAAAATGAAAAATGTAGAAGTCTTTGAGTATAAAGATACATCATAGCATGTAAGGTGTGCAGATTATATGTGTGAAGAAATCCAATTTGGACTGAAGAGAACATCTACTTTTTAAGGGGTGAAGGCAGATTCCAACTGCACAGCCAATATTTACATAGACTCATACAGATTGTATCAATGGTAGTAGTGATGTTTTTATGCGGTTGCAAAATGGCAACCTGGAAGAAAATGGCTACATAACCACCATTCCAGCTGTGGTGGTTGATTTTGCATGCCTACTTGGCTGGGTTAAGGAATACTTGGATAGCAGGTAAAGCAATAATTATTCCCAATACTCAGTAGGCACTGAGCCCATACTTCTGCTGAAAGGGAAACCAGGGTGGTTTTGCATTAGATTAGAATGATTGGGCTGCCCCAAGTGTGCCTGTGCAGGTATTTTAGAGGAGATTGGTGTGTGAGTTGGTGGACTGAGTGGGGAAGATATGTCCTCAACGTGGGCAGGCACCATCCAAACAGCTGAGGGCTCAGATGGAACAAAAAGGCAGGCAGAGGAAGGGTGAATTTTATTTCTCTGCCAGAACTGGGATGCCCTTCTTCACTTGGATGTAAACTCTTCAGGTTCTCTGGTCTTTGGACTCTGGGACTTGCATCAAAAGGCCTTCAGCCTTGGACTGAAACTTACACCACCAGCTTCCCTGGTTCTGAGGCTTTCAGACCTGAACTGAGCCATGCTACTGGCTCTCTTGGTTCTCCAGCTTGCATATGGCCTATCATGGGTTTTCTCAGCCTCCATAATCAAGTGAGCCAATTCCCCTAATAAGCCCCCTTTGATATTTCACTATGTATCCTATAGGTTCTATTTTTCTGGGGAACCCTGACTAAAACACCAGCTATGCTACACTACTATTAGTGCCCTATTCTGCCAAAGGCAAGACATCCATGGTCCTACTTTTCCAACCTTCACTCCAAGTCTATATTTCCTGTCAATGCCCTCTGGTGAAGGACCATACCTGTGCTTGAAAAAGTTGCGTTTATTACTCATCTCTCCATGGGGAGCCTGGAAAGTTTCAGTAAGAGAATGCTGGAAAGGATTTGTAGGATCTGGGCTTTAGTTGGGTAACTTGGGGAGGATCCAAGGATTGGAAGTTCACTCTGAATTGGACGTTTATCAGTAAATCTTGAGGGAGAGCAGCAAAGCTAAAGCTGTAACTGGGAACAAAGCAGGAGTCACTCACGTAAGCAGGGAGAGAGGGATTTTTGGTATTTTGTGGTTTGGTTTTGTTCAGATGTAGTTACCGAGTGGTCCTGTTTCTTCTTGGTCTAATATGGCCATGGAGTGATCTTGTCTGATGTTGATTTCTTGTGAAATTGTTTATGGTCAACAGGAGAAGGCCAAGCCCTACCCAATCATACTAGTTTATCTCCTGGGATGTCAGAGTCCTACTTTTCTCTTTCTCAGGATGAATTTATGTGGAGAAACAAGGCAAAGTTGCAGAATATAACTTCCAAAGTTGTGAGTGTGTGTGTTTCCACTGATCTCCACGTCAATATCTGCAGTTGTGCAGTGTGAATTTTGGGTGGGTTTGCTAAGCACAGTGGAGCCCTTGTGCTAATTACTCTCACTTCCTCACGTAAACTCCCATCATTTATGTTTTAACTATAGGACCTGCTATGTGAATTTTGGGTTAAGGCACTTGAAGACTGGACTTACCTCATTAGCATGTTGCCTGAAACACCCGTGCCAACCAGCCCTGGACTGGACTGTAACATCAGGATTCTCAGATCTTTGTGATTTTCAAATAGTTTAGAAGGTTTGATGGTTGAGAAAGCCTTTTTGGTCTCTCAATACGCTCCTCGCTGAACTAGCAATTGCCTACCAGGAAATCAAGTGTAGCTGATATTCCCATTACTCTGAACAGGATTTTAAAGCTGACAAAGATTTTGGAAAGTAATCCAGCTGTTATGTTCCTAGTGAAGAGCTGAGGCGGGGGGTGGGGAAAAGGAGAAACATTATCTTCTGAGGTTAAAAAAAAAACTGTCTTCCATTTCCTTTCTACCATCTTGAAACTCTTGGTAGGGTGGGACCCTTGCAAAATGAGCACTTGATCAATGTCATTAACAGTGATTTGTACCACAGTGGTAATATTTTTAATGCAGTTCATTCCAACGAATGTTCTGCTTCTCATGTTAGCTTTTATATACCCAGCAACCAAAAACATACACTGCTGAGTTCACAGAATATTGGGCTCTGGCTAAGTGTGATTAAATATTGATTTCTGAGCCCCACAAACATTTAGCGATGCAGAAACTGTTGGGCACTGGATCATTATGGACTGTGGGGCTGACGTTGGCAGAATTCCAACAGTCACAATTTGTGGAAAAATTCCAGAGTGGCTATAAGGCCCAAGCTATGGGTTTGGCCCTTGCGTGTGGCTCTGACCTGTGCCCTGGTCCACTGACTGTTTTTCACCCGGGTCACCTGTCTTTGCAGACTTTTGCTTTTGGCCAAAAAGGGGACTGAACAGAGAGAAGAAATGCTTGATGCCAACTCATCCTGACTGCTGGAAAAAACAACTCAAACTTACAGGCAACGCATCTGCAATGAAGAATAGTATAGTTATTGCCCTTTTATATTTGCTGCGGGAGTTGCTATCAGAGAACCATGTAAAAATAACTTTTTAAAGCTCAAATATACAGTGTTGAGAATAAGAAGGGCTAATCTATTCACAAGTTGTGGAGAATTAAAGACTGCTATACATTTTTTGACATTTCACCCTTGAGACATGGGGTCTATGTCTCATCTCTTCTTTGTAAATATGGGCAGGCTCTGTGACTGCTTTGACCAATAGAATATGGTGGAAGCAGTATTTGCCAGTTTCTGAGCCTAGGATTTTAGAGACTGGAAGCTTCTACTTCCTGTCTCTTAGAACTGAGCCACATAAAGAGGCTTCACATGGTCACTACAGTGGACAGTCCTCACTGAGTTGCCAGCTAATGGCTAACCAACCATGTGAGTGCTTCATCTTGGATGTCCGTCCAGTCCAGTTGAGGCTTCAGAAGACTCTAGCTACTATCTGACCACAGCTGTGTAACAGAACCAAGGGAGAACTAGCCAGCTGAGCCAGGCAACTCACAGAACTCAGAGAGAACAACACATTAAGCCACTGGATGTTTGGGGTGGAAGGTTATGTAGCAATAGATAACTGGAACACAAGTTACCCTATTTATAGTAGGAGACCACTTGAAAGCAATGTGAATCCACTGCAGACATAGTCCCAAGCCTCACACTTAACACTCCCTGTTGTTGCCCAGTGCAAGCACTCGGCTCATCTAAGATTGGGATATTAAAACCTCTTAAAGTTCAAACTTTGAAAGATTCCTTCTCACTGAGAAAATCCCATGTTTTCATTGTTAAATTCTCACAGAGGCCACCGCAATGGTGAGACCATCAGGTGCTCCTGACTCTGGTTTCAAAGCAGCGTGTGCACACCCTGAATTTGCCCACTACGACTCCACGTGGCCAGTTTCTCCCTCAGCTCCTCTCGCTAGGAGCTGTTCTGGCAGCGAGTCCACCAGAGCATCAAATGGTGCCCATAAAGTTCCTGTGTTATTGCCTCTTCTGACACATGGAATTCCCGGAGGACTTTGGCTATGTTGAAGTCAGTGTTTTATTATTGTCTTTCCCCCTACTCTTATCTATAAGGAAATTGTGTCAATTCGTGAGCCATGACACACTGGCAGTTGGATTCTTATCAAGTTTTAGTAGGAACATACTTACTTCCAAAGGTAAATACTGGTTCCATGTTTGCTGTGTTCTAGCTCAAGATGCTCAGTGCTGGCTGCACGTTAGAATCACCTGGGCAGCCCTCAAAAAAATGAAACTACTCATGCCTGGGTCTCATCCCAGATTAATTAGATCAAAATAGCTGAGGGTGAGGCCCAAGCATTGGTTTTTAAAAATTCTCCCCAGGGGTTTCATAGATGCAGCGAAGGTTGACAAATACTCTACCCAATGATTTAGTTGGCTTCTTGTTTGTCATGCAGAGAAAAATACTGTACTTTCCAATAGTCTGTCTGTAGGTCCAAATCTTACCTATGCTTTAAAGCCCAGCTCAAATATTATTTTACATATGTCAGAGGTGAATCTATACAGAGTTGGAGTTTTATTTATTAAATGAATGAAGACAAAAATGGATTGTGAGAAACCCATCCTGCTCTGTCACAGTTTTCCCTTGGACGCCAGTTCTGCTTTTATGTGGCTGTAGGTGGAAGTGCCTCCGTCTACCTTCCTCAACTAGAACTGCCCCACAAGTCGCAATTAGAACAAGCCGCCTTGTTGTCCATCATGCCAAAACAAACTGGCACTGCTCTTAAACCTCTCTCTCTGGATGTTTTCTATCCTGATCTCTTCCTATTTAGTTAAGATTTTTCTTTCTTATATAAGTGAATCATTTTTATAAAGGTCTAAAATATCTCCTGTTCGCTCTCCCAGGCTTGGATGGGCATTGGAGGGAAGATGGTTGCTCCCCAGTGTTCTGTGGAACAAAAATCTTTTGAAAGGATCAAGACTGTTAAGACTGCTTGCTTATCTCCTCACTGGCAAAGGACTAGCTATTGACTGAGCTAAAATGATAAATATTCCAAGAGCAAGCTCTGAAGTCACTAAGCTCCATAGTACTCTTTGCAGAGCCTCTGTGGTATCTGTCCTGATGAACCCACTAGATGTAAATCTTAGCCAGCAGAAGAGCCAGTGGGTAATTGTTTTGGGTTTTAGGGCCTCCGCTGAAATGTTACTGAGTTTTGAGTTGCCAGTTATCCTGGGACTGCCTTCAAAGAAATGAACCAATGAGCTCCTCTCTCACTTTCACATGTAGCATCCTTTGACAGACTGCTATTTACTCATGGTTGCTTTTGCTCTGAAATACAAGTCATCTTCTTTTTTTTTTGAATTCAGAATTTTAAGAGGTTACCAGAAAAGCCCTCAGATTTGCCTGTAATTGAAGAGTTCCCCTTTGAAGTTCAAATCTTTCTTAGCTCTAATTCGAGAGGGAGTTATGATTCTGTGATGGACTCATGACATTTCTTATTGGGGATATAAAAAGTCAGATTTTAATGCCTTTTTGTGATATATGCATCTGGCCCAAGATCAGGCAGTTTTGAATGATGGAATTTAAATTATAATTTAGCGAAGGGGTAAGAAATGAGAAATTACAGCTTTGCAGCAATGCCTGAGCTATACAACAGTTCCTTAGCACCCTGTATGAGGGTTTGTGGGTTAGAGCTGCTGCTTGCAGTAGGTTTTCAGAGACACCATGCCAATGCTCTGGAAGTAAAGGCAAAAGCTCAGCTCAGCTCAGCTCAGGGTATAGCGATTACCTGACATCCTGCTTTGGAAAAATAAAAGCAACTCCTAAGTATAAATCCTTGTCATTTGAACATCCTGGACATTCAGATGTCTAATTACCTATTACCTCCCATTTTGTTCAACTGCCTCAAAATTGTTGTCACCTCCTTTTTCTCTCAACAAAAATTCTTGGGCACACAAAGATTCCTACTAATTTGTTTGCTTTCTGTGTATATGAAATAGGACTGATGGAGACCAAATAAACTGGATGTGAATTCTCCTTTCTACATCTAAGAATCACTTCTCTCTTTTGTTTTCCACAAGTCAAAGAATTGATTCAACTAGTAGGTATGAGTTACACACTTATTAGAAACAAATAATGTGTCACGGCATGGTGGCTCACACTTGTAATTCCAGCACTTTGGGATGCCCAGGAGGAAGGATGGCTTGAGGTCGGGAGTTCAAGACCAGCCTGGGCAACATAGTGAGATCCTGTATCTACAAAAAATAAAAATAAAAAATGAAACAAGACAGAAACAAACAAACAAACAAACAAACAAACAAACAAACAAACAGATAATGTGATGTGGTAGAAAAGGCACTGGGACTAAATTTATTATAAGTTCTCAATCCTTATTAGCACTCTGTCTCTCTCAGCTTCAATTTCCTCATCTGTAAGCTATCCGTTAGCCTCACTTTTTAAAAAAATCTATAAATTGTCTGCTAGTAAATTGCTCTGAAGCTAAACTCAAACAATAGTCCCTTTTGAATTGTTCTGTTATCTCATGTTCTGGGGCATGCTAATCCACTGATTGTAGTACCTGATAATGTCTCCTTATAATGAATCCCTTTTTTATGTGGCTTTAATTTTTGTGTGTGGGCTTATTTTCAACTGGAATTATTTTTGATTTGTATGAATCATGTATGTTCAGTTCTGTGGAAATATCTTTATAGGTTTTATATTTGCCATGGCTGAGTATCCCAAGGGTTTCATTTGTCTAGGATGAATTTTTGCAGTATTTTATGAGTTTAAGATCCCAACACCATGTGGATGATATTTATTTGGAGTCCATATCTGCATGTGGCACATGCTAGGGCTTTGGAGCCCACCAGACCTGAAGCTTCTTTGCTTCTACCCTGGGCCCTCTTGGGAAGTTCTCCTGTTCCCCTTACACAAAGCAGGCAGTGTGTGAGTTCTAGCTCACACTTGGGTTCAAGGCCTCATCTCTGATTTTTCAGGGGGATTTCATGATTCTAGTTCCTTGCTGTTAGAGCCTCTCACCATGTCTGATACCCCCTGGGATTCTGCTGCATTAGTTCATGCTATGAATTTCATTGTGTTTTGGGGGGTATCTGGAAATTTCCCTTTGTCTTTTGAGTTTGGCTTTTAGAAAACACTTAATAGTTTATCTACACCTCTAGTATCTTTGTCAAGAGGATCTTCTTAGCTCAATTTGCCATGTTGTTGGAAATGAAAATCAAGTGTATATTCTTTATGAGCACTTTCCCTTGGTTAGCCATTTTATTTCATAAAGTTACGCTTGTTCAGTGGCAGAAGCATTGCTTCTCAAACTGCCTGTGAACCCCTTTGGGATCTTGTTAAATGCAGATTCCAATTCCCTAGGACCAGGAGCTGCAATTCTGCATTGTTAACCAGCTCCTAGGTGATGCTGATGCCCCTGACCAACTCTGGGTAGTGAGGTTTTGAGCTAGGGCAGCAGTAATCTCTTCCCAATTGCCAATTTATGAGTTGCTGGAATTCATCTAGTGTGGTTGCCTGATAAAATCTCCACTCATTTTGTTGCTCTCACAAATGAAACTTCATGTTGAAAGCAGTTTTAAAAAATGTAAAGAGTTATAAAATATTTCTTCATTTGGAAAAAAAAATCTATAAATTCAAAATGGAATGGAATAAAACTGACCTTTAAAGCCCTTGAAAATACCCAGAAGTCCTCATCTGCTTTACCCAAAGCTCCCTTCCACCTCCTTTTCCTTTCATTAAGTCCATTTTTCCTCAAGCTAAAATTCCAGGCAAATTAATAAAAGAATTAACTTTCTAATTTAATTTAAGTTTTCCTTCTATAATTATGTATTAATATTGATTTCTTTTTTGTTGTTATGGTTTTGTAGGGCCTGTAGCCTAGTAACTTACTCATGGTTAACATCGATTCAAGAGAACAGAGTATTTGAGTTTCAAACAATTGGTGTACCAGGTGAATCTTCAGAATACGAGAGATTGTATGACCAAAGATTCAAGTGAGGTTACAAGGTCGTCATGTCCTTATGTAGGCAGGGCAGCATCTTCCAGACTTTCTCCATGTACCCCAAAATGCAGAAAAGCAAAGCAAAACAAAAGTTGATTGGCATCCTGGCTGGTCTAACTTTAGCTATTTACAGCTTAATTTTATGGACTACAATGCCAACAATTTGCATGCCCTGACAGGTAGAAAGTCAAGCTAAGTTCTCAGGACACAAGACAAATAGGAAAGTTATAGCTGTCCCTGGGAGGGAAAGGATCAATAATGAATGGGTACCCCAAATCACATTTACATAGGAGTCACAATTCAAACAAATGATTTTCTCTTGATAATCAGAATTTGGGAAGTAGGGGAAAAGAAAAAGTTTTTAACCTTCTTCTCTCCACGGGGTGCTACTGATAAAGATCCAGGAGAGCTGACCTTGGCAAGAATTCTTACCTGTCTCCAGCTTTTTGTCAGTTGTCCCAGATCTCATCTGCAGAGTCTGGAGTGAGTGGGGTGTATCAGCTGTCCCTTTTTGGGTGCCAGAAACTGTAGAGGATGAAAAATGTTTATTTTTCTCACTTGTAACAAAAGACACAGTAACAAGAGAAAAGCATACACATTTATCTAATACAAGTTTTATGTGACACAAAAGCCTTCAGAAATGAAGACCCAAAGAAATAGGGAAACCTGTGTATTTCTATGCTGTTTGATGAAAAAGTGGTTAGTTGTGGAGAAGTAGGATTAGGCAAAAGGAGCATGATCTAATGGTAATAAACTGGGGTGGCAGGGAGGAATTGAGGCCAGTTTAGATTCTTCTGTCTCTGTGTCTTCAGACATAAGAATGTTCCTTTCCTCTCTGTATAAGATGGGTATGTTAAATCAAGTTTAGCCTAAAGCTGCCTCCTTACATATTTTAAGTTCGGCCTAAAGCCTTCTCTATACATCGTGAACTATAACCTAAATGGAGTTGTATACAGACTGTAGCCTACTCTTGTGCCAATCACCGAGTTTTGGTGGATCAAAAGTGGCCAACTGTTCAAACCCTGTTCAAATAAGACAAACAACAAACTGCAACCGATCCAGCTGTTTCTGTACCTCACTTCCATTTTCTCTTTGTCATGTTCCTTTTTCTGTCCATAAATCATCTTCTTCCACCACATGGCTGAACTGGAGTATCTGAGCCTACTCTGGCTCAGGAGGCTGCCTGGTTCTTTGCTCAATTAAACTCTTTTTTTTTTTTTTTTTTTTTTTTTTTTAAGAGACAAAGTCTCCCTATATTTCTCAGGCTTGTCTGAACTCCTGGGCTCAAGCGATCCACCTGCGTCGGCCTTCCAAAGTGCTGGGATTATAGGCGTGAGCTACTGTGCCCCTCCTCAATTAAACTCTTTTAAATTTAATTCAGCTAAAGTTTTCCTTTTAACAGGTACCTCTCACCTGAGGGTCTGTGACCTACTTCAGGAGATGGTCAGAAGACTCTTTGCTAGGTTTTATGGCCTGCTTCATGGGAGAAGGGCAGGAGGAGGTCAGAGAGTTCTTCCTGCTTCTCAAATGTCAAAGTGCCATATTTTGGGGTAGTGCATTCTGAACCCCGTTATGGCCAAATCAGTGTTGCCTTTAGAATTAACCAGGGGCATAGAGTAAGGTGTGAAACATGTTGGCCTCCCCCATGGACTTATAGAGAGCTGGAGGTGATCTTACAACTGTGGGGCCTGGGGGCAGTCCCTCAGGACCTCCAGAAAGAGCCAATCTTGACACCATCTTGATTTTGAACTTCTGGCCTTCAGAACTGTGAGAGACTAAGTTTCTGTTGCTTTAAGGCACCTAGTCTATGATAATCTAATACAGCCACGGGAACCTAATACAGTGAGTATAGCAGGAACACTAATATTTATTGCAAGTCCTAAATAAGTTTTACATTCATTATTTTATTCTTAATGACCATGTGATGAAGTAGGTACTGTCATTATTTCCATTTTACAGGTTAGAAAACTCAGGCTCAGAGAGGTTAGTTAAATAGCTGGCCCAAGGTCACACAGCTAATAAGGAGTGAAACTAGGATTCAAACCCAGAGCCCCCTCCCCTTAAAAACAATATACCTCTAAGGTCTTCCTCCTCCCTATCAGTATCATGGTGGCAAAATATCATACTTCTGTGTGGTATTTTCTTTATTGGTCAGGGGGACCAGCACTTTTTTCTCCACCACAGTTGATGGTGTTCAGTGCTTTAACGCGGTGGTCATGAGGCCTCTTGAAAATCCAACAGAGTAGAACATATGGCTTGATGTCTTCAAGTGAATCATTCTACCTAAACAGGCAACTTACATAGGAAAGCTACACTGTCCCAAGTTGCAGAGGTGTAGAGATGTGAAACACATTCCTTCCTTTGAGAACACAGCACAGCGCAGGGTCTCTTTCGGCAGGACTGCACCATTCAGTTTGGCACTTTTTCAGGAACTCAGTGCTGGGAGGAACAAGGGAAAATGTGAACGTTTTCAATTCAGCTCTTGAAGGGACAGGGGATTATTTTTAAAAATAAACCCTGGGGAAACACTTAAAATCATAACTAGCAGGAAAAAAATCCATTGAAAACATTTTTAAAAACAAGGTGTATATTCGTACCAGGACACTCTATTCTGGAGCAAGCAGCCCAGAGAGAAGCACTCAGGCCTGAAGCCTCTTTAAGATGCCCTTCCCTGCTGGAGAGGGCCTGTGGGAGGGAGCAGGTTTCCAGGGCATGGTCAGTCTGGGAAAGTTTCCAGAGAGCAAAGCCTACTTGGATGCTGGCATCTCCTTCTGCTGTCATGGAAACATCTACTGGGGGCCAAAACCAAGGCAGATTCTTTTAGCTTCATCATTGGAAGACTGACTTTTCCAATCTTGATGTTATAATGATCAGTTCAGAAGCTTCTGTCAAATGTTGTGAAAGCTGGTTTTTAAAATATGGTACTTGGCCTCCTTGGTTTATGTTTGAGGGTACATGGCCCACTGTCAGGAGACATTTAACCCAAAGATCTCTACACTCGGTCAGAACTCAGTGGTGGCTTGGGGACTTTACATTTGAGTGTTCCTGGAAGAAATGGAACTTTCCTAATAACAAAGATAATAATAAGGCATATTTTAAGGCACTTTAGCATTTAATAATTGCATTTGTCTGTACTACCTCACTTAATTTTCACAACCACCTTGTGATGTGACTATTACTTCAGCATGACAGACCTGAGGCTCAAAGCCTTAGAAAGAGAAAGGCATCAGACCAATTTGCTTACATTGAAAACTATGATTAAAGGAGATTGTGTGTAAAGCACTAAGAATGTAGCCTGGCATGTAAGTAATATGCAATAAATGCAGCCACCTGTCATCACCCTCATTCTGCTTGGCTGTTGTTATTAATTACTACCTAATAGAGTTGGCACTGCAGCCCAGGTTGCTGACTCCACACTGCCAATTTTTTTCTCAAACACGAGAATGTTCCTTCCTACTTGACCTTATTTCTTTAGGAGTTTTTTCTCTACTTAAAAAAAATTTAAGCCAGTTAGCAAACCAATGGATTATGAGAACAATTTAGATGCAAAATGTTACTCCACCCATCACTAGGTTGATTGGGATAATCTGGCTGGACAACACTTGCAGGTCAACATGAAATATACATATTAAAAAAGATGGGTCTTTCAGATAAAGGACTGAAGTCATGTAGAGTCAATAAGCAGAAGGCTCTGGTAAATCAGTGAGACTATCGAAGAAGGTGCAGCATTTGAGAAGCTGGCAGAGCAGGGGTTTTCTTGGACATGCAATGTGCACACAGGTAAATCCCTTCATACCTTCAAAGGTGGTAGGGATGTACACATACCAACTCTAGCTGGGGAGGCTGTGTTGGAGGGGATGGGAAGGTCTATAGTTCCCTGGATTGGGCTTGACCCTGTTCACAGACTGACCCTTGCCCAGGATAAAGAGAAGAAGGTATGGAGGATGTCTTCCCTTCCATGTCTTCTGGACACTCCCACACAAACAGTTCTTGTTTTCTCAGCTGTTAGCCAAGAAGAAAAGCATCCCCATTCCCCTTGAGCAGAAAGCTCGATCTATCCTGTAGATATTTGTGAAGAGGGGGGTTAGGGGAGGAGGTTATGGAGAGAACATCTGGTCTGACTGACATACTTATGATCATGAGCCTGGTGATTATTGACTGGATGTTCTCACTGCCCACATTGTGGGTGCCATTTGCAGAGTCTTAGGAAAGTATAAGAAAGGAGAAAAGGAGGCAGTTGCATTTCAGCCCACCTGCAGGCAGAAACCAAAGCTTGTCTCTCAGGGGGTGCTGAATCAGATGCCATGTCCGAATCAGATGGAAGAAGTCTTCAGTTTGCTTTAGCTGACCCACACATCATAAGAGAGTGAAATCTTGGAGTCTTATCCTGCCAGTGGTGGGGGGCTGAGTAAAGTGACTGACTTTCCAGCCTTAATTAGCCAGTAGATGTTTGAAGGGCTCTATGTAGAACATTGAACTCTAGACACTGCTTCCATGTTGCAGAGATTGAATCTCATGGGCAAAAAAGCCTTCCAGTGTATAGGAGGCAGCCTGCATTGGTGGAAAGACAGTTGGACTTGAGGTCAGGGTCAATATGGTGAATTCCATCAGCTGAGTCAGTGAATTTTAAACATATAAGAGCATGATCTTGAAAATTCTCTAATGTGTTTAGTCATTCTCTGATTCCAAATCCCAGATCAACAGGCACTTCATTAAATTCTCCCATAATAGGTGAAACTTTAGCCATAAAATGAAAAAGCAAGGACCTCTGTGGCCCTGAAGTTGGTGATGGCTCCTACAGAGCCAACCCAATGTGGGGAAAGGTGTATTCATTTCTACAATGTGCCATAATACAATGTTTTGGCTGATATGGTTAGGCTGTGTCCCCATCCAAATCCCATCTTGAACTGTAGCTCCTATAATCCCCACGTGTCATGGGAGGGACCCAGTGGGAGGTAATTGAATCATGGGGGCGGGATTTCCTGTGCTGTTGTTGTGATAGTGAATAAGTCTCATGAGATCTGATGGTTTTATAAAAGGGCAGTTCCCCTGCACATGCTGTTGTGCCTGCTGCCATGTAAGACATGCCTTTACTTCTCCTTTGCCTTCCATCATAATTGCGAGGCCTCCCCAGCCATGTAGAACTGTGAGTCCATTAAACCTTCTTCCTTTATAAATTACCCAGACTTGGGTATGTCTTTATTAGCAGCAAGAGAACAGACTAATACGTTCGCCTCATTATAACCACAAAATAAGCCATCTGGCTCTATGGTCCGGGCTGACTAGCTTATTTTATTTACTGAATGATTATTTACTGGGTTCATAGTATGTGCAACTTGCTATAGTCATTTGGCTCAGGCAGTAGGAGTGAGGCACGGACCACCTCATGATGCTTCGGGGGCTAGTTAGCTTTAGAAAGACCAGAGCTGTTTTCATCCTTACCAGCCATTTGGCAAGTGTGTGCCAAGGTCATCAAGCAGGCTTTGTGAGTGTGCAGATAACTCAGCTGAAAATGGAGAAAGAGGAGAGGAAGAATGGAACTTGGACATCAGGATACCTGGGTGGCTTGGCTACAAGGTAGATGACCTTGAAGTCACCTTCTTCATAGCTCAGATTCCATAGCTGTAAATGAGAAATTTGGTTGTGATGGTCTGTGAGTATATTTGTATAATGCCGTTCGACTTTTGAGGTGGTTTACCTTTCTGAATTATCACTGTGGGACACTTTGGAAGGTGAGAAGGCAGTCTGAGTGGAAAGAGGCCTGAAATTTAAAAGTTTTACTATTATAAACCCATCACCACTACTGGAAAAGAGCTCAGAACACATGTTCTGAGGATGGCAGGTCAACAATTTGTGCTTACACAGGAGGAACAGCCCAGCTTTCCATGCTTAGAGCCTCTGGAGAGAGAAGACCTGATGCTCAGAATCACTAAGTGAATTTCCTAAGGGGATGCTCCTGTATTTGTAGTCTGTGCCTTTAACTTTAAAATACTTTAGTTCCCAGGTCAGCAGAAATGCTCTTGAAAAATGAGGAATTTCCACAGTTAGTAGGGGTCAAAGTTCATAGACCTCAGAGATTGAATCCATAGTCTAATGGGAAATAGGCAATGTTTGTTACCAAATAATAGATGAGGATTTTCATCTCTGTTAGGTTACTGGTCAACAATATACATGTGTGTTTCACTAGTAGTTGTTTACCTAGAAACAGCTGAGGTTTCATTCAGGTTTACCCTGGAAAATAGTGCCAATCCCAGTTTTCTGCATAGCAAGGAAGGAAAAAAAAATGGCCATCATTTATACCCACATGCATATGAAAAACTATATTTCCTGAGAACAGACAGGATATTTTAAGGTAATGTTGGAAGTGGTGGTGGGGATAGTAGAAGTAGTTTTTGGACTAACAGAATCTAGTTCTTTGTTTCTGATGCTTTTTGCAGATGTGACCTATTGGTTTTGACATCAGATGTTCATATGTCGGTTTGATTTATAGAGTGGCTAATTCGGAGGATGGGGGAATCAGGATGGAAATTTTGGAATATCAATCACAATCTTCATCTGCTTCCTTGTCTGGCAAGGCTATAATTTGTGGGCTGTACATGTAAATTAGGCATTTTCTTCTTCAATAAGGAAACTTGAAAAAGCAATGCCTCTGTGTGCACGTAAACAGCACCCACATCTGCTTTAAGGAGAAATGATAAACAGTTTTTATCTTGTATAAATAGGGACAAGCTTTGTCCTCAGCTGTTTATATGCAGCTCCCACTAACTTTGCTTAGACTAGAAGCTTGTCTCACTGTTTGAAGGAATAGTCAAATAATCTAGTTGACAAAAAGTAGATCTTGATTTGATGTTTTGTGTTCTTCGCCTTGGGTCTGGGAGTGAAGTGAGTTGCTGGGGAAGGTAGGCAAAGAGTAAATTTTTGTGATGATGGGAAAGGTGCAGGGAGGCTGAATAGAGGTGCCCCCCTCCTCCTCCTATGACCTCCAACTGAAACATTGGCTTGGACCTGACATGACCAAGGCAACTAAGGTCACCCTGATCCCAGGAGTATTTTTGGGTGAAAAGGGTTGAGAGCAGATCTTGTACTTTCTGGGCCTCTGGGACTCAGTTTAACTAGAGATCCCCCCTCCTTTATTCATTATGATAGATAGTCTGCCTGAAATTCACTATGATGAGGGAATCACCTAAGATTTGGATTACTCCGCGTGTCTTTTCAGTGTTTTCAGTTGAAGAACAAGAACAAATATCGATGTTTGTATAATGCCGTTCGATTTTTGATGTGGCTTGCCTTTCCGAATTATCACTGTGGGACCCTTTGGAAGGTGAGAAGGCAGTCTGAGTGGAAAGAGGCCCGAAACTGACTTAGAAGGCTAGGATTGAGTCTTTTCTTATGTGGCCTTAAGCAATTCACTCAATCGTAATGACCCCTCTTATTCCATCTGTAATACAAAGATAAAATAACACTTGCCTGCTTCAGAGGGTGTTGTGAGTTAGGAATGTGCTAGACGAATAGGTGCTGGAAACCTCATATGCTGGTTGTCAGTTATGTGGAGAGTCTTTCATTCATCTCCATGGGGCTATGGAGTGGTGGAGGATGAAATGAGAGATCTAGCATGCAAACCCTTCTGTAGGTATCTGTACTGGGGTAGGTTCTTCCCCAGTTTTGTTTGTTATTTAAACTCATTACTGTGTTTCTTCTTGCTGCCCTAGTCAACAGCCTCTTTCTAGTGGCAGCTGAGAGCATCTACTGACCTGGGCATCAGCTGGCTGCAGAATTCAACTTGTGGAGGCTCTTGTTTTCCAGTGTGGTGTTTATGGGCTTAACGTAGCACAGTCAGCATTAGGGAGATCAGGATGGGGCCGACTCAAGATGCCTAGACAGTAAGAGTGTTTCCTGTCTAGCTCTGTCCGTTTAAAGAGGACAGGTCGCTTCACACCACGATCCCTTTTTGGGAAAATGCTCATGTTTTCTATGGCTTCGTGTTTTCTTCACACCTATAAGTTACATGCATTGAACAGCAGGCAGTGGGTGGTTAAGAACCTGGGCTTTGATCCAGATGCCCAGTTTCAAATTCTGTCTGTATTACTTAAGCTGAGTGACCTTCTGAAATTCACATAACCTCTCTGAACTTGAATTTTCTCATCTGCAAAGTAAGAATAGTAACAGTAGTGAAATAGGAGAAAATGAGATAATTTGTATAAATTACCTAGCATGGTGCTTGGCATTTGATAAGATCTCAGTAATGTTAGATACTGTTATTGAATCTAAATGAAATTACTGTTTGCTTAGGATTGAGCTGCAATCTTGACAGAGTATATACTCTGTCAAGAATATCTATATATAGATCTCCAAGAGTATATAGATCTCCAAGAGATCAGAGGTCAGCAAACTACGGCCCATGGGCCAAATCCAGCTCACTGCTTGTTTTTGTCAATAAAGTTTTATTGGAACACAGTCACACCCATTTGTTTATGTACAGTCCCTGCTGTCTTTTGTGCTGCAGCATCAGAGTTGAGTAGTTGTGATAGAGTGTGTTTGGCCTGCAAAGTCTAAAAAACTGACTGTTCACCCTTTCCTGAAAACCTTTACCAATCTTTGCACTAGACTATTGACTCAGTTGAGTTCTAATCTCACTTCTGCGGCCGACTTGCTGCCTAATCTTTGATACGTTATTTAATTGCTTTGTTTTCCTCACATTTAAGAAGAATGGTCAGAGAAACTTGGTTGGACATTTGGCACATGTCAGCCCCTGGAAGTGAAATGATACATTACCGTCATTGCTAACGGAGCAAGAGGGTCAAACGCTGCGTATATATAATCACGCTTATGGGAATGTAACCCTGGATGATTGGACATGTTATAAGATGCTTTTCATGTGGGTCAAAGCAGGCTTAATTTCCAGCCTATTCTGGTTTTAACCTACAATCTCATCTTTACCAGATCCTTGCACCTTGTAATTATTTTTAAAAGGAGAAAAACTGTAGAAAAAAAATAATTTGAGTACAGCAGCCGCCTCAGATTGAGGCTTGTTTTATACTGATACTCTCAAGATCTCGAGGACAACTTCAAGAATTGCAGACACAGATATCTCTCATACTTGACATTTTAAGACCATAGCTGAGCATAAAAATGTGAGAATGCAGATTATCCTAAAAATGACGTTTTTATGATAAAAGTAATCTATTAAAAAGTCACATGAATAGCTACAGCCATTTGACGTTGTTAACGATATAATGATGTGTTAAAATGCTAGAGGAAGGATTATGTCAGTGTTTGATGTTTTTATAAGTTGCTGCTGTATAAAAATGTCAAATAAGAATAATCTTATACTTGACATTTTTCACTTGGTTTTCACTCTCAAAATAGCTCTGTGAGTTCTGGTTACCTTTTTGCTCATACTTTTGACTTTTCCCTTCCCTAAATAATTTTCTGTGCTCACCCACATCACCACTTTATTTTCTTCTAATTAATTTTTTTAATTCCTTTTAAGTAAAGAGCTCTTGGTATTTTTGTGTATTCCCTTGCAATCCTCTCCAATTTCCTCTTAATATAAAAGAATGACTGTTAATTTTTTTTGGTCAGAATGCTGAAATAGTATCTCCATATATCCTTCTGGTCATAGTTAATTCTTTTTGGTCAGAATTCTGAAATAGTATCTCCATATATCCTTCTGGTCATATTCACACTGTCCTCCTCTTTTCATACAATTAGATAAGAAAGTGCACCAATTTTTTTCATTTGGGGAGGTTAATTTGTTTCTCTCTCTCTCTCTTTTTTTTTTTTTTTTTTTAACATTGTCTTTTCCAATTCTTTAAAGATGTCTGGCCTTCCACAACTAATTTGAGCTAAGTGGGTCCTTTCCTGGCCCTGGTATGCAGACAAGTGCTGATTCTTATGCACTTATGTATATGGCGGGTGCTCAGCTCTGTCCTGCTTGAGATGGGCAGGAGTTTTCTAGAAAGAGCCTCTCAAGGGGAAAGGAGAAATTGGGAAAAGGTCATGAGTTGGTTCTATGAGCAGTTCAATAAGCAGGGATACCTAGTTTTGGGAAGGGCTTGCATTTCTGCTGTGCGTGTGTCCGTGCATGGCCATATGTGCTTAGATGGTTTGGAATCTTTTATAGTCTTTGACTCCTTGACAACATACACATAAACCCTCTTTATATTCACCCAAAAATGAGAATACCTTTTAAAAAGGAACTCTTACCTTTAAGAAAGTCATAAGCTGAGTTTGCCTCTTGGTTTTCTGAATTGGTCCAAAGCCATCGGGCCTCAGTTCCACCAACTTCTTTCCTTACTCTCTGCAGATTTTATCTTTGGTAGTTTCGCCCTTTCTAAGAAAACAGCTCCACCTCCTGTCTAAAGGAATCCCCCCCTCTGCGTCTCTGAGCCTGCCTCCTTCTTGTCCCACCTGAACCTCACACCCTGTTGGGAATGCCTTCTGTCTCTTGCATCTTTGGCCTTGTCCCCTTCACTGGCTATAAACTTTTTTATAGTTTGCTGCTCTCTTCAGAGCCCCTGTGTTGGCCTCAGATTCTTTGTATCACAGTGACCCCCTGCTCTGCCAATTTCTCTTCCTCATGCCATCCTCTCCTGCAGTTGTTCCTGACAGTTCTTTCCTTAATTCACTTCTCAATTCCTTACCTCTATGACCTTATCTCCTCCCATCTCCAAAGACATTTACCTGTCTGCCCCAGGATTCAAATGTTCCAGGTTAATGCTGCTTTCCTCTTCGCGGTGGGATATGTTGATCACCTCTTGTGCAACCCTAACGTGTGCACACTCCATCAGTTACAGACTTTATTTGGGACATCCTATTTCTATGGCCTTACATAAATCATGTTCTTTTTTATTTTAAAGTTGCCGATGTTTCCCCCTTGCTGTTTTATAAACAAGATATTTTGAGAATTCTCTTCTCAGCAGGTTCCAAACAGAAACTTGCATTACTATTCTACAAAATAATAAACAGCTTTGGGCTATAAAACCTTTCAAATTGTTTTTTCACAGAAGGGATTTGCATGCTGACTCATTCCTACTATATTTATAACCTATCGGCCAAACCACTGCTAAGGCAAGATTTCTAATAAAGCTATGGAAATTACATGCATTGCAATGGGGCAGAATATATTTACATTTGTGGTATTTTAACATTTCCAAATTTATTGCAGATTACCTTTTTGTGCATGCCTGTGCTTTAATGGTTTTTTATAGCAGAAAATAGTGGTTTATGATTGTATTCCCAGTAGAAATTTATTATGAATCCACCATATGGAGTGTTACATAAAACTAAACTTGTAACATGGGTGGTTTTATTGTTGCTTAGCAAGATCTACTGTACATTTTTGAAAATTAGTGATAATAGAAATGTCAAAGAAGGGAAGTTTGGTTTATGAAGAGAGTCTTCATTTTACATTCAAATTGTCACGAAGGTTTTAGATTTTATTTTAAGATGAAAATGATGTACCCTTTGACAGTTAGAATGTTAGGTAATATAACTGTTTATTATGTCTTTCCCTGTCCTGCTCCCAGTTTTCATTGTACTAGTATTTGCTAAAGCAGGAGATGGGCAAAGCGATAATACCAATATCAACCTCCTGTGTAAGCCCATCTTCCTATAATGATGGACCTGGCTCTCTAGCCATCACTGTCAGCCATTAGCCATTAGAACTCACCACGAGCAGTGGTCATGGAAGCTGTTGCCAGAGCACATGGAATCGTTTTCTTTTCTTCCTTACCTAGCTTTTACTGGGCATCCTGCTCGAAGGGTTTAAGGTACCTATTTCTGCTAGCATTTGTGGTTCAGAGAAAATACAAGGGTAAGGACAAAAGAAGGTTCATATTTAGGTCAGTCAACATTTTGCATAGGAGTCCCCCGGGGGTAACTTAGACCTGTATTCTGGGAGACTTCATTTTTGGCCAGTTCCTAAACTTTGGTATGATGAGTGAGTTGGAAAACATACCTTAAAAGTGTTTTTTTTCTTTTTCATTTTTTTTTTTTTTTTGAGACGGAGTTTCGCTCTTGTTGCCCAGGCTGGAGTGCAATGGTGCGATTTCGGCTGACTGCAAGCTCCGCCTCCCGGGTTCAAGTGATTCTCCTGCCTCAGCCTCCCGGGTAGCTGGGATTACAGGCATATGCCACCACACCTGGCTAATTTTGCATTTTTAATAGAGACGGGTTTCTCCATATAGGTCAGGCTCGTCTCAAACTCCTGACCTCAGGTGATCCGCCAGCCTCGGCCTCCCAAAGTGCTGGCATTACCGGCGTAAGCCACCGCACCCAGCCTTAAAAGTATTTCTTTTCTTTAAGTAGATGAGGTTAAAAAAATGCTTGCCTCATATTTCCCACAAAGAGCCTATAATTACTTTATAATCAGGAGCGATTCCAATAAACATTATTAATATTAAGAAGTAAGAACATTGTGTACAACACCTTCTTTTACTATCTTTTATGAGTACCCTTATTTTACTGTTTTCACTTACCACTGTGCCCCCAGCAGAGACTGCCGTCATAGGCATAACCATATTGGAAAATCAGGAAGGAGTTGAAGGAGAGGTTTTCAGCCATCGGCATTTCTGAAGAGTTTGCCACAGTACTGTGTGGTTAAGAGGGAGCAGAAATGAGTCTAATATTTTGTATGTTTGAATTATGGCCCTGCATATCTGTTCATGCTAAAAGGTTTATTGTGCAGACCAGATGTATTGATGTTCTAAATATGAAGACTTTGCAGTAGGCTTTGCAAATATAAAGCATTGTAGAAAAAATCTTAAGTCAATTCATTATTTGTCTCCTAACTGATTTTTAGGTGTAATTCCACTCCAATAGAGACATTTTGGTGATGGAACTATCCGAGCTCTGAGGATATTTGTATTTGTAACTCCAGCCTTATCAATTACTCTTGTCTTAAATTCCAGCGTAACTTTAGCACCTTTGCTATAAATGGTTTGTTAAAAAATTCAAAGCCCATGCGTGAAGCACATTTTATACTCCATATGGACTGCTGTTGAGTTGTGGAGAAAGCCAGACTCAATGTTTTGAAAATTCCTGGGTATGAAGAGGTTGTTTTGAGTGCCTGAAATGTCTCTGAAGTATGACATTTTGTACTTGATCATTGTCTTTGTTACCTGTCTGGGTCTCGACATCAGAATATGAAACTACGACTTTTGCCTTCTGCAAGGTTGAAATCTGGCTGACAGTTTTTAGCCAGTCAGGCAATTGGGACTTACCAGTAACTGAAAATTATTTTTACAAACCTCGTTAAAATAATTATTATAACAATAGCTAGGACTGCACATTGAAAACGCATGTAAATTGAGAGAGCTTAAAGGAGTGACTGGCTGGGAGATAATTATGGCTAGAAATGTATCTCTTCAACTAGTTGTTCTGATATTCTACAAATACTACCACTTTAATTTTTCTTAAATCAGTGATCAAAGCTCTTATTAAAATGTTGAGCACACAAAAAATTAGCCAGGCATGGTGGTGCACGCCTGTGGTCCCAGCTACTCGGGAGGCTGAAGTGGAAGGATCACTTGAGCCTGGGAGGTGGAGGTTGCAATGAGCTGAGATCATGTCATGGTACTCCAGCCTGGGTGACAGAGTAAGACCCTGTCTCAATAGAAAGAAAAAAATATTGAGCAATAGTTTCTCATTATGGCATCAGATTAAATAGTTTTCAGTGCTAAGCTTCCAAAGTGGATCCATTTTGTTCCTTAGAAGGTCTTTGCTCTTACTAATATACTAGGGAGAAAACATGGGCTCAGAAGAGAGTACAAGAATGTAATGTCAGAGGGAGATCATGTGAGAAACTGAATGGATTTACTTGGCCTTAGTCTTAGTGATGGGCCCATCTGGAGTGTCCCATAGCTATTCTTTAGGCAAATACATTTTTAAAATAAAAATAAAACTGGTTTCTGATAAGACTTCCATACCACAAGCATCTCTCTCCAGCCTGTCTGGTTCTGAGCATCATTTACTTTTCAGGGTATGTGGTTTCTTATTACATTTCATTTACATTCATTATTACAAAATACTAACAGTTCAATGTGAACAGTGTCATTTCCCAAATCAGGCATACAGGCACCCAAGAAGAAATTAATCACAAGAGAAATGGGCAGAAAGCTGTGAGACAATGAACTGTTAACAAGGAGGCCTAATAAAGCAAATCAAAGTTTGCTGACAGATTGCATATCAAGACTGAAAGAAAAGATGTGTGCATGAAAAATCTCTAGTAGACCCTCGTACTTTTTTGTGGTAATATATTGAAATAGTTGATATAAAAGAAATTCAACATTTTTTCTGCTGCTTTTGATCTGACAACATGCTCCTAAAAGTCTTTCTGGTATCCTAGGCACTATAAACTTGGGGCTAGGGTAGAAACACCATAGAGCAGATCCATGTGTAGTGAGAAGCGTGCTATAAATTATATTTTAACTTGCTCATGTATTTCTTCAAGTGACCAACTTTTGGTCAGACACATGCTTTGCAGATGCCCCTGCCTAAGAACATGAAATACTTGGGTTGGGCTTTTTCGGCTAAGAGAATGACAGGGTGTTTGGTTGAATAAGTCGGTTACCATCATTTCAATTGCATCTCAACAGCCTTTCCTGGAATAAGAGTCTGTTACAATAATAGCAAATATGTTGATTCTTCGGAAATATACAAAAAATAACTGTGACACGAGCCATCAATTTTTAGCAGTAGGTCTCTGGTGGGAAGAGAGACTATATCAGAATCATCTGTGTGGTTTTTTCTTCCTAACCTACAAGCCACTCTCCTTCCCAGAGGAAATTACATAGTATCTAGATAGGTGGCCAGAATCTCTGATGGAAGGTGGGTAGGGTGTGTTGTGTGTGTGCACACATGTGCCTGTAGTTTGAAAACACCCTACGGGTGATACTGATACCGTATCTCCTATATTGAGGACAAACAATTTACATGTTTGAATTTACAAACTCAGCAATCAAGAGGCTACTTTCTCCCGTGTGCTCTCTATAATTTGGATGGATTGCCTAATTATCTAAACAGATAGGCTTAGTTACTAAGAGTAAACTTAGTTAACTGAGAAACTAGCATTCTCAAGGATTTCCTACAATTGTATAATAAAAAATCATTACATATTAAAACATTATGGTATTCATGTCTAAGAAAATAGAACATTTAAGAAGTATTATTTAAATGATCACTGAGTAGTAGGTCCAATTGAGTCTTTATTCCCAGTCTTGATCCATTCCCATTACTGCTATAACTATCTCTACCTCTAACTTTTGTTTTGAAAATATCACCTGATTGAACCTAGAATTAAAACACTCCAGAGTGTGGAGGACTGTAAAGATACTTTAGAATTTCACACTAGGTTGGTGTCAAAAGCTTTTGAAGAGGACTTCCAAAATCTTTTGATCTTTTTCATAGCCATGGGGACTTTAACTGATTAGACTCTTAGTTAATGAAGACAGACTTATTCATTCTTTCTAGCACTCCTGATCATCCTACGCTCTAAGTGAAAGCCTGGATTTTTTTTGGTAGTTGTTTGCATCTTTTATAGCCTCCTTGCTGAAATAAGAGGAATACATTTATGTAATAACTTGAATATAAGGTCTTATAAACTCTCATGATTATCATCTTTAAGAGTTTCCATGTTCTCATATCTTACTACTCATAAGTATTTTATTTAGCTTGCATTATAAATGTAACACACAAGAAGTTTGTATTATCTGTTGTGTTTCCAATTACAAATTTAATCTGTACTAGGATTTAATTTTTACTTTTAGTTTTAAATAGATTAGAATAAGGTTTTAAACAGCAAGATAGTTTCTGGAGAAAACTGGATTTGATACTTTATCCTGGCCTTTCTTTAATTTGCAGAGTAAATACCATATTATGCTCTATAAAGTGTCACTAAAAAGGAGAATTTGTATTAAGCATCAAATATGTAGCTGAGACTATGTTAGATGCTTTTCATATGTTCACATGTATCTCTCTATTAACCTTATGAAATGTTATTATACCTTCTTTTTATAAGCCTCCTCCCCCCACCCACCGTCCGCCTTTTTTTTTTTTTTGAGACAGAGTCTTGCTCTGTTGCCCAGGCTGGAGTATAGTGGCACAATCTCAGCTCACTGCAACCTCCGCCTCCTGGGTTCGAGTGATTCTCCTGCCTCAGCCTCCTAAGTAGCACGCACACCCAGCTAATTTTTGTATTTTTAGTAGAAACAGGGTTTTGCCATGTTGGCCAGGCTGGTCTCAAACTCCTGACATCAAGTAGGAGGCCTGCCTCGGCCTCCCAAAGTGCTGGGATTACAGGCGGGAGCCACCATGCTCAGCCTCTACCTTCTTTTCAAATGAGTAACCTGAGAATCAGAGAGGCTGAGGCACTTGCTCAAGTTTCCATAGCTTTTAAATGGCTGATTCCTGTTCCTTATTATCATCATTAATGATGATAATTATTATAGCCACAATTTGTGAGTACTTTCTAGATGTCAAAAATTTACATACACCTGTATTTTATTCAGGCATCAAAGGAATTAATGTTCACATTTGATCAGTGAAAATATGAAAGATTATGGTTAAGTACATTTTCTAAGGTCACACAGCTAGTTGGTGACAGAGTGGAGTTTGAGCTTTTCATCGTTGTAAAGCAATACTTTTTTATGTATGTTTCACAAACTCTTCCTATGTTTTTACTAATGGCACTATTGTTAGAATAAGTGACTTATTTCCATGGTGATTCTCAAGGACAACATTTTTCATTCATACGATAAACTATGGCATACTTATTAAAGTCTCATTGCTTTGCAGTTGTACCTTCCACATGCTTCTGTTGTGACCTATATCCTTTGGTGATCTGGCAGTGGGTCATTTTCGTGGTGATCAAATATGTATGTATGTAAATACAAAATTGTTTGTTTTATTCATCTGCTTTCCTTCCAGTCTAAACACTGAGCTGAAATTGAGACATTGGACATGATAGTTTGTTGAAGTTTGACATTTCTGTCCAAGATTTGTTTGGCCAACCTTTGAAAGCCTGAGTTTAAACTATTCCACAAGCATCAGTCAAAACACATGAGAATCATGGGAAAGGAGGGCGCTTTTCCTGCACAGCTGCTCTGCAGAAGGGGAATTGCATGGCAAGGCATCTCCTCTTGGCCAATGTTAGGAGAGAGAGGGCTTTTCCTTCCTCAGGAGAACAGCTCCCCTTCTCTTCACATCCCTAAATAATGCAGGAATGTCACATTGCTTGCATTCCTTTGATGCTTGTCCTGACTTTGATTTTGCTCTGGTACTTGTCTGAAAACAGAGCTGTCAGCACCTTCATTTTTTTGCTCATCCTGTTTCCCAGCCAAGGATAAGTAATAATGGGTTTAAATTCCCAAGTGCCTGCATTTGGCTCTGAAATAGCAGTGGGCAATCTTTTCACCCCCACCCCTCCTATTTTAGGGTTTAAATAGAAATCTTAGCTGTGTCCTTCCCTCAGAGTTTCCTGGCTCCTAGTGGTTTCTGGGTGATGGCCAGATATGAGGACCCCACCCAGGCTATTCTCTGAATTTGAAAGTTGTCTGATCCTTCACTACCACCAACTGTCAGTGACGTACATTCCCAAGCCCTCTCTTGATCTTGCTTGCTTTCTTGCTTTTAAGATTGAGATGCTTCTGAGATGTAGAGTAATATCAGATCGCCTAACACCCTGAAAGAGAGAAACTTCAACACTCAGGGAGCTTTCATGTGTATTAGAGAAAAGAACCCAGTGGTCTGGACAGAGTTGGTGCTTTGCCAGCTAATGAAGCAGTTTCTCTTTCACAGACCTCTGAGAAATACTGGTAGGCTCTTTATGTTCTTTGAATATGGAGCCCACTGGTGACTTGATAAAGGAAATCACTTAGTTGTTGAAGAATTAAATAATGTACTAAGAGTATTTCAATTAGCAAGTATTCAATTAAAAAATAATGACGACATCCACTTATTCTATTCATTCAACAACACCTTCTTAAGTATTTACCAGGGAAGCAGGTAGAGTATTGAAGTTTAAAAACACAAACTCCAGGATGAGACAACCTGGTTTCAAATCCTGATTCTTCCATTTATGAGCTCTGTGATCTTGGGCAGATTACCTAAGCTCTCCTGACTTAGTTTACCCATTTATAAAATGGAAATAATTATAATATGTGCCTCAGAATTATTTTGAGGATTAAATATAATATGTAGGGAGCTCTTGGCATGTAGAAATGCTTTAACAACTGTTGTTGATTAAGTCACTGTGCCTGTTCCTAATTAGTTACAATTAAGGGAAGGTTCCTCCCATGAAATTTTTGATAATGTATTTAAAGAGTCAAACTATAGACACAGAACACAAAGTACAGAGTTGAGTAACAGTATGGAATCTGTCACAAAGACTAAGTATTAGTGACCTTTCATATCCCGTTCAGGTTTAAGATTCCAATAACACAGGCTGGAGGTTTCCCAGGAAGATGTGACTCTGTGCCTGTGTAGCCAGAGAAAGCGTAAGGGAGTAGGGGGACTGTCACGATCCAAACCCAGTTTGTTTCACTTCTTTCTCATCACATTCTGATTGCCTCTTCCCACCATCCATCTCCCAGCCAGCAACCTCATCTAACTGAGCTTCTCAGTCCCCTGAAGTCCCTTTTGCTTTTGCGGGTTCATGACTTAGCACACAATTCTTTCCTTCACTGCATTTTTTTTCTAGCTATGATAGAATCAGGAACTGTTTAAAGCCGTGGATCATTTGCCTGCAAAATAAGCCAGAACTAATGATTCTCCCACTTCTCCAGCATATCCCCCTCCAGCAGCCTCCACTGGCTAACTCTGCTCCTGGACTTCACCAGACTTGGCCTCTCAGCCTTCAACTGCCTTCTCCTTTATCTTGATTCTCAAATGTGAAAGGAGGAGCGAGTGATAACCACAATCTGAGAGTTTGCATTATGAAGTTCTCAGTATATTACAAGCCTATTTGAAATCCATCATGTCTCAGGATTATATATATAATCGCTTTGATACATATATATGCATATATGTATATATAAAATCCCTATTCATATGTATATCTCATATATACATAGGATTATTTCCAGCTTGATTGGTCTGGTGCATATATATATATATATATATATATATATATGCATGTGTATATAATCCCTATATATGTATGCATATATATGCATACATATTTTACATATGCATGCATACATATATAGGGATTATATATACATGCATATATATATACACACACTCTCACACCTGCCTCAGACCAATCAAGATGGAAATAATCCAGTTGAATCCTGATTCGTGCTCAGCATACATGGAAATACTAATGGGTATACTTTCTGGAGAACAGGGTAAATGTCATCCACTTTTAGAATGAAATGCATATTATTTGTCAGCCTAAAAATTCTTATTTTCAAATGGTGGAATTAAAAAATAAGCTCTTTAAGGTCTTGGAAAAAAGTCTAGCCAAAGAATAACACTTTTGAATGTCAGAACTGGACAGTGCTCCTTGATTAAAAGGATTAATGGCATGGGTGCTATTTGTGATTGCACCAGCCTGAATAGGAGGCAGTTTTCTTAACTACCTAACAAGGAGAGGCATGGGGACTCCCCAGTATGTCTCCAGGGTACCCATGACATATCACTAGGGGAGGGATGAGAAGGATCTCAGGCTGCATTTGGCAATCCTTTTCCTCTGAAGAAACACAGGATCTTGAGTCATTGGTATTATTGCCAGCCTTTCTCAGACCTCAAGGTGCTCTTAGGCTGACCATTAATTTTTGAGAAGCCTAGACTCTGTACTTTTCTAGAAAAGTATTCATAATCGGTTATGCCTATATAGTCCTATTTAACATCCCACAGCTCCTCATCCAGTATAGGATCCAGAGTGGCTACTAATTAATTGTGTGACCTTGGGAAAGTCACAGCCACTGGGCTGAGTAATAACCAGGATTCCCTCCAACCCTAGGCTGCCTGGATTTCCATCCTCACACATATCTTCCTGTTGCCCCAACTCTTTCTTCATGGGATCCTAGCAGGAAATTCTGCATATCGTGCCTAACAGGCTGTTAAATTACTTTAATTAAAGTGTCAAGGGATGAGAATTGAAGATTACTCAGAGCTGCCACCCCACCCTTCCCCAGCCAACTGGAGAAGGCTTTTGCCAAGAAGATTCAGACGTATAATATTTAGTAAGTCCTGTATGGGCTAACACGGAGCCACTCTATTCCGTGGTCTTTAGATGTGAGATGACACTGAAATGGGATGACAGTCTATTTTTGACAGACTTGTCAGAAGCCAGAGCATGATGCCTTCATCAAATTCAAGACTTTATCTAGAAAGAGGCTTTGACAAAGACTTGCGGAGAAAATGTGGGAGGAAAAAAGTTCCAACCTTATCTGAACCCTCTTCCACTTGGGCCACGGAGCTCTCTCCAAAAGCTAGAGTTTGGTCCCGATGTTGGATCTCTCAGAGAAACTAATGTAACCTGCGATTTCTAGGATGCTTGAGAGTTTGAAGAAACACATCTTGGAAGCACTACATTGACTTGGATCATATTTTTTCTTTAATAAGAAAAACAAATCCTTTAAAAACAATTCAGGATTTTTATTTGTATTAGGCAAATATTCATGGAAACAGTAGGGACAGGAAAAGTTTATGAAGACAAGGGTGATACACATATTTTCCAAGATGGAATAATACCCCAAAGTGATACATGACCAAAACTGACCCGATATGTAGGTAGAATTGGCAGTTATTCACAAGGTGTGGAGTGAGTATCTGTCTCAGAGCGTCTCCTTCCCAAATCTTCCTAAGAGTCCACTTGTTTGAGAGGATGTTGAATATTATAGTTAAGAGCTTATAATTTATAGCCAGACTACCTAAGTTCGAAGTCATGCTTCAGCTGCTTGACCCTGAGAGAACTGCTTAACATCTCCATGCCTCAATTTCTCCACCTGTGAAATGGTGTAAACCAGTATCGATCTCATAGTATTGTTATGAATGTGAAGGAGTTAATATATGTAAAGGGCCTGGCCTTTGGGAAATGCTGTGTAGGTCTCCAAGTTCAGCACAGGATTCTGAACATGGAACTTTAAAATCGAAATACTTCAAAGAAAGTTAGAGCACAAAATTGTTAGTCATTTAGATCTTAGCATAAATGAATTCCTTTCTCTGTTCTGAGAGCCTCTGGGAATTATGAGGACCTTGGGAACCTAGAAGTAGACATCAGAGGAACTGACACAGGGTAGGGAGGAAAGGGGAAGCAAACATTTGCCTGACTCAAGATTTTACTTTTGAGCCAGCTCTGCCTTTTAGTGTGTCCATTCTAGCTTCTGTGAACTTGCTATTTTTTATGATTGTTAACTCATTATTATTATTTTATTATTATTAACTCATGCTAATATTCATTCAGCACTGGTTTAATGATAAGAAAATTATAAGAAATAATAAGTAATAATATGCCATTATTATTATGTAATTATATTATATATATTATATCATGAGATAATATGCCAGTATTATTAACTCATTATTTCTTATAATTTTCTTATTATATCAACCGGTGCTGGCTTTTATGATGATGATTCACAGAGATCCTTCTCACCCATCTAAGTAAGAGTTAAGTGGTATTTTTAGCACCTCTTCTCTTATGTCCTTTGTCTTACTATTCAGACAGTCAGTGGACATTGTTGGCATATAATCTTGCATCTGTTCCATTAGGGGTTAATGCTGGCTTCTCTTTACAGGTGAGTTACTTATAAACATCTTTGCTCTATTTTCCTCTTTAAGGACAATCTCTTACAGTAGTGGTTCTCAAACCTGAGCATGCATTGGACTTACATGGAGGCTTGTTAAAACGCAGATCAGCCAGTGCCATGAAAATAATCAACTTGCTTAAATTGCGTTGGACTTAAGATTGCTTTTGGACTGCTCAAAGATTTCATCCTATATCCATTCAGACAGAAGAGCCGGGGCCCTTCAGGAGGTTCCAGATCAGTGCTCTGTCCTATCTTAACTGCCCGCCAGAATGAACACAGCCCTGCTGGCAATGATGAGTAATCATATTCATCTCAGCTGTGCAGGGATGGCTCAGTATTCCTCTAAGAATTCACAATGGTCTCTTCTGTTATCCCATCCATGAGGATGCTTCAGATCTCCAAGGTTTCATGTGGCTGGGGCTAGAGGCTGGGTGGAGAAGGCGTGCATGAAAGAAGATAGAACCTGCAAAGTAGAGATAGGTAACTCTACTTTGTAAGGACATTGAGTAAAAGGGTCAATGCCCTCACCAAGCTGGCCTCTCAATCTTTTTGACCCCTAACTAAGAAGAGAAGACAGGGAACAGTTTTACATTTTGGCTGAGACAAGGGGCCTGGAGCTTTTCCTGGACAGACGGTGTTTGTACCCCTAAGCCACTCACAGCTCAGGTCTCCTCTGCTGAACCCAAATAATACTGACTGAGTGACTATAAAATATCCCTTTGCCCCAAAGTGCCAGCTTTGCATTTTACCCTCATTAAAGTGTGCTCTTGTGGCCAGACTGTCAGTTTCAGAAGAAAACTCCTTTTAATTTTAACTAGAGTCCTAGGCATCAGAAACAGTAGAGAAAGAGGATTCATTTATGAGTTCCTATGGCAGATTATGGGTTTTATTTGCTCCTTTACACCACTTTTCAGTCTGTCATTTTGGTAAGGTTAAGCCCAGTGTAAAACGTTCCCGTAATTATGCTCGGAAACCCTCCCAGCCTGCTGCATGCCAATAAATGCCTGGAATAACTGTCAGGCTAAATGAATCCCATTTGCACAAAATGATTATTGAAAGTTATTTTAGTTCCCTATTAAGCAGTTGCAGAACAGAGCTGTAATCAAAATGTTTATTTCAGTTAGAATTATTATGGTCAATAAAAACCTCAAGTAGAAAGTAAACTACACTTTATCAAATACAGTAAAGGCCACAGCTAGTTAAACTTCTTTTTTCACACGGCCTCTATCCTAGAGTCTGACAAGAGGCATAATGATTAGCCTTTTCCACACTATATTAATGGATTTTATAGCCCAACTTCTGTCTAGCTAATCCAGAGTCTCTTGCCCTGGGTGAATAGAAACCTCAATTCTTTCCTGCTGGTTACCATGGCAAGCCAGCAGGCATAAGTCTCTCTGTTTCTGAGGTTACAAAGTAGGGGAGTGTCCCCTCACATTGAATGGCTGAGAAAAGGCCGTGGGGTTATAGTGCAAACAGAAGTATTTATTCATCCTACTGCCCCCCATGACTGACTGTGTACAAGCATTCCTGTTACTATAGCAGCGATTTCTTTTCCTGTGGATCTCAAAGGTAGCCAAGAAAAAATGCTTTGGCTCATTAGGCCAATGTAGTCATCCTCACCAGAAAACCGCTTCTAGGGTTTTTCTTTGGATGGGGGTAGGGGGATGGCTAATGAAAACGGCCTGTTTCTTTCCTTCCCTCTATGATCTACCCTTGAGAAGAAATCTTGGGTTTACAGTGAATGACTTTCTCGCCGTAAATCACAACAGTTTCAGTCATAACCCTCTATGCCTAAAAGTACTGTGTTGCTGTTTTTTTTTTTTTATAAATTCCAATACCCAGTTAGAATCTCTGGAGGTTGAACCCAGGCATCAGGGGATTAAGTTCCCCAGATGATTCCAATGTGCAATTAATGATGCATACTCCATTATAGGGCAGTGGTCCCCAAGGTGTGGTCCCTGAACCAGCAGCATCAGCACCATCTGGGAATTTGTTAAAAACACAAATTCTTGGGCACCAAATACACCAAAGTGGAGAATGCATGACAGTCTGCATTAGGATACCATGCAAACCAGGTGCTTTTGAGCAAAGGGGTATTTTATAGTCACTCAGTATCATTTGGGTTCAGAGAAGGGGACCCGAGCTGTGGGTGGCTTGGCGGGGAACAAATATCTTTTGTCCATAAAAAGCTCCAGCCCCATGTCTCAGCCAAAGTATGAAACTGTTCCCTGTCTTCTCTTCTTCTTATTTAGGGGTCAAAGAGATTGAGAGGCCAGCTTGGTGGGGGCATTGACCCTTTTACTCAATGTCCTTACAAAGTAGAGTTATCTATCTCTA
This sequence comes from Homo sapiens, assembly GCF_000001405.40. Classification (NCBI taxonomy): domain Eukaryota; kingdom Metazoa; phylum Chordata; class Mammalia; order Primates; family Hominidae; genus Homo; species Homo sapiens. Next base: position 25,310,465 of record NC_000007.14, read on the forward strand.
CTTTGTAGGTTCTATCTTCTTTCCTGGAAGCCTTCTCCACTCAGCCTCTAGCTTCAACCATATGAGAACTTTGACTTCTGAAATTGGAAACTAGCATCCTCATGGATGTGGTAACAGAAGAGGCCATTGTGTGTTCTTGGAGGGACATTGAGCCATCTCTGCATAGCTGAGATGAATATGATTTTCACTGTTGCCAGCAGGGCCCTGTTCATTCTGGTGGGCCGTTAAGGCGGGGCACAGCAGTGACCTGGAACCTTCTTAAGGGTCCCAGGCTCTTCCTGAATGGAGATTGGATGGATTTCTTGAGTGGATCAAGGGCAACCTCAAGTCCAACCCAATTTTTGTAAATTTATTATTATCATGTTGGGTGTTACTTAGCTGTGTCGAATGCTATCTTTGAAAGTTTTGAAAACTAGAAAACTAGACTGCTGAAAATAAATGTTCTTGAGTAAAAAAATGATTCACCAGGGTTTTGGTAAGGCCACAGAAATTTGCTGCAATTCCTGTGTTGGTTCATTAGACCCAGCTGCTGCTTTAGTGAACACCTCTGCTATTCCAGCTAAAAAGGAGAGGAGGACCTTTGGCAAGTATCTTGGCAACAGCTGCCACTCCCAAACTGCCTGGATGATCACATGCTCCAGGGTGATGCTTCTGTCCTAAGGCTGCTTCAGGCTCACCAGGAGTGCTTTGATTTAGTAGGATTCCACAGCTGTAGCCATTCTACCTCTCTGGACTTTTCAGTTACCCAGGCTAACATGCATTCTTTGCTCTTTGAGCAGGTTTGGTTGGGTTTTCAGTGACTTATAAGTAAAGGCAACTCAATTAATAAATGGACGTTTGGTTTTATTACACTAAAACCCAGGTAAGGTAATCCACTTAAGTACCTGGATTGTAAGACCAGAAAGGACACTGTTGCCTGTAATTAGCAGGTGATTCCTCTCTCCAATGGGCTCATCCAGAGCATAGGTCACTACAATCCATTTGGAACACATTGGATCCCAGCCCTGTTAATGCTCTTCTGTATGCAGTTGGTGTTATTTCACATGCCCATTCAATGAGCAATGAGTGGCTTCCTCTTGATTTACATACCTGTAGCTCCTTCTAAGGCCAGGAGTTACCATGTGTCTCATCTGATGACTAATACAGACTGATTCAGTTAGCATCATCAGGAAAAGAAACATTTACACTAATTTGCATTATAACCTTTATTTTGCAAAGCATTGGATCTTCTCAGAAGCAAAGCCTGATACGTTAGGATCCTAGATGAAATAAATGTTCTTATTTGCCTTAACCTCCATGTAAACTAAAATAGGATCTAGTAAGTGTTGACAAAAGTGGTTGATATGGTTTGGCTCTGTGTCCTCACCCAATCTCATCTCAAATTGTATTCCTCATATGTGGAGGGAGGGAGGTGGTTGGCTCATGGGGATGGTTCCCCCATGCTGTTCTCGTGATAGTGAGTGAGTTCTCATGAGATCTGATGGTTTTACAAGGGGCTCTTCCCCCTTTACACACCCTCTCTCTCACCTGCTGCGATGTGAGACATGCCTGCTTACCCTTCCGCCATGATTGTAAGTTTCCTGGGGCCTCCCCATCTATGTAGAACCATAGGTGAATTAATAAATTGACCTTTTGTTTATAAATGACCCAGTCTCAGGTGGCATTCTTCATAGCAATGTGAAAACAGACTAATACAGTGGTTAAGCTACACTTCACATAAATAATTATTTCCACAAAGCAGACGCTAAATCCTTCATCAGAGTCACCTGGAAGAGTTTGCGTGTGATGTGGCCATAGGATGTCACCACACTGTTTACTCTTAAAACTGTTGATAAGTATTTTTGCTTTTATAAGCCTGAATGCAAAATCACCTTTTGTTTGCAGAATAGCCTTTCCTTGCTGTATTGGAAGCTGGAGCACACACTTAAAGAAACAAAAACCCAAAACCAAACTTTATTTTTTGTTTTGTTACAAAAGTCTTTAGAGGCTACCCTTTCCCGTAACTCCTCTGCAAGAGTCCCCCCACTGCTACCACCAAAGCAAAACATCAGTCATTCATATTTCAGGTAAGCACATCAAAACAGCATGTTCTCCAGGGGACTGTTTGGATAGAACATGAATTGAAGACATTGCTTTTCACCTGTAAAACAAGGCCGTGTTTTGTTTTATTCTGTTCTAATTAAAAATTGTGTCTTTCTTGAATAATTTTCTTGCCTACCTCTCTTTGTGAACACAAATTTGACAGAACTGGGGCAGACAGAAAACAGGCATTTATTGCAATCAATATTTGTAGGAACTTGTACATCTCTTTCACAGGAAGGATGATGTCTGTAAGTTTATAGAGGAGCAGAGGTGTAGGAAAATCTACTGGGGAGTGGGGGACAGAGGAGCCTATTCTAAGCTGTGTAGAAAATCAAGTGGATAAAAATTATAGAAAGAAATTTCTAGTCTAGAACTTTTGGGCTGAGATGAATTTTGTGATTTAAAAAATTATCACGTAGCAACTCCATGCCATTTGTGGAAATCTGAACTGCTTCCAAGAGTGTAACAACTGAGCTTCCATAACTGCAAGTGTAGTGTCTAACGACTTCTTTTGTTTGCCTTCTTCTCTGTGGTTGTTTGGAGGTCCGTGGCTTCCCACTGACCTGTCTCCCATCCTGGGCATGTCCTCACCTCGGGTCAAGACAGTGTGTTTGCTGGAAGAGGTGCTCCTGAGTGGCGGTGCTGCAGCCACAGTGATGTATCCTGTGTGGTTCTCGGTTTCACATATACTTTTTGTTTGTGTTTTCTTCTACCTCTGGAGGGGAACATAAATTGACCCCGATCTCTTTCCCAAATGCTTCAGTGTTGGTTTTTTTTTTTTTTTCTCATGGTCCTTTGATTTTTTTCAGAAGAGAAAACTGAACGCCAATCCAATTTCAGTAGAAAATACAATTATAACATAAATGGCTACATTGTTTGAGGAGTGTTCACTGGTATCTCAGGGCCTGCCACAAGGGGATGGGCAGGTGGAATTCTGTTCCAAGCAGCATTCCTTTCTGAGTTAGGTCTTACCTTTGAGTCTCCTGCTTATTGGACAGCAAACACTTCCTTCTTGCTCGGGGCTCATCTCTGCAGGTTTTCTTATCTAGACCCCTCCTGATTCCTACCCCTGCTTGTCACTGTTATAAGTTCAGTTACAGTGCTTCCAAATTCAGTGTTGACATCCTAGCCCATACTTCCTCAAAATGTAAACTCATTTGGAAATAAGGCTATTGCAAACACAATTAGTTAATTTAAGATGAGGTCCTACTGGAGTAGGATGGGCTGCTATTTCAATGTGGCTGGCATCCTTACACAAGGGGGACATTTGGACATGGAGACAGACACACTGAGGACACCATGCAGAGGCTGGGGTTAGACTGCCACCTTTCAAAGCTAGGAGAGAGGGCCTGGAACAGAAGCTTCCCTAGAGCCTTGAGGGGAAACGTGGCCCCACCAACACCTTGATTTCAGGCTTCTAGCACCAGAACTGTAAGACACTACGTTCTGTTTAGGCCACTGAGTCTGTGGTACTTTGCTACAGCAGCCCTAGCAGACAAACACAGTCTCTCATCATCACCACTCCTCCAAACACACACTCACCAAACTTCAGCTTTCCCATGGTCCTTTGTATCCCGGCCTTCATCGACAACCACCTAAACTACAAAGCTGCCAGCTGTGACCGGACCACCATAAGCAAAGGACCCCATGCTGTATCTGCTCAACCCACACCTGGGGAATGTAAACTAAGTGCACCCTTTCTTACTGAAGGCAGTGTCCCCATGGCAGGCAGTGCCACCTTGGGGAAGCCAGCGGCTTCTACAGGGCACACTGGCAAAGCTTATTTTGGTTTGAGACACTGAGAGACCTCAGAAGTCAGTAACATAGACATTGCTGCTTTTGAGACAAGGCCAGCAGGGGAGTGTGTTGGGAGAGAGAGGACAGGTTCAGGTGGGAGAATGGAGAATGGAGGGGCCAAGGCTGGGAATAAAGGAAGTCTTTGTCCATAGGTCCAGCAAGTCACATGGTACAGGAAGCCTCTCAAAGTTGTTTCCTCTGCTGCAACCCCACTCTGGCCATATCGTTGGCAGGAAATTCCAGCCTGTGCATGCAATGTTTTACAGCAGGTACAGCTTTCTATGGCTTTTTTTTTTCTTTTACCCCAGAAGCATTTCCTCAAAAATGTTCTCACTGACTGGAAAATAACCTTGACCCATTTATTACTGTCCTCCTATACTTTATTCAAACCCAGGAGAATCTGCAGGCCCCTGTGAAACCATGCTGTTAAAGGTAGGAGGAAATCAAGAGGGAGAACGCCTTTTGCTCACAACAGCGCTTTGGGAGGTTCATGCCCAGAGAGCGACATTTGTCCCTGGGAGCAAACTGTAAATTACATCACAAATTAACATTTTAAAATTAAAGCTGGCATTTCTGACCTGCTGCTGGCAGCCACGATCATGCTGCAAAGTGACATCATTTATGACACTGGCAGTTAAGAAGCCCAGTGTTTGAGGTCGTAAAACAGTTTCCAGGCCTGATTTAATATCGATTTTGCTGTCAGGCTAACTTTACTTTAATATTTAAACAAATGTTTAATGTTTAAACAGCTTGATTTTTCCTTTTCCATTTTTCTGTAGCTTTAACCCAGTGTTATCTATGTCGTAACAATTTCTCCTTGGGCCGGCTTCCATATTATACTGCCCTATCTTTAGCAACATTCTCCGATGAATCATCCCAAGCTATATCATGCATCTAAACCTTTTCTTTTTCCTTGCGATGGAATGACCAGCCTATTTATGTATGTATTAATAATTTCTGTTGTATGGATGGCATGATATTGTATTGCTACAGGATAGGTATATCGTTAGACCCATGGGGGCAATGACCTTCCAATAAGCAGAGGATAATTTCTCACCTGAAGAAGTAGCAGCACCACCAGTAGCTTTGGGAATAGGCAGACTGGACCCAGCAGAAGGAACAGAGGCCGCTTGCTCAAAGGAATCTGTGGGTTTGAACTAAGGCAGCCCCTTATTGTACAATATTTTTTTTTTTTTTAGTGCGGGCAGAGTTTGATTTCAGTTGTGCTAAAATGATAAGGTGCTTTTTGTCAATTGGTTTACATAACTCCGGTGGAAGCTGCTTGTATCTTGGGACACAATATTGACAATATTCTCAAGAGGAAAGTAAAATTCATGAAGTGCACAGCTGGGAGCCACTTCCTAGTCGCCCCTCCTTCTAGGGCCACATACAGACTAACTACTAAACCACCTAGCAAAGCCCAGCTAGAATGGAATAAAACAAGTAAGTTATGATATGTGCAGGGCACAGGGGGTAGTATTTTGCTTTAATAGGGAGTCCCTTTCCCCTTGCATTCTTAACTTAGATGTCCTGCCTATTTCTTCTGGGGTTTGCAGAATTTCCCCATTTCTTTTTCTGCAGAGATAAAAGGGCAGCCAATTTATGAACTGCGTACCACGGGGATTATAAATCTCTCATTTGTCTACTCTCATTTCCATCTGATGTATTTTTCAAAACAATAGCCTGAATTCTGCTTTTAAAAATATTATCTGACTAGAGACTTTGCTTGAAATTCCAAGGACCAAATGAGCTTTCTGTTGTCTAAGATACTCCTAATTATTCTGTCTCACCACTCATATGCATTATAAATATATAAGGAAATTCCATGGCTTTTGAAAAAAACCCCAAATTACAAGTATTCATCTTACTGAGAGCTCTATATAGAACTACCAAGTCCCAAACCACCAAATCCAAGGATGCTTCATTTGTTAGAAAAACAAGGGAATTGTTTTTATGAAGCTGGTCTTGATCTACAATTCGGTTTTTTATAGGCTACTGTCTAGGGATCCCCCGTGCCTCATCTTTGATGTTTGGGAGTAATTTCTGCCTCTTTGTGGAAGTAAAGGTAATGTTTTTAGCTGATTATGACACTCTGCCAAAAAGATTTGATTTCTTAAGGCAGCAACCAAGAGATAACCTTGACCTTTTAGTCACATTGACCAAAGCAAGTGAGTATGTGCGTGTGTGTGTGTGTGCATGCATGTGTGTGTGTTTGTGTGTGTGTGTGCATGCATGTGTGTGTGTTTGTGTGTGTGTGTGTGTGCATGCATGTGTGTGTGTGTGAGTGAGAGAGAGAAAAAGGAGAAGAAAAAGGATGCAAGGGGAAAGACTGTTTAGACTAGGCTACACAACAGTACCCCCCTTGTTCTGCGGCTTTCAAAAAACCATTTTGGCCTGGGGTGGTGGCTCATGCCTCTAATCTCAGCACTTTGGGAAGCTGAGGTGGGTGGATCACCTGAGGTTGGGATTTCGAGACCAGCCTGGCCAACATGGTGAAACCCCGTCTCTACTAAAAATACAAAAATTAGCTGGGCATGGTGGTGCATGCCTGTAATCCTAGCTACTCGGGAGGCTGAGGAAGGAGAATTGCTTGAACCGAGGAGGCTGAGGATGCAGTGAGCCAAGATTGCGCCACTGCACTCCAGCCTGGGCAACAGGGTGAGGCTCTGTCTTAAAAAAAAAAGCCATTTTTACAAAGAGTAATGCTGAACTGCACATAGAACCCCTCGGTGGGCATGGGTAGGAGTTCTTATTAAAAATGCAGATCCTCAGGCTCCTCCCCAGACCTAATGAGTCAGAATTTCTGAGTGTGAGGCCTACACAGTTCTTACAACGCTGCGGTTTAAGATCCACTGCAGTAGATCATATCACCTCCATTCGGGATAAGTGAAAAAGAAAACTGATCCCCGATAAAGTGATCAATACAAGGAAATGTGAAGAAAGGGAAACAAAGCAACTTATGATCAACACGGCCATCACACATAATCACAGAGATCAGGGAGAAATGGACCAACTGCATGGAGTCTTCTCTGAAACAGAGTTTCTGGCCAACCTGGCCCTCTAGCTGTGTGGCCTCTCCTTTGCCCTGTAACCAGGGACCCCACATTATTTGTGCCTTCCTCTGATTCCCTCTTTACCAGATTCCAGTCCTTCACATTGTCTTTCTTTTTGGGTTTCCATCATAAGAAACTTTAATAGCTGCCTCTTCTGCCTGCTCTTTAAGGGTCTCTTTGCCAAGGAGTGGTGGCAGGTAACGTCAGTGTCATGGCCCAATGGGCAGTGTAGGCAATGCCTGTTCATTTACCAGGGATGGACTAAGGTGAGTGTGCAGGGAAGACAAAAAGGAGCAGTTGGAGGAAGGACAAGTTGGAAAAGAGGAAGAACAAGGTGGGAGAAGATACACAGTTGAGAGTGGGTTTCTGCTTTGCCATATATTAGTGGCTACTTTGCATACATGAAAATTTACCTGCTGGGGAAAGGTGGCCTAGAGATGGCAAAAGGTGGGGAGGTCTGTGGTAAAGGAATGCATTATCTGCCCCCTTTGATAGCACAAATGTGGCTCTGCCCTCCCCTCAGACCCGTTCACCAAAATAAAAATAATAATACTGATGGTTGGTGCGATCTGTCGGGAACAGTCCGGCAGCTGAGCGCTGATTGATGACAGACTAGGATTTACTGGTGGTAATAAGGCTCTGCGAGATTGCCAAGCAAGTGAAAATAAAGGTGTGATGATTGAATTACATATTCTCTTTCTGTGATTGAAAATAATATCAAACAACTGACTCCGGTGCCAGACAGATTACATAAGCACAAGTTAAGTGGTAGAATAAAAATGAGTAATTTTTCCCCTTGACTTAAATACAGCACTAAGTAGTGTGCCCTTGAATTCAGCAGAAAGCAATTTCCTCTTCCCCAGTAACAGCTAGGTGGCATTGCAAATGCAAATTGAGTTAGCTTTGCATTTTTAATATTCCACATATCCATAATTCACTGCTGAGATTTTAGAGATGTTATTGCTACCACTTGGGCACATTTAAATTATTTTGCCCCTCTGAACTTTTGCATTAACTTTAACATGGGCTCTTAAGATATATGTTTTAATCTACAGAGAGGCCTGTGCTTGAAGAAACTCTAGTTACTGTGACAGGAGCGCCCAACAGCCCAGGACAGACTGTTGTTTAACTTGTCATGTTCTCTTTCCAAGGGGAGCTTGTTGAAATGAAATAACTCCTGCTTAATAGAAAAAGATAAAAACTTCAGCCACTATATTACAATGTGTGGCCTTTCTCGAAAGAACATAGTGTCCACCATGTCACCCAGAGCAGTGACATAAGAAACATCTTAGAGGTTTGTAGTGAGCAATGAGAATTTCATTGGCCGGCAATCAATAGTAACACAATTCCTTTTTGAAAACCTACTTCCATAACGTGTAACAGCATTAAGCTTACCTTATTGGGAGTGGATGAGACCAGAGAATATCAAGAAATAAGGAAACAGCATGTCTCTTGCTGTGTTTGATCAAAAAAAATATCAGCCTCATGCCCCAACTATTTGGGATCATTTTTTGACCTGAGGGCAGTTGCTAAGTAACTAGCAGAGTCTGAGTCTGTGAATCTTGCTAAATTCTCTTTTGAGAAATATAACTGATATAGAGTCTTCCTAACAGTTTCAATTCCTTTTTGAAGCTCTGCTCTAGGCTGTGGCAGAAGCCAGGTTGCTGCAGAGTTGGCTTCATACCCCTGCAGGAAGCTGGCCAAGGGAAAATGGTATTTCAGGGGAAGAAAATAGGTGATATTTTTCCTTTCTTTCCTTCCTTCTTTCCTTGCTTCTTTATCCTTCTTTCCCTTTTCCCTGTCCTTCTTCCTGCCCTCTTTTCTTCCCTCCCCAAGGAAATGAATTAGGATGCTTTGGGAAATATATTAGGTTTATAGAGAAAAATAAGAAGTTAACATATATCTTAATGATTAAGAAGGAACTTTATACAATTTGAAGTGAGGGAACCTAATTCCTTCATTTTTCTCCAAGGTCATGCTTACATTTTAGATCAGGGTATACTCAAGTTTTATCAACTAGATTCACCTGTGCATTGGCATGCTGAATTATAGATTGTTTAAAAAGCACTACTTCTGCGTCCACTCATGAAGAACACAGGGGTCCAGATAAAGACTTTGAATATCCAATTCTGCTAGGAATGAGTTAAAAAAGGAATGTCAGTTACAGTCCCCCTTTCTGTACCTTTCCTTCTTCTACCAAACCTTTCTTTGCAACCGCCGTGGGATCGGATTCATATTAATGAGCTGAATTAACCCAAAGGTGTTTACTATGAACATTGTGACTGTTTCAAAGAGCCAGCCAGTCCCTTCTCTCTCCCATCCTTTTCTGTTTTGGGGTGAAGGTGCCCTCCTCTTGATGATGATGAGGGAATTTTCTCCAGTCTGGCTTTCACTACTGGGTCCCTTTTGGGCTCTTGGCCAATTTACTCCACTCCCTGACCTCCAGAAATCAACAGGCAACCCAGAAGTCTTTAGATCTTTTTAGCTCTACTCTCACTTCCTTGCCAGTCAGCCTCGAAGAAAGCAAAACTGAAAAAGACCAACCTTGAACTTGGTCTTGATAGAGCATGTGGAGAAAGCCTTCTTGGGTTCCATGAGGGAAAGGAGACTCAGTTTTATCTTCCTCCTCAGTTCTGCTTCCATTTCTTTGTCTCCATAATAGTTTTTCATTTTCTCTGTTCTATTTTTTCTGTCCCATTATTTTTCTGTTCTGTTGTTTTTCATTTTCTTACTAGAAGATCTTTGTAATGTCCCTGGAAACCTCTCTTTCCAGATAGTTCTCTGAAGTCCCATGTTATAAACACCAAAGGTTTTTAGCATCTTTTTATTCAAAACAATTTATTGAGTGTCTACGTACTATGTACTGTTCTAGGTGCTGGGGTACAGTAGCAAACTGTACAGACAAAAGTCTCTGCCCTGTGGAGCTTATGTTCTACCAAGGAGAGAGACATTTAATAAGGAAATATCATCTAGTATGTTAGAAGGTGATAAGTACTATGGAAAATTGAACAGACAAATGGAATATAGGATGGAGAGCTGCAAATTCAACAAGTGTGTTCAGAGTAGGCCTGGTTGAGAAGGGGTATGGGCAAGGACTTGAAGGAAAGGAAGCATTCAGCCATGTGGGTGTCCATGGATAGAGCACCCCAAGCAGAGGAAACAGCCAGTGCCAAGGCTCCAGGTGAATCTGTTCAAGGAGCACCAGGGAGGCTGATGTGGCTGGAACTGGCCCAATGAGGAAGAACATTGCAGGGCACGTAGGGGCAGATTTTGTAAGCTCTTGAGACCACTGCGAAGACTTTGGCTTTTATAATACTTCACTGACTTTGTGTTTTTCAAGGGCAAATTTTACCAAACACTAGGTCCTGAGGGAAACTGCTTTATCTAATATATTCAAATGATTTATAATTAGCATACAAATTGTATATAAAAAGGCACTTCCAGAAGGCTCAAGAAGTTTGTTCTCTTTAGCGGTATAAACATCTTTTTTTTTTGCAATCTTTTCAGTCTTAGTTGTTTTGCAGCCTTTAGCCTGCTTTAACCCTCTAAGAGATACACTCATTCCAGTTTCTGTCTAACCATACAAATTCCATGTTGGGTGTGGTTTTTCTCACATAGCATCATAGATAAGCCAGAATTTGGTTCTTAGCATAAGGTTAATAAGACACAGACATCTGAAAAGAATTGCCTACGTTTAATTATTTGGCATACTGAAGTTAGCATTTAAAATTTTATTTACAGCAAAGGGATAAAGTAAATAGTTTGGCTTAAAAACTAGTTTAGAAGGAGATGCCATTGTTTATTTTTTTAAATTAGTTAATTAATTAATATTGGTTAGGAAATCACAACTTCATTGGAAGGCACAGGACCTGGAGTCTTGATAACTAGACACCATATATTCATGTATGTTTTACAATATATTTTCAAATGTGTGATCCCATCAGATGCTTGTAATGCCGTAAATGGAGGGGGCAAGTGTTGCTGTCTGTATTTTTAAAAGAGAGATTACAAGATTCACTCAAGGTCACATGGTAACGGGCAGAATTGGACTTGAATCAAGATCTTCTGACTTTAAAAACAGTTTCCCATGATGAATCCTTGTTTGCAGACTGTAAATGCACTACAGAAATAAAGAAAGTGTGTATGAGAGCTGGCAGAGCAAAGGGGGCAAGCAGAGCCAAGCACCGTGAACAAGGCTCAGGGTCATAGGGCACACATGATAGTGTAATGCAGGAGGAGTGCGAGCTTTGTCACTGGGCATTCAGGTCTTCCCTGGCAGGAGACTGCTTACGTGCCACACAGGACCCTGCCACCGTCAAGTCCACTCTCCTGCCTGTGCAGAGGTAAGCACTGAGTCCTAAGTAACCACATAGAAAAGCTGCCTTTTCTTTTCTCCCTCCCAACTTCCTGCACCCCATCTGGAACTGATGCTCCTCTCTTCTCTCACTCCTAGGTGGAAGCTGTTCCTAGGCTGATTTGCAGCATTAGAGGGCAGGCAGCCACAGCTGAAGGGACCAAAGACATGCGAGACCCGGGGATTTGTGTGTGGTGGGCAGAAGATAACAAAGAGACGGAAGGTGGAATGAGAGGGTTGTATTCTCTTAAAGAAGCTGAAAATCTGTGTCCTAAGAATGTAGCTTAGTTTGAACTGAGAGTAGAACCTGGGGAAAAAGTAAGGGAACCAGAGTTTTTGAGAATCAAGTAAGCATTGAGCTTTTTACTTGGGTCAAGAATAAGATGTCTGTTTATGTTTCAACTTTACACAAACTTATATACAGCAACTCCTGGAGTGCCCTGAATAACGGTCCCAGTGGAGATGACCATCACAAAAGCCATCCATGAACCTGGGGGAGTTGGGGAGGTGGGGGGAGGGGGCAGAGAGAGAGAGAGAGAGAGAGAGAGAGAGAGAATTTTTTCACTTTTAAAATTCCAGTAGCTTTGCAAATTGTGAAGAGTCAAAAGCCCTGGCTGCAGCTCCTTCTCATCTTGTTGTATTTAGGGGGCTGCCCACCGAGTGTCTGGTGCCCTTGCTTGCTCACACCACCAGCACACAGCCTGTGCCCCTCCTGCAGCCAGGAGGGCAGTGGATTCTGAGTTTTAAGACAGCCAAACAGTATCGGAAGCAAAATGATGTTTTGAAACAACATTTTTTAAATCATGTGTGTTCCTTAAAAGTTCTCACTTTCATGAATAATTTTCCATAGCCTGGAGGGCATCCCTTTTCCCTCGCAAGCCTTTCTATGTGTGTTCACATTCACTTAATCATTTTTCCATTTCTTCACCTCCATGACTTGCCAAACTAGATCCATGGGAATCTTATCATTCTTTTCCATAACCTAAGGATATGGATACTTTCTACTTCCCTCACATCCTTAAATTAACCTGCATGTTGCTAGGAGAACGAGGTATTGAAAATGTAGGTTTACAAGTAAAGCTACCAGAAGTGCCTCTCTTGTGACACATTACTCCTCATATTCTTTCTGCCCAGCTCTGTCTCTTAGTCCCTCTGATTCAGTTCAGGATGGCTACAAGCACCCTAAGGCCTCTTCCGTATTTCATCACGGTGCTGGGTACAAAAGAGCCCATGGGTAAGGATAGGACCTCTGCAAATCCGCAGGGATAGGAAGCAGATTAATGATTACCAGGGGCTGGGGAAGGGGATAATGGAGGGGAGCTGCTTAAAGGGTATGGGTTTCCTTTGGGATGACAAAAAGGTTCTGGATCTAGATAGTGGTAATGGGGACAAAACAGTGTGAATGTACTAAATGTCAATGAATTGTACACTCAAAAATGGTTAACATGGTGACTTTTATGTTATGTAGATTTTACTACAATTTTAAAAAATGGGGTTTCTAGATTCAGAAAGTGCTGGATACCAATTCCAGCTCTACTTCTTATAAGCTGTGTCACTCTGGGCAAATTACATTTGGCAAATTATAGCTGGTGTCTTCGGCACATAAGCCTGAGTTTCCTCAGCTGCAAAATGGGATGAATAATTCCATCTGCCTGGTGATATTGCTCAGAAGAGTAAGTGAGACGGTGCATGTATAGTTCTTAGGGTTTATTTTTATATTGCAATTGTCTTTAGTACAAGAGAGTGTAATGCAAATGTTGGGGTAGGGTCTGTCCTGTTCTAAGACTGCTTTCAGACTGCAGATTTCATGACTGGAAAAATCAAAGGCATATCCCTGGAGTTTTTCTGGTCCCTGCAGACTCATTTGCTGGGTCTAGCTTGACCTGGAAGCAGAATTCAATCACTTTATTGTATTTGTTTCTTTGCAAGAACCCTATTATACCAAGTATCGTGATTTTTCTAGTCTTTACTGATGTTTGGGAGATATTATAGGAGTGGGTGGCATTGCACTATATAAAGCATTTGCCATGTTGCTCCCCCTTCTCTTTTCTAACTGTTTTCCTTTTAGAACTTCTCCTTCCTCCTCTTCCAGCCACACTCCCATTTTTCCCTTCAAATGTCTGGAGTAACATTTCCCTTTTTCTGAAGATTCAAGTTCTTGGACTCTACTTTTACCCCAACCACTTCTCAAACACTTTCCTAACCAGAATACATGGATCTCCCAGGGGAGCGCTAAGAGTGACCTTCTCCACCAGCCGATGGAACTTAAAGGATGCCAGGTCCTTCCCCAGGCCCTTTGGCATGTTTGATTCACAATCAACCATCACTGAGCCCTAGGTGAGGAATCAGAACTGCCTTGTATTCCCCAGAACAAGTAGCCATTCTTCTGTGATAGTTAGCAGCCTTAAAGGCAGAATTAAGACAGCTTTCCCTAAGATTACTCAATATCTAGAACCCCATAAGTACAAAGTCTACCACTGGTCTCTGTGATATCGTGTGCCCCATTCTCCTGGCAAATGGAACACATGTCGGTGCCTGAAGATTGTTGACTGGATTAATGGCTATATTTCAACTCATACTGGCCCTTCAGCTTGGCCTTTTCTTGGACAGAGAACAACCTTCCCAACTGTTCATGACAGCCCTATAAGTATATGCTATCCTTAAGGTAAAAGTTTTCCAGGAGCCCCTTACCCCATATTTTGTCTTTTTAGTGATGAATTGAATTATTGGTTAAAGAAACAATAAATTAAAGCAGTGATTGAGATAAAAATAGCACCTCTAGAAGCAAAGCAGTTTATAAACTACTCAAAAAGATCATTTTTTAATTTATTTTTAAATTTCAATAGTTTTTGGGGTACGAGTAGTTTTTGGTTACATGGATAAACTGTAGAGTGGTGAAGTCTGAGATTTTAGTTCACCTGTTATGCAAGTAGTGAAGGTTGTACCCAATATGTGGTTTTAAAAAAATCTCTCACCCACCTCCCACCTCCCCCTTCTGAGTCTCCAGTGTCCATTATACCACTCTGTATGATTTTGTGTACCCACAGTTTAGCTACCACTTATAAATATGAACAGACAGTATTTGGTTTTCCATTCCTGGATTACTTCACTTAGAATAATGGCCTCCCGCTCCATTAAAGTTGCTGCAAAAGACATTGTATTATTCTTTTTTCTGGCTGAATAGTATTGGTCAATGGACACTCAGGTTGGTTCCATATCTTTGCAATTGTGAATTGTGTTGCAATAAACATACGTGTGCAGGTGTCTTTTTGATATAATGACTTCGTTTCCTTTGTGTAGATACACTGTAGTGAGATTGCTAGATCAAAAGGTAGGTCTACTTTTAGTTTTTAAAGAAATCTCTATACTGTTTTCCATGGAGGTTGTACTAGTTTACATTCCCACCAGCAGTGTATAAGTGTGCCCTTCAAAATGATCATTTTAAAGCTATAACACAGTTATTGTTTTATGTTCCCACTATTAGTCACTACATTAAAGGTTATTGTTTTAACGAATTGCTCAAGATAAGAAAAAAAAGTTTTACCTTCTATTCTAATTGGTGAGTGATGTGTGAACTAATCAGAAGCCTGTGCTGTCGCCTCCATTAAGGTACCAGATGTATTTGGCTGAGGAGAGATTTGTTGAAGAGCTTCAACCTTTAAGTGCAGAGGATAAATGGATGGTGACATCATTATACCTTGACAAATAGAAATTATATTATGTCTTTTTTTTCACTTTTCATTACCAAGGATGATTTATATTAGTGGCTTTCAATTCATAAACCTATGGATTCTCTGTAAAGTTAAAAACCTTTTAAATTTGTAACATGCAATAGGGATGGTTAATAGCATTCATGACCCATGCTATATAATGTTATTGGAGCTATTTTTTCAGTAAAGGTGCATTATAAACAGGTGCTGGGAATTTATAGCAAGCAAATTTGTGAGCCTCATATGCCTGGCATTATTTCCCAACCAACCATAATGCTAAGTTATCATAAGTGACATGACATGTGACCCTGTTACATTTTATCTTCATCAAATACTGAATGATATTGAAAGGTCTTGGAATGAAAACTTAAAGAGTCAATAGAATTGTTTGTATCATGAAAAATAAGTGCAGCCTTTCTCATAACCTTTGTTCTCCCAGTAAATCCTGTTTGTTGCTTGAGTTGATTATACTTAGTATTTGCTCCCTGCAACGTCTGGGGATTTCCATGAAATTTTCTGTTATTACCCAAGATTTCGCCTCCCTCATCCACCTCATTCACTGAGGCTTATGAATTAGAATGCTTGAAAGAAGAGTTTGCATGTGTCTGGATAATCTACTCCCCAGTCTAGATTACAATAACAAAATAAACGCTGGATGCTTAGGGATAAGATTTGAATGGATTGCTACAGGAGATTAAAACAAGGTAGATTTTGTTTATCTGGGACCCAAATCAGGGAGGAAATGGTTGCATGAAGAAGGGAGGGTGTGTGTGTGTGTGTGTGTGTGTGTGTGTGTGTGTGTGTGTGTGTGTGTTGAGGGGGAGGGGAGTGTGGGTGTAGGAGTGTAGGGATAAGATGGAGATAGGAGAGAGGAAGAAAGATAGAAAATAAATTAGGGGTAGTTTAAATAAAAAGAGTAGACTTTGAAGATGGCATTTTAATCATTTTTGTCCATTTGTATTGAGGATAGGATGAAATTAGAATAAGACTAGCAAGATGAAGAGACACCCTGGGAAATAAATGAGGAGGTGAAGATAAGAAGTGGTATCTTCAGCAGGTTCTTCATCCCCAGCCCTCCGCTGCCAGCTCCCCAGTGGAGGGCTGGGGACGGGAGAGGTGGACTTAGGCTCACTGGCGCAGGGAGAAGGAAAATAAGTCCCCACAAGGCTCAGAGTGCACAAGGAAAGTGGGCCTGGAAAGCAGTGAGGCTCTAGTAAGTAGCACACAAAAGGCTTTGCAGAATGCAATTTAAGCCTGCGATGGCGTCTCAGAGCCAAAAGAGTTTGCAGCAGGATGGCATCAGCGCAGACACATTCTCACCGTCGCTCATTTCCAAGTTGCTTGTTGGAAAGCCCTCGACGAGACTGACAAACCTCCCTGTGAACCGTGCAGTCGAATCGCTGTCACATAACAAACGTGATTATGTTGTAAGTAGAGGACCATGAGCTCACCTGTCATGCCGGCGACATCCTTCTGGTAAGCTGCCCAAACCCTGCTGACACAAGGCTGTTCCTAACAGAGAAGACATCAGTGCTAACATTTCCTGCACCTTCTATAGCATGCCGCTGTTTCTGGAAGACACCTGTCCAATTAGCGCCAGTGCTATGTGGTACTTATGGCGGATGTTTCATTTCTCAAGCATTTTACATTCTTGCACTGTGTGTATTCCACATCCACCCCCCCCCATCTCACAGCATCTATTAGTGCTCTTTACAGCATTCTTCACATGTGTTCAGCGCTTCGTCAATTAAGCATCCAGGTTTTGACTCTAAAATTTAAAAGAATTAAAATAGAGTCCAGGAGAGCAACACAGAGAATCAGAAGGTTATGAAATAAGATGAGGAAAAAAGTTTGAAGAAATTGAGATTATTTAGCTTTGAAAGGAGAATAATGATAGGTGACAATCACCAGCTCCTAAAACACTCATTTGACCATGGTCTTTTGGCTTCTTTACAGAGAAGAATTTTGAATATTTTTCTGTCATTTATTTCGGGGGTGGGGAGGGTGGGAAATGAAGAGAGTATGGTAAAGGGAAGGCAGTTCCAATCTATGTTCTAGAACGCTTGGGAACAGACTTTGAGTAGCAGGAAAGGAAAAGCATATTAACATGTGGTTGGGGTTGAGAATATGGAATTTCTGGGCCTGTAAAATAAAATCACCCAACTTTCCTAAATCTGTTGCTTCCCTAAAATGCAGCAACTTGTTTAAAAGCAGAGCTCCCTAGCTTTCTCCGTGCTCATCCCCTCGTGAAGGCAGAGAACAATTGGGTCAACAATGACCGCCATACTGGACCATCTTTTTAGCAGTATGAAAATGGCCAACTCATGGAGCTTGCATTTAAATCCCCAGAATAATATCTGGCACAGTGAGGCTTCTTGATAAAAGTTTGTTGCCTTGAATTGAGTTTCGAGACTCCCCAGTTTTTGAGTGGGATTAAGGAAGATACTAAACTTTTGAACCAGTGTGCTTTCAGGAGCGGATGGTAAATCCAAGATCTTGATATCTGGAATGGGTAGAAAGTGGTGGAGGTAGAAAAAGCCATTGGAAATTTCTAACACAGAATCCAAGGTTGGAACAATACGTTTTCAATTTTATAAAGAAAATGATTGAAGCTTGAAAACACCCAGAAAATTAGAGGGGTTGGTTTTCTATATTAGTAATTTCCAAGGAACAAAATGGCACCATCAAGTTTCCTTTAACATAGCCCCATCCAGAGTGACAAAGTGAAGTGAAGTACTCTTTGGCTAGGGTAACCTGTTGTTATGATTTCAACTGTGTCTCCCAAGAAGAGGCTGGAATCTTAATACCCAGCACCTGTGAATGTGACCTTACTTGGAAATAAGGTCTTTGCAGATGATCAAGTGAAGATGAGGTCATTAAGGTAGGCCCTAATCCAATATGATTGTTGTCCTTATAAAAGGGGGAAATTTGGGCCAGGTCCAGTGCCTCACGCCTGTAATCCCAGCACTTTTGGAGGCCAAAGCGAGCGGATCACTCAAGATCAGGAGTTTGAGACAAGCCTGGACAACATGGTGAAACCCCATCTCTACTAAAAATAAAAATATTAGCTGGGCGTGGTGGCGCGTGCCTATAATCCCAGCTACTTGAGAGGCTGAGGTAGGAGAATCACTTGAACCCAGGAGGCGGAGGATGCAGTGAGCCACAGTGAGCCAAGATCATGCCACTTCACTCCAGCCTGGGCAACAGAGTGAGACGCCATCTCAAAAAAAAAATAAATAAAATAAAAGGGGGAAATTTGGACACAGACACAGGGAGAATGCCAGGTAAAGATTGGAGGTATGTTGCCACAAGCCAAGCAATGCCAGATTGCCAGCAAACTACCAGAAGCTAGGAGGGAAGCATGTAACAGATTCTATAGTGCCTCTTAGAGGGAACCAGCCCTGCCAACACCTTGCTTGAGATTTTTGGCTTCTGGCCTGCAGAACTATGAGACAATAAAATTCTCTTGCTCAAGTCACACAGTATGTGATATTTGTTATGGCAGCCCCAGAAAACTAATACATCTGAATAAATGAATCAATCTCTACCTTATTCAGCAACTATGACCTTGGCCATGGGTCTAAGCTTTAGTACTGGGGCTTCTCTCTCTTTAAGGGCAGCTGAATATTTTATGTTTTCCAAGTTTTAGAGGTTGGCAGAAACCCTTCCTTTCTTCTCCCCAACTCTCATCTCACACTGAGTCACTCTTTCAGGGCTGGGCATTTATTTACTAAAAGTTCTAGATAGCAATAGATTTTATTGTCCAAATGCAAACTTCTCTTTGCCATCACCTCATTTGGAAATAGCCACCATATGACCACCGATGCAGTGTTATCCGTTTGGTGTTCCAGCCTCCAGATGTCTTTTGGGGGATAGGTTTGCATCTGTTAGAGATGAAGGAACTAAGTGGCATCATGACTTTTCCTCATGGAAATTACTTGGGGGCAAACAAATTGTTCTGCCTTTCTTCTGATGCATTTTAAACTAAGTCATCCTTTTGTTTCACCAACAGCAAAAACAAGCATTTTTCAAAAACTGAAGTCAATCAAAGGAGTAGTAGCAATAAAGAGGAAGATGTAAGTTTGTTGTCTTTTTTCTTTATATGTTTATGTATAATTATTTTCTATCTTTCTGTAAGACTGGCCAGAGACAAATTGTTGAAACAAAGTTTGTGTTTTCCCAACAATTGACTCCACCTTTTGTTTGCTGTAATCTCAAGACACTTTCCTTTTGTGCCTACACAGGCTGCTACATGTTTGTTACCTCCCATCTTTACACCACTCAAACTTGAATTTGTTACTATAAGGGTTTAGGGCTTTGCCTGCTGGGGCCCTGAAAGCTATCTGCAGCCTTCTCCCTGCCATTGGATCCATTAGGCAAATTTTCCTATGCCACGCACAGCCACAGCCCAGTTAAAAGGCTCATCTCCTTATGAAAGTCTTTCATCATGGCAATAGCAGGCCACATGGTGACCTCAGAGAAGGTGGCCATTGCCCATGTAGCTTGAGCTAAGTTTACTGCTGGGTGGCCCTACCCACATTGTTCAGTAGGGCAAACCACAGGCAGCATTTTCCCCACACAAGGACCACTCCTTTTGCCCACTGCAGTCTGTTTTCCTGGAACTCCCACCTGGTGAAGGCCCCACAGGCTAGACACAGAGCCTAGACACGGATACCTTCTTTCTTGATTTTGCTTTTCCTGCTTCATTGTCCACTCACCCATGAAAAGAGCTGCCAGGTGGCAGCAATCATGTACTCAATGCCTTTGCATGCCCTGGGCCCCATAGCTGTCCAAAGACAGATGTTTATGACCTGGCTTGTTCTTTCTGTTTTGGTAAACCCAACTATCATTTAAAGCTGGACTTACACGTGATGCTGAGGCTGGCAAAGACAGCTACTTATGTGGCTAATTATATATTCCCCTCTCTGCCTTACCCACAGAGCCCATTTTAGTTCGAGGCAGCAATAGGCCCAGAAAACAAAGCTCTCTTATATTTAGGAGTGGTCAGTGCTGTAATTCTGACCAATGAGATGAAAGCAAAATTCTACTGGTTGAGGATGCCAGGAAAGTTATTGTTTTCTTGTTAAAAAGGAACAGCCTCAGCACTCAGTTGCTTTCTCTCCTTCCTCATGTTCCTGCTACCTTTGCAGATGTGCTGTCCGGAGCAGCACTGTTTGATAGAACTCTCTGCGATGATGGAAATGTGCTCCATTGGCACTGTCCATAGAGTAGCCACTAGCCCCTGTGTCTATGGAGCACTTTAAATGTGGCTAGTGTGACTGAGGAGCAGAATTTTTAATTTAATTTTATTAAAATAATTTAAGCTTAAATAGCTACACGTGGCAATCACTCCATATTGAACGGTGTAAGGAACTATAGCATCCATCTTTCAAGTAAGAGGATGAAAGCAATGCACTTAAGAGTGGCAGCCTGGAAAACCAAGAGAAACCCATCCTATAGGTCCTCAAGTCAGTGTGGCAGCCGTGCAGCCCTGGAGTGCTTGGTATGCAAGAAAAACAGACCCTGATTTAGTTATACCACTGATGTTGGGTTTCTGTTCAATGCAGCTGTATGTGGTCACAGCAAGTACTTTGTCCAAAATGTTCAGATACCCAAGTGCAACCTCTGGGAGAGCCAGTTTTTGAAGAAAGTTGGATAATACAGTAATGGCACCATGTAGAACTTTCCCTTGGTTGAGGGCATTTGGTGTTTGATAAGGGGAGTCTTTCTTCCCTAATCTGCTTTTTGGATTTGCTCATTTGTCTAGCCACATATATAGTACGTGTACGTGGTGGCAAAGTGCTTGGGCACTGCAATCAGTCTCCTGGGTTTGCACCCCAGCTCCGCCACTTGACATGTAGGCTGGGGGAAGCCACATCACTTTTATGTGCTTTGGTTTTCTCACCTGGAAAATGAGGATAATCATATGCTCTCTTGTTAGTGTTATCATGGGGTGAAGATGAGGCAATGCCAAGTATAGTGCCGCGTACAGAGCCTGGAGCAAGGTAAGCACCCAAGAATGCGAACTGCTACTATTGTGGTCATGATTTTCTAGCTTGTAGCAGAACTACTACTTATTTAGATCATGGCATCTAAAAATACATTTCCTCAAATATCAAAAGAGCCAGGACCAGAATCTTGGCCTCTGGCCTCAAAGATAATGCCTTTTCCCGGCATTTCCCCTGGACAGGCTGGGAAACATCGCACCACAAAATCTACACTCTTTCAATCCTGTGAGTACTCATATTTTAATAATTTCACCTATCCATGCTACAGTTTGTTTTATTTAGGGGAAAGTGTTTCATTTTGTTTGTATTTCTGATCTTTAGCTTGTCTGTTGCCAAATAGCTCTATGGAAAGAGAACAGGGGCTTTGAAGGCAAACAGGTTGAATCCTAGCTCTACTGATAATGGCTTTCTGACCTCTGCAAAGTAGTTAGTTTCTCTGCACCTCCTTTTCTTCATCTCTAATGTGAGACTAATAGGACGGTTGTGAGGGTCACATTGAGTGGGCTATAAGCCAACTTGCGAGGTGGGCAGTTAGAAATGTGGGCTCCCTTCCCTTTCCTCTTGAGAAGCCCAATTCTAGAGAGCTTTTCCCAAGAGGGAAAGCATCTTGATCGCAGTTATTTCTGGCTGGAGTAGAGGTGGCAGGTTCTAGCTATCATAACTCAAAGAAACTTTAGGGATTATAGCTATCATCATAGAATATTAGGCTCAGAATGGGCCTGAGAGATCTTTTAGTTGAAACCTTCTGTATTGATGAGAAAACTTTGACCCAGTGAGGTCAAAGACTCTGAATCTTAGAGCTATAAGAGACTTGAGTAGTCAGTCCCTCTAATTCAACTTGCCTCAACGTTCCTGTAGAACATACAGCATTATAAAGTTATTGTTTAAAGTATTTCATCTCTCTGAGAATACTTATCCCTACTCCATGGATATGGGAAGCTGAATAAATATGGGAGTCAAGAGTTTTCAGAAATGAGGATAGTCTTTTTTTCTTTTCTTTCTTTCTTCTTCTTTTTTTTTTTTTTTCGAGACAGAGTCTCACTCTTTTGCCCAGGCTGGAGTGCAGTGATGAGATCTTGGCTCACTGCAACCTCCTTCTCCTGGGTTCAAGGGATTCCTGTCCCTCAGCCTCCTGAGTAGCTGGGATTACAGGCACGGGCCACCACACACAGCTAATTTTTGTATTTTTAGTAGAGACGGGATTTCACCATGTTGGCCAGGCTGCTCTCAAACTCCCAACTTCAAGCCATCTACCTGTCTTGGGCTCCCAAAGTCCTGGGATTACATGCATGAGCCACCATGCCCGACTAGGGATGATCTTTTGAGAACACTTTTAAGAACCACGAGGAGCTAGAGGTGGTAGGAAAAGGCTCTGTGTTCGGCAGAAAGACCACCATCTACCATGGTTACTGGGAATCAAGTTGTAGCACTGCCATTCACTAGAGTGTGACCTTGGACAAGTCACTTAAAATTCTTTTATCCTGTGTTCTTTACCTCACAATGGGGACATTCTAATGCCCATTTTCAAGCATGGGCCTGTGTATCAGATGAGGTCACATACATGGAAGCTCTGTAAGGCGTACACTGCTCTAATAGAGCAAGGGTTGTCCCGCTTCCTAATAGACATAAATTACAGTGCTGTCTCCAGTGGATTTAGACTTTTCCACAATGCTGTGCCTAGGTATGTGTGAGAACACCAGGAAACCCTTAAGACTCACCTCACCCTGTGTGTACTTTTTGCCCCTCTTAATTGAACTGTAGAAAACTGGCATTGTAAACTTAGACACATCTCCATTTCCAGATGTACAGAGTCCAAGGCTTTACACAAATTGCACATTTCCTTTGTATTTCAAGAGTCTTAAATCACAACAGATCACAGTTTCTGAAGGGAACTCTGTTGGTGAAGAATAATCTTCTATGAACTTGCTGGTGACCGGCTCTCACATTACAAGAGTTGGCGGTTAAAACTGACGTGGAGAGTTTCTTGTACTGATCTGGCAACGCTTTCTGCAAAATACCATCACATCTCCCTTCAGCCCCAGAACTTCTGGCTGCTACGTTTTGTCTTATCCCTCTGATGTATTTAATCCCAAGTGTGACATAATTACATCATCAATGAACTCTTTTTAATTAACTGGCTGAGGGTAAACATAATTGAACTCAACTGTTTCATATTTTGAAGGGTGTGTACTTTTATTTCTGCATGATTGTACTGGGGCAAGTGAGTTATAAACACAAACAGATCATTCTGTGTCCTGGTTTACATCTTTGATTCACATTACCTCATGCGACTTCAGTTATACTTCAGAACAGAATAAATGCAAGTCCATACTCATAAATATACAATGTAGGTAGATGTACATATGTATTAGTTCATATGCTAAAATGATGCTTCTAGCAATGATAAAAAAATACCTGTGTGAGAAAAACCAAACATATGGTTAAGTTATCTGCTACCCTATGGTTAACTTTGGTTTTAGGTAAGAAATTGGGCCCAAAACTGCTTTTAGAATTAAAAGTTGGGATTTTTTTTTTCCCAGTCAGTGATTACTTAAAACTGCAAAAACAAAGCAGTAGAAAAATAAATGATTCATCAGGATCTTATGGGAAAAGAAGTAGAATTAGACCTCATGGGACCAAAATTTCTAGGTGGTTCTATTGTTTTCCAAGTATCCAAGAAATGATACTTGGGTCATTTTTTAAGGCCTTTATTTATCATCTCAGAAAATAAGGATTTTCCTGTTTTAGAAACTGGTATCTTAACAACCTGTTATTTATCTGGTTTTATTGTTTGTTTGTTTCACTTCTTGGCATCTACCATTTCCTCCTTACATGTTGGTCCTCCAATCACACTGTGTTGAGTGACAAATTTGCTAAATGCGCAGATTTTTATCTACCTTATTAATGGTAAATATTACAACTGACCTAGTCTGCTTTGAAATCTGGAAATTTATTATTTTCGAGAAAACTTTCCATTAACTTACTTAGCATTCTGCAGCTTATCTAAATCAGGTGAATCAAATGAGGTGAAAACCAATTTAGTTTGTGAATCGATTGATACTGCCCTTTGTCTCCTAAAATGACAACTGTCTCTGAGGCTGGATGGCCACTTTTTCACTATTTGTAATGTAATATGCGCTAGCTTTAAGCTCCTGTCCTGTAGGGAGCATATTCTTTGTAAAAGGAAATACAGGAAAATGAAGAAGCAGAAACCCTAAGCCAAGACCTGCTATTCTCACCCCACTTTTATGTCCCACTTGTCTACTGTAGTAAGACATTCCATTGGTGGCCCCAGGTGAACCATAATTCCTGGTGTTCACCCCTTACCTCTCCCATATTGATTTTGGGCTTGACCCATGTGACTTGCTTTGGCCAGTTTGCAAGTTTGATGCAAGCAGAACTTGATACACATTTGCAATTGGCACACTGCCCCTTGGAACTGTAGACCACCATGCTGTGGGGAAACCCAGGCTAGCCTCATGGAGAAGCCACATGAAGGAGAACAAAGGCTTCAAACATATAGCCCCTCTCAAGTCATTTGAGTTATCCCAGCTGAACTACAGATGTGGAACAGAGATGAGCTATCTCTGCTATTTCCTGCTCCAATTTCTCACATGCAGAATTGTGAACAAATGCAACTTGTATTGTCTGCAGTGTTTTTTCTGCATCAGTAGATAATAGGCAGGAGTTGGTATAGATTATCGTTCAGGGCATGGAAGACTGACTCTGGAGCCTCATACTTGAGCCTGAACCCTAGCTCTGTCACGAACTTGCTCTGCAGCTGTGGACAAGTTCCTCAGTTTCCCTAGTTGCAAAATGAAAATAATAATAGTGCCTAACTACTTCTTGGGTTGCTGCGAACATTGTGGGGGTTAATATATGTCAAGGCACTTGGTATGCCCTCAAATCCTACTTCAGCAGGATTGTCACCTCCTTGCCTGAGGCAGCAATTTGGCCTTGATGACCATTGCATTTACAAGGCTCATCACTTAGTAGGCGTTCCGTAAATATTTGGATCCATAAATATTTGGCAAAAGAGCAGAGTAAATCACCCAAAATTTTCCAGAAGAGAAAGAAGTTCTTTGACTCTCACTTTATCCTCTTGTCATCTTACAAGAAGGCGCTGGGAGGAGAGTGAGCAGCCCTTGAGGACCTGGTAATAGGGCAATAAGAAATTGGAAAATAGGCCTCCAGAACTTTGAATTAAGTGTAAATTGTCTCAGAATTCTTCAGAATGTCCCAGCTCTCTGCAGGTTCAAGGAAAAGTCCTGATGCTCTTCAAATACAGTGGCAAAGTTTGGTAAAAGCTCCTTATGAAGTAACCTGCAGACATGCTTACCTCGATTTAAAGGTTAACTCAAACTATAAAAATCCCAGAAGAAAACCTAGGAAATAGCTTTCTTGCTATTGGCCTTGCCAAAGAATTTATGTCTAAGTTCTCAAAAGCAGTTGCAACAAAACCAAAAATTGATAACTGGGATCTAATTAAACTAAAGAGCTTCTGCACAGCAAGATAAATTATCAAGGAAGTAAACAGACAACATACAGAATGGGAGAAAACATTCACAAACTATGAATCCAGTAAAGCTCTAATATCCAGAATGTATAAGGAACTTAAATCAGCAAGCAAAAAACAAATAACCCCATAAAAAGTGGGCAAAGGACATGAACAGATACTTCTCAAAAGAAGATATACAAGCAGCCAATAAACATACAAAAAAATACTCAACATCACTAATCATCAGAGAAATGCAAATCAAAACCACAATAAGATACCATCTCACACCAGTCAGAATGGCTTTTGTTAATAAAGTAAAAAAATAACAGATGTTGGCAAGGCCATGGAAAAAGGGGATACTTGCACACCCTTGGTGGGAATGTAAATTAGTCCAGCCACTGTGGAGAGCAATTTGGAGATTTCTCAACAAACTAAGAGATGCGCTACCTTTTAACCCAGCAATCCCATTACTGGGTATATACTCAAAGGAAAATAAGTTGGTCTACCCAAAGACATGCACACTCGTATGTTCATTGCAGCACTATTCACAATAGCAAAGAAGTGGAACAAACATGGTGGATTATGTAAATACAGTCTGGTACATACATACCATGGAATACTATGCAGTCATAAAAAAGAATAAAATTATGTCCATTGCAGCAACATGTATGCAGCTGGAGGCCATTATCCTAAGCAAACTAAAGCAGAAACAAAAAAACCCAAATACTGCATGTTCTTGCTTAACAGTGGGAGCAAAACACTGAATACACATGAACATAAAGAGAAGAACAATAGACACTGGAACACTGGAACTACTAGAGGGAGAAGACAGGGATGCGGGCAAGGGCTGAAAAACTACATTTTGGGTACTGTGCTCACTACCTAGGTGATGAGTTCAATCATACCCCAAACCTCAGCATCATGCAATATACCTTTGTAACAAATCTGCACCTGTACCCTCTGATTCTAAAATAAAAGTTGAAAAAAAAAAACCATAAAAAATTTTTAAAACAGTTTTCCTATGGGAGAAGAAAGGGAAGAGGGAAGAAAGGACAGGTTAGAAGTAAGACTTTATAAATGTAACTTGTTACATGATTGTTTATTTGAAATTATATAATGTTTTTATATAATTGAAAATAAAATTAAAAGTACCAAATCTTAAACTAAAAAAAGTCAAATCCTTTTACCTTACAATAAGACAATAAATGCAGGCATCAGCCCAACATGGCCTGATTTAAAATGTACTTTTAAAGCTTCCATTTATAAAGTTCTTAACATATACCAAGCATTGTACTATGGGGTTCATTCATTCATTTGTCCATTTTTTTTCATCTACTCGTCAAGTTTCCACTTTCTTAGTAGTTTTGCTTGGTGGTATTTGAAATTACAGCAAAATGCTATTATGAAACTCGGTTATTTTGCTTATTTGTTTCTCCTGTCAAACCTAGTGTTTCCATGTGGGAATTCCTTTCCAACACTTCTCAGAAATTTGTATATTTTTCTGAATCTCCAGAAATTTCTTGAGTACCCGCTGTGTCAGGCACTTTGCTAGGCACTGGGGCAATGATTGTAAACAAGACGTGATCTCTGTTTTCACACAGCTTACGAGATATCTCGTCTAATCTTTATGACAGCCCTACCAGGTACTTACTCCTATTTTCCAGAGGAGGAAATTGAGTCAGCCAGTAGTGGCACAGCTAGCTTACCAAGATTTCACAGTAGGTTTATCTGACTCCAAAGCCCTTAATCTTAAACATTGGTCCATTCTATCCCTCTTTATCATCAAAGTTGCAGCTTATTCAACAAGACTGTTTTTGTTTTGAATTATTCAGTGCTTATGATTCTGCAGTTTAATGTATTCACTAGAGTCAATTTTTCATGTCACTTGGCATTTTGGAGATCTAGCATTCCAAGTCACTGGGTCAGGATGGTAAGATATGTAATAAGGGAACACAGTCCTGATGACACACTCAGTGTTCCACACCTTGTGCTCCTGTTAGTAACACCATCTATGAATTTGCTACGCTGGGGGCCTATAGGGTTTTTGCTGAGATTTATTCTGACAATGTGAAGCTTAAGAGTTGAAAAATTTATAAAATGGGTATATGTGAAGCTATGAATAAAACCTGGAAATCTTTTCCACTTGAATAAAATCCAGCGTCTTTTTGTTTCTGTTTATTCTGTATGAGAACATTCATGCCTCGAAGTTAAGACCTAAGGCAACATAAATATCCTGAGATGCTTCCTTGGTCTTCTCCTATTTGGTTAGCTAGTCAATAACCTATTTTCCAAGCCTGCTATATAAAGAGCATTATGTGTGCTTTGGGAGTAGGGGATTCAGTGTAATTCCTTTCTTCTGTGTATTGAGAATATACTACATGTAAGGCAGGGTATTTTGTGTTGTGATGGATCATTCCACATTCAAAGAAATTGACAGTGACTTCGAACACTGGCAGCTCAAGCATGTGTGAGCAGAGCCTTGATCTTAACAGAGAGAGCTGTGGTGTGGCTCAGCCTGAGCAGGGGAATGGGGGAGGGAAAATGCAATGTGTTCGGTGACTGGTGTGGTGGGCCTGGAGTTTTGAGGTCATGGGGACCAAGGAGGAAGGGAGAGAGGATAAGTTGATCAGCTGACAAAGTAGACTGCATCCTGGATGATGATTTGGGAAGTGTGATCCATAACTGGGGGATCAAACTTGGGGGGATCAAAAATGGGGAGAAACCAAAAGTTGTTGTGATAGAGAGTGAAATGATTCTTTTTTTTTGTAGAGGGGCGGGGAAGAAGCAACAGAAGAAAGAAAGTAGAGGGAGGAGGAAGGAGATGAGAAAGGAGATGAGAAAAGGGGTGACAGGGAAAGGGATGGGGAAGGAGGGAAAAGAAGAAAAAGAAAGGTTTGCCCCAGTTTGCAATCTCCGTGGAGGTGTTTGCAGGGTCACTGGAAACTCACTTTGGGGAAAAAAAAAACTTTAGAAATATGTCTAGAGTGAGGGTTTGCAGGTCTTTCCAGTCTGACTGTGTCCCTGGTCTGCTGGTGTGGGTCGGATAGGTTATGCCTGGCTACAAAGATGGGCATGTCTGGTTCAGACCAATGTGGGGCTTCTGAAGGCTCAGTCATTCTGTATTTGTCCTCAGGTTTGAGTGGAGGGGAGGTAACGCTGGCCTGGCCTTTAAAGTCCAGGAACTACTTTCCTGTGGTTCCATCTACACTAGATTTTTAGGTCCTGGCCTGAAACTGATCTGGTTCCCCAGAGATCGCTCCCGCCGTTGGGACAGACAGTAGTACTTTTGGGACAGACAACAGCAGACACTGAAAAAGTTTGAAAATTGCTTGTCAGGCCTCACAAGGCTAAGTCAGCAATTTTCAAATTTTTTCAGTTTATATTTTTAGCAGGAGAACGGATCCTTTTTTTTTAAAATTATACTTTAAGTTCTAGGGTACATGTGCACAAAGTGCAGGTTTGTTACATATGTATACAGGTGCCATGTTGGTGTGCTGCACCCATTAACTCATCACAGAACAGATCCTTTAAGCAAACAAATACTTTTTGGAAAAAGCCAGATATGTTAAACTGGCAGACACGGAGCTACCATGGTTGAAAGCAGAGGGGAGCCTGATTAGCCCTGCCTCCAGGGACCCCTCAGGTGTTCTGAGCCCAGAGGGTTCCATGGAGCATGGTTTGAATACCCTGTTCTAGGGCTGGCCTTGCCAGAATCAGTTTTGTGGCCAGGGCTGAGCTGGAGCCAAGCTAAGCTCCTAGGGGATTTGGTATCAGGGAAAGGAGATGGTGTCTATGTGAGGTTAACTGAGCTGAGGGTAGAAAGCTGGTGGTGAGGTTTTAAGAGAAAAGATGGCTGCAGGGCCATTTTCCATGTTCCTAGTATTTTTGCTGGGTATCATTTGAAAATACAGCAAAATGCTATTGTGAAACTCTGTGCTTTTTACTGACCTATTTCTTCTGCCAAATCTAGTGTTTCCATATGGAAATTCCTTCCCTATACTTCTTAGGAAACATGTCTTTTGAATCCCCAGAAAAACCTGTCGAGAAATTGGGAAGAAAAGAAAAAAGGGTATTCTCTGACAAATTAAAGCTTAACAATCAACGTAGAGATATGACTGAATAGAAGCAATTCACTGATATCATATTGAACACAGGAGCAGAAAACATGAGCACGTGGATTGTGAGGTTTGGGTTGGCATTTCTAGAAACCTAGTTAGAAGCACAGAAGAGAGAAATAACACCATTCAATGAATGAGCCAGCCTTGCTTGTAGCCACGGCCACTATGAATATGTGTTTATGAACCTCTCTGCTGCTAATGGTAACTCATTCTTGCAAGTAAAACAAATATTAATAAATTTGTATGTATAGTGTACTTTATACAAATCCTATGAGTGATATTCCAAGAGATAATGGGTTTTGGAAGCAGAATAAGACTTTAAATGAGCAGCTTAGACTGTGACTCTGTGTAGTGCTATCTCCCAACTTTGTTGGGAGATCCGAATGTTATTTGAATACTACCCAATAATATTTGCGGCTGTTTTTCCATGTTTGAATATCTTCTATAGGCTGCAGTTTTTCGTAAATCCTGCTAAGGTTAATATTTGTTATTAACTAAACAAATTTTTAGATATGCACGATGATGAGTAAAATGTTTGAGAAATTTTACAATTTTTTTGTTTTGTTTTGTTTTCTTTGAGACGGAGTCTTGATCTGTCGCCCAGGCTGGAGTGCAGTGGCATGATCTCGACTTAATACAACATCCATCTCCCAGGTTCAAGCAATTCTCCTGCCTCAACCTCCCAAGTAGCTGGGACTACAGGTGTCCGCTACTATGCCTGGCTAATTTCTGTATTTTTAGTAGAGAGAGGGTTTCACTATGTTGGCCAGGCTGGTCTCGAACTCCTGACCTCAAGTGATCCACCCGCATTGGCCTCCCAAAGTGTTGGGATTACAGGAGTGAGCCACCTTGCCAGACACAAGTATTTTAAGAATAGTTTCTCATTTGAAAACTTTCTGAGAATTTTCAGGAATTTTGATTTTGTAGCCTGAATCCTAATTAATAGCTGTTAGGAATTTGGAAACACTGCCTGATCCAACCTCTAGTCTTGAGGCAACCATCATTTAAGTGATCTCATATTATCGAGCTGGATCTCAACCTGATTTATGCTGTGACCATGATTTAGCAAATGTTTCCCTTTAAGACTAACCTGAAGCTAGCACAAGTGTTCACAGTTGACTTCAAAAATAGGGATCTTTTAACCATTAAAAATGGAGAGTCGGAAGTTTTCTGCTGAAGAGTGAATGAATTATTTAATACATCTTTCTAAAGCTTTCATTTAAAATAAGCTCCCAGAGTCACTTGGGAAGTGTTTATATTTAGCTGTGTGTGTGGGAGGGGCACACACATACAGGTATGCCATGTGAGTAGAGTCAGACAACCTTCTCTCCATATGAAGTAAGGAAAGCAACGTTGCTTCTTTTGTTTTTATTTATCAATTCCTATCCACTCTGAGTTACAGCATGGAGTTTCAACATGTAAATGGTGAATCTAAGAACAATGTGAGCATTGAGCTGACTTCTCCTTTTTATTTGATTATAATGTTTATGTTTGCAGCAGAGCATTTATCATGTCATTGCTTTAGACTTATTTTAAACCATAGGTTTATTAAAGGTTTTTTACTAAATAGATTTTAGTTTGATCACAAAGTAATTTTGTTTCCTGGAGTCTCATTTGTCTAGAAGGAACATCACATATTTATACTTAACATTTTGTGGTCAAACAATGGAAGGGAGGTGAATGTTTGAATTATTGCACTATTTATAATCAATGTTTGACTATCACTAACTATGGTCTTCAAAAATATATTGGCTTCTCTGTTTTATAGCTGGGAGAGAAGCTGTGTTGACTTTTGCCTCTGACAGAAAAAAGGAGGAAATTTCTATGATCGAAGTTGGTGTTTAGATTTCATGGAAAGGGTGATCTTAAAAATAAATTAGGTTGGGCAAGGTGGCTCATGCCTGTAATCCCAGCACTCTGGGAGGCAAAGGCAGGCAGATCATGAGGTCAGGAGTTCGAGACCAGCCTAGCCAATATGGTGAAACCTTGTCTGTACTAAAAATACAAACATTAGCTGGGTGTGGTGGCACACACCTGTAGTCCCAGCTACTTGGGAGGCTGAGGCAGAAGAATTGCTTTAACCTGGGAGGCGGAGGTTGCAGTGAGCTGAGATAGTGCCCCTGCACTCCAGCCTGGGTGACAGAGTGAGACTCTGTCTCAAAAAAAAAAAAAAAAAAAAAAATTAACCAGAACTCTTCATTTACGTGATTTTTAACACAATCCAAAATGCTGTCAAAAATTATACTACTACTTGTCTAGTTAAGACTTACCATGTCAGTGTATAATATGATATGAGATTTAGGTTGTGTTAGCTCCTTATGTAAGAGCCAATAATTCATTTTTTAGAGGATAATTGTCATGATAAAAGTCAACCAAAGATTTTGTCTTCATATGAGGAACTGTTATAAGACAGAGTTGATAAAGAAAAAAAATTTTCACATCCTTGTTCACTATTACAAAGCAATAAAATAATGGTATTCTTAATTGCTGTTTCTTTGAAAATATTCCTATCTTTAAGAATTATATTTCAAATAATTAAATATATATCACCTATTATGATATAGCCTTTTGGAACAAAATTCAATATTGTCTCATCTTCAAAAGACTAAAATGAGTATTACAGGTGGATTCTGAACCAGGAATAGTGGTGGGAGGTTATTTTCTGTGACAGACTTTAAGTTCCTTAGGCAATGATGGAAAAGTCTCGGACCATCCTTGGAGCAAAGTTGAGAAACTGAAAAAGAGTGAGAAATATTTTCCACATGGTTTGGGAGGGCACCCTATTATATATTTCTGGACTTGAATAGATGTAATGGATCAAACTGGACCAAACAGTCTTTTTTCCTCATGTTGGAGGTGTGGTGGGATTAAATTTATAATAACAAATTTTTTGAAAGTAACAAAGATTATGGGTTTCAGATCAACAGGTCACTAATTTTAAAAAAGGACATTACCTGACCTGTGTGGTTAGACAAGAACAAAAACATGCACTGTATGTTAGACAGTAGTCGGCCACCTTCAATCCTGTTGGGAACAATTGGAGTTGTAAATCATCAGAGAAAGAGAGAGATTCAGGTAGACAGAACTGATGGGAAATAAAAGTACTTTTATTTTCCCATTGTAGTGAAGAAATAATCCAATTAGAAATAATGAAAGTGTGAGATTTTAAATCAGAAGGAACTAGGAGAACTCATTTAATCCGTGATTCTATGAAGATGCCTTGGAGGAAGAGGGGAGGGGTGGTGCTTTCTAGGACAGGGGTAGGGGTTAGGAAGACCAAGAGAGAGGTGACTATGCCTTCTCAATCTGGGTGTGGGCTCCATAGAGCTACCCATGCCCACGATTGAAAGGCAGCTGCTTCCTTTTGGAGGCTGACAGGAGCATTGATAGCGCTGGCCTCAGGCGCTTGTGTATCTAAAAAGAGGAGCCCTAAGGCATGCCCTAGGAAGAACCAGGCACCCACAGCCCACACTTCCAGGGCCTATTCTCTCAAGTCAGCTGCAGCCAGGTGTGAGTCCAAATGTAATGTCAGATTGGGAACTCGACAAAAATGTGGCAAAAAGGGTTAAGGAAGTTTGAATGCCCCTTATATGCCAGAAGGTCCATTGTAAAGTTTCTTTAAAGGAGAAAATGTCAGGAGTAGTCAAGAAGATCAACATGAAAATATTTTAACAATGCCATACATGATTTAAATTAATATCCACTATCAAGGTTTCAGGGGTAGGAATATTTTTTTTGAATGCAATGCAGAGCAAAATTCTTATGTTTTTTTTTTCTGCCAACTCATATAATTCTTTCACTAGGAATTATAAAAACAGGAAAGGATTTAAAAAAATATTTGTTAGGTAATAGAGACCCCTAAAATATGCATCAGACATCTATGGCTGACTTTTGTAACATGAACCAGACCCACCATATTGATTGCAAAAATAGAGTTGGCATTTTCCCCCCTCAGTCAGGCACTTCACAGATTAATCTCGAATTAAATATAACTTGGTCACAGTGGCAAACTGATGACTTTAGTTTTCTCTCTCAATGCCCCCAAGGGGCAAGAAAACGTTTGCTCACTGTAAAGTTAGAGTGACTGTGACAAAGGGTCCCCAAAGTATAGTGTCTTAAGAGTGAGTGATGTGAGCCAAAGCTTTCGCGATCTGCACTGGTGTGTAGCTAAGTTCCATGCAGTCACTCAGAGACTTCAGTGCCTGCTTCCCCATCCCTTTTAATTTTGCTCCTTCATCACATGGGAGCATTAAGTTTGTCTACTAAATCAAAGCTGGGACACAGGTATGTTCACATTCCAGCTAACGGGAAGGCAAGAGACAGAAAACAAAAATCCAAGGCAAGAATTTTTCTTCTAAGCAAGTGAGGCATACTAGGACACATCACTTTTGTTCATGTCCTGTTGGTGAGTACTTAGTCTCATTAGTCCCATAGACACACCTGGCTGCAAAGGAGGTCAGGAAATGTAGTCTCTACCAGGGGGTCCATGTGCCCAGGAAGAAAAGAATAGGTCACAATCATTGAGACTTTGTTGTCATTGTCCTCAACGTGAGGTGGCTTAGGAGGAAAGAAAAATGTTTTTCCCATATGAACAATAAATTACAATTAATTCAGGTGTGATTGTCTTATAATTATTCTCTGAAGATCAGCGTGGTCGTCTACTTTTGCAGCTTCTCTAGGATAGTTGGACCTAGCTACCACTGATTATAAAAACAACAACGACAAAAAACTCAAAAGAAGCAAATTTGAAGTCATGTTTGAGTTTGTCCTTCCTTAGAGAGGAAAGTAACCTAGTAGAAGCAACCCTTGGTGTGCAATCAGAGGTATGAATATTTAGATCCAGCCTGGTTACTAATTCAATAAGTGACTCTGGGTGAGTCTCACTTCACTTACCTGCTCCTCGTCTGCAATGAAGGGATTGAATTGGATCAATTTTGGCTTTAAAGACCTTGTTTAATCTTAAAAAGATGTCGTATATTCCTCAATAAAAAAACTTGGGCTTGTAGAATCTGTTAATTGAAAAGACACAAAATGAGAAAACACTACAATTAATCTAGTAGCACTTTTTAATAAATAGTAGAACATCTATTATTTATTCACCCTGCAGATAATGTTAGATGGGCATTTAGTTTTGAGGATGCCATGGCCCCAGCTTGAAAACACTGCAGCAGGTGTTTTCAAGATGCTTTGATGCTTTAAAAGTCTTCAGGCTGGGTGCGGTGGCTCACGCCTGCAATCCCGGCACTTTGGGAAGCCAAGGTGAGCGGATCACGAGGTCAGGGGTTCGAGACCAGCCTGGCCAACACAGTGAAACCCCCTTTCTACTAAAAATAAAAAAAAAATTAGCCAGGCGTGGTATTGGGCACCTGTAATCCCAACTAGTCGGGAGGCTGAGGCAGAAGAATCACTTGAACCTGGGAGGCAGAGGTTGCAATGAGTCGAGATCATGCCACTGCATTCCAGCCCAGGTGACAGTGCAAGTCTTCAACTTTGACTTCTTCATAGAAGGCTTAGGTGTGATATTAGAGAAAGAGTGTGGGAGAGCCATGCAAAGGGCATGAGTAATGTTCAGGTAGGCTCGGCTCCAGGTCCCCAGGGCTCCAAATAGAATCTTGTACATACAGGGAAACAGCCTTGCCACCCAGCCTGCTGCAAGCCTGAGGATGCAGAGTGCAGTTTGTTTGCTGATTCTGGATGGAGTGTGGGGAGGAAGAGGAAAAGAAGCCATCACACTCAATATGAATCCTCCTCAGAGGAAATCATTTATCTTTTGCTCTGTGAAGAGTCCATGGATAAGATCTAATTTCTTAA
Organism: Homo sapiens; assembly: GCF_000001405.40. Lineage (NCBI taxonomy): Eukaryota > Metazoa > Chordata > Mammalia > Primates > Hominidae > Homo > Homo sapiens. Next base: position 25,345,896 of record NC_000007.14, read on the forward strand.
TCAATTATTTATAGCACAGTTAAACTGGTTCCCTTTTTCCCATTTTAATTTTTCTGAAATTATTTTCTTTGACTTCACAGAAGTTTGATTCATTGTTTAGTTGTTTTTGTTTCTCTTCCACTCTCTTTGGCCCATAGCAAATCTTATAGATAATAATTTCTGCCTTTGTGAGTTATCTGTTATGGCCACTATTTTTTCCAAGTCTATAGGTCAAATTTTGCAGATCCCAATTTTGAAGAGAAGAGTTAATTCTTTCATTAATTTAAATCCTCACTATGCTTACCCTGTGCACTTTAACTGCTTGTTGATTTTTGTTTGGTTTTGTTGGGTTTTTATTTTTAACAGCTTTGTTGAGGCATAATTTATATACAAAGAACTTTACAAATTTAATGTGTATTATTGAATTTAGACATTTCTAAATATATGGTACCATCACCACAATCAAGATAATGGACATATTCAACACTTGCCAAAGTTTCCTCATTTTTTTTGTTTTCGTCTTAATTGTGTGTGTGTGTGTGTGTGTGTGTGTGTGTGTGTATTTGGCAATAACACTTAACGTGAGATCTTAAACTAACAAATCTTAAGTGCACAATTCCATATTTTTAACTATAAGCACTACATTTTACAGGCGATGTCTAGAATTTATTCATCTAGCATAACTGAAACTTTATACCTATTGAGCTAACTCCCCAATTACCCCACCCCCCAGCACCTGGGAACAACTATTGTATTATTCTTTGCTTTTATGAATTTGACTATCAGACATATCTCGTATAAGTGGAACCAAGAAGCATTTGTTCTGTGACTGGCTTATTTCACTTAGAACAGTGTCCTTCAGATTCATCTAGTTATTGCAAATGGCAAGATTGCCTTCTTTTTTAAGGCTAGATAATGTTTTGTTATATGTGTATACAATTTTTAAAATCCATTCATCTGTTGGATACTAGGGTGATATTCACATCTTGGCTATTGTGAATAATGCTGCAATAAACATGGGAATGTAGATATCTCTTCAAGTTCTTAATTTCACTTCTTTTGGATATATGCCCAGATGTGAGATTGCTGGATCATTTGGTATGATTCTCGCTTTTAAAATTGATCTTGTCTTTGATATTTCTATGAACTCTTTATTTTCAATTTATTAGTTTTTAGTGTCTTCAACAAACTGTGGTTCTTTATTGAATATTTTAATCTATTTTACTGTGTGGTTTTAGGCTTTGTCAACTTTATAGCATTCATTATGAATCGGGTAAATTTTGCGCCCAAAGCAAAGATCATTGGTAGGACAGAGGCACAAAGTCAGGCTATGTGGTAGGATTAACACACTATCGACAAATAGTGATGTCTAAATAGGAGGAAAAGGTCTTCCTTGGTACAGTCTTACATAATCACAATCTGTCTTGGACCAATATCCTGCTAAATATAAACAGGAAGCATTTCCATTAAAATCAGGAACAAGAAAATGATTCGCACTATTGTCACTATTATTTGTCCTTCTGAAACAGAGAGTAGGAAGTGTAGGCTCAGCGTCATAAGATCCAGGGTTTGAAATACCTGTGAGACACAGATGTGGGAAAAGAGAAGGTGTCTGGGATGTGTATCCTAGAGCTTGAGAAAAGGGCCTGGAACAGAGATAAACAACAGGGAAGTTTAGATATGGAACTGGTAAGTGAAACCCTGAGTGTAGATGAGATCACTTAGAAGGAATGTAGATCTGAAAGGGGAAAGGGCATAGGATGGAAACCTAAGGAACTTCAACATGGATGGTGAGACAGAGGAGGGGACCCCGAGAGGGACTGTGAGGTAGGAGGGAATTGGGATAAGTTGGTGTCAGAGAGCAAAAGAAAAAAGATTTCAAAAAAGGAGTAGCTGTCAGCAATATTAGAAGTTATTGAGAGGTCAAGAAATAAGGATTGAAAAGCATCCACTGGGTTTAACATAAAGACTCTAAAATTATCCATACCTCACAGTCCAGGAGCCTGCTTCTAGGAATATGTCCTCCTAAAAGGAACTGAAACTGAGGCGAAAAGCTTAACTATGGTTTTGCATTGTAAAAAAGAAAAAACAAACTAATTGAAAACCTAAACATTCAACCTCAGAAATATTTTAAAATCATTTTATGTAGCAACAAAAATCCTGTTTTTGAAAAGTATTTAATGGTTTGTGAAATGGAAATAAACACACTAAAATATTAATAGTGTCTCAGAATTGGGATTATGTAAGACTGCATTTTCTACTTCATGCTTTTCTGTGTTCTCTAAAATTTTCTATAATGCGCATATGTAATTTTACAGTCAGGGGAAAACATTATTTAGATAGGTTTTTTTTTTTTCTTAAAGTGGCTAGGGGATATATTCTTGCTGACCAGGCATAATAAGCTTTAATTAGGTTCTTTCTGGCAGGATAAAAACAAGACTCAAGCCACTGAGAGAAGGATTGAGGCCAAGAAATTGGACTGTCAATTCACATAGCACATAATTTCTAATGCTTGACTCGGAGGGAGGGACAGCTGGAATCTCTTATGGTATTTTTGTTCTACCTGCTGTACTCCGTCTCCTGGCTTTGCCTTCTCTCTATTTGAGGAGTGTTTTGCTAGTTGTTCTGCAGGGAGAGAAGGGCAGCTTCATGTCTCACCAACTCTCACTCATAACTGAAATCTCCACTTATTTACCAAGGCTTCAAAATACAAACAAAAGAGTTCTCTGGGTAATGAAAATGCAGCAGTCTGAGTTAGCAAAGTTGTGTTGTTCAGTGTTGGTGTTCAAAAAGTACGACCAGAGGTTTTCAGAGTTGGGGGCAGGAGACTGGGAAATGAGAAATGTTCTCCTATATTGTTACAGCATAATGATGAATTGCTTTTGCTTTTCCAAAACCAGACTCGAGCTCCTCTGTTCACCTCTATTATCTGTTGCTGGTCTCCAAAGGCATATTACCATATTAATTCATTGTGTTATACAATTTGGTCAACTAAATGAGCTTACCTTATGCCCTCTTAATGGCATTGCTTTTAATGTTGGCTTCATGGGCTACATTTAACAAAACAGATGCGTCAAGGAAATGTATTTAAACTCAATTTGGTTTTAAAATGTCTAGTGGTCTCTCTAATGAGCCAGGTACCAAAAAAAAATGTTGCAGGCAACACACTGTGATAAATGTAGGGCCTAAATGCTAAAGCATCCCCAGTGCCCACGGTGATCAGTTGTGTTCTGGAAAGAAAGTAATGTACTACAAATGTGCCATTACTAGATCTGAAGCCTAATTCATTCTATATGGAAAGGGTATAACACATTATTTAGAGGAGTTGTCCTGCATGTGAGACTGACATTTAATTGCATGTCATAAACATTGCCATCCCACTGACTTACTGAGACAGCTTGAAGAAAAAATATGTAATAAAGGGATGAATGGTGAATGACCCATGGCATTAGGTCATATTTGCAATTTAAGCCTCACAGAATAGTAGAAATATAGGTTCAGCGTCTTATATACCTGGGTTGGTATATTCTTATCTTATCACTTTTTTAGCTGAGTAATCATGAGAGATACAATTCACTTACCCAGACTTCAGTTTCCTGGTCTGTAAATGGAGACAATAATGTCAACACCTAGAATTGTGACGTCTGGAAATAAACTAGGGACAGTGCCTGGCAGGTCGTAGCATTCAATGAAGTACAAGTATATGGTGTGTTTGTGTGTCTGTGTGTGATCTTTATACTATCTTTAGATAATTGATTTACCCACCTTCTAAAAAAGACTTTATTTTCTTGGATTATTAAACCAATAACTAAGCTTACGTATTCCATTCCCTTCATAGCCCTCTGTTGGCTTCATACATACAGAATGGATTGGCCCCAGAAAGGCTTATCTGATTATTTCTCCCAATGTGATGATCAGGATGGATTGCTGGCCAGTGTGGCAGCTCCAGCAATTAGCCTGATCTTAAGGGCAGCCAAGACCATTCATCTGGACTTACAACATCCTGATCGAGTGGCTACATAGTGACAAAACTAATGACCGGTGGTTGGAAAAATAGCAGAAGCTAATGTTCTTTCTTGGATGACATGGTCATATTTTCCCATGAAAGGCTATGATATCCAAGGTACATTTCACCACATTTTCTCTATTAATTGTGACTTTTAACAGTGGTTAGAGCACAAATTATTTTTTAGGTGATGACAGAGAAAAAGCAACTTACATTTTCAATCTTTTTTTTTTTTCGCCACTTCTCGTCCATTAAACATAATATCCCGGGTAGTTGGTTCTACTCTCTGTCCCCCAGTCAGCTTAGGCTTAGTTCCTAGCTCTGCACTGTTATCATGCCACTCACTTACCAGCAGTGTCTGCATATTTACACATTCCAGGTTTTGTGCTACGGGCTGCATTATCTGATGATGAACAACACAGTTACTGTCCTGAAGGTGCTTACAGACTAGGAGCAAGCCGCTTCTTTTTACTAGAATTCTTCTCGCCTCTTTATATGCCATTGTAACTCATGTCCATCTCCTAAAGTGCAGACAAATTCTTGTCTCTTCAACATATTGTTGGGAAGGTAAATTAGTGAATCTCTATGGCAGGCAATTGGGTAATCTCTAATAAAATGCACATACCAGTGGGGCGCAGTGGCTCACGCCTGTAATCCCAGCACTTTGGGAGACCAAGATGAGAGGATACCTGAGGTCGGGAGTTCAAGACCAGCCTGACCAGCATGGAGAAACCCCATCTCTAGTAAAAATACAAAATTAGTCAGGCATGGTGGCGCATGCCTGTAATCCCAGCTACTTGGGAGGCTGAGGCAGGAGAATTGCCTGAACCTGGGAGGTGGAGGTTGTGGTGAGCCGAGATTGCACCATTGCACTCCAGCCTGGGCAAAAAGAGTGAAACACAGTCTCAAAAAATAAATAAATAAGATAAAATGTGCATACCATTTAACCTAAGAATTTATTTTCAAAGTATTAATCCTATACATATGTTGCACATGTATAAAATACCATATCCATAAGGGTACTCATTTTCAGGACTGTAACAGGAAGATATTGAAAACCATCTAAATGTGCATCAGTGGTTCAATAAATTATGGCCTATACATACAATATAAATTTATAGCACCAATATAAATAATGAGTCTCTGTATTTACTGATGAGGAGTGATGTCCAAGATACATCATTAAATGAAAAAATATTGAAAAGTACATTAGACTATATAGAGTGGGCACAAGCTGTCTAAGGAAAAGCATAAATATTTATGTTTGTAAATGCACAGAAAATCTCTGGGAGGATCCAGTAGAAGCTGTTGCCTGTGGTTGCCCCTAGGAAGGAAGGCTGGACTCTTACTGGACAAAAGAGAGAAGAAGAATGACTTTTCACTTTTGGTCTTTTGACCTTTAAAATTTTATAACTTGTTCACATATTACCTATTCAAAATAATAAATCAAACTTAATTATAAAAAGTTCTGACTCAAAAAAACCCCAAAGAAGCAAACAAATGATCCTTTTGACATATTTTCTGTAGGGATTGTGTCCTTCTTTCCATAGTAGGAATAGTGGCAATTTGTATTGGAATCTGTCATGTCCTGCCAAGGTATCTCTTATACCGTGGAATGATCTACAATTGTATGTTTGTTAATGTTAACGAGCGGTCTACACAGTATAGTGTGGATGGAGTTCAGCATGGATGGCATCTCTGCTCCTGGACCATCCATGGATGGCTCAGTGGAAGGGGAAGGTCCTCACTAGCGTTAAATAAAATGATGGGAGATCATTGTTATGGACTGAGCTGCTACACTAGTCCCTGATGGACCAACCCCAAATGGAGGCACTCATGCTAAGGCTCCACGTTATCAGACCAAAACCTAAGTTGTTTAGTTGTAAGATCTCAACTTGTGAGAAATCAGGAGAGAGATGATAGCCAAATCCCCACACAGGCCAATTTTCTAAAAAACAGGAGATTCACAACAACCAATAAAAAAAAAGGGACCCAATCAACCTTAGCCACCATGATAAGGATGTCTCTTATGCTTTAACACACACAGGGAAGGTAACCAGATGTAACCTGCTGTAAACCAATTTACTTTTTGCCCTATGCTATTTCCTTGTTCCTGCTCAAGCTACTTGATAAAAACAGACTCCTCTGCCATGCCCAGTGGAGCGCCTCTGTCTATTTTGTAGACTGGATGCTGCCTGGTTCAGGAATTGCTAATAAAAGCCAATTAACGGCCAGGCATGGTGGATCACGCCTTTAGGAGGCCAAGGCGGGTGGATCACAAGGTCAGGAGTTCAAGACCAGCCTGGCCAAGATAGTGAAACCTCATCTCTACTAAAGATACAAAAATTAGCCAGGTGTGGTGGTGGGCACCTGTAATCCCAGCTACTCAGGAGGCTGAGGCAGAGAATTGCTTGAACCCAGGAGACAGAGGTTGCAGTGAGTGGAGATTGCACCACTGCACTCCAGCCTGGGTGACAGAGAGACTCTGTCCCCCCGACAAAAAAAAAGCCAATTAACTGTTTAAAACTCAATTTGTTAAAATTTTGTTGGTTGACACTAGGAAGTAGCAAGGAGGGCAACGATGTGATTTCTCAGCATAACTGGTGCCTGAGGCTCCCTCCAAAGGCCCTAACCCTAAGTAGTTGCAAGATGGTCAAGGCTTCCCCTGGAAGGCAACAGAATTCCTATTTGGGAAAAGAATTATGGTTTTCTGTTCCTGAGAAAATGTTTTTAGTCAAAAAAAAAAAACTTAATAAACTGCATCAAGGATGGAAGATGATGCTCTGAGAGCATGGATTGGGAAGAGATCTCAAAGAAAAAGCAAAACAGCTCTGCATAGAAAATAACTAGGAATTTGGAAGTAACAAACAGAAGAGAGGAGAGGCAAAGAAGGGAATGAAGGAATCCTGGAGCTGAGTGGCGTTAGAGGAGGCTGAAGTGTAAAGAGAAAAGCAGCCAATGAGAAATTATTGGGGTTGGGGTGACTGGGCAGGGGTGGTTCTTGAGAACAGAAATATCTATTACTATACTTTCAATTCCTTTTTCTCCTATGAGATAAATGCCATTTGCTACCCCAACTTTTCAGTAAAATGTGCTGCTATACATCAAATGCTTTATGTCAGCAGGCTGTGGGGCAATCCAAGAAAGGACTGGGCTTTGTGGCTAGATTGGTGAGGCTGGGGGTGCCAAGCAGCAGCAGGGAACTATGAACGAGGATCTGGCTGCACTAGGACTCATGGACCATGAAGATCCAGCCTCTGGGAAGTCACAGGGGGATATGGAGGCTGTATGATTCTGTAAGAAAGGTGATAAGAGCCTTGCCTATCACAATTTTACAAACATCTCAAAGGATAGGATGATCTCAGTTGTGCATATTGTAATGTGCAAACTTCCAGGTGGAAAAGAAAATCAGTCATCTGGAAGCCTTCTTGAGACCTGCAGGAATTTAGAAACATTCAGGCAATTGACTGCATTTTCCACCATCTATGACAACATCAAGCATTGTAGGGAAATGGCCTGGAATCATGTCATTGCCTCAGGCTAGATCCGTACTTCACCCAACAGAGAATTCCCTGACATTCTCATTTCTGACATCTGCTTATTACACAAACCATTGTGGGGAATAAGAATAAATTTATTCTGAATTGGTTCTTGCTTTTGTCCAGTGCTTCTTTCATAGGCCACAATGCCATGTTGAAATTCTCGATGAGCTTACGCTACATTTTATAGAACTTTGCAAAGTACACACTGGCATCTGTCTACATATTTTGCTGAATTAAGTATTTAACTGCTAAATGTGGTATAAGATACAACAATCAACAAAAATATGTTTTAAGTTCTTCCATTGCTTTCTCTATATTTCCCTAGAGTCTGTTGCAAGGCCTGGATATAACGCAATCTGTAAATACCAGCCCTACCCCCACTTTCAACAGTGCCATTCATCCAAGAATCCCAAAGCGTGTTTTAATAACGGACTCATTAATCCTCATAACACTCCTTCATTTGACACATGTAACTCTCACTACATGATATGTTGCTACTTACTCTGGATTTAATTTAACAGGTTTTTCCCCGTTGTGGGTAGTCATTTACATTGACCTCATTTTAGTTGAGTTATTGCTCAGATTTGAGCAAGTTTGAATGGCCTCATCCCAAACTGACATCTTCTGGCAGATAGAAGCAAACCATCTGAAGAAGCAATTATTATTATTATTATTTTTTAGGGAGAAGCTTCAGCAACAAATGGCCCTATAAATAAACAATTGGATTTTAATCATGGGCGAAGAGAGTGAGACATCTTGCCATTTTACATAAATGTGAAATTGGATGAATTTTAGAATTCATAGGAGGGAGGAAACGAAGACTTTTGCTGAGACTGGGAGACCCAGGGTGGCAAGAGCCTAACCTCTTCTCAAAGAAGTTTGTTTTTCACATTTCCTCTTCTTAAACTTGTCCTCTTTGATCTCTTTCCTTTCTGTGGTCAGACAGTTTTCTGGAGTTTTCAAAGTCCCAGGCAGCAGTAGCAGAGCCTAAACCGGGAATGGAATGAGGTCATGTGTCCAAGAAAGTGTGGCTAGTAAAATAGACTTTGGAGATGGGCCGAAGTATCCACTGATTGAAGAAAACAGACAAGTCCAAGGAGGAAATGCATACAAGGCAGAGGTGGTAGGCAAAGAGGAGTATAAGATTGACAAGGAGGTAGCACTTTGCAACTAGAGAGTATTGGGGGAACTTTGGACAAATTTTCATGAGCAGCATTCTTTTAGGACTGTGTGTCTACCCAATTGATATGGTTTGGATTTGTGTCCCTGCGCCAATCTCATGTTGAATTTGAGGAGAGGCCTGACGGGAGGTGATTGGATCAGATTTACCCTTTGCTGTTCTCATGATAGTGAGTGAGTTATTACAGGATCTGAAATTTTAAAAATGTGTAGCACTTCTCCCTTCACTCTCTTTCCCCGAGCCATAGTACAATGTGCTTGCTACCCCTTCCACCATACTTGTAAGTTTCTGAGGCCTCCCAGTCATGCTTCCTGTTAAGCTTGTGGAACTGTGAGTCAATGAAACCTCCTTTCTTCATAAACTACCCAGTCTCACGTAGTTCTTTATAGCAGTGTGAAAATGGACTAATACACCAATGGATAGTCCTGTATCATTTTTATTTATTTATTTATTTATTTATTTTTATTTTTATTTTTTTTGAGACGGAGTCTCGCTCTGTCGCCCAGGCCGGACTGCGGACTGCAGTGGCGCAATCTCGGCTCACTGCAAGCTCCGCTTCCCGGGTTCACGCCATTCTCCTGCCTCAGCCTCCCCAGTAGCTGGGACTACAGGCGCCCGCCACCGCGCCCGGCTAATTTTTTGTATTTTTAGTAGAGAAGGGGTTTCACCTTGTTAGCCAGGATGGTCTCGATCTCCTGACCTCATGATCCACCCGCCTCGGCCTCCCAAAGTGCTGGGATTACAGGCGTGAGCCACCGCGCCTGGCCCCTGTATCATTTTTAAAAGCATGGCACTCCAAACTAGACATCTCATAAGCAGCTGAGTCTTCCCTGTGGCTTCAGCTATACTTCCTTTTTTTTTTTTTTTTTTTTTGAGACGGAGTCTTGCTCTGTCACCCAGGCTGCAGTGAGCTGAGGTCATGTCACTGCACTCTCCACCTCCCAGGTTCAAGTGATTCTCCTGCCACAGCCTCTCAAGTAGCTAGGGCTACAAGTGCACACCACTACGCCCAGCTAACTTTTTTGTACTTTTAGTAGAGATGGGCTTTCACCATGTTGGCCAGGCTGGTCTTGGACTCCTGACGTCAAGTGATCCACCCACCTGAGCTTCCCTGAGTGCTGGGATTACAGGCTTGAGCCACCGTGCCCGGCAGCTATACTTCTATGTAGTCAACTCTCAAATATCTTGCACCAGCCTCTGTCTCATTGTCCTAGAGCAGTGATTCTCAGACCTAATGCTCCTTTTAAAACACATATTTTGTAATGTCTTTTTTATTATCATGAAATTCATAAATAATACAAATTACCTATATACATAATTAAAATAAAATGCCTTGACTATATTATAAAAAAGAGAGAAAATAATACAGTGTGTATTTCAGTGTGCAAATACCTTGGGCACAACTTCACTAGAACACAAAATGAAATGTCAGATGTTTGCATCTTATCAAAAAATCACAGGGCTGAGACAACTACAGTGGTAGGCAATACAGGTATACTATATCGACAACTCTAATGTCATGATTAGTGTTGCCATTGGTGCTGTAATTTTATGAAATGGTCAACAATTCTTGGTCAAGTTTTGAACCAAAGAACACATGATCTACCATTGACTTGCATGGTAGTTGCAATCCTGGATGTTGGTGTACATTAGAACATATGAAAGTATGTTGTGTTTCTATAGAAAATAATTTCTTGGAAATGAAAACATTATTTTTTTTTCTGAGAAAATGTTTGTTGGCTTAGATAATTGAATTTTTCCTACATCGGGAAAACAAAGTTCTTGAACTTTTTGGTCTTAGCGCCTCTTTACACGCAAAGATTGTTGAGAGCCTTCTCAAAGGTTCATTTATGCAGGTTGTACTGATATTTACTGTATTAGAAATTAAAAGTGAAATGTTAACAGTATTTATTATCTTTAAAAATAACCCCATTACATGTTAAAATAGTATTTTTTAAAAAAGTATCTGTATCTTCCTAAACAAAACATAATTTAATCAGAAGAGTGGCATTGTTTTACATTTTTGGAAATCGCTCTAATGTCTGGCTTAATTAAAGACACCTAAATTCTGTTATCCACTTCTGTATTTATTCTGTTGCCATATGGCATTTTGCTTGAAGTGTTTGAAGAAAATCCAGGCTCACACTGGGAAATAGTTGGAAAAGACAGGAGCGTGTAATAGATCTTTCAGGTAATGTAGATATTATTTGATAACACACAAAACTTAACAAGTGATAGTTTCTTAAATGTTAGTTGCAATGTTGAATTGGAAGCCATATCAGTGAACATTTTGTACTCTGTTATATTAAAATCCATTGGCTTAGTTTGCACTTTGAGTGGCTCTTTTACCGTGCATGATTTTATAAGAGCACACGTTGGTTATTTGTAAAGTATTGGCTCACTGAGTTATACAGATCTTCCAAATGTTGACACAGTTCATTATACAATATCAGTAAATCACATTAGTTAATACTGACACTTATCTCATCAGAAAGGTCTTTTAGTGTTGAGAAGCAGCCAAGCTCATGGTGGTAGGTACAAATTTTCCATAATTCTAATTTTTTCTTTAATGCTTGAATTTTATCATTGGCAACAAGTACTTTTGTTGTTTTCTTGGAAGTAATTTCTTGGAAATGAAAAAAATTATTTGTTGTTTCTGAGAAAGTAGTCTGCTGGATATGCATCTGAATAATCATAGTACATATGTCACTTCTTTTTTCAAGTAAAAAATGATGTTGCATGACAAAAGAGGCTAGTTCAGTTTGCAATTTAAACAAAATTATATTTTGATATGCAGCATTTTGCCAGACACAATATTAAGAAGGTATGTACTCAAGGGCTGAGATTCAATGAAGTTAATTTTATTGCTTCATCAAGGACATTCTTAAATGAAACTAGAAGGTTTTGTTGGTGATTTTGTTTAACACCCAGTGCATAGTAGGGAATGATACAGTAACCACTAGTATAGTTCAGTTGAGTGCTGCTGCCTTGATTAATGCTAAAGCATCAACATTTTCACTTACCATTTCTTTTTGTGTCATCATTGGAGACATCAACTCAATGAAAAAGGCACATAATGTGATGGTCTTCCTGTGAAAATGGTTTTGACCTTGAATTATCCTTGAAAAGGACTCAGGGACCTCCAGGGATCCCTAGACCCCACTTTGAGTATCAATGTCCTACTCGAGTATCTCGAGGGACATGCACAGTACAATTCATTGTTGTGTTCATACTGCACCTAGTGCAACAAATTAATATCTCTGGTTCCCATCCTCTAACCTCAGGAGTGCCCTCCAAATCATTTTGACAATCAAAAATGCTCCCTAGGCAATTCCCCAATACTGCCTTGGGGCCCGTGTGGCCATTTGAAAAATATCTCTCTAGAAGTCCTGATCTGTGTTACCAACTTGATCAGGAAACTTTTCACATGAATGCTGGCCCACACTCACTAAGTACAAACCAAACTGATCACCTCCAGGTAGATAGAAAACATGTTAGAGCCAGAAGGGCCTGTAGGGTTCACTTTGGTCTGCCTTTTACAAATGAAGAAACTGAGGCACAAGAAAGAGAAATGACTTCAAAGTCATAAGTATTAATGTGACTATTATTAAATAATGATCCATTTCATCATCTTTCAGACATTTAATACATTTTCTCATTTATTTTGTAGGTATTTCCAGCCTTGTTTTGCAACCGATAAAAATGAGACTCAGAGGTGAATGGCTTCCCAGAGTTTACAAAACTAGTAAATGGCAGAATAAAGACCTTCAGTCCAGGTTTCTAGGTTACAAATGCTGTGCTCTTTCCTCCCGGACATGAGTGACTCTCCCTTCTCTGGTTCTCCTCATGCGAATCCAATTAGGTGCCAAGATCTTCAGATTTTACCTTCATCAAGTTTTCCACATTCACTCTGCATTTTCGCTGCCACTCTGTAGTTTGGGTTCTCATTTCATCTTATTTTGACTTATTGTCTCTTACCCAGGCATCCTGATTCTGCTCTGTTCTTTCTTTCATTCATCCTGAATGCTTTCCTCATGCTAAAGTCATGGATTGGAGCAGGACACCTCTTCCATCCACATCTCTCTCCAGGAAGGCAAATGGTCCTTAAGCTCATTTTAAGAAACCCTGAATAGATCACATTCATTTATAGACCATTTAGTCTCCCTCCTTTAATTGTTTTCTGACCTCTGACTATCCAAACCATCTTGAGTATATAGACATGGATTAATAAGATCTAGAAAAATCCCAACATGGTTACATCCAAAGACGAGAAAGCCCTGGTAGATTGTTGGGATAAATGTAACACCCTCTTGGCCTCATTTCAGAAGACTTTAAAAAAAAAATCTTTAAATGTCCTTCAGAAAAAATTGCCTTAAGGCCTAGAGAGAAGCAGGAGCTCCTAATTCCAGTTTGACCCTTTGAACTGTTCCAGGGACCTACTCTAGCCCTCAGCTCCAGTTATGGGACCATGTGGTTTTAGGAATGTGTAGGATTTATAGCTTAAAAAATGCCAGAAAATCAGGAATTTAAATCCCTCCTGATTTATGCCTGGCTTGTCAAAGGCTCTAGCGATTTTAGAGATGCCGAATCTCTTAGTACGGCTCCAAAGCATGAGCTGTGTCTTGCTTTTCAGCCGATTGTTATTAACAATGGTTGCCTTTAACGCTTTACTGGCACTCAGCTGTAATCTTTAAACTTGGTCCGTTCCTGCTTTGGGAGGTGTTATAAATTTCATGATTCAAAAAAATTATAAATAGGAACATTCTCTGACTTTTTTAGCCAACATTTCTGAGACTCATTACCTGGGGGACGGAGGCTTAAGTATCCTTTATTGGTGCTCGCACATCTGAGCTGCTCTCTTGTTGATGCTAAAAGTGTGCAGTCCATCCGTACTAAAGAATAATTCTTTACCAGAGAAGAGACAAATGCAAGCACACTCATTTGTTGTCTGTATTTGTGGTTGCTTATTATGCATCCTGGAGCATTTGGTGCAGAAAACTAGACCCTCCTCCCCCACATGGTTACTGTAAGCGATTTAAATCAATCCCTTTTATGCAGCAGTGGGTACAGGAAGCACAATATACAGCCACTAAATATGCCATTTAAATTCTTCTCAGGCAAAGGTTAAAAGAAAGGTGGGGGGAGGAGCCCGTAGAGCAGAGATTGCCGAGGTAGCTGTATTCAAATATTTTTGATAGGTTTCTAAGATACATGTCTCTTTTGCTGAAGCAAATGCATTCGTGTCTGAAAAGAAAACAAACAGGGAAAATGTTAGCTCTTGTGCTGATGAGCTCATGAGAAATGCCAAAAGAGTCGTTTGTGCACAGCGTCAAATATCAGGGGTTCTTTATTGTGGAGCTCTGATGCTCAGAATCAGGCGGAACGTTTCCATGACAACTAATAGATGTTATGTTTATTTACTGAGTGGCAGGGAATGACAATGTGAGCAACTGACATTTTAGTTTCTTTTTCCTCTTTTTTTTCCCCAGTAAGGATTTGTTTTAGTCAATGAAAATGGCAACAACATCTTCCATTTTTATTTGTCAGAGCTCCTATGGCAAAAATAAACAGCAGTTTAATTTGATTCAGTTATTCTCTGAAACATACTTTCAAGGCCCATCGCTTTATGGCCTTGGAGAGTGTTTTCAGCGGGCATTTGCTGGCGAGAAGATGGTTGGCAAAGTAAAAAGCAAATTTCACCTTTTATTCACTTGAAAATGATCTAATAACTGCATTCCGGGCCATCTGAATTTATCTAGATCTCATTAATGTCCTCTAAATTTCAGGTGACCTTGTTTATGCTCCTACTGATATATTCGTAAAAAGGGTGTCTTAAGACCTGTAACAAGACCACAACCTCAGCAGAGCCAGGAGATGAGGTTGCAGGGAGGGTTGGACAGACCCTCACTGGTTATAATGATATATTCCACACCGTTATCTGCCTGTGGCTTGTCTGCCCTCTAAATTATCTGCAGTTAATTTTTAATGCTGAACTGGCTTCCTCCTACTATCCAGCTGGTGTGTGCTCAAGGGATATAAACCAATGTTAGCATTTGCTTTAAGAAAACACACTTAGGAAGGCAAGCTGCTGGTGGGGGTGTGGATGGATGTTCATATGATGCGTGCTAAAGCAAAGAATTGGCATTTCTCTTAGTCCCTGTTTTGTATTATCTCTGCTGCTGCTCTGATTAATTTGAACAATTGAAACTTGAGATACTTTGGGCTTTTGAGGAAAGAACTCCAAGTGCTGTAGGAAACAAAGTCAGTGTGTGACTATTAGGAGGTGCTCAAAGTGTTATTTCCAGAAAACACACTTCTCCCATCTCCTGTTGTCTCAGGTAGAAATTGGCTTATCTCAGAACAGTTCCATCACTTCATTAAACTTATCTATTGAAGGCCTGTTTTACTTTTTTCTTTTTTTTTTTTTTTTTGGGACGGAGTCTCTCTCTGTCATCCAGGCTGGAATGCAGTGGCTCGATCTCAGCTCACTGCAAGCTTTGCCTCCCAGGTTCACACCATTCTCCTGCCTCAGCTTCCCGAGTAGCTGGGACTACAGGTGCCCACCACCATGCCCGGCTAATTTTTTGTATTTTTTTAGTAGAGACAGAGTTTCACTGTTTTAGCCACGATGGTCTCGATCTCCTGACCTTGTGATCTGCCCGTCTCAGCCTCCCAAAGTGCTGGGATTACAGGCGTGAGCCACCGTGCCTGGCTAGGCCTGTTTTTCATGCTAGAATGTAAGCTTCTTGAAGGCAGGGAGTGTGTCTTCCTTATCTTTGTATCCACAGCACCGTGCACAGTTTGACACAGCAAGCATTCAAGAAAGCTTTGTGGAATCAACAGATAATGAATGAGTGAATGATCACAACCCAGCTTGTGTCATCTCAGCTACTGGGTGGAATCAGGCATTCCCTCTTCTGATCATGCAGTCATGACAGTGCTCCTCACGTGGTCCTGTTGGCTTCTAGTTCTGTGGAATGAATGTATGAATGAGTGTCCACTTCAGGATGGGAGCCAACATTTCTCAAGGGCGTGCTCTCCTGTTTTGCAGTGTACACATCCACGTGCACATGCACACAGCAAATAATTCAACAGAAGAGTAACAAAGGAAAGAAGTATATTCTCATGAGACCATATCTAGCCCTGAGGAAAATGTGGGCGATTAGGAAGAACACTGAATATCTGAAAAACTGGGATTTTCTGTCACTAGTCACAGTATCTTTGGGTCTCAGCAACTTCACTTCTAAAATGAGGGGTGTGGACCAGAGGTACTTTTCCCAAATTGTGTTCCAGTGGACACCAGTGTCTACTAGGTGTTAATAGCTCTTCTGACACAAACAACCAAGAGAAACCAAGCACCATGTGAAACGAAATTCACCAGGAATACCTGGCATCCCATAAGTCTGAGAGGTCTTAGGAAATATGTGGCTTCTGCTGTCCAATGTCTTCTGTGATTATGCAACCAGGCATCTTTCCAGAGGGAGCCTGTTGTAGTGTGTTTGTGCTGCTACAGCAAATTACAAATTACTTAGTATCTGAAAACAGTATCTGATTACAAATCAGTATCTGATTACAAATTACTCAGTATCTGAAAAACAGAAATGTTTTTCTCACAGTTCTGGAGGCTGGAAAGTCCAAGATCAAGGTGCTGGCATTTTTTCTGGTGAGGGCCTTCCTGCTGCAACCTCACAAAGCAGAAGGAGGAAGAGCAAACTGGAGCAATGCTACATGAATTCTCTTTTACAAGGGCCTTCATGTCATTAATGAGGGGGAAGTCTTCATGGCCTAGCCATCTGCGAAAGACCCCTCATCTTAATGCTATCACATTGGCAACACCTGAATTTTGGAGGGGAGCTATTCAAACCATAGCAAAGCCCAGGGACAAAAGCACTACTTTTTCCAAACATATTTGATAATTAACCACTTTGCTGAAGGAGACATCTAGATTTCCATGAAACGCTGGGATCCTGGGCTGGTGGTTCTTTCCTCAGGGGAAAACAAGCTTGAGGTGATGGAAATTCTGAGTTAAACTCTTATTTTGTTGTGTTACTTAGTCACATTTTAAAAACTCATTATATTTTGCCCACATAATAGAAAAAGAGTAGAGACTTAGAAAATTGAGGTAATATTATAGATAATCAATAAGAAAAAATCTGTACCACTCACTTGTGGTTTGTCTACACTTATGATAGTCCCCACTGATAATGATCAGATTACTAATCCCCCATAAGTGTAGATTGAATCAGGTTTGGAAAATTTGTGACTTCTGCCACATCTTCTAGGTTTGCCCAGTCAGGAGGTTTGTACAGTGGCTTCTACCATGGGGTATTCTGGTGTGAAGATCACAGAGGAGGAGGAGAAAGAAAATTAGTCTGTTGATCTTCTATTGCCACAAGACTTCCTCATCTCTGCTTCTGATATACTGTTTTCAGATTTATTATCAAACACAGTAAGAATTCGTCATTGTCCATAAGGTAAAATATGCCCAGGATACAAATACATGGAATTTGGGGGAAAAAGGGGAAGGAGAGGAAGGTAACTGTATTTATTGAGCAGCCACTATATGCTAAGCTTAATGCTAGGCATTTTGCAAGTGCACTGGGAAATGCCAGAATCATTATCCCCTTTACGTACAAGTAACCTGAAGTTCATGGTGACATGAGGGTCATTGGCTAAAAAGGGGCAGAGCCTAGATTCAAATCCTGATGCTTATGATATCAAAGTTTATAAGCTTTCTATTTTATTCTGGTGAGGGGAGAGGATACAACCTAGATAGAGTTAACACTAGCAACCATTAACAATGCTTAACTAAGTCAGAGGCAATAAGGCAAGAGGAGAAGGCATCATGGATTTGGTTGTTAGGGATGGAATCAAACAAGACACGGGATTTGAGCTGATCTTTTCAGAATCAAAAGGATTTAGAGGCACAGTTGGAATCACGATTAAACAAAAAGCCACACATGACTTCTGGTGCTTTGCAGATTTATGGCTGCATGGCAATCTTAGAAAGAAGTGAGAGGGCTTTAGGGCCAAGTGCAGGGTTATCCCAGGTACATCACAGCTTGCAGAAACTTATGGTCCTCAGGACATGGCAAAATTATAGACCTTCATGGGTTCCCTGAAGTTGCTGCAATGGGCTATTCCTACTTGAGCTCTCAGTGGCAGATTTCATGATCTGGCCTTTGTAGTGGCTCAAATAAGGTCATTACACAGTGAAAAAGAAAAACATGGAAGCTTAGTTGGGAATGGGCAAGAAGACAGAATTGTCAAGAAAGTTCTAGTAATCATGCATTTTGGTCCCCTCTGCTTTCTTGCATGAACTGTCTTTTAAATTACTCCAAATGGACCCTAACCATGGTTGGTTCTCCACTTAATACAGCTGCAAAGGACTGGTGAATGCTGTGGAATTCTGTCTCCCTTTGAAATTATTATTGGTTTTATGTTTCCACATGACAACATCAGCAGGTTTTGGTTAAGTCTAATTGCTGTCCCCTAAGCAGCACCTGTTCATTTTTCTTTTTCAGTGCTTAGGGGCATTCTTCTGTGGCATAATTTCGGTGATCAGAGTAACACCTGAATAATGATCCATCAAATTTTTAAGTTAGTCGTACAGCATTTGGAACCTGAGTTTTGGGTCACAAACATAATGCTTTCAAAATGTTGAGCGTGTCCCACTTTAATAGAGCCCTTCTCCCCTGCATTTTTTTTTTTGACTGGATGTGCCTACAAATACAAATTAGTTATAGAGCTTGCTGAAAATGTGTTTTAGGATGAGTGTTTGGCATTACCTCCAACAGAGTCAAAGCTTGGAAAATGATTACAGTCATATGACTTTAGAAGTAGAGGGGGATATGTTACAGATAGGCCCATCCTGGAGTTTTTAAACTATGCCTGATGGAGCCGAAGGGACTCTCCAGAGCTGTCCCAGGAAGGCTGGGCTCCAGGTCTCCATCCCACTACAAATGGGCAGCTCCTCTCCCCCACTTTTTTTTTTCTAAGACAGAGTCTCACTCTGTTGCCCAGGCTGGAGAGCAGTGGTGAGATCTTGGGTCACTGCAACCTCTGCCTCCCAGGTTGAAGTGATTCTTGTGCCTCAGCCTCCCCAGTAGCTGGGATTACAGGTGAACGCCACCATGCCCAGCTAATTTTTGTATTTTTAGTAGAGATGGGGTTTTACCACATTGGCCAGGCTGGTCTTGAACTCCTGACCTCAGGTGATCCAGCCACCTCAGCCTCTCAAAGTGCTGGGATTACAGGTGTGAGCCACTGTGCCCGGCCCAGATCCTCCCTTTACTGGAACTCCTTGTGGGATTTCATTTCAAGAATGGCTCCATAGCTATCAGAAAGTCTGGAAACCACATATCTAGTCTAAAACCTTTATTCCAGATGAGAAATAATGAGGCCTAGAGAAGGAATATCAGTTTCTTTAAGGTGGAATCTAGTAGCAAACTATGGAGTGGGCCTTGTCCTCTCTCCTCATCACATAATTTTTCTACTCAATAATAATGTTTATCGAAGTCCAGATTTATTTGAGGCTCATAGGCTAAAACTTTAGACCTTGAAGGAACCTTACTTTTCTTATGCTATTGTCCTCAAATAATTTATTATATGCTATCAACATGCTAAACAAGATACATAGAGCAGGATAAGATGGTGCAGGAAAATTAAAATGGTCAAAAATATAACAGTCGTGACCTTTAATAATTTCTGTGAGCTTCAGTGTGCAGGATATTATTTTTGGTTTTCAATATTATCATCACCCATCTAAGCAGTCTTATCTGAACTGCAGGGGGAGAAAACAGAAACTGCATTCTCAGTCTCCCTTGCCAGGAAGGTCTTGGTTGGATTCCTCCAAAGGGGGATTTCCAAAGATTTGGGAAGGCAGAAAGAAGAGAGATGCTGTTTTCCTCATAGAAGCATGAGCAGACAGCTAATGTAGGATTTTACTGGTGGCTTGCTTTAGAGCATTTTCTTAAGAATAATCTGCTTCTGTGCTGTAGGCAGCTGGGATCACTGGCAGTGACTTCCAACCGCAATGCAGGTCTTTCTGAAAATGAACTATGTTCATGCTGCAGAAGCTGAGGCCATTGGTGGTGGCTTTCCAATGATCCTGTACTTCTGGATTTCCTGAAAGCGACCTTCCTGATCTATGCTCTCTTGACTTTCCAATAGCTGTGTCTCCTCTAATTCCCTGTATGAAGCTCTTTCCTACTCAGAATACCAAGAACAGCTTCTGTTTTCTGGATTGTAGCCTGGTAGTTCCAGAAATGTGTTCCTTCAAAGGAAGTGGCATATAGGGAAGCAAGTGGGTGGCAGAATAATTGATATCTGGAGCTGGAAGAAGAAAACTAATGTTAAGTAGTGACAAAACACTTGGAAGGTATACCTCAACATATCTATTCAGCCTGCAGCATGGGGGAGATGGCGTGTATTGATTATTATTGGCTGTACTTAATAACTCTCACAAAAAAAAGAAGAGCTCAGGAAGACACTGGCTAGGTGGCAAGCAAAAATGAAAAGAAATGAAGAAATCTCAGAAATTCAGAGCTTTGCAAATTAGGAAAAGTTAACCATTTCTATACTCCAGACAGCAACAGATAGGGTTTACAAAAGCCTTTGAGCCACAATGGCACAGTAAAAATCATCAGTTGACTAGGTTTCAAGACGAAGATCAGTTTAATGGTATAGGCTTCCTCTTCAAGCCTGACATGCTCAAAGGTCACCACCACTAAGCTGAAGAAATAGAAATAAGGCAGTTTTGAGAAGTATGTATTAGAGAGAATTTAGGTATGATTTCTACATCTGAAACTGACTAGAGACAAATAGGTCAGAAGACTACTGATTTCTTCAGGGGGTTCTATTGTCAATAAAACCACTAACCTGGAAACAAACAAACAAACAAACAAACAAACAAACAAACAAAAGCCTTTTGATTTGTCCAAAGCCTTTGACTACTCTGGCACCTTTATCTTCCAAAAATAGAAGACAGCTTCAAATGTTATTTACTTCCCATGAGGCCTTCCTCAAATGTGGCCAAGGAGAGTAAAAAACCAAGAGGAGTCCCCAGGGGCAGAGCCAGAGGCCATGGGGAACACGGGCAGAGGAGATCTTCCCAAAAAAATAGAAACAGGGTCTAGGCAAGGGACTTTTGCCCACCCCAGTGATGGGAGTCTAGTTTCAAATGCAGTTAGGTCATGCCCTAATTTTTGGTCTTTTGAAGTAGGGGTTCCCAGATGTTTTAGTGCTGGGATACAATGTCAATATCCTGATATGTCTTCAGGAAAGAGGCATTTCCTCTATTCCCATATTCATGGATACAGATTTTTGCATTTGATAGGGAAGGAACACACCTTGGAAAAGAATCCCTTGACTTTGATGATTTCAAATGAGACACAAGAGAAGAGTGTGTGCACAGAGCTCCTAAGAAGGATAGAGGTTCTTCTATGTTGAGTGCTAGTTGCTGTAGGCCACCCACACTGGAGATAACTTCAGGGCACTGGAGTCTAGCACTGCCCTGGAGGAACCCGTGGGAGACTGTAGATTGACAGGAAGTAGAAGGAAGCGGGGTAAGATGCCAGCCATGGCTCATGAAAGAAACCTGCTGCAGGTCTTAGAAATATAATACTTTTAAAAGTGTTATACTTGTCACCCAAATTCATATAATTAATGATGACTTGTGAGACTCAATAGAACTTCCACACTAGGCAAGGATTGAAACTTTGTCTTTTAAAGAATATTACAGTTATGTTTTCCTTAATAATAATAAAATATTTTTTCACTGTAGAAATTTTAGGAATATTAGAAAAGCATGAAGTAGAAAAAAATCATACTTCCTAACTCAGGAAATTATCACAATTAAGATTTTGCTGTAGTTCTTGTTAATCCTTTAAACTCAAATATGCATATTTTGAAAATAAGGTCGATGTATATGGCCTCTAAAGGTACTTTGTATTAACTAGTGTAGGCTAAGTTATTCCACTGTAATGAACAGTCCTCAAATCTCAGTGGTTTGTAATAAAGATTATTTCTCATTCATGGTTCTGCTCCAGCCCTGCTTCACATTGAGTTCATTATAGGCACCCAAAGTAAAGGAGCAGCATCTATTTGAAACAACCTCTTGGCAGAGAGGAAGGAGAACGTGGCAGATCGTGTACTGGCCCTAAAGCTTCTGCCTGGAATGACACATACATGTCATTTCTGCTTACATTTCATTTTGGAAAGTAACTAACTCATATGGCCAAGCCTAATGTCAATGGGTAAGAAAATATATGATCCTCCTTCAGGGAGGGGCGGCAAATATCTCTGAACAATAATATTTATATCACTTAACTAGTTTATTCCATGCTCCTTTGTAAGCACTGGAATTGTCATAAAACTCGTGTGATGTTGCTTTCTCTGTATGAGGATATTTGCACATCTCCTGCCTTTGGTTCTTCTCATCTTTGTTCTCATTGCCATAGGAAGGGAACGGTGGGAGATGGGTTGGTGACCCTATCACTAGTGGAAATGAGCTTATTATCTGTAAAAAGCAATAGGATCTAAGGAAAATCCTAGAATTTTATCAAAGCCTAAATTTAGATGTATTTGCAGCAGAAATTTTAAATTACATTCTAAATTCAAGAACTAGCATATTCAACAGAAATCTTCAGCAAATGGTGATCCCTACTTGGCTTTTCCACACTGAGAAAGGGTGTTTCCTGGCACCATGGCAACCCTTTCTAGCAGCTGGTTCAAGGGTCCATATGTAATCAGAGCTAGTGTTTTGGGTTCAGATGCCCACACCTACCTATCTCTGTCAGCCTCCTACCTTCTGTTCTCGAAGACTCTGCCTAGGGGGTCAGAATGCAGCTTCGTAAATCTGAAATCACCTGCTCATTTTCTTGGTGCCCAGCTGTTCACTGAATGGTTGAAGAACAGAAGGAAAATGTCTGTTCTCCAGTCCCCTGTGTGCTTAGGGCCCTTGGCTTTGTGAGCCTCACCTCCTGTGCTGGGGAGGCCATGAAGCTCAGTCACTATCCATTATGTCCTCACCAGGCCCCACAGGTGTCTTCCCAGAGACAGGGGATCATTCATAAAACTCCGTGCCCCGTCTTGATGCTGCCCCAGCCCCCAGTTTTCTAATTGGCACGCTGAATGCACAGGCAGCAGGGACTATCCCTACTTTACATCCCTTACATCCTCTGTGTAGCAGAGATCAAACTATTCTCAGGTCATAAAGAATCATGCTTTTCCTTCTCTTGTAGGTGTGGTTTGACTTCCTCTGGTTTGGACAGTCACCAGTCACTTCTGGTTTTATACCATGTTTTGTCTTTAATGTCTGTCCTGTGTTCACTGTCCTTTCTGCCTCATTTTCTAGTGGGTTTTAGGGGTTGTTTGCATCTATTTATGACTCAGTAAAGAGTGTGCGTGTTTTGCATTTCAAAAGTCAATGAACAGGCAATGCTTCTTACGGAGACAAAGTGGACTATGGTGTCTGCTAGATCAACTGACCTGCCCAGAAGGCAATGGTTAACCCTTCTGTCCCCCATTTTCTCTTCTGGACTCCCCCAAAATGAACACAACTCTAAGCCACCACAGTATCCTGTAGCATTTCATTTTCAGTCCTAATCCTCTAAAGAGGCAAATTTCAATGTTGTTTTAGATTTTTGTTTTTAACATACTAGAAGCTGAAGAAAGGCTGCCCAAGCCATTTGATAGGGAAGAATAGGAAAGGATTTCTTGATTAAATGCAAGCCCCAGAATGCAGTCACAATCCCTATCCACAGTACACACACCAACAAATTTGACTTTTTTCTTTTCAAACAGACATCATCTTGCCTTCAATGAATGTCATGGAAGAAGACAATTCTAATAACACTGGCTGCAAATATGGGTGTTTCCTGGGTAGACAGTAAATTTCAGGCAATTGTGAGTGAAGGTAGATTTGGAATGGGGTGAATGGGGTTCAAGGATTACATGAGGTTAGTCTCAATGCATTTTATGATATTTTCACCCTGAGATTTCATTGAATCCATACACACAGTGTTGCCTAATCAAAATGAACTAGGAAGGAGAAAGCAAACGGGAAAGCAATTTCTAAGACAAATTTTTCCTTTCCCTTAGTCAATGCTCTATTTGGGTGTCTAAAATGTGGCCTCCTGAATGCCTGGAGCTTATCTTTGGCTGCAAGACAAGCAAACACTGGGTCTGGAATCAGAAGGGAAGAAGGGGGAATAACAACAAAAAGATCCCTTGCCAGGAGTGTGGAGAGACATGGCAGAGCCAGCCTCATGACTGGCACTGCAGGGCTCTGAAGCCTGGGACAGCTGTGGAGCCCGTTGCCTCTGGAAGGAGGGTTGTTTCTGCCCCTGGCTCCAGCCCTCCCTGCATATCCTCTCCCACTGAGTTCATTCTTGGCCCGTCCTCACGCAAAGGCAAGAGAGCCAGGTGCTGGGATGGAGCCAGATTAGAGACTGGAAGTACATCTCCCTTTGTGATATTAAAGCTAAGGGGGAAGCGGGTGAGATAGAAAGGCTAAAGGAACCTTGATTCCATTCTGAGGGTGAACTGTGGAAGGACTGGCTTTTAAGGGAATTAGATGGCAGCTTAAAGAATGCTAGGGGTTTTCCACCTGTGCTAATGCAACATACTCTGTGTATTTACGGATGTTTGTTGGTAGCCCCTCTTCAGCTGAATGTAGGAGAAACACATAGATTTTGTTGCCTGTGAAAGATTGACCAAACTGCCTGGGCACTCTGTTGCATAAGGACAGTACTCCAGGATTTGTGTGGCATGAAAGAAAAGGTGAAAGTTTTCAGAACATCGGAGTGAAAGAACAGGTAAAAGTGAATGAATAGGTTTGATCTCCTTTAACCCTGTTAGTGTTGAGTAGATAGGGAATAAAGCCACATATTAAGCTGTTATAAAACATTAAAAGCTAAAGAGCTTCCTATTGTCACTGAAGAATTGACAGTTAGGGTTCTGACCAGTCTGGATAGGAAATAGCTCTCTCAAAGCTCCCAAATTTCAGCTGGTCCCGAATAGCTCTGATGCCAGCCTAAACAGTTCTAGTTGTCAACTGCCACCCCTTCCCAGTAGTTATCGACTCTTTCCCAATGTGAATTAATCTATACTCTCTGAGTACTCCAGTTGGGATCTCTCGTCTGAAGCAGAACACAAGTCTAAGCACCCAGCAATCCAGCTATGTCCTTAGAAGCCCAGGTGGGAGACAGTTTATTTTCTGATTTTTCTCAGGGTTATTTGCAGAGAAATCAGAGGCATTGTTTTTATAGGAATATCCCAGAAAGGCTGAAATTATTGATGTGGGATTAACAACACTTATGTTAAAAAGCTCCAAGGACAAAGTAAAAAAAAAATCATTTGAATGTTAATATATATGCAGTAAGTATATATAAGACAAAATGGTAGAAATTACGGAGAGACATATTTTAGATCAAAGTAAGAGTATCTTCTAATAATAGAGCTTTTCCAGGGTCAAATGAACTGAACTTACTGATAGTGGGCTCCTTTTCATTCTAAGTATGCAAGCAAAGGCTAGAAAGGTGTTTGTTCATTATTAACTAGTTTCAAGGTATAAAAACAACAATGAATATTTTACTTCGTTAACTAGGAGTTCTTAATCTGTGAGCTCCCACATGTGAATGTAAAATTATTATGTATCTGCACATTTTCTGTGGAGACGTTTTTCTTTTTTTCCTTTGTTTTCTGTCATAACCTCTTGTACATGACAAACCAATTAACTAACTCCAACTCTCCATGTAAAGCTTCCAGTTAGGTCTTTTGGGTCCCACCCTTAAACATGACTAAAGTGTCTGCTAAAGATCAACAGACCCTTGAGAATAACTTCTAACACGAAAGACAGAAATCAAAACAAAGAGGATAGAGACAATGATACAGAAGGGAGAAGAAATAAAGAACAAAAAAGCAGTAACAGCCAAGAAATAACTCATTAATATTCCCAGAAAATTAAGACCATATTTCATGAAACAGTGAACTAGAAGCTACAAAAAAGGAGCATTCAGAAGACAAAAAGGAGCTTTTAGAAATTAAAATTATGATGGCAGACATGAAAAATAAGAAGGATTCATAGATAAAATTAGTACATCTCACAGAAAGTTGAAAGAGGGGACAAAGAAATGAGAAATAGGAAAGGAAAAAAACATAAGAATTAGCCCAGGAAGTCCAAAATTTGAGTATAAGAGAGATGAGGATAAAATAAAGAGGACATCATCATCAAAGAAATAATCCAGTGAAAAATTTCCAGAACAAAAGCACATGAATTTCCTGGTAGAAAAGGCCTAACAGCTGTGTTCTTGAATCTATTTTTAATAGATGTAAAAAATACTTATACCAAGATACATGTGTATAGAATTTCAGAATACTGGACCAGTGGGAAGACTCTTAAGTTTCCAAAAAGAAACGCAAAACAAAAGCAAGACACATACAAAAGACTGGAAGTCAGAGTGAATTAAACTGTTGAGCAGTAACACTGAAATTGAGTACACGATTGATGAATGAGTTTATTTATTATAAAGGGAAAATTATTTTCAACCCAGAATTTTATACCCAGCCAAACTATCAATTAGATAGTGGTGAAGGTGATGCAGTAATGGGGGTAGGGCAGGAGAATAAAGACTTTTCTATATATTCAAGATGTTCTGCAAACAATGGCAAATATCTAGAGAGCATACATATTAGGGCTGCTGGCTGCTGGAGCAATGTTCACTAGGGAAATTCATGGTAGCAACATCAGCAACAGAACAGTGAAGTTCTCCCATTGTCTATCATATTCCAAGGGAGAGCACAGTCTGACAGAGCGAGATGTCAGACTTGGGGAGATGTACTCAGACACTTGGGCTTTGGAACTTTTACACTACATAAACAGGGAAGAATTAATAAGTCATCTGTGTAATCAGAGGCCAGAATATAGTGGCAGTAGTACTTGGCAGAAAATTATCTCCAGCCCTTTTCTGCCAAGACACTATTTTTGGTTGGAGTTAGCATCAGCCTCTTCTCTGGGGTGATCAAGGAGCTAGGATTCAAGCTTTAGGTTGCAGCTACATGAAGAGGCAAATAGTGTCAGACCTTATATTATCAGCATTCATGGTTAGTAACGCTCCTCCCCTATAATGGTTGGAAGACTGGGGTCCGAAAGTTGATGATCAGAAGTATCAGGCATCCCCTATTTAAATTGAGGCTTAAAGAGAGTCAACTCTTTTTCTGGGAGGTCAATTTATAAGATATAAGTCTTGGACAAGTTCTCTTTTTTCTCTCAGGAGAGCTCAAGGATTTTACATTATATGTACCTTTTCTGAGGAAGCAACTTGATGATTTCATCCACCTTACTGAGGGAGTAAACCACGAAAGAGGAAGATACAGAATCCAAGACAAAGGAGATACATACAGGAGAGGCAAAGATAAATTATTAGGATGACAGTGAAGGGAGATGTCTAGGAGGACAGCTAGCAACAGGAGCAACCTGAGCAGGTACATTGGTGCAGTAGGAGAGAGGGCTCCAAGTGAAAGTTTCTTAAGAAGGTAAAATGGACACACCACTCACTTTTAAAACAGCTTTATGGAGGTATAATTGTCATATAATAAGCAACATATTTCAAATACATAATTTGCTAGGCTTTGACATATTTTGACATCCATGAAATCTTTATCCCAAGCAAGATAATGATCATATTCATCGCCATCAAAAATTTATTTCATAACCCCTACCTCTTTTCTCTCCCTGTCTTCCTGATTGTTAGGCAACTACTGATCTACTCTCTGCCATTATAAATTAGTTTGCATTTTCTAGAATGTTACACAAATGAAATCTTAACATACATATTCTTTTTTGTCTGGGTTCTTTCACTCAGCACAAATGTTTTGAGACTCATTAATGTTGCTACACTTTTGTGGTATAGATCATAGTTTATTCCTTTTATTGTTGAGTGATAGTCCATGATATGAATATACCAAAATTGTTGTTAATGAACATCTGGGTTGTTTCCAGCTTTTCCTATTAAAAATAAAGCACTATGAACATTCATGTGCAAGTCTTTATGTGGGTATATGCTTTCTTTTTTCTATGGTAAATATCTAAGAGTGGAATGGCTGGATAATATGGAACTGTTTTCCAAAGAGGTTGTACCATACCATTTTACATTCCCATCATCACCATATGAGAGCTCACCTTCTTCTACATCCTTACCAGCACTTCATATTATTAGCCTTTGCATTTTAGGCATTCTAACAACTTGTCTAAAATCAATTTCCCACAAAAGCATAGAGTTATTTTGGACTCTCTATCCAGTTTCATTGATTTGTTTGTCTATCTTGATGTCAACTCCAGAGTATTTTGATTATTGTTGCTGTATAATGAGTCTTGAATTTAGATGTGTAAGAACAGTTCATATTGTGCTGAAACAATTGAATAGCCATATTTTTGTTAAACCAACTTTGCAAAACCCTTGGAATAAAACCCACTTGGACATAATGCGTTATCCTTTTTAATATATTGTTGGATTCATTTTGCTAAAGTATTATTAAGAATTTTGACATCTACATTCATGAGAGATTTCAGTCTATACATTTCTTTTATTGCCTTTGTCTAGTTTTGGTTTCAGGAGCATACTGGTCTCATAAGTGGCTTGGGAATTATTTCTTTTACTTTAGTTTTCTGGAAAAGCTTATGTAGAATTGGAATGATTTTTTTAAATGTTTGGTAGGAGTCACAAGTGAAACCATCTAGGCCTGGGGTTTAATTTATAGAGAGGAAATTTACTGTCAATTCAATTTCTTTAACACGTGTAGTATAATGAGGTGATCTAATTTTTCTTGAGTGTGCTTTGGCAGTTTTCATCTGTCAAGAAATTTGTCTATTTCATCTAGGTTTTCTAAGTGTCTTGTATTTTTTTATTATCTTTTTAATATTTAAAGAATCTGCAGTGACATCACCTCTTTCAAACCTTAAATTAATCATTGTGCCTTCTTTTTTTTTCCTGATCAGTCTGGCTAACAATAATTTTATTGATCTCAAAAAACTAGATTTTGGTTTCTGTTCTCTATTTCATTGATTTCTGCTATGATATGATCTTAATTTTTTTTGTTTTCTGCTTACATTGTATTTTTTGAAAATTTTTTAATAGATTTTTTTTTTTTTTTTTTTTGAGACAAGGTCTCACTTTGCCACCCAGGTTGGAGTGCAGTGGGACAATCACAACTCAATGCAGCCTCAACCTCTTGGGCTTAAGTGATCCTTCCAACTCAGCCCCCGCCAAGGACCTGGGACTACAGGCATGAGCCACCACACATGGCTAAGTTTTAAATTTTTTATAGAGATGTCTCACTATGTTGCCCAGTCTGGTCCTGAATTCCTGGACTTAAGTGATCTTCCTGCCTCAGCCTCCTAAAGTGTTGGAATTGTAGGTATCAGCTACCATGCTTGGCTGTGTCATCTTAGTCTAATTTCAAGGATTGAGATGATTCAAAGATAGGCTTCCATCCATGAGAGGAACTTTCTTTAGTATGGTCTTTTTGGGTTCCAGTTCAAAACATGGTGATCGCTAACCCTCTCACTTGGTGAATCCTAGGCTCTGGTTTTTCTCCCTTAAGTCCCCAGAAACTGTTAAAAGCATGGGTCACCTTCTCAGTCTTTCATGCATGTCTTTCCAGAATTAACAAATACCACCATGGACAAGAGGCTCTAATTGCTGACTTATTGCTTTTGCTTTTAATCTTTTCCCAGGTTTTAAAAAGAACTACTGAGTTAGTTAATAGAATAAAAGGTATTCTAGATTTTATTTGACTCTTTCAATTCTGTTAATAAAGTTAAATATTTTTTCATATAGAAAGATAACAGGTTAGTGCAGGAGTAATTACAAGTCCAGCCTCTCTGGGTTTCTCTATCAATGAGACATTAAAAGGTCGTGACTTTGAGAAAGTCTTCCAGGCCTTGCAAGCCCTGTTCATGGGAATAGCGGTAGCTCCTTGCACAGGGAGGGAGCCGGGGATTTAGATTTTGCTTATTTGACTGATCATAAGGGCAGACGGTGAACAGAGCCATCTTTACAAACATTCCTAAGCTGTTTTCAAATGTGCTTCTGTACTTGTTTCCAAAAGATGTCTAAGTAAGCTTTGATTCTCTTAAGCATATATGAAGAAATGGACAACATGCCACCTTTTTAAACCGAAATTTTAGTAGAGAAAGTCAAAGCATATTTTCAAGCCCAAAGAACACTGGACTAATTAAAATACCCTAAAAGCTATATGATCAGCTCTGACAATGAACTGATGTACTGGGGATCTGAAAGGGCATGAGGGGTTTTGGAGAGGATGGTGAGGTTAAGCTGTGCAGACTAGATTTCTGAACAGCTGTGTATTCTCATAAATGTGACATTCTCGTTTTCTTATCTTTCCCATCAATTCCTCTACAGTGCAGGAGGCTGAAGACAGATTTTTCTCCTCATGAAGGAAAAGTTCCCAGGGGTTGGGGCATGGGGCAGCTTTGGTTAGGCTTCTTTTTTATTTTTAAGCACATGGATTCCTGGTGCAGGATCCTAACCAGTTGAACTGCTAGAAATTATTATATCCTACACACGAGCTCACAGGGGTGAAAAGGAAAACAAGACCATAGATTTGGAGTTGTTTGTTTTGCTATAATTTGAAAAATAAACACGTTTCCCTGTCTGGAGTCATGAGTCATATTTTTTCTCTTCCAACTCTTAAATTACTGACACAGAACAAAGAGGGAAAATCCAAAGTTGAATACAAATTCAGCCATGCATCAGGAGATTCTTTCCTTGGTCCCCAAAGTTCTTAGAGCCTGTCCAGACTCCTGGCTCCCTTGGCAAACCCACTCCTTGATAGGAGCCAAGTATCCTTTGCAATTACCCTTCCAAGGAAATTTGGGGATAATGACATCAGCAGAAGAGTCAGATTAGATAATGCAAAGCAGCTGCCTCTCTACCTTTCAGATCAACTCCTCTCTAGAGGAAAGGTTTGCAACCTTTCTGCATGCACAAAAATAATCTGGAGTAATTTAAAAAATATACACAGATTCCTGGACTTACTTGCAGAAAATCTGATTCAGTGGGTCTGAGTTGAATCCCAGTTGTCTTCATTTTTAACATACAGGTGGTTGAACTAAGAACTGTATCTTGGATAAAACCTGCTCTAGGGACCGAGTTCCCAGGATCCAGAAAATCCTTTTATGATGGGACCGCATGAGTATGCTACCTTCTCATTACCCCTAGCAGCACAGAACCTGCTGTCTGTGAACAAGCTGGCATTTTTTTTTAAGGCTAATGTGGAACTCTCCTCATTTGGAAATAAGGTTTCAAAGAAGAAAATCATCTCACGTGGCTGTTGAAGACTATTTTGAAGTCCTAGGAGAAGCCTTCAACAATATTACACCATTAGTATAAAGATAATTTATTGGCATCAAAATGATCAAGCCAGAATTACAGTTTCTTTTTTTTTTTTTGCTTTCAATGCATGCATCTGGCATCTGAGTATTATTTAGTTGGTTTCAAAAGGGGTTTCAATTCACCAAGACCAAATTTCTTTATGAAGCTGTTACCACCATCACCACTGTTACTATTCCCAAAACCACATTCTCTGTTGGATCTTTGTACTTCAGTTAAAGCACTTATGTTTATATCATAAGCACTTTGTATGGGCATTTGTCTCTATAACCAGATTATCAACCCCTTAGAGGTGGGAAAATATCTTTTTAAATCTTGGTATGAAGTATACAAAGTGTTTGATGGATGATGACCTAGAAGGCTATCTATAACTATTGACTCAGTTAAATTATATATTTTTTTCCCCAATCATGCAACTGCATTAAATACACTGAATATAATTAGCATTTTTCATAAGTTTTTATAACTTTAAAGATTAACATCTTTTTCTAGATATGAGTCATAAGCTGGGAAAAATGGAAAGAAAAAATTAAAGAAAAATGGAAAGAAAAAATATTACCAAAAATATAGTTTCAAAACAAAAGCAAATTTTGGAATAATTATTTCCAGAAATTTAACTGGATTACATCTACCCTTTCATTACAGAAAAAAAAGATAATAATGAATTGCTTCCTAATTTTTCTTATTCTCCTAGCATCTACTGCAGGTGTGACTCAACACTCTCCACCTCCCCTGACCCCTTCCCTGGAGCAGCATCTACTTTCTCTGTTTTTACTAATACTATAATAATATTATATACTAATAAAACTATATAACCAACATGAAATTGAGAAGTGAGGAAACTGGATAATTTATGCTTCCAACAGTTTTTTTAGCTCCAAATTTAGGGAACCTGCTCTGCACCTATACCTGTGCAACCTGGAAGTGCAGGCAAAATAATGCCCCATAGGGCAAACCTCTACCCAATAAAGGGTGAAGAACAAATTCTCCCTGTGTTTTTCCCTTAAATGGATGGTTGTGAAATACCATTCATATGGCTCTTCTGATGGTCCTGGAGGATCAAGTCACCAGCTGTTTTCTTTGGTGGCCAATGCAATAATGTATCCTTATATTGGCCCTTCTTTCCTTCCTTCCTTCCTTCCTTCCTCCCTTCCCTCCTTCCTTCCTTCCTCCCTTCCTTCCTTGCCCCCTCATTTCCCCTTGTTCCTCACTTGTGCTTTTCAGGATTTCACCAATCAAGTACTCACACATAAGTCTTTGCCTCAGACTCTCCTTTCTAAGGAAGGAAACTAAGCAAAGATATTATGAAAGTTGAGAGGAGCAGTGGTGAGAAAATACAAAATGGTAGAAATTCTAAAGTTAGTTTGAAAATCTTTGAAATGCAGTAGGTGATGTTTTGCTTAGACTGATATAAAAATATACCTGTATTAATAACACTATAATGCCTGATTGTCTTTAAAGGGTCTTTTTTACAGTTTGGATTTAGACAAAGACCACACATTGCACTTCATAAGTTTCTTAAGGTTTCTCTTAATGTAAGCCAATCTCTTTCCTCTTTTAAATGCTACTAATTTGTTCAAGAAACAGGGTCATTTGTCCTGCAGAATGGCCACATTCTGAATGTGCGTGTCATTATCTTATTTCCTCCAGAATAACATGGAAATACAAAAGAAAACTCCTCTAAACTATTGCCAAAGGGCATTTTTTTTCCTTGATAAAGATTCTGTATCTCCTGTTCTTTGGGGGATTGGTAGTACTACTTGGTAAATGAATGGGTCAGAAATGAAATGAGTATTTTCTTATTACTGGGAAACAATGGAATTTTAGCTCAACCTTGACAGATACATGTTTATAAATTATCATTTTTCTGCCCCTATATATATACGTACATATATATATACATGTTTGAACAGGAGAAAAGGCATACAATTTATTTAATGCATACACAATGTGTGCATGGGGAGAATCACAGAGTGATTGCCCACCTCACAGTGGGGCTCAGAAGCTTATATACTATCCTGGAAAAACAGGAGAACTATTTTTTTTACACCAATAATGTGATGATTTTTGTGGCTGTCACCAAAATGCTAGAATTCTAGACTTGCAATGGATCCCAAAAGTCACCTGCTCTAATGCTTTTGCTTTCCAGGTGAACAAACGCAGGCTCCGGGATGCCAAGTGACTTCATATCAACATCACCCAGCAGATTAAGGGAACTGGGCCCAGACTCCTAGGCTCCTGACTACCCAGTCCTGTGCCCATTCTAGTGGCCACTATACTCACCCACTGGTTGTAGCCATATCTGGCTTAGGCTGGCAACACTTTTGAAGCAAGGATGATGCTTTCTTTCTTTTGCCCAAGACCATTCTTCATATAATAAGACAATTAACAGATTGTGGGTTTGATTTATATGTATGGTGAACTAACACTGGAATGTATCTGAAAGATTGAGGCAGGAGAGGTAGTCAAGGAAGTAACCACGTCTTTCAGACGTGGCAACCGTGATGACCACCAACACAATAAGCCCTGGTGTTGACACTGTAGTCAAGCTCATTCAAGCAAAGCTATTTTCAGTAGGGAATTTCCTCTGTAGAGAGCATGCACATTTTGATTTTACCTGTCCTCAAACTGACCCTTTGCTCATTATAATACTAATATAAAAAATACTAATATTAAAAAAACCCCTGGGTGGAGATTTAAGACGTTAATGAGACATGCGACCTATGAATAAGCATGTACAGCTACTGCACATGTGCATCCAGAGGACCACCCACAATATGCTTACTAGTAACATCTCCTTCCACACCCTTATGAATAATCATGTAAGATTCCCATAAGGGTAGTCTCCCTAGGGCCAGTCCATGCTTTCTCTTCTTTATGAGCAGCCTGCCATGAATCCTCTCTCAGGGTGCACTGTCTATTCTGCACCCAGCTTTTAGAATATTCTTTCTCTTTTGCAATAAATTGCTCTATGCTGCAGCTCCTTTGCTGTGTGTCTCTTCTTTAAGTTCTTTTAAACTAATAAGACAAGAACTGAGGTCTCACAACAGCCATCAACAAGATTGTTGAAATTCTGGAAGAGTGATTTTCCCCATGGGTAATACATTATTCTTTTTATTATTTCAAAATACAGAGTGTGAAGTCAGTTATTCTATCATGCTGACTTCCATCATTTCCAGTTAATATTTCTAAAGATGCATGAAATTAAGAGAGAAAAATAGGAGTGTGAACTACCAGGAAGCATATATAAGAATGATACTGATGGTTTGGTGAATAAAATAACCCAGATTTGGGGTAAGAGTATTTCCCACTTTTAGAGGAGTTGAAAAGTTAAAACCTTTGTCAGTAAACATTAAAGTTCTTGCTAATTTATTTGAAGTAAATTACGAAATAAATTCTTTAGAAGGCAGCTTCTGCTGACTTATAGTCTGAAATTTGCATTAGGGCCATCATTATTACTTGTAGGGTTTCCCCAGCATCTGTGGCATTCTGTCTGTCCTGGAAGGGCTGTTTGGTTCAGCCTTCAGTGAGAAGTAAATATAAGGAGAGTCTGGTGTTGCTGTGCTATAGACTGAATATTTGTATCCCTCACACTTGTATGTTGAGCCTCTTAACCATCAGTGTGATGGTATTAGGTATAAGTCTTTGGGAGGTGATTAGGTTATGGGGGTGGAACCATCATGAATGGGATTAGTGCCCTTACAAAAGAGACATCAGAGAACTTCCTTCCCCTTCTGTCATGTGAATACTGGTGTCTGTGAATCAGAAACGGGACACTGAATCTGCCGGTGCTTCAATCTAAGGCTTCCCAGCCTCCAGAACTATCAGAAATAAATTTGTTGTTTATAAGCCACTTCATCTACGTTTTTTTGTTATAGCAACCCAAATGGACAAAGAAAGCTACATAACATTCCTGTTCAAACTCCAGCTCTCTCACTTACTATTGCATGACTTAGGACAAAAGTTTTGAAACTTTTTCAAATTCCAGTTTCTTTATCTAGAAATGGTCTTATTGAGGATTAAATGAAATAATGGTTGTAAAGCACTCAGCATTGTAAAGCAGCTGGCATACAGGCAGTACTACATTATAATGAACTCTTACAATCTTCTACAACAAATGAGACCTTTCTGTTTATTCAATTAAAATATCACAATGGGGAAAAATGACAGGAACTATGGTAAGGTTCTTATACAAGAGGGGGTTTATCATTATTCAAAAGTAGACTATATGTGTATCTATATATGTATGTGTATATATATGTTAAAGATGAATAAAACATAAAATATTACAGTGGTTCATTCAGGAGGGGGCTGAATAGCACTTCATTTTGACAAGCTAAAATGATAGAAGAGATTCATCAAAAGTCAGTACCAAGTTATGTAGATTCATTTTTTCCAAAGGATCATAAAATTGAAAAAAGGTTTTGCCGGTTAAAAGGAAATATTTCAAATGATCATGGACATGATTTTGTATTTTATAGAGCAAGAACTTAATATCTACTCTTTTAAATTTTTTTTTAAAACTCATAATCTCTACAATTATGAAAATTAGCTGGGCTATTGATTTATTTAGCTTGCTTCATTGGTTTGGATTAATTGGTTGGTGAGAGTTTATTGAAAGGAACTTAATCTCTTGGTGGGAACAACACTAATGTTAAAAGATAAACTAGTAGATGTACACTCTTGTCCACTTAGCAAAGTTGGAGAAATCTGGTTAGAGGTTTATCGTAATATTTGAGGGCTGAGAAGAGCAGCAACATTTATTTGAAGAAAGCCAGAGAATCTAATTACAGAAGAAAGAAGAGGTAAGGAAAAAGAAAAGGGAATGCACAATGGTGATAAGTGGGGTGTATGTGGGGAGCGTGGTCATGAAGCCTGATCATTTATCACATGAAATACTGGGTTGAGCTGAGGTTGAGTAATGTTGGACACTGCAAAGGCCCTATCCTTACTCCCTGAACCTTGGGGTAATCTTTAGACATTACCATTAATTATTTAGACTCAGAAGGCTGCAAAAACATCTTGATTCATTGGCAAAGTGACAAGCATATGGTGTGTTTTGCAAACCCCTAGCTTTCTGTTGAGGGGAGGCTAACATTAATTTCTTACAAATCCTGCAGGGACTTTCCAAGCCAGCCATTGTTAACATAGTTCAACTTCGAAGTTACAGAGCTTGGAGTAGTTTTGAAAAATAAGTTAGATACAAATGAGTGGCTTTATTCTGACTGGTGATGAGGAAGCTTCTGTGGCACCCTAGCTTTCCTGCAAAGAGCAACAGAGCATCGGACAGCTTTGCAGCTTGATTGATAGTGAAGGTGGCAGTCTATTTAGTGGGTCCTACAGGATGGTGCTCGGAATCTGGTGTTTCCCACAGAGCTTGGCACTCTATCAGCCCTGGCTCAGGCAAGAGTCCTGATTCTGATTCACTGAGCATGTGGCATGATCATGATCAGGCTGCCCTCTGGTTGAGGGAGATGAAAAGCCCACCCTCTCCCAATACACAGCTGTTGGAGGGCAACCCCCTATGGAAACATGAGAGGTGGGAGAGAGTGAATGGGGAGAGGTATGGTTGTATGAAATGAAAGACATACAAAGAACCCCTCATTGTCTTCAGCTCAGATACATATTATTGTATGGACTGCTTCTGACAGGTCATCAAATTTAAGCCCCAAAATTCCCTATGTTCTAGGGATAGATTAGTTCTACTTTCAATGCTGCGATAGACTTTTAGTGACTCCCTGGGCAAATAATTCACTTCTTGGCCTCTGTCATCTTTGTCAGCTCTTGGACCTACTCAAACCCCCATCAGAAAGGCAAGGTAATGTTTGAATTTTATTTATTGAACAAGTTGAATTGAAGGGAATTTGGACAAAAATTCTCTCTCATGGCAATAAGGGCTAGCAATTAAGGTACAAAGAAATGAAACTTATCTTAAGAACTAAGAAAAAAAAGCTGTTGATAGTACCAGCAGACGGTAAATAATATCAGCTATTCAGTCGACTCAGTCTGAAATTGAATGGGAAAGTAAAGGCAGCCAGCCCCATTTGGCAGTTCCATCTGCTCTGACCGGTTGAGCATTAAGGAAGAGAATGTGAGCAGGTATAAACAAGATTTAGATAAAAAGTATTTCTGGCTTAAGAAGCTGTGTGTTCACCCTGGGCCAAAATGATCAATCCTGGATTGTTCATAGGCAATTCGACCTCTTCTGCCAAAGAATCAAACTTTCTATTTTGAGAGGGGTCATCTGGTCTGTTTCAATGTGCTTCAGGCAAATCCACCTATAAATTAGGCCAGAGATAGAAGCATTGACCGTATTTTTTAAAAGGCTTCCCTGTCTGGAAACCTTTTTCTTATGTACAATCAAAACCTTTTTGGTTGCAAGTAAACCATTTTCCTTCCATTATTTCCCCAGTGAAAATAAAATATAAAGAAGAGTAACCACCTGTTTTCATAAGAAAGCCTTTAATGTATTGTGGCCATGTAACCACTCTCCCATCTTACCCAAGTTATGCAGTCCTAGTTTTGTTAGTATTTCTCCATACATGCTTTCTCCAAGTACATTAGCACCTGTTGCATGCTCTCATGAGTGGACTAGCCCTATATTTCATTCCTCTTCCTATTGAGGTTCTCACTCCTGCACCAGAACGTTCTAGGAAAGTGCAAATATTAGCAACAGCAGGATGTTCATCTAATTTGTGACTGTGATTTCTCAGCTTTGTCCACGTGTGCTTTATCCTAACAAGCTAACATAGGATCATTGCTACAGTCTTTTTGGTGCTTCTCAGGTTCAAGCCCACATTCTTCTCATTTCTGGATGCCACTTTCCAGCTATCAGACTGTCTTCTTCACAGAGAAGGTGCACTGTAGAGCAGAGATGGTGGGCTCAGCAAGAAGCATGCAGAGAGCTACTCCTGGTCCCTTAACGGCCATTTCCTCTTCTATGCCCTTGTGCATGCTGTTTGGTTGTATTGGCATTTCACCCAATAGTCTCTTCTTCTCCATGGAAATCTTCTATCCTTCTTTGGGACCCAGCCCAAATGTCGTCTCATTAAACCTCTATGATGGGTGAGGTACTTCATTCTACTCCTGCAGACACCTTTATTATCTAGTCTCCAAATGGAGGTCTAAGGCATCAAGGTAGGGACTTTAATTTTTTAAATATTCCCAGCATCTAAAAAGTACTTGGCACATAGTAGATGTTCCATAAATGTTTGCTGAATTAATTAATTAAATACTGGCATATAGAAGAAAAAGGCTTGAAAGTCACTAGCATGGAAGTTTTTTATTGAATTCCTAGGAGAGAGGAAAGGGAAAGAGAGAGCAAACAGCTCTCTGGAATCCAGCCACAGAAAAACTTCAATTGTGTGTGTGTGTGTGTGTGTGTGTGTGTGTGTGTGTGTGTGTAGTGGAAGGTGAGCTAGCAAAGGAAGTCATGGTCTGCTCAGATTGCTAGAAGAAGTAGGGTATTGTCATGTTACAGATGTGGAGAAAGAGAGTTTCAAGAAGGAACATTTTAAAAATAAAATCTAAGCCCTGAATCTGGGCTCTGCATGTTTGAGCCCCTGCCTACCTCTCTTCCAAGCTGTCTCCTGCTTCACACACCTGGTGCCAACTGTTGTCCCCCTGCTTGGAGCACCCCTGTGCTCCTGCTTCTCAGACCTCATTTCCATTTTCTGAGGCCTCCCTGAAATGCCCCCTCCCCACCACTCTTCCCGCATGACTCTCCTTTTCAGCCTCCTGCTTATTTCCTTCACAGAACTGATCAGATTTTAACTATATTAGTCAGGCATGCAAGTATTTTATTTTTTCGTCTGTCTGCCCCTAGCATGTGAACTCTATGAAGGATGGGACCTAGTGGGAGGAATAGATAAAAAATAATAACATAAGGCAGATGTGGATCTGGATCCTGACTAGAAGCCACACACTTATTGGCAACAGGCTATTTTTCTGCTCACTTCACTAGTCATGCTCACCTGCTCCCCTGCTCCCCTGCAGGGCTGGGACTGGGCACTCTCTCTTTTTCCTTGTCACTGAATTTTATAGGCTACTCTTTCCACTTCTCTGCCAAGACAGGGCTATCCCCCATCCATTTTAAATGCTTCAAAATGAAGACTTCTTCCTCAACTAGAACTTTTGAACTGTGCCTTTGATTTCCTGTTCTTCTCTTTTTTAATGAAGTCAAGTGGTAGGGCAATAATCTCAAGGAATTTTCCAGCCCCTGGAGATCCCTGCAAGAAGGGTCCATCAGGGAGGGGGTGAATTCATTGCTATTTTGGGCTTCGGAAGTGGGAGTAGTGAGTTGAGTTGCCTCCCGTCGCCTGCACCACGGGGCGCGTGTAAAATCTCTGCAAACAGTCCCAGTGTGCTTATAAAACCTCAGGTCACTGACAATTGCAGTGCTCATTTGCTGTGGCCAATTTAGCACTAATAAGCTGAAACTGGGCTTCAGGGATTTGTTGCCATGGCATGTAAACTCCCTTTAGAAACACATTTCCCAACAAGAGATTGCAGCCTAATAGATTTTTCCCCCTTCTCCATTTTTGTAAACTGACTTGTAGCTCATTTTGGAAGCATTTCCCCATTAGCTGACTCTCTGCTGCCATCTTTGTCAGTGCTGGAGTTCCACCGGGGGACAGTCGCCTGCTGTGGTCACCTGCAGGGAGAAGGGATGAAGAACTATCAGAGTCCCGGCTTTCCCCATGTCTGGAAAGAGTGGAGAGGAACTGGGTCTTGCTGAGCAAGTCCAGCCCTGCCAAACCCAGTTGCTTTCACATGTGTGTAGCAGACCTCGGCTGAGCACACAGCCTGGATGCCAAGGACAGGCCCTGGGCCAAAGTACCCAGGTGGGCCTGGTGCTCTTGTCCCTGCGGCCCTCTGCAGGGCTGGCCCTTGGACACGTCCAGCTGACACACACCCAGTACTTCACAGATGGCAGATGCCTACCCCTGCCGGGAAGGAGCCCACTTGGAAGCTCTGTATGATCCTGGTCACCTCGAGCCAGGAGAAGTCACTCTATTCTCAGTGACTTGGAGCCTCATGCTCACTTCTCCTGGTGAGACAGCTGATCAAACACCAGGCCTCACAACTTCCACACATTTGGAACAACACGGAAAGGCGGCTATTTCCTACAAGCACGAATGTAGCTCTCTCCCTACAGGTAATTCCAGTGGATTTAGGAGACCTCCTAGACTTGCTGTGGTTGCCAGCTTGAAGCTCGTCTGTAAACACTGACATGTCGGATTTGTCCCAAATAAGAAGGCCTGTCGTTTCCTCCAGCCCCACTCGAGGCCTGGGGACACAGAAGGAAAGAACCCTAGTTCCAATCAAAGCAACATTTTACCAGAAATCTGGCAGGCGCATGGCCTCCCCGTCCCCCTAGGCTGATTATGGAGTGCAGTCGCCTAATTGTTTGTGATGTGCCAAAACCCCGTTAGGAGTTTGCTCGTTACCTTGGAAGTTCTGCCAAAAAATTCTCTGTAGTTCTGGGCAGAGACACATGGAGACACTTTTGGGGCCAACTTTCTTTCATTACATTCAGCTAAAATGCAGACTGTCCTGAGAGAGGGGAGAGTGACTGGGGCAGGGGGAGTGAATAGGGGGTAGGAGAGGTTGGCCATGGGATTAGTTACAGCTGAGGGCCTGGCTTCACTTTCTCAGTTCCTCTGTTAGAAAATCACCACTTTGCAGTCATACGTGCTCCATTACCCAGGAGAGGCAGCTAACAGACACAAGGTTCAGGCTAGTCACCTGGTCAGGAGCTGCAAGGATGGTGGCCCATCGCCCAAGCACCACGGTGGTGGCAGAAATCTGCCCTCCCCTGGTGGTGCCAGTCCTCTGTGGTGGGAGGCTGGCATAAGATTGAAAACTACAATTTTTCTCCTATAAGGAAGGGTTTGTGTGCTTCATGCATGCATGTGTGTGACAGAGACAGAGGGACAAAATGATACTGTTATGTGTGTTTTTGGGATTCTTAACCCAACTATCTCCTAACATCCTAAATTTAATGTAAAATATACAGATTATACAGGAATCAAATGATTTACAATGGACTGACCCTGGCAGATGCTTGGCCTCTCTCTGGCCTGAGCTTCA
Source organism: Homo sapiens (assembly GCF_000001405.40). Taxonomy (NCBI): domain Eukaryota; kingdom Metazoa; phylum Chordata; class Mammalia; order Primates; family Hominidae; genus Homo; species Homo sapiens. Next base: position 25,387,110 of record NC_000007.14, read on the forward strand.
GGCCTCCTGCCATTGCCCCACACTCATTGGTCAAAGCCCCACACCTTCCAGGGCACAAGCTGGCCCCTTCTTTCCTAATGAATGTTAGCATGCACCCGATCCATCTATGCCTGTCAAGGACGTCACTCACACTTTGACTACAACTAGCAAATCAAACAAACACCTGGTGGCCAGATCTCCCTTGCCAGGGTGTTCTCTCTGTAACACAGATGGGAGGCAGGCACTAGATTGTTGCTGGGTGGGTGGTGAAATCCCGGTACAAAGAGGAAGGCCAAGTCCTCTCTCAGGTCTTAGGAAACCTGCGGCCTCTCTCCCTCTGATCTCCGACTGCCGGACTCAATCACTACAGGCAGTGTGGTCTCATTTAAAGAAAAATAAGTCCTGCTGGGCAAGAAGTTGGGAGGACTGTATGTTATTAGTTCCTTGGCGTTTGGATAGGAGTGTCAGCCAGGTAAATTATTTTCTACCTTTATGTTTCAATTTTTCTCCAATTTTTACTCCATCCCATCCCCACTCAACCCTGAATAATGGTGGCATCAATAACTTCCTTGTGAGACTGTGGTGAAAATGGATTATGTGGTTGGTGCATTTGGAATTCCATAAAGGAAATGGGCTACAAATTCAGATATCATCACAGGTTGACCAGAGAGACAGGTAAATGACACTGCAGAGAAGGGACAAACTTGGTGGTGGTGATGAACAGCTCATGAGATAAGGCTAGGCTTCATTAAGGCCACACAGTTTTGGATGTTCTTGTTGGGTGTCTATTTAAAGAGGATTGTGGGCCAAATGACAACTGCCAGATGGCAGCATGACAGGTAGAAACACCAAAGAACCAGAGGGTGTTTATTCTGGAGGACACAGGAGTAAGGGGACAACTAAAGTTTTTAAGCATTTGAAGGACTGCTGCTTTGAGGGAAGATTAGAGTTGTTCTGAGTAATCCTTGATAGGTGAAGGACTTCTGAGATTTGAAAAATCTAAAGGAAGACATTTCAAACAGTTAGAATCGTCTGGTTGTCCAATTCATTTCAAAAGAATATGGATTGAACACTAACATATATAAAGACGAAGAAAATCTTGATAATCTATGATTCGTAATCCTATGGTTTTCACATGTTAAATCTAAACCTCCCAATAATTATATTTAAATTACCACATGTCTAACAAGAAATCTTCATTTTTACTCCTCAAGCAAATTTGCTGGGGCACCCTGCAGATAATTAATCGTTCTGCCTTCACCCACTCCTGTACCCTTCACCAAGAATATGTGATTTTTAGGTTCTCCTTTTTAAAACCTTGTTTTAACCCCAGTGATGTTTGCTTGCTCCATTTTTCTGTGTCACCTCCAATATGCAGGTTGGCATTGAGTGTACTTAGTTGCCCCATCGTTGATTTTCCTGGTTGGGTCTGTTTATTATGTTGAGCACTGCGGTGGATAGGACATCTCCTGGCCACCCCTACCCCTAAACAGAGAGGGTTCCTCATGAGATGTGGCCTGGGGTAAATTATCCAGGAACCCTGACATCTGCTGATATGGAATCTTCAGTCACCTGGCCATCAAGGCCATTGCAAGGCTTCTAGTTTCCTTCACAGAGAGAGGTAGCAACACCAAGACCTCTTACTGGGTTCTACCAACCTAAAACTAAAGCTCCTTCAGATGTTGTTGCAACTTAGAACATTGGCAAATGTGTGGATACATTTGTGTAATAAGCTCATTACACACATAATAAAATTACATACAAACAGACCATTGTTGTGGTTTTATCTGTTTTAATCATTCACTCAACAAATATTTGCTGAGTGCCTATTATATAAGTCCAATGACCCAGGACAGATTCAAAATACCGTGGGATGAAGAAGCCCACAGGTTTGTGATCTTGTGCACTCCTGGCATAATTTTAAAGGTGAGAAAACGTAATGCATATGAAAGTATTTTTTAAACTGAAGCATTGTATAAATGTAAGAGACATCTCTTAATCATCAGTGGGAAATCTAAATCACGAAGTGTGGCATCTGTAACATTTTTATGATTCGTTTTAAGTGGCCTTTGCAGATGGGTGACTATTTACTTTGTATACTGCAAACATGTCAGGTTTTTTAGGGGTTGGGGTTCCCATTTTTCCTCTCCAAATATCACCAGACTGCCCAAAACATTCTGAACTGCTCTTTCTTTCCTCGGAGTTTCTCTGGAACAGTCACTTCCCTCCCATTAGACACTTCTTCACTGCTGATGAGGATGCAGGCCCAGGTCCCCTGCGGCCTCCAAGGATCATCATTTTAGACCCTTTTTAAATGTCAGTAAAAGTTTTATGCCATTATCTCATCCCTCTTCTATATTCTCCATCCTTCCCACTTCTCTAGCCTGAGGGTGTTTAGCTGGGTCTCTCTCCGTACAGAATTTTAGTAAGGAAAGCTCCATAAGCAGAACGTTGATCAAATTACTGCACTGTGGCTCTTAATGGACAATATAGAATAATAATATTAAAAGTGAAGAGTTACCACAAAATATGTTATTCCGACGACAATGATATGATCTTCAATTTAGAAGTCAGGCCTGGGGTTAGTAAGAATTCAGTCTGTCCTTGAGTGACCTCTGCTGGTTGATCTAGGATGAAGTCTCAATTAAACCTTTGGTTGGATTAAAAAAAAAAAAAAAGAATGGTAGGGAATCCTGAGATGACCGACAAAATCGCGCTGCGCTGGTAGGAACTCTCAAATACTCATGTTCTCTTCTGGCACTCTTGTTTGCCCCTTAGTGTGTGTACTAAGGCACCATGTAAATCATGTACTCCTCATGGGGAGGGGGCAGGTATTTGTATGATCATTTTACAGAGGAGGAAAGTGACTGAGAAGTTAAAACCACTGATCTGGGGTCACACAGCTAGTATGTAGTAGGGCAGGATTCTAATTTGGAGTCATCTCATACACAGCCCAGTCTGGGGCTTCCCCACCTGCCTCCAGGTGCCTCCTCTGTCATCCCAGAGATGCTGGGATGGTAAATAAATATGCATGAATAAGTCCTTACATGAGGGCTACTTGGGGGAAAAAGATTCTATGTAAGGATGTTACTACCATCTTACTGTATCTGTAATAAAACAATAAACTTGCTCTGATCTTCCTTTCAGTGTGACCCAGGGGCTAAGCCCTTATGTTTGCTAATTTGGTGAATGGTTGTTCTCTACTAATTTAGGTCAGGGATTTAGCTTTCATTTCCCTGATTAATTTAAGTCGACTGTTTGGCTGGTCATCTTGGTTATAAAGTTGTGCATATTGACATGTATCTTCCTTGTGGAGATTAATAACAAGTATCTATCTAGTCACTGCTCTGGGTACAACTATGTTTAGCATCTTGTACCTGCCCTTCAGGAGTTTGCAGCCAAGGAATAATCACCCTAACTAACACTTGTCAGATGTGAATGGGTGCTAGGGAAGAAAGAAGGAGAAAAGGTAGAACTTAAGCCTCCAAGAAAGGTGAGGCTTAAATAAACAAAGAGAAGTGGAATGTGCAAAGGAGAGGATATGAGGAAAAATATACAGAGACAGGAGGCAAGTATCGTGCTTAGGGTGCTGGAAATACACCCAGTTAGTATGGATAGAAGGTTTAGGTGAAGGCATGAGCTTAGAGGGGAGATGAGGCCAGACTGTAGGGGGTGGAGAGCCAGGTGAGGAGGTTGCTTCACTAAGGGGTTGGGAAACCTCCTCTTCTCGTGAATTTAAAGAGAAGTGTGGAAGCTTTCTTTCCAGGACAGGAGCCAGACCTGAAAGCCTCCTGAGTCCTTGCCAACCCTATGAATATTAATTCAGATGTTTGAAAAAGAGATTAAATACATATCAGTTTTAATAATCTCTCCCATTATTGATCACTGCTATGTGCCAGGCACCGTGCGAAGCACCTTACAGGCACTATTTCATTTTACCCTCCAGTTACCCTGTAAAGTAGATACTATTATTATCCTCATTTTATAGATGAGAGATTTTAATGTCATTGGACACAAACACCCATGCACTAAGCACATATGTGTCTAAGTTGCAAGTTTAAAGTGTTAGAATTCAGCTTCCCTTCACGTTACATCCTTCTGTATAGATGGTGATTCATTCATTCTTCAGATACCTGGTAAAACATCATCTCCAATGTAGACCAATGTGGAATGAATCTTTCCTTTCCCTGATGAGACAATACTACAGGGAATGGGTTAAGTGTTACATTGAATATCCTTAGGACAGTTAGGTAAATGGAACAAGTTTTTTATTTGCTTTTCTTTCCCCCAAAATAAATGTGTGGTTGAGAAAGAGTTCACCTTTGTAAGAAAAAGAAACTTATGTCTACCATTCTGAAATTTTCCAGATGGTGGCACTACTTCATCAGTGATTCCACACCGTTTTCTAGTATTTTTCTATGAGTTTCGAAGAAAGTTCAAGAAATCTTAAGAGGCATATATTTTCTAACCTACGATTTTTATCAGGATCCATGGTTTTTCAATACTAGATTTCATTAAACAACACAAATCAGAACAAATCAAGAAGTTACAAAAATTAAACTCCTGTTTTTCAACAATATTTAGCTCATTGTTCACAACTGCTGTGAACAAATTATTACAAATTAAAAAGCTATCACAGCCGGGGGTGAATTTTCTTTTATATTGAATAGAATTCCATGTAGAATGAGATTATAATGCTGGAACATAAGAAACAATACCAACATCCTATAAATGAAAGCGGGAAGGATGCTAACCCTCTAAGCCTAAGCTTAAAATAAGTTCTGATTTCTAACAATTAGATGAAAACTTTTCTTGTCACTTCTTGACAAAGTGAAAGCTTTCTCTTTAGGTATACAGCCACAAACTTCAAGAGATTTTTCTCTTTGATATTAGTCTTATCTTTTCCCGAGAAAACACTTTGAAGTGGTTATTTGAGTATTTGTTGTATGAGTGAAAGGACCTGATTTTGGTCCCTGCACGTATTTCCTGGCTAAATGGTTAACATTTTATGTTTTTGTATCCCTCCCTCTGAGGACCATCTCTCTTTTGTTTTATTAGCAATGCTAAAGCCTGCATCCCGTGACCCTGGAGAAGGGGAATTACATTATTTATTCTCTTGGAAGTAGCATTAAAATATTATTTCCCTCCCCAAACGATGTTTTCTAAACATTCTCTCTGATTACACAAAATTTTCAGTCTGTCCAGCTAAACCATATATTTTATGAGACATTTTCAAACAAGTGTGCTCAGGAACTCAAGTGTTCAGGGAGAAAATACAGCCCTCTGTGTAGCATCTAGAAGTGAAGTTGCCTCCTAATAAGTATACAGAGTGTGTAACTACAGGCTTGGGAGGTCTGTTCGTATTCATGGGAGTTAACAGCATAAATTCCAAGGGAATTCAGAGAACAGACAGTTAAAATAACACCAGTAAAGTCGCACTCACCGCAGCATACTCAACACAGCCTGTTTAATGTGGTGTGATTTTTATTAGGTAATGTGATGTACGTTAAGCCAGAAAACAAAAACAACTAAATAGGCAAAACTTGGACTAACCCCTTTCAAAATGTTTAATGAGAAACAAAGCTGAGAAAAGCAATCTTCTGAATCGAGTAACAAAGAGATTTTGGGTAGGGTTTTCCCAGCCAGGCCCTAGTGGTCAGATAACGGCTATCCGTATTCCTGTTCCCAGAACTCCTCACCAGTGGCTCTGGCTGACTCTCTCCTCCTGTTCATTGTGATGGCAGCTCATGCTAGCGGGCCACTTGCTGCCTTTGCCAGAATTCCCCAGTGTCGCCCTGGGACAGAAGCAGTGTGCATTTCTTGGTGAAGGTTATCTTTATTTACCCATGTTGTGGGTTGGTGGGAGAAAACCCAATGCATTAACATGTCACGGGGCCATCAGCCCCTGTGTCTCGCTACTCTTGGGTTCTGCAGTGGATCTTGTTCAAATCAGAAGCCCTCCAACCTCAAATCAGGCAAATTTTAAGTTCCACAGCTGCCAGGCTTTCAGTGGAAATGAGGGTGGCCTTGGGGCGCTATTTTGAAATCGCTGCCTAGAGCAGGAACAGAGAAATGCCTGCCCTACTTGTTTTATCAATTAAGCTGAGAAATCCAAAGTCAGTCCAGGAGGACTGTGTGCATACTCTCCCTCTCTCTCACCTTCTCTGACTCCCCTTCATTAAATGTGACTGGGTAGCCTCAAATATTCCCTTTATTTTTCCAGTGAGTATGTGAAACTTTTCCACTGCTAATATTCTACATCAAAACCATTTATTTCAATGTCCTTTCTGGAATAATCTCTTAGAGGCCTACCTCTCAGGGAGAGCAGAAACTTAGAACATTGAGACTTGAGCAAAAAATACACATGACTAACTTTATTTATTTAATGAGATCTCATTTATTAATGAAAAAGCTTCTAATAGATATATATTTGTAGATACTTGGTTAGAAGTAAAATAGCACCTTATATTCTAGATTGTATTCCTTTTAGAAAAGTACTTTCTAGTGGACAGAAAAATATTTACTTTTCTAATATCCAGTTGATGGATGTTAGCAGTAAGTAGGAAAAAGTAATCATTAATAACCCCACTGTGAATGGTTAAGTGTGGTAGATGCTTTTATCTTAACTGTATTGAATGGAATTTACAGTTAGGTTAATATTTTGCTCTTTTAACAGGAATTATAATAACCTAGTATAATTGTTTAATATGACTTATCTAAAAATGCAACAATGAAATAACTACTTGTTATTGAAGGTATCTCTGGTCCCAAAGCATAAAGTTAGCGAAATCTCAATCCCTCTCTCTGTTGCCCTCCCTTCAAGTTTACATCAGATGTCTTAACTGCTGCTACGTTTTTCTCTCCCAGCTTTCACTAAATAACCAAGGGTGGTCATCAAACAATAAATTCTCTTTGATATTCTTTCCAATTTCCTTCAAGATGCAGTGCAGCTTGCCCCTGAGAAATTTGAAACGTTTTTGTTTGTTGTGGCTTAAATTACCTCCTGACTTTTCTTTCCTTGGGTCGTTGTTGTTGATAATAGTAAGAAAAAAATGAGACTCCCCTAAGAATATGCCACTTTAAAATATATTTTCACCACCTTAATTCCCTTTTGAAATAATGTTTCTGTTAGCGATTAAATAAGGAGTTTAAGAGTTGGTGTCATGGTGTCTATAAATAAACTTGAGAACATGCATTTATAAAGAGTCATATTTTTATAATCTCATCTCCACTAAACAAAACAGTATTTTCTGGCACCTGTACACTCAATGTTTCATGTAGTTCTTATTATGGAATTTCCTTTCTCATTTGAGATTGAAGATAATTACTGAATACGATAGAAACTTTATAGCCATTAAAAATAGAACAGAAAAATGTTACCAGACGGCAAGTTGTTCACAATAAATATGAAACAGAACTCTAGTCCAAGCTTACATTCTCTTGATTCTAAAAGGACATAGGTTCCTTTCCTCTGATTCTTTAAAACATTTTTTTAGGAGCTTAGGAAAATATCATCAAATCATTGCCTAAATGTTAATGTAGTAGAAAATCTGTCTATATGTAATTCCTGTTTATATATAAAATGGCTGAATATTAAAATTTTCTTATGGCTTAACAATTAATGTAATTGTCATTTTGTAATCAGCTTTGGCAGTGCTATATTTAACTTTGGGCTGATTTAAGTAGAGGGAATGGCACTTGGAAATATAATGGCAAAAACAATGTAACACCTCAAAAATTTCCCTTCATCAAGAACTTACTGACTTTTTCTTTATTGGGTGAGAAGGATGAAGTTGGAAATGAAATCAGCTCATGAGGTAGCTATGGGTGCTTTTTCCACCTAAGTCTGCTGTGGCTTTCAGAAATCCTGATCCCTTTTCCTTAGTTACCCCAAATGCTCATATCTTAAAAAAAAAAAAAGAATGATAGCACATGGTAAATCTGCAGAGATACTTTTAAATTTAAATCTGAACTAGAGCAGCTTTGATCTTCTCCAAATTCATCCTTTTGTAGTTCAGAAACAAGCTCTTACTTTTAAGATTATTTTTATTTTATTTTATGAGATTATAGTATTTAATTTCAGAATTGCCAGATGAAAATAGGGCTCAACTTCTGGCCAAGTTTCTGAATGTAAATTGTATTCCTTTTCCCCAGAGTCAATGAGTCTATGGAGTTTCAAATTCATTGAAAATATGGGCAAAGCTCTTTTTTGCCAAACACAGCATTGCTTTTTTTAGCTAGCAGCTTTTGAGCATTTAGTTTATGCCAAAAGTTTACTGAGCAATTTACATGCATTATGTCATGTAATTCTCAAAAACTTTGAGTTAGAAACTAACAATATTCCCATTTTACAGACAAGGAAACTGAGACTCTGGCTAAGTAATGTGTTCAGTGGTACACAGCTAACAAGAAGCCAGAATTTGAACTCAGGTTTTGGGTAACATTTGCGCCAAATGCTATTCTAAATGATTTACATGCATTTATCTCATTTATTCAATCACAACAATTCCTCATGGTATTATTTTATTCCCATTTATCAGATAAGGAAACAGAAACATAGAAAGAGGCTACATTTCCACTCTGCACTAAGGCATTATTTTTCAATGTGTATTCTGCAATAAAATAAATTTACACTTAAATATATTTAAGAATGCTGCTTATCCCAATCTTTTACTTTAGCTCATTTTTGAATAGTCACCAGTTTGCTAGTTGTTCTGAAAAGTCCTGTTATAACAATTCTGTTTAGCCCAGTGTTTCTCAAATTTCCGTATCGCAGAAACCCTTTCATGTATAACTGCTCTTGCTATTCTGCAGAAAACACTTTGAGAAATATTCACAGGCTAGAAAATTTCAAGATGGTGGGTAACTGGCAAGGACATATTAGGTAGCTGGTATACCATATTAGGTTGGTATTTAGCACAACGTGTTGACGGCCAATTCTAATTGGTCAAATTTATATGACCTGCTGAAGGCAGATATGAAGAGCAATGCCCTTTCCAAAGAGGGAGTCTTTGCCGTTGGATGTGGCTGGTGGCCTAAAACAGGGTCCAAGAGACAGGGACTGAACTCCCTGCTGTTGGGCAAGGGGCATACCCAACAAGCAGGGAGGCAGGGGGCGTGCTGCCTCTGTGCTCAGCAGGCATGCTCAGGGAGGAAGCAAGTCTCCTTCCGACTTTATGCTGCCTGTGGCCACAGCCTCTTCCAGAATCATGACCCTTGTCATGTAATAGGGTGATGTAGGAACACCAGAGCCATTCAGGACAACTCTGTGGCCTCCACATTCAGGTCTCTCATTCCTAAATATGGTTGTCAAGAGACAGCAGCTCAGCTTGGAAATAGTTTGTGAAAGTCAGAACCAATCAGAGTGTGTTCTTGAGGATGCTGGGCTTGATGATGCCTGCTGATAAAGCTCGCAGATCACCTGCTGACGGTGGTGGTGCTGCCCACGAGGTGGGGAAACTGAAAGTGGTCCTGGGAGTTTTGCCAAATAAAAATAGTAAGAGCAGATCCTTAGCAAAAAAATAGAACGATTTGGGGGTGAGGGGTGGAGTGGGGGGGGGGTTATTCTTTGAATAATTACACTGGCTTTTAAGAAAATGTTAACATTTATCTTACTGCGACATTTGCCTCATTGAAGCTGAGCTGTTTTTCTCTCTTTTCAATGAGATATTGAAGGAGCCCTGAACTCTATGATGAATGTTAACTTTTTAATGAAAACTCTTGTACACTGTGTCCCAGAGGCAGGGCCTGCATGGGCTATTGAGAGAAGCAAGCTCAACGAACCGCTGCTCAAAATTCCAGGAGGTTAATAGGCAAATCAGCCTGGAAATGAAGAAACCAGCTGTAGTTCTTCTCTTTCTGGGCTTTTCTTATGATTCAAGGCATCTGGGCACCATCTTTGTGCATAAATATTCCATTTTTCAACTTCTGGGGGTTTTTTTTGGCAAAAGGAGCCATTTGTTTTTTATTATTATTAATGGCATCCTCTTTTTTGACAAGTTCCAGACATCCTTGCCAGTTCAGGCCACTTAGGTGAGCTAGGAGGGGGCATCTTGGCCTGGATCCTCACCTGACACCTCTGCTCTGGCTGAAGCTGAAAGGTCACATCACCCCTTTGTCCCTGCTTCCTAGCGCCAGTCCCTGTAAGGAAATCTACATGGTGGGGATGAAAAAGTCAGAGAGACTTAAGAGCTGAAAAAAACCTTCAGACGATTGAACCCATGGGCTCTCAAACTTAGCTGTACACCAGAATCACCAGGAAGTTTAAAAATTATGGATGCTGGGCTTTCCTCAGAGGTCCTGATGTAATTGGCTGGGGGTGCAGCTCATGCACCTGGAGTCTAAAGAGCTCCCAAGGGATTCTAACGTGCAACAGTGTTTGAGAACCATTGGCCTCACCCAGAATGCATTCTGCAGCTTCGTGGGATGGTGACAGGAGGGTCTCTCCTGAGTACTCACTGACGGCTCCCTCCACCTTCCTTCACCAAACTGCTTCTGAAATAAAACCAAGAAGGTCCGGTGGTCACTGGGACGAACTAGGCTAACAAACATTTTGTTTTGTTTTATGGGAGATTTCCCACAGCCTTGAATATAACGATGCACATTTTTCATCCCAATGTGCAGGGAGGAAAGCGCTTCCCACATTTATCGGATCCCTAATTTCACAGATGGGCTAAGAGAACTAGGGTCCGGGGACCTACAGATTCCTCTCCTTGGGAAATGCTGCTTCTCATCTAAGAAATGAACCTCAAGGCTTAAAACCTAGATGACAGGTTGATAGGTGCCGCAAACCACCATAGCACATGAATACTTATGTAACATGTGCATGTTCTGCACATGTATCCCAGAACTTAAAATAAAATTTAAAAAAAAGTTGACACTGAAAAAAAAAAGAAATGAACCCCAAATTGGTGGGTTCACATGCCTAGTGTGTTCCTAGCGTATCTCACACCCACAGCAGATCATTCATAACACCTCCCTCCTCTGTGGAACAGCATTGTTTTCAGTAATAAGCATGTAATAAAGGACATCATTATCCATTTGATGATTTTTCTTTAGTTTGAAAAAACAAACATTTTAAAAGAAGGATAAATTTCAATTTAAAAATATAATTCAAATTTAGTTAAGTATTTCATGAATGAACTAGAATTTGTACTTACCAAACAAAAAATGTACACCTCACAATTCATACTATTTCACTTTTATAAATTTTAAATAAAAACTTCAAGTAGTCACAGAGAATGACAGAATCGAAGTAACTCAGGTTCTGTGTTTTGTCTTTATAATCCCTTGCTATCATTGTTTATTCCAAATCTACTGTTTAGGATTCTATAGTACCATGGAACGGAAGATGTAAATTGAGCTGATAGTGAGCTCAGACGGTACTAACCCATTGCAAACTTCTCTAGAAACAATTGTATGTGTTATGTATTGAGTTCACATGGGTCTCAGCCCCACTGTGTAACCGGGAATTTTAAAAATTAACTTCCACATTAATTTAATAAATACATTTAATAAATAAATTTAATATTTATTTAAAGATACGTAATAAAAGATGCCAACTTGAAGCACATATATATGTTTATTAATTCATCTATTTATTAAAATCAATTGCTTAGAACTTAGATCAATTGACTCGAGAGGGAGAAGCATTTTATCACTGCTTTTCTTAGCATGGATGGTGGGTGCTGATAATAAAAAGCAGACTGACTTTAGTTAGTTTTATTATTGTATAAAATTCTCTACAGACAGTGCGCCCCCTCACTGCCTACCCCAAGGGCAGACTACTCCCACCATTTCATCTTCGTACATCACTGGTTCAAGGTTAACCAAGGTCACAAAATCTAGCAGTGGAAGTTAAAACTAACACCCAGGTCTCTTGATTTCCAAATCAGTGCCTTTCTGTGTACAACATGCTGTGAATAATACATTCGTTTCTGAAAAGGGCTCAGAAACATTAGGCGAAACTTCCAAACCACTCTATAATGAACAATCACAGCAATACAATTGGAAATCTAAGAGTCAGCCAAAATGTCTATTAGTCCATTTGGTCCAGTGTGTATTGAGTTTCAGATCATTTCAGCCCAGAGGTCTGGGTGACATGTGTCCCTTCAGAAAATAGAGATTGCTGTCGCTTTAATAAGGAGAAAATTGTTACTTCATTTTGTTAACAAGATGCTTGTATCATACTGAAAAATTCATTCTCTGTGTTCAGCTTGAATATTATATTCATTATGTTTCCTAATCTGTGTGATTACTACCTGTGTAATTTGATGTCTGGCATCTGCTATCGGAATTCTTTCAACCCATTATATTTCCCATCTTTTTTTTTTTTTTTTTTTTGTAATGGAGGATAAGATTGGGACATGGAAAATTGCTGCAGACCGCCTAAGGCAAACTGCAACCAGCCGGCAGCTGGAGCAGCAAAGGATGCGATGTCACAGGGGCAGCTGAGAGAGGCGGCCTCCAGGTCTATGGTCTGCTGTGACAGCCCAGGGTAGGAAATGGAGTTGGCCAGTTTTCTAACCTGGGGGATTGGCCATTCCCAGATTATCTTCAATAACTCAGGCTGGCATTATCCATTCAAATAAATTATTAGGATAAAATAAGTGGGTGCTAAGTGGGCAGTGAGATGCTAGCAGATTGTTACTTGGGGTACCAAGTGTGAGACGTGGGTATTGGAAAAACAACAACAAACTTGCAGCAAATTATTTTTAGATAAATATTAAGTGCCCACATACAAATAACAGAACAAAAAAATGCAAACTGTCCTTTCCTTTTCTCTCCATTCTAACTACACGCAGCTCTTTAATTTAACAGGTAGTACGAGTCAGGTGCTACAGCATAGCGGAAAGAGAATGAGTATTGAAATCAGGCATACCTAGGTATAAATCCTAAGTCCGACCCACACTCAGAGCAGATTAGAACTCTTGTTTCACTGGTTTAAAAGGGAGACTAGAATATCTACAGTAGTTCCCACTTATCTGCAGTTTTGCTTACTGAGGTTTCAGCTACTCACAGTCAATTGTGGTCCAAAAATATTAAGACGTTTTGAGAGAGAAGCAGAGAGAGAGACACCATATCTACATAACTTTCATTTTAGTATATTATTATAATTGTTCTATTTTATTATAAGTTATTGTTGCTAATTTCTTACTATGCCTGATTTATAGATTAATCTTTATCATAGATATGTCTGTATAGGAAAAAACAGCAGATATAGGGTTCAGTACTATCTACAGTTTCTGGCATCTACTGGAAGCGTTGTGGATAAGCAGGAACACTGTACCTCATAGAGCTGTTATTAAATTAACTTATATTAAATCTTACATGATTATGTATGTAACACATCTATTCAGACCATGGATCATAGTTCTCAGTAAGTGATTAGAATTATTTATCTTAGTTTTGCATCCTAGAGGCAAACGGGGCATCAATTCCAGAGTACCTGCTTGGCATTTCATTGCCTTATGTAGATTAGATTTAAAAATTCCCAGGCTAGGCGCGGTGGCTCACGCCTGTAATCCCAGCACTTTGGGAGGCCAAGGCAGGTGGATCACGAGATCAGGAGTTTGAGACCAGCCTGGCCAATATGGTGAAACCCCATCTCTAATAAAAATACAAAAAAAGTAGCCGGGCATGGTGGCAGGCACCTGTAGTCTCACCTACTCGGGAGGCTGAGGCAGGAGAATTGCTTAAACCTGGGAGGAGGAGGTTGCAGTGAGCTGAGATCGCACCACTGACTCCAGCCTGGGCGACAGAGCAAGACTCCGTCTCAAAAAAAAAAAAAATTCCCCCAAATCAATCCCTTCTGCCTATCCCTAAGATGCTGTTAATGTTGTGTCAGAGGCTACTGTGGCAATGGGACTGGAATGCAGGCACTTGAACCATCCAGACCTTGATTTCAACCATGCTTTGCCTTGTGCTATCCATGCAACCTTGAGAAAGTTTCTTAATCTCTTTCAGCCTGAGGTTTTTTTCCCCTCTGTACAATGGAGAGAATGCAGGCATCTATCTTATTAGGTTCTTACAGGGTTAAGTGAATTAATCCATGGGAATTGCTCGGTGAAATACCTGGCGTGTATATGTTGGCTGTCATTTAATGTATGATGTGACTTTAATGGCTGGGTTTTTTCTTTTAAATAACTGGTTCATCCCCTAGGGGTGGACAAATAGGTTCTCTTCTATCCTCTGTTTATTTTTGTTGTCACAATCCCCATAGTCCCTGAAATTCCTGGTATAGGTAAGAATGCCTGCGTTTCCTCTTCCTCATGTCCAGGTGTCTACTCTCCCTGCATGCCCTTCGCCATCCTCCTTTATTGTCCTGTGTACCTGCTTTCCATGCAAAACCACGATTTGCCTTTCATGAGCTCCCAGATTCGTAACAAATGCTGGGATAAACAGGGAACATTACTTTTCCTCCATATCAAAATCACAATCTCCTATTCCCCAACCCCTCTGCAAATGTGAACCCCTGTGGAGCCAAGGCTGGTTACACCACCAGGACCAGATGTAGCCTTGTCCCTCCTTGAGACCATCAGGCACAGGTGAAGCCTGCACAGAAGAGCCTCTGCTGGGGCTGAAGATCTTGCTCCAGCCTGACCCTCACTGGGAGACCTGCCCCTTCACAGGGCAGCCAGCCCACTGCATGGGTCCATGCTCTAATCTCCCACTTCCTTCTGTCCTCAGGAAGAGGTTGGAAAGGGACATGTTCATGATCTTTGCTAAGAGCAGACCTTTCAGAGAGTTTGTGAAGGGTCAGTCATATGGCCCTTTCATTCCTCTGCAGCCCCTTCCCCCACCATGCACACAGCAGCCTGAGGAGGAGGCCAAAGTGTACCTTCGGGAGAAGACAGAGAAAATTTCAGGTGGGGCTCTAGTGCTTAACTAGCTGCATGATTCGGAACAAGCTCTTTAAACTCTCTGAGTCTCAGTTTCCTTAGCTGTAAAGCAGGGATGATAATGTCACATACTTTGTAGATCTGTTTTGATAGTTAAATTAATAATGTATATCATGTTTCTTGGTACAATGCCCAGAAACATAGAAGGAACGTAGTAACTGTGAGCTTCCTTTCATTATACTCCTATTCTATCTTCCATGCTAGAGACATATTTTTTTTCACAGGTTAGTATTTCTGAGATTGGTTTGTGTCTTACAATCAATGATGTCTTATGATAAAATACCTTAAAAACTACCATTTATTGTTGTCTACTGTCTATAAATAACTTTCCATGAATTATTTTATTTGACCCTCCCAATAACTCCAGGATGTAAGTACTATTCACTCTTCTTTACAGACGAGGAAGCTGAGGTTCACAGTGGTCACATAGCTAGTTAGAGGTGGAGATAGGACAGACTCCAAAGCCAATAATCTTGACAGCCCCCAATCACCCATGACAGAGTCACCAAAAATTGTAAAGTAGGGGAGATTTTTCTTTGCCAAGCTCTCACCTCTTTCACTAAAGCTCACCTATCTCCTCCTAGCATTTCCACCAATGTGATCACCTGAAGCTAAGAAGCCCATTGCAGACACTCCACATACTCCCAAAATAGTCTGGGTTTCCTGTTACTCACCCAACTCCATTGGCCTTATGTCCTAGAATTAACTGACTGTCACATATGGTCATTACTCATTTAGGTGTTATGAGTAAAAATAGATAAGAATAACAGAGTATTCATATAGCACTCATCGTGTATCAGACGCTGTTCTGAGCCTTTAGAATAAAACTCATTCTACCTCACAACAACCCTATGAACTGAGTATGACTAACAGTCCAGTTTCACAGAAGAGGAAGCCGAGGCACGGAAAGACTAAGTGACTTGCCCAAATCACACAATTGACAATTGGTGGAGCCAGGATTGTACCCACATCATCTGACTTCAGGGTCTGTATAGGCTGCCTTTCTATCCCCTCTGAAAAGAGGGATCCTGGGGATAGAATACATTAACCAAATACATTAATCTTCTAAAAAAGTAGTTTTCAGGCATGAGACAGGTGTAGAGACTGAGAGAATTTTCTCCAGAGCCCTCATCTTGTACTTTAAATGGTTTTTTGAGGCAAGGATCTGTATCTTTTAGACAGTGACATGTCTGTCAATTTCTCTGTGGCATCCCATGAAACTGGGACCAACTTCAGGGCAGGGACCACATCTAGGATATCTTTTGCATCTCTAGCACCTCACCCAGGGCCCCTCTCTAGTTCAGGCTCCTGGACAATTGTGACAATAGTTCAGGCTCCTGGACAATTGAGATAATTGTTGTCTCCCGGACAATTGTGACCATAGCCTATTTGCTTTCCCTCCCCTACCTCTCACCAGCCCCTGCCTGAAAACATCATGCTTAATGTTTCTTACAAAAGGAATTAAGATGTGAAGCTGGTCGTACCACTCTCCTTTTTAAATTCCTCATAGCCTATAAAAGTTTCGCCAATTGTGTTCCATAGAACACTACTGCTCTGTGAAATACAGGATTTCAGTGGAGAAAAAAAATACGACAGATGGATTTTTTATGACATTTACCAATATACACAGAACTACAACATTAAGCACGTTTATATAGTTATCATCATGCCGCTGGTTACCTTTAAGACACGTCCATGCCTAAAAGTGCATGGAAGTTATATGAAAAATCACATTGCAATGACATGCCAGAGGATTAATCTAAGCATGGATGTCCAGGCAGCATTTGCCTACTTACAGTCACATTGGAGATTATCAACCTGATACTTGCAGATCTGTTACACACCTCATTTCAAAATTTCAATATATACTTGTGATATTATCTAGTAACTACTATATGTGAAATCTCTCCAACAGAACTTTCTGGGATAACGGGAATTTTCTAGACCTGTAACATCCAATATGGTAGCCATCAGCCACATGTGGCTATTGAGCATTTGAATGTAGCCAATGCAACTGAAGAGCTAAATTTTTAATACTACTGGATTTTGATTAATTTAAATTTAAATAGCTGTGTGTGGCAGGTGACACAGCTCTATATCAGACAGCACAGCTCTATATTGACTGTGTTGATCAATCTTTGATTTTTCTTGCAGTGATTGATTTAGCTGAGTGACTACTGTCTCCTGTGTCCTTTAGTCCAAGCTGGTGTTCCCTTGACACACCAGCTTCATCTCAAGTTTTTTCCGCTTTGCTTTAGTCATGTTGAAGCCCTTCTTGTTCTTCTTGTATACTCTGCTATTTCTTTCCTTGTTGCCTTTGCTCACTTCCATACCTGCCTTCTCTTCCCCGACTCATCCTTGAGGTTCATCTCAGGCCTCTAGGTTGGCTCCCATCATCATGGCACTTCCACTTTTGGCTGTGTGTATCCCCAGCTGTTAGCAGAATTCCCGTTTGTCCCATTGATAATATCATCATTTATATATGAAAAGCATTTCTTTTGTGGCACTCTTTACAACGTTGGGTTTTTTGTCAGGCATCTTTCTTAGATGAAGAGTGACAAAGTATTAAAAATGATAACAATCTTCATCCCCTGTAATTTTTCCTTAATGCCTCAGAGCAGAAGAGCAGTGGCATACACCAGGTATTAGTTATCTATTGGTGTGTAACAAATTACTCCAAAACTTGGCAGGTTAAAACAACAAACCTTTATGATTACACAGTGTCTGTGGGTGAGAAATCTGGGAGCAGCTCGGCCAGGTACTTCTGGCTCACAATCTCCCATGAAGTTCTCATTGCCCTGTCAGCTGGGGCTGCAGTCATCTGGCTGGGGAAGCATCTACTCCAGAGCCCATTCATGTGGCTGTTGGAAGGTATTCACTCTTCACTATCTGTTGACTGCAGAATTCAGTTCCTCACCATGGCAGCCTCTTGATAGACTGCCCAACTGGCCTCACAACATGCAAGCTCGCTGTCTTTAGAGGGAGTGATGAGAGAGAGAGCCCTGGATGTAGATGTCCCAGAAGTGACATGCCTCCCTTTTTGCCGCCTGCTATTGATCAAACAGAGCAATCCTGGTACAGTATGAGAGAGCCTGCAATGGGTATGGATGTGAAAGAGTAGAGACCTTGGAGGCTGGTTACTGTCCACCTTAATGGCACTATTGCAGCAGGATTCTCACTGAAGTGCCCCTGAACCCAGTAAAGGTGGTGGAATCTGTGAGTGAGAATGCTCCCCAGTGTTTCCCCAGGTGTCAGACCCTCAGCAACCAACTCTCACAGAACCTTCTTGTGTGTGGACACTGATGAGGAAACTCTCAGGCAGAGGTAGAACTGGGCGTGGAATCTCCAGCCTGTCCTTCCTCTCATCCTTGTCACCAGTGGACTGTGCCTGGGCAAGGCAACCCTGCTCTGGATTTCCCTTGGCTGTTTCACAAAACAACCCTCTAGCTTCCTCATCCATTAAATGGGTAAGCTCATACTTCCTGAGTTACCCAACAGGACTGGTGTGGACCCACAAAGAGAATTTAGTAGACGTATCTCGTAACCTGCCCAGCATTTGATATGCACAAGGTGAATTTAGTAGATGTATCTCATAACCTTCCCAGCATTTAATATGTATACGGTGAAACCTTGGGGGCCTAAGACCCTCACGGTGAAGGCCACCCTTCTGTCCTCTTCTTCCTCACACCTGCTTTCCTCCATCATGTGCTCTCCACAGGGCCACACATTGCTTCTACTTTAACAAATCTGACCAGCTGTTTTCTTTCGGTATCTTTTTATTGCAGCTAAAATACCAAGGGCTGCTGGGGGAAGCTGCTGAAAACACCACAGGCCCTGGGCTTCACTTCAAAGTGGCTTTCATCATTCTTCACACGCTGTTTTCAGAACCCTCCTCTGCTCTCTCCCGGGAACCAAATTCTCGTGGAGATTTTCCTCAGTGATATCACTATTTACAGAACTCTGGCCCTGGACATCATGTTTCTATCTGATTTGTACTTGTCCACATGGCTCATAAAGTTTATAAGGGGGTTAGAGAGGTTTTCCTTGCTCATAAATCTTTCCCTGCAGTCTCCCTCTAGGAGTGGGAAAAAGAGAGGCAGGAATGAGAGAGGAGGGTGCGTGAGATTGGAGGGAGGGCATGAGGCTCTCTTCTTTGAGTGTCTCCCCTTCATTTCCCTCCCGTGGCATCAGTTGGACAGTAGAACGAAGAGGGAGCACATGAGGGCCCAGAAGATGACCATGCTGGGCAGGGAAATTAAATGTTTGGAATCTTCCTCTCATCATCTGTTAAGTGGGGATAATCACAGTGCCTACTCATCAGGTTGTCCTGAGGATTAAACAAGAAGCACAAAGCATTTAGCTTGGGGCATAGAAATTAGCAAAAAATACAATACGTTTTAACTAAAAAAAAAAGTGACCAGGGTCTTCTGCGTTATCCATCCACTGGGCTGACTCTCTCCCAGGCATCCCAAAATGATCGTCCTAGCTGACTCGAGTTGTTCTCACTCTGAAAACATGGCTGCTCAGAACTTCTTCCTGCAATGGGCAATCTGCTAGCCTCAAGCTCTTAATAATCACTGGTGTAAAAGTCGCTCTTTACAAGCATTTTTTTTTGCATTTTTAATGCTTAGATTAATTCAATTTTAAAGTAGATCTGCTATTGCATACCACTCCATGGATAGCTATGTGAATATTTCTGAATTTTAGGAGGAAAAATTTTGGAACTTAAAGTGAGTATTTCATATCGACTTTCCCCCTGCCCCCGCCCCACTTGAAATAGGAAATGTTGACAGGCCAGCAGAGATACACTGGAAGAATAATAGATCAATAACAATTCACCACTGGTCATACAAATTCCCCTGGCAGTTTCAGCCAACTGGGGTTCAAGAAAGTCATTACAGGATGTGTCTACCCAGGCAAGGCAAGGGAGAAAAGATTGTGAAATTATGTTTTGAATTGCCTTGAACTATCAAAATAGGTAATCTGGAATAAAAAAGAAATTTGATTCCTGAATTATTTACAATCATCTTGAGGATGTTCTCATCTCTGAAATCCAACCCCACACCTCCTCCCCAAAATTGCCATTGTTTTCCATGATGTAGCCATAGTGATCTTTTAAAAATGCAAATCTGAGTAGCCAATCCTGTTCATAAACCCTCAATGACCTTTTATTGTCCTTAGGTAAAACCAAACAGCTGAACATGGCCTTTGTGCCCCAGCAGGATGGGGCCTCATCTACCTCCCCAGCCACACTGCAAAGCCCATCTGAGCTCCCTCCCACTTCCAAACCTCACATGCCTTCCCCTCTGCCTGCAAGTTCTTCTTCCACCCTGTGTCTAATTAACTCCTACTCATCCTTCAGATCTTAACCTGTATACTACTCATTCCAGAAGCCCTCCTGACACTCCCCCACCTACCTAGACCACTTAGACTGGCTGGGATCCCCTAGTTACATGCTGTATTCAGCTTAGCGTGCTTTCTCCAGTCATTATTATATGATCCATTGTGTATTTATTTGTATAATGTTTGTATCTCCTGCTAGAATGTGCTTTATTTGAGAACAAGGACTTGGTCTTTTTTATCCTTTCAGCACTTTGAACAGTGCCCAGAGCCAACTAGGTGCTCAATAAACATACTGTTCCATGAATGTCTAAGTCCCAATATCAGCAGCTATCCAACCATTTCTCCATCATGAAAGGCCTTGATGAACAGAATGTGATCTGCATCAGAATACATCTGATGGATCCAGAAAGTTCCCAGATTTCCTAGAGTAATTGAATCATAATCTTTTAGCAATTGAAAAGATGTTCAATTTTATTAAACCCCCTCTTTTTAAAGATGAGGAAACCAATGCAAAACAAGGTTGAAGTCACTCAACTGCTTAACTACAGAGGCTAGGATGCAGTCTTCAAATTCCCCATCGTGCACACTTCCTAATAAGCTAGTAGATCCTCAAAATGCCAAACAAATGCATAGTTCAGTCATAACTGTAATTGTGCATTTTGCATATTGCCACCCCTGCCCCCACTCCCCATCACTTGGCCAGCACCTGTCCCTCTCTGAGAAGAGAAGATGCAAGCCTTCATTACATTGTCACTCTCCCCTATCCTGACACCATTCAGGCCCTTGCTTTGAACTCTGCGTTACCATGGCAACTGCTCTTCACGAACATCAACATCACTGGCCACAATGGCCTATGCTGAGGTGGATGGCTGCCAAGCAAATCATAGGCAATTTCTTTCTTTTTTTTTTTTTTTTTAAGTCAAGAAGGCCGAAATCCTCAGATCAAGTTCGAATTATTTGGAGGATGTGTATGTCAGGGACACTTAGCATCAGTTTTGATGGGAAGGCAGATAAAAGCTTGATTTATGATGAGGATAGGGGAGGCACAGGTCAGTTCAGCTTCAGAGCTTGCAGAGCTCTTTCAGAAGCTCTTTGATGTGAACAAGAAGTTGGAAGTTGCATAATTCTTGCTAATTCTTGTTGGCGGTCCAGACACAAAGGCTGCTCAAACGATCTGGAGTGGCCAAATAGGCCAAGGGTGCTTGTTTTGTCCTTCCTTCTCCACTATTCCCCCTCCTCTTCATCTTTCCCAGCAGGCCAGGACCCAACACGTAGGTTTTGTCCCAAGGAGAGAGGACCTTAGCTTCACGGGAGTAAATTTACAAGGCTGTCAGGCTTGGGATGTAATAGGCGCTGCAAGGGGTTCTATGTATCAAGCGAGGTGGTCTACCTTGTTATAGAGACTGGCCACGGGGCAGCCTAAGGTGAGTTCTGACTGCCTGGGATGGAGATCTCCCATCTCACAGGGAGAAA
The DNA here is from genome assembly GCF_000001405.40 of Homo sapiens. Classification (NCBI taxonomy): domain Eukaryota; kingdom Metazoa; phylum Chordata; class Mammalia; order Primates; family Hominidae; genus Homo; species Homo sapiens. The sequence continues at coordinate 25,408,805 of NC_000007.14, forward strand.
CAAATGCCTTACAAATTGGTCACATCCCATTTAGATCATATTAATTTCCATCACCGACTCCCAGGGCTAACAGGCAGTATTTTTCTTCCTTTTGTTTCTTCTCCCCATCCCCCAAGTGACCTCCTCTATTCTTTTCTCTTTCATCCAATAGTGTCAGCCTGACTGTTTCTAGTTTGCTCAAATTTCATTTTCATATTTAACTGTTGCGCTTGCCAGCCCCCAGATAGTTCGCATTGTAAAACCCGTGCTACACATCCCCCTTACAGCCTGCTTTCCATCAGCTTTGCTGAAATCAAGTTGCTGGATCAGTCCCGTGTGTTAGCAGGGTAATAACTTTCCTCAGCTGGACAAAATGGTGCAGAGAGAGTGTTGCTTTTTCTGCTTCAAAGGCTTCAGAGATTCCTTTAACCACAAACATGAGAATAGAACGTAATGGATATACAAGAGTCCCACGATGGCAATCTCCCTGCTGGAAATGCTCATGAATTACCTGTAATTTACCTCAAAATGTACCACATGTTGGACTGCAAGATGCACTTTTCCTTTTTTACTTAAATGGGCTGCTATTCAGAATCTTTTTTTTTTCCTTCGATGTGGGACTAGATGTTGAGAATAGTTTGGGGGAAAATGCCCCATAGAAGCTTCACAAATTAAAGTTTGCACAGGTTATCATGTGAGTGCTTTGTTGAAAGGAAAGAAAGTGAAATTAGGTGCAATTTTCTCCTTAATACACCATCAGCCCCATAGGGCCAGGATGGGAAGATTACCAACACTTTGGGAGGGGAGAAAGCATGAGTCACTAATTTGCCGGTTCCCTTCATGCATTTTCTGCAACGGGACAGAAATGACATGCCCCTCCATGGCTTGACTGGTGCAAGGTTGATGCACCAATCACAAGTCATGGCAAAACCGCAGTTACTTTTGCACCAACCTAATATGTAGTCAGGAGACTTGAAGAGAGCTCTGCCAACACAGAGGAAGGGTCCCACATTCTAAGGACACAGGGATCTAGGACATCTCTTTGCCTTTTGTGATGTCCTAGACAGATTTGCCATGTGCTTCCTCCTCCATGGTTACAGTGATGGCTAATGAACGTGTATTTTTAAAGAGTATCCAAACTTTTACTTCTTCAAATGAAATCTTTTAAATGGTATCAGAACATGGGTTTTTAATCTCTTGGAATCTGAACAGATGCAGAAGGGGAAGCACAAACAATGGCAAACCTGATTTTCCACCTGGAGCCGTGGCCTTGTCACTAGCCATGTCACATCTGTGCTTTTGAAGGGAAATGTCATAATATTGCTAATCAATAGGAGGAGTGACAGGCCCATTTGTCAAGAATGAGCCAGCACTGCAACTGTTGTCCTCTGCATCTTTCTCTTGGGCTTTGCAAAGGGAAGCCCAGGGAATGGACTGCTCTGTGTCTGGGGCAGCCCCCTCCTGTGCCAGGGTCAATAGAGAGCCCCCCTGGGTGAGAATTGTGAGCCGTCTTGCCAATGTTCTGCACAAGTGGGGCGGAATATGATGGCTAGGGCTACAGAAGAAACATCGAGTTTCCAAGAGTGGTGTGCAAAAGCAACCAGACACCATGCAAGAGGAAAGGGTCTCCTGTATCAGGAAGTCTATTGACCTTTCATCTGGGGAGTGCAGTTGTTCATGTGTTTCTTTTGAACTGCAGATGTTTCTTGCTGCTCTGTTGGTCAGAGGACAAGTAGGTCATTTCAAGAGAGGAGTGAAGCGAAGGGATAGATAGGATTGGTACTCACTGACAATTTTCATCTTTGCTCTGGAGGAAAATGTAACCAGAGGGTGGAAAAGGGTGGCAGGGCAGTTTGTACCCCATGCCCTGCTCCACACTAGCTCCCTGGAGCTGATATAAACCCAGATGGCAGGGACTCACCACTGCAATCAGATTGGTCATGCATGGGGCCTGGGTGTGGGCTGAGGTGACAGGACTGAAATGCCCTTTCCCATCCCACCAAAATAATTTTTAAATTAGAAAATTAATCTTAATCGACACTTGTATCTCCAGTTTTAGTTGATCCAGAATATTGTTACAGCTTTTCATGCTTGGGGAGTTCCCCCAAGATCAGCAATTTTGTTTGACTGGTGCAAGGGGACAAAAGGTGATATTAATAAGGGAGACTTTTAAAAACAATGGTGACTTTCCTTGTCAAATTGCACTTTTCCCATTTACTCTTCTTGCCTTTAAGGGGAGGTGATGCTTTTGAAAATGACTCTTTTGCTTAAGGTACCCCCAGTTTTTGGCATTAGAAAGCAAATAATATCCAATTTAAGGACAGAGGTAATATTGATATTCTAGCATCAGTTACACATCTTTCAGAAAAATGTGAAAGCAAAAAATATCATGCCAATTAACATTCCAACCCTGAGGTCAGTGAATGACTATCCAAATCAAAAAACCACTGGAAAAAAAAAACTTGATTAAAGGAAAATAATGAGCTTAAAATACTATGACACATTATCTTCAAAATAAAGCACCCTGATAATAACATTCCAGTCATGGAAATTTTGCAACTCCCCTGAAGGTACAGGTATTAAGTAATAAGACTGATACTTAAAACATACTGAAATACTCATGCAAATGGATACAGTTCTCTTCAAGGTAGTTTACGTGGCAGACAAATGCAACCCCAGGGATGCTGCCTCCGTTCTGCTGGAAATACTTTTGGAGAGTCTCTCCCTAGAATTCAGAGCCAGCAGCACAATCTCGAATAGCTTCAGTAGTGAGAAGTTCTTGTTTTTAAGGGTGATTGGATTCATTTTCCACATCTATAAGTCATTCCAAAAGTTTGGGAGTTACACTGGGAATAAGAAATAAGTTACCATGGTTGGGGTCAACAATAGGATGTGGGTGCAGTAATAAGGCTTAGGGGACTGCCTCAGAAGATGCTCAAAGTGTAGCCTGAGCCATGATAGGTAATGGAGGTTTTGCAGAGCAGGAGGCTAGCCTTCCACGGGGGGAGCCAGTGCATGTGCAGTACCCGGTTTGGGCACCTCAGGTGCTTTTGAGTTTACTTTGTTTTATTGGGCCCTCATGACATCTTTTGAGGCAGGTGTTTTCATCCATGGAATGGCAACTTTGATTTTGTGGAACAAATTCTAAGTTTGTTCAAACAAAATCCTTATTGATTCTGATGTAATGAAAGACCACAGGCTCTGGAGCAGATACAAGTGAATGTGACTCCCAGATTTGCCACTTACAGGCTGTGTGATCCTGGATCAGTCATATAAGCTTTCTGTGTGGCTGTTTTCTCATCTGTAAAATGGGTTATGGTGGAGTACTAAGTTAAATTAGATGAAATAATACAGATAAAACACCCCGAACAATGTTGCCGTATAGCTCGCATTCTGCTTACATTATTTCCCATCTCTGTTGCTTTCATATTTGAGGAGAAAAGCTGATATCCACAGGAAGGGATAAAATGGTGAATAATCCCAGTGTCAGCCTCACAATGACCTAGAAATGTAATAGAAGGTACTGGACATTTATCTTAACAGTGAAGTATCAGAGGGAAGGACACTGTAGCTTGTAGAAATGGCTCTGAATGACTTTCCTTTCCCCACGTGGCTTTTCTGGTTTCATTTATTTAAGGCTGTCACTTGGTAACATTTCCTTTTACCCCCTGATCACTGCCTCACTCCTTCCCTGGCTTCTCGTTACAGAAGCTTCAGATTGCCTCGCTTTGCCTCCCGAGCAGAGAAGAATTTCCAGGCCAAAGATTTCTTTCCTGCTATGTCAGACCTGACCATGTTAAACTACAAAAGAAAATTTCCAAGATTTGGGCTACAGAGTGGTAGGAAATGAAGACTGTTGGTCAAGGCAGAATGGATGCCAAGGGACATTCCAGTTCTTCTTCTGGCATTTTCTCCTTTGAGTTTTTGTCTTCACATTTGAAAAGCTTTCTAAATCTAATTTTCTTCTGAACTATAGAAAATGGTCAGTTAGTCTAACACAATTGAAGGTGCCTTCGGGGTGGCCCTTCTGTCTGTCTAGGCTCTCCTGGCACACAGGGCTTCCAGTGGGTGACTATTGGACAAGATGGCACTTGTGCCTCTGATAACCACAGTGTCAAATGGCTTCCTGTGATGGGGAGCAACAGTGTACATGCTGACTATAGATCTTTTCTAGAACCTGGAGGAATATTCTCAAGTGGTCGTGTGTGTGTGACTCATCCTCTCACCTAATGGAATTCTTACCCACAGGAAAACTCTACTAATGTGTCGATACACTGCTGAGAAAACACCTCGGAATTTTCTGTGACATGTAATCTTTCCAATAGGGAAATAAACTAAAGTTGCCAACCTTTTCCATTCACAGAACCCTCACCAAACAAGTGGTAAATATTGTATTGTCAAGCAATAGGTCATTGGATGTAGAAAAGATATGGCTTAGGGAAAGAAATGTAGGTGATCTAATGTTCTGTGTACTTTCTAAGTTAATGAGGAAAAAAATCTCTTGGGGTTAAAGTTATATAAAAGTCGGTGGCATGATACGCTTGACAAACACATGCACATATCAGCTTTGGAGTCAGATGAACCTAGATTTAAATCTCAGCACTATTTACTGTAAGACAAGTCTCAGTTTCCCTTTTTGTAATATTAGGAAACTAATGGCTACCTATAAATGGGGACCCAAGCTATCTCCATTGGGGTGTTAGGCTGTATGAACCACCACGTTGTAATAATCATCTACTTCCCCTTAGGGTGTCCTATAAAATGTGGGAAATTGAAGAGATGATTGTATTAAAACCATGGGTGCCAATTTGCAAAGTCTGAAAGAGAAACTGTCACAGTTATAGAGTTTATTGTTACAAAATTCTTTAGAAAACTAAGTTAAAAGAAAGTGGGTTTAAACCTGCAGAACTAACAAGAGATTTTACAAGAAGCTGCTATTATTTAGAAACATGTAGCTTGTGTAAAAAACCTTAAAAAAATGGGATCCATATTTGTTTTACTCTTAAATGGAAAGAAAATCCCTAAACTGTTTTTTACTAGAGGACTTCTAAAGAATGAAGTTGAACTGGGAAAAAAATGGGCTGGGAAGTCAGAGAAATGTGGATTTAGCCCCAGGCTATGCTCTGGCCCTTTCCATCAGGGAGACTAGGGCTTGCTGGTATTAAATTGATTCCTGGGGCTCCCTTATTGTATCCACGAAGGCTGCACCTCAAGGAGAACAAAACAGTGGCCCTAATGTCAGCTAGAGGGCTAGAGGGCTCGTTAAATGCACATCTACTTTCCTTCGGCCCAAGTTTGTTCTTATTCCAAGTCATCTCCCAAAGTTGGATCCCATAGCTGTTCAGATGACCCCGCCTACTGCCACCAAGCAGACACCCTTCCCCAACTAGTGAGGAGGAGAGGAATAAGCGCTCGGATTTGATTTCACCCAACCACATGTCTATCCTTTCTGACTTATCAACGAGGCTGTGCCCACAGTGTTCAAACTTCGCTGCACATTCTAATCACTTGGGGGGTCTTTTGAAAGTCCCAAGGCCAGGTCACTCCCCATATCAATTAAGTCAGACTTTTGGGCAACGGCAGAGACAGGATCAGTATTTGTTAAACAACCAAAGGTGATTCCAATGGGCAGCAAAATTTGGGAACCATTGGACTGGGCTTTACAAACCTCAAGAGGCTTGTGAACGTATTTAAAACATCTGATACATGATTGGTGTTTAATAAATGATAGCTCCCCTTGCTATTAGTAAGAATGTTTGGTTATAGTGATAAAGACGATGATGATAATAATAACGGGAGGCCATTACACATTTGGGGCCCTTCAGTTTACTCTTGCAGCCGTTGTTTGTTCTAACCCTCCCCATTCTCCCATGAGATGAACAGAAGCGTATGAGTACTATCTCTTCCATCTTACAGGTGAGGAAACTGAGGCTTAGAAAGGGTAAGTGACTTTCTCAAACAGAGTGTTACCTAGAGCTGGGCCTTCTGATGCCATCTCCAGTGCTGTCCCCACTATTCAACACTGCTTCTGTGTTCAAAGAGCTTCCATCAGGTGGGGGAAAACCTATTCATTTACGTAAATGATAAGAATGCACAGTAGGCAAAACACCCCAAGTTACTAATTAGTTGAGATTATATGCAGAAAGCCAAATAGGGATCCAAACCCACTGTCAGCTTCCTAATGATGAAGCAGATTAGAGAAGGTGGCAGGGCCTGCTCCTCCCTGAACCTGGCCCATAGACCAGACACCCCTGACTTCCCTAGGCAGACAAGCAGGAAAAGCAGAGCAGATAGACAATAGACCTGGCCTTCCAGGGCCTGACTCTGCTCCATCTCTGTGCTGCATGGTCCATGTGCTGCAACTATGAGGAAGTACAAGGTGAGTCTGCCATGCCCAAATGCCAGGAATAGGTAGGTTCAAAGAATGGCAACCCTGCATCGTCCCTAGATCCATGCAGGGTAGCTAACAGTTTACCCTCTTCATTTCCACCAGTCAGATAAGTCTTTCTCCCACCTTTGCGAGAGGGAAACTGTGAAGGTTTAGGGAGGGACTAGAAAGACTGGTTTTCATACCATTCGCTCTCTTGTGGGATGAAATAGAATTAAGTGCACATGGCAATGGGGAGATGGGATTCTTCCTGCAGGAGATAGAATGTGAATACTGGCTATATAAATGACATCAGAAGGAGGGGCTGCAAGTGTGGAGCCATGAAAAGAGCTGTGGTCAGGGGGAGGTTCCATGAGGGTTAAGAGTTGACTGGGGTCTTGAAGAAGAAGCTGGAACTCAGCAAAGCCTTTCATGAAATATCTTTTGATTCCCTGATCCAGGTTGTCAGGAGTGGTTTTGAGAGTCATGGGGATTGGTTATAATTATCTGCTATAGCTAGTCGATTACTGAATAAGCAGGCCCAGCTGCAAATGCCTCGTTGGGGATGGCAGTGGCAGCCCAAGATCCCAGTTATGCAGCAGATGCACGGCCTCGTTGAGCCAAGCTGGCTGAACACACCTTTTGGAGAGATGCTACTTTTCATTTGCTTTTGAAATGGTGACTATAATGAATTTTGCAACTTTGAGAAAAAGAACTTATTATATCACCATATACTGGGACATCACCATGTTACTTTAAATACAGCAACCATGGGGTTCAATCCTAGCCCTGATACTTTTTAGCTATGTGATCTCAGATATGTTATATGTCTGCTCTACAACACAATTTTTTTCCAGTAACGTGAAGGTAATAGTAGCACCTGCTTCAAAGGGTTGTTTTGAGATTTAAATGAGATAATGCATGAATATAGAATCTGGCTCCTAATGTACAGTATGTGCTTAATTAATGTAGTCATAGTGGTTATTATATTACTATTACCAGGACTCTGAAATTCATCCTACTATGGAGATGCCTCTCAATGGGCTAGACTTGCCTCATGATCAAAAAACTTATCTTGCTTTGCTTTAGTCATCTTTAGACCTCAGATTTTTTTTCTTGACCTCCAGGAGATTTGTCAACTTGGATGAGAAGCTGAAGCAGGTCTTTCCCCCTTTATTAACATTCCATCCATCTTTCAAGTTCCATTTCAAATTCCATTTGGAGAAATTAGGAAACACCTTCTGGAGGAGCTGGCATTCATCTCTTCCCCTCAGCTCCCACAAGTCTTTATAATTTTATTATGGCATTTATCACATTCCATCCTGTCCTGTAGTTATAGGCCATCTATCTCTTTCACTGCACAGTAACTTTCCTGAGAGGAAGAAGAACAATCCATTCATTTTGGAATCCCCTATAGCACAAAGCATAGTACCTGGCACAGAGTAGATGCTCAGTAAATATTTGTTAAGTTGGAATAATCACTTTTTTTTAAAAAAAAAAAAGACTGCTGTTATATAATTATTCACCATCCTATTTGCCCACTGATTTTTCCAGCTGAGAAGGATAATTTTGGGGATAACCATGAAGCAAGCCCAAGCTCCATGAATCAAAGGTAGAATGTTCTTTATTCTTGGATGGAGATGGAATACAGAGCAATAGAATACTACAGCAACCACAGTTAGCTGGTATTTATAAACACCAATCCTGCCATTGTACTACCATGTGACCCCAAACAAGCTCTGGGCCTCCCTGGGCCTCAGTTTCTCTATTTGTAAAATGAAAGTGAAGATCTTTCTCTTTCACTTATAAATTTTTGTGATTTCTGGCTTCTCTATTTAGATATAAAGAAGAATTTTGCTATTGTTCTTTATACTTCCTTTCTTTCAAAACTGTAAGTTGAATAGGCCAGAGTTTTGGTGTCTTCCCATCACTACTATATCTCTAAAGCCTGGGACAGTATGTGGTTCATAGCAGCTGCCCTCCAAGAAATACTTGTTGAAGAAATAAATGAACAAATAAATACATTTAGACATGATTTAGGAATGTTGTGATATAGTGCTTACGAGTAATTATAGTCCTGGCCTCCCAAGAGTCCCCACTCCTAGAAGACACAGAAAGGCAAAATGCAGAGGAAGCAGACATGAGAAATAAGATCTGGGCTCAGCTTGATCCTTCTCTACATTATGGCATGAGCTGCACACAAAGAGTTTCTTCTAGGTTAAGTCCACCTGTACTAGCAAAATTCATATATTGGGTGGGACAATTCTATATTGTATGGGAGTATCTCACACGATGCAAGACAATTAGCATCTCTGCCCGGTAAATGTCAGTACTACCCCAAGTAATTTGTGCCAATCCCAAATCTCCTCTAAACATAAACATTTCTGAATGTCCTCTAGGAGCAGTATACACCTCCTCATTGAGAAGCACTCATTTATTATTATGACTGGTTTAGCTATGGATGGAAATCATTACATGTCCTTTCATCTTCACTGCAAGAATTTGTAATTTAGATGTGAAGTAGCCTTAGTAACAACTCTGGTCCTTTGTTGAAGAATGACAAGTCAGGCAAAAATCGTGGTATTGTGGAAAGGCCTGCCCTTTCTCCAATGTGAGGATAGAAACCCTAGCAAGAACTTGGATCCCTTTCCTCCTCCCTTTTCCTGGAGAGATAATGACCACATCAAAAATGGAGAGCTCAACTCATGGAGAGGCTGCAGGGGAATTGACATAGAAATGCCATGAAATTGGTTTGATATTGACTTTGAAATCTGCATAACCTGTGTCCTAAAAACCTTGGTTGATATAGCGTTACTGGCCAATTGTAAGCTCACATCTTCCTGATGTTGAAGATCCTTTGTTCACCTTACCTCAGGTTTTAGTTCCAAGCTACATGGTCCCCACATCTGAGTGGGACCTGAGATGTTAGAAGTGAATGTTCCTTCCCGAGACCTAATGTTTCTTCCACGTGGAGGGAGCTTTGCTAGTGAAACACCCCTGGATAGTTCCATGGGTGAAGTTTGCAGCAGACAAATTGTCCCCATGAAAGCTGGATAATTAAATTTAATTTTGAGTAATAGTGTTTAACTCAGTGTTAGAAAGCCCACTTACCACCAGTACAGGCTCTCTCCAACATCTGCTTTAGCAATAGTTACAGTAGTATTTTAGTCTTTTTGTATGTTAGCTTTTTGTTTTATTTTGTACTTGGCTCAGAATTTGCAGGATGAGAGGGGTCCTCAAACCCCAACACCAGATATATGGCTTGGTTCTGCAGAGATGGCATCCATAAACACTCTGAGGTTTACAAAGCTTTAGGATAGGTAATGTTACAGAATTCTACATCATCATGGCAATGTGTTGGCTGAGGATACAAGTTCAGCTGCATAGTGGAGGTTTAACGAGGTTGAAGTGCAAGCTGGCTGCAAGCTCAATGATGTATGCTGGGATCCTGGCTCCTCTGTCCTTTTGCTCCATCATCTTCAGGGAATTACTCTCATACACATGGTCCCAAGTGGCTTGCTATTTTCATTGTTTCAGCAGGCATGAAGAAGGAAGGAGAAGGGAAAATGGTGGGCTTGACCCTTTTCTTTAAGGGAACAGCATGGAAGTTGTCCATATCACCTCCATTTACATCCCATTGGGCACAAATTAGTCATACGGCCACCCTAACTGCAAAGGACTATGGAAAATGTAGTTTTTATTCTGGGAAACCATACACTCAGGATAAAATTAAATGGCTATGGAAGAAGGAGAATGGATATTGAGAGATGTGTGGTTGTTTCTGCCACAACATCCCTGTCTTGAACTTTTGGATCAAGCCTTGAATGTACCAATAAGCCCACCAATATAGGGGGTCCCCTTCCCTTCCCAGAATCAAGGAGATGCCCTTGCTAACATTCCAGAGGTACTCAAGAGACTTCTGCTTGTACCCACTTTGCTCATCTTTAAGCAGTTGGGTTCGCCAGAGCTTTTAAATTACTTTCTCTTCTTTATACCATCACCCTGAATGGTCATGATTTTAACTTCCATCTGTAAGATGATAGCTCACATGTGACCCTTCCTTCTTGCTGAATTTCTCTCACTGAGGCTTCCTTGTGGCTTAGATGAAGGTTTTTCAACAGGGTAGAGACTAGGGTGAAGTAAGTGAGGAGGCTTGGGAGCAAAATTAAGGAGACATTTATACTCAGGGCCATGCAAGAGGCTTTCTCCATGACTGTGGTCCTAATCCCCATCCTCATTAGCTCTCACCTCGGGCTACTGAAAAAGACTCCTACCTCATTCTTGTCTCCAGACTTTTCCTTGTACAACTTATCTGCATGCTGCCAGAGTGCTCTTGCTAAAACTCAGATTTGATCTTTCCTTTCCTAAGCTTTGAAAGAAAAAAAGTCTCCTATCCAACACATTTATGGCTGTTGATGGTTTATAGAGTCAAGTTCACAGTCTGCGACTTGGCAAACAGGGCCCCTCTTTATACTTTCCCCACCATAAACAGTCTTACAGTCCCACCCCCGCCTGCCAATTTTCATGCACTTTCAGGCCATTTACCTTGGTTCTTGTTCCTGTTTTCCGGGAAGACACTCTCCCTTTTCTCTATCTGGACAACTCCTATACATTCTTTAAGAATTCTTTGGCTGGGCACGGTGGCTCAATGACTGTAATCCCAGCACTTTGGGAGGCCAAGGCAAGTACATCACAAGGTCAGGAGATGGAGACCATCCTGGCTAACACAGTGAAATCCCGTCTCTACTAAAAAATACAAAAAATAAGCCAGGCATGGTGGCGGGCGCCTGTAGTCCCAGCTACTCGGGAGGCTGAGGCAGGAGAATGGCGTGAACTCGGGAGGAGGAATTTGCAGTGAGCCGAGATCGTGCCAATGCACTTCAGCCTGGGCAACAGAGCGAGACTCCCTCTCAAAAAAAAAAAAAAAGGCTTTGAGTGTCACTTCTTCTATGAAGCCTTTCCTGATTTTTCCAGCCAGAATTACTGCTCCCACAAGCCTTTGTGCATATCACTGTTATAGTTCTTATGACATTGTATTGTACTTATTTGTTAATATATGTTTCCTCTGGGAGACTCTGAGCTCCTAGAGGCAAGGGAGAATGTCTTATTTAACTCTATGCCCCTTGTTCCTAGCATGGTACCATATAAGAGCGATCAGTAAGTGCTTACTGATTAAATGGATAGATAAATGACTCATCCACTGCTTAAGAAATCTATGAAATTCACTCCAAGAGAGTGAGTAGACAATTTTTTTTTTTGTCTAAAAGTTTACTCACGTCCATATTGTGGCTGTCCTGACATAAATATATCTAGTAAATTTGCTTAGTAGAGAACCTGGATTTGAATTCAGGTCCAAAGGCTTCCTCTCTCATTGGCATCAGTGCCTTGCTTTTTTAAATGCTAGAATGTCTTGTTAGTGCTACACAGATGCTAAAATCTTTTCTAAACCTCAGTGATTCTTACCAAGTAATGCAAAGCGTGCTGCAGGGCTCACACAAAAGAAGAAAAATAAATAAATTTTAAAACCATCTTCCAGTACAAAAAATACAGACAGTCCTGACAAACATTTAAAAACATGAATTGTTGCCCAGCCTGCTCTGCACTGAGGAATCACGTATTTGTAGGTAACAGAAGAGACGATTCATGGCATGACTTCAGGGAGACCATGGTGCCTGGAACTTCCACTTGACCACAAGCATATGCAGTAAGACACGGGAACCATTAATCTGTCTTCACACCTCTTTCTCACCCAGAATGAAATTGTTTTGCCTAGCAAAAGAGTGGGCTCAGCCCAGGAGAGACACATGGGATTGTGTTTCCTGAGGAATCTGTGCTGTTATAGTGAAAAGACAGCAATAACTTGCCAAGGATTCCAAGGGAGATCAACAGACCCCTCCAGCCCCACTGTTCTGGGACCCTTAGTCATGGATGTAGTGTGATGAAATGTAATGTGTGGTGGAGAGGCTAAGGTTACTTCTACATGGTAGGAGTAGGTTTTTTTTCCTCTAACCTCGGAAATCTATAATTTTTACACTGTCACAGAACAAATGGAACTGTGACTAATGTTATACAGTTTATGGAGCTAAAGTCATATAATTTTCACAGTTGGTTCACATTTATGACAGTTAAAAGGTTTTTGTTTTACTCTGAGATTAATAGAGGGGCATGAATATTGCTTACCCACAGCCCTCAATGCTGTGTTTGCATTCCCAGAGAACACCTCCTCCACCCACCCATTTTACAGAGGAGGAAGCTGAGACTGCCAGCAGTCGGTGACTTGTCCAAGGTCACATAGCTGACATACAGCAGAGCAAGGATCAAAGCTAGGTCTCACAAGTCCTGGTCACATGCACTTTTATTGGATGTTTAGGATTCCACATGAAAAGTGATGTGCTGCCTGATTTTCCTCTTTTTTTCAAAGGAATGGAAATATCTCTCTTCCTTCTATGTCACCACTGAACACTTTTTGAACGGTGTTTTGAATGGTGAACACTTTTGAATGGTGTACAATTCAACACACCATTTTGAATTGTAGCCATCCAAGCAGTAGGAGGGGAGAGTGGAGAGAATCTCTGTTCACTGCATGCAGAGCTATGGTAACCCTCTGTACCTATTTCTCCAAGCCTCTGGATTTTATTTGGTGGGCTGAATTCCATCCTAGGAAAGGGCAGAAAGCTTTCAGCTTATCCTTTGAAAAATGAAACACATTTTAAAAACCTGCAAAATGTCTCAAGTTCTGACCAGGAATAATAGGAACGTGCCCCTCCTCCCCCCGCCCCAACCAAGCCCACCTCTCACCAATCACAAAAAACTCCTTCTCTTTTCACAAAATTTTACTTTTTCTTCAAAATGTAAAAACTCCAAGGTGTCTGAACTCAGGTTCCCTAGAAGCAGAACCTGAGATGCTGATTCTCAAGCAATAGCTTTATCGAGAGACTTGCTCTCAGAGGAAACAGGTAAGGAAGGGCGGGATATAGCACAGAGCAGGACAGAAGAGAGGCAAAGGTGTAGGCTCAGTTGTAGTCTTGCCTCAGGCTGATCCCAGGGAAACTCGGAGTGTGGATGGTTGTGCCAGTTTGAGGAAAGTGAGTTGGGTTTTATACGATGTCCTGTCCACCAGGTTTTAGCCGTAGGGTCTGCAGGATGGTGTGGTACAGAACCTCCCTAGCATCTCTGAGCTATGCCAACCAGGTGGCCCTGGGCAATCCCCTGGAGCAGGTAAGGGTATAGCTGTCAGCTCTTATCAACCAATTTGTACAGCAGCTGGGGGATGCGCCCACCAGTATAGGGATCTGAGTAGGCCACCAAGAACATATGCTAAGCATTGCTGAATTTCAATGTCCCAGAAAAGAAAAAAAAAAAAAACTGTAACTGCTCATAATACCACACAATGAGAAATCAGCATTGTTCACAATAAAACATCATTCACAGTTCTGTTTATCCTCTGATGGCATAAAAGACATAAACAAGACACTGAAAACAAAGAAAAACCATAAACATCTCTGATGGAGAGATTTGTTAGAACCATGCCTGATTGGGAAAATACTTAAGTGCCTCATAGAACTAAGACATCTGGGTGAAAACTGAGGCTTCACTGTGGAGCACCCTCAGTTCTGTGATTCCCCTGGCTTCTTGCTCTCTGAGATTCCTTTCCACAATGCTGCCAATGCCCCTGCCTTTACTTGTAACCTGGAAAAGGGCAATTTGGCTTTCAGGGCCTGAGAAGAGGAAGCAATTATTTTAGAGGAACTGATTGGGAAAACCTGTAAGAAGCCATCTTGCTTCAACAAAATCATATCCCAAGGTGGCTTTGGCTCCTTGTCAAGATAGGAAATAGAGGACACGCTTCTGCCACACTGCACCCCAAAAGATGAAGTGAACGAAGGGTTGAACATCTATGATATGTCAATAACTAAACCAGCCATCACATACATATATACATATATATGTATATATATATATAGAGAGAGAGAGAGGGACTTAATTTTCAAATATTGATTCAACAATGAAAATTGTAGGGATAAGCAGTATTTATTTAAGACAATGCATCCAAACAATGTCAATGCATACCAGTGCTCAAATTAAGCAACAATTTTATAGTTTTTCAACTCCATCTTCTTTTTTGGATATCTAGTAAAAGTTTAAAAAAATCTGTAAAGCAGGGAATAATATTTACTCCACAGCTTTGTCATAAATATTATAATGGGTAGTATTATTGATATGGTAAACTTTGGACTCTGTTACACTTATCTACTATAATTTATGTGTGCCAAAAATGTAGCTTATTTTTTTCTCTTTTATTAAAAATATCTTGCTCATGAGCCCCCATTCCTTCTGATGATGGGGAGGAGATAGGGATGAAATGGACATAATCATGCCAATCAAAACTGACTTGGTCCCTTCTGGTTTAGGGCCATCATTTTCAGGTCAGTCTTCAGCCAATATGAGTAGAAATTGCCCTTGCTGCTGCTCTTCTTGCTCAAGGGGCCTCTATCTTACAGCCTTGCACAGGCTACATGTGACACTAGGGCTCGGATGTCAATGACAGAAAAGGGTGAAGGTTTCTTCAAAAATGAGACATACTCAAAATTCCAACTAAAATTTAATTTTAGAGGGAGTCTATTTGGTTGATTGACAAAATGTTCCCTAAGAGAGTGGGAAAGCAAAGAGGTGGGCCTCATAATTTAGTTAGTGTGGCTTTCCTTTGACCCAATTCTCTTACATGTTGGATAAATTTCTCTGGCAAATTGAATAATTTTCACAAGTCAATTACATACATTCCCTCAGCCTGTTTGAGCGTAATGAAATAGCTTAATAGAATAAAACAATAACCCCCAAGATGATGATGTTGGCTATTATTAAGTATAACAATAGGAATTAATTATGACAGGAGAAAGGATAATTGATGACTTGGAAAATATATTCTAAAACTCTCTCTCTTACGACTTCAGAGACACTTCTAGAGCTATGTGGTTTTCTGAATGCTTTTGAATAGGATTATTAATAACTTTTTTTTAATCCCTTACATTTGGTTAGTTCCTTACAAAACACTGTCATGCACAGAATCTTGTTTTTAATTTAACCAACCCTTACAGGATGCCATGTGGCAGGCCCCATTCAGAGCACTTCACACATTAACTCCCTCAATGCCCCCACACCGACTGTCTGCTCTGTGATTCAGATTGATCTTTTACAAATGAGGAAACTGAATCTTAGAGAGAATCAGGAACTCATGCTAGGTCTCCCCACTGGGAAGTGGCAGAACAGAGATTTGGATCCAATCTGCTTCCTGGGTCGCTTTTAGCCACAACACTATTCTACCTACCTCTCATTTCAGCCTTACAAATACCCTGCAAAGTAGGAATGTTTAGCTCCATTTTCCCAAAGATAAAACATTATCTGAAACAGAGGTTAAGTTATTTGCCAGAATTGTAGAGCTACATAGTAAGCATCAGAGCCAGAATTCAGACCCTTGTTTTCCACCCTTAAATAAGCACAATTTCTGATGTGCCCTTATGAAGCAATAAGTTATTTTACTCAAAGCTGTATATATTTTTAGAACTTTGAAGCACTGAGGAAAAAATAATACTGTATTTCCTTTTGGAAAAAATATTGGGCACAAATTTGGAGGGTTGGTAGAAACATATGCAGTTCTTTTTAACTAGAGACACTGTCAATTTAGCAACATAGACACATCAAATGCTTGAACAACAGGGATCATATTGTCTCCTACTAATTCTTAAATTTTCTGTGCAAAAGTTTTTGGAGAAGTTTTCATTCGTGCATGTTCTCAGGCTCCAACTCAGGAATTCTCATTCAGTAGATCTGAGGTCAGGCTCAGGAATCGGAATCTTTAACAGACACTCCCAGGGTAATGAATGCTCATTTTTTAAATGAGGGAAGAGGAGTGACTTGCCCTGCCCAGATTGACTGAGATGCTAGAAAATCATGACTCTAAGGTTGACGTGGCATTAAGGGTACTTGCTTTGTTCATAAGATGACATGTTTTATTTATGAAATTCAAAGATCCACTTATTCACATCGAATCACGAACTCACTAATGCAATTTATTGAGTGAGATAGAGCTTTCTTATGAATGAAGCTAAGAGCTACTGAATTTTAAGGAACTAAATATTACTGAGGTTTTGCAACTTAATGAATGTAAGTAAGTAGCACCACTTATAATCCCCAAGAACTTAGTTTGATTAATTGTATCAACACTAATGTCTGAAATCAAATATATGCAAAATTACTTTAAAGAGACAGAAGGCTACCTAGGGACCTAGAGAGAGATAGACCATAGCCAAATTAATGGCATTAGCTAAAAATATATCAGCAAAAGGAAGGAGTCTGCATAGAATACAAAAATGGGTATTGGAGAGCCAGAGAGGCTCAAAGTATCCAGAACTGTCTGGGAAACAAGAAAACCTGACTCTGTTCCATTCAAGGGTGTGCCCTTGACCCCTTCTGGTGTGCCTGCCCAGCCCATAGCCCCCTTCTCTGAGCCTTCCCCAACTCAGCCCACCGTGGTTGGTCCTGCATGCCGTATTTATAGTATACCAGCTTGCCCTTCGGGCCACAGTTGTTTGCAGGGGTGGTAACAGACCCAGAACTGGGCAGTCAGATTCTCCATCATGGAAAGGTCTAATTGGGATTCAAAGTCTCTCATTTGTCTCTTCCAGTTGCTTCGTATATAAACTCGGGGGCTTCTAGAGCCCAGGTGGAGAAAGAGGTGCCTTAAAGAGAAGGCCCAGAGAATGTGAGATATGTCCTCTGCCATTTGGGGGACTGGTTTCTGAATCGTATCTAAGAAATCTAAAGCATATGAGCTTGACTGAAGAGGTGTGTGGCGCAGAATTAAGGATTGTGGCTTGGAAAGTGACAGCCTTCCCAGGGTTCTTGGGGCAGAAGGATGCAGGAATGTTTCCCAGGCCAGATGTGGACCTTTGTGCTAGTGAGAGCCAGCAGAAGTGGGGTTGTCTCATATCCAGTCCAAAAGGGCTGCCTCCACATGTAAGGGGAAAGAAACTAGAAGTAGATTCTTGAACACTGTATTCATTTGCTAGGGCTGCTGTAACAAAATACCATAAGCTGGATGGCTTAAATCAACAGGAATATATTGTCTCACAGTCCTGAAAGCTAGAAGTTTATAATCAAGGTGTTGGCACAGTCATGCTCCCTCCAAAGCCTCTAGGGAAGGACCCTTCTTTGTCTCCTGCAGCTTTTGGTAGCAGCATGCAGCAGACCTCTAATCTCTGCCTCCATTTTCACTAGGTCTTCTTCTCTGTGGGTCTGTGTCCAAATTTCCCTCTTTTTACAAAGATACCAGTTATATTGGGTTAAGGGTCTACCTCATTTTAATTTGGTTAATTATATGTGCAATTTAAAATAAAGTCACATTTTGAGGTATTCAAATGTAATACGTATTAATTATATAGAACTTGAAAAACACAGAAAATCATAAAATAAAAATCATCTCCAATCCCACCCTAGTTTATTTTTTGATTTTTCATATTTGCAAATTCTTACTTTCAGGGCAACAAAAGAAGAAAACTAAAATGGATTAGAAACATAATTAGCAGGGGCTGCGATTGTGCAGAATTTTCACCATTATGTGTTATGAGATATAGGCACTGCAGCATACTAGATTAAGTTTCTGAACTTTGGATGTTTCATATTGTGCTTTGTGTGAAAATGTCCGATCTGTTCCATGACCCGGTCACATGGAGTTACAGTGCTCCTATTCTATTCGTTTGTACTTTGAATTGTCGCACTCAGAGTGGGAAGAAAAAAAGTTGAATCTAGTGTTTTCCATTCCCAAATGACGGTGCAAATTATTAAAGATTGGAAGTCATAGGGGCATGGGCTTCAAGAATAAAAAGTGGTAGGAAGAGAGCTTCAAACCATATCTACAACTGTTCAGGACAGAGACAGCCTGAGAAAGTTAAAATTCAGACCAGTATTTTGGAAAAGCAATTTACACATTAGCAAACCGAGGCTATGGCCCAAAGGGCTGTCTCAAAGTTATGGGCTAGCTGTAACCTGAACATGGAATGATGGATATTTAAGGTTTTTGTGACTAATGAAGTGCTTCATGCTGTTGCTAACACCTAACTTGAGCATTTCTTTACTTAAACTTTTTTTTTTTCTAAAAGAAACAATAAGCTTTTCTAGTTTACCTTGTAAGACTTTGAATGATCAAACCCAAGTCTGACAAGCAATGGCTCACAGAATGTTTTATGTAGACCTTCTATTGTGTAGTTTTTAGAAATAATTTGGGAGAAGTAGAACCAGGTACCAATATATGTTGAACATTTACCTGCAACCTGAAAAAATGATTTACTGTTCACATGTCCTTACTCAACACACACACACACACACACACACACACACACACACATTCATTTTAGTTCTTTTTGTTTCCTTTTTTCTAGAAAAGAGTTTAAAAAGGTAAAGAAGTACATGGGTGATTTTGGATCAATTTTCCATTTGAAACAGCTCAGCAAACAGCCGACTACGCCTAATGGGCCCTTGAAATGCTCTCTTTTATGAAATTCCAGATGTGAAAAAGGACACACTACAAAGTAAGTGGCAAAGGCTTAAGTGGCTTTTAGGAGCCTAAAGACAGAATTGAGAATCTGATATTAAAATAACATAGCCAAGAAAGAAAGCAGTCAAAAGGTGTTAATAAGACGGAAGGTACTGCAATGTATAGGAAGTAGAGAAAAAAAATGGTTTTAAAAGGAAGTGCCTCTCTCTCTCTCTCTCATATTACAAAAAAAAGGAAGTGCCATTCTCATTGTGCTGAACTGGCCTTCTATAATCACAGCTGCTCCTATTAGGTGTGAAATACAATATATATTTTTAAAGAGCTCTTGATATTCCTTATCTTCCTCAGCAGTTTAATGAAAATTGAAAAGACTACACAAACCCATATGTGAGGTCAGCTGTATCTTTCTCTTCCCTTTTCCCTGTTTCATTCTTGGACAGTTCAGGACATTAATAGGATATTTCATTTGATTTTCTCTCTTTCCAGGCAATGCGTTATGTACCTATCAAATGTTTGGTAATCAATTCTTGATCTCTCCTGGAGGTCAGTCAATGACACCATCTAAATTGTCATCTCATTTCTTTCTTGAAAGAGAATCCATCTATTTCCTTTGAGCACATAGAGATTTCAGATGCAGGTAAGGTACTAAACCATTCATGAACAAGATGACATTTTTTCTCATCAACACTGTCAGATTTGGCTTCTATAGGAGAGATGGACTTAGTTATTAAAAGGGTCTCTTTCATTTAAAGTTCCAGTTAATATGCTATTAACTCAACTCTCCTCCACTCATCATTGTGAGGTCTCGGCATCTCTTTGAATTATTTTTATTTTGGGGTGGAGGGCATGAATGGAGGAGGAAGGATGTTGCAGATTCAGATATGAAGAAACAGAGACTTAAAGCCAATATTCTGAGGTTCAAGTCCGGGAAAATTGTAAATTGTCTATATTTACTGAAGTATATGATAAAATGTAAATAGGCTTGGAGTAGCCCCAGGCAGGTTAATAGGAGAAAAGAAATATCTCTGGAAGGGTAAGAAGAGCTGGGCAGAAGTAGAAAAACATTTAAATTGTGGCTCAGTGATTGAGGGGATAATTTAAAAGTTAATGCCTTGAATAGTTATTAACAAATGAAATCCTAAAGTACCTATTGTTTGTTTTCACAATTGAAGTGTCTTTTTCATGCACACAGTCCATTTACTGAGAGCACAGTCGGTTATGTAAACTTTTGTTTCTCCTGCAGATCCTGAATCTTTCAGAGATAGGCTTAAGTGTCATTTTCAGAAGGTTCGGCAAAAACCGAAACAGGCGTTGCATCTTTTTGGATGTTCGTGCTTCAAATTGGCTGGGGGCCGTTTTTAGCTTTTCAAATTAATAATTTGAAAAAGATGCTATGCCTATACATAATGACTTCATCTTGTCTGCAGAAATGATTCAAAACAGCAGTTGTTACATACAAGAGTCTCATTAAGTGAGATTTTGATGCAGGAGCACAGGTACCGGTGTCAGCCACTGCTGTTGGGTAACTACTTAACTGTGGAAATAATGGCAGAGCAGAAGGTGTGAGTGAGCATTAACACTGATCTTCATTCTGCTGGGTGTTCAGCATCTCAAGTCCATTCTCATTTTGTTTTCCATTTGGTGCAATGTACTGCACTTAAGCAAAATTCCTTAGGGATTGCAAAAAATGGAATTGCATATTTTTTTTTCAAGTAAGGTAAGGAATTTGTTTTGAAGAACATTCTAAGATATTTATGACGATCTTTGTAAAGACCCTATTTTACTCTACTGTCAGTTCCATCTCTTTGTTAAAACATCCCGATGAATGTTGTTGACATGCAAATAACTAAAATGAAACAAACCAGTAAAGCAACCACAATCTTACAAAATAAGCAAAATCCTATAAATTATCTGGAAAGAAATACTTTTCTTTGATGAACTTTTTTTCCCCCACTTTGTTTAAATGCAAAACAAGGCCTATTAACCAAGTCACTGTATTAAAGACCTAACCAATAATTAGATGGTCTGAGAAAATGCCCAAGACAAGGCATATCCACAAGGGTCAGGGGAAGGTGATCTAAGGGTCTGGCTGAAACTCCATCAAACCCTGGAGGAATTCCCAGTTCTCCACGCACATTTCAAAACAGCTAGTGCCCTGAGTCATGACTAAATCCACAGGCATAACCCTTGTCCTATTTTTGTAGACAGTCAATCTGGAGAGCCACTCTCATTTTCAGTTTTATTCCACATAGCCTAGGTCCCGCCACTCTGCATCTGCGGCCTGACCTTTGCACAGTGAAAATACAAAGCAGCAACAGACCAAGGCAACAGCAACAGACCTTGAGTGGGACAGAAAAGTCAATATGCAGGGGAGTGGGGGAAGCTCAAGGAACATTTCCATGACAGTAGAAACTCTTCCATAAAATACTCACCAATTCTGGAAGGGAGCTTGATTCTTCTCATTTTTTTCTTAATGTTTTTATTGTAATAAAATATACATGACATAAAAATGATCATTTTCACCGTTGGTAAGTGTACAGTTCAGTGGCATTCAGTACATTCACATTGTTGGGCAAAAATCACCACCATCCATTCCCAGAATTTTTCATCTTCCCAAACAGAAACTTTGTACCCATTAAACAATAGCTTCCCTTGCCCACCCGCAGCGCTTGGCAACCAACATTCTGCTTTCTGTCTCCATGATCCTTGAATATTCTTGACAGTGCTGCCAACTGTAAGTATTCCTTAACTTTAGGAAACTTTTTGTTGTTTATTTTTAAAACCCATCAGAGAAAATGCACAGCAGCGAGGGAAGGCAAAAGCCTCCAGGGACCCATCTGAAAGAATGATTATGCCAATAATAAGGCCTGTGAAAGGAGCTATCATCCCTGAATGAGGCAGGCTCTCACCCATGCCGTGCCAAACTTAAAGCAATGTTTCTGCTTTGAAATGATGGGTGATAGAGAGCACATTTATGCTGCAAATGGGAGACAAATTCAATCACCTGGGCCGGTCGGTGCCCAGAAAGCCAGCATGTTGAGATGAATGTCTTCTGGATCTGGCATGTGGGTATTATTGGGAGAGGAAGCATTTGTTCTGGAGCCATTGTGATTAAAGAACCACAGGACCAGTCGGCTCATTTGTCTCGGTTTATCTAATTACCAGACCAAGATGAAGATTTTGGAATAGTTTAAAACACAGAAATGAAACCCATATGGGACTTAAACTGGATGTGGTCCCAGTTGTATGAATGAAATTCAGTTGTTTTCCCCATTTCTCTCTCTCCGTTCCTTCCCAATGCCCCTACCTTCCCGAGAAAAACAAAATCAATTCAAATTGAAAAATAATTTTCACAGACAAAGTAGAGAGTGGGAAAACAGGATTAACAGTCAACCTGGAAAATTCTGACCCTAACAAAATGCTATTCCCTTTGCAGCAGAAACAGGGCCATTTCACCCAAATTATCTGAATAATTATTTTAACTCATCATTTCTCTTTGCCATTGTGGATATAACCTAATGTTAAATTATGCCTCTAGTCCCAGTCACATCTTTCTGGAAAGTTTTCCTTATACTACATTAAAAAATTGTTTAAACAAATGTGCAGAGTTCACACATGGTGAAAAAATGAGCACATAGTGATGTAAATTTCTTGCAAAGAAAAAACCCTATATTTTGTCTATCAGTTCCAGTTAAACATACAGTAAACAATTTGGAGACACTCTTCAGCGGCCCTTTTTACTGACGCAGAGGACACGAGTTCCCAAGTACACACAGGCTAGCTAAAAACAGGACATTAATTTCTGCTCCCACAAGCAGTACTGAGAGCCTTCTATCAAGGTTCTAGGGAAATCTGTTCTAGGACATGAAAAAAAACTGAAGAAATGACTTCTTTTTACATATGGATATCACTATGCATTCTGGGGGTATCAAAGGGAAAAAAAGTTCATCATAAAAATGAACGACTTTAGTAGTTTGTTCAGTCATGATCAGAGCAGAATAAATTCCTCTATCAGATTGTCTGGGAATGAGACCTGAGACTGATACATGTTGGCGTGGGGAAGGAGTCACTAAGAAGGTTACAGACATGTGGGCAAGGAGGGCAGTTGACTATGGGGGTCTGTCGTAGCGAGCAATGCTGAACCTGGGGAAGGGGATATAAAGGCCTGATGGGAGGTGGTGAGGGCTCAAAGAGAGGCATCGTCCTTACCTTTCCAGCTGCATAGCTTTGGGCAGTTCTCTACAATGTGATGATACTTGCACTGGTACAGCAGGACTGATTCCACAAGGCCATGATGCAAAAGGGATGTGCCCAGAGAAATTCCCATGGAGGAAGGCAATTAATTGTAAGCAAACCTGGGAACACGTTGGGTGGGGGTTGTCCCTCTGAGGCCTGGTTGTCTAACCCTGAGGTAGGGTTCCTAAGGAGTAGGAGGGTTGCTAAGCCTCCTTAGGAGGAACGTGGGAGAGAAGTGCCTGTCTTTGCTCTGCTGGGATGCTCCCTGAGAGAAGGATCATGCATACAAGCTGTGGATCATCAGGCTGGTCTGATGCCAACCAATGGAAACAGCAGCTTCTTTTGAGAAAGAACATGCCCAGGCCATGGATCGCTGCCTTTTGGCTTGCTCCATAGTATCCAGTCTCATAGGCAGGGGCTAATCTACCTGAAGTTCTTCCTCCTAAAAGCCTGTGCTGTATGAGTGATAGCAACTGAAAGGGGAAAAGGCTTGTTCTCCAAAAGTATGTGTTTGCAGGCTTGGGGCTTATTGGGCCCTTGATTCCGGCCACCTACATATGATATGAAAGCTGTATTTCTATTTGGCATGTGTGTAAGGAGGAGAAAGTACTGTGTGTAAGTTAGGAGCACAGACTTGAGTATCATCAGATAGACTCAGGCTTAATCATTGCCTCTGTCACTTACTTGTATATAACCTTGGGTAGCTTACTAAACGTCTGTGTCTGTTTTCTCATCTGTAAAATCGGGATGATAATTATGATTGTCTCATGAGATTGTTGTGAGGATTAAATGAGATAATATATGGAAAGCCCTTGGTGTAATATCTGGCTTAAGACTCAGCAGGGTGAGTATTCTTATCACATTCATTGTATGAAAAAGGAAACAGAGCTCTGAGAAAATAACCAACTTTGCTCGGGAAGCTACCAGGCAGGTATTATTGTAGCCCTTTTTTACAGAAAGGCCTAGTTACTTACTCAAGATCACAACCTCTGGCCTTCAAAATGAGGTGTGCTGGGATTGGAACCAGTGAGAGCAATATCATAAAACTTCTCTGACCTTCACATTCATTCACACAAACACCCATAAACAGCAGGAAGTGATCTTGGTTGAGGCTATCAGAGCCTCCTCTTGCTTTACTTTTCCACAAGGAGCCATTGTGGAAAATGAGTGCAGGCCTCCTTGTGCACAGGAGAGGGACAGAAGGAAAGAAGGCCCAGGAATGAAGAGAAGAGAACATGGAGAATTCTAGAAAATAGACCTATACTCGAGAATAGTACAGAACCCATTAGAGCCTGAGTGTCATATGTGGGCTTATTTATTCAAAAAGAAATGTTTATTTGGTAAATGGATGATTAGAATGGCAAATTTACCAAATGTTTATTTGGTAAATGGATGGTTAGAAAGGCATCAGATATATTAAAAAATAGGATAATTCCTCAACCTTGTTTGAAACTTCAAACAATTCATTGTTTTTGTTTTCCTATTTAAATGAGACAAGTGATTTCATAATCTTTCCCTTATTGAACGGACCATTTTGTTGTTGTTTAACTGAACCAACCCACTGCTTCGCTATCTTGAATAAAATGCCAAATTGAAATCTCCACATGGCTTTGATATTGATTGTCACAAAGTAAGTCAAACCAGTGAAATAGCTACTGAGATTGAACGCTTTACTGAATTAGCAACTTCCCCCACAATGGTTTGGCCACTTCTTTCACTAAACCAACTAAATCAGCCAGTTGCTTTGAACACAGTTATATTTTTTCCATGCCTTCCATAGCCACAGATAATCAGCATTTAACATCTCATGTATTCTATCAGTAAAACAGGAAAATGAATTTCTTTTTTTTTTTTTTGAGACAGAGTCTTACTCTGTCACCCAGGCTGGAGTGCAGTGGCACGATCTTGGCTCACTGTAGCCTCCACTTCCCGGGTTCAAGTGATTCTCCCACCTCAGCCTCCCGAGTAGCTGGGATTACAGGCACCCACCACCACGCTCGGCTACTTTTTGTATTTTTAGCAGAGACGGGATTTCATCATGTTGGCCAGGCTGGTCTCGGACTCCTGACCTCAGGTGATCCACCCCCCTTGGTCTCCCAAAGTGCTGGGATTATAGGCGTGAGCCATCGCATCCAGCCTAGGAAAATGAATGTCTATTTCCACTTTCTGTTTCAAGATAATGTTGGGAAAATCAATGGGGTAGGTATTGCAATTTTAAAATGATAAATTCACTTTTCTAAATGTTTTCCCAATGTTACTTTATAATGGACAGGTATTTGTGTGCAGTTTAATGGTGGTACCCTATACTTATTTGTCGTATTGATTTTCTTCTGCCACTGATGCACTGAAGTGCAAAGTGTTACATACACTTGCAGCTTGTTTTTGTACTCCGTTGGGGACAGAATCATAGATATAGCTGTTTAATCTTGGGATTGGAAAAGATCTGAAAGGCGATATTGATGGGATAGGAATGTTTAAACCCTTTTGGC
Source organism: Homo sapiens (assembly GCF_000001405.40). Classification (NCBI taxonomy): domain Eukaryota; kingdom Metazoa; phylum Chordata; class Mammalia; order Primates; family Hominidae; genus Homo; species Homo sapiens. The sequence goes on from NC_000007.14 coordinate 25,434,426, forward strand.
TTTCTCAATAAGAGACCAAATAAATGCAAAGCACGTGATATCTAAATAAAATCTGATATAACAAATATTTCCCAATACTTAGCACAGTACTTAGCAAAATGTATATTTATTGATTATAAATGCTGCACAAAAGAGTCTACACTAGCCAATTATAAAATATTAAAGTAAGGCAACTTTTCAAAATGGTTTGGTGCATTGACTACTATCATTTATTTCATCACTATAATATGTGTATATTTGATACTTCAGAAACAAGATTCAGATAAACTATTCTTTCCCTAAATTGGATACAACTGGTAATACTCTCCCCATTGAAACCACAACTTGCCAAGAAGTTGTTGGAAAACATTGTGACTCATGCTTCACCTTGAAAATCCTTCTTCAGTTCAGTGCATGAGCCCCTCAGAGAGCTCTTCCATGCACAAGGTTGTGCTATTATTCCCATCCACAAATTTCAGCTCTACTGTGCTAATTGCTTAGTGTTTGTGGGGTTGCATTTCCCCAACCAGGTTATAATCTCCTTGATGTAAAACAAGCATAAGAAAGAGATCTGACTCAACTTTCCTTTTATCTCTTGCAGCCCAGAGCACGGAGCTAGGCACATTGTAGGTAGCTAGTGAGTATTTATTCATCATTGCTCTGCAAAAGTCAGAGAAAGTTCCCTTCTTCCTCTGTGAGACATGAAAAATATTTTCTCAGTAACTACATCTTGACAAGGAGTAGCTTTCAGTGGAAATAAAACAACATTGAGAATGGAATCTATAGTTTGTGGTTTAACCTTTTTCCTATGAGATGTTTCTTCCAAACATAAAAGGCTTTAAAAATGCGGCTTTGCGTACTTACCTAACATGTAATTCATGGGGCTGAAGTCTCCTTCTTGCCTGCCCCCAAAGCCCCCTCTCCCACCCCTCCTGACTCAAGAGGATCATTTTTCTTGTTGCTGCTCCATCCTCCTCAGGTTCCCTTCTTCCTGACTCTGTTTATTCTTGTTTTACAACAAGCTGCTGTCAGTAAGACCTTCCTCAGAATCCATACAAATCTCAATATTTTAAGGAAAACTAAGCTTTTTTTCCAAATATAATATCAACCTATTTCCATTGTAGAAAAATTGGAAAGTGAAAAAATGGAAAAAAATAAGTAAATTATTATTCTACACCCCAGAAATAACTGCTGCTAAAATTTGATGGATATCACTCTATTTTCTAACCTATATTCTAAGCATTTTAATGTATTTTTCTGTTTTACAGAATTGGAATTATACTACACTTATTATATAAAAACACTTTCTCATAACATTAAATATTTTTCTACTAAATGTCCCTAAACCTTTACTATGCCCAAGAATCACCTGAGAAGGATGCTCAGCTGCATCTTCTTAATTCTTCTGAACAGAGATCTTAAACAAATAATTCTGGGGTACTATCCAGGAGTCTGTGTTATTCATATGCATCCCTAGCCAATTATGATGCAGTTATTTCTCAAACCATTCTTTAAGAAACATATTTCTACAGCATAATTTTTCATGGCTACATACTATTCTGTAATTACATATTCTGTTTAATTATATGCTCCATATGTAATTACATATTATAGTTACATATATAATTACATATCCATATAGTTACATATTCTATAATTACATATTCCATAATTTATACTATTTTTAAAATTCTCATTTTAGAAGTTACATGAACAAATAAAATGAAGTGGAGTGATATAAAGAAAAGAAGAATTTGAGGTCCTAAAAAACTGAAATTGATTTAATATGGTTTAATTTACTCATAGGGTCTTTTTATTTGAACTATCTCCTGGCCAAATCCCAGAAATGAATAGGCTCTCCCAGAGTATACAGTGAGGTAATGTCTTGGTAAATTGAGTTAGAAAGAATGACATTTGCAAAATTTTACAGAAATTAAAACTACTGTTATAAAATCCATGTGTTGTCCAAAAATATTTATACCAAAAATCTTAAGAAAATCTTCTTGTCCTAAGCCTCCTTACCTCTTTCTTTATCCTAGAACCTCATTTGTGACTGATTCTTCATATCTTTATCTGCATGCCTCTCTGAGTTTCTCCTTATGTCTATGCCATTCCCAATGTCTTTCCAGAACATTCTGTTTTTTGAAAACATTATTCCTTTATTAATGCTACTTTAAGTTCATACTGATGTACTGGATAGCCTCATTTTGCTGACCTTGCAGCCAGCACTAGCCTGTGTGGAAAAGACTCCTGGGTCCGTGTTCATTCACATCTCACCGCAACCTCAGAATATGCACTTTAATTTATTTATTAGCGTTTTAGAGGGAAAGCATATCATTTTTTCATTTAGCCTTGTTTTATTTTTTATTTATTTTGTTTATTTTATGGGGTACCTGTGCAGATTTGTTACATGCACAGAGTGTACAATTGCCAAGGCAGGGCTTTTAGGGTATCCATCACCTGATTAATGTACATCGTACCATCTTTCCAGAACATTCCTACCCTTGATGTCTCACTGTTTTAGAAAGTCTTCCTACCATTCTCCTCCACCATCATCTGAGCACCTCTGTGGGTGGATGTCATCTATAAAACCTGACAACATAATAAATGGGTGTTTTAGCTAATGCCCAAGTGAGATAACGGAGGCTGAGATAACACCCGTGGATCAGGGATCTGGTTGTCATGGTGGATTAACTAACTGACCTTTTGTTAATGTTGGAGGCCACCTGTATTTAAAGTCAGCAACGGCAGAACTCTAGAGAATATTGCTTACCAAAGGACCCAGCTGACTGACTTCACCCCTGCTGCAAGTGAGGTTCATCGTTTGTATCTGTCTGTTGTTGGAAGACTCAGGGAGACAGACACCTCAGGACTGAGGAGGAGAGAGAGGATGTGCCAAGGCTAACAGGGTAGCAGGTATCTAAGAGTTTTGTTTACAAATTTTCACATTGCTAAGTTTAATTTTAAACTTTTAAGTTAAATCTTAAAGTGTATCTATTTTTGATGTGTAAAAAGTATTCATCAAGTATAAATATGCTTGCCAAAGAGAAGACTGGAGAACACAAATAAGTGCAGAGATGATGATGATGATGATGATGATGATGATGATGATGATGATGTTAGAAAGTTCCAAAGGGTTGAGATATTTTACACAATTAATCAGAGAGGCTCCAGCTACCTCAATACAGAGGCTTAGGGAATCAGAATGTTGGCCCTATAAGTGGCTTGTAAAGTGATAGCCATTTTCCAACATCTTTACAATTCCCAGTGGTGAATGCTCATGCACATGAGTGTTTCCTACATGACTCCATGGTCTCCAGCTCATTTGTATGAGCACATTGGACTATCGGCCATGATGCTGAGTAAGGTGACAAGAAAAAGACTAGCTATGCCTGGCATTTTGCACAAGACAGCATAATCCTGAGAAGGGGTTATATATCAGAGTGGTTAAGGAACCTGTTGACAATAATACAGATACAATGAGGCATGACTTCAATTTGAGCCCAGATTTTGCTTTATTTCAAAATCTCCCTTGTCTTTCCACTTCTTCTTTGTGATTCTTTCCTCTCTGTCTAGACATCGTGGAAAACTGGTGCTTTGTGCTGCCCATCACATATTCTGTCTTCTTTTTTTCTTCAACTTTTAAGTTCAGGGGTACATGTGCAGGATGTGCAGGTTTGTTACATAGGTAAACATGTGCCATGGTGGTTTGCTGCCCAGATCATCCCATAACCTAGTCATTAAGCCTAGCATCTATTAGTTATTCTTCCTGATGCTCTTCCTCCCCCCAGCCCCCAAGAGGCCCCGGTGTGTGTTGTTCCCCAACATGTGTCCACATGTTCTTATCATTCAGCTCCCACTTATAAGTGAGAACACTTGGTGTTTGGTTTTCTGTTCCTGTGTTAGTGTGATGACGATAATGGCTTCCAACTCCATCTATGTCTTTCCAAAGGACATGATCTCATTCCTTCTTATGGCTGTGTAGTATTCCATGGTATATATGTACCACATTGTCTTTATCCAGTCTATCATTGATGGGCATTTAGGTTAATTCCATGCCTTTGCTATTGTGAATAGTGCTGCAACAAACATACACATGTATGTATCTTTATAATAGAATGGTTTATATTGCTTAGGGTATATACTCAGTAATGGGATTGCTGGGTTAAATGGTATTTCTGCCTCTAGGTCTTTGAGGAATTGCCAAACTGTCTTCCACAATGGTTGAACTAATTTACACTCCCACCAACAGTGTGAAAACACTCCTTTTTCTCCGCAACTTTGCCAGCATCTGTTTTTTATTGACTTTTAAAAAATCGCATTCTGACTGGAGTGAGATGGTATCTCATTGTGGTTTTGGTTTGCATTTCTCTAATGATCAGTGATGTTGAGCTTTCTTTCATATGTTTGCTGGCCACATGTATGTCTTCCTTTGAGAAGTGTCTGCTCATGTTCTTTGCCCACTTTTTAATGGGGTTGTTTGTGTTTTTCTTGCAAATTAGTATTTAAGTTCCTTGTAGACTCTGGATATTAGACCTTTGTCAGATGGATAGATTGCAAAATTTTTCTCCCATTCTGTATGTTTTCTCCCATTCTGTAGGTTGTCTGTTCACTCTGATTATAGTTTCTTTTGCTGTGCAGAAGCTCTTTAGTTTAATTAGATATCGTGTGTCAATTTTTGTTTTTGGTACAATTCCTTTTGGCATTTTCATCATGAAATCTTTGCTCGTGCCTATGTCCTGTATGGTATTGCCTAGATTTTCTTCTAGGGTTTTTTTGTTTGTTTGTTTTTATAGTTTTGGGTTTTACATTTAAGTCTTTAAATCATCTTGAGTTAATTTTTGTATATGGTGTAAGAAAGGGGTCCAGTTTCAATTTTCTGCATATGGCTCAGCACCGTTTATTGAAGAGGGAATCTTTTCCCCATTGCTTGTTTTTGTCAGGTTTGTCAAAGGTCAGATGGTTGTAGGTGTGCAGTTTTATTTCTGTGTTCTCTATTCTGTTCCATTGGTCTACATAGACCAATGTTTATGTATCAGTTTATGTATCAATGTTATTATATCAGTACCATGCTATTTTGGTTATTGTAGCTTTGTAGTATAGTTTGAACACAGGTAGCATGATTCCTCCAGCTTTGTTCTTTTTGCTTAAGATTGTCTTGGCTATTAGGGCTCTTTTTTGTTTCCATATGAACTTTAAAATTGTTTTTTCTAATTCTGTGAAGAATGTCAGGGTAGTTGAATGGGAATAGCATTGAATCTATAAATTACTTTGGGCAGTATGGCCATTTCCATGATGTTGATTCTTCCTATCCATAAACATGGAATGCTTTTCCAGTTGCTTGTGTCCTCTCTGTTTTCCTTGAGCAGTGGTCTGTAGTTGCCCTTGAAGAGGTCCTTCACTTCCCTTGTTAGCTGTATTTCTAAGTATTTTATTCTCCTTGTAGCAATTGTGAGTGGGAGTTCATTCATAATTTGGCTCTCTGCTTGCCTGTTGTTGGTGTATAGGAATGCTAGCAGTTTTGCACATTGATTTTGTATCCTGAGACTTTGCTGAAGTTGCTTATCAGCTTAAGAGGCTTTGGGGCTGAGATGATGGAGTTTTCTAAATATAGGATCATGTCATCCAGAAACAAAGATAATTTGACTTCCTGTCTTCCTATTTAAATACTCTTTATTTCTTTCTTTTTCCTGATTGCCCTGGTCAGAACTTCCAATACTATGTTTAGCAGGAGTGGTGAGAGAAGGCATCCTTGTCTTGTACCAGCTTTCAAGGGGAATGCTTCCAGGTTTTGCCCATTCGGTATGCTATTGACTGTGGGTTTGTCATATAAGGCTCTTATTATTTTGAAGTATGTTCCTTCAATACCTAGTTTCTTCAATACCAAGTTTTTAACATGAAGGGATGTTGAAATTTATTGAAGGCCTTTTCTGCCTTTATTAGGATAATCATGTGTTTTTTGTCTTTAGTTCTGTTTATGTGATGAATCACACTTATTGACTTGCATATGTTGAACCAACCTTGCATCCCAGGGATGAAGTCAACTTGATCGGGGTGGATAAGCTTTTTGATGTGCTGTTGCGTTTGGTTAGCCAGTATTTTATTGAGGATTTTTGAATCAATGTTTGTCAAGGATATTGGCCTGATGTTTTCTTTTTGTTGTATCCTGCCAGGTTTTGGTATCAGGATGATGCTGGCCTTGTAGAATGAGTTAGGGAGGAGTCCATCCTTTTCAATTTTTTGCAATAGTTTCAGTAGAAATGGTACCAGCTCTTCTTTGTCTCTCTGGTAGAATTCAGTTGTGAATCCATTTGGTCCTGGGTTTTTTGTTTTTGTTTTTGGTTGGTAGGCTATTTATCACTGCCTCAATTTAAGAACTCATTATTGGTCTATTCAGGTATTCAGTTTCTTCCTGGTTCAGTCTTGGGAGGGTGTATGTGTCTAGGAATTTGTCCATTTCTTCTAGATTTTCTAGTTTATGTGCATAGAGGTGTTTATAGTATTCTGTGGTGGTTGTTTGTATTTCTGTGGGGTCAGTGGTGATACTCCCTTTATCATTTCATTTCTGATTGTGTTTATTTTATTCTTCTCTCTTTTCTTCTTTATCAGTCTAGCTAGTGGGCTATCTTATTAATTTTTTTAAAAAAACAGTTCCTGGATTCTTTGATTTTTTGAAGAGTTCTTCATGCCTATATATTCTTCAGTTCAGCACTGATCTTGGTAATTTCTTGTCTTGTTAGCTTTTAGGTTTGCTTGCTGTTGGTTCTTTAGTTCCTTTAGCAGAGATGTTTTAGTTGAGATATTTGTAGCTTTTTGATGTGGGCGTTTAGTGCTATAAATTTTCCTCTTAACCCTGATTTAGCCACATCCCAGAGATTCTGGTATGTTGTCTCTTTGCTCTCATTAGTTGCAAAGAACTTCTTGATTTCTGCCTTAATTATATGCCCAAGAGTGCTTCAGGAGGAGATTGTTTGATTTCCATGTAGTTGCGTGGTTTTGAGTGAATTTCTTAATTTTGAGTTCTAATTTGATTGCACTGTGGTCTGAGAGACTGTTACGATTTTAGTTCTTTTACTTTTGCTGAGGAGTGTTTTACTTCCAATTATGTGACCAATTTTAGAGTAAGTGCCATGTGGTGATGAGAGGAATGTGTATTCTGTTGTTTTGGTTGGAGAGTTCTGTAGATATCTATCAGGTCCACTTGATCTGCAGCTGAGTTCAGGCCCTGAATATCTTGGTTGATTTTCTGTCTCAATGATCTGTCGACTGTTGTCAGTGGGGTATTAAAGTCTCCTGCTATTATTGTGTGGGAGTCCAAGTCTCCTTGTATGTCTCTAAGTACTTTATGAATCTGGATGCTCCTGTATTGATACATATATATTTAGGATAGTTAACTCTTCTTGTTTAATTGAACCCTTTACCATTATGCAGTGCACTTCGTTGTCTTTTTTGATCTTTGTTGAGTTAAAGTCTGTATTGTCAGAAACTAGGATTACAATCCCTGCTTGTTTCCATTTGCCTGGTAAATTTTCCTCCATCCCTTTATATTGAGCCTATGTGTGTCTTTACACTTGAGATGGGTCTCTTGAAGACAGCATACAGATGGGTCTTGGCTGTTTATCCAATTTGCCAGTCTGTCTTTTAATTGGGGCATTTAGCCCATTTACATTCAAGATTAGTATTGTTATGTATTTTATCCTGTCATCATGATGCTACTTGGTTATTTTGCACACTTGTTTATGTGATTGCTTCATAGTATCACTGGTCTATGTACTTCAGTGTGTTTTTGTAGTGGCAGGTAATGGTTTTTCCTTTCCATATTTAATGCTTCCTTCAGGAGTGCTTGCAAGGCAGGCCCAGTGGTGACGAATTCTCTAAGCATTTGCTTGTCTGAAAAGAATCTTATTTCTTTTTCACTTATGAAGCTTAGTTTGGCTGGATATGAAACTCTGGGTTGAAAATGTTTTTCTTTAAGAATGCGGAGGGAGGCCGAGGTGGGTGGATCATGAGGTCAAGAGATTGAGACCATCCTGGCCAACATGGTGAAACCCTGTCTCTACTAAAAATACAAAAATTATCTGGGTGTGGTGACATGCACCTGTAGTCCCAGCTATTTGGGAGACTGGGGCATGAGAATTGTTTGAACCTGGGAGGTGGAGGTTGCAGTGAGCTGAGATCGTGCCACTGCACTCCAGCCTGGCAACAGAGTGAGACTCCATCTCAAAAAAAAAAAAAAAAAAAAAAAAAGAATGTTGAATATTGGCCCCTAATCTCTTCTGACTTGTAGGGTTTCTGCTGAGTGGTCCACTCTTAGCCTGATGGATTTCCCTTTGTAGATGACTTGGCTTTTCTCTCTGACTGCTGTTAACATTTTTCCTTCATTTCAACCTTGGAGAATCTGATGATTATGTTTCTTGGGGTTGATTTTCTTGTGGAGTGTCTTACTGGGGTTCTCCACCTTTCCTGAATTTGAATGTTGGCCTGTCTTGCTAGGTTGGGGAAGTTCTCCTGGATGATATCCTGAAGTATGTTTTCCAACTTGGTTCCATTTTCCCCATCTCTTTCAGGTACCCCAGTCAATCATAGTTTAGTCTCATCACATAATCTCATATTTCTCAAAGGTTTTTATTCCCTTTTCTCTATTTTTGTTTGCCTGTCTTATTTCAGAAAGTTAGTCTTCAAGCTCTGAGATTATTTCCTCTGCTTTGTCTATTCTTCTATTGATACTTGTGATTGCATTGTGAAGTTCTCATGTTTTTCAGCTCCATCAGGTTGTTTATGTTCCTCTCTAAGCTGGCTATTCTGGATATCCACTCCTGTATTGTGTTATCATGATTCTTAGTTTCTTTGCATTGGGTTACAACATGTTCCTTTAGCTCAGCAAAGTTCATTATTACCCACCTTCTGAGGTCTACTTCTGTCAATTCGGCCATCTCAGCCTCAGCCCAGTTCTGTGCCCTTGCTAGAGAGGTATTGTGGTCATTTGGAGGAGAAGAAGCACTCTGGCTTTTTGAGTTTACGGTGTTTTGGCATTGATTCTTTCTCATCTTGGTGGGCTTATCTACCTTCGATCTTTGAGGTTGCTGACCTTTGAATGGGGTTTTGTGGGGTCTTTTTTGTTGATGTTGTTGTGATGGTGGTTTTCTGTTTGTTTGTTTTTCTTTTAACAGTCAGGCCACTCTACTGTTGGTCTGCTGTGGTTTGCTGGGGGTCTGCTCCATACCCTAGTTGCTTCAGCATTTCCTGTACCTGGAGGTACTGCCAGTGAAGCCTTCAAAAAAGCAAAGATGGCAGCCAGTTCCTTCCTCTGGAAGCTCTGTCCCAGGATAGTACTGACTTGTTGCCAACCTGAATGCACCTACAGGAGGTGACTAGAGACTCCTGTTGGGAGGTCTTACACAGTCAGGAGGAACAGGATCAGAGACCTGCTTAAAGAAGCAGTATGGCTGCTTTTTGGTAGAGCATGTGTGCTCTGTTGGGGGGGAACCCTTCCTCCTCTGGACTGTTTATATTCTCCAAAGCTGACAGGCTGGAATAGCTAAGTCAACCAAACCACAGAGATGGTGGCTGCTCCTTCCCCCAGGAGTTCTGTCTCAGGGAAAGATCAGAGCTCTATCCGTAGAACCCTGGCTGGAGTGGCCGAAGCCCTGATTGGGAGTTCCTACCCAGTGAGGAGAAATGGATTGGGGTCCTGCTTAAAGAAGCAGTCTGGCCACAATCTGGCAAGGCAGTTGTGCTGCACTATGGGGGACCCTTCCTTGTATGGACCATTTGTATTCTCCAAAGCTGGCAGGCTGGAAGAGCTGTCTACTGAACCAAAGAGATGGCAGCTTCCCCTCATTCCGGGAACTCAGACCCATCTCAGGCAGATTCCAGCCTGTTGCCATTGGCTGGCTGGAATCTCAAGCCAGTAGGTCTTAACTTGTGATGTGCCATAGAAATGGGGCCTGCAGAATGACACTGCTTGGCCCTCTGGATTCAGACCCTTCTAGGGATATGTACGAATGGATTTCCCACCTTACCAGGGATCCCGGGGGCAGAGTATGTAAAATTCCTGGGTCTCTGTGTGTGTCTGAGCAGCTGCTCTGCCAAGACTCTACACAACTCTGTGTATTGGACCCAAATCCCTGGTGGCATGGGCTCACAAGGGGATCTCCTGATCTGAGGGATGCAAAGATTCATGGGAGAAGTGTCTGTGGTTTCTCAGGCATGGCCACACAATCACTGGCCAATTCCCTTGGCTGGGAGTGGGGCGCCTTTGGCTCTATGCCACTACCAGTGGGCCATTGCCCCTGTCCTCAGCCCTGCTTTTCTTCATTCTTTGTGGGTGGAGTTGTTTGCCTAGTCAGTCCCAATGTGAGAACCTGGATATTTCAGTTGAAGGTCAGAATTCACTCATCGCTTTTCATTCCTCTTTGTGAGTGCTGCAGAACACAGCTGCTTCTAATAAGCCATCTTGGATATCCTAGTCCCCATCTTCTTTTAATAACTATACCTGGGGTTACTTTTAGGAACTGCCTTTCCCCACTAAATACAAGCTGATAGGACTATTGATTAAGATGGCGACCTGCCTTCTTTTAGGCCAATTAGATATTTCCTACCTGAAATTTAAATTTCTGTGTGAGAAAAAAATAAAAGAAATGAAAAACAACTGGACTCCATTTATTCATTCTGGCTACTGCCTCCCAGGCCCTCTGGAGTTTCTGGGTTCTTGCTCTTTCCAAGGCAGTTCCTATATGTCTTCTGACAATTCTCTGAACTCCCTGACATCCTTCCAAATAATATGTTTGCTTTTGTCAGCCTGAGTCAATTTCTGTTGCTTGCAAGCCAAGAATCTCATCTGAACAGTTACTTACAACTATGAACCCGTGAAAGTAGCAAGTGCTTTCAAACTTCACATAATCTGAAGACTCATCTAGGACAGTTGTAAAAAATACAGATTCTTGATTTCTGCCTCAGGCTCACTAAATAAGAATTTCCAGGACTGGGGCCTAAGAAAACTGTTTTTAACTAAGCTTCCCAACTAACTTCTTTTCTAGGAAAATTTTTAATTTTTTACCCTTGTCTTCCTGATTCCCAATTCTAATCCATCCCCTACATGGGTGCCTTTCCCTAAGCTCTCAATTTACAAATGATATAATGCTGTACCCAATCTGTCTATTTCTTTCTTTCTCACTCGCTATCTTTTCAATATCTATTTATATTCAGGTGCTGCACAGAATTTTATTATTTGCGTATATTGCATTGTGTTTATTCATTTCCCTGTTGATGGGAATTTAACTGTTCCCATTTTTTTTTTCCTAATACAAATGACATTGCAATAGACATCCCCCTTGGGTATCCCATGAAAGTATTTCTATTCTGTATACCAATGGTGGAAGTGCTGGATTATAGACATACACAAATACAGTTTCAGTAAATTATTCTAAATTGCTTTTCAGTAAATTGCACAATTTACAATAAGGACATGAGGTTTACTGTTTCCTCCATGACCCTGATAATGGTTAACATTATCCAACATTATATTTTATTTTGCTAATCTGGTAGATATCACATAGATCTCATCATTCTAATTGGCCTTTCTCTGGTTATTATTTATTTCTGTGCTTATTAGTCATCTAGGCCTACCTGAGATATCTACTCACATATTTTGCACATTCTTTTTAGGGTTCCTTTTGTAGTAGAATATATTTTCCAAAAATGGTCATAGCCATATTTTCCATTCCACGTTGACTTTCAGAACCTTGTCATTTTCCCATCAAGATGTGGAGTCTACTTTCCCTCCTTTGAGTCTGGGCAGGACTTTGTAACTGCCTCAGTGAATAGAATATGATGGAAATGACTGCGTTGCTTTTCAGTCTAGGTCATAAAAATCAATACAGCTTCTCCCTGTTCTCTCTCATTGTGTTTCTCTCTCTCTTGGATCTTACCCTTGAAACCCAACCACTGTGTTATAAGGAAACTCAGAGCACATGACCAAGCAGTATTAGGTGTTCCTGCCAACATCTTCAGCTAAGAATTCAACTCCTCACTAATATTGATTGTGATACCTGAGAATGAGTAAACCTCTAGGACAGAGTCAGCAAACATTTTCTTTAAGAGCCAAGTAGCAGATATTTAGACTATTCTTAGTTCATGGGCTGTATAAAAATAGACAGAATTTGGCCTGTGAGGCTGTAGTTTACCCTGCTTTAAATGGTTCCTATACCCAACCTTTAAGGCATCCCAGCTAAAGGTGAGTGGAGCAGAAATGAGCTGACCCCACTGAGCTTTGTCCAAATGGTAAGTACATGAACAAAACAAATGGCCTTATTTGAAGCCACTGAATGTAGGAGTAATTTGTATTATAGCCATAATAGCTAGAACACCTGGTTTTTTTTCTTGTTGATTTTTGGAAATTCTTTATTTGTTCTACATATTCATCTTTAGTGAATTTCAGATATTGCTGACATCTTTAATCTTTTCATTTTATCTATATGCTCTTCTTTAAGTAGAAATCTTCATTTTTTAGGTTATCAAAATATCAATTACTAGCTGGATAATATTGGGCATATTATTTGTTTCCTTATCTATTAAATAATAATAATAATACCTAGTTGATAGGGTTGCCATGCCAATTAAATGAATACCTGTCAAACATATAGACCACTATCTGACATATACTAACTGCTACAAAAAGATTCGTAAAAAATAAATAAATAATTTATCTTTATATCATGGACTTTTTGTGTCTCACTTAGGAAGTGCTTTTCTACCTGTTCTTGTGTGGTGCATATCTATTTTGGTATCAAGGTTATGCTAATATCAAAAAAATTAATTGGACATATTTTTCTCTTTTTCTGTTTTCTGTAATATCTACAACATAGTCTTATCTGTTCCTGGAAAGTTTGGTAAACCTTTAAACCAATACAAATGCTTTGGAGGGGGATTTATAGGGATGAAGAGAAAATTACTATTTCAATTTTTCCAATTAGTATCCATTTGTTCAAGCTTTCTGGCTTTTTGGGCCAATTTAAGCATTTTATATTTTCATTGGAAATTTTCATTTGTATCTAGTTTGTAAAATTTATTGGAGCATATTTGTATATAATAATATGCTTGTGAGATTTTACAGATCTCTGCTTTATTTGAAGTTGCCTCTTTTTCACTACATATTTTGCTTATTTGGGGTTTTTCCCTGTCTTTTAATCAATTTTACCTTACATTTTTGTAAGCATATTAGTGTTTTCAAATAATCAATATTTTGTTTTACAATAATTTTTATTTTTTTAGTTCTCTAATTGATTTCCACCATTATCTTTATTTTCTTATTTCTTGATTCTTTATGTTTACTCAATTGGTTGATCTCCAGCTTTCTTTAATTGCAAATTTAATTGCTTTATTCTCATTTCTTTTTGATTTATAATAAATGCATTCAAATATGTGATTTTCTCTTTAAGTACTATTTTACCTGATTGCCATAAAAATTGATATATATTGCTTTCCTTTACCTTAGTGCTACCCCATTATATATTCTTTTTTGGATGTCAAAATAATTTTTTATTATTGGCAGTTAACAACTACTTTGACCAAGAATAGCATTCTGCAAATCAGGCTGTTACATTATCACATTATCTAGTCTGTTGTTTCTCTATGTCTAATAATTCCTTGAATAAAAGTGTCAGGATTTTTTTGTAAAAATCAGATTTAACATCATAATCTACATTATATTTTCATAATAATTTGGATTCTAATATCTTAGTTATAACAAAACGGGCAATTGTTTCCAAAGTATTTTGTGCCTAAAATTTCTTATTGATGTGGTCAACTCGTGTGTGTATGTGTGTGTAAATATATATATTTATATACATATATTTATTAATAACTACAATTGTTGTTTTGTAGACTTATTCCAAAAAATTTATCTGTTTGTCCAGTATTTGTCTAATATATTTCATTATTGTTGTACCTTCTTGATATAGTATTTTCCCCTATATTTTCAACATTTTAGAATACTTTTATTTTTTCAGTGTCTCCTGTAAGTAGTATATGGCTGGGTTATTTTTAAAATCAGAGCTTAAATTCTCTTTCAATTAGAATTTAACTCATTTACAATTATTGTAATTTCTTCTATATTAGGACTTATTTCTGACATTTTATTTTATATTTAACCATGTTTTAAAAATTACTCTTTATACTTTCTTGTATTTATTTAAAAAGATAAATGTTTAAATTTGTTTAAAATTTTTTCACCGATATTTTGAAGTTATGCAGATCCATACGTAGTCTTAATTTTCCCTTTTAAAGTTTAAAGCTTATCAACAGTTTTGTCTTCCACTTGAAAATGACAAAAACTCTAACAAACTTTCACTATCCCCCATGTTCCTCTCTATTTCTTAAATCCTTAAACTTTTGATTCCAGATTTTGTAATATGTATATAAAATATATTAAAATATTTAGTGTATGTACACCCTCCCAAGACTAAACCAGGAAGAAGTTGAATATCTGAATAGACCAATAACAGGCTCTGAAATTGTGGCAATAATCAATAGCTTACCAACCAAAAAGAGTCCAGGACCAGATGGATTCACAGCTGAATGCTACCAGAGGTACAAGGAGGAGCTGGTACCATTCCTTCTGAAACTATTCCAATCAATAGAAAAAGAGGGAATCCTCCCTAACTCATTTTATGAGGCCAGCATCATCCTGATACCAAAGCCTGGCAGAGACACAACCAAAAAAGAGAATTTTAGACCAATATCCTTGATGAATATTGATGCAAAAATCCTCAATAAAATACTGGCAAACCGCATCCAGCAGCACATCAAAAAGCTTATCCACCATGATCAAGTGGGCTTCATCCCTGGGAGGCAAGGCTGGTACAACATATGCAAATCAATAAACGTAATCCAGCATATAAACAGAACCAAAGACAAAAAACACATGATTATCTCAATAGATGCAGAAAAGGCCTTTGACAAAATTCAATAACCCTTCATGCTAAAAACTCTCAATAAATTAGGTATTGATGGGATGTATCTCAAAATAATAAGAGCTATCTATGACAAACCCACAGCTAATATCATACTGAATGGGCAAAAACTGGAAGCATTCCCTTTGGAAACTGGCACAAGATAGGGATGCCCTCTCTCACCACTCCTATTCAACATAGTGTTGGAAGTTCTGGCCAGGGCAATTAGGCAGGAGAAGGAAATAAAGGGTATTCAATTAGGAAAGGAAGAAGTCAAATTGTCCCTGTTTGCAGATGACATGATCGTATATCTAGAAAACCCCATTGTCTCAGCCCAAAATCTCCTTAAGCTGATAAGCAATTTCAGCAAAGTCTCAGGATATAAAATCAATGTGCAAAAATCACAAGCATTCTTATACACCAATAACAGACAAACAGAGAGCCAAATCATGAGTGAACTCCCATTCACAATTGCTTCAAAGAGAATAAAATACCTAGGAATCCAACTTACAAGGGACGTGAAGGACCTCTTCAAGGAGAACTACAAACCACTGCTCAATGAAATAAAAGTGGATACAAACAAATGGAAGAACATTCCATGCTCATGGGTTGTAAGAATCAATACTGTGAAAATGGCCATACTGCCCAAGGTAATTTATAGATTCAGTGCCATCCCCATCAAGCTACCAATGACTTTCTTCACAGAATTGGAAAAAACTACTTTAAAGTTCATATGGAACCAAAAAAGAGCCCACATCGCCAAGTCAATCCTAAGCCAAAAGAACAAAGCTGGAGGCATCACGCTACCTGACTTCAAACTATACTACAAGGCTACAGTAACCAAAACAGCATGGGACTGGTACCAAAACAGAGATATAGACCAATGGAACAGAAGAGACCCCTCAGAAATAATGCTGTGTATCTACAACCATCTGATCTTTGACAAACCTGACAAAAACAAGAAATGGGGGAAAGATTCCCTATTTAATAAATGGTGCTGGGAAAACTGGCTAGCCATATGTAGAAAGCTGAAGCTGGATCCCTTCCTTACACCTTATACAAAAATTAATTCAAGATGGATTAAAGACTTAAACGTTAGACCTAAAACCATAAAAACCCTAGAAGAAAACCTAGGCAATACCATTCAGGACATAAGCATGGGCAAGGACTTCATGTCTAAAACACCAAAAGCAATGGCAACAAAAGCCAAAATTGACAAATGGGATCTAATTAAACTAAAGAGCTTCTGCACAGCAAAAGAAACTACCATCAGAGTGAACAGGCAACCTACAAAATGGGAGAAAATTTTCGCAACCTACTCATCTGACAAAGGGCTAATATCCAGAATCTACAATGAACTCAAACAAATTTACAAGAAAAAAACAAACAACCCCATCAAAAAGTGGGTGAAGGGTATGAACAGACACTTCTCAAAAGAAGACATTTATGCAGCCAAAAGACACATGAAAAAATGGTCATCATCACTGGCCATCAGAGAAATGCAAATCAAAACCACAATGAGATGCCATCTCACACCAGTTAGAATGGCGATCATTAAAAAGTCAGGAAACAACAGGTGCTGGAGAGGATGTGGAGAAATAGGAACACTTTTACACTGTTGGTGGGACTGTAAACTAGTTCAACCATTGTGGAAGTCAGTGTGGCGATTCCTCAGGGATCTAGAACTAGAAATACCATTTGACCCAGCCATCCCATTACTGGGTATATACCCAAAGGACTATAAATCATGCTGCTATAAAGACACATGCATACGTATGTTTATTGCGGCACTATTCACAATAGCAAAGACTTGGAACCAACCTAAATGTCCAACAACGATAGACTGGATTAAGAAAATGTGGCACATATACACCATGGAATACTATGCAGCCATAAAAAATGATGAGTTCATGTCCTTTGTAGGGACATGGATGAAACTGGAAATCATCATTCTCAGCAAACTATCGCAAGGACAAAAAACCAAACACTGCATGTTCTCACTCATAGGTGGGAATTGAACAATGAGAACACATGGACACAGGGAGGGGAACATCACACTCCGGGGACTGTTGTGGGGTGGGGGGAGCAGGGAGGGATAGCAGTAGGAGATATACCTAATGCTAAATAACGAGTTAATGGGTGCAGTACACCAACATGGCACATGTATACATATGTAACAAACCTGCACATTGTGCACATGTACCCTAAAACTTAAAGTATAATAATAAAAAAATAAAAAAGTAAAATAAAATAAAATATTTACTGTATGTAAATATAAATTTATAGTCATTTCTAATTTATATATTATTAAACAGGTTATTTCTTTGTGCACTCTTGCTTCCATATCACATTGCTTCTGCTTGGATTAATTAATCTTCTTCATGAAGGAGTCATTTGAGTTCTTCAGAGAACTTGCATTTAATGTGACAAATTATTGGCAACTTTGTATGCCTGAAAATATATTTTTTTCACCTATTCAGTGAAAGTTTAAGTGGCTATAATTCGAAGTTCATTATTTTTTCTTTCAATACTTTGAATGTGCTAGAACATGTATTGTCAAAAAGTCTAGTGTTAACCTGAATTTTGTTCTTTTTAGGTAAACCACTTTTACTCTTTTGAAGCTTGAATTTTTTTTCTCTTTGCGTTTATTGCTCCTAAATTTTGCTATAATATACCTATGTATAGTTTTTCTTATTTGTATCCAGCTCAGTACTCTCTAGTTCTTTCTATGTAAGGTGTTATATCTTCACTTCTGGTCATTCTTAGTTGCTGTGTCTTCAAATATTGCCTCCCATAGCTCTGAAACTCCTATGGGGCAGAAGTAGGCACAGCTATATCTATCTGCTATATCTCATAATTTTGGTATTTTTTATTTCTATATTTCTTTTGCATATTTTTTATTTGAGCATCCTTTTCCATCCTGCCTACTAATTTGATCTTTGGTTTTATTGATTTTGCTACTTAACTCATAGGTTGAATTTTCATAGCACCACCACCCCCAACCACACACACACACACACACACACACACAGAAAGAGAGAGAGAGATTGAGCATCATTATCCAAAATGCTTGGGACCAGAGGTGTGTTGAATAACATTTCTTAAAAAAAATTCTGAATACTTGCATATACATAATGAGATATCTTGGGGATGGAACTCAATTCTAAACATGAAGTTTGTTTATGTTTCATATATAGCTTATATGCATAGTCCGAAGGTAATTTTATATAATCTTTTGAATAATTTTATACCTAAAGTTTGTGTTAAGTACTTATGCATAGAATTTTCCACTTGTGGCATCATGTCAGTGCTCAGAAACTTCAGATTTTGGAACATTTCAGATTTTAGATTTTCAGATTAGGAATGCTCAACATATATGTATGTGTGTGTGTGTTTGTGTGTATGGATATACATCTATATATATCTCCAGGTGGCTTTTCTTGGTCATCTGTTCTTTGCTTACAAAATACAAAAGAAATAAAATTTGAAAGTGAAGATCAGGCCATGATGAAGATTTTCAAAAGTAATATTAAAAAGTTGGTTGCATTACTCCAAACTCCCTCATCAAAGAGAATATAAAAGAGACAAGAAGCCCCAGCGCGGTGGCTCACGCCTGTAATCCCAGCACTTTCGGAGACCGAGGCAGGCGGATCACGAGGTCAGGAGATCTAGACCATCCTGGCTAACACAGTGAAACCCCATCTCTACTAAAAATACAAAAACTTAACCGGGTGTGGTGGCACGTGCCTGGTAGTCCCAGCTACTCGGGAGGCTGAGGCAGGATAATCCCTTGAACCCAGGAGGTGGAGGTTGCAGTGACTCAAGATTGCGCCACTGTACCCTAGCCTGGGCGACAGAGCGAGACTCTGTCTAAAAAAAAAAAAAAAAAGTCAAGACTGGGATACTGGGATAGAGTGATGAGAGATGTCGTTGCTTTACCTCAAACTTGTGAGAGATCTTTAATACAAATTTTTGTGGAATTTAATGTGCAGTTTCTGGATTCAATGGGAAACAGAGAACAGATATTATGACTCTCATGTTAGAAAGCAAGAGAAGTGAGTAGGAACTTGCTTTAATAGAGGAGTAAAGAAAAACTACCACTGTTTTGGAATTCACTTACACTCCCAGAGTTTGTCCAAGCAAGTGATGCTTTAGTATTTCTTATGGAACCTTAGAGTCATGTTAAGATCTGCTCCAGATGCCCCTCTGGAAGGGCAGAGAGCCTAAGTGAAATGGTTTACCCCAAATCCCGGGCTGAGTGGAGTCAATGGCTAAAAGAACGGGATGCGTTTTCTGTGACACAGAAGTTGCAGTTGAAAAGGTTCAGTCAGGGAGCTTTTGATGAGGCCATGAGTTTCTCCATGAGAGAAAGTGTTAGTGTTAAACATCAGCTAGACCCAGAGACAGCAAAGCTATCTAACAATAGTAGCATCAAATGAGAACTTCCCATCTTCTTTCTCTCAGCTTTGATACTGGCAAGACCAGAAATTCTGGCTGTCAAGCTTGGGGAGAAAAAGAAATGCTGGGGGAAAGAGAAGGACTCGCTCCACCTCCCTAAAGGCAGCCACCCTCCTGCAACCAGTACTAGCTGGGGAATGGTGGAAGATTTGTATCAAGATTGAGGTATTAATTAAAATATTGTGCTGGGTATTCAAAGTGACCATGAAACTTGCTACTCTTGTGAAAGACCAACTTTTTTAGAGGAGGAAAGCAAGGGCTTCTCCTGAGTAGGCTTAAAGGGACACTAGGAGAAACAAAAATAAAGTTTATTTATAATGACACCCTATAAATTCCCTTATTCAACCTACTAACTCCATTAGCTTAAACTTCCTGTTCCATTTTACTGCAGGGTTGCTTCCATGTGTATAGGATCTTTTTCTTTGACTCTTTTATTGTGCTTTATGTGGCACATTTGCTCTCGTGATTTCTGGCTGAGTTCTTCAATCGCCACACTTGCACAGCTGTCTGGGGGATGACACGCCCTCCTCCATCCAGCACTGTGTTCTGCAAACCTGTGTTCTTCAGAGTCGGTTTAAACAACAGCAGGTTATACCTCCCAGCTGTATAGTCTGAAGTTTCTTCTGGTTTTCTCTAGTGTTCTCAGTTTTCTTTGGTGTTCCAGCACCATAGAGCATCATTTTGTTCCTTTGCCCAGGATTGCCCTCATTCAGCACAGACATCCTTTTATTAAATTGTACAGCCCTTGGTGCCTGTGGCCCAGCTAGTCTACAACCACTCCCCTTCTGAGCCTGCCTCTGGGAAAGCCCTAACGTCATCACGCTCCTCAGTTCTCTCCTGATCCAGGCAGCTGTTTTCCCTGAATGCCAGGACGCAACAGCCTCAAGCCTCTCCTGGGTTTCTCTCGGTTTTGCTCTATGTCACAGTTTCCCAACCTCAGCACTATTAACAGTTTGTGCTGCGTAACTCTTTGCTGTGGGCGCTGTCCTGTGTGTTGTAAGACATTTAGCAGTATCCCTTACCTCCACCCACTAGATGCCATAACACTCACCACAGCTATGACAGCCAGAAATGTCCAGACATCCAAATGTCCCCCAGGAGTCAGAATTGGCCCTAGTTGTGAACCACAGCCTTAGGTGCTGAGTTCAGCTTCTCTCGGTCTTTCTAGGCATCCCCAGGCTTTGCTATGGCAGGCGGAGCTGACAACTCATTTCCTGTTTTACCGTCTTTCTATTTATACTGTAACGTCTCCAAGTCAGATAATTAGAAACCCCATTATCTCCCTAATTACCAGAGGTAAAATCCCTCATAAACTCCCCAAAAGGGTCCCGGGGCCACCTAAGAACCTAGCAGGTCAGGGAAGGAATAAATAGGCTTCCTATGAGCTGGACCTGTTCCAAGAGCTCTGCGTGTACCATCTCGGTTAATCCTGACGGCTCTGCTAGGCTGGGGACTGTGTTCATCCTCATTTTCCAGTTGAGGAAAGCTAGCACAAAGGTGTACAGTAACTTAGTTTAGGCCACATTACTGCAAGTGATAGGACTAGGATCAAACACATCTATTTTGCACCAGCAAACCAGGATCAGGCACAGTCTGCTTCCAAAGACTGTGCTTTAAAAACTAAGCCAATCGGGAACGACCCACACAGAAAGAGAGTCTTTTGGTGGGAAAAGAAAGACCGATGGCATGGCTGATGGCAGCCCAAGGGGACAGTAGACAAGTAATTCCCTGGGGTTTGAAGAAAAAGCCGAGGAGGAGGACTAAAGGGGCTGTCTGAGATCCGTGACCGAGGAAGGGGGGGTCCTACACCAGCGTCTCCTGCATGGGTCATTTCCTACAGCGTCGGTGCCCCCTCACACTCCTCCTCTTGTCTGCAGCCTCCTGCCCACCTCTGCCCCCTTCTGCATCTGCCTGACTCCTACTTGCTCTGTAAGATTCAGCCATGGTGTCACCTTCTCTGAGAAGCCTAAGACCCCAGTCTGTACTGGGGACTCCCTCTTACCTCCCACAGCTCTTTCACTCAGTTCTGCAAAAGAGGTTTAACTTTCTGTTTGCCGAACTAGTCAGTCCCGTGGTGACGTCAGGATTATCTTTCTCTCACTTCAGTGCCTCTGGGACTTAATAGGTGCACGAAGAATATTTATAGGTGCCTGAGAAATGCTTGCCGAGAAATGACTGGCTGTTCCAAGGCATTTCCAGGGCAAGGCAGTCCAGTCTGTGCCGGGCCGGGCGGTTGTAGAGGAGGGGATTGGGTTGGGGGAGTGAGCAACCTGTCTCAGTTTGCCTGAGATTGTCCTGATTTTAGAGTTGAAAGCCTGGCATCTTGGGAAAGCCGTCAGTCTCAGGCAAATGAGACATTTGTCATCCTGCAGGAGGGGGACAGTGGTACAGTGGGAGTCAGGAGCACTGTTTTTTTTTTTTTGGCGGTTCCTGTAAATGAGGATGGTTTTCAAAGATGGTTTCCAGAAGTTTTCAAAGATGATTTTCAAACCCAAAGGATCAAATGGTATTCAATTGTTCAGGGTAAAAATTCACATCAAAATTTAATGAAAATGACAGCTTTTCCTCATGTCTAAGTTTTGACACAAAACAAAACTCCTACAATAATAGCAACAACAACAAAATTTTCCTAGTATGGTCATAGACTTGCTCTCCTCCTACGGTTTCCTTTGATTGCTCCCAGAAAGGGACACATACTTGGGAACCTTCTTGCTTTTCCCTGTTGCCACATCTCTTTTGGCCTTGGCCAAATCATACTGCTGAGAGAGACTAACTGTTGCGGTATCTTTTATCAGCCAGGTCTAGAGGAGTCTCATCCCTACTCCCTGGTCCCTGATGTCACTGGGGTAGCTCTTCTCTTCTAGAAACAGGATGGGGACTGCTCACAAAACAGTTTTGCCACAGGCAGAGCCTACACTTTCAGCCTGGCCCTATCTGAGTTCTTTCTCTGGCCCTCCCAGACACGGAGAGGTCTTTAAGATAAAAAAATTTGGCATTGGATTTTAAGTCTGGCACCCCAGGCTGAAATCTGGCACCCAGGCAATAGACTCACTTTGTGTGGGTTCGCTATATCTAAATGTAAGAGAACAGATAACAACAACAAAATTTAATTTTGGCTTTCATCTTCCTGTTTATATCTTTCTTGTTTACTTAAGCATGTGGCCTGCTGACAGCTGGCAAGCTCACAAAAAAAAGGAAGATAGACTAGTTCTGATTGCCCTAGGGTAACCTCCTTAGTGAAGTCCTGTAAGGAGTTCTGGGCTGTCCTTCACTGGCCTTTGCTGCAAAGCAGTCCTAGAGCCTTCGCATTAGCAATGCCCGACACCTGCTTCGCTCCCGCTGCTTTGCTTTTCCACCCACAAAGTACTTGAAGAACAGAGTAGTGAGGAAAGCCTGACTTTCGGTACTTACCAGCTGTGTGACCTTCAGCAATCCTTAAACTTTTTCTCCATTATAGAATGGGTATACTAATTATTCCTATCTCATAGTAATTTTCTTGAAAGATTAAATGAGGTTGCTTCTGGGAACACTTGGTAGGGAGGTGGAATGTTTTAAGCAGTTTGTAAAAGTTAGCTCCGTGATTCTCATTTGAATTCAATTTTGCTCCCAGGGGACGTGTATAAAGACACGTTTAATTGTCACACCTTGGGGTGGGGGATGTCACTGGCCTCTAGTGGGCAGAATGCAGGTATTTTATAATACACAGAAAAGCCCCCTACCTCCCTACTCCACCAAAAAAAGACAGAAAGAAAGAGAGAGAGAGAAAGAAAGAGAGAGAGAGAGAGGGAGGAAGGAAGGAAGGGAGGGAGGGAGAGAGAAAGAAAGAGAAAGGAGAAAGAAAGAAAAGAAAAGAAAGAGTTATCCTATTTAAAATATCAATGGTGTTGAGTTTGGGAAATCCTGCATTAGCTATTACTATGTTATTATTCCTGTGGAAGTAATGCCTCTTTATTCTGGATTAGCTTCATGGAGACATAGTCGTAGATATATGAGAAATTCACAAATCCTGTGATCTTATTTAATAGGTGAGTGTGTTACCAAAACAAGTGGATGCTGATCAATGTAGAATTGACCTGTACACATTGTTGATCATAATGTCCATATTATCTTATAATATATTCTCAGCTGTCTCTCCAAAAAAGAACAGTCTAAGACTCCGTATACATATTAGCTCCCTTTATTCCTTTGGTCTTAGAAGATAAACTACACTTTAAAAAAATTAATAGTGGGCCAGGTGCAGTGGCTCACACCTGTAATCCCAGCACTTTGGGAGACCAACAGGGGTAGATCACTTCAGATCAGGAGTTCGAGACCAGCCTGGCCAAGATGGTGAAATCTCATCTATACTAAAAATAGAAAAATTAGCTGGGTGTAGTGGCAAATGCCTGTAATCCCAGCTACTTTGGAGGCTGAGGCATGAGAATCGCTTGAACCCAGGAGGTAGAGGTTGCAGTGAGCCAAGATCATGCCACTGCACTCCAGCTTGGGCAATAAAGGAACACTCTGTCTTGAAAAAAAATTAATAGTGTTATAATTTTTCCCTTACAAAAGCAATGCTACACAAATTCATTATTTAAAGAATTAAAAGGTACCATTCTTCTTGACTCTCCTATGGGTTTGATTGGATGCAGAGTTAGAAGAGAATTCATAATTGGCTTAGACTGGTGAGGCTGCCAAGCTCTTGAAATGTTTGTTATCAATTCAATTCATATTTATTGAGCACCATCTATTTGCCTAAACCATGCTAGTTGCTGGAGAGATGGTAGCAGATAAAATGAATACATGGTCTGGTTCAGAAGATGGAAACTATACAATTAATTACAAGTATGTTACATATTATGAAAGGGGACAGAGAGCAAGGAGATTATTTAATAGAGTCCTAGAGGTGCCAAAATGCTCACTGAGGAAGTAACATTTAAGCTCATCACATGAAGAAGTTTCAGGTAAACACGTGTGAAGATATGAGCTGAGGGAAGGCAATGAAAAGACATATAATTATGGGGTGTACTTGTTACAACTGCTCTCGATTTAGAGTTTTCCATGTGGTTACATCGTTTTGAGCCCATGTGAAGGAACCCACTCACTTGTATGTATGTCCAGCTCTGCCCATGTTTAGATAACATGTTAGGTTCAAGCAAAAATCACTGTACGACTAGCTCTTCCTTGAAAAGCAGAATTTTACGACGTGGCAAAATAAGGACTAATCACGTGCCCTTCTTCTGCCTTTCAAAACCTTCAAATGCTAAATGTCTCACATCTTTTTTCTAATAGGCTCCTTGTTTTGCTTATTTTACTTAGCACAAATCAGAGCTAACACAATCCCATTTTTAATAGCTCTCTTTCAAAGTCTGTTGATATGCCAGTTGGTATGAATCATCCTAAATGTCCTTCCTTATGGGCTAGACCCATCTGTCAAGATCTACAAAATAATATTTCCTGCTTATGGGAGATATCTATGCAGAGCAAGTGCCCTGCCAAGGAGAATGCCACAAAAGCTGCATGCTAATACTCCAGTTCCCTGCAATCTTATCTTCTAGATTTTTCAGAGAAACACAGATCCTATAGACCCACAATTAGCAATGAAATCAGTTTTCCTAGTCTGACCTAGAAGAGAGCTTTGCCATGAGTGTAGGGTTGCCAGAATTTCAGGAAAAAAAAAAAAAAAAAAACAAGACAAATTGTTTTTTAGGCTAAGTTTATCCTTTATACAGGACATACTTATGCTACAAAACTATGTATTATTTATCTCAAACTCTTTGCTTACAAGGCATTGTTCAATGTTTAAAAAGCACCTGTTTATTCATCTTCTTCAGGTCTTTGCTCAAATGCCATTTTCTCAGTCATGCCTTCCTTGATCACCTTATTTAAAACTGGCAACGCCCATCTCTCTTCCTTGCCTTTGTTCCCTTTTATCATGTATCATCAAATTATCTATGTATTTTATTTATTGATTTTCTTCCCCTGTAGAATGTAAGCTCCTTAATAGCATAAATTTTGGTCTATTTTATTCACTATTGGATCCCCAGCACCTAGAACAGACTGTAACATACAGCAGGTACTCAGTAAGTAGCTGTTGAAATCATTCATTCATTTGTAAATTACTGTGGATAGAAGCATGGACTCTAAGGACTCACTAACTTGAGTTTGAATTCTGTCCCTGAAAAATATCTGTTGTGATGTCAGATGTGTTGTTTCATTTTCTCTTCCTCAGTTTCCTCTTCCATAAAATGAAGATAACAGTAGTACCTCTTGGATGGATGTGTTAAGAAAAAGATAATGCCTGTGAAGTACCTAGCGCAGGACCTAGCACAGTACATAGCACGGTACCTGGAGAACTGTAAGCATTTAATAAATGGAATTTATCTATTTAACAAATACTTGATGAACATGTTTTCTGTCTCACAGAATGTTGTGGGTATTGGGAGGACCACAGTGATGCATAGTCCTTGCCCTCTAAGAGGTGATAACCTAGTGAGGAAATAAACAGATAATAGTCACGGATTATGATAAATAATCTATAGGAGCATTAGGAGGGCACTGGACCCAGAATTGGGTTGGGGGGTAAGGAGTGGTCAGGAAAGGTTTCATGGAAGAATTGCTATCTGTTTTAAAGTAATAGGCTGTGACTAACCAGAAGAAGATGAAATGCGGGTTGGTAGGGTAGAGAAAGTATTCCAAGAAAAGGGAACAGCAGATACCAGAACCCAGAGGACAGAGTGAACACATGACCACCACGTTGGGGAAGAGCAAGCAGGTCAGTGTGTCTGGCTCAGGGACAGAAGCACAAGGAAGGGAGGAGATGCGAGCTGAGCCTGAGAGATCAGCAGGACACGTCACAGAGGAACTTATAAGCCTTATCAAAGACTTTGGACTCACCCGGGGGAAAGAAGAGCCAAATTCCTCCATCTGCAGTATGAAACTGGATTTGGAGAACTGAAAGTAACACTAGATAAAGGGAAGGCAGTAAGGAGGTTTAGGTAATCATCCAGATAAAACAGGATGGGGTAATGGGAATGGGAAGAAGTGACTTAGAAAATAATTAGAAGATAGAACAGAGGGGATTTCAGGATTTCTTGTTCATTGAAACAATAACTTTGTAAGGAGCTCTATTTTCTGTGGATTTTTCTTTCTCAAAATGTTGTTGAGCTTGTAGAATAAATTGAACAATAGTCTATCATCTTGAATGTACTGGAGAAGTTTGTATAGAGTTAGTATTATTTAATCCCTTAAATGTTTGATAGAATTCATCAGTGAAGCCATCTGGGCCTGTAGTTTTCTTTGTGGAAAGATTTTTAAATACATATTTAACTTCTTTAATAGATATAGGTTTAGTTATGTTATCTATTTCTTTTTGAGCACGCTTTGATAGTTTGTGTCTTTGAAAGAATTTTTCCATTTTAGTTAAATTGTCAAGTTTATGTGTGTAATGTTGTTCATTATTTCCTTGTTTTCATTTAATGTCTGTAGAATGGTAATGTTGTCACCTTTCTCATTCCTGATATTGATACTTTGTATCTTTTCTATTTGAGTCACGATCAGTTTGGCTACAGGGTCGTCAGCTTTATTGGATCTTTTCAAAAAATAAGCTTTTCATTTCATTGATTTTTCTCTGTTTTCTTTTCCTGTTTTCTATTTAATTGATTTCCACCTTGATCCTAATCTTTGCTATGTGTTATGTGCACTTATTATTTAATTATTTTATCTTCAGAGTGAATTGACCCTTCTATCATTATAAAACATTCCTCTGTTTCTAGTAATTTTTTTGTCTTATAATCTATTTTTTTCTGATATTAGTATAGCTACTCCAGCCATTGTACTAGAACGCCTGCAATATAGTTCTTATAACTTTCATTGTCCTTGTCTGCCATTCCTAAAATCGGTGCTAGTTCTTAGTTTCTATTGGTTGATTATCCTCTTCATTATGGGTAGTGTTTTCCTGCTTCTTTGCATACCTGGTAGCTTTTCATTTTGATGCCAGATGTTATGAATTTTACCTTGTTGGGTGGAGGACAGTTTTGTATTCTCATGCATATTCTTGAGCATAGTTCTGAGATGCAGTTAAGTTATGTGGAAATTGTTTGTTCCTTCTGGGTTTGACTTTTATGATTTATTAGGCAGGTCCAGAGCAATGCTCAGTCTAGGTCTAATTATCCCCCATTACACAACCCATTGTCCTTTGCATTATCGTTTCTCTAGTCTGGTTGGTAAGAGCAGGCACTATTTCCACCTTGTATGAGTCCCAGGCACTGTGCCCTCTTACCCTCTTGGCTGGTTCTTTCCCCAGCCTCAGGTATTTCCTTGACAGCCATACAGTGGTCAGTACTCTGTTGAATACTCAAGGGTAACTGTCCACAGAGGCATCTCTCTCATCGCCAGTGCTCTGTCCCACACGCAGTTTTCTCCGTGGAGTCTCAGCTCGATTTCCTCTCCACAAGGAATCCCTTGGACTCTCTCTTGGTCACATATTTTCTGTGCCATCACCTAGAGACCCTCTCAATGCGGGAAGCTGTGGCACTCATAAGACTCACCTCTTTTTTACCTACCTTGCAGGGAAGGCTGTCCTTTATTTTTCAGCACCCGCTGCCTTAAAAACCACTGTTTCATCTATTTTGCCTTTATTGAGGGAGGGCATTGCTCCAGGCAGCAGGTAAATCTGGTTCCTGTTTTGTCACCATGGCCGGAAGTAGAAGTCCCTCTTATATTATTTTGAACCTGAGAAATACAATTATTTTACTGACAAATACTTTAGTATATACCGCCAAAAGATAAGAATACTTTAAAAATGGATAACCACAGTACCGTTATCTCACCTTTAGAAACTGACAATGATATTTTAATATTTGTTATTAAATATCTCATAAATGTCTTTTTATTTTAATCATTTGTTTGCTTGAGTCAAGATCCAAATGCGGTCCACACCCTTGGTTGATATGCCTCTTCAGTCACTTCTAACCTGTAGTTTATCCCTCCATCTCCCCTATCTTCCTCCTTTCTCTATCACTTTCTGTCTCTCTCAGTTTGTTTTTTGAGGAAACCAGTCTTTGCTTCATAGTGTTTTCCATACTCCTGACTGTGCTGACCCCACCAGCATATTTCTCTATCCTCTATATTTCCTGCAAAATGTTAATGGGTCTAGAAACTTGATCAGGTCCAGGATCCATGCGCTTTTTAATGCGCTTTATGAACTCTTTATATTTGAGATAATTATGGTTAAAACTCCTAAGGAAGCCACAGAAAAGGATTATTGTAAGTTCTACTACCAGAGGCTCCTGGAGACGTTCCTTTGTGAATCTAATTTTTACTCATCATATGTAACCTTAGGTCATTCATTCATGTCTAAAAGGAGCAGTTGGATTCAGTGAAAAGGCTAATACAGGGAGAGACAAAACCCAGGAAAATGTAAAATATCATGGACTAAACTACTGAGCCAAGTGTCCTAGAAAGGACATAGCAAAGAAGACTGGAGATGGCTGAATTGAGGTTGGCCTCTGAATTTAATTTCGAATTTTATTATCCTAATTTACATGTTCATAAAAATGAAATAGGTCATTATCAAGTGCTTAATTTTCAATGTAAGTCATAAAAATGTGTACACATATAATACAGCCTGGAGCTAGAGTTAGGATTTTTATTCCAGTCTCAAGTGATCTGGCATGCACAAGATAAGACTATGATGAAAAATGTTTATTAGTCTTATTAATTTCTTCATTCATGTATTCACTCAATCACTTCATATAGTTGGTCGGTGATTTAGATATACACCCATTCTTGAATGAAGGTGGCAATCACAGGGTGTATGCCAATGCATAGAATTCTAGAGTTCCTTCTCCTTGAGTACTTCAGTTTCAAGCAGAATACAGGTGAAAAAATGCAACAGAAACCATCAAATGTTATTAAAGAGAGCTATAAAAATTGCAGTGGAAGTCCAAAAAATGGAGTGACTTATCTATCATGCAAACTTGGGGAAGATGAGATTGTCTCTATTTTTGAATTTTACTACAAAGGGCATGTACAAATTTTGATTATCTTCATAAAACAGAACATTTAAAAAAATGTATTTGCAGTAGACGTTTGGGTTGTTTTTACTTCTGACATCCAAAATGTAAGTTTTCTCCTCATATCAACCAATTCTGCATTCTCTGGACACCAACCGGGTATTCTACAATTCAATTCCATTCAATTCTGATATGGTCTACCTGGAGTTAGTATCAGATCCTGTTAGTTAAGAGGTCAGGCACACAACACTGGTCCCACTTCAGATGCCAGTCACAAGTTTCACTTATCACCCATACTTCTGACTGATCAGCTGTAAATTTGATAGTTCCCCCTGCTCCTCATTAGGTTAGATAATTTGCTGAAATGACTCACAGAACTCAGGAAAGCACATTACTGCTGTGATCAGCTTATTATAAAGGGTGCAACTAAGGAACAGCCGGATGGAAAAGCTGAATAGGACAAGGTATGAGAGGGGGATGCAGAGCTTCCATGCCCTTCTAGGTGCACTACCCTCCCAGCACCTTGATGTGTTCACCAATCCGGAAGCTCTCTGAATTCTATTGTTTAGGGTTTCTATGGAGGTTCCATCACCTAGCAAGGTATTATTGATTAAATCATTGGCCACTGGTAATTGACTCAATCTGCAGCCCCTCTACCTTCCCCAGAGATCTGGGGATGAGGAGGAAGCTGAAAGTTCCAACCTTCTATCACATGGTTGGTTCCTTTGGCAACCAGCCCCCATCCTGAAGCTATCTAGGGGTCACCAAGAGTAGCCTTATTAGCATAAACTCAGGAGCAGTCGAAGGGCTAGTTAAGAATATCAAAATATTCTCCTATCATTCTTACCACTCAGGAAATTCCAAGGGTTTAGAAGCTCTGTGTTAAAAATCAGAGATAAAGACCAAATATGCATTTCTCACTATATGACAAATATTTTCTAGGATTCTGAGTCCTAAGATTCTCTGAGATGGATTCTGTTGGTCAGGGTGACAATATAAGTATTGAGGACCAGGGATGTAAATATTTGCAGAAACAATTGTGATCTGGAGTAAATTAAGCAGTGGAAAAAAAAGGGAAGTGTTGGAGTGGGCAAGGAACATGAGCCAGATCTCAAAATCCCATCAGTGAAGCAGGCTGGGCACCAGGACACACTGAATCTAAGGGTATAAATACAGGATTCATTGTCTGTGTGTATTACTGAGGTCATAGTCTGTAGCTAACATTTACAGAGCACTGACTATATGCCATGTACTCTTTTCAATGCTTTCATTTATTAAATCCTTACAAGAGTGCTATGAGTAAGTTTTATTGTTAGTCCCATTTTACAGGTGAGGAAACTGAGGTACCAGAAGGTTAAGTGAGTCATAGCTAGTCTGTGGCAGGGTTGAAATTTGAATCAGGAACATCTGCTGAACAGGTTACTCCCTGTTGTTGCCTCCTTGAAGTGTTAAATATATAGGAAGAAAGAATTCCAGAGTGACCATGAGGTAGCACCAGTCTCTAGTTGTCATGAGCTGGGTTTGGTTACCAGTTGTGGGGACTCTTCCTGGCTTGGAAGAGATGGGAGAACCCATCAATATTGAAAGCATGCCCCTCTGAGGTGGACAGCTGACAGGTTCTAGGCTCTTCATTGCTGAGACGTTGAAGGGTCTATGATCAGTTTCACCAAAGGGAGCTTTTCTTTACTGCATTGCTTTCAACCCTAATGGCATCTTACAGTTACCCCCAAAGGAGGGCCGTCCAGAAGGACTCAGCAATCAAGTTTTTTTGGGGTTGTGTTCAAAATTACAAAATTAATATCTCCTAGAAAAAATAAGCATGAGGAACCTTTGAAATCACCTCATCCCCAAGTGGCAAATCCTCAGCATTCAGGCCACCGTTTCTTCTGTTCCAGCCATGCTCTTACTGAATAAACTGGTGGCCACATCACTCCTCTCACCTACAATCTTCTTAACATGGTGCTGCAAGCAGCCCTTCCAAATCTACTAGCACTGGGATGAGAGATGATCTAACCTGATTCTTTTATTTCAGAAATGAGGAGACTAAGTGCACATGAGTGTAATTTCCTAGGCTGCTTTGTGAAAAATTTGGCTTCAAGTACATTTTGGTTTCTAAATCTAAGGCAGGACTTCTGGATCGTGGCATTATAGACATTTGGGGCTGGTTAATAATTTGCTGGGGTCGTGGGGAGAGGGAAAGTCTCCTGTGCATTTTGGGATGTTAGCAGTCTCCCTGGCCTCTACCTACTAGATGCCAGTAGCAGCTCCCTCCCACACTGCCCTGCTTTAATCAAAATTGTCTTCACATATTGCCAGATATCTCCTGTGGTACAAGATTGCCCCTGGTTGAGAACCACTTATCTACATAGTGGGACATCCACCTCAGTGACATGTACATCTGGCATTGGCAGTAGAATTAGCCTTGAGAGCTGCAATCACAACATGCAGGAACTTGGTGGCAGATTGAAATCCCAAGGACTCTGCAGTGCATCACTGGACACTGGCAGGGAACTTTATCTCCTCCAGAAGATATAGAACAATGTGACTAAAACACACGATTGCCCTGAAAAAGACCCTCATCAAGGAAAAACAAACGAATGGAAAAAAAAAAAAACCCAGATAAAATGCCATGCTTTTTAGGAGGTATAAACAATTTCTTCCAACATGTGCTTAAAAGATAGTCTTGGACAATTTGTTATCATCATTATTAATATAATTACTAGATTTTCCATAGTATGCTATTATGGACTGAATGCTTGTGTTATCCCCAGTTTCACATGTAGAAGCCAAATCCCCAGTGTAATGGTGTTTGGAGGTGGGAACTTTGGGAGGTAATTAGGTCATGAGGGCAGAACCCTCATGAATGGGATGGTGCTCTTGTAAGA
Source organism: Homo sapiens (assembly GCF_000001405.40). NCBI lineage: Eukaryota > Metazoa > Chordata > Mammalia > Primates > Hominidae > Homo > Homo sapiens. The sequence goes on from NC_000007.14 coordinate 25,466,694, forward strand.
GGATACGTGAGAGAGCTTGCTTACTCTTCCTCTCTGCTATCAGCCAGAGGAGGGCACAAGGAGAAGATGGCCATCTGCAAACCCAGAAATGAGGCCTCACCAGACACTGGATCCATGAGCACCTTGATCTTGGACTCTCCAGCCTCCAGAACTGTGAGAAATAAATGTTTGTTGTTTAATCCACCTAGTCTATGGTATATTTATTACAGCAGCCTGAACTGACTAAGACAGATGGCATTATACAGCTTCTTCCTTATGATGGGCCATACTCAGAAGCATAAAACATGGCAAGTACTGTTTTTTGTTTGTTTTTAATGAAAATTTTATGGTGGGTAAAACTGCTTTCTGCATTTGAATCCAAACCACGTTGAGGGTGTTAGTTGTTCCATGAGACATCATGGCGAAATTTGAACTCCGTTTATTATATGAGTTGGGAGGAGTATTTGAGAAAGCCATCTCTAAACTAGAGACAAATGTTGGAGCTAAGCATGGAGGGTCTTAAGTCCAACTGAACTGGATTTAAACAGTAGCTTCCTGACTTATTCAATCTGAGAAAATGATTCAATTTCTCTGTGTCTTAGTTTCTACCACTAAAAAATTGGAATAAGCATAGTGTCAAGTTTAAACAGCTGCTCAAGTATTGCCAAAATCAGATGTAGTTCTTGGTATATAGTACATACTTAATAAATGTTGGATTGAAAGGCAGCAATTTAAGGGGTCTGCTATTTTTTCCCTCCTATTTTTCAGTATTACATTTTTATGAGTGCTTGGCTGGTTTAACCCCAACTCTCTGCAAGTCTGTGTATTACTCAGGTTCTCCAGAAAACAGAAGCAATGTACATAACCAGCAAAAGATATACGTGTGTATATATATGTGTGTACACACACATACATATATATGCACACACACACAAACATATATAATGTAAACCAATCATATAAGCCAAATCCTTCTAAAACTTTATGTACACATAGCCTTATAATAAATTTACTGTAAGGAATTGATTAATTCCTTACAGTAAATTTATGTACCCATATCCTTATAATAATTTTATTATGATCTGTGATCTGCTTTACTCAGCCTACTGACTCAAATGTCAGTCTCACCCAGAAGCACCCTCACAGACACACCTAGAGTAATATTTCACCAACTATCTGGGCACATAAAATTGACACACAAATTTGACATAAAATTAACCATGACAGTTGGACACAGAGTCTTCTAACATCACTGACCTCCACCCACCTCCCTCTGTAGTCATGGACCTGAAGTCACTCTCCTAAAGAATGTATATCTCTGGATCTACTGGAGTGGCAAAGCGGGTATAATTTTATGGAGTGCATGAATCCTACCAGCCACTTCTAAGCCCTTGATGGGCCTGCATTCTCCAGACAAGCTGGTTGTTGTCCTTACCAATGTGGTCACAATGTAAGTTATGGCATCCTATTATAGATGCTATTATTAATCTTGAAATTGTTCTTTCCAAAGTCACAGGAGTCATGATTCCATAATTGGCACGGTGCTAGTGTCAACTCATTTCGTCCCAAATTCGCTCACATGAAAGAGATAAAAATCTTTACCTCCAGAGAGTATATAGGTATGGGAATATTTTTGTGAATGTGATTAGGCTTTCAACTAGCATTTTAGTTTCAGATCATAAACTTGCCTATACTCTTCCAAAATCCAAGTGGGTAAGGATGAGGGAGAAGGAATTTCTGTACACTTGAAATCAATTCACTAAGTGACAGTGGTCTGGGGACTGGCCCCTGAACTATCTAATCCAAACAAGCAACTACAATGGAAATAAATTACAAAACTAAACTGTAATTCAAGTAAAGATAGAAAATGTTATAAAGTGGTGCTAGAGAATTGCAACTTTGGAAGCCCTTGACAACAAAGTGTCTTAAGAGTTTTCCTAAGTTAACAATTGTAGAAGAGAGAAGGATAGTAACACCAATAGAGAACTGTCTGGATATGAAAGGATTAAAAGAGATCTTTGGGAGACTGACACCCCAAATGTTTATGCAAAAAATGACCCTCTTAGTGATCATGCTGAGAAAGCAGCAGTTAACTAAAGGAGCTATATGGAAAAATTATCCCCTCTGTCTCAGAAAAAATAAAAATAAATAAATAAAAGGTCACAATTCATTCTTTGTTCTACACATTAGTAGTTACAAAATCGTAAGTAAATTTTGATAAATACAATAGACTTAGTTTTCATAATGTTTAGTTTTATTTTCAAGACAGGGCCACAATCATACCTTGAAGTTTTTGTTCCTATTTTAGTTAGATCCAATTTAGTTGGCTTTTCTTTTCCCTCACCGTTTAATAGTTGGATAACAAAAGTCTTTCTCTCAGCTGTGCCAAAATGCGTACTACATTTGCATGTGTGTTATTATGTTACAGTGTCTACAGCCATAAGTTACTAGAAGTTAAGTGTTTGCTTATATCTTCCAGGCCTAAGAAACCGTGGTGTCTCTTCTCTATATTCTCTAGGGTCATATTTTCCTCTGGGTTTATCTTGGATATTCTCTGATGAACTGTAGACTTTTGTCAATAGTTTATATTCCTTGTATTTCCATGTCTACTTAAGAATAAGACAAAAAGAAGGCCACAGAGAGCTCTGTGTGTGGGGAGGCAGACCACATTAGGGCCAGATGGTTAGGAGAAGGTCTTTGTGCTGTGAGACCCTTTCTTCTGGTCTGAAGCCCCCGTCTCACTCCACTTAACTCTAAATCCTTCCAAGCAGACACATCCTAGTTATAGGTCTACTCTCCTATCTGAGAAAACAAGCCTGAATCTGTGGGAAAATGCTGTGTGGCTTTATTTCTGCCTTTTAATTTTGTCTTCTCAGGCTATTATCTTCTTCTTACTGCATCTAAGGTATACTTAGATGAGGTCTACTGCATCTAAGCTGACATATGAGAGTTCTCGTTCAAGCTCTGTCTCTAATTGGCTTTGTGATCTCAGACATGTATCTTAACCTGTCTGGACCTCGGGTTCCTTCTGTAAAGTGTATGGCCTGGCTGAGGTTTCTAACACCCCTTTTAGCTCGTAACGTCTACGATTCTAAAAGAAATTTATAAGAGTGTCTCCATTATAAGTCTCCACTCCAGACACTCCAGAATGTCACTCACTGCATGGCCAAACGCCAATCTGCTTCTTTAAACCTGCGCATGAGCACTAAGCTTCATGTCAAACTGGAAGTTCCAGTTCCCTCCATGATCTTGCCCTCTTCTTCCTACTTTCCTATTTAGTGATCCCCTTAGCCCACCCCTGCTTTTTGAAAATGATTCTATGTTGCCAAACAAACTCCAAGGCTAAGTCCTCTCAAAGATTTCTTTAAACTTCTCACCAAGAAAGAGTTTTACCTTCTTGGGATTTCCATAGAATTTTGTTCATAAACTTTCATTATGCCGAATATACTCTATGCTTTATATGTGGTCTTTTTGAACTAAGCCCGTTTATACTTCTAAATTCTAACGTCTTAGAAGGCAAAAAGATTGCCAATTCACTTGTTGTGCTTTTCTTTTCCCCCAAGCCCCTAGCGTGGTGTTTTGTGTATAGTGGTACATAAAACAACTACGATCCATTGGAAGAATGAATGAATAAATGAATGTGCAAACCAATGAAGGGGAAAGTGAGCAAATGCCTTTGAATCTCATATATAAGAACTTGGTAAAAAAAAAATAATTGCATACAAAGGAAAAGCAGGAATGAGAAAAGCCAGGCAGGAAAAAATAAGTTGGGATTCCCAGTGGTTCTCTTTCCCTACTTCTCAGAATTATAGAAAGAAAAGATTGAGACCCACATTCATGGCCATATTGAGGCCTGGTGTGAGTTTTAGGGCAGCTTGCAGTGGATAAAAGTGACATTCAGTTTTTTGGGGAAGTCCACAAAACTGTGGAGCAGGTCAGGCTGAACTCTTGTGAAGTCATTAATTCTATATTTGCTCTCTCCCTTTCATCTTCATAGGTTTAATAGTAAATCATTCCTCATTCCTCTGGACTCTGGTTTCTTTTCTGGAGCTTGTTCCAATGATGTAGAGCCCTAAACACAAAGTACAAATGCTAAATTTCCCCCTGCAAAGTTAAAAAAAAAAGGGCAAGACATGACATTCAAAATAAGCAAGCACCCCTGAAAGCCAACTGGTTATTGCTAAGGTTGCTGCTGGTGAAAAATTTATAAATTGCTTTTTTAGGCAAGCAGTGGAATGGTCAAAAATGCCAATAATTTAACTTCCAAGAGTTTTAATTAAGAAGAAAAAAATTAAGAGGTAAACACTTGGATCACGTATATTATCTAGTGACCCAAAATAGATATATGACTTCTCTCTGGGATAGTTTGATTTCCCTTGGAAGTTTCAGAACACGTAATTGGGGGCAGGGCTACCTGAGGCTAGAGTCAAAATGATTTTCTTAGTGCCTAGTTGCATATGAGGCAGAGAAAGCAATTTCCAGAAGAGAAATCACACTGCATTTGGCTTGCCCATCAATGGCTCCATATAATAGCAACATCACTCACACATAACTTTGTTTTAGTGGCTGATATTAAGAAAAATTGTTGCCTGCAATATGATGCACAGGGCTGTCAAATTCACACATACATGCCCTTTGGTCTGAAAATGATTCTGTTTTTATAGCATCAATTCAGCAGTGCAAAGTTCATAAATTTGTATTAGGAATATGAGGGCCACATTGCATCACAAGAAGAAAGCAAAACTCGGTTACTGAGAAAATGTAGGCCCATCTTCAGAAATTGATGTCTGGGTCTAACTCATGAGTCAGTGGGAATTTTCTAGAAATCAATGTGGGATATAGCTCATATTTTGAAAAGGTAGATCTTCAAAGGGGACTTTATTCGATATTTATGATGAAGATGATTGCCCAAACCTCTAAAATGGCAGTAAGCCTTAATTGCATCGTGTAGAAGTTGAATGCTCTCATAAGAAAATCATCTTGGGCTGAACTGGATAAACTCTGAGGTCTGAGTGAGAGAGGTTTATCTCAGCAAGGAAACTGGATTACTGCTTAGAAAAAGAGAATAATGAGTAGCATTATCAACCTAACACAATAAGTACTGCTTTTAGGAGAAGTTTGAAAATAAATGAATAAAGACAAGACTGGAATCAGCCACTTCCTTGTAAGAGAAAAAAACAAGTAGAACTAAAGTCTCAACACCCATATCAGGAAAGTCACTGGGGAGCAGGCTTCTCTGCAGATGTAGTATAGGGGCTCAGCCAGAAAATCAAGAGCAGCGAGCAGAGCAGGTGGGAGGAAGCAATTGCATGATACTTTGCCTCTCACATGCAGTGTTTTGGAAAATAGCTATTTCTTTAAAAGGATACAGCAAGAGAATATTTACCTCTAACTCTCCATGGTCCTGCCTTTAAAAGGGTTCTGAAGGCAGAGAATGGACAACATTTTTCCCAGATTTTTCTTCGTTTTCTTAGACGAGTCAAAACAACCAAGGGAAAAGAGTGGTTGCAGCTGTACTTGAAATGTAACATGGAAAATGGGTAGAATCTATAACACGACTGCTCTGGAACAAAAAGCATTCTCCAGGATTCTTGTCTTCAAAGAAGATGAATCCAAACTTGGCATGACATGGCCTTTCTACTCACTTTAGAGCCAAGGGGCCAAGAGGGAGCCTGATACTCTAAACCCTTCCACCTTAACCAGCTCAATGGCTTTCTCTTAAAGGACATGATCCACAGCACAGCCAGGTATGGCTGGGTGTGTATTTTTATGACTGTCACTGTTGAGTCCCCTTGGGGCATATTCTTCAACTTCTCCTCCCTCCTCCCCCATGTAGGAAAGATGAAAGGGGATCTCCAAGAGCCTTTGTCAACTCGCGGTCTTGTCTCCTGTTTTGTGGGGAGCCAGCTCACGTACTACTTGGAATCTGTCTTTGACCTGATAATTGACAAAATGTCTCATAAGCACAATGTTCAGTTCTGGAGGCAAAAGCTGGAGTTGAGCATCTACCCTCTAAATACATGCACAGAGTACATGTGTGACAAGTGGGGCAATGTTTTTATTAGGGGGGGATCCTGAAAGCAATACAGGAATCAAAAATCCTTTCTTCCAACGCTTGCAAGATGATTTCTACATGTTGTAAGTAACATGTCCCCCAATTTTTTTTTTTTTAGAAATCAAGTGTATCAAAGTTTCACGTTGACAAGCTCCTTTCATTTCAATTTGAAGGTGATTAAATAACTGAACCAGAAAACCTAAAGAAGGTCCTGCTTTTCTTGTAGAACCTATGAAATCTATCCCATAAGGACTTTGGGCACATACGAAATGAATTTGAGACCTTCCATGAACCCACTTTCCTTTTTCTCAACAAAAGACCCCTATACATGAACAAAATAGCACGGATGTGGCAGAAAATGCAATTGAAAGAGCAAAAGACTTCACTGTGAGAAAACAGACCTCTCTGGTTTAATGACCAGGCAAGAGTTTACAAGGCAGCCTCTTTGGGAGAAAGACCGGACACTTGTTTCTTACTTTCAACATGTAGCATCTCATTTTTGAAAACCACATGAACTTTGCTTTCTTGGCAGGTAGGAAAATACACTGCGCAGCTGAACTTGTTTTTATTTATTCTACATTCCATTAATGCAACTGGCCTTTTTTCTTGAAGTATTAGCAGCCCAGAAGTTAAAGGGCTATAAAGAATCTGTAACTGGAGAAAACAGGAGCACTCAGATCTAGGTTTGCAATAGTTTTATGCAGAGTAAGGACTTGGGGGAGGTGCAAGGGGGAAAAAGATTCTTTGGTTCCTTGAGGTACCTGCAGATGACAATCCCACTCTCTCTCTAACAGTTACTCAGGAAACAGACCAGAGCTGGTTGTCCTTATTGACCTTTGTGACGGTGTGAAGAAAAACTTGTATATTTCCATATCCACTTCTCCCACATTTGCTCCTTTACCTATACCATCACCTACACTTACAGCTACAGCTGTTGACTTCTCTCTTATACTTATAAGAGTGATGGAGCTACTAAACTAAGCGGTACATCAGAAACAAATTCAACTATGAAGGAGTATGTCTGAGTGTGTGTGTGTGTGTGTGTGTGTGTGTGAGAGAGAGAGAGAGAGAGAGAGAATGAGCAACGGACCAGGGGACATGCATCCCAGAACCTCCGTTTGTCATCACTGCTCTCTTCTCTGGTGTCACATGCATTTGGTCCCCTAAGGTTTAAAGGATGATAAGTAACTTTGGTTTTGTGTTTCTCCAAACTGGCCCCAAATTCACAGGGCCACACCAACAGATTTGTGTTTTAAGTGTGTGTTGGGGGATAATGTTCACCTTCCTGGAAGTATCAGGGGAAAAATGAAAAAAATGAGGTTGGTGATGTGTGTGAGGAAGGGAACAGAAGAATGGGGCTGGCCCAGTTTTCTTATGTCACATCCCGTTGTTCAAACTGTTCTTTTAATCCAATTAAAGGCTTTGAGTTGACGAAGCCACTCACTCAGAAATCAGTGAAACCCCCATGCGCTGTTTGTGATCTGCAGATGTCAATGGGTGAGTGTGGTCCTCAGAAAGCTTCAGGCTGTAGCAGTTCTTAGCTTGCCTAGTTGGTTCTTTGGAGAGACATTCTCTGTTGCACTTTCACTCCAGCTAGAGCATGGCTAATATTAAATACTGAGAGTAATAAGAAAGATAAAAGTGATTGCCCAGTGGCTTGCAGAAACAGTGGGGTCCCATGAAACAGACATTCAGATAGCACACCATGCCAGTCACAGCAATTCTGGAGCATGCCTGGTGACCAAGGGAGCTATGTTTCCTCAAAACATGAAGATTTTGAAGATGCCTGAAGTACAGGAGCAGGAGTCCCTGGATAAAATGTAATGTCTGGGTTTCTGGTAGTATAGCCCATGCTAGGAATATGAATGAGACCAGATGCAACATTTGTTCACAATCTGTAGCCCATTTTCAGCCCACACTCCAGAACTGAGACACCTCCCTTTCTCCTTGATGTGCTACTTCCTAAGTCAAGATGAAGTATCTTGTCGTGATTCCCAAAGTGCACATTCACTCAATAGCAGCAAGAGAAGGCCAGTACGGAGCCCACCTCTCACCATGTCACTGGGCTAACCTTCATATCACAGGGCACACCTCCATCTGCTGGTACTGATTCACTGACACAGGTTTGGCATCCAAGCCAGTTAGTCCACAAGGGTGAAATACTGAGGCACTTATAATAGAGGAAACAAATCAGCTCTTGTCCATAAGGTCTTTTAGCCTCATACAAATCACTAGTTCAATAATAAATAATAAAAATGGCACGAAGATGCCAGATGTGCAAATTCATATCCAGAGACACCTGTCAAGATCGAAAGACTGGTGTCAGGGAATCGCTTGAGGGATTTCAAGTCCTGGAGCCAGACAGGACCAGTGTTGATAAAGGAGAAAGAAAAGCCTTCCTTTCAAGATGAGTCACAGGACTTTCTGGTGAGGTTGGTGAGTGCAGTAGATGGGAATCAAGATTCACTTGAAAGCTGCTATAATGCAGTAAACCAAGGGTTTAAGCACAGACACTACAATATCAAAATATGCCCCACACTGCCACTTTAGAGAGCACAGCTTTGATCTCAAGCAAGTTAGTTAACCTCTATAAGACTTCTTTTCTTCATCTGTAAAGCATGGATAATAGACATAACTACCTCATAGGGTCAGAGAGTACATGTAGATGTACATGAAATTTTAGGAGACTGCCTGGTATGTTTAAATTCTCAGTAAATATTGGCTGTCAGTATCCAGTTAAGAGTTTTGTCAGTGCTTGCCTGGCCCAAGAGTCTTTTCCAGCAGAGAGAAGCCTAGCCACAAAGCCTGTGACTTCTGAGATTAGGAGTTCCAGGAGGGCCTGGCTAGAAAAAAGAAACGAGAATGTCTGAGTGAAGCTGAAGGGATGCTTCTCCATGGCACTCCCACTCCACATGTAAAAAGAAAGTCATTTTCTAAGCAAAGGCTCCATGATCAACTTAAAAGGAGCTTGTATGTTTTCAGAAATTAAGTTATTTGTACAGTTTTAGAAGTTAGTTGACACCAAATAAGAGCCCCTTTGGGGATGGAGGGGGGAAGAATTTCATTTATAAGAAAAGATTATTCAGCTGGGTGTGGTGGCTCACGCCTGTAATCCCAGCACTTTGGGAGGCTGAGGCAGGTGGATCATTGGGTCAGGAGTTCGAGGCCAGCCTGGCCAACATAGTGAAACCCCGTCTCCACTAAAAATACAAAAAATAGCCTGGCCTGGGCAGGCTCTTGTAGTCCCAGCTACTTGGGAGGCTGAGGCAGGAGAATCGCTTGAACCTGGGAGGCAGAGGTTGCAGTGAGCTGAGATGGCACCACTGCACTCCAGTCTGGGCAATAGAGTGAGACTCCATCTCAAAAAAAAAAAAAAAAAAAAAAAAAAAAAAAAGAACTGCATGAGGCACCAGATCACAGGGAAGCAGGGAGAACTGTAGGAATCATTAGGCCCAAATCCTGCTACTCTTTGCTGCTAATGAGTTACAGACGTTGAAACCTATGAATAGAAACAGAGAGACTTCAGCCTCCTTTGCTTCCAGGCTCAGGTAGCCTTGGGTGAGCAGATGTCACCTGATTGTAGAAATTTGAGCAAGCAGGTTTGCAAATCCAGAAGCCACGCATAGAGGCCCTGCCTCAGCACACCTGGTTTGTCCCTTTGGCCCTTAGGATTCTTCTTGCTCCTGTTACTTGCCAGTCAAGCTGTCAGAGAAACCTGAGTGAGGGATAAGTCATTGCCCTAGTGACTACCAAGGAAATTCCAAGTTTACACGAGGTTGGAATCGTGGACTTGGTCAACCTCAGGCAAGATGTCTGGGCAGGGCATCCAGCTGACTATGCACCCAAAGGACACAAGGCTTCTTTCCTTGAGCAGACTGCAGAAGTGGGGCCGAGGATGTGGAAGCAGTTTCTAAACCAAGAACACCATAAAAACAGAAGGGCTTGCTCTTATTATTATAAGGGCTTTGGGGAATGCAATGGGAGAAGGCCTGGCCCCCGTAAAGGATTTCCTCCGTGAACATCAAAGCATTGACAAGGGGGGGTGGGAGGAGGACACAGGTAGAGGTTGGAATGTTGGCTCTTCCTCAAAGGCACTTCCTGCAGAGAATCAAATCCAGAGACTCCAACGATAATGATTCTCATTTTTATTACCATTTTATTATTCAAGATTGGCTCAGTATTTTTCCCCCCAAAGGCATTTGAGTGAAGATGAAAAGTACCAAGTTAATATCTTGAGTGAGCCAAGCCCCCTTTCTATGACCAAGGTCTTCGTGGACAGATGCGGCACCTGCTTGCTATTGTAGCTCTGCCTCCATGACGTCATTGCAGCAAGGATCAAGGCTGTCCCTAAGTCATAGGTTCTGGTGTTTTGAGTGAAAGAGACAGAGGAAAGGGGGCTTTTTCAAGTGATTCCATTGGCCTAATTCTGGACGTGCTCAGAACACTTAAGTAGCAATTCCCATGGCAGACGTGTCGTAGAGATTTTGAGTAAGCACATTGAAATGAACAATGCAGTGCTTAACAAGCTTCAACTTCCTGGGCATCAGTGAACTATGACTGTGATACAATATGTAAACCAAGACCTCATTCAGCTTGTGTGGACAGAGGGACATGAGAGATGGGAAAAGGAAATTAAACAGAGGGCATTAAAAAATACACGTTCCAAGAAAATAGATACTTAATGATCAAGGGCTCCCTGTCTGGCGCTTAATGATAATGATGCCAATTTACCGACAATAATAGAGGCCACAACATTATTTAGAACAAAGGGAAGAAGCCAACATTTACTGAATGTACTTACTGCCAGAACAGAGGCATCAACCTGTGGTGTGTGATTCAAATGCTTCTCAGTTGACTGAAAATTTTAACAAGACTCTTGTATGTGCTTATAAAGACTGTAAGACATCTGAGAAGCTTGTCTAATGTGGAAAAAAGTAAATTCACTTGCAACAGATTGGGTAATTTCTAGTACAAAGGGAAGAAAATAAAGTTTATATACAATCTTCCATTTTTCCATTCATTAATAGAATCTGTGCTGCGAAATTTGCAAGCCAGGATTATTCTACATCGAAAGAGAATGTGATTGAGATTGTTGATCTTATTCCATTTGGCTGTTAATCATGGTCAGTTATTGAGATATTTGTCAGCAGTGAAAACAAAGAGGGTATCACAATTAAAAAAGAAAACCTCATATAGCTAGGTGGTAGAAATTTGTCAAAAAGTTTTACTTAATTGATACATCAGATAATGAAATGGGAACTAAAGGGTTCTGAGATATTTTATTTTTCACCTCCAGAGTCATAGGATTACTTGTTCTTACTAATGTGGCACAGCATCCAAATCATTTGTACTTGAAAATGAAGGAAAATTAAAAGAACACTGACCATCATTCCTTCTTTTCACATACCAGCTGAGTCAAATAAAGATGTGGATCAAACACTTAACAACTGCAACTTGAATTTATTTCCCAATATCCTCAACTCTAAATGTCAAATAACTAGCTATTTAGTTGTTGCTAGGTTGTTGTTGTTGTTTTTTTCTTTGCTTTTGTTAAACAAGTCACAATTTCAGAAGTGAGTTACAGATTTATGTGTGTTTGAGATTGCATTTACATTTCTATTCCTCTTGGAATACCATCTCAGATTTGCCTGCATTATGGAATAGGAGGGTTGGAAAAGCTTCAAGAAGTACTGACTATGCTAAAAATTCCCACACAGAAGACACACTATCCCTAGAATTCTTGGTATCAATCTATGAATTTCAGAACTAACACCAAATGTTTGGCCACATGGCCCATGTCTGGGCAGTGTTTGAGCACTTTTAGCTCTGAGAAAAGATATTATCTCACAGACCCATTGACAGTGGTGTAATACTAGAGTCAGAATTGACATATTTTCTGTCTAGAGACCAGCTCCATCTGTTCAATATCACTTATGGCACAAGTCGTGAGTTGCCTACCATTAGGAAAGAAAGTGAGAGAGAGAGAGAAAGGAGGGAGGACAGATGTAGGAAGGAAGGAAGGAAGGAAGGGAGGGAGGAAGGAAGGGAGGGAGGGAGGGAGATATTGAGACCCAAGGGCATATGCCAATTCATAAATATAGAACTGGATGATTTTATTTTTAAGCAAAACAAATATGTATCTGAGTGCATGCCGATAGCCAGCAGATGACTACAAAGCTGTAGATTTTTCTGTCTATTTATATGAAATTAAATATGTAATACAATTGTTACATATCTCCCTACTTTCAGTAAACAGAAGATATTCCCTTTGCATCAGTAGTACATTGCACTTACTCTGACATCCTGTTTTTTTTATAATTCCCCATCAGGCTTGCTCTGACATCTTGTTTTTCATAATTCTCCCTCCGTGTCTCCTGTGGCTATCCCTGACAGTGTACCTAGCACATATCACATATGATGAGTCACATTCTTCAACATTCCTCTGTGAGGTTAGATTAAGCCTAGTTTCCCCACACTACACAACAATCGTTTTCCTTTTCTTATGGGTTAATAGAGCACTGCTTTTGAATAGGAGCAGCATGTGTCCAACTAAAGATTATGATTCCCAGCTTCCTTGCAGTTCAATATGGCTATGTGAGTGGCCAACGAGAAGGAGATTGTTGTGGGGACCTTCAGGGAAAATTCTTTAAAAGTGATTGACTCACCTAGGGAATGTGCTCCGCTGGTTTCTTTCCCTTTGCTCTCTCTTGGTGGGGAGGGTCAATGGACTTTGAAGAGCAAAGTCACATATTAAAACAAAAATGCAAAAGCTTAGAGGGTCTCTGATGACATCAGACCTGGACTTTCTACTTTTGAACTTATTTTATGTTAGAGAATAAACTCTTCTGGGTTTAAGCCACGACTGTATGTGTGTGTGTATGCCTGTGTGCGTGTTAAGCCCACCTATTTCTAACAAATATACCAGATAAATTTTTAATCTTGATGAAAACTGACCAATGACTAAGCCATATGCTGAAGTTACGCACTTTTTCGTGAATAAAATGTATCTCCCTATTTTCAAACTGTCTTTTGATTGTGGCTAATATCCATAGTTTAATAGCTAATAGGTTCATCATTGTTATAACAAATTCTATGTGGTCTATAAAGATTATTGGTAATATAGCCAACTATGGGATAAAAGTACAAGTTAGACGCCAGTGGAGGACAACAGCATAGAAATGACACCAGACAAGGCCTTGCAGGAGATGACTGTAGCTTTCCTGTGATGGAGAAGAGGAGTGGGAAGAACGTGCAGGCAGAGGAAATAGAGCAGGCAAAGGAGTGCGGGCTTGAAAGAATATGGCATTATGGGGAATCGCAAATGGCTTGGTGTGACTACAGAGAGAGTGATGGGCACTTTGGGAATTACATACATAACCTTCAGGCCACACTCTTCTCATTGGATGACCACGAGTAAAACACAGCTTTGCTGTCTCACCAGGTACGTTGTCAGTCAGAAGGCAAACAGGTGGTTTGGAGATACGGAGTATTCAGTCAACAGAATCATTAACAGAGGCCCCATTTGGGTTCTGGGGGAGTCTCACTTTTTTCCAGTTTATGTCCCAACTTTGTCGTAAGAAAAGTGGCAAAGTTGCTCATTCGACCTACATTGTAATTCAGCAGTTTATAGCACCAGACTCTGCTTCTGACTGATGACCACATCAGCGGTGAGGCTACGTGCAAAAGAGACTTAGCTTAAGGGAGTTAAAGAAACGTTCTGATTCTCTGTGCCATAAAATGAGAATTTTAAACCTTCAGCCTATCATTTTCTTTCTTTAACTGCTCTAGTACAGTTAGAATTGGCCAGCTCACCCCATAATCCTTATATTTCTTATGCCCTTAAAAATGGTCTAATGCAGGGGTCTATGCAAGCCAAGGACCAAATATACAGCCCACAGCCTCTTTTTGTAGAGGAAGTTTTATTGGAACACAGCCATGCTCACTGGCGTATGTGTTGCTTCTTTCGTGCTGTAATGGCAACATTGAGCACTTTCAGAAGAGATCATCTGGCCTGCAACACCTGAAGTATTTACTATCTAGCCCTTTACAGACAAAGTTTACTGACCTCTGGTCTAATGCAAGAGATGGAAAATGAATTAAATCTCAAAGTAAATGCCAGCCTCTCACTTCTGCTGAGTTATTGGAGGCCTGTCCCTTGCCTCCGGCAATAGCACAGCTCCCTGTCTAAGTGGTGCTCCCGCCTTCTCCTCCCCAACCCTTACACCCCCCTGCCACATACACACACAGACCAAGACTGGAGGTCCAATGACAGAGATCTTTTCCTCACTGGCTCTGTGGCCAGGAATGAGCCCTTTGGCCTCTTTGAACCTCCATTTCCTCACCTGCAAAAGAGTCACGTTGAGAGGATCCACCTCCTAGTGCTGTTACCAGGATCGAATGAGAAAGGCATGTGAAAAGCTTCTGTGAACTGTAAGCCACCCTTTGAATAGGCATTGGGCTTTTTATTCTTGTTACCACATTATTTTATTTCATGCAGTTACATTTATTTATTCAGCAAATATTTATTGAAACCTTTGAAGCAAAAGTTCACATTGGGTATGGATGGGTAGATGGGGAGTGGAAAGGGAGGGTACAAGAGAGGAATCAGAAATTTTGCCCTCAAAGTGCTTATTGTCTAAAGCGGGAGTTTATAAACCAGCTTCCATTTGTTTGTTTGTTTGTTTTTGAAACAGGGGCTTACTCTATTGCCCAGTCTGGAGTGCCGTGGTGTGATCATAGCTCACTGCAGCCTTAATCTCCTGTGTTCAAGTGATGTTCCTGCCTCAGCCTCCCAAGTAGCTGGGTCTATGGGGGTGCACCACCATGCCTGGATTTTTTTTAAACTAGAGACAAGGTCTTACTATGTTGCCCCAGCTGGTTTCAAACTCCTGGGCTCAAGTGATTCCCCACCTCAGCCTCCCAGTGTTAGGATAACAGGCATGAGCCACCATGCTCAGCTAAGCTTTCCATATGATATGCTGTAGTAGCAAACAATCCTCAAATCTCAGTGGCTTACAGTAAAGGGTTATTCTCAGTCATGTTCATATTGCCTACAGATCAGCTGGTGTGTTCATCTCATTCTGAGAATCAGGCTGAAGGAACAACCTCTATCTGGAACATGCTTTACATATCAGAAGGAGAAGAAAGAAAGCAGGGAAAGAAAACAGGCATCATGATGGCAACTAAAGGGTATGTTCCCATCTCACTGGCCAAAGCAATTCATGTGGCAAAGCCTGATGGGAAAGGGGCATGAATGTTCTTTCCCACAGGGAAGCACAGCATGGCATTGAGCCACAGGTTGGGATGTATGAGCTTCTTGCAGGGAAGGCAGCAAATAGTTGGGAATGATGATGCAATCTAACACAGTGTACTAGTCAGGGTTCCCTAGAGAAACAGAACCAACAGTGGATATGTATACACACACATATATCTGAGGAAATTTATTATGGGAATTGACTCAAGTGGTTATAGAGATTGGGAAATTCCATCATATGCATTACACAAGCTGGAGAACCAGAAATGCCAGTGGTCTAATTCAGTTTGAGTTGCAGGGCCTGAGAACCAGGGGAGCTGATGGTATAAGTCCCAGAGTCCCAAGGCCAGAGAACTGGGAGTTCTGATATACAACAGTAAGAGTATATGGATGTCCCACTTCAAGAAGATAAGTAAAGAGCTCAACATTTCTGTGCCTTTTTCTTCTATTTGAACCCTCAATGGATTGGATGAGGCCCACCCACACTGGCGAGGGCAGATCTTCTTTACCAAGTCTTCTGATTTAAATGCTAATCTCTTCTGGAAATGCTGTCACAGGCACATCCAGAAATAATGTTTACCGGCCATCTGGGCACCCCTTAGCCCAGTCAAGCTGACACATAAAATTAACCATCACACACAGGGAAATTCATGCATACACAGCAAACACACCCACACACCCATACACCTCATGTATAATACATTATTACACTATATATAAAATATATACACTGTGTATATATATATATACACACACACACACACACACACTACATCATATAGTGGACAGCAAGGGGCATCCAAAGTGCAGGGACATTTCCTTTTTCTGCCACTTAGAAACTAGCTATTTGACTTTGAACAAGGCACTTAAACAGGCAGAGCCTGTTTCCCCACCAGAAAAAAATGAGATCATAGTACTTGACTTATAGCTTTGTGGTCAGGATGAAAATATTTGATTCAAACTAATTGCAAAGCACAATGTCCAGCATAGAGTTATCACTAAAAAAAGAATTTCTCCTCCTCCTCCTTTACCTCATTTTTCTTGCTATTTCATTGCAGAATAATAAGGAATGCTTTATGGACAATGGCATTTAACCTGAAGCCTAACATTTGAATAGTATTTGAACAGGCAGCAGAGAAATTTGAGTAACTCTACAACTCAGTTTCCTTATCTTTAAAATGGAGATAATAGCAGTAATTACTACTTAGAGGTGGGATGGGAATAAAATGAGTTAATACACAGGATGTACTGAGAACAGTACTTGGCATATTGCAAGCATTCTGTGAGTGTTTATTAGATACAAGTACACACGTAAGGGCTGAAAGTGGGACTAGGGGAGGAAGGGTGTTCAGATGGAGAAGTTGGGAAACGCAAATGCGAGGAACAGGGAAGGTGTGAGGGCTGCACAGGGACCAGAGAGCAGATGGTTGTGGCAGAGTGTGCATGAAGAGAGGCGTAGGAGATTCGGCTGAAGAGGCACACAGGGGCCTGAGCTTGCAGACTTGCTTCTGTAGGCAGCAGGACCTGGCTTGAGCTGTGCTTCAGGAAGATCACTGTTGTGAGCACGTAGAATGGATGGGAGAGGGCAGAGATGGGAACCAGGAAGGCCAGAGAGAAGGATTTCGCAAAACATGGTGGAGTTTAGTGACCGTCTCCTTAGGACAGCGAGAGAAAGCATGGAGAGAAAGGGCTGCTGCATGAGGGAAATGGAAGTAAAATCCTACAGGCCTGCGGCCTGATTGAGTTGGGATGGGGTCAGGGGAGAAGAAAGGTTGGAGGGGAGACAAGAATAAGGTTGAGGATTCAAGTCTTGTTGAAGATAAGAAGTTAGCTTTTAGACACATAGAGGATGAAAGTTATGAGGACAGTTTGTAATATTACCTTGCTTGAAAGTACATCAATTAAGGATTCCTTGTTCCTTAGAAAAGCAACCTGGGGGACAGGTGTTAAGATGCTACCTGTCATTTCCCCACGATGTGAATATTGTCACTCAGATTTCTTTCCAAACTCCAAAAAAGATCAGCTGCACTGAAGATTGTTATTCTTATTATTATTATACTTTAAGTTCTGGGAGTTGAACAATGAGAACACATGGACACCAAGAGGGGAACATCACACACTGGGGCCTGTCAGGGGGTGGGGGACTAGGGGAGGGATAGCATTAGGAGAAATACTTAATGTAGACGATGGGTTGATGGGTGCAGCAAACCATCATGGCACATGTATACCTATGTAACAAACCTGCACGTTCTGCACATGTATCCCAGAACTGAAGATGTTTTAATCAGGGGAATGAGAAGGGAGCCAGGTGGCCTGAGAGCATGCTGGTGTGGTGTGAAGGGGAAAGCAGGTGCTAGTGGGAGATTAAGAGCTGAAATCTGAGAGAAGAGAGCAAGGGCATGGAATACAGGTGCAGAATGGGAAGTGGGACCGTGTCATCTTCCTAAAATATCAACCTTTTATGTGTCCAGTATATTACCGAGTGAAATCAAGAATATTACAAAACAATGTACAATAGAATATTTTTATTTAAAAAAATCTATTCCCTACTATGGAGACATAAAAAAGAATGAGATCATGTCCTTTGCATGGGCATGGTTGGAACTGGAGGTCTTATTTTTAGCTAACTAACGCAGAAGCAGAAAACCAAATACCACATGTTCTCACTTATACGTGGGAGCTAAATGATGAGAATACATGGACACATAGAGGAGAACAACACACTGGGGCTTACTGCAGGGTGGAGGGTGGGTGAAAGGAGAGGATCAGAAAAAATAACTAATGGGTTGTAGGCTTAGTACTGGGGTGATAAAATCATCTGTACTACAAACCCTTGTGACATGAGTTTATCTATATAACAAACATGCACATGTACCCCTGAACCTAAAATAAAAGTTTAAAAAATGTAAAAAGTATGTATTCTCAAGCTTAGAAAAAATACTAGGTTATATACCTAATGTTATCAGTGATGAGATTATGGGTGATTAAAATTTATTTCCTTTGTTTCCTGAGTTTTTCTGCATTGAGCACATATTAGTTTCCTTATGTAAATATTAAATACTATGATAAGGGAGAAAGAGTGGGAGAAAGGAAACATCCCTGGCATATAGAGCTCAGAGTCTTTACACACACAGAAAGACATCACACACACAATTTATGCTATTGTTTTGTGACATTTAGAACATATAGTCTAATAAAAACAGATGTGCAAACAATTTTTTGGCAAGCAACACATTCAAAGATTGGGGCTGCCTGTAGCTGATTACATCGCTGGTGTGTCAGAAATAGTGTTTTAAGTTCAAAATGCTTGCTAACAGAAATCATTACAATACACAGGCTAGTTTGGAGAGAAATAGCCTAAAATTTGGATACATTTAAAAGAAAATGTTTCAATGTGTTTATATTCCAACTTAGCCTCAAAGAGGCAACCTTTCAACTTAAGAGTCATTTTGGACAACTGTTCTTGAAATTGTCTTGTATATAAGACCCAATTAACGGAGACTATTGAAAAATGTTACTTTTTTCTTGTAACCAGACTATGTAGCAAGTAAGAACCCTTGAAGTGATTTAGCAAAAAATTAATCTTCAGGCCCTTTTAATATAGAACTTACCTGTTTTGTTTTTCTTTCTTTATTGGATTCCTGAGAAAGGAAGGCTGCCAAGTATTTCCTTCAAGGAAGGTTTGAGGACCCAGTCCTGTCTGCCTCTAGCCAAGAAGAATTTTATTTTGGTTGCTGAAAATTCAAGGAGATTGGCGTTTGCAGGAAAAAGAAGTGGCTTATAAATGTTGTAGGTGACAAACGTCCAGAAAAAAAATGACTAAGGAAGTAGCACCATAGGTATAGGTGTTTCCCAAGCATGGCCTTGAAGGGACAAAGCAAAAGGGGTCAGTGGTCTTCTCAGGGGCAACCAGAATGGCCATGCTATAAGTAACCATTTCCTACTTCTTTACCCTGCCCCCAAGACTTGGTCCTGCTTAAGACCCTGGAACCTAGAAATAGCCCAAGTTAGAAAAGAAGTCCTGAGCATGACTGAAGTTACATTTCCAATGTATCCCGGCAGGATGGGGACTTGAAGTTGAACTTAGGTAATATCATACATAATATGATATTTCTTGTGCACCTGAGTTTAAGGACTGTCAAAACCCAGTACAATTCTAACTAAAAGGATGGTCCGATGATTCCCTCTTTGAAACATGCACACATTTTGTGAAGATACAAAACAGTGGGAATGTGGTGTAACCAATTCATGACTGAGGCACTCATTCTCCCAGAAGCAGAGAGGATTGGTTGCTAAAAGTTCACAATTGTGATCCTTTCTGAGAACTGCCCTCTGCCAAAGGAAGCAGCCTTGCCCCTCCCCAGAGGTGGCCTGAGTCTCATAATTTATTCATGCAGGGATACAAAGGCGCAGCCCCTTGCCTCAATTTGTGACAATTCTGAAGGCCCATTGCAGCTCCAGAGCTCCCAGTAAGATTGGCTGAGTCCTCCATTGCAACTGCATTGCGGTACAACTTCTCCCTCTGCTTCTTCCTGCATCCTTCTCTTCCTTACAAATATTCTCAAGTTCATTCCCAAACAAACTGCCAGCATGCAAATCTCTGCCTCAAAGGCTGTGAGTCTGTTTTCAGGAAACCCAACTTAGGACAATAAACTCCCCTAAGCTTTTCCCATGAAACAAGCACAATAATTTCAATTTTGCCCAAACATCGATACCTTGTACATTCAGACACCTAATTTTTGTGATTGCTTAAAAGAAGTGGATTTTGTTATAACTTTTTCTCCAATGAGAGCATTCATAGAATGTTTTAAGAATCAAGAATTGCTAGGAAAGTACAAATTGTAGGGCATTCCAGAATTTCCTTCTCTGATGGACACAAGCCAGAATTGCATTCCAGAAGCTCATTTTTAACATATGGTAGTTGCCATCGACAAAACAACTGTCAAACATCACAGAAATGGAAGATATAAATGAACAAATAAGATGCTGATTTATAATGTTTTTATATATCCCTATAGAACAAAAGGGATCATGTTTTCATCAGATGGTCTTTGAGGTCAGTATGGAAATCTGCTCCATGACTCTGGGATGATACAAAGCCAGACTTTTCCCGTGCTGAACCCACTAGGGAAAGAAATAGGAAGGCATAAAAAGAGAGAAAGTAGTAAGCAATCACTTAGTTGTGATTCTGTATAGGTAAATGCTAATTATGTTCCTTATTTCCCCAAATGCCTTCTAACTGGGAGGATTATGGCCATAGGACTGAAGGTGTTGAATGAGGAGGGAGATGTCTATTTTCTCTCCAGAACTTTTGTTGTTGAATCATCCCTTCATCACTGCTACCAATATTCACCAACAGATGAGATCTAGGAATACAAATTAAGACAAAAAAATAGAAAAT
This sequence comes from Homo sapiens, assembly GCF_000001405.40. Lineage (NCBI taxonomy): Eukaryota > Metazoa > Chordata > Mammalia > Primates > Hominidae > Homo > Homo sapiens. The sequence continues at coordinate 25,487,382 of NC_000007.14, forward strand.
AGAAAAAAATTAAAGAATTTTTTAAAATTAAAAAAGCTTAAATGGTGCACATATTTCACCCTCACTCATTAAGACTGATAAAAATATTATAATCAATTCAGTTGTAAAGCTACATATTGAACCTCTAAAATATTAAATGTAAAGATCAAATCTAGAATTATTAGAGACTGATCTTGAGAGAGGCAGAAAGAGTTTGAAACATTTTTTTTTAACTGAAAGACCATTATAAGGATTTTTCCCCCTGCAAAAAGCAAGTTCTCAGTGCTGTGTATTTTGTTTGTTCACATTTGAACTAAGGTAAGTGAATATAGTTAAGATGGTACATTGGCCTCTTCAGAACAATATGTTACTTTAAGGAGAGAAGCCCAGATTTTAATTGGGGTAACCAAACCCTCGTCTAGTTTGAACTAGACCAAGATACCTGACATTAAATGATTTGCTTTGTAAAATCAACAAATTAACTAATTGTAATTTACATTGTTGGTGTCATCAGCTGGATATAATTTCCTACGTGTGCCCAAAGTAACTCTACAACTGCCAAAGGCTTCAGAAGGCAGTCTGGGTTGCCCAAATGCCACTGTTCAGCTTCCCAGGGTTATTGGAACAAAGGTATAATACTAATTTGACAACAGTTTTCTGTGTATGGGCATTTGTTTGTTTTTAAGAAAAGATTTAACAGGAAGAAACAAAGGTTGAGAAAATCTAGAGAAAGAATGAACCCAGATTGTGGACTATAAACATTTGATTTCTTTGATGTAACTTACAACGCTTGGCAAAGAGATAAGGAAAAAACTCCAAGTGCTTCATGAATATAGAAATAGAAAAAAGAATGCAGATACCCATTCAGTTTGGGGACTATTATAAACGGAATTGGTCTCCCCCAAATTCATATATTTAAGCCCTAATCCTAATGTGACTATATTTGGAGATAGTGCCTTTAAGAATGTGATTAAGATTAAATGGGGTCATTAAGGGTTCAGACCTAATCTGCTAGGACTGATGTTCTTGTAAGAAGAGGAAAAGATACCAGAGACCTCTCTCTCTCTCTCTCTCTCTCTCTCTCCCTCCCTCCATCTCTATCTGTCTCCCTCCATGCTGCTCAGAGGAAAGGCCATGTGAGGATATTGAGAAGGCAGACATCTGTAAACCAGGAAGACAGGTGTCAACAGAAACCAACCCTGCTGGCACCTTCATCTTGAACTTCTAGCCTCCCCATAGTGAAAAAATAAATTTCTGTTGTTTAAGCCCCTCAGTCTGTGGGATTTTGTTATGGCATCTCAAGCAGACAAATACAGGGACATTGGTGATAAGTTTCAGGAGTTTTTCAGTGCACTAGAAAGACCTTGATGAGTAGGTATAGGGATAACTTCACCCCTTCCCATACTTTTCATCTGCTGCCACTTTTTAAAGTTTTGGCATCTTTCAAGTGTTTTCATTTTCCTCATTAGGTTTTGGCACCTCATTTCTTCCTCTCTCTCTCTCTCCTTCTTTCTTTCCTTCCCTTCTACTTTTTCCATATTTCTTGGTGGCAGTTAGGAATAAATTGTGGGAGGCAACTTCACATGCTGCCTTAAGCCAGAATTCACCCAGTTATCAATTAAAAGAAAATATACTTAGTACTTAACTACGTGCAAGTTCTGTACCAGGTTCCTGTTAGAAACAAAAGGGTATAGGTCCTCTAGACATGTGTTATGTTCCTCTTCAGGCTCCCAATAAAAGAATGAATGGCTCTTAATTACATGATCAATGATTTTACCCCTTGAATGAACAGAATTACGGTTAAGTGCATTGCAGATGCAAAAAAACAATATTCTTCCATTTGTTTTTAAGTGATGAGTATGAGTTGGCAGGTTTTTAAATTTATTAAAAAATATTTGGTGAATAAGACACAGACATTTGATTGAAAGCTCCCGGTTTTTAAAGAATCTCCTTCCCTGTAACTCTCCTCTTCTCTTGCTTAGAAAGCAAGTCAGGAAGCTGTGGCCTACCTGACACTCATTTAGTGAGATACCAATTCAATTCATCTTGGAATCAGCATCTAAATATTCACTTTTATTTTGGTCAACCTGGGTTGGGACATGTGTATTTCCAAGGGGCAATGCTAACAAAATGCATGTTTAATGGCTTGGAATAACTACTAGTCAAAAGAATGAAGAGCAAGGGCCGGGCACCGAGGCTCTCACCCGTAATCTCAGCACTTTGGGAGGCTGAGACGGGCAGATCACAAGGTCAGGAGATCGAGACCATCCTGGCTAACACGGTGAAACCCCTTCTCTACTAAAAATGCAAAAAAAAAAATTAGCTGGGCGTGGTGGCGGGTGCCTGTAGTCCCAGCTACTCGGGAGGCTGAGGCAGGAGAATGGCGTGAACCCGGGAGGCGGAGCTTGCAGTGAGCCGAGATTGCGCCACTGCACTCCAGCCTGGGCGACAGAGAGAGACTCCGTCTCAAAAAAAAAAAAAAAAAAAAAAAAAAGGAAGAATGAAGAGCAAGTTAGCCCAGTTTACATTACAGGTTCACCTTTTTCAAGTATTTCCTTACTTACAGTAGATGAACCTGTAGCCTGAGACCATGCTGTTTGAGCTTCCTGTTCTGGAACAGCCATTTATGCAGCTCTTATGAATAATTAGGGAAAGCCCATTTTCCCATCACTAGCTGTTTTGCATCCAATATCCCTAGTCACCCTTCACTTATTCCGCATTCTGTTGTTACTGCTGTTTCTCTTTTCCCCATATTTTTCATGGTCTCCCATTCACAGAAAGACAATCGTCTGTGAAGGGGTGGGGTACTCCAGCAAACGAACTGAGAATCAGGAGTCCCGGGTTCTGATGCTGCTTTGGCCACATCACTTTACTTGCTCTTAGCTTTGTCTCCTCATCTGCAAAGCAAAAGCATGGGATAATTCCCTCTCCTAGCACCAAAATTAATATTATATTTCAGAAAAGCATTATCCTATGGCTTATATATAGTTAAATACTTAAGGATGAAGATGGGGAAAAAGTGATTTTTTAGAGCTCCATAATTACTTTGTTGGTCGGTCTGAAGACCACTCCTAGGTTCAGTGATTCTCTAGGAGGACTCACAGAGCTCAGCATAGAGTCAGATTATGGCAATGATTACTCCATTGAAAGGAAACCAAGAACTGGATGAGGTAGTGCATGCCTGTGGTCCCAGCTACTTGGGAGGCTGAGGCAGGAGGATTACTTGAGGCCAGGAGTTTGAAGCTGTGGTACTCTATGATTGCACATGTGAATAGCCACTGCCCTCCAGCCTGGGCAACATGACAGGACCCAGTCTCTAAAAAGGAAAAAAAAGAAAGAAAGAAAGAAAAGAAACCAAGCATATTCAGCCAAAGAAAAAGGCACATGGGCAAGGTCCTGGGGCAACCAGGCACAAGCTTCCAGAGGTCCTTTCTTACTCAAAGGAGTCACACAGAATACACTTCATTCTCTCAGCCTACCTTCGGAGGACATAGCCTAACATTTGGATACATTTAACAGAAGCTGTCAAAGAAAAAAGTTGTGACAACACGTGTGAAATGTTGTCACTCAGGGAAGCTTGCCCCCAGAGTTTTTACTGGTGGATGGCCACATAAGCAGCCTCTGCCTAGCACAGACTCAAATGCCAGCTTCTCAGGAAGAAAGCAGGTGTTCCACATAAACCATAGTATTTGTACAAATAGTTTAAACATAGTGGGCCACTCTTATCAGTTAATCCTGGTGGGAACCCTCCTGAAACCTAAATTCCAGACACCAGCCAAAGGCCAACCTTGTAAGCAGGCCTGTCAAAGGATAACAGTCAGACCTGCTGTTAACTCTTTTCTGCACGGTTATATAGCATGTTTATTTCTTAAATCACTCTAGGAATTGGCCACTTGCGTGCTGCTCTGAGGTGTGTACAAATTTGTATTAAAGGCGGGGCGCAGTGACTCACACCTGTAATCCCAGCACTTTGGGAGGCCAAGGTGGATGGATCACGGGGTCAGGAGATAGAGACCATCCTGGCCAACATGGTGAAACCCTTCTTTACTAAAAATACAAAAATTAACCGGGTGTTGTGGCGCGCACCTATAGTCCCAGCTACTCGGGAGGCTGAGGCAGGAGAATCCCTTGAACACTGGAGGCAGAGCTTGCAGTGAGCCAAGATCCAGCCACTGCACTTCAGCCTGGCGACTATAAAAGACCTTCAAAAGACCCTATCTTTGTACATTAGAGGACTATTCTCTTTTCTAATAAAAGTATAAAATAAGTAAAAAATTGTATTAAAATAATATTTTCCAAACAAATTTAATTTTTTTCCCATTAGTAAAGTGGCATTTCCCCTTAAGAAAACTTAGAAAGTAAAAAAGTAGAAAGAATAAAAACATTATAAATAGTAGCAGTTTCTAAAAATAATTACCTCTAGACCGTCTTTCAGATATTTGAGCATGATTATCACAATCCCTATTTAAATGATATTCTGTTGTTCTCATTTTTATCTTACAGAAAATTTTTCATATTATCTGAAAACATTTTGCAGACATCATTTGTAATGACTATAATTAATTGTATCATAATTTATACTATGATGAATTTCCCTTTGTCATTTAAAAATATTATTAGTAATCTTGTAATGAACATCTTCATGCACAAAACTCTTTATGTATTTAGAATTATTTCTTACGATAGATTCTCAGAAATTGATTTACTTACCCAAAGGCTATGAACTTTTTAAAGGCTTTTGTCATCGCTCACTAATGGATCTCCCAGAGTTATAAAATTTGGGTATTCACTAAGAAAAGTATTTCTCTAAAGTGAAATGATGTTCTCATGTGTTTTTCTTCCAGTGCATTTCAATAATATTTTTCCCGTTTGTTTTTTTTGCCCTCCCATAACATTGGCCTCCATGTTATCTAATCATCCCACTGCTAGGATGTGCTTTGGGCAAAGGCAAAACATTCATAAGTCTCTTAAAAAGCAAGACTGTCACCTGGGAATCCGCATCATGTCTTATCACAGATTAATTCACCTGTTTCCTGAGCAAATGGGGTACAAGTTCTCCAGGTTTGGACTGGGAGACAAAGGAGGGGGTGGAGAGGGGGACCAGAAGGAGCTGGGGTGCTGAAATATCCTTGGTAGGGTGGCCGTATGGTGCGGCATGCAGCTAGGCCATGGGTAGATGTGAGAGAGTGACAAATGGGTTCCAAAATACGAGGTGTGAAATGATACTAAAAGATCCAATCTAATCTTTGTTATAGTCTTGCTCAAGAACAGCTTCCACCCACAGAAGCACCAGAGGTCATGTAGCTCAAAGAAACCAGGGTTAGAGCAGGACAGCTTAGACTGCAGTGCTCGTGCCGCTGTCTGCTAACTGAGAGGCTGGAGCACATCACCTAGTTCCTGCTCCTCAGGCCTCTCTTTGGTAAAAGGGGGATAATAGGACATACTCAACCTACCTTACAAGGCTGCTGGGAATCAAGTCCAATTCTGGTAATCAACGATCAGGAAATCATTCACTCTTCACACACAGTGCCTGGTACATGGGATGTATGAATCAGTGATTATTGAAATTAATAGAAATGGTAGGAGAGAAAATCCCTTATGAACTTTCAGAGTGGTAGAAAAAAGAAGAGTCTTCACTCCATCCTCAGCTCAGTCTGAAACATCAGGCAAACATAAGATTCTAAAAATTGTGGTTTTTAAACAATAACAATTAGTGTTCTGTTTTCTGTTGCTAAGAATCAAATCAAAACTTATTCCACTGGCAATAATCTAGTTTCATTGTGGTGAGAATATTTTAATTATGAGGCAGTCCTACTGTGCTCTAATATTTGCTCTGTTGGTTTTTTTAAATCAAAAACTCATATATTAAAATGAACTGCTAAAACAAAAATCTCTTAATGAATTAACAATAATTAAGTTTAGCCAGATAGTGTGCTCCCTGATAGTGAGTGTGTGTGTGCGTGTGTGTGTGAGTGTGTAAGGTTTCCTGCAATTATAAAAGTTTTACATATACAATTTAGGAAATATAAAACAATATAAAGAACCAAAATCTTATTGCTCAAAAGCAACCATCATTAATAATTACCACTACTTTCTCCAGTATTTTCTTTTATTCCGTTTTTAAAATCACCATTTGTTCTTTAGGCTACATAGTGAAATAGAAATGTTATTTTAGAGCATACAGAACTTACTAAAATTTTGCCTCTGCCACTTGCTAGCTATGCCATCATGGGAAGATTACTTAGTTTCTCTGAGCCTCACTTTCCTCATCCATAAAATGTAAGTAATGATATCTACTTTCCAAATCAGGATTCATCAAAAATAACATGCACAGATAATTAAAGTGCACACAGATCAGTTCTCACAAACTGCAGTACATACAAAACTACAGACCATACCCAGAACACAAGCTAGAGTTCAAACTATTTAGAAACAACATAGCAAATAATTTGTATTTGTAATAGGTAATGATGCTTATGCACACTAACAGATGTGCATACAGGGATGTTTTCTGAGCAATGATAATTCTATCGTTAATATTCAATACAACAATAAGGTCTGACAGAATCACCTTCATGCTGACCTGCTGGAGGTCAGAAAGGCTCAGCTGTCTTCACATAAGGAAGAGGCTGCGTGACTATGAATGACGTCGTCTCACCAGTGCTTGGGGCATGTTAGAAACATAAATTTTATTTATTTATTCTCTGCTTCCTTTCAAGAGGATTAGAGAGTATAGAGGTGCCAATACAGTTTAAAATAAGACACACAGAGAGGATCCCATCAAACCGAACCACCCCTCATACTGATTGAGCACCTACTGTGTGCTAGAGCACTCTGCAGGTGACTGGAGGTAACGGGATAAAGGAGGCCACTCTCCCCAGGAGCTCCCAGGTTGGGAAATCGTTTCTCAAAGTATGATCCAAAGACCCCTCCTGATCCCTCATATAGAATCACCTACAGTGCTTCTGAAAAATGAAGAAAAAAAAAAGAAGATTGCTGATCCCCGACTGGGAGTCTCTCCTAATGCAGAATGTTTGGGCCTCTCAACCATTCACCACCTCTCCATTTCATGGTCATGAGTGCTGGGGTTTGAGAATTTTCAGAGGGGAAACAGGATTAGCAACAGTGAATTCTGAAGTGCTGTACCAGTGTAATGGTCTATTCAGCAGAAGCTTGGAGGTTAAGAATGGTGACTTTGGAAAGCAACAGACCTGGATTCAATTGCTGACTAGCTGAGACTGTGGTGGAGGCTTGCAGTCTCTCTGAGCCTGTTTTATCATTTGTCCAATGGGTTTAAAGTTACCTGCCTCCAAGTGGTGTTGCATTAAATAAGACACTGTTCTATAAGAAAATGCTTAACACATTGCCTCATTCATGGGAGGTACTTGAAATGCAGCGGCCATTGTTGTCATCAGTCACATCACAGTCTAGGTCCTACTTTGGCATCAATCAGATCCCAGGGACATAACACAGGTGTTCCCAAGGCCAAGGTCATCCCAGGCTTCAACAAAACCCTGACCCTGGAGCCTGGCCATTCACCTACAACAGCTAAGGGCTGAATTAACCAAGACTCATTTTTCCCAGCATGAAAAAAGAGGACATGCCCTCCTTCTTTGCCTCTTTTCCCTTGTCTCCCTTTTCTCTCTCAGAAAGAAAAGATGCACCACCCCAGGAAAACACAGTGGCAGAAACCTGTTACCAGTTTTGTCAGATCCCAAAATGGCAGATGGCCGCAGCCTGCAGCCTCTCACTGCATCCAAGATGTCTTCATCTATCTTCCTAGGACCCCAGCAAAATGTTTTTGGCAAAAGCAGGAGGAAGGGATAAAAATTAAGTATAAGGTGCTGCATTCATAGGGGCTTTTATGGGTCTGGATGTGTAATGATGGTTTAATGGCAATCAAGAGGCAGGTAATTAGGAACAAGCGGCTCTGATCACCCTTGTACACAGCCACAGATAGCTCCTCCACACTCCTGAAACCTTGTTTGCTTTCTCCGAGGCAGAAATCCCACAAGGTCTTCACGTTGCCAGCTGTCGAGCTAACGAACTGCCAGTGTGTTCTTGAATGGGAGCACTCAGCCTACCGAGGCTCCCCTGAGCAGCTTGCGCTGTCTTCACCATGTGATTGCTTTTATCTGGCCAGTGCAGGAGCTGCTCCTAATCACCCTGCTGTTTGCCTCCAAGGGTCAAACTGGGGACCATCACTACCTAAACAAATGAGGAGGATGTCACCTTTGGGGGAGACTGATAAGCAGTTGGCAGGCAGGCCACGGGCAAGAGAAGGCGCCAGCAGCCAGCAGTCTGCAAAGGCCGTAAATATGTTACACTCTCAGCAGGGAGATGGGCAATATAGGCACCAAGAGGCCTTTGTTTAATGAGCTGTCAGAAAGCAGGCATGAAATTATGTTTGAAAACATGTGCAAGCTGCAGAGACAGAGCGAGGGCCTATAAATGGCCCTCTTCCTTCATGCTGGATGTTTTGGAGCATCTTATCAGTCTGAGAACTGTCATAGGATGAAAGCTATCATTAGCAAACTAATGGTGTTTGAAAGCTACAAATTTTTCTATCTCTTCTCCATTTTTGACTTAAATGGATTATAGAAAAAAAATCTTAATGGTTTTTTTCTTTCCTTGGGATTTTGGTAAACATGCAAATTGGAAGAGAACCAAAAACAAACCGCAAAAAAAGTATCTCTGGAAGAACAAACCAAATGGTTATACTTAGAATCTCTGCTCAGAACAGTCAGCTGACATTCTTTTCAATTCTGTTGAGACTCTGTTCAGAGAAATCTAATGCAACTCCAGCCAGCATTTTATTTCAATCAGGCCCATAAAAGAAAGCATAAATATAAAATAGATTGTTCTCCTATAATCTGAGTATTAAAATTTGTGGGTAGGTATAATATCACTTCTACCACATCAGCTATCAAATAATAGAGAATAATTTTTCAAAGACTAGAAATTATTCTTGTGGGTCCCATGGTTGTGAAGTTTATTTCTATTCAGGGTGAAACCTAAAGATGTTTAAAAATCTGCCAGGACTGAGAGGCATCGCTGATTTAGGGCGTATTTGGGCCCCAATTCCCAAATTCTGAAAGGATGCATGAGGGCTTGGTTGCCATACATGGGTCTTTTTCCTTCAGTGCACCACAACCCTGCATTTCCTCCCTCTGATCAAACCAGGCAGCCAGAAATGACTTGCACAAACCACTTCCCCATTAAAAGGCCCAAGACTAACCATCTGAAGCTGATTCAGGAGAGGTCGCCAAATTAGCAGGGAATAGTCTCTTGAGACCCATCTTCTCCGCAGATTGAACAGTAGCAAGCTGCTCCCTTCCAGATTTGAGAAAAGAGGAAGATCTGAATAGGAAATAGGAAATAGCAAAGTTCCATTGAAAAGGTAAAGGGGTGAAGGTTAGAGAAACAGAAACTAAAAGACAAAGAAAAACAGGAAGAAAAAAAAATGGTGTTTGCCGTACACCATGCATCAATAACTGACATTCACAGGACACTTTGTTTTCCTGCCTTTTATGCTGGTCCCCTGTGTGTAGATGAGAAATACAAGGTACCTAAAGTCATCCAGCCGATACGTGAGCCAGCCATGGAGCCAGGGCTGGGAACCCAGGGCCCACGTCCCTCCCACGCGGGTTTATCATCTTTGAACGCATTCTGCAGGCCCTCTCTCTGAAGGCTGCGCATGGATTCTACGTGCAGATCCTGACACAATGTGGGTGCTCAGTCTGCATTTAATGGGGAAAGGAGAGCTTTAGTCCACAGAAGAGACAAGAGAAAATCAAGACAGAAACAAAATTGGAAGGAGTACAAGCATGGCTATTCTGTGTCCAGAATAGGGCCTGTGAGGCCATGTATTCCTTTTCAGTTTCCCAAGTGCAGAGAGGAAATCATCCTTTATTAGGGCTGAAACTACACAGTGGCTTGGGATTGTGGAGATTTCCTGAGGCTGTTCTGTGGAAGTTGGGATTCTTGATATCACTTTTAGTCTGGAAAAAAAATTTTTTAAACATTTATTCCAGTTCAATAAATATGGAACGCACTCTTATTAGATGCTGATGCTGTGCTAAGTACTGTGGGGAATGCCAAAACGTACATAACAGGATCTCACAGTCCTACCCTCCCATTCTCTCCATCCCCCAACCCTCCCTTCATCCACCTGCCACTCCCAGCTTCTTCCAGGAGTTCAGGCAAGGGAGAATGATGGTTTGCCAGAATTAAGATTTTTGTTCTTCAGCATCCCCAAGGACTTATATTTATTGAATGTCTACTCTGTGCAATAATCTCAGCAATACAAAAATATTCATATTGGTAATCTGTGCTTATTTATTTGAATTATTTTTTAATTTTTCACCATTCACATGGTTCAAAACTCTCTCCTGCACTTGTCCAGTCACCTAGTGCCCCTATCCAGAGACAAATAGTGTTATCAGTTTCTTAAGTATCATTCCAGACATTTTTCAATGTATATACAAGCAAATTTTTAGGATTTTTATGGCTTTAACTTTTTTGACATTTAAGCCTCTGATTTCCATTTGGTACATATTCTGGTGTGAGAAGTGAGGTATAGATGCACTTTAATTTTTTTCCATAATACTACCCAGTTATTCAAACATCATTTATTGTGTAATCTATTTGCTCCCCAATGATGGGAAATGCCACCTTAATCATATCCTAAAATCCTTAGGTATACATGCATCCTTTATGTCTATATTCTAAATTTCTGTATGTATTTTGGCCTATGTTAGGCTTCCTGTTTTGTTACATTGATTTGCTATTTATTTATATGTTAACATTATGCTGTTTTAATTATTGTAGCTTTATAATATGCTTTAATATCTGATAGGACTGATATTAGAACATTGCTATTCTTTTTCAAAATTTTTTTTAGAATTTTTAAGATATTATTTGTTTTTTACTTGAGGTTTGGAATTAGCCTGTCTTATCAAAAATTACTATTACTATTATATTGTAATTTATTAAATGTATAAATCAACTTAAGAAAAATTAACATATTGTTGAAGACATCAAGTCTTCCTTTGCCTTTCCATTTGTTGAAATCTTTTGTCTCAGGAACATTTTAAAGTTCTCTGTTTAAGTAGCATTTAAAGTTTATTTCTAAATATGTTATATTTGTTGGAACTCCTGTAAATGTGACTTTTTAAAATTACATCTTCTAACACTTTTTGATTGTTCTAATAACTTTTTATAAGCTTCTGTACGTTAGCTATGTGCCCAGTCATCTGTTACTGTTTGTAACAGGTTTAAATAAATACGTGGAGGTTTTCCAGGCAGGAAATTCTATCATCCACAAATAATGATAGTTTTATTTTCTTCTTTTCAGTATTTATATGTCCAGTTTCTTTATCTTGCATAATTATATCGTCATCTTCAGAAAAGTCTTACATAATAGTAGTGAAATTGAAATCCTAATATTCAATGTATTAATAAAACTTGAATGGATATTAAATTTTATCAAATGCCTTTTTAACATTTATGAGACTGATCATATGAATTTCTTCCTGGAATCTGTTAATATGGTGAATAAATTAATAGATATTCTAAAATTGAACTCTTTGCATTTTTGCAATAAAGCCCACTTGGCTCATTGTGGCAGAGACTTTTAGGAACTTTTTTCATGACTTCTATTTTCAAGATATTTAACAGTTTTAGTTTTTTACCCAAAAGTTACCCAAAACTTATTTAATGACAAGCTTTTAATATCTAGGCAGTAAGAACTTTTTGTTTTTATTATTAAGTCCCAGTTGTATTGCATTGTGACTTTTTCTAATTTTTGGAATATATTGAGAGTTTCTTCTCTCATAGATAACTATTTCACTAATGTATGGCTCCTGAAATCTCTAACACCTCTCCTCTATCTTCATTTTTAGGTGATGAGCTTGTTTCCCACTTCACTGGAAAACAAAATGGGAATATTCAGAAGATAAGTTCCACAGCTCCCATAGCATCTTCCTATCTACCAGGATTTGGACCTTCTACACCCTGCTCCCATTAAGGAATTAGCCTTGCTCTTGTCCAAAACTAGCCTTTGCGTATGCCTTAGATCCTATCCCCCTTGCTTGCTCACAGGCTTTGCTCCAGCAATTCTCCCTATTTTTCCCCTATACCATCAGCTTCCTCTCTCTACTAGGTCATTTCCACCAGCACACAACAATACTGTCTCTCTCATCTTAGAAATGGAAACTAACAAAATTGAGTTCACTTTTCCTTCTGACACTATCCCTTTTCTACCTCCCCCACTTTACAGCAAAACTCTTTGAAAGCTGCCTGAATTTCACTGCTTCCATTTCCTCTCCTCTTCTCACTTAAACCTACTGCTGCCAGAACCGGGACTCCACCACCTCACCAGACCCCTGCTTGTCAATATCATCAATGACTTCCATCTTGCTAAATCCATTTCTTGTCCCCATTGAACTTGACCCTCAGTAACACCTTGTCAAATTAACCACTCCCTTCTCATGGAAATGATTTCTTGTTTTCTAAGACACTACACATTTCGTTTTCCTTCAACACCCCTGGATGCTGCTTCCCAGTCTTGTCCCTTAACCTCCTAGCACTGAAGTGATGCAGGGCTCAGTCCACAGATCTCTTCATCTTTCCTGTTCACTCCATACTCACCCTCTTGGTAATTCCCTTCCAGTTTCATCGTTTAAATGGCATCTGTCTGCAAATGATTATCAAATGTATGCCTCCAGCCATGGCCACTGCTCTCAACGTTAGCTTATCCATCTAACTGTCAACTCTGTATCTCTACCTGGACGCCTGATGGAGGTCTCCAATGTACCATGCCCTAAACTGAAATTTTGATCTTCTTTATCCACAGAATCTGCTCGACCCTATCTCAGTTAAAGGTATCTATGCCCTGGTCTAGAAGGCCTTCAGTAATTAGAAAGCATGTATTTTGTGTGTATGCCTTGATAAGTGTTGACTGTAGCTATAGCAAGGGATAATTCATCATCAGGAAATGGTCAGGAGAGTGTCTCCAAATCTTTTAAGCATGCGCTAACCTTCATATATAGGGTCCTTGTATTACCTTTTCTCAAGTTGTACTATAATGTCCCGACCTTCAAAAGACCTTATCCTTGTACATTTGAGGACTCTTATCTTTCCTAATTAAAGTCAGATGGTTGTCTTGTGGGTTTTCTTCTTCCTTTCTCTTTTGTGAGCTGCCTCTTAACAGCTGTGGTGTGTTGCTAGTGAATTATCAGTGGACAGACGTGAGATTCCTTTATGATGTTAAATGACATATTACAGTGTTTTTTCTCCACAAACTACAAAAGCTAAACATCATAGACAATATTAAATCTTATGCAAGAGTTATCTATTTTACAAAACATTAGTTGATTTCTAAAATAGAGTTGCACATTTTTTTGGCTGTTTTCCTAACATGTGCTCTATTTCATGAGAAATATTTTCAGAGCATTAAATGATGGTTTCTGGTTTAAACGTTTTAGACAACAAACAACAGCAAAAAATTTTCTCTGACCTTAAATGCTGGAATGAGGTAATCATTATTAAGGAACAGCTAAATTAAAATTAAGGCATGCCAGTGTAATCATTGACTCAGGCAAGGGTCATCAACAGATGCGTATACCATTGAAGAATACATTACATGGTTTCAAGTTATCATTATACAGATTACTTATTAATTACAATGGAGAGAATTGCAAGACACCACCTAACTAAGTGATGTAAACAGGCATCATTAATAATAAGACAAACTGTCATTTTGTGCCTCCTGATACGATGGGGAAGTTTATAACATCACTTGCTTAGAATTCTTACCAAAAATATTTAACCTGAATATGACCAGGGGGAAACAAACAAAAAAAATGAAAAATCCAGCAATAATAATACTATAATTACATAGGAACAAGTCCTTTGTCTAAGAATATGCATTTGAGCCTGAAGTATCATAATAAGCACAACTCACTGTCAAATAGTTCACTGATGGGGGGTGCAAATTGTTGACAGTTGTTGAATCTAGACAAAGAGTATATAGGTATTCATTGTACTCTTCTTTCCAATTTTCTGTAAGTTTGACATTTTTCAAAATAAAAAGAGGAAAAGTCATAAATTAGCGGTTCTGGGAAGAGAAAATATCAGTTGTTACAGTCATATATCTCTGTAACCTGCACTCACTGCAATGTTTCATTGAGATTTATTAAAAATGACAAGAAGATATGTCTACCTCAAAACTCCAGCAGAACATTTTTCTCAAGATGGTAGACTAAGCCACCATTAAAACTAAAGATGTTATTTGAGCTAAAGGAATAATAAACACAGTCACCGTCTACCTACTCTCTCAAACTAGCAGGTTCATTCACTCTTAACTCCTCCCCTCTTCCACCTTCCAGCCCCCATGTTTAATCAACCAGTTACCAAATACTGAAGATTCTACCTCACAATCTCCCCCAAATTTAGCATCTCTTCTCCATGCATCAGGTACTACATGATTACCAGGAAGACTCCATGACTGTGTGCATGCCAGTCTTCTGTAGGGAACACCTTCCCTTCCTTCTCTCTCAAGTGACTTTCGTCTCCATTCAGGTTCAAAGCCATCTGCTCTGTGGAGATGGAGGCTTGTTGCTCCTTCTGCTGGTTCCCACTGCGTTTTGCGTTTCCTATAGCACATCTCCCATAGGGCTGTGCTGTGCTCTGACTGGATGTTTCCGTGTCTTACCACTGGACTGTACCTCATGGATCTTTGGTCCCAGTTCCTACCACTGCTAACAGGCACACAATGATGTTCAAATTATATTTGTAGGAATTAATGAGGAAACCAGGGAAGACAAGATAAGCTAATCGTGAACTAAAATGAAAAAACTTGTTTTAAACAAGACTGTTTCTAAAGTTATACTGGCCCAAATTGTACATCTAGTCTGTTATAATCTTTATTTTAAAGCTTTCTAAGGGAATCAAGATAAGGTTAAGTTGATGCACTGTGAGAATGTAGAAGGCAGACGTTTTGAATACTGGGTTCTGTGAAAATAACTCTGTTACAACAGAAAATCTCGTAAGGCATGGATTGTAAGGGAACAGGTCTTAGGGAAATAGGTTTGTCCAGTATGTCAGAATTTTGGAAGAATAAAGGCTGGAGAAATAAGGCTAACTGGAGTGGGAGTGACCCTAGAAATTTCCAGTCCTTGCCTCTGAGATCCTTACCCCATTGCTGACCAGGAGAGTCATATGTTGTGATGCATCACGGAGGAGTCACTAGCAATGTTTCTCTCACTCTTATGTCTTTTAGAAACTGTTTAGGAGGAATGGGAAACAAGATTTTCATGCTGTCACCCATTCAAGTTCACTTTTTGTGTTTGTTTTTAAGAGATAGGGTATGGCTCTGTCATGCAGGCTGGAGTGCAGTGGCATGATCACAGCTCACTGCAACTCAAATTCCTGGGCTCAAGAAACCCTCCCATCTCAGTCTCCTGAGTATCTAGAACTACAGGTGCACCACCATGCCCAGCTACATGTGGTTGTTGTTGTTGTTGCTTTTGTTGTAGATACAGGGTCCTGCCAGTTGCCCAGGCTGGTCTCAAACTGCTGTCCTCAAGTGATCCTCCTGCCTTGGCCTCCCAGAGCACTGGGATTACAGATGTGAACTATCGTGCCTGGTCACTTAAGTTCAGTTTTAATGCAGCTGTTCTGTGATAAAAGGCTGTTCAGTTCTGTGACAAAAGACTTCCAGAAAACTTCTTCAGCATCCTGTGTAGCAGTGTGCAAGGGCATACAAATATTTTTTTGAAAATAATATATTTACAAGGGAGCAACTGGGAATCAAAACCATATCTAACATTAAATTTCATTTCCAATATGAATGGATTTAAAAGCACAGGGGCAATATTGTGTTTAATGGGTACAGAGTTTCAGTTTGGGATGACGAAAATGTTCTAGAGATTGATGGTAATGACGGTTGCACAACCACATGAATGCACTTAATGCCATTGAATTGTATAGTTTAAATGGTTAGAATGGTAATTTTTATGTTATATATATTTTACCACAATTAAAAAAACATGAACGGAGAAACATCTTGAGTTAAAGAGAGATATTTTTAGATTTGCCAAACCACAGATTTTTGAAAAGCTGTTTGGAAAATTCTGAGGGAATCTCTCTTTCCATCCTGGCTCTGATGAATTCACTTATATTGTTGCATGACATTGCTCAGAGTTGGGGGGATGGGGAGAGTCTCATAGTTTAAACTTTCCTCTATGTGGAGATCTGATTCTAAAACATAAGATCCACAAGATAGTCTCAAATCTCTTTTCAAGGGCCCTACTTCTGCCAAGCTCAAGCTTCCTGGTCTGTGCCAGACAGGGTGCCCATTCACCAGGATTTCCTCTCATCTCTCCTCACTTGTGGATATTACTACCCAGGACATGGCCCTGGTAGATTTTGGGTCCAGGGAAGAGGAGGTGCATGTTACCTGGCACATCATAACTATATTTTTGTCAAATGTTGAATAAATGTGTGTGTGCACAGGAAGCATTCAAAAGCAGAGGATGCTTTTTGAAAAAAACTTTGCCTGTGAGCTAAAAATGTAAACCTTATTTAGGATTGTCCTCCTGTGTCTAAGGATTTGTTGATATAACACCTTTGCTTATAGCATTAGTATTGTGATGAGAGAAGTCTAACAGAATGTATTTTTTAAAAACAGTGAGCTCTTAAAGATCATCCTGAAAAGTTTCTCCTCTCCTCCTCTGGAGTTGCCAAGCTTTCTTCTCTTTTTTACAATTGTTCACATGGACTCTGCATTTCTTTGCTGAAAGAAGGGAACCCTGTCTCTTTTAGATATACTTTCTAGGGTTACATTGAAATAATCTACTTTAAAGCCGAGACCCTAAAGACCTCAAGGCATAGGTAGACACTGAGGCACAATGGCCATATATTATATAACAATTGCCATATTACTGAATGAATGCAAAGGGAACCCAATGATACATGTGAATGTCCATTTTTGTTGGAAGAATATCTGGCATGTTTCCCTGTTATACTCTAGAATTGTAGAGACAATGCAGATGTTTCTCTCAACAAGAGCTTTCCAAAATTTTCCTGACAATGATGTGTTTGGGCTGACAAAGATGGTGCCAACACCACTCTGGCCTCTCATCCTATTTCCCCTTTCACTCTTCACAGTGTCTTGAGCACAGACAACCCTTTATCTTGGATGGTCTCTGAGAACCCTGTTTTTTCCCCTGCATTGGCAGCTTTCCCTTATATACTGATTTTTTAATATATTACTATCATTATTAATAGTACCAATGATAATAATATTTTCCTTCTGTGCACCAGCTACTTTGCATATAATATCATGTTTCAATCCCAAGAGGTAGAATAGATATTGTCAGTTACACTTTCTAGATGCAGAAATTAAAGAGAAGCGAAGGGACATAGTTAGTCCAAATCTCTGTGATGTATTTAATGTGCTGTGTATGCTGCTTGAGACTTCATCATACTGTGTAGGCCCAACTTTGGATCTGCAAACAGGTAGCACCTACATTCAAGGTTGGGAGGTCTTTCTTCCTCAGAATCCTTTCTTATTCTTCAGCCTTTTCTTAGAAAACCCTGTTGTTCTATCCAATAGGAAAGCAAGTTTAATGTAAATAACATCTAAAGAACACTTTCCAGACTTTTACCAGCTGCGGGAAACAAAGAAGGCATATAATGCTGAAAAGCACTAAGGTATCAAGAACACATCTTAACTCTATATGAACTGATCACACATAATTTGGTACTCTAAGCACACTTCACAATATTTTTCATTTTTGTAATCCCAAGTAGCCTGGCTACATGTATGGCAATAAATTACCTTCAAAAAGAAATTCAGTGTCAGCTAGAGGGGTTAAAAAACTATTTGAAAATAAAAGGACAAAATATTTAATTTATTAGGAATCATCAACTACTTTTATCTGAATTCCACTGGATAAAATGAAGAACCAGAATGTATCCCCCTGTTTTATTTCTTGTGTGTATGTGTTCCTTTGTTGTCAATAACAAAGAGTAGGAGGGGCTTAGCACTTAGCATTATCAGAAAATATAATATTTTGAGAAGAGGCAGAGCAAGATGGCCGAATAGAAGCCTCCAGCAATCATTCTTCCCGCAGGAACACTAAATTGCACAACTATCCACACATAAAAGTACTTTCATAAGATCCAAAAATCAGGTGAGTAATCACAGTACCTGGTTTTAACTTCATATCACTGAAAGAAGCACTGGAGAGGGTAGGAAAGATAGTCTTGAACTGCCAACACCACTCCTCTCTCATTCTCCAGCAGCAGGCTTATGCCTCAGAGAAAGAATCTGTGCACTTGGGTGAGGGACAGCACAATGACTGTAGGACTTTGCATTGGAACTCAGTACACCAGGCAGAACTCAGCCAGCACCTATGGAGGAAGCATTTAGTCTAAACCTAGCCAGAGGGGAATCATCTCTTCTCCAGTCACAACCTGAGTTCCCACAGCCCTGCTACCATGGGCTAAAGTGCTCTGGGGTTCTAAGGAAACTCAAAAGGCAGTCTGGGCCACAAGGACTGCAATTTCTTCACAAGTCATGGTGCTGTGCTGGACTCGGAGCCCGGGGACTTGAGGGGGCATGCAACCTAGTGAGACACCAGCTGGAGTGGCTAAGGGAGTGCTTGCCCTACTCCTCCTTCTACCCCAGGCAGTGAAGCTCACAGCTCTAGGAGAGATTCCTTACCTCCGCTTGAGGAGAGGAGAGGAGAGGAGAGGAGAGGAGAGGAGAGGAGAGGAGAGGAAGAGTAAAGAGGACTTTGTCTTGCAACTTAGGTACCAGCTCAACAACACTTGGTTACAGCACCAAGAAGGCTTGTAGGATTCCAGATTCCTTGGCTATGGAAAGGCATTTCTGGATCTGCCCTGGGCCAACTGGGGAGCCCACTGCATTGAAGGGAGAGTCCCAGGCCTTGCAACATTCAACACAAGCTGACAGAAGAACCCATGGGCCTTGAATAATCATCAGGGATAGCCAGGCAGTACTCACTGCAGGCCTGGGATGGTGGTTGCTATGGGAAGAGACTCCTCTGTTTGTGAAAAGAAGAGAGAAAAGTGGAAAGGACTGTTTTGTGGCTTGAGTGCCAGATCAGCCACAGTAGAATAGAGCACCAGGTAGACTTCTAAGGTTTCCAATTCCAGGCCCTGGCTCCTGGATGGTATCTTTGACCTGACCAGGACTTTGGGAACTTGCTGCCCTGAAGAGAAGGAAACTAGGCTGGCTGACTTTGCCACATAGATGGAAAATATAGGGATGGAAAAAGATGTCCCATGCAAATGGAAACAAAAAAAAATCAGTAGTGACCATACATATATCAGATAAAATAGATTCCAACACAAAAACTATAAAAAGAAACAAATAAGGTCATTATATAATGATAAAGGGGTCAATTTAGCAAGAGGATATAACAATTGTAAATATATATGCACTCAATACTGGAGCACTTTGATATATAAAGCAAATATTAGCGCTAAAGAGAGAGACAGACCCCAATACAATAATAGCTGGAGACCTGAACACCCACTTTTAGCACTGGACAGATAATCCAGACACAAAGTCAATAAAGAAACATCAGACTTAATCTGCACTATAGACCTAATAGCTATTTATAGAGCATTTCATCCAATGGCTGCAGAATATAGGTCCTTCTCCTTAGCATATGAATCATTTTCAAGTATAGATCATATGTTAGGCCACCAAAGTTTTAAAACATTCAAAAAAACTGAAATCCCATCAAGTATTTTCTCTGACCACAATGGATTAAAACTAGAAATCAATAAAAAGAATTTTGGAAACTATACAAACATATAAAAATCAAACAATATGCTCCTGAATGACCAGTGGGTCAATGAAAAAATTAAGAAGGAAATTGAAAACTTTCCTGAAATGAAAAACAATGAAAACATAACATACCAAAACCTATGGGATATAGCAAAAGTAATAGTAAGAGGAAAGTTTATAGCTATAAATGCCTACATCAAGAAAAGTAGAAAAACTTCAAATAAACAGCCTAATAATGCATCTTAAAGAACTAGAAAAGCAAGAGCAAACCAAACACCAAATTAGTAGAAGAAAAGAAATGATAAAGATCAGAACAGAAATAAATGACGTTGAAGCAAATAAAACCATACAAAAGATCAATGAAACAGAAGATTGTTTTTTTTTAAAAGATTAACACAATTGACAAACCTTTAGCCAGAACTAACTGAGAAAAAAAGATAACAGGCCCAAATAAATAAAGTCAGAGGTGAAAAAGAAGACATTACAACTGATACTGCAGGAATTCAAAAAATCATTAGTGGCTACTATGAGTAACTATATGCAAATAAATTGGAATATCTAAAAGAAATGGATAAATTCCTAGACAAATACAAGCTACCAAGATTGAACGAAGAAGAAATCTGAAACTGAACAGATCAATAACAAATAACAAGATTGAAGCTGTAATAAAAAGTCTCCCAATAAAGAAAAACCAGGGACACAATGGCTTCACTGCTGAATTTTACAAAACATTTGAAGAAGAACTAATACCAATCTTACTCAAACTACTCCTAAAAATAGATGAGAGAATACTTCCAAACTCATTCTATAAGGCCAGTATTACCCTGATACCAAAACTAGACAAAGACATATCAAGAATAAAAAAACTACAGGCCAATATCCCTGATGATCATTAATGCAAAAATCCTCAACAAAATATTAGCGAGTTGAATTCAACAACACATTAAAAAGATCATTCATCATCCGGGCGTGGTGGCTCAAGCCTGTAATCCCAGCACTTTGGGAGGCCGATGGGGGCGGATCACAAGGTCAGGAGATCGAGACCATCCTGGCTAACACGGTGAAACCCTGTCTCTACTAAAAAAATGCAAAAAACTAGCTGGGCGTGGTGGCAGGTTGTCTGTAGTCCCAGCTATTCGGGAGGCTGAGGTGGGAGAATGGTGTGAACCCGGGAGGCAGAGCTTGCATGAGCAGATATCGTGCCACTGAACTCCAGCCTGGGTGACAGAGCAAGACTCCGTCTCAAAAAAAAAAAAAAAAAATCATTTATTATGGCCAAATGGGATTTATCCCACGAAGACAAGGATGGTTCAACACAGGTATATCAACAAAATGAAGGACAAAAACCATATGATCATTTCGATTGATGCTGAAAAGGCATGTGATAAAATTCAATGCCCCATTCATGATAAAAACCCACAAAAAACTGGGAATAGAGGAAACATACCTCAACACAATAAAAGCATAAATGACAGACTCACAGCTAGTATCATACTGGATAGGGAAAAACTGAAAGTCTTTCCTCTAAGATATGGAACACTACAAAGATGCTCACCTTCACCACTGTTATTCAACATAGTACTGAAAGTCCTAGCTAGAGCAATCAGACAAGAGGAAGAAATAAAGGGCATCGAAATTCGAAAGGATAAGTCAATTATCATTGTTTGGAGATGATATGGTCTTATATTTGGAAAAATCTAAAGACTCCACCAAAAACTATTAGGACTGATAAACAAATTCAATAAGGTTACAGGATATAAAATTAACATACGAAAGTCAGTAACATTTCTGTATGCCAACAGCAAACAATCTGAAAAAGAAATAAAAAATTAATCCCATTTACAATAGCTACAAATGAAATGAAATACCTAGGAATTAACCAAATAAATGAAAGATTTCTATGATGTATAGATACTGGTAAAAGCAATTGAAGAGGACACCACAAAGGGGAAAGAGATTCCATGTTCATGGACTGGAAGAATCAATATTGTTAAAATGTCCGTACTACCCAAAGCAATCTACAGATTCATTTCAATCTCTATCAAAATACCGGTGGTGGCATGCTTCACAGAAATAGAAAAAGTATTTCTAAATTTTATATGCAATCACAAAAGACTCAAAATAGCCAAAGTCATCCTGAGCAAAAAGAACAAAACTGGAGGAACCACATCACCTGACTTCAAATTATAATACAAAGCTATAGTAACCAGAACAGCATGGTTCTGGCATAAATACAGACACATAGACAATGGAACAGAAGAGAGAACCCAGAAATAAATCCATACATCTACAGTAAGCTCAGTTTTGACAAAGATGCCAAAAACATATGTCGGAAAAAAAGAGTCTCTTCAACAAATGGCACTGGGAAAACTGGATATCCATATGCAAAAGAATGAAACTAGACCCCTATCTCTTGCCATATGCAAAAATCAAATCAAAATGGATTAAAGGCTTAAATCTAAACCTCAAACTATGAAACTACTAAAACAAAACATTCAGAAAACTCTCCAGGACATTAGTCTGGACAAGTATTTCTTGAGTAATACCCCACAAGCATAGGCAACCGAAACAAAAATGGACAAATGGGATCACATCAAGTTAAAAAATCTTCTGCATTACAAAGGAAATAATCAACAAAGTGAAGAGACAACCCACAGAATGGGAAAAAAATACTAGCAAACTATATATCTGACAAAGGATTAAGAACTAGAATATATAAGGAGCTCGAACAACTCAGTAGGAAAAAAAATCTAATAGTCTGATTTTTAAAATGGCAAAAAGATCTGAATAGACATTTCCCAAAAAAGGACATATAAATGGCAAACAGGCCTAGAAAACGTGCTCAACATCATTGATCATTGGAGAAATGCAAATCAAAAGTACAATGAGATATCATCTCACCCCAGTTAAAATGGCGTATATCCAAAAAACAGGCAATAACTAATGCAGGTGAGGATATGGAGAAAAGGGAACCCTCATACACTGTTGGTGGGATTGTAAATTAGTACAATCATAATGAACAACAGTTTGGAGGTTCCTCAAAAAGCTAACAATAAAAGTACCGTATGATCCAGCAATCCTACTGCTAGGTATATACCCAAAAGAAAGGAAACCAGTATATCAAAGCGATGTCTGCACTCCCATATTATTCACAGTAGCCAAGATTTGGAAGCAACCTAAGTGTCCACCAACAGACGAATGAATAAAGAAAATGTGGCATATATACACAATTGAGTACTACTCAGCCACAAAAAAATAATGAGATTCTGTCATTTGCAACATGGATGGAACTACAGGTCATTATGTTAAATGAAATAAGCCAGACACAGAAAGGAAAACCTCATATGTTCTCAGTTATTTGTCAGAGCTAAAAATTAAAACAGTTGAACTTACGGAGATAGAGAGTAGTATGATGGTTACCAGAGACTGGGAAGAGTAGTGGGTGGGCTGAGTGGGGATGGTTAATGAGTACAAAAATAGAGTTAGATAGAATGAAAAAGATCTAGTATTTGCTAACATAACAGAATGACTACAGTCAACAATAATTTATTATACATTAAAAATATATAAAAGAGTATAGTTGTTGGATTGTTTGTAACACAAAGAAAGGATGACTGCTTGAGGTGATGGAAACCCCATTTACCCTGATGTGATTATTACACATTGCATGCCTGTATCAAAATATCTCATGTACCCAAGAAATATATACCCCTACTATGTACCCACAAAAATTAAAAATTAAAGAAAAAAATAGAATTTTTAACTTTTACTGGAAGTTCAAAAAGATATATAATGCAGTGCAGTATTCAAATGCAGCTGTTGAGTGTTGATGATAGATAGCATGTATTAACATACACAACATAGCAAGACTAAATCTGCAATTTCAAGGAAAGTTTTTCTATTCATGAACACACATCTTAATATTTTATGTAAACCCCAAAGTAAGAAAAACAGCAGGGTTCCCATTCATTGAGCACTAAGGGCTTAATCCTATAATCTTTGGGAAATTGATACTGAAAGATATTGACCTGGGAGTCTGGGGACCTCAACTCCAGTTTCAACTCTGCCTTTTAGTCTGTAATCTTGGACAAGAAGTCTAAGGGGTTTTTGCCTTCATTTTCTTATATGTAAAACATGGCGACCTAAAATGCTATTACAGGCCTTCCCACCTCTAACTTCCTTAATGTTTTCATTTGTACATAGACTGGAGTTATCACATGGAAACAACTTCCAGGAACTTCAAACACTTTATTCTAGTTGATCTAAATGTTAGAAAAAGATCAAAACTAACTGTTCACTCTACTCTAAATTTCTTTTATAAAATGGCTTTATGGGGGAAATGTGAACAGTTTGACTTAGTATCTTTTTGCTCAACTTTAAAAATAATTATACTACTAACTGGCATTTATTAAATACTTACTATTTGGCAGGTACTCTAAATGCTAATGCTTTACATACACTATTTTATATTTTATATTTTACATCTCCCTTATTAGATGAAGCAACTGAGGCTTAGAAGATTATATGGCTGTCAGCAGACCATTCAGCTCTTTCAAATCCAAGTCTATTTCTTTCTGAAGCATTCACTAGGAATAATTATTATATAATATAATTATATAATTATATTACAGGATGTAGGGCTTTACTCTTCAAAAAGTGTAGAGATCTATTAAAATATAAACAGTACTTCAACAAATGTAAGAAGTTAACTCTCAAACTAACAATTCATTATGCACATACTTTCATCAGTAACTCCCTACCATTTAATATTACAGTTTTTTTACAGTAGTAAGAAAGGAAACTGAAGTAATATTTTGTGTGCTTCAAGTAAGAAAGGAAGTAGGGGGAGAGCAATGGTTGAATCCATTTGAATTCAATTCTAGTGCAGCCAATCTTTTACGGAAATGAGGTTATAATATAAATGAATGTACACTTGTGCTAGAGAGAAACATACATTGTCTTCAAAGTTATTCAATTTATATTGCTACTCGGTTGTTAAAGTGTTGGTGAAGTAGCATGTATATAAATATGACACCAGTGACAGCTATAAAGATAAACCTTTTACATTGTAACTTCTCAATTTAAGCACACAAGACAGTTTGGGGAATAAATCATGATAACGGTAGCCACTACATTTACATGAAAATGAATAAATGTTCTATAGCATCAGTTTATTAACCTGTAATGCGTAGATACTTTATCATCACTTTGTAGATTTTTTGAAATGCCTTGGCACAGTTGTGTTACAGATAATGCAGCCTCATCTGGTTGCTAAGAAATTAATTTTATTACCTAAGAAATTGATTTTCTCAGCACCCAATAGTAAGTAAGACTGCAAGAATGCATGACTGACCCAACACATTAACGAGCTATGTGACAAACCCAGTGGGAGTATGTTCACTCATATTATTCCTTTATCTGGGGAATATAAGAAGGGATAAAGATTATATACAGACAGGGAGAGGGAATAAAGGTGATAAAAGCCCTCAGGCCACAGTGATGAGGCACTTCTGGGAGGAAGTTCCCAGGAATCTTCCATGTCGTCAATATTATGGGAATGCTTCTTATCCAGGAGAGGAAGGCCCACAGGCAGCCCTCAACATGGCATATTGTAATAGCCATTTCTGCAGCGTGATATGAGGGTCAGTGCAAGATCCTTTGGTCCCATATTTTTTACTATGACATACCCTGTTGCTCAATGGTTCCATTATGCTGGATTTGCCCAAGAATGAAGGCTTTAATTTCAGGAAGCTCTAAAGTGCAAAAAAAGAAACAAGAGGATTGTCCAAAGAATAACCCTAGGAATTTCTCTTGGTTGCACAGCAACCAGGCAGCTGGAAGTCCCTTCCCCTCCTGCTGGAGAGGCTGGACATCCCATTTTGTGTCCAGGGAAAAAGAGGAACCAAGACCTCCAAGTATTGCCCAGCACTCCTCTAAACAGCTGGTACCCAAGCACAGACTAGCACCTGAGCCTAAAATTGGCTGTGCAAAGACATTCTCATATTTGGTCTGTTAAATAAAAAAACAACAGAGGGGGAGGTCCCTCTCCTGGAGCAGAGCCCTAGAGTACATCCAGCCTACCTCTCTACAGGATGCTGAGAGAACAAGGAACCCAGGCATCTACTTACCGACTCTTCTGCCCACAAATTCCAGCCATTATCTGGTTACATCGGTGGTGTTTGCTTGAGCTCTTTGCATAACATTTCATGAATAACGGAGCTCAAGGAGCCTTAGGGGTTGGCTAGACCAAGCCCCAGAGGGATGTAGTGACAAGTTTAAGATCACGCAGCCTGTTAATGGCAGAAACAGGGCCAGAATCAGTTTTATATGCTTTCCATAAGGGGAGCACATCTCTGTGCCCTCTAGACTTCTATTTTAGGTTAACAGTAGCTTCTGAGGTCTCCAGTTAACACTGAAGTTGTCAACTATTCAGTTGACCATTTAGATGACATGAGTAAAATGGAAGTCACTTAATTCTCTCCTCTTACTATACTTCAAACCAGTGAAGGCCAGTCATGCTTGGAGACCTACTGACTATAACTTATAAAAGAAATTCCATTTCTAGGTAAAACCCCAAAGAATTGAAGGCAAGTACTCAAACAGATATTTGTTCATCCATGTTCATAGCAGCATTATTCACAGTATCCAAAAGGTAGAAATGACTTAAATGTCCACCAATCAATGAATGAATAAACACAATTTTATATACAACAGTGGATATTATTCACCCTTAAAAAGGAAGGAACACGATACATGCCACAACGTGGATGAACCTTGAAGGCATTAAGTTTAGTGAAAGAAGCCAGACACAAAGGACAAATATTGTATGATTCCATTTATGTGAAGCACATAGAGTAGTCAAATCCATAAAGACATGAAGTGACTAGAGATTACTAGGAGATGGTAGTAGGGAATAATGGGGAATTATTGCTTAATTGGTACAGAGTTTATGTTTGGGATGATAATAATTTCTGGAGATGGATGATGGTGATAATTGTACAACACTGAATGTACTCGATGCCAATGAACTACACTCTTAAAAGAGTTAAAATGGCAAATTTTATATTATGCATTTTTTTTACCACATAAGTTCTCACCATAAAATTATAAATGTTTGAGGTGATGGACATGCTAAATACCTTGATTTGATCATTGCACAATGTATACATATATCAAAACATCACATCATATCCCACAAATATGTACAGTTAGTGTATCTTAATTCAAAATTAAACAATAACAAACCCCACAAAAGTACATAAAAGAGACTTATAGAAACCAAAAACACTTTTGGATTTAGTCATGTAACTCTATAACCTCTCTTTTTTTCTGGTAAGTCTCTTTGTTACACCACTTTCTGTTCCCAGAAGTCCACTCACATCACTACCCAATTGCCTGGCAGAATCCAACGATGGCATTCATCGTCTTACATGGTTTTGCTTTAGTGATAGAAAACCCCATCAGTGCTATTCCTGCTTAGATATCTTACTACTCTCTCACATTCAACCTATCCAAACCAAACTCATTCTCCTTACTCTCAAACTATCACCCCTTCCTGTTTTCCCTGCACCTGATAATGGCCCCAGTATTCTCCTAGACAATTAACTTCAAAAATTTCAGAGTCATCTTTGATTCCTCATTCTCTCTTCACCTGTCCCCATCCTATACTCCAGTTCGTTGGTACTTTTGGATGTAGAGGTGAAAGCATGAGCTTTGGCCAAATCTCTGGGTATGCTGGACTTTTATTTCCAAGGAGGAATGTCCTGGCTAAAAGGTGTTAATGTGGTTTTGTCAATAGGCATATGTTACTAAAGCCAAAGTCAGCAAAGAAGGAGCCTCCATGCTTGGAAACAACCCAGCTAACTGCCATCTGTGTGGTAGCTTGAGTGTGGATTGAAGAACGGAGAGTCAGGTAAGAAGGAAATTTACAGACAAATAGAGATTACAAAATAATGTGACTGAATCCAAAAATGATGTTGGTTCAGAGCAAATGTACCAAACAGGTTCAAATCTGAGGCTCACCCCTTATCGTTGTATAATCTTGGACAGGTTGCTTAACCTCTAGGGCCTAAATTTCCTTTTTATAAAATGGAAATATCCATTTATTTCTTTCAATGTTGTGATAATTAAATAAAATAATCTATGTAAAGCCCTGGCACAGAGTAAACATTTATAATGGTTACCACTCAGTTATTACTGCTTCCAAGTGTCTGTTACATTTGTTCCCTGCTTGGCAGGCTCTGGTGGCCCCTAGCCTTGTATTTTCTTGTCCCTACCCTTATCTTCCTAATGTCAACCCCTTTTCTCCTCCATTGTAAACCATCTATCTTTTTCCTCATAACCCCAACTCAGCCTCTTAATAAAAGTTTTTCCTTGTGCTTCTTGACCCCATCTCCAAACATTGTCTTGTCCTCAGTTCATTGTCTAAGCTCTCCTATGGTTCCCATCTGACGCTTTACATTCCAGCTGCCCATTTCATTGGATATACAGCTATTTCCCCTATTAGACTGCAAACTCCTGGGGAAAGACATTATGTTGTTCAATATTTTATGCTTTCTACAGCAAGTAGAACTCTCAGACAGGGTCTTTATTTTGTTCACTGCTACATTCCAGCACCTAGAACAGTCCTTGGGACATAGGCTGAATGAATAAATAATAATGAATAAATGAATTTTAATCTGGGTGTGTCTCAAGACTGGTGTATTTCTTGTGCAAATCAAATATGCTCCTTTGGATTTGGTTCTTATTCTTCAAAGTAGAATTTGTAGTGAGAGTAAAAATTCATCAGACACTATCACCTGAGAAATAAGTTGTTGAGTGAAATGCTCAATTCACCAACAACTGCCTGTCCAGCCAATCCAGGAGCAGCCCCAACAGGGTGAGGTCATCTCACTCTGAGTCACTTACTCTCAGTAGGCATGCTTTCAAGCTCTTGAGTAAAAGTGTTTATATAGAATAAAATAGTTACAGAAGAAAGATAATTTTTCTTAAGATAATAATAAGTACATTAACCCAGGAAGCAACATTCAAGTAACATTAAAAACACTTCCTGCTTACCTTGAGATAGAGAAAGATCTCAATTCAATAATTAAAGTTTGTATTTGAATATTATACTTGAGGTAGAAACTTTAATTATTGAATTGAGACCTTTCTCCATTCTAAGGTAAGCATTTAGTGTTATAAATTTTCCTCTCAGCAATGTTTTAGCTGCATTCCACAAATTCTGGATGTTGTATTAATATTTTCATCTTAATTTGGTTCTATGCATTTAAAATATTTTCTTAGCAACATCTTCTTTGTCTCATGGATTGTTTGTGTGTTTAATTTATAAGTATTTGACACTTTCCTATTGTCTTTCTGTTATCGATTTCTAGTTTGATTCCATTATAGTTAAAGAAGATATTTTGTATGATTTCAATTCTTTTGAATTTATTGAGGTGAGGTTTGTTTTATGTCCCAGAATATAGTCTATTTTGGTGAATGTTTTATGGTTGCTTGAAAGAATGTGTATTTTGCTGTTGTTGGGTCAAGTATTCCGTAAGTATCAATTGGGATAGGTTGGTTGTTGGCATTATTCAGGCCCTCTGTATCTTTACTAATTTTTTCCCCAGCATGACTGTCAATTGCTTTCAGCTCTATCAGGGTTTTTTTGCTGTTTGTTTCGTGTATTTTGAAGCTCCATTGTTTATTGTATACATATTTAGAATTACTATGCCTTCTTTTGAAGATCTGATCCTTTTAACATTATATAATGTCTCTAGTAATTGTCTTTGTGTGAAGTCTGCTCTATCTGATATTAATATAAGCACTCCTGCTTTTCTTGAATTAATGTTAACATTATATGATTCTTCCATTCTCTCACTTTCAGCCTAAATATGTTGTGTTTGTTTTTAAAGTGAGTTTCTTGTAGACAGCATAAAGTTGGATCATAATGATCTGTTTTTGAGTTCATTGTTTCCATCTTCTCACATCTCTGCACTCTACCATTGAGCCCATCCAGGTGACTTTTTATTTCATTATTGTACTTTTAAATTTCCGTTTGGCTCTTTTTATAACTTCCATTCTTTTGCTGAGGTTTTCTGTTTTTTCATTTGTTTCAAAGTAATTTGTACTTATTGAGAAGATTTTATGATGACTCCTTTAAAGTCTTTGTTAGTTCCAATATGTGATTAACTTCAGCTTGGCTAATATCTGTCTTTTAATTGACCAATTACATTTAAAGTAATTATTAATATGTTAGGAGATTATGGATCCTTTATATTTTAGCAGGTAGTCAAGTCACCCTGTTTAGGGTTAGCATGTATGTTCTGGCTTAGTTTTGCGGGCTTGTAGTTTCAATGACACTTCAGTTTTCTGAGCCCTTGCAGTGCTATTCTGGTCTGCTTTGTCCTTCTGGCTTCACTGAAGGTCCTACTGGATACCTGCTATTGCTGCCTGTGGTGTGCAAGGCACTAGTGTGAGCTACCTAGTATGATTATGCAGAGAGTTGTTAAACCCACAGGATGGGGAGCGTGTCCCTCAGCCTGTTCTCCAGTCACCTGATGCTAGTGAGCTTCCCACCTGATCTCTGTCAGTTCTGCAGAAGGACAGAAATTCCTGCCTGGGCCACCTTTTGCTCCTGGGTAGAAAGCCAGAAGCCATGAGGTCTGTGTAGCTCTCTGCCACTGGGTGGAAGGTAGAAGACCCAGGGCCTACTTCACCTTCTGCTACTGGGTGGAGGGCTAGGCAATTCTAGGCCTGGTTTGCTTTTTGCCATTGGGCGAAGGGACCAGAAACACCTGGCCTGAATTGTCTTCTGCTGCTGGGTAGGGCCTGGGAGACATTGGGCTTTCTGGAGCTGCCAGTGCCGGCAGAGTGGCCCACCTGCTGACAAGTTGTGGGGAGGGAGAGGGCTTGGCCTTGTCAGAGGCTGATGTTGCTGCTGCTGCAGGCAGATGAGGCTCACTGTTGCCACTGGGTATGATACTCCCCACTAAGTTCCCACTTAGTACCTGCTGGGTTTAGAAAGGGGACTTACACAATTCCCTTTCTCAGGGCATTGGCAAGAGAGAGAAGGCTTTTCTTGTTTCTTTCTTTTTGTTTATGCCTGTTGGTGATTCCAGCTTATAGCCCTCTCTGGCACCCAGTCTGGGATATATGGAAGACAAAAAGAAAGCCCAGGGAACTCATCTTGATTTTGTTTTTCAAGTCCTGATATTCACATTCTTTCTTCCTATATTTCCATTCTCTTATAATTGTTGAATTCTTTCCAGGATATTTAGTTGTATTCAAAGGGGAAGAGCAGGAAGGTATAAGTCTAAACCATCTTGCCCCAGAACTGGAAGCCCTGTACTCCACGCTTAAAATGACATTAATTGATAAAGACATCATCTGAGAGTGTTACCAACCTGTCCACTTAAACCCAGCTCCTAAGTTAAATCCTACTTCTCCTTCCCGATGTGGATTTCAAGTTCTCCCTTAGTCTGGTATTTATTGTAATGTGAAACACAGAATGTTGGAAGTATAGCAATCCCAAGATTAGCATTCCCTCTTAGAAAAACATCTTTAAAGAACAAATGCATTAGGCAACAGGCTTGAAAATCTTTATTTATCCTTTAAACTAAAAAAGAATCCAATAAGTTATATTACATACCACTCCCTTTTTAAGGGACTATGAGAAATTTCTCCCTTCTCAAGAATAACTATTTCTTCAAAATAATCTACTTTTTAAATTCTAGGAATAATATGAATCCACTGTCTGTTCAGGCTTTCATCTTTAAGCTAGTAATGAAAGATGCTCTGAGCTAAATTTGTGCTCCCCCTCCCTACACCAAGGTCATTTATAGGACTCAATGGCACATATTCTGTGTATTTCTTTCTGCATGTATTTCCCCTTGTATCCTTCCCATTTTGATCTTATGACCTGTAATTTTTATATCAATTTTGGAATGCGATGGGATAAAAATTAACAAAATGTGAAAGTTTCACTTTCATAGACATATTTTTAAAAATCCTCCCCCCATTACATTTCTGGGGGAAGGAAAAGCCCCCACCCCAACCCTCCAGGTACTTCCAGCAGCATTAAGGCCAAGTGGGTACAGGCAGAGAAGAGCTGCTGAGCTTGTTACAGGGAAAAGAGGGAGAGCAGGGCATCCCAAAGAAGAGCCTGGTGCCTCCTGAGCAACACGAGAGTAGGAGCCGTGTGGTATTCAGTCTTGTGTTCCCATCCCTAACAGTTTCTGGCACATAGTAAGTGCTCAAGAAAAGCTTGATGCATTAAACTGCATGCTTTATTTAGAAGGGATCTACTCTGCAAAACCCAAACAAAGTGCAGTGTGGGAGGAAACCTAGCTTCCTCTCAAGTGAACTCCCCATCTCCACTCACACTCATAAGGTCTCCCATAGAGACTTAGCAGCTTAGTAACTTGCAAATAGCAACAGGCTTGGCCTTCCCAGTCGATGACTAAAAAAGCAAGATTTGGGCTGGGCGCGGTGGCTCACGCCTGTAGTCCCAGCACTTTGGGAGGCCGAGGCCAGCGGATCATGAGGTCAGGTGATCAAGACCATCCTGGCTAACATGGAAACCTGTCTCTACTAAAAATATAAAAAATTAGCTGGGCGTGGTGGTGTGAGCCTGTAGTCCCAGCTACTCAGGAGGCTGAGGCAGGAGAATGGCGTGAACCTGGGAGGCAGAGGTTGCAGTGAGCCAAGATTGCGCCACTGCACTCCAGCCTGGGAAACAGATCAAGACGTCGCAAAAGCAAGCAAGCAAACAAACAAACAAAAAAACCAACCAAACAAAAAAACCAACCAAACAAAAAAAGCAAGCTTTGAGAGTGCAGACTTCAGTTACCAAACTATTAACCGAAAGGATGGTTCATAACCTTTTCAGTCATCTGTAGACCCATGAGGGTGATTAATTGGAACCATCCAGCCATGTCGGAATTGTTTTTCATGTCAAATTTGAAGGTAGCCCCCACTTCCTGCCATTGAAAACTGCAGCCAGAAGGTCTCTTTCAGGAGACTTCCTGTCTGTATTTCCCCAAGATGATGAAGGAAGGATCAGAAAACAAGCTCAACTCTTCACCAGCTGACTTCAAACACACTCAATCTCCGCTCACTGGAGTCTGAAGAATTCAGCTGCTTAAGTACAGTCAGAGGTCACTGCAAATCAGCAATCTTTGCACGGGCACCTTCCAGGCCGGCTGCTCCTGGCAGATGTCCACATCCATCCAAACAGATCTGCAGACAATGTGAATGACATCTCCCGTTGCCCTTTAAAATGCTTTGGTACTAGAGCTCTTAGCATCCCTGTTGTAAGCCACTCAGGTACATAAGAGTCAGTCAGCAGTTCCAATTAGAGGATCGGAAAAGAAATGGGTAAGTCTTCTCCCAGATGGCTCTGGTATAAGGAGTGAGCGGCATGGATTGCACTAATAGATTTTGCCCAATCTCTAGACAAGGAGCCAAACAAGCACAAAGCACCCATTAAAGGGCGAGCCTGCTTTACAACTCCCAGCTTCCTCATCAAGGCCGTTCGGCCACACATCAACTCTGGAGCCAATTTGGTTGCTGAGCTCCTACCCTTTATTTTATCACCAGCAAACAAGGCCCAAGGTGAGCCAGTGAAATTATCTTCAGCCCATTATCAGAATCCTGCTGTTCTCCCACTGGGTCCTCCACTTTGCAAGATTTCCATGAGGCGACTCCCAGAGATGATTTGAGCAGCCATGCCAATTAGCCATGACCTTCAGCCCTAGCAATGCAGAGGGTAATGCTGTGGGTAAGGGGGAAAATGGTTTATTAGAATGGAAAACACATCTCGCTGCACAATTGGTGTCTCTTTGGGGCAGTTAGTACTCATATAAATAGAAAGCTTACATCCTAGGATGAAAGAGTAAATAGGTCCCGAAATGGCGACTCATGCCCTCTCCCTAATTCAGTCACCAGGATCTTGCCTCCTTAACTCTTCTTGGGGAAGGAAGGACAAAAAGGAAAATAAAAAATCACTGAGAAGTATATTTTTTAGCTATTCTATGTAACAAACCTCTTAAAATGTTGTCACTTTACTCAATGGCCATTTGTTCTCTCTCCCAAGCCTAAGGGTGGGGCAAGTGGTTTTGTGGGTGGTCCTGGCTTGGTAGATCTCAGCTGGGCCTGCTCACGCTTCTGCAGTCACCTGCTGGGCTGGTTGGGGCCTCACTGATCTAGAA
Source organism: Homo sapiens (assembly GCF_000001405.40). Lineage (NCBI taxonomy): Eukaryota > Metazoa > Chordata > Mammalia > Primates > Hominidae > Homo > Homo sapiens. Next base: position 25,521,381 of record NC_000007.14, read on the forward strand.
TAGTCTCACCTGGGATGACTCAGCGACTTCCCCTTGGCAGGATTCTAGGGGAGAGTGGAACCAATGGCTGGGCTGGAACCTGCATGCCAGCACCTCCCCCACATGCTGTTGGTCAAGCCAGATTCAAGAGATGGGGAAACAGACTCCGCCTCTGGATGCCGCAAAGTCCCACGGCAAAGGGCAGGAATATAGAGGTGAGTGGAGAATTGGAATCATCATGATGCATCGGTAATGAGAGGAGAAGGCAGTGGGAGAAGTAATTTGGGGGGAAAAGAGGAACAGGCTCAATCTAAAAGAATGGGATTGCTCCTCACTTCGGTTGCCCCTGCCCTCTCTTCAGCCCTCTCCTCAAGTATAGGAAGGTTTAATACCATTTGTCTAGAAAAAAATTGATCTGATCTGGTCTGATGACTCTGGTGAGCCTCCTACTTCTCTCTGTGGAGTGCCATTGGCTTCTCTGAGGTATTGGGCACACATCTGAGTAGGCAGCTTTGAGACCAGCAAGTCAGCAGGGCTCCTAAGGCCAGGAGCGATGTCTCAGCCTCCAGCAGCACCCAGGCCACTTTGTCAGAGGAATCGGAGGGCAAGGAGGAGAATCTTAGCATCACCCTATAAGATCAGGGCCCTGCTTACCTGTCCTATGCCATCATTTGCCATTTCTCCTCATACACACCCACTCCCTGGCATACTGAGCTACCTTCATTTCCTGAAATTGTGGTGAAAAGAGCCTCATGTCTTTGCACACTCACTCCTTGTGCTGAGAATGCCTCTCCCCACCCAGACAACTCCCTTCCCAGTTCAGGGTGAGGGTCACACCTATAGGTGGCTCCCCACTGTGCTTCCAGACTCACCTCCACCAAAACAGTCATCACTCCACTGCAATTGTTTACTTTCTGTCTTCCTTGTGATTTTTGTCAGTTCCTCTAGCGCAAGAGCCAAGTCTTTAGTTTCCATATTCCCAGGACTTAAGGCAGAGCCAGGCACATAGAAGAGCTTAATCAACAAGGCTCCATGTTCTCCTTGGGGAACACTATAACTTTTCTTTATGGAGTAAGTGGAGGTTTGTAAAATTCTCACTTTACTTTCCTTTCACCTCTGGAGCAAAGAAGACTTGTTTCATTCTAATTTGGCCTTGGGGCAGATTTTACCTAATTTACCTAAAATCAACTGGCTCTTAGGTGGCAGAGCAAGAATCGAAACTTCAGTCTTCCAAGACTTGGCCCAGTGTCTTTTCTCTTTAACTTCAGGTTTTAAAAATACTTATTTATGTTTCAGTGCTCTTACTTATACCAAAAGTATTCAACAGATACTTAAGGGCCTACCTGATATGTCAGGGGCTGTTTACGGAGCTAAGGAGACAGTGATATGTAAGACAGACCAAGTAAGGAGTCAGAAAATAAACATCAATTCTTTATTCCTTCAAAAATGAAATACTCAGATAGTGTTCACTATGTGCCAGGCACTCTTTTCTATGCCTTTCACTTGCAGATGAAGAAACTGAAACACAGAGAGGTAAAATAATTTGCCCAAGTTCACACACCCACTTCCTGGTAAAGCAGGAAGATGAACACAGTCTGATTCTGAGTCTGTGCTTATAACCACTCCCCAGGCTGCCCAAGATAAACTGTTTTTAAATGAGGTATGATATTGGAAAATATATATTCATCTTTGTCCAGTTTACTGGCATACAACTTCTAAAATGCTTAAATCTTCAAACTGTGTCTTTTTCATGTGTGTGCTAATGAGTTGACTGAATGAGTTGACTGGTGGCTGGCAGACCCTAAGTAGTTTCAAGATGGGGACTGGTCACCAGGAAGACAAGGCATGATTGTAGGGTTGGGACTTTCAGCCCCCATCATCAATGGCCAATGATTTAATAGGGAAATCTTCCATAAAAGCAGAAGAGGACAAGAGTTCAGATGAGCTTCCAGGTAGCTGAACATCTAGAGTTTCCTGGAGAGTGGGAAGCCCAGAAAGCTCTTGGAAACTTTGTGATCTCTCCTCCATACCTCATCCTATGCATCTCTTCATCTGTATCCTTTGTAATATCCTTTATAATAAACCAGTAAACATGTTTCCCTGAGTTCTGTGAGCTGCTAGAGCAAGTTAATCAAACCTGAGGAGGAGGTCATCTAATTCCTGATTTATACCAGTCGGGCAGAAGCACAAGCAAAACAACCTGGGGCTTGTGACTGTCATCTGAAGTGGGGGGCAGTCTTATGAGACTGAGCCCCAAATTGTGTGATCTGACATTATCTCCAGGTAGATGGTGTCTGAATTGAATTGGATTGAAGGATACCCACCTAGTGTTCACTGTAGACTCTACATCATTACTTGCTTGCTTGCTGTTGGGGAGAAATCCCCACACATCTGGTGTCAGAAGCGTGTTGTGAGAGTATAGAGGAAACATGGTTTGTTTTTCTAATCATTAGGTCATAAGAAATATTCCAAGATAAGTGAAGCAGTGGCGTGGGGGTAATGGGGGAGGTAGTAGAGACAGAGAATCCTGCTTTAGACAGGGTGGACAGAAAAGGCCTCTCTGAAGAGCTGGCATTGAATCAGAGGCCTGAGCAAAGGGAAGGGGGGAGCCTTGTTGGAGAAGAGCATTGCAGCAAGAGGGAACAGCATGTGCAAAGGCCCTGGGATGGAAAAGTCCTTGGTGAGTACAAGGAACAGCCAGGAGGCTGGTGTGAACAAGGAGAAGAATTATGAAAGATGCACTGAGAGAGGCGACCAAGGGCAAATGAGAGAGGAGTGGCTTCTTTGGACATACTGAAGAGTTTGGATTTTATTCTCAGTACAATTTGTGGTAGTTTACATAATGACAAATGACATAAAGGGTAAAAACAAAATTAAATAAGTGAAAAAGAGTGGGTATGGAGGATTGGGATAAAGGTAGAAAAACAGAGCAATACCAAGGGTAAGGTTAGATATAAAATGCAGGTCTTATATTACGTCGTGTATTTTGCCACCAGCATCAGGCTGCAAATTTGAACACGAGCTTCCACATGGTCATCACAAAGAGGGAAATACAGACAGCTTCGTGGCTCATAATTTCAAAAGATAAAAAGAAAGATGTCATTTAGAAGCACACCTGTTCCTAGTACTCAGTCCTTGGAGGATTCTCTTGCTGACTGAAAAGTAAGTTGGAATCTGGAACTGATCAAAAGGAAAATTAAGGCATTTTATAACTAGACAGAGATATTTTGTAACTACACTGAGCCATACAAAGTTTGAATGGTTTGTGCATGCTGAGAACATTGAAACTGAATATTAAAATCTTTCTATGTTTCTTCATATACAGAAATTTCAGTCCACACAATTTGCAAAGCCCACATTGTGAGGCTCAGATCATATCCATAATGATAGAATGGCCCAAGAAATGGTTGATTCAGTGGTTTAGGCTGATCTGAGGGTGGGTGTGGGGGCTGCATAGTCAGTCTTCTTCTTACATTGTCTTTATGATGGTCCAGAAAAAGAAACTGATCACATGATGTCCACTTAGAGGAGAGGCAGAGCAAGGGGTTTATTATTGCTGGGCTATGAGATGAGAGAGGAATCTGCTCTATTACTGTATTCTCTCGACGATAGTTATTAACAACTACTTTTTTCTCTGCTTACTAGAAAATGGAGTAAACCCGCAGATTGGTTAAGGAAGTCATGAGGGGGAAGTCTCTCCACTAATCTGAGCACTCATTTATACTAATAACAGCTCCTTATAGTAAGCACTTACTCCATGCAGTCAGGTTCGATTCCTTTCCACACATTGCCTAAATAAAGCATATTACCTTTGGGAGGCGGCAATTGGTCTAGCCGGTGGCAAGCAGTGATGGGATTTAATGGGATATGCAGCCTCACAAGCCTCAGGTGGTGTGTTTTAATCAAGTCCCAAAGTGTAGATGATATAATAGAACATTGGGAAAACATTCAAGTTGTTCAGGCTATTTGAAAACTACATTATAATCTCTAACACCAGAGCTCTAACGGTCCCTAGGGGTTAAGGAAAGGCCAAGGCTGAAGAGGAAGAACCTAGATCATGCACAGAAGTAATCAATGATGAAGATTCCAAGAAACAGAGAAAGATAACATGGGGACATGAACAAACTCATACTCTTGATCCAATCCTCTTCAGCCCTCTGGATCCTTTGCACTGTTTGAGTCCTTGGTTCCTCCTTCATGTAACTTTGCTTTTGTCATGGAAGAGAGGGACTGAGAAAACACCTCTGGGTTTGCTGTTAGAAAGACATGGTGCCTTTCTGAAGGGTGATGACAGGAGCAGGAGAGGCAGGAACCAGACTTTGAGTGAGCAGATGGTGAGATGGGAAGCATGGAGAACTCACCAAGAAAGTGGCAACAACAGGAGAGAAATAACATAGCAGTCTGAGGATACAGTGGGGCCAAGAGCTGTCCTTTTTCCAAGATAGAGGAGACCTGCTGTGCATGTTCCGAAGGAAGGGTTTGAGGCTACAAAGGCTGGGGTCAAGAAGGAATGGGCAGTTATCTTTGGGGTTAGTTCTGGAAGGGAAACAAGACACTTCTGAGACAGGTTGATAGAAGGGGGCACAAGAGTCTCTATTTTGAGATGGAAGGAACATCTGCAGTCCACGTGGCCTCATAACTCTCAAGAGGAATGTGGTAGGGCAATCACACATTTCTAGGAAAGAAAGAACTGGGGCTGGAGGGAAAGGGGAAAGGACCAGGGTGGCTTCTGTCACATCCTACAGGCTCTTAGAACTAGCTATGCAGGGAACAGGTTCTCAGTATGGATGTCTGGAATTATCCTGGGTAGTGTCGGGAAAATAAGAATAAAACCCAAGGCTGGCTGGGTGTAGAAGCAGGTTTTCTCTGCTCAGGACTCAGGTGCAAAGACAGTGAGGGGGAAAAACAGTTCTAAGCAGATTTAGGAAAGACCTAACAAATATAAGATCCAGTCAAAAGCAAATATAGGAAAAGTATGTTTCTAAATCTTCTAGCTATTCAAGCATATGATGTATTTCCTCCGATAATTGATTTAATCTTCCATAAAAATACTATTTCTCACTCAATCACTTCTTTCCATGCTTCCACATTTATTAAGTGCCATTGGACCATAGCATGTGCCAGAGACTATTTCTAATAATATTTCTACATGTGGAGGGCACTTTCCTTCTAATTCAATTTCGTGTTTCACATGAAAGCCCTTAAGAGACAATAGGAAGGGAAGTGTGTCCAGCTCCACTTGATGAATGAGGAAACAAACTAAAGATGGACTCAGGAAAGTGACTTTTTTTTTAGGGGGACAAGGTCTCGTACTGTGTCACCCAGGCTGGAGTCCGGTGGTGCAATCTTAGCTTACTGCAACCTCTGCCTCTCAGGTTCAAGTGATCCTCCCACCTCGGCCTCCTGAGTAGCTGGGACCACAGACACATGTCACCACACTCAGCTAATTTTTGTATTTTTTTGTAAAGACAGGGTTAGGAAAGTGACTTCTAACCCCTAGAATTGTAAATGCTCCCCAGTCCAGACCTTTCTTTTCATGGCTGTATCATAGTCATCATTATTTACTTGTGTAATGATTTACTTCAAGTCTGCCTTTCCTGCTGGATTGTAGCTTCATGCAGGCAGACTGAGGGTCTTGTTCCCTGTTATCTTTCCAGCGGGTCACATTTACCACTGAATCCTCACTGTCTACACGCGTAGTTGATAGGCAATAGATTTGCTGGTGGGGTTCTTCCTGGTCTTTCTTGCACAAAGCCATTTTTTGAAAGAAATTACAACTTAAAACTATATGAATTAAGATTCTTGAATTTTTAACATTTCCCCTCAATATGTTACCATGATCTGGTCCAAATTTATTTGTGCAGCACTTTTTTTCAGGAACTCACTTTATCAGATCTTCCCAAATCATGCAACTCTATTTTTATGGAGACGACTCTCTGCCTCTTCACTCTCATAGCTCATCAGTCTTATATTAATTAAATAAAATTATTATAAACATTAATATTAACATAAATTAACCAAGTACAACTGCTATAAATAAATTTAGGAATAACTACCCCTGACTCTTGGTAAGTGCACTACACAGCTAGTAGGAAAAAGGCACCCGGGCATATTAGAGCAATATCTTTCGAACTATTTGACTGCAGATCCACAGAAAGGCATTTCTTATTGCAGCCTAATACATCCACATAAATACTCACATACAAACATGCATACTCATAAAAATGCAAACACACCTGTGCCCCTCAAACATAATTTTTAGAAAACACAGCTTATCCTTACAACATGTGATGCATGCTTTTCTTCTATTTTACATTTTTAAAAATTCTGGTGCAACCTTCTAACGTGTTTTCATGATCCACTCATGGATCTCAATGTGCAGTTTGCAAAGTGTTACTAGAGAGTAACTTTGGAGTCAAGAGTATCCTCCAAAGTTACCCTCTAGTCCTCAGCCATCACATTTTACAGAACGGATGGAGAGGATTAGTTGGCCTGGGAAGATAATGAAGTGGAGGTTGCTTAAGAGCGTTTCAAGTGTATATGAAAATGCTTTTTAAACATGTCAAGAGCTCTGCAAATGTGAGGGGTGAAGGCGGGCTTGGGTTTCTTCCTGATCAAGACTCCCTGGCAGTTGTTCTTAATCTGCATGCCAGATCCCCCAGTGGTTCCAATAACTGAGTAAGAGATGGATTTCCTACACCCTTCTGAGGGTAGTGAAAGCCAATCCAAATAGGAGCAGTGTGTCCTCTGTCAGCCAGTGGAGATTCTGCGGATGGCGCTGGAGACAGAGCGTCAGCTTTGGTTTGCCTTGACACATTATACTCCTCATCTTGCCCTTGGTAGTTCAGCAGTCAGATGGGCTGAGACAATTGTATTGTACATGCTGAGAGGACTGTCAGCTCAGGCCACGTAACTAGAGGACCATTCACCTTTAAACCCGAGATCTCATCAACTCTTATGGAAACGATCTTTCGATTGTTTTTGCAGGAAAGCCTGAAGGACACGTCTAGGGTCTGAAATGAAACCTGAAGACAAATATAAATACTAGAAAGGAGAAAAGACAAGAAAATGGTCCCAGGCTACAATTGCTCACCCAGCCAGACAGGGGTAGAGCAACCTCCAGGAAATCAGAAGAGTGCTGAGGGAGATTTGTCAGTTTTGGGGGTGCTATGCAAACATAAGAGCAATTTATTCCTGATTTCATGGTTTTGCACGCTGAAAAAGGAATATGTCCTGGAAATGTTCATTCCCATCTCAAGGCTTTCAACACCTGACAAAATGTTAAACCTATTGTCATCTGAAGCCTCCCTGGCCATGAATATTTAGATAAGATGGGCTGAAAAACTCCACGCTATGTTCCGAGGCCATCCCAGAACTTCCTCTTAGTCTTTATGAATTCTAAAGGGTTGGGGGATCATTATTTTGGCTTTGAGGGCTTCTCTACCTAATTAGTTCAGTTTAGGGATCACTGCACCACTCCACATGTGCAACCATGGTGATGCAGATGTAGAACTGACTCCTTCCTTAGTCGACACAAAAATCTGCTCAAATGGGGGTTTCACATGCCGCAGACACACTGAAGGTCTTGAGGAAGCAGAAGGGGTTTTATTGCAATAAGAGCAGAGAGCAGAACTGGGGACAGCCGAGTTGGCTGACCATGTAGTTCACTGCACTGCCATGGTGGTGCCAAAATAATGAACCATTTTCAATTAATTGTTAGGCAATCTACTTTATCATTCTTTCACTCTTTCTCTTGACCCTTGTCTTCCACCCAACCCCAGATATATTTTTAAGGACTTCTTTATTCTATATACCACCTTTAGCCTCATATTATCTCACAAGCCTCTAGTGCTTTTCCAACCCCAAGTGTTTTCTATCTTTCTGTTAATTAAAGCAACTTCATTCTCTCTGACTCTGTTTGTTTGTTTGTTTATTTGTTTTATTTTTAAAATTTTTTTGTAGAGACAGAGTCTCACTATGTTGCCCAAGCTGGTCTCAAACTCCTGGGTTCAAGTGATTCTCCCATGGCCTCCCAAAGTGCTTCCACCGGTGCCTTGGCCTCCCCTTGCAGGCCTCCCTGCTGCGTTGGAACCCTACCTGCGGGGCAAAGCCACACCAGGGCCATGAACCCCGGACCCCAGGGACCCCGGGACCCCAAGCATGCGTGGCACAGGATGGCCAGGGGCACCGGCCCCTGCTCTGCCTCGCCGGGTGGTTTCTGCTTGCACCGGTGCCTCGGCCTCCCCTTGCAGGCCTCCTTGCCGCGTTGGGACCCTCCCCGCAGGGCCCAGCATGAACCATCAAACTCGGCCTCTGTCTATTCCCACCACCAAACTCAGCTCTGGCAAACCCAAATCCACAAAAAGGCTTATGCCTTAACAGGATCCAGCCTCAATAAAACAAGTTGTGGTTATAAAGAAAATTTGTTTTCCTCCCTTCTTAGAAGAGGAAAATGTTTGGTCCCATAACCCACAGTCAGAATATGGAACCATGACTATATCCTGGGTCTTCTTGACCTCATGCTTTGGTGACATAATAGGTAAATGCTAATATTGGGCTTTTTGCATTCTTTTTCTCTCTCCATGGTGAAATAACTTCACATCTCTGAAAGCCCTGATTTTTCATCTGTGAAATGATAAGGCTGGATGTGGTGATCTCTTAGTCCCTTTGGCTCTAATGCTCAGACAGTGCATGGATTCTCTGTACTCTCTGGGCCTACAGGGGCCAAGCTATTGCCTCCACGCAAAGAGCAGGGCTATATTAGTCAGTTCTTGCATTGCTGTAAAGAAATACCTGAGACTGGGTAATTTATAAAGAAAAGAGGTTTAATTGGCTCATGGTTCTGCAGGTTGTACAGGAAGCATGGCGGTGTCTGCTTCTGGGGAGACTTCGGGGAACTTTTACTCATGGTAGAAGGCAAAGCAGGAGCAGGTGTCTTACATGGAAGGAGCAGGACTGAGAAAGAGCAGGCGGGGAGGACCCACGCACTTTTAAACAACCGGATCTCCTGAGAACTCACTCACCATCACAAGAACAGCACTGAGGGGTGGCGCTAAACTATTCACGAAGGAGCTGCCCCCGTGATCCAATCACCAGGCCCCACTTCCAAAACTGAGGATTATATGTCAATGTAAGATTTGGGTGGGGACAGAGCTCCAAACCATATCAAGGGACTTTGGTATCATATAGGCTCTGTAACTTGTAGCTGTGTCACCTTGGACAAGTGCCATCTACCTGCTCAGCCTTATTTTCCTAACCTCTTATTCCACTTAGGTCTTATAATATTCTTCAAAATGACGACAGTGGCTAGTATATACTAAACAATTACTATATGCTGGACATTGTATTTAGTACATTTTTCACATTGTCTCTTATTTTATGTTTTCAGTCAGAACTCTTTGTTGCAAGTGGCAGAATTAGAACTCAAGGCTACTTCTGCAAAATGGAAATGTCCTGGTTCATTTCATTTCACCCTGCTATCCTGCATGTAGGCACGTGCTTCTTCACATACATACACAACTTCAAATATGCCCTTGCCTGACAATGCAGCTGTCCCATACACAACAAAAATACACTCAGCCCATCCCCAAAAGGAGGCAACATGAAATCTTGTCTAGTTAATGCACCCAGTTCTAAGTCCAGAGACTCTGATGGATAGGAATTCCCCTTGGTCAATCCAGATGTAGCTTCACATAGCTTTACAGAATTCCATGGCTAGAAAGTAACTCTAACTCCCTGTTACATCCAACATTCAATGGTGGGAGCAAAATAGGGTAATTGGGGAAAAAATGTCTTATTTAGGAAAAGAAAATAATAAAACAACATACAGGGGCTACTGTCTTATAACTGGTGAGATCTTATGCTGGAGAAGGTAGCCTGTATTGGCTGCCCTGGCAGTGGAGTGAGTTATGTGATAAGCCAATCAGGAAGTCCTCATTTCTGCTTTCTGGAAGGCTCTTTCTTGCACACATCCACCATGGCCCCATGTGAGCTGCCTCAGGAAAAAGGTTCCCTTACAGGGCTCCCTTCATTCCTCTAGCAGCCCACTTGCTGTTAGTGCAGGTTTGGGGCCTGCTCATTTCAGGGGTCAGGCAATTACAAGCATTTGCATGCCAAGCTTTGGGTTTCTCTGGCAGTTCAAGTTGTTTCAAACTATCCATCCATTATCTTGGCTAATAATAATAGTAGGTGTTGAGTAACTAACACATATATTAAATGCTTTCTATGTGCAGGCACTCTTCTAAGCTCTTTACATACATTATCTTAATTAAATCTTGAAGACAGCAGCATCACTTAGATTACTATTATTCTCCCTCTTTTCTTGGAAAGAGATAGAGGAATAGGGAGGTTAAGTAGCTTGCCCAAAGCCACACAGCTAGTGAAGTTTGGATTGAACTCAGCCGAACCACCTCCAGGCTTTTTAGAGCTGTGTTGTTTAACCAAAGCTCAGTTAAGTCATGGTCTTTGAATGTAGTCTTAGGCCTCAAAGCATCTGTCCCTTGGCAACATGTCTTTGTGTTCCCATTGTGGCCTCTGCCCCTGGGCAATATTAAACAATAGCTGGGTGGGGAGGAGCAGCCAGTCTGCCCCTTGTTCCCAGAAGGTTGTCCAGTGGGTGGCTCTGTGCAGTGTGATTTGACCATCACCCGCTTTGTTGGCTGGGAGCCCACCACCAACTGGAGATCAGGCTTTCCCCAGATCCCAATACATATCTTATTGGGATACATATACATATACAATACATATACAATACTTATCTCCCCCTGAGTTTCCAGCTTTTCTGCCTTTGCTTGCATTAACCATGACTTGGAGAAGACGGTTTGGCTTGGCCAAGCCTTCAAAGCTCTTGAATCCCTGACTTGCAACCACTTAACCCTGCTGGTCATAGGCCCTCTCCTAAGAAAGTCACCTCTCACCCACTCCCCACTCCACCATGCTTTCAGATAAGTCAATTTGTAGCTTGTTTTCTTTCTTATAGGGCCAAACTGAAGGCTGCAGGATGTAATCCTGACATTTCCTATCAAGTCTTTTAAGGCTTGAGCTTTGATAGGAATATGGTCTAAATCTCAAGATACACGAGGTACATGAGCCATGAAAGACTAGGTTATACTACTCTAACCAACACCTCCAAAATCTCAGTGACTGACAACTACAAAGGTTTATTTCTTCTTCATGCATCATGCCCATTGCTGGTGAGCAGGGCAGCTCTGCTCCTGACCTATACTCAGGACTCCAGGCTGATACAGCAGCTGGCATCTTCAATGGGATGAAGGCAATAAGTACCCTGGAGAATCTTGCACTAGCAATTATGTGTTTAATTTTGTTCAAAATTTATTGGCCAGAACGAGTAGGTGACATGGCCCCACCTGATCACAGGGGCCATAAAATTGAATTCTAACAAGTGCCTAGAAGGCAGAGAGTGGCAAATATTGGGTGAGCTACTAAAGCTTATAACAGCAAGCTTTGAAAGGGTAACCCACATTATAGGGTAACCAACTTTCTAGCCACGAGAGTGAAAAGCCTCTCCACTCCATCTCCTACCCTGACAACTAATTCCATAGTTTAGGTTTGTTCCCTGCAATTCCCAATCTCTTGGTGCCAATGTCTACAGTATTCAGAATTATTCTGGCTTTTGAATATATGGAATTATTTTGTATATATGATTAAGAAATCCAGGTTTACATTGTGCTTTGGGCATAGCTGGAGACAACAGCTCAAATATTCCCAGGATATTGTCTTTCTCCATATTTTCTGGCTTTGCTGCTTTCTATGTTGGCGTCATTCTCGAAAAGGGTCCCATATGGGATAACAAAATAGCCATTCACAGTTTCAGGCTTACATTCTATTGGTTTAGCAACCCTTATGGAGAGCATATATTGATTTTCTAATACCACTAGCAGAAGTCAGTGGTTCCACTTAGGTTACATACACATCACCTACCACTGTGGCCAAGTCACTTAGTCCATTCAGGCTGCTACAACAAAATTCCTTAGGTGAGTAATTTATAAGCAACAGGAATTTATTATTCATGGTACTGAAGGCCAGGCAGTTCAAGGTCAAAGCAATGGCAGATCTGGTGTCTGGTTAGGGCTTGCTCTTTGCCTCAACGCTGTGTCCTTGTATGGTGGAAGGGGCGAATAAGCTCCCTTGAGCCTTTTTACAAAGGGCACTCATCCCATTCATGAGGGTTCTGCCCTCGTAACCTGTTCTATCTCTCAAAGACCGCATAATACCACTGCATTGAGGATTAGGTATCAGTATATGAATTTTGGGGTGACACAAACATTCAGCCCTTAGCACCAAAGACATAATGTTCTCTGATGGGCAGTTCTGAGTCATGGGCACAGCCCCAAACCAGGAGGCAGATTAGCTCCATCAGAACACTATGGGCTGAGAATAGGGGAGGGGTGGTTCCTGAGAGAAAAGGAAATGTCCTGGGCCAGAAGAGGAAATGCAAGATGGACAGGCAAAGCCAATAGATATTTGTTACAATCAAATGTTGTTTATATCCCCACTTTCTGATTGTGGAAATTAAAACTTAGCAAAATTAAGTAGCAAGCCCCAGATCGTGCAGTGGTAAGCCTGAAATTCAAATGCAAGTCTGATTGCAAATGACGTTTGTTATTTACTGTGCTTATTTGCTGGCTAGACATTCCTATTACTGATCTAACAATCTGGAATATATGATAAAATTGTTGCATGAGCTTTTGAATGCTTAAAGCAAACAATGAGATCTACAGTATTTCTTAATTTTTTTAATGTTGATGAATAAAATGACTCCAAATATAATATGAACCCCCCCAACCATCTAAATCTTTCTACAAATTAAAAGACCCCACAATGAATATTTTTTAAGTTCAAAATCTCCTTCAGAAAAATTAAATGGTGGAAATGAGTTAATTGATAAATACAAATTCCCTTTTAGAAAGGACACAGATTTAATATAAAATAATTGCCTCTTTATGACTGATTTATCTTAAGCCTGACTGCATTTAAATTATATCTTGCCCTTATTCAGACCTTATCTAGGAAAATAAATGAACCTTTAGCTCTGGAAGGAGATAGAATGGAGAATGCCCTATAAGGAGACAAAGAAGAAATAGCCTGAGTTTTTAAAAGATGGATTGAGATCCCTTTCTCTCCTCCTGGTTGCTGAGGAAGACATACATATCCCACTGCAATAAATCGTGAGTCACTTATAAAACAGTTCCTTCTAATGTAGATCTATTAGGAATGGCTTCCCTCCCAACTCCTCCCCCCAGAGCCCACCACTGCTGCCTTGTCCATTCAGAACCTCCTTTGAGGAGTCTGATGCACAGTCATCTCCCCCAGGGTCCATGGAGAGACCATTTGGTTGCAGACTGTTAGGACAGGGTGCAGCTTGCTTCATTTCTAAGACCTCATTCTCATGCTGCACATTTTCCTTTAAAGTAAAATATGTGGCATTCTAGACCTTCAATAGTAATACGATGGGCTCTTCTCCCCCTGTCCCCAAAAGGGAAAACAAGGAAATACACAATTTCTCACATCCTTTAAGACCAAATAATGCCAACTCTGACCCCCAAAAAAACGGTGGCTGGGGAGAGGAGCAGGCATCTCCGTTATTCTACCTCTTTGTCTAAACAGCCCCAATTTATTGAATAATTGCTGATGCCCCATTTTGTATGTATAGACCTAGAAGAGTTTATATTTTTAATTGTATGTGCTCAATTTTCTCATAAAATTATATTGTACAAAATAGGGCTGGACATGCAGGATTATCAAATTTGGGAAGCAGTTGAGTAAACATTCTTTCTTTCTCCTTATGATAGCCTGAGTGTCTTTCAAATGTGCAGTTCAGGAACAGATATGAGTGAGAGAGTAGACAGCACATTTGAGGCTGGGCAAGTAGTTATAACCAATATGGTATTTACTGGTGACCTTGACCAGAGCAGTTTCCACAGAGCAGTAGAGAGGAAACTCTTGTTGGAGTGGATTCAAAGAGAACATGAAGAGCTGAAATGGAGACTGAGAGTCGAGACAGCTCTTTTGAGGAGTTTTGCTGAAATTGGGGCAGATAAATCTGGCCATAACTAGAGAGTGATGTGAGATCAAGGGAGAGTTCTGTTCTGTTTTACAGTGGGAGGGATTGTAGGTTTGTATGCTGAAGGGAATGATCCAGGAGAGAGAAAATAGTGATTCTTGAGTAAAAAAAGGAGGCAATTGTTGAAGCATTGTCTTTGAGTAAGAGAGAAAGGGTAAAGTCTAGTGCACAAGCGAAGGGATTGGCCTTGGAGTTCACCCATCCCAACCAGGGGGCATGAAGTACCCCCAATATAGGTGCAGGTAGCTGGGAGGATATAGTGAAAAGAGCCTATGAAAATTCTCTTCGAGTTGCTTTAGTTTTATTAGTGAAATAGAAAATAAAGTATTCAGCTGTGATGAAGGCAGGAAAAGAGGTATTGGAATTCGAGAAGGGAGAAAAGGATATGAAATAATCATCTAGTTGAATGGCAGAAAGAACACCCTAGAAGAACAATCCAAAGATGCTTATTTCTTGTAAAGTGATAAACTTAAGCTTGACCCCACAGACTCTGGCTGTCAGTGTAAGTTTTGAATTCTGATTGGAACTGTCATGTGGTGATTAAATAATGCCTGTTGCACAGTGGCGGAAAGTCTATAGATGATGAATTTAACCTCATGGTCTTTCAAATATTAAATAGCCTATAAAACAAAAATATTCTCAATTAAATAAAACAAAGATTGTCTCCCTGATAAGGATAGGCCTGAAACTAAAACTGTTCTAAGATGCATTAAAAAATATTCCAAGGACTTGAGGAAAAAACATTGCAAGTTGAGATATCAAAAGATAATGCAGCTTCCAAAGTCAGAAACATAATCTAAACCAGAATAATATTCAAATGCTGTGTAAAAAGGCTCATTAAGAATATTTTTACAGTATAATTTTGGAAGTGCAGAAGACATTAGTATTTAGAGAAACATTTATAAATAAACTTTTAGACAGTTTTTTGACCTGACTTTCACACTCCAGTAGGATGGCATTCAGGTGGTCCACAATTCCCTGAATCTGCACAGCAAATATCATCTGTAGATGAGTATGTGCATATTTCTGCAGGTGAGCACATAACTTTTATTGAATTTTCAAAATAGATCATGAGTCCAAAAGCATTAGGAACTTCCTAAGAAAAGAAAATGATCTACATCAGAAAACTTGTCACACAAGTAGAATATTTTACATCAGGAAACTTCTGAAATAAAGATTCAGAAACACCTTGGAATAATAGAAACACAATGGACCAGGAACCAAGAGTTTGCATTCTACTAGTCTTGCTTCTATTAATAATAAGTTTTTTGATAATGGACAAGCCTCCTCATTTATTGGGCATCAGCTTCCTCACCAGTAGAGAATGGTGTTGGAACATGTGATTGCTAAGGTCTCTTCCAGTCCAAACATGGTAAGATGCCATGAAAATGTACCACTCTGTATGGTTTTCGTTCATAAAAAATGAGAGAGACTGGCTTTATCTACAATAAAGACTTTGGATGGGGCATTCTGGCTCTTCCTGGATCCTTCTTTTCTCCTCCCTTTAAGTCGCAATGAAAAATCATCTACCAAATACAGAGAAATAACAAGTTGTCATCTAGAGGCTGCTTTGGCCCAGCTTGTAATGCTAAGTGACGATGAAGACACATTCCCCTCTCAGGTGCTTGCCAAGAATGGATTTCTAAATATTTACATGTGACATGATGTGTTAGTGCATTTTCTGTTGCTATAACAGAATATTTGACAATGGGTAATTTATAAAGAAAACAGATTTATTTAGTATGGATTTGGAGGCTAAGAAGTCAAAAATTGGGCAGCTGCATCTGGTCAGCATCTGGCGAAAGCCTCGTGTTGTGTCACAACCTGATGGAGGGTATCTCAGGGTGAGAGGGGCACACAAGATAGAGCCAACTCTGTAACAACCCACTCTTGTGACAACTAACCCAGTCCTGTAACAACCTACTGATCCACAAGCCCATTAACCTATTAATTCATTAATTCATGAATGAATTCATCTATTCATGAGAGCAGAGCCCTTGTGACCCAATCACATCTTAAGGGCCCCACAACTTAATACTGTTACGTTGGGGATTAAGTTTCAAAATGTGTTTCAGGGGGGATGATCATTCATACCATGACAAAATGGCAGAAAATGTGCAACTCCAAGACCAAGAAAACGTGAAGAGGCTGTGACTACCTCCATGTGAGAAACATCTGAGTTCCTCCTGATCCTAAGACCTCCCCACAATGTATGTATGATAGCAATTTCCTCTGACAGAGCAGTGAATTTGATGATAGTGCATCGATTGCTGTAAATTGTCTGCTGGGTTACCTGTTCCTACCACCTTAGAGCACTCACAGCTCAGTGACTGTGGAAGTCAGCTTCCAAGATGTTCCCCTATGATCCTCCCCTCCTTGTATTCACATCTGTAAAGATTCCTCCCACAATGAATCACAGTTTCGTTTTGTGACCAACAGAATACAGCAGAAGTAAGGAAATGTGACTTCCAAGGCTAATGAATAAAAGGCTTTGCAGTTTTCTCCTTGGTCAGTTGGAAGCCACCTGCCATGGACACTCAAGCAGTTCTGTGGAGAGGCTCATGAGGGAAAGAACTGAGGCCCCTCCACCAACATCCAGCACCAACTTGTCAGCTGTGTCTGTGAGCCATCTAGGAATGAGACCCTCCTGAAGCCCTGGTGAAGCCTTCAGATGACCGTAGCCCCAGCCAACATTTGGCTGCAGTCTCATGGCAGGCTCCAAGCCAAACCCTACCAGTGAATTTGCTACCAAATTCCTGACTCATGGAAACTGTGTGTGTAATAAATGTTTATTGTATGATAAAGCCACTAAATTTAGGAGTAATTTCTTACACAGCAATAGATAACTAGTAGAGTCACTTTGCATCTCTTAGGGTCTATGGCAAATGACACATAATGAATAGAGAAATTGGAACAGACAACTGGTTGTCTGTTTCAGTACAGAAACTGGTTGGTATTAAGAGTGACAATTTTTATTATAGTTCAAGCTATAGTACTGTATGTTCTTGAATAAACTATGCTAATCTAGGCCATCCAAAGACTTCCCAAAATGTATGGTGAGAATAACATTTCCAAGATACTAAACCAATGTTTGTAGCTCCTGATAATTCCTAATTCCTGGTTGCCCCAAGCCACCACCTGCCCCAACTAAAACAAAAGAATTGATCACATCATAATAAAATTAGAACCTTCAAAGAACAGGCACTGATCTCTTGGAATTTTTATTTTAAACTTAAGTTTACATGACAATCTGCTTCCACTTACATGATAATCTGAAAGCATATGTTGAAATGGCATGGTTCTTGGTTGCAGAAAACAGAAATGAAATCTACCTAAGCAGAAATTAAAATTATAGGAGGGATATTGGGAGCTCATAACATCCAGAGGCTGACTAAACAAACAGACTTCAACGTCAAAAGCAGCCCCCACCCTGGAGGCTAGGGATCTATGAGAGCAAATTGAACATCTGATCTCTCAGCTCTCACCAAACTCACACCATGGCAGAACCTTCACGAAGGGAGGAAGAGACTCAGATGCTGAACACAAGGAGAGGAAAAAACGTCGTAAGATGCTTCTTCTGTTTTTCAAAGACCCAGAGTTTGTTGTGAGAAAGAGCAAAGACCTTTTTCCTAACTCCCAAAGCTGGAATTTTACACATCAGGGACCAAGCCTGGTGGGATATGAACATTAAGTTCATTTGTTTAAGTCAATGCAAGGAGGATTACATGAGGCATGGGCAGAAACTGTGAGATAAAGAGAAAGGAAGAAACTCATAGGGAGTGGGTGGGGAAGAGGAAGCCACTAAGGAAGAAGGGTAGGAAGTCAGATTAGCATCCTTTTGGCTCCCACATCTGAAGTGCCAGGCTGAACTTCAGCAGAAGACGTTGGGGTAGGTGTAAGGTGCTTCCAGAATAGGAAACTATTTTCTTACTTTCCTTGGGCTCATCCTGTAAATACTCCATGCCTCTTAGAGAAGCCCTGTGGCCAACAGGGCGCTGCTTGCTGCATGGTGCCCGAACGAAAACAGACAATTCTGAGGGAAGTTCCTGAGACCGGGCCAAAGGTTACCACATCCCTGGCCTAGTATTTATGGGACATGGAAATTCCCACGTGCTCCAGAGGAAACACAGATGGTGACTGATGACGCTGGCTTCCAAGCTGTCCTGGGGAAGACGGTTACCTTGTAGACTCAGCTCCACAGCAGACTCTGCCAGCCAAATTCTCAGGAGCAGCCACAGGCAGGCCTCAGGGGATCAGAAGGATGAGGAGGAACCAACAGGCCATGGGTGCCTGATCACAGGTGGACACACCTGCCTCAGCTACTCAGCAACAGATGCAGCCCAGGGACCAGGAGAACATCACGATGCCTGGAGGATACATGGGCTTCCCTTGCAACTGACCATGATGCTTCTTTGTGAAGGTGGAGGTGGGGAATGCCCTTGAGATGAGGGAAAGTAATTACCCCACAGAAGTTATTTTACTCAGAGGAGATGGTTGTACTTGAATTGGGAAGACTGAGCACTCTCCACCATCTGCAGGAATGGGGCCTTGTCAGCAACTAAGGCTTTCGACGGGAGGTGCCCCCACCCAACAATTTCGGTCATTGCCCTGCTGTCATCTCCATGATGCTCTGAGTTCTGCTCCTTTGCCTTAATCTCCCATGGCTCTTGAACTCCCAGATTTTTCCTGTAAGACCTGGAGGAGGAAAAGGACTATCTAAAGAGATCTTGCCTATAGTTCCAGTGTTTTGGGAGAGTCAGGTAGGAGGATCACTTGAGGCCAGGAGTTTGAGACCAGCTTGGGCAATATAGCAAGACTCCATCTCTACAAAAAATTTAGTAGGTGTAGTGGTGTGCACCCATAGTCCCAGCTGCTCAGGAGGCTGAGGCAGAAGGGTCACTTAAGCCTGGGAGATCCAGGCTGCAGTGAGCCATGATTGAGCCACTGCACTCCAGCCTGGGCAACAGAGCAAGACCCTGACTCAGAAATAAATAAACAAAAATAAAGAGATCTTACTTTGGAGACTACTATAGAGGTCCAGGTGAGATATGACACTGCCCTAAATCATGACCTTATCCAAGGACATGGCCAAAGAGCAACTCAACAGCAAATGTTTTTGATTCTTCACAGCAGCTCTCAGGTTCTTTGCAGCAACCTCATAAGCCAAGCCCCATCCTCAGCATCTCACTTGCTGGGTATCCCTGGACAGGCCCCTTCACGTGCTTGGCCTCTGCTTCCTCATTTTTAAAACAGGGTGGAGGTGGTAGTGGTGAGGAATGAGTAGATGATTTTGTTTCTTTTTATTTGTGTGTGTGTGTGTGTGTGTGTGTGTGTGTGTGTTTTGCTTTGGTTTTTGGTCTAGCCATGGGGAGATGGGGAGGGGATGGGACCACATTCGATTCTCTTAAATGATGATGGAGCTGTAACATTCTAAGGATTTACGTTACAGCATTCTTTCATGGAAATGCTGTTGCTCCCACAGATCACTACACTTCTAATCTACAAGTCAACTATTTTATAAACATAACCTGCAAAGTGCTCAGGAAATAGGCCAAAGCTAAGAAAGAAGCCCCTTAAACTACACAGCTCATGGTCTTCACCAGGAGGTCAACAAGGGCATGCCTTGGTTCTAAGTTTAACAAAAACTATTACCTACAGAAATGGGTGAAGATTACCTCCTAATAGCTTGTCCCCAGGTAGCTGGTCTAACAATCTCACAGACCAGAAAGGCCAATAAATTGGATCCGAACTGAGTCAACCAGCAGGCAACTACCCCTGCCAGCTCTTTCCTCACCCTGAAATTTAGCGGCTGTAACCATGGCCAACCAAGCCCCGGCGCTCAGAACACAGCCCAGTACAAACAAGCTCACAGACTGTCTTAATCTTCTAAGGAAATAAAGACAAATAAAAATCGGCTGACTTGTTCAAACATTAAAAAAAAATGGAGGCAGAGAGAAGGAGGAGCAAGACAAAATATTTTATCATTTTGCGACCAAACACAACCTTGTAGGAAAATATTTTTGCTATCTCAGTGGTGAAGTTTAGTAGTGTGGTGTCTGTTTTAACTTTTTTTTGCCAGTTCTCCCAAAGGTGGTTTTATTTTGCTGAAAAGGCAAAGAAAGGGGTTAGAAAAATTAGCATTAATTAAGCTTTATTTCCCTTGGCTACTGGCCACAAAGTTCAAATAAAGTGCAGCCTCTAGCTGAGTCCCCTCACAAGCAAAATTCAGAATGCATGGCTTAATTCATGGACATTCTGTTTTCCTGACAAGAAAAAGGAGAAATATAGGGATAAGGCTAGAAAAAGTGAAAAGGTGAACAAGAAGTATGTCTTCTATTTGGCTTCCTTTAATTTCCTGCTTTGAGGGGAAAGAATTGGTGGAAAAAAGAAAGGATACAGACAGGGTACAGTTATGTTTCAATCTTGTCAAGTATGTGCAGGTATATTAATAAACAAATGGTCATTTCCGTGAACAAAAGCTCCATTCTTCCAGGTCAAAACCTTGGTCAAAAACCTTGACATTGTCTTTGACCCCTGCCTCACACATCACATCCCTCTAATCTGATTTCAAAATAAATCCAGATCCAATTGCTTCTTAACTCCCCCCCACCACACTACGAGCACAAGCCACTATTGACCCTTATGTGGAATATTTACATATCCTCCGAACTGGTCTCTGTGCTTTTTTCCAAGAATGTGTTCTTTACTCAGTCTGATCTGCCTCCCTCCTACCTCTATGACTTCATCCCCTGTTTCCCCACCTCATTCATTCAGTTCTATCCATAAACTGTTCCTCACACATGCTAAGCATCCTCTCACCCCAGGGCCTTGGCATTGGATGCCCCCTCTGCCCAGAACACTCTTTCCCCAGATAGGCTCCACAGTTTATTCCCTTGTTCTTTCATGTCTCTAATGAATGCCTCAAGAGACCAGAGATCTTTCCAGACCACTCTACATAAAATGGCCAATCTCCACGCAGTATTCCAGAGCTCCCTTGCTCATTTTAATTTCTTCTTCTCCATAGCATGTACCATCGCTCTACATACAATTATTTGCTTATTTATATTTGATATCCCCCAGTAGAATTTTTACCACCCAACATACATTTATTCGTTTACTTATTGTCAAAATCTCTTCCATCAGAATTTATACTCCTCGAAGTACTGTTTTGTTTATTGCTGTATCCCCAGTGCCTAGTATACTAGATGATGCTCAAATAATATCAGTAGAATAAATAGATAAATGGGTGATAAATAACTAAATCCAATCAATACATATGAAAGAAAGAGAAGATGGAGGCGAATAAAGTAAGAAAGAGAAAAAGAAAGAAACGCAACTCCTAAATACATCTCCCGAAGGTAATAATAGTGTGGGTGAATATTTTGTACTTTTCTCAATTTTCCTAAATATATAAAATAAAGATATGTTACTTCCATAATTAAAAAAAACCTGATATTTATCTTAAAATACTTTGTGTCAAATTTTAAGATTTTGTTAAGATTTGAGAATAGAAAATGAAAGTATATTTTTTGGTTTTTGGTTTTTGTTTTTTTAAGTCAGTGCTTCACAGTTTTAGGAGGACAAGTCAAATGGCGGGGAGGGTTCTTGAGGTGAAGGTTCAAATTGTCTCATCGGCACCATCACCCACTGAGTTACCCAAGCCAGACACACGGGCTCCTTGCCCCTCCTCTGTGTCTCCCCTTCTATCCCCTCCTCGCCAGCGCTGTCTAGTCCCACTGGCATCATCACTACAATCAGACATCCAGCCGTCATTTTTACTCCCTGCTCACTTCCACATCTAAAAGTCAATCAGATATTCCCAATTTTTCTCCCCACAGTATCCGCCTCTTCTGGCCCACCCACACCATCATTGCCTCAGGGCAGGCTTTTCTCATTTTTCTTCTAGATTCCTCCATTCTAATTCCACTCTCTAGTACTACTCCCTCCACTTCAGATGGCCTCCCAGTGTTGAGGGAGTGGTTTTTCTAAAACACAAACCGAATCATCTCATTCTGCATACATCTAGTATTCCTCAGCTGAGCACACAGCCACGCCCCACTTAACCCACCAAGAGCCGACCCTGTCTGTCCTTCCATCTTCCTCCTGCAAAGACCCACTGCCCAACCCAACTCCAGCACGCGTGGGTCCCCAAACTCCTTGGTCATCTCCCGACTCCATGCCCACCTGTCTTCTTGGAAAGTCAGTCCCTCCCCTTCTTGGTCTATTATCAGGCACCTACCCTTTAAAAGCCAGCTCTGTGGCCACCTCCTCTAGTTGGTTCTCCCTAGCTCCCATTGCTTTAGATGCTGCTCCTCTGGGTTCCCAAAGGAACATGGACTGTGTTTTAGCCATTGATTTACTCCTCGGAATCTTACATTGACTGTTAGCTCCCTAAGGGAAGGGCCCCTGTCTTAATGCTGCATTTTCATCATCACACTTAACTCAGGGTTTAACGTCTAGTAGAAATTTAATAAATCCTTGCAAGAGGAAAGAGACAGAGGAAAGAGAAAACCCAGCTAGGTAATTAGATAGGTTAGGGCTATAAATATGTTGAGGGAAAAGTACACAAGGTCTTCAGATGTGCCCAGTAAATCTCTGTGAATGTTTGCAAACCTTACAGCAGAGATATTTGAAGTGAATAATTTATATTGGTTGAGGGTAGACAGACCTCATGGATTTGCATCCCAGCTGACCCACTTGAAAGCCAACTGGCCCTCAGCATGTTACTTAACCAATTTGAGCCTCAGTTTCCTCCTCATTTAAGTGAGAAGAATAATACTGTCTCCCTGCTGAAGCTGGTATGAGGTTAAATAGGATAATGCATGTAAAGGGCTCAGCACAGTGCCCGAAAGCAGTAAACGGTCAATAAATGTCACTAATGATCATGATGATGATAATCACTATGAAACAAGACACTGAAGTGTTTTTAACAGAACAGTTAGGGGAGGTTCAATAATCAAAGTATCCAATATATCAAACCGGAATCTCAATCAATGGTATTTCAAAGGCCAGCCGCTAAATTAGCATCATCATTTAAGGGCTTGGGGACACCAACCAGCTGCTGTTGATAGCATACAAGCCGGTGTCACAAGAAAAGGCAGGGGCTGTTCAGATTTCTCATGACTGAACAGCAGTTTTGAAGCTGTGTATTCAGAATCAATCCACAGAATGGCAATGTGTGTTGTGTGAAATAAAGTGTTCCCTGATCAAATAGAAGCATGAGATGTTATAAACCGGGTCCAACAGTGATATTTACTGCAGGACTTCTCTCAATGTCTCTGAGAAGGGGGAGGCAGGATTTGCCCAGCACTTTTTAACCACAATGTCCTGTGCTTTTTAGATCCTCTGGGACTTTTCAAAATGCCCCAATTCAAGGAAAGCTCTGAGGATGTAGTAATTATAATCCCAGGTCAGCTGGGAAGGAAGAAAAAGAAGGAAAGAAGAAAAACAGGAGGAACACACAATCTCCAAATACATATTTCTATTGTAATAGTATAGTGTGAGTAAATATTGTGTGCTTTATTCAATTTTCCTAAATGCATAAAATAAAAATATATTACTTCTATAATAAAAAAGATTACATTTACCTTAAAATGGTTTTGTCAAATTTAAGATTTAGCTAAGATTTGAGAAGCGGAAAGTATATATTTTTTTAAAACATTGACATCTCATAGTTTCAGGAAGGGGAGTATCATGTTCGTTGTGAACTAACAGACAGGCAGAGGTCCTGGTTAATTAGTGCATAATCCTAGACACCCCCAAACACGGAGGCACATTACAAAACACAAAACAAAGCAGGGAGGCCCTACCCAGGCCTTACTGCTCCTGGAAGGTCCTTGTATTGGCTGCAGGCACCTGCTTTGACCTGGAGGGGGAAGGGTGCAGCATAGTTGACGCCTCACTGGACAGATCTTCCAGAGCTATGTCGGTGCTGGGCTCCCAGCACACCTCAGCCTTCTCTTTCCTTCACCCTGCACAGCCCCAGCAGGACAAATGGAGCCAGGCACAGGGAGAGCTTTTGCGCAAGCCCCTGAGCTCTGGCCAGGCAGCAAAGGCCAACCAAGCCTCTGACCTCCCTCATCGCCTCCAGTTGCAGTCTCTTTCCTTTTGTATTCCTTTGGCTTCAAGGATCTTTGATGATTCTCTCTGTAAGTTTCTCTTCTTTATTCCAAATTGGTTTCCTGTCATTTTTACAAGAAGGAATTTATTGGTGCTTTAAAAAAAATGTAAAAATGTCTTTGTGCCTAAATCTTTCCATAACAGCCTTTTCTACAACGTTGGCTCTCTATCCTGTGTTTTTTCCTTTCTTTGCTGCATTCTGTGCCTCTGGGCCCAACTAACTAGAAGCAGATGTGATCAAGGCTGGAGTGGGGATGGGGTGGGGACAGCCCAGCCTTGGGCAGCTGAGGGCTGTGCCCCTTGCTAAGGTCCATCACTCACCTAGCCATGACCAAGACTCTTTCCCTTGGCAGCTCATTCTCCTGCCCTCTCTGAATAACACACACCACACACAGAGCCACCACTTACCCAAATAGCCTCATGCACCCTTTTCACAGTGTTCAGCTACTGAGGATGCAGATGGTTTCCAGAGGCTGGAGGGAAGTGCATACTCAAGATCCAAGTCTAAGTCTGCAGACATCACCCCTAAACCAGCCTCACAGGTGCATTCTCTGCAGGGCAAAGTGCCAGTCACATTTCGGAGCCAGGGCTGCCCTTCTTCATCCTAGGGAAGGTCATCTGCTCCTTGCCAGTGCTAAACAAGAGGCCTCCTTCTGGGTTTCGGCAGGTGATGGTTCCATCACTATGCCAGGGCAAGGAGGAGGGGTTGGGAGAGAAGTGTAGGGGAAAAGGGTTTGGGGGGTTGGGGGATAAGGTAATGCCAGCGGGCAATGCTTGGTCTCACCTTCTGCTACTTCAGGCAGACCCATCAATGTAAAAGAGGGAGCTATGGGGACGCAGAACTGGGACTCCCCAGTTCTGGAGTCAGAGCCACACAGCCGTCACACACTCATACTTAAACTGAGACCTCTGTAAAGAAATGCATAAGGTAGGCTCAACATTTGTTTCACAATCATAGGGGAAATAGGGGCGAGTGGAAAATGGCAGTGTGCTGCACTGTACATACCATGATCTGTGTCATGGAAAAGGCGTACCCACAAAATATTCATGAAAGGGAAACGAATGAATAAAGCAGAGTTTTCTCTGTTTAGTGAAATTAGAGGTGGTAGTTATGTTTCTTTTCACAAATTTCTGCTTCTGATTTTTCTACCATGAGTATTCTTACTTTATCAACAGAAAAAGTCAGTAAGCTATTTGTTCAAAAATGTGCTCAAGGCCGGGCACAGTGGCTCACGGCTGTAATCCCAGCACTTTGGGAGGCCGAGACGGGTGGATCACAAGGTCAAGAGATCAAGACCATCCTGCTAACACAGTAAAACCCCATCTCTACTAAAAATACAAAACATTAGCCGGGCGTGGTGGCGGGTGCCTGTAGTCCCAGCTACTCGGGAGGCTGAGGGAGGAGAATGGTGTGAACCTGGGAGGTGGAGCTTGCAGTGAGCCGAGATGGCGCCACTGTACTCCAGCCTGGGCAACAGAGCAAGACTCCATCTCAAAAAAAGAAAAAAAAATGTGCTCAACACCTCTTTCCAGAGTCACAATTATGGATAAGACAGGTATGTTTGTATGCATGCATAAACATACATATGTATACCACACATATAGATTTATGAATGAATGAAAATATATATGCTCATGTGTGTCTATAACTGTATATATTAACTTCAAAGACCCATCAATACAGAGAATTGACCTACTGGTAAATGCACAGAAATATATCACACCCAGCAGGTCAACAACAAATAAGACAAAGAGATACCCATTTTCTGTGACATGGTTTGTCTTCATTTTCTGAGTTTAAGTAACTGTTACAAAATAATCTGTTTGCTCTTTGTGAAGATGGCCATCTTGACAGAATAAAATGGGACAGGTCCTGCCTGGAGCAGAAGCTGTGTGCCACCTTGGTGACAGTGATCTTAATTGATATTTGTGCCCAGGGGCGGCTCCTCTCTCCTCCTCCTCCTCCCAGCTAAGAAACTGCACTTCACACAATAGAACAGTGTAGGGTAGGATGCTTTGTCTTGGGGCAGTGTGGGCCAAGTGCCGGGCACTGAATTCTGGGGCCACGTGATTTCCTGTGTGCCCTGCTGACATGACTGCCCCACCAGCCTGTCCTGCTGTCCCTTCTAACAGGTGCCCCTCCGAGGACCCTCCTAGGAGGAAGAGCTTTTGGACTGCCTCCAAGGTCTCAGGCACTCACCCTCCACATCTGAAAGTTATCAGAACTGGCATCTCACGAATCCTCCCTGCACTCTTCCTGCTCTGCGCAGGGCAGGGCAGAGCCTATAAGAAATAAAGTACTTTGTTACGTATAATTTAATCCTCAAAGGTATAGAAGGTTGGGCCCCAGATGAAGAAAAGTTAGATGGAAGCAGTAGCTGAGTCAGATGGCTGAATATCTGCTCTGGAATTTCTACATCCATTTGGAGTTCTCATAATTTGATCCCCCCATTAGCACTACCTGTGGGGGAATGGCACTCTTTTTTAAACTGCATGTTGGACAATTCCTGTAAGTATTTCCTCTAGAGAACTTTGCTTTTTTCTGGTTAATCCTTGTAGGATGATGTAGGTCGGTGTATGTGCATGCATGGTTAAGAAAAAAGAATCATTCCTTCGAATAACCAATTGACAGAATAGAGGATTACAGTTGGTGCTTGGTGAGATCTGGGGGACTTTAGCACGTCTGTCTGTCCAATCATTCATTTATTCTTTCAAAACATAGGATCCAAAGACTGGTTAGAATGAGATGCGTACTGGGCCTGAAAGTTATAGTCAAAAGTTATATTTACCTTCCGCTCTACAAAGTACTTTAGCCCTTTGTTACTGACATAATAATTCAATATAAATGTTTCCATGTAAAAAATAAGTATTACATTCACTAGTCAAAATTTAAAAGAAATCTGAGCAAACCCTATGAAAAGTCTTCTTCTTAGCCAAGACTCCTTGAGTTGTATCTAATTCTAACTTACAGCAAAGGAGGGAATCCATTGTTTCCCATAACATAAAATAAACAAGAGTCAAGTTTTCCTGGCATCAGAAGTAACATCAAAATCTCTCTCTCTCTCTCTCTCTCTCTCTGTCTCTCACACCTTCTCTCTCTCTCTGTTTATTCCTTACACTGAAAAGATAGTGCAGGCAGCTAAAAATTCATATCCTTCCAGCTATTGTTCCAAATTGAAGAGTACACACAGTCTCTTTCAGTATCCATACAGCAAATCTTGAGAAAGACAGTGATTGGCCCCACATAAGTGGTGGCTCTTTCAAAGCTAATCACCCTGGCTTGGGGATAGAGGACTTGGACTGGCCTGCTAGGATTGCATACCCTCTTATGCATCTCAGGCCACGTAAGGTACTTGGGGTAGGATGGCTTCTCTGGGACTTGTAGTTACAGGAGGATCCCACGGCATAGGGAAAGCATGGTTCCTCAAAGGAAAAGTAAGGTGTACTTATCTGAAGAAGGGGAAAAAAACACCAGACAGAAAAATAACTTCTCAATGCATCATTGTAAAATGTACCTGAAAAGGAATTGATCCTGTTGAAAATAATTTCCGAAAACTAAAGATGAAAGTGGAAAAAAAGCTGAGATTTTTAATACTGTTGGATCAAATATTATGAAGAACATAAGGTGGCTCAAGAGATTTTGCTCCAGAAAACCCGCCTTCATGGTGAAAATCTAGGAACATTGGTATCATCTCGGTTAAAATGTTTGTTTTCATAAAAAGAGCCCAAACAGCCTTGGGATCAAAACAACTTTTCCTGGAACTGAGACATGTTTTATTCTCCTAAAGAAGTCCAAATTTAATTACGATTGGATAAACAGCATCTGGACATTCCTGATCTTATATTTTGACATGATTTAGCCTCAAAGGCAACGGTATTTTCTTAGGAGATGATCCTGCCTTTCCTTCTGACGGGTTTTATCCTCAGGTGGGGGAGGGGAGACACGGCTGGAATCTGTCACGGCCCAGCACCACTGTGCAGCCTCTTTCTGTGGGGCCTCTGCACGGGAGGCCAGAGGGGAACCCAGCACTTTGCAAAAGTATCCAAAAGGCTCTTCAAGAACCCTGAAGGGGGATGCCAACCAAATCTTAGCTGTCCTGTTTTACACAGTTTTATGACTTCTAATCTACTTCTATCAGTTATTCTGTTTTATGGCTGCAAATGATAAGATAAATTGGGTTCTCTTTCTCTCTCTCTCTCTCTCTCTCTGTGTGTGTGTGTGTGTGTGTGTGTATGTGTGTCAGTGTCACAGTTTAGAGGACTCATGACTTGTCTGTAAACCAAAACTGATCATTCCACAAACCCATGCCCTTTCTGACCTTGTGTAACCTCATCCAGTAACAACTAATGCAGAGAGAATATTGAACTCCAGAGCATATCTCTGAGGGCAAGAGACCAACCTGATGCCAATTTCGAATTGGCTTTAGTAAAGCTGTCTCCCTCAGAGATCTGATCATGCCTCTTTTATAAGGCCAGTCTCCTGGGTCCTGTGGGAGCAATTTCCCCTTATGTCTAAGCCCCTCACCTATGTGACATAGACGCATCACTTCACCTCTCTGGACTCATCTATAAAATGAGCAGATTGGATCAGGTTATTACTGTGGCCCTTCTAGTCCTAACATCCTACGATGCTATGACACCCTAATGCTGTATCCCGCCACCGTGATCTACAGTAGTTTTCTACAACCATAACTCTTTCTAGTGTCTCTCAGATAAAGGCCAGGTCCTAACCTCAAACCTGCATGGTATGTCTGCAATAGCAGGAACAGATGGGAGACAGGCACCAGCAATGTCCAGAGGAAAATGGGTAAGGTTAAATCAGTAGCATCCTTAATAACGTGGCCGTTCCTTTCTCCTTCTCCCCTCTGGGATTAAAGCTTGTGTGCTGACTGTTGAAAAATCAGTCATTAACAGCTAGGAAATGACTTCCCCATCCATCAGAACACTGCTCAGCCATGTTTCAGCTTTTCCCCCTTTCTCTGTGTAATTATTCTCATCCACCACTGATTACAGTTTATAATAGCCATAATTCTCTCCAAATCAATCATTACTTTACTTTACCACGGGGTTACCAGCAGAAACATGAGGGAATGCAGATACCCCCGGCTGGGCTTTATTTTTTGGAATTTGCAGGCTTTCGTCTGGATCTCATTTAATCATCTGGATGTTCAAAGAAAAGCAACGATTTTAATTCAAAGGCATTTTTTCTACTCACTCTTAATTCTTCCCCTCGTATTTTTTAAATGGAAATGATGGCTGGTTAAATGAGGCTAACACTGTGTGAAACCTGCTAGTGTTGTCACTTGGAAAGATTGGTAGGAGACATCACAGGATTCTCGTCATGAATCGATAAACTTCTTTGACACTTTACCTACCTGAATATTGTGTAGACTTCTCAGCCTGGGAGATTCCTGGGAAGTTCAATAATAGCTTTTTCTTTCCATGGACTGATTAGAACAAAAATTCCTACCATGGAGACAGTTTTTCTTGTACATTCTGTAGAGGTATGACAATCAGTCATTTACACTCTAGTTAGAATTTAAGGCAACCCAGTTTTATCCTATATTTAACAGACTTACTATGTACCATATACCGTGCCAGTGTTTGGGCAGGTTTCAAAAAACTAATTTGATCTATTCCTTGTATCCACATGGTTGCTGGAGGTAGTAGGAAGAAAAACGTGTAAATAACCATTTTGGCATTCATCATAGGCATCTTGGCTTATGGGGGTACACAGTACAGTAGGAGAATAAGAAGGGGAGGTATTTACATTCTAGGGATCTTAGAGTTCCTAGACAAAATGTAATTAGAACTGAACCCTGGAGGAGGGGGCGTAACTTGAGCAAGTTGTCATTCCAGGAGGGGGCAGCAGAAATTAATCACAAAGTCTTGTGGAGGAAGAGAGGATGAGGGAGATCAAGGCCAGTGGGAAGTGTCTGGAATAGTGAAATGCCCCGAGATGATGGGATGATATGAAGACCAGCAATCTGAAGGCTAGTGGCTGACTGCAGCATCAGGAAAACCTTTGGAGAACCACAGGGGCCCTTCCCAGGGAGCTCCAGAAACGTTTACTGAGGCAACCCTGGCAAATACAAGAGGATGAGACAAAACAGCAGGTCATTCAAGATGCATTATTAGAAACATCAGCTCATTCCTAGTGAAGTTTGGGACTTATAATGATGAAATTAGTAATTTTACAGTATTAGACTCCCCACCTACCCTCCAAAATGTGGTCTTTTCAAAGCCCCCAAAAAACTGGTTAAAGTTAACACTCTAACATAAGAATTTGTATAAGAAAATAAACATAACGTTTTGGAAGTACTGAATCAGCAGTGGTGGTGAGTGCTCTCAGACCTATTACACAAAGGCAGGGTTTGTATCCACGGTGGGAATGATGGCAGCTTATTCGATTTTGCATCCATCCTTATTAGGATATGCTTGGTTTACTAGGGAACCTTTAACTTTCATAAATCTCCTCACATCTTCATTAGCCACGTTAGCCCCATATGAGACATGAAATAATTTATGCAGCAAAAGCCCAGGGGTCTCCAGTCCAGGGGGAAATGTTCCAGGTAACTGCTAATCTGGAAGTGATTTTCTTTCTCAAACAGACTGGGTGGTCTATATCAGTGGTTTCCAGTTTTTTGCTTTTTGTTTTTTTTTAATTTCATGAGCCAGTAAAAAAAAAAAAAATTTTCGAGACAACATCTCACTCTGTCGCCCAGGCTGGAGTGCGGTGGCACGATCTCAGCTCACTTCAACCTCCACCTCCCAGGTTCAAACGATTCTCCCACCTCAGCCTCCTGAGTATCTGGGACTACAGAGATGCACCACCATGCCCGGCTAATTATTATATTTTTAGGTAGAGATGGGGTTTCACCATGTTGGCCAGGCTGGTCTCAAACTCCCAACCTCAAGTTATCCACCCGCCTCAGCCTCCCGAAGTGCTGGGATTACAGGCATGAGCAACTGCATCTAGCCAGATTTTTTTAAAAAAATTGTAATTGGATGGTGGTTGGTGATGGCGAGGGGAGTAACATGAGTTTGCCTACATTTTATTTTGCCAAGCCAGGGCATTAAAAATAACCACTACTATCTACTCTCTCCATTGTTTTACACCAAAAAAGCATAACTTTATACCAAAAATATAAGCAAGCCACAATCTCAGCATAAAGGATAAAGGATAGTCCTTTCCATTAAAAGCTTTATTGAACAAAATCTCGCTTCATTGTCCTTACTTTTCTTATTTTGCAACAGAATGCTCAAAGACATGTTCTTGAAGGGCTTGGGTCCCCTGAGAAGTTCTGGTCTGGGCGAGCCCTCCCTCCGGCTGCTAGAAGGTAGCCCAGAGAGACACAATCCTGGGGCCACTTCTCTGGACACACATTGGAAGAAATGGAAAGAACAGTCTCATCTTCCAGCACTGCCCAAATTGATCGGGAAGCAAATTATGACTATTCATCTTGACTCATGTTCAAAGTGTGACATTCAAAAACAGCAGGAGACAGAGGCTAAGAAGTTTGTCTTTCAATTAATATATAGGCCCTGTTATGGAGAGATGCCCAGCCTGTTAGGCTTTTTTGTGAAAGAGCAGCCATGTGGCATAGAGACGAGCCAACTCCACAGAATTAGGACAAAAAGTGCTAAATGTTTGGAACAGGACCTGGCCAGAAACGTCCTCTTGGCTAAGGTTTTCATTCATCCCCAGAGTGGGGGCAGAAAGAAGGAAAGGATTTGTGGCTAATAGTGATTATTGCTGAATACCTACAACATTCATGCTAAGACCTTCACCTACACCATTTCATTTAACCCACAAGGCAAGTTTATGACATAGGTATTCAAGGCAACTTTGTAGTGAAAAAAAAAAAAAGGCTAAGAAAGGGTAAGTTTTTTGCCCAAGATCACAGAGAGGTGGGAACAGAACTCTTGTCTGTCTGACCTCAAAGTCTGCCTTGACCACTGCACCAAGAAGCTCCTGTGGGATCTGTGGTTTGTTTTGCATCATCGCCTACCTATCCACGTGCACGGTCTGTAGTTATTTACTTAGGAAACTGTTTATACTGTTTTCCAGCACGGGCCTTTTCTGAATCTCAATGAATCCTTTGTTATTTTTATGAAGTTCTGTGTTGAGAGGCAGACTTAGCTATTGTTAGGGGCCAGCCAAAGGAACACTGGTACAGACAAGGGTCCGGCATCAAGAACGCTGGCCAGGTAAGCATCGGTCCTCATAGGACGGACCGCACTGGATCTCTCCACATCTGAGCAGACTGGCCTCGCCTTCAGGACCGGATACCTCATGATTTCCAGGGTTTTGAGAAAGCGTCTGCAGTCCTGCAGGCGATGGCCACTGGCTGCTGTGACTACAGGGCTGGATGCAAATTCCCAGAAACAGGAATCACCTTCTTTCCTCTAGGGCTTCCCTGCATCTCTGGCCCCAAATATTTCATAGCAGCCAGCACCAAGAAGAAATCCTGGGAGAGAGGAAGGCTTGCATGTTAATCCAGTGGTGATGTAATGAGAATTTCATTATCTACTCTGAATTCCCTCGTGTCCCCCATCCTCCTCTTGACTCATTAGCTCTCAGTATCTTGCTCCCTGCTGAATCTCAAGAGAATGCAATGAATGTCTCCCCCTTCCTCCAATAGACTGGCCATGGCCCTCTGCCTCCCTGCACTGACCCCAGGCCCACCCTGTGCCTTCCCTCCTGGCCCTCACAGAGGTCTTTATCCAGGCCCAGAAGTGCGCATCCTCCTTCTCCAGAGAGAATGGCATCCTTAGGGTGAGGTTCACTCTCAGGTCTGGAGTCCTTATCGGCTCTGCTGCTTCCATTCTGTGGGGTATGTGTGTGCGTGTGTGTATGTGTGCGTGTGTGTGTGTGTATGTGTGCTCCTGTAGTTCTGGCCACCCCCCAACACCACAGATATGTATTTCAGAGAGGGCTGTTCGGGTCAAAATATGACAAAATGCTTTTCAGTCTTCTGAGTCTAAAATTCCAGATAAAGATTTAGAACTATAGGAGATGATGCAGGGATGGAGAGTGGGGTTGTGGTTTGGGGAGAAAGTATAAACTAGAATTTTAAATCCATTGCACAGAGGTTACACTCAAAAGATGACAGTTTCATTCTTGACTTAGATAAACAAGGAAATATGTTTTCATATTTTAAAAAATCTGATTTTATTCTGCTGAACACTTCTGTCAGAGGGTTCTTGGAACTACCTGTCCAGGTGTTTGTGTGTGTGTTTGTGCATGTGTGTTTGTGTGCATGTGAGCATGTTAACTGGTCCCATAAACTAAGATGTGGAGAGGAAGGCAGGCTCCTCTCTGCGCTGTGGACCTGCTCCAGCTGTGCTCTCAAGGTGGCTGCTACCCTGAACACGCTGTTCAGTCTTTCAGAGGGGCAGGATCGACTTCACACTGGGCTCCATACATATAAAGGCTCTGCACTTAATGTTTTGCTATTGCCGTCTTGAGATTCATAGTAATCCGCATACAGGGGTTCTGCATTTTCATTTTGCACTGGGCCCCACAAATTATACAGCCAATCCTGTTGAGAAGAATATCATAGATAGAGCAATAGATAAAAAAAAAAATACAAATTTTTGTTGTATGTTTTGGGTTCACTTTACCTCTCTGAGCCTCAGCTGGGCTAGAATTTGGTGGCTCGCAGCCCTGACTGTACCTTCAAATCACCTGCAGGTCTTTGGAGAAATATCAACGTACCAGAACGAAGCCCAGTTTCATTTGGAAAGAATCCCAGTTTCAATATTGTTTTGGAGTTTTGTTTGAAATTCTTCAGGTGATTCTGATGCATGATCAGGTCTCAGTGTGCAGGCCTAGATGATTTCTAAGACCCCTTTAAGCTCTGTCTTCTGTAATCATGCATTCATTTCCCTCGGTGCTTGTTCAAGTTCTCATGACTGCTGCATTCAATTCCATAATATAGTCATGCTTGTTTTAATTTAAGACTCACATTTTAGGTTTGTTATTGCCTAGTAAAATTGACACTTCAGGAAGATGTTTCATGTTTATTTGTATGTAACTCATGACTTTGTACTCTTAAATGTGTGTGCAGCCCACATTAAGATTGGACTAATGATGATCTTTAAGGACCCTAATTTCTTCAATATTCCTTGCATTTGTGATCTATGACCCAAAGATCTTTCCACAGACATCCATGTTCATGTGAGAAATTAATTCCTTGGATGTGTATATGCTGTCGTGCTAACATCAATCCTGGGCCTTTGAGAAAATTTAATGTTTATACCAGAAAGGACAAAATAGGGAGTGATTGACTTCGTTCCAAAGCAGAAATTCAAATTCTCAGTTGCCCCAATAAGTTAAAAAAAGTCCCACCCTTAGTTGGTTTGGAAAACACCAATACTGTTGAACAGCTGATACCAAGCCCTACGCTGGGATTACTGTAGACAAAAACTTGGCATGGGAAAATTTGCCTTCCATGTTCTTGGTTCTTTCAGAGATCCCCCAAATGCCCAATGTGCTCAAATTGTATTATGCCCCCCTAGCCAGGCCTACCCTCCAAAGAGTGAGTACCCTATATGCCCCAAACCCTTCCTTCTTTCTCATAGCTGTCCCTGGAATAGGATTTTATAAGCTAGTTCTCACTAAAGTGTTAATTATTGATACAGTGAACTTTGTTATTTCTAAGTGTGTTATATTACATTTACTTAATCAAAAAGAATATGACTTTAAGATGGAATTTCAGGCATGTGTGGAAAGTAAGGTAGGAGTATATTTAGAACCAGAGCAGGCTTCCAGGGTCCCCTCAAATAACATGGCCCCCTCTGGCAACTAGCCATGTTTGTCATTTAAGCAACACAGAATGCTATGGGCAAACAAGTCTTTGTGAAACATGTGAAAGCATGTATTAAAAAGCTCAACCAACCAAATAAACAAAAGAATCCAAGGATGTCATTGGAATTCCTATTCACATTGCTCAATGCTGTAAACGTGAAGGTGCTTCAGTAAAACCTGGCAGATAAACAAGAGGTTAAACATGAATGCTGTGAAAAAGAGGAAAGGAAAAAAAAAGCGAATTGCAATTGAAAGAGAACTAAGCATAAAGGGTAGGCCTCTGGTGTCCCAGAAATATCTTGGGTCCGAGAAATAAGCTAAGAGAGACCTGTGAAAGATTTAATGAGAGAAATGAACCAAGGCGCCCCGTGGAGAGAGAGTGGGTGTTAAAATGCAGCCCGCCCCCCGCCACAGAATCTGGACCCCGGTACACAGCTATGTCCACGCAGAGAGGGGCTCCTTTTCCTAATGTGTCCCTTCAGAGGAAATGTCATAACATCATTTTCTAATTAGTTTGTCAGAAGACCACTCTTCTAATTTTCACAAAGATTCCCTACAAGCCAGCAGCAGCCCTGGAAACAAACCTATTTAATCTGCTGTCCCCTGGAAAAATATTTAAAGGCAGGAATAGCCAAAAGAAGCAGAATCTCATAGGAATTCAGACATAGACCCAACCAGGAAGGCACCAAAAAGAAAAAAAAAGAAAAAGAAAAAAAGGCAAGCAAAGAAGTCACAATTAGCGGTAAGAGAAAAACACAGAAACACATTTTGTAGGTCTCTGAAAATTTTCCATGGTATCAGGTCACCAATTACCAGTCAACTCTTGCCTGGAACAAACAAAAAGAAGTGACCTATCTCTCTTTCCTGCAAAGATCAGCCTGTAATTTAAGAACAATGTAAAAAAAATCAGAGTGTAGGGCTAAAGGGGTATCTCTTGAAACCTACAAGCAAAAGAAGTCGCCCTTTTTCATTTTGCTAATTTAATGTGAAAGTGAAATAGGTTCCTTTGCAACCTTGACAGCTAGCTTTCTGGGAAGGTGTCTAATATAGGACATAAAATGGAGACATGAATCGATGAGACTCATTAATATTCATAGACAGCAGATTAAGGTTGGTGGAAAAAATTATTTATGAAACGGGGGTATTGTCTTCCTTTCACCAAAAGGATTTTGTTTAGAGAGGATTGAATTGAGTGACAGGGCTATGACAGATTAGGTATGAATTTGCAGATTTCTTGGTTTATCTCCCAAAGAAACTAAAGCATTTGCAAGCAAAGAATGTCCTGGGCTGATCACAGTAAACGCTTCAGCACCACGTGCCAGTGGGTGTAATGAGGTGTCTCAAACGTGAGGTTCAGAGGCCACGGTGTGATGGAAAGCACTTGGGAGGAAATGAAAGAATGGACTGAGAGTGTGGTTATGTAACAAAGGAACAGGCTGAAAGCAAAACAGGGCTTACCTGATGTCAGAGAAAGGTGAGGGGATGAAACGGGCGATTCCTGTTTAAATGTATACATTGGGGGGATGAGAGAGAGCATAAAATCCAATAACATTGTATGTAATTTACAATTTCTCTTCTCATATTAAATATGTATTTGTTGTACTGCCTAAGAAGCCTTGTGTTATTTCTGACTGTTGTTCCTATGTGCTATTCTATAATCTAATAAAACAAGAGTGAAGGCAATGAGTTAAGAAGCAGGCACAGATCCTCAAGTGAACTCTGTGAACAATGCTTTGTACTCACACCGTTGGAGGATTTATTGATAGTTCCTTATCTGCATAAGCCCTTTCCTCCTTTATCTTTCTGATCCTTTACAGGCTTAGTGGAAATAAGCTGTTGGGATTTGTTGAAATTTTAAAGTGACAGATGAAAATTCTTTTTTGGAATTCAGCATTGAGAATGGCAGTGTGGGAACGTTGGAAGAGACCTTGAATTGTTCCCAAGGACGTCCGAAATGCCACAGATATTTAAAAGAAGTTTTCTGTTGGTTGTAATTGAAAAAATTTCAGCCTCCTATGCACAGGCCCAGCTCATTATAGTTTGAATGGTTGCTGTAATGTTGTAAGGATAATTGAAGAAGGGGAATATTTCATTAAAGACATCTACCCAAAAGGCCTAAATTAGGTAAGATCTCCAAACTAGTTTCTAAATTTTGGGGATACATATAAATGGATAGGATTGAAAAACACGTGCTGAGGAATTGAATAGGCTAATCTTTGAAAACAGGTCAGTTAGAACTGAGTCAAAGCAGAGACTGATGCAAAACAACGCAGCAGTGGCTAAAAGGAGGGTGCACAAACATAGTTTGAAAGCTGGGAGAATCCTTAGCCATCGTCTTCCCTAATCTCTTCATTTTGCAAGGGTAGAACCTAAGGCTGAAAAAGAACTTGGCCTGAATGGATCAACCATAAACCACATGTGGTACATCCATACAATGGAATATTATTCTGCCATAAAAAGGAATGAAGTCCTGACATATGCTCCAACAGAAGTGAATCTTGAAGATATCATTCTAGGTGAAAGTAGCAAAACAGAAAAGGCCACATACTATATGGTTCCATTGATGAGAACTGTCTAGAATAGGCAAATCCCTACAGACAGGAAACAAATTAGTCATTGCCCGGGGCTAGGGCAGGGGGAGTGGAGAGTGATGCTAACAGGGATGGGGTTTCTCTTTGGGGTAATGAAGTGTTCAGGAATTATATGGTAGTGATGGTTATAAAATCTCGTTAATATACTGAAATCCAGTGAGTGTACACTTTAAGATGGTAAGTTTTATATTATATGAATTTCATCTCAATTTTCTAAATTGTCCAAAAGAAATACATTAAAAGGAGGATTGATCAAAGTTGTTTAGCAAGTACCATACCCCAGGCCTCCTCGTATGAAAGGGGGCTCTTTCTATTCAGAGACTTTCTTCTCAGACCCATGTTTTTAATGTATAAAATAACATACATGAGATTAAAAAGAAAATCAGTTATATTAAAATGGAGTTATTAAAATATTTTCATAAAACCAAACTGTGACATAATATATGTATGTGCTTCTCTAATATGTGAGTGAATTCGGCATCAGTTGTGTGATGTTCATCTAGGGGAAGTTATCCAATGCAGACATTTGGTGTGACTTTTCCTTTTAAAAACAAAACCCCATTGATAATTAGCATCCCACACCCTACCAGTAAAATGCAGTTTATTAGGAAGCTAGTATGGAGAAAGATATTAACATGTAGAATTACCTCTGAATGGTGATACTGTCTTGTTTAAAATACTATTAAGCTCTGCTTTTTAATTTACTCAAGCCCCGCAGGTCCTCCCAGAACTAATCTGAACTCACAGTGAAGGTTTCCAGACACCACCAACATCGTAGGTTTTGATCTGCTCAGAGCCAAAGGACAAATTGGTTCTCTAACTCTGCGGTTCACATTCCACAGTCCCAGGGAGTCACAGCTGATCATGAGATCAGTTTTCAGGCATCTAACCCACAGGTGGCTGCCCTCTAATCTTGAGTTTTAATTGGCTGCCTTTAGTCATTTGCTTCTAATTAGTTAGAAAAGACGACTATCTGATGCAGACCAGCAAGGGAATAGGGCTTCTGGCTCTTTCCTTAAGTTGTTCTCCTCCATATGTAATATAGACGAAGCAAGTGTAATGTATATGATCTGCATGTGTGTACCCATACTCAAGTGAGATGCGTATGATCTGCACGTGCGTGTATCTATACCCAAGTGAGATGTATATGATCCACACGTGCGTGTGTCTATACTCAAGTGAGATGCATATGATCCGCACGTGCGTGTGTCTATGCTCAAGTGAGATGTATATGATTTGCACGTGCATGCATCTACACCCAAGTGAGATGTATATGATCTGCATGTGCGTGTATCTATACCCAAGTGAGATGCATATGATCTGCACATGTGTATGTCTATACTCAAGTGAGATGCATATGATCCTCAAGTACATGTAGCTATACTGAAGTGAGACGCATATGATCTCCATGTGTGTATATCTACTCACACACACATAAGTATGAGTCACATATATGTGAGTATACATACATATCCCCATCCACCTTGTCTCTTTGGACTTGCTCTTGCTTCACTATTCAAAACGGGAAGGAGCAGAGGACCCAGCTTGCTCCTCCTATCTGATGGGTAGTAGCCCAATTTCCTGACCCTTAACTCTAAGTCAGGTTACTGGACAATTTAGCTTGGCCCTCTGGCTTCTACTTAACCATTCTCTGGAGTCTTGATTCTTCCAAACAGCCTCATTAGCAGTGAATTTGATTTCTGATACTTCCAAAGCCTGCCATAATCATGTGTTTTGTGCTTTGGAGCAGGAAGTGCTCCTCCTTCTATCTCCTCTCCCACTTGCGAGTGTGACGTTCCCTTGGTTTTTGAGGCTTCAGCCAGCTCCACTTAAAGTGCAATCACCTCACTGGGTGCAGTAGGGGGGTGGCTATGACTTCTCATCTTCTCTACCTCTCATCCAGGGCGGACCTCACTAATTGAATGAACCTGGACCTAGCCTCAGACTCCTTCTGAACACAGTGAATCAATAAAGTCAACACGTGAGACAAAACTTATTTGCCAACCCTGAATTAAGCCGTTGTCCATGAACAGTGAAGAAGTAAGGTTTTTCCTCACTGACAGACAAGTATCTCCTCGTACAGTGAAAGGCTGTCCCCACCCACAGCTAACTCATTAAGACCAGCGTGTGGACTTCCGCATATAAGTTAAATGCTGCTGGACAACAGCTTCTCTAAAAGCAAAACAACATGTTTGAATCGTTGGTTAATATATGTAGGAAGAGCTGGTGCTAGGGAACCACTGGGGAGAGAAGAGCCAGAAGAAAGCTGTCTGTTCCCTGCACATTGTGAGATACCCCGCTCCCCTGGCATGACAAGCAGGTCGACACAGCTGCAAGGGTCCCTCTCATTCCCTGCACTGCCTCCTGGCCCCTGCAGTCAGCCCACTGAGTCCTCCTGGGCCTGGCAACCTGCTCTCCCTCTTCTCCCTGGACTGCTCCTGCCTTCTCTTTCTGAGCATGATTTGTTCACCTTCACGTGGACCTTAATCCCTCCAATTTCCCTCATGTCTTCAGATGCCAGCCTTAGTTTTTGAGCACATCAGGCATTGTTTTACCCACTAGCGTTTGATTATATTGTTCCATTATAACAGACCTCCCAGTTCCCTCTGCTGTTTCCACCTCTCTTAACAGCATTCCTGCCATCAAATCAGGAAGGCCTCTGGGAGGCTTCCTTGTTGAAGGAAGTATCCATTTATATTGTTTTACTCAACAATTCAGGTCCCATCTGTCATAGGATGACTTTCCTGGAACCAGACTCTTCTCCAGTCCAAACACATGC
Source organism: Homo sapiens (assembly GCF_000001405.40). Classification (NCBI taxonomy): domain Eukaryota; kingdom Metazoa; phylum Chordata; class Mammalia; order Primates; family Hominidae; genus Homo; species Homo sapiens. The sequence continues at coordinate 25,561,745 of NC_000007.14, forward strand.
CACAGCCTTACCCTCTGCACCATCAAATTCTTGATTGTCGCATATTTCAGGCAGCAAAAGATCAGCTCCACGGCCAAAAGCAAGCCTGGCAGTGGAATAAGCCTATAAACTATGCCGGTCATCTTGGCTGCAGCTCCATCTTCAGCACAGAGATCTCTCTTAACACTACTGCTTCCCAGCACAGGGAAGAGCTTAAGGAATTCATCTTCCTCTCTCAGCTCTCACGCAGGCAGGGAGGGGGTACCTGAAGGTGAATTTCTACCCTCAGGTGAAGCCTTCTGGAACACCATTTAGCCTGGAGCCTCCTGAGCCCCTGAGCCTGTAAGCTTGACTTGGGATCTGAGAATTTGTCTGTGGGATGCAGAAAATACAGCCGTGTGCAGAGCATGGGGTGCCACCTCCCACCCCCGTCCCTGCCAGCCCAGAGAGGGAAAGCAAGCTCAAAACAATCAACCAAAGAGATCAATGCCTGTTTCCCAGGCACAGCTTGTAGTAAAAGCTGCAGCCAAGGGCAAAGGTGCCAGGCAGCTAAGAAGAACATAGCTGATCCTGAGTGTTCACTTTCCTCAGTATCAAATTTTTCATGGTGCCTTTCCCATGGCTACTATTCAAACAACCAGAAGACCAGCAGGGCCATGGAAATGGTCCTGGCTTTGGAATAAGAGTTGTGTGGGGTCCTGGCTCCTGCACTTGCTGGCAGTGTGACCTTAACCAAGTCCTGGGCAGAGCAATCTCAAGGCCCCTCAGTGCCCTGCTGATAAACTGAGGGATCATTACAGCATCCTGTTCTCTGCAGTGGTTATGAGGTTCTATAGTGCAATGGAGACACACAAGCCAATTATGTACTGTAATTGGCATTACAAAGGTGAAAACTTTTCCTTTCTGTCCTTAATTCAACAGCCTGTGGTTCTCCAGGGAGAGCTCCTCTGCCCACAGCTTCCCTGCCTGGCTATCTTCAGCATTTGCAGGGGCCACCCAAGGCTGGGAGTGGGGTGCTTGGTGGGTGAGTGAGGGGTAAGTTCTCCATGCCTCTGTCTCACCCATGCAGATGGATAAGGCGGCTGAAATTAATGACATTCTGAGCCACTGCCATGCTCATCTGCCTAACAATCCAATTTCTAGGACGTTTTAGAAGTTGTTAGCTGACTGCCAAAAATGAGGATCATTAAAAATAGATTCACAGCTGTTCAGGAAGCCAGAGATATAATTTTACCTTCATTATGCCTTATTGCAGATGTTATTGATTTAATCTCATTGCATTTTACTGTGTAATATCAATTTGCACTGTCTTTGACTTGGAAATCGGGAACTGTATTTATTCTTCTTATTCTCATCATAGCAGAAGATCTGCTTCGACTGACAGCCAAACTGACACCAGGCTCCGAGGCAGTGGCAGCATTTAGGCCAGGCCCGACAGTGTGGAGTGCAGAGGCAACTTAGTGGAGCTGAGTGAGAGAAAAATAATCTAAATATGGGGCCAGTGCCTCTTTTAGGAGTGTGTCTATGCTCACAACTGATTCAAACAAACGAATCAAAATAATCCTTCTGGCTTTGCTTGCATGTCACCAAATAAGTTCGTTTAATAAATCCTTCACTTTTCTGTCAATTATTTTATCCTGAAATTTTTACAGTGAAAATGCTAAAATAGAATTTAATCCAAAATAAAATAGGATGCATTAGGATATTATTTTCCAAGAGGTATTTCTCAGAACACTTGTCACGAGATACTCAATGATTTTTTTTTTTAAGTTTCCAAACTCAAAAAGTTTAGGAAACCCTACCCAATAAATATTCCTTTAAAAATGTTGTAATATGTGGTAGCGTATTAAAGGTTCCAAGAAGCAAATAAATGTGGTTGACTTTTTTTAATCCAGCATTTCCCAAATGAATTTGAAAAAACATTTATTCTCCTCATCCATTAACATCCCTCAGTGCTAGAGTGCCCAGGAACACCCTTTGGGAATCACTGGTTTAAGATCAATCTGGAAGAAGGAAGGCCAGCTCTCTGCTAAGGAGTCTTGCATCTTTGTTCACTGCCACTGCTGCCACCATCTTGAATCGACATGAACTGTTCTTGATTTACAAAGATTTGGGCCAGGTGCGGTGGCTCACGCCTGTAATCCCATCACTTTGGGAAGCCAAGGCAGGCAGATCACCTGAGGTCGGGAGTTCAAGACCAGCCAGACCAACAAGGAGAAACCCCATCTCTCCTAAAAACACAAAATCAGCCGGGTGTGGTGGCGCATGCCCGTAATCCCAGCTACTCCGGAGGCTGAGGCAGGAGAATCGCTTGAACACCAGGCGGTGAGCGAAACTCCATCTCAAAAAAAAAAAAAAAACCAAAGATTTGGTTCATGGGCTTTTGCACCTCAGTGGCTGCTGGTGCATCCCCCACTCTTTCCCTCGTTTCAGTGCCTCAGCTTCCAAACTCAGATTCTATACCACTCACTTCCAATCTCCTGCTTCCCCAAAGCCCATGCACAACCCTAGCCCAGAAGAGCGGGGGCTGTGCTGGCCACATCACCAGGAAGTGCACTGGGGCTCAGAAAGGCACAGCACATTTTTACCAGGTTCAGCCCATATGACAGCAGGGACAAAATTATTCCAAGTGTGTACTGTTTTTGTAACATTAACAGGCTTCACAGTTTTCAGCAACTCATTTAGTCTTGGTGATCAGTCGACATACCATTCGCTAAAATGTGCAACTGTTTCTGTCTATTTTATAAGAGGTTAGAAAGAGCCCTGTGACACCAACACGCGCATTTAAAAGGGTTCCATATGCACCGTTTGGTTTGATGAGCTCACACTCAACGTTTTACCAGCTCCAGTGGACTTCATCCAGGAGGGCATGTCTTGAGGACTTTTACTGCCTTGCAGACTTCATATTACTAGCTTCCAGGCTAGTGAACAACTATGTGAACCTGATGTATTTACAGCTTTGCCACTTTCTTTTGTTCGATAGAAAACATAACACCTTTGATCATGATGTCTAACATTCGCTGTCAGTTGGCAAAGAATGTTAAGCAATTGTATGAGCATCTCTCTCCAGCCTTCATCTGCTCTTCTCTGCCCTAATTCGATGATTTCCACCCAGACCCAGCCAGTGCTCAGTGGTGGCTTAGCATCACTTCTCAGGATCACAGCTGTGGGCAATGGTTTGGGCAGGGGTTAGGTCAGGGACACAGATCCAATATCATTTGGCACTTATTCCCCGGTATTACTAACCTCCCAAGACAGGACAACTCGTGCCCCTCATAGATTCTCAGGTACAGGGCCTGGCCTTTTTCTTCTCCACATCTTCCTCATGGGGTCTGCTGTGGAGCTCGCTGCCTGTTGCTAATTGACAAGTCAGTGTCTCCCAGCTACTCAGGAACAGAGCCAGAGTTGGATTCGTAGTCTGTCCCCGGGCAGAGCCAGCAAGTTCTGCTCCAGGGGTGCGATTCTGCCAGGGCAGGCAACTTATTCCTCGGTGTTCAGACTTCATTCTCACAAGAACGCCAGTTGAGTAACACGGATTGAAAAGTTGGCTGGGGCTCATAACTGCATATTTTGTGCCACTGAGAATTATCTAGAATTTTTTGAAAAGTCATAGTCTATGCATGTATGTTCAAGAATTGTGTTTGGAACAGGCAGGGGGCATAAGTTTGTTAATATACTCATAATTTCACTGCTTTTCAGATTGCCAAGAGATCTTTGAGAATGTTTAGAGGAACTGCCTCATTTTTATAATTAGGAATCCAAACTCCAGAGAGGGGCATAATTCACAGACACACAACTAATTCACTAAATAATTAATAAGACTGAGAGAAACTCCTCCTTATGCAAATTTAAATAGGAGAATCCATTCCCAGCTCCTTTATTGTTACCTGTTTTTCTTTTCCACTTTCAAGCTATGTTAGATTTTTGCTGTTCTGATATGATTCAGAATTATGTCTCCTCTTTTAAAATCAAACTAATATGTAATTTCCAATAAAACTGTAAAGAATAAGAGACAATGACAGACCAACAAGGAAAACTCAATCTGGACTCATATTTGAATTCCTGAAAAATACTGTGAAAGAAAATACAACTAATTTATGTAATGTAAAGAAAACATACTAACATAAATAACTAGTTCTACCTCTCTTAGCATACTTTTATAAAGGCAAAATGACAGACCCAGACATATTAAGAAAAGCATAGGAAAATAGAAATACATTTTACATCGCTAAAGCTAACCATTACAATTACTACTAAACAAAGGAATAAAAAAACGAAATTAAAAGCAGACATGAAGAAAACTAGCAGAGCGGCGCCACCTAGTGTCCATTTTATGAAAAGCGCCTAACATTTCCTGCGCCCTCCTGTGGTAGGATTTAGCAATCGGCCACAGACAAGAAAACAAATTCTATAAACATATGATTTGATTTCTTTCCTCTGGAAGGAAGACAGAAAGAGATAGCATCTCAGCATACTTTCTAAGCAAGATATACTTTCATTCACCATAATTAAAACAGAACAACTACAAACATACAATTTCCCATTGATCACAGCATCCTTTCTTTGGACATAATTTCAAGTAAACCCCAACCATTAACCTTTCTAAATGAAGTTACATTTTTTTAAGCCTCTCTGCCCTATGAAATTTTGTTCAGGACAAAATTTTGTGAATACCGTTCCTGTATCAACATTGTGGTAACATTTAAAAAGCAAAATGTAAAGAATTAATGTAGAAGTAAAGACGAGAGAATTTGAGGCAGAAATTAGAATCATCTTCCACACCTCAGTTTACCTATCTGGAGTGTGGGGATAATTCTAACTCCAGTGTGCTACCTTTCTTTGGTGGTCGAGGGGAGTTGTCATTGGCAAAATCAAATGGGATTAATGTCCATGGAAGCTATTGAAGAGTAGAAAGTATATGACTTACATGAAATAGATATACTTTGTTATTTTTATTAAGAGTTGAAAACTCTAGTGAGACATCAGCACTGGCTGAGTTGAGGACAAATCAGTGAATCAGGAAATTAGAAGCCCTGAACTAGCCCCACAGCTTCTCCTTGGACTAGTCATTTAAGTCTGGGTAGGGGCCCCTTTGTTCTATAAAATGAGGATATTTTGTGCTATATGGCCCATAGTGTCTATTTAGCTCTAAAATCTTAGATTCAATAATGCAATTGCTTTCTCCCTGCCTCTGTGCCTGCAAAGACCCTCACTGCCTGTTCTCTGGATTCTTGCAATATCTTTCTAACACATCTCTCCCAGCTCCAATCAATCTCTGACAGATTAATCAGGGAAGATGAGTATTTCCAACATACATATGAAAGTGTAAGTTCAGTCATCTCATTGCCCCACTTAAAGGCCCAAAATGACTTCCCATGGCATTTTGGGGGGCAACCAGCTTTTATGGGCATCATCTGCTCTGTGCCAGGCAGTGTAACTCATGCTTTCTGTGCCCAGTGTCATTCCATCCACACAGTGACACCTTAAGATAGACAAGGTATGAACCATTTTCATGAAGGAGGAAGCTGAGGGTACCAGAGACTCAGAGAAGGACTTCAAGTCTCCCAGTGAGCGAATGCAGAGCCTAGGATGAGAATCCAGGTCTCTGGTGCCAAATGGTGTAGTCTCTGTGAGTGATTAAGAGGTAGATTTTGGAGCCAGAAATACTGGTGTTGAAATCTGGGCTTTGTCACACACTGTATAACATTGGGAAGTCTCCTGAACTCTCTATGCCTCAGTTTCCTCATCTGTAAAATGGGGATAATAGAGATAATAATGATGTTTTGGTCAATGACGGACTGCATATATGATGGTGGTCTTACAAGATTATAATGGAGCTGAAAAATTCCTATCACCTAGCGGCATCATAGCTGTCGTACCGCTGTAGGCATTACTCACACGTTTGTGGCGATGCTTCTGTAAACAAACCTACTGAGCTGCTGGTCATGTAAAAGTATAGTGCATACAATTATGTACAGTACATAATACGTGACAATGTCAATCAAAACTATGTTATTAGTTTATGCATTTACTATACTATCCTTTTAATTGTTATTTTAGATTATGCATTTACTATACTATCCTTTTAATTGTTATTTTAGATTATGCATTTACTATACTATCCTTTTAATTGTTATTTTAGAGTGTACTCTATCTACTTATGGTTTTAAAAGTTACCTGTAAACAGCCTCAGGCAGGTCATCTAGGAGGCATTCTAGAAGAAGGCACTGTTACCACAGGAGACGACAGCTCCATGGGTGTTCTAGCCCCTGAAGACCTTTCAATGGGATAAGATGTGGGAGTGGAAGGTAGTGATATAAAAAGGAAATAAATAAATAAATAAACACATTTAAAAATAGAAAAAAAGCTTATAGGATGAGAATATAAGGAAAAAATATTTTGTACAGTTACACAATGTATTTGTGTTTTAAGCTAAGTGTTATTACAAAGGAGTCCAAATTGAAAAGTTTATAAAGCAAAAAAGTTACAGTAAGCTAAGGTTAATTTATTATTGAACAAAGAAAAAGATATTTTATAACCTCAGTGTAGCCTGAATGTGCAGTGTTTCTAAAGCCTACAATAGTGCAGTCATGCCCAGGCCTTCACATTCACCCACCACTCACTCACTCATGGACCCAGAGCCACCTCCAGTCCTGCAGGCTCCAGTCATGGTAAGTGTCCCATACACTTACCATTGTACCATTTGTTTTAAATCTACTGCTGTATCTTACTGTGCGTTTTCTATATTTAGATACACAAATACCATGTGTTACAACTGCCTACAGTATTGAGCACAGTATCACGCTGTTCCAGTTTGTAGCCAAGGAGCAATAGGCTATGCCACACAGCCCAGGGGTGTGGTGGACTCTGTGGTCTAGGTTTGTGTAAATACACTCTGGGTCTAGGTTTGTGTAAATACACTCTATGACGTTCACACGGCGTTGAAATCGCTAAACATGCACGTGTCAGAACATTTCCCCGTAGTGACACCTCACGTGACTGCATTGGTACCTCTCTCATAGTGAGTCAGTGCGTGTTGGACACTGGAACAGCAGGTATCACAAAGCGCTTCCAAAGTGTTTTGTTATCACCACATTTTCTCACGGAACTAGGTAGAAAGATTTTCCCTTCCCATTGAAGATGCTTCTAAACTTGACTCCAACTTGCCTTCCTGCCTTTTCTTCTACTTCGTAAGAGTTTAACACCTAATCGTTCCTGTCCCCTACCTCCCACCCCCACCTCAGATACTTCCAAGTGTATACAGTCCTTTGTCCAGGTCTCTGCTTTTGCCGCTACTGCTGGTGTTTCCGCATTCAGAAAGTCCATCTCCGCCTCGCTACCGACCCCTGGCGGTTAACAGGGTGACCGACGAGTGGCAAGCTTGTAATAAACAGTGGGTGTTGTCGATATTGCGGTCATCAATTATCAATAGCATTACAGTAGTCCCTCTTTATCCGAGGGGGATACGTTTCATGAACCCCAGTGGATGCCTGATACCACGGATAGTACCAAACCCTATGTCTGTGATATTTTTTCCTATACATACATACCGATGGTAAAGTTTAATTTATAAATTAGGCACAATAAGAGATTAACAAGGATAACTAATAATAAAAGAGAATAATTATAACAATATACTACAGTAAAAGTTACCTACTTGTGGTCTCTTTCTCTCAAAATATCTTTTTTTTTTTTTTTGATGGAGTCTTGCTCTGTCGCCCAGGCTGGAGTGCAGTGGTGTGATCTCAGCTCACTGCAACCTCCGCCTCCAGGGTTCAAGCGATTCTCCTGCCTCAGCCTCCCAAGTAGCTGAGACTGCAGGCACACGCCACCACGCCCGGCTAATTTTTTTGTATTTTTTTTTTAGTAGAGATGGGATTTCACCATGTTGGCCAGGCTGGTCTTGAGCTCCTGACCTCAAGTGATCCGCCCTCCTCGGCCTCCCAAAGTGCTGGGATTACAAGCGTGAGCCACTGCACCCGGCTCAAAATATCTTATTGTACTGTACTCACCCTTTTTCTTTTTGTGATGAAGAAGGGATGGAGCAGGACGGCAAGAGAGTTCATCAGGCAACTCAGAATGGCACACAACTTAAACTAATGAGTTGTTTATTTCTTGAATTTCCGTTTAATATTTTCAGACCATGGTTGACCACAGGTAACTGAAACTGCAGAGAGCAAAACCACCGATAAGGGGGAACTCCTGTATTGATAACATCTTTCAAGGCCCAATCTCAAAGCCACCTCCTTCATAGAGTTTTTCCTGCCTCCCACACATCTGAGACCTCCTCCTCTGAGTTCCTTCTGACTGTTACCTGGTCTACCTCAGGCTGCTTCTCATACTCTGAGGCTACACTTTTAAAAATATAAGAACCTAGTGATATTATTTTTAATAACACATTTTATTTAACATAATATATCCCAAATATTATCATTTCAACAAGTAATCAATAAAAATTAATATATCAAAAACTAAAATTAAAATGAAAAATAACAAAACTAAAATTGCCTGTGTTGTTTGCATTATATTTCTATTAGAGAGGCCTATTCTAAAGTTACTTTTTCTCCAGCTTAATTAAAATATAATTGACAAATGCAAATTGTATGCATTTATGGTATACAACATGATGTTTTGATATACATCATACGTTGTGAAATCATTAAATCAAGCTAATTAACATATCCATCACTTCATATGCTTACTTTTTTGATGTGAGAATATTTAAGATCTCTTAGCAATTTTCAAGTATACAGTGCATCATTATCTATAGTCATGATGCTATACAATAGGTCTCTAGAATGTATTCATCCAAAGTAAAACTTTATACCTTTTGACCAACATCTCCCAATCCACACCCTACCCCCCACCCCGGGAATATTAAAAAGCGCGGTATAGGAAAGGAAGATCCTTAGCATCCCACCTTTCAAGAAGAAACACTGATGTATGGCTTCTATTAGGTTAATGCAAAAGTAATCGCGATTTTGGCCATTGCTTTCCATGGCAAAAACCGCAATTACTTTTGCACCAACATAATAGATTTTTTTTTATTTGCAAATACGTTATTTTTGACAAAGTCAGGATCCTTGACAAAGTCAGGATACTCACCAATCCTGTCTCCTCTTCTTGGGCATAGTGAAGGGTTATACTTCCCGGTTTTAAGGATTATAACTCCCCTTACAGGTAGTTGTGGTCATATAACCAGGTTCTGGCCACAGAATGTGGTCAGAATGATTCAAGCCATATCCAGTCCATTACCTATCCAGGCATTCCTGTTTGCTCTTTCTCTTTATTCATCACTTGGATGAACTCAGGGGATCCAGAGGAAGAATTTGGGGTTCTAAAAGAGAGTAGGACTACACGACAGAATGAGCTAGGATCCCTAAACCACTGAGTGGAAGGCTGCCAAACAACCCACCTCGAACTGTATCCTGAGCAAAAAATAAGCAGTTATTGTGTTAAGCCACTGAGATCTTGTATTATTTGTTAGAGCAAGCTACCGTTAATTACCTGGATAGCTCGTATTGGGCATTTGGATCCAATTTCCCATTATTATTATTATTAATAAGCTCATTATTTCCAGTTTTTGTTATTATAATCCATATTTTTAGGATGAATTGCTAGAAGAATAAAGAGTATGTTTGTTTATTTTTTTATTTATTTTTATTTTGGATACAGGGTCTCGCTCTGTCACTCAGCCTGTAGTGCAGTGGTGCAATCTCAGCTCACTGCAACTTTGACTTCCTGGGCTCAAGTGAGCCTCCTGCCTCAGCCTACCGAGTAGCTGGGACTACAGATGTGTACCACCATGCCGGGCTAATTTTTTTTTTTTTTTTTTTTTTTGGTAGGGACAGGGTCTCACTATATTGCCCAAGCTGGTCTCAAACTCCTGGGCTCAAGTAATCCACCAGCCTCACCCTCCCACAGTGCTAGGATTACAGGCATGAGCAACCACACCTGGCCAGGTATTAACACTTTTATAACTTTTTGAAACAATTGACAAAATTCCCTTCAGAGAGAGTTTAATGTAGTATCTTTCTTCTTATATCTCTTATAGATGGGAAGCCAACTAAGGCGTTTGACTTCATTTGTTTTCAAGTATCTTGCAGATAATAGGCATGTGTTAAACAGTAAACAAATTAATTATTCAGCTCTCAGTGCATATGCAAAAGGAAATACTGTTATTTTTAAAATAATGACTACGAAGTGTAGATTTCAGAAACGGCATGAATTGTATAGGCGCTTTCAAGAAACAAGAGTGATAGAAAAAATGGCAGCAAGCAACGTCAACATGCTTAACTAGTAACTTCAGCTAAAAAGAAGGTGATTTTCTTCTTCTAATTCTCTCTAATTGCCACGATGAAGCCATGGATATAGCCAGCCAGTTTTGGTAAATACCTCCCACACCTTGAGCTGGCCCCTGGCACTTGGGCTACTAGGTGCATCTTTTCATTCCTCCATGAATTCTCTGTACAAATCTCATTGCATACATCTCTGCCAGGCATTTTTAATGTATCAGAAACTAGTGAGTTATTTGTCACCATATTTGGTCTTTTAAGAGACACAAGTGTTGAATTTGGGAGGGGTAAATATAAGAACAAATGACCTGTAAGATTCTTTCCAACTCTGAAATTTCAAATGAGAGGTTCTGCAAGAAAATAAATAAGATTGTCCGCTGCATGGGCCTACTCTGAAAGAAATCACAGAGCAAGCTGGGGGCCAAGTTTCAATCTATCATGAGTGTAGTTTTCTAGAAGCCCAAGCAGTGACAATAGCATATCTCTGTTTCAACCACAAACAAGGGCTGATTCTTGCTATCCAAGTTTACCCTAGTTTATGTCCAAAATTCTTTCAGAAGATTATGATTTCACTTTGAGTAGAGTTGAAGCTTTCAAGTCCTCAGGATGCTGAGAACAGCACAGACCCAGATTCCAGCCCTCTACTAACAAGGATATTCTCATGCTATAGTAGTATGAACCTCCTCTGAGTGCAATGAAAAAACATCATGCATTTGGAACGAATGAGGTCGCCATGGCCTTTGATGCTATTTCTCAAAGTTTTATTATTGATTAGGGGATGATGACCACAGAGGAATGAGAAAGAATTCTATCATATTTATTCTTGAAGGAATTTCAGTTGTAGATAAGTGGATTCCAGAACGTCCCAAGATAACAAACTGGCAAAAAGATTTTAAAGAAAAGAAGATCATCTTTCTATTGGACACCAAACAACTTGCTAGCTAGATTTGTTTTCTCTGGCTGAATTGAACTGATTGCCCAGCTGTCAAGTGTCACCAAGACACCCTTCATTAGGGAAAGTAGAGATGGAAATTGTACCTGTTAACTAAACCTCATGCCTCTTGAAGGAAAGTCAGAAAGAGATGGGCTTTAGGGAAGCAAAGCTGCTGGCATAGCATTTTTTTGTTTTCTTTGGACATTTTCTACTCTTTGATAGTAATATGGTGACTTGTAAACTGTAAACTCATCACCTTTTCAGACTTCTAGGTGGAAGGTGACTTCTACCAATGTCCTTTGCAACCTATCATGCATATACATATACATACACATATATACATACATATATACATATGTACATGCATACACATTTTATATATACATATGTGTATATATACACACACTCAGATAAGATCAAGGCTTAGAAAATGCTGTTTGATGGAAGAGAGCTTCAACAAGCCAAAGAGGATCAGAGCCTAACCATGGTACATGTGAACACAAGGACCTCATTCTCCAGTGCCTAGGGAATTCCTGGTGTGTAGAGGGTGCTCGAAAAATATTTTTTGACGGGCAAAGAGGGAGAAAGAAGGGGAGAACCATGAAACTCTTACTGGAGAAACTTTTTTTTTTTAAAAAAAAAGAACATAATTGCCAGATCTCCTAACACCTAAGTGGAGATGTATTGACCACCTCTAATATGTTTAACATGCCACCCAAGATGTATTGACCTCCTATGTTTAATATGACACCCAAAATATAAGCAATAACAGAATGAGATTCCAATCACATTTTAGTCAGAAAGCAGGTTCATTTCTATCAACTAACTCTTGAGAATTGATCTCAGAAAAGGACAGGAAACTACATATTGGCAATGCAGTGAATCATATGCCTTTCATTATCAGCCTGTTCTCTGCTGTTCTGCACCAGCCACTTCCGCTATCTCTGTATCAACTTGTGTTATGAGAATGGCTACCCAAAGTCATATCAAATAGCACACTCCCAATTTTCTTGCCATCTAGTATACATTTTAAATGACACAGTAGCACTGAGACTTTTCTAAATTCTGAAAGCACTGAATGAAACAATTGTGCATTGTGTTAATTATGGGGAGGATGGAGAAGCTGAAAATTGTGGGGACAAAGAATCAAGGCAAAGTAGAATGTTTCTTCTTTTGTATTGGGGGAAAGGTTTTAGCCCCAAAAATGATACAGCCTTTCTTATTGTTCATGGCATTGGTGATCGATCCTTCTTCCTTCATGGAAAAGCACCCGGTGCTGACCCTTGGGGGGTCTTCAGAAAACACAGCGTTCATTAAGTTTCATAAAATCCTCCACATCTGGGTTGAGCAGCTATCTCAAAAATGCTTTCCTGGCCCTCTAAACTGAAGCCTATTGTGTTCCTCGTCTCCTTTTTTGTTTGGACACCTTCATTTTGGCTTTAGCTGTATAAGGTACTTGGGAAAATGACTGCCCTAATCATAATCTTTAAGATCTCTACAGAAGGTGTCCATAACTGGAATTTCCTCATTACTTTAATATCCTTCTAGTCATAGCTTCATGGGCCTATTATGTGTAAATTAGAAACACATTATTCCACCAGCAAAGCTTTTCTTTCAAATGCGTAGAATTTTATAACCTGTCACAATGTATTAAATTCTGGATTGTTTGTACTGAAACTGACTTTTTTCTGTAAGAAGATGTCAAAGGATCTTAATTTCAGCTAATTCTGGCAACCAAAACAAGTCTCCTCTACTTAATAGCCGGCAATGGTCTCCGCAGCAAAATGCTTCCAGCAGCAATTGGAAATTACAAAGATAATAGTGTGTTTCTTTAGATTAGTATCACCTCTGAAATGTGAAGCTTTTGCCAATTCAAAGCTGCTTTGCTGTCATTTTAAAACTGAATTTCCTGAAAACTGCTTAAATATTAAGAAAGGTTGACACAGGTAGACAAGAAGACAGAAAACAGGAAAGTTAATGGGCAGATTGAGAATGACCTGTACAGAGTTCCAAAATTTCATATGAGCTACTTCCAAATAAGGGAAAACTTGGCAGGCATGGATTTGGAATCTTCTTTAGTTTATCCTTCTTTGCAGAGTCTGATAATCTCATTATTATTGCTTTTTGGCTTCATGACCATCAACTGGAATATTTCCAGGGATGATATATTTTGGGTGGGAAAATCATTATTTCCTTCACAACCAGCTCATAAAGTGTGATGAAAACTCAGCACTGGAGTAAAGAGTTTGCCATTAGGCATCCACTCTCTATCTTTGGATATTAACTCAAATATCTAACACCCAAGAGACATTATTGGGCAAATCAAGAAAAGTTCTATGCTTGACGAAAAGTAACTAACAAAAACAGCTAATTTTAACTAAACACTAGGCATGATAGTAAGTGCTCAATGTGCACGATCTTATTTAATCCTTAAAAAAATACCTATGGGGTAGATTTATTATTATCCCTGTTTTACAGAAAATGATCCTATGACCAAAGAGGTAGAATCAGGAGTTGAACTCAGATCTTCCTGAGTTCATACCTTAAAATTTTTGTTTTAATAACATCATCAGTTTCTCCTCTCTCTTTCTCTCTCTCTCCCTCTCTCACAAGATTCACTTCCCCCTTTTCTAAGAACCCAGGAATGTCAAACTCTCTATAAGAATGAGCTTGCCTGAATCATAAAGGAGATTCTGAGCCAGATATTGGAACTTCTTGTTGGTACCCCTAGGTCTCTTTGCATTTACGTAACCGTAGTACTTTTGTTCCCCATTAAGTAGGGATGCTGTGTGGCTGAGAATGTTCCTAAAAGATGCAGGCCTTTGTATTCAAGACGAACAGGTTACAGACCGATTTCCAAGGTACTCCAACTGACTAACCAATTCAATCAATTTGGGATTGAATAGAGCAAATCAATGGGTTGTCTTGGCATTGTGCCAATGGAGTTTCAGCCAGACTCAGTCAACTTCTGTGAATCTATCATTCTAGCTGCTTGGCCCTGAGTATGCAAACCAGTTGGTAGATGTTTTTTACTTTTCTCTCATTTAAAAAAAATTATGATTTTCCTTGTATTTTTGGCAAATTCTTCCTGAAACAACTCTAAGCTTGATGTTAAACTATTTTACCGATTATCCTCATGGTAATGTCAAATGCAGGTGTGCTTAATTTAAGTATTAACAATAAAAATAATTAAATTTGCTCTAAAATAATAACAGCATATACTTGTCATGCTTTATGGGCTATAATTTTTTTGTTTGCTTTTATCTGCATGTGGTTTCCAATAAGAAAATTCTCACAAGTGATATTCTCAGTTTTGTTGTTTACGTGACATGGGAAACTTGGACAGTCTCCTTTAAGACAGATGTAGCTTGGATGCCTCACACCTGAACAAGGACTCTCTTTTAATCAAGTGACTGCTGGGTTGCAATTAATAGAAAGTCACTCAAACTAGATGAAAAACAAAATGTACTTTATTAAGAAAGTGTTTTAAAAACAGAAACCAGAGCAAAAAGTATTTGTCAATGAACCAGAAGTTCAATTAATCAGAAAATTATTTCCCAAAGTGTTCTAACTCATCCAATTCCAGGCTTCTTTTTGTTCATTCATTTATTCATTTGTTCCATTAAGATGTACTGAGTGTCTATGATCAACCAATTATTGGGGACACAGAGATGGGGTGTGTGTTAGTCTGTTTTCACATTGCTATAAAGAAATGCCTGAGACTAGGTAATTTATAAAGAAAAGAGGTTTAATTGGTTCATGGTTCCACAGGCTGTACAGGAGGCATGGATGGGAAAACCTCAGGAAACTTACAATCATGGTGGAAGGTGAAGGGGAAGCAGGCACATCTTACATGGCCTGAGCAGGAGGAAGAAGAGAGGCAGGAAGGTGCCACACACTTTTAAAGATCCAGATCTCATGGGAACTCACTATCACGAGAACAGCAAGGGGGTAATCTACCTCTTGATCCAATCACCTCCCACCAGACCCCTCCTCCAACAGTGAGGATTCCAAATCCACATGAGATTTTGCAAGGGACATGGACCCAAAGCATATCACGGTGCTTGTATCTTTGCTTTCAATGAGCCTCATCTTCCCTTCCTTGGTATTCCTTCCTTCTGAGTGTCTCTGTTCACATGCTATTGAAGCATTGCTTAAAAATAATGCAAAAGATAGGAGTGAGTTAAGGAGAAGTTATAAAATGGTCATTCACTCTTTTTACTTTTTTTTTTTTTTTTTTGAGACAAAGTATCACTCTGTCACCCAGGCTGGAGTACAGTGGCACGATCTCGGCTCACTGCAGCCTCCCCCTTTCAGGTTCAAGTGATTCTCCTCCCTCAGCCTCCGAAGCAGCTGGGACTACAGGCATGTGCCACTATGCCCGGCTAATTTTTGTATTTTTAGTAGAGACGGATTTCACCATGTTGGCTAGGCTGGCCTCGAACCCCTGGCCTCAGGTGGTCCGCCTGCCTTGGCCTCCCAAAGTGCTGGGATTACAGGCATGAGCTACCACACCTAGCCTTAACTTTCTTAAATATTAACTTTGAACACCGGAATTGTGGACTTGATTAAAATGAGTACTTAGGTAAATTTCTGTAGAATGCACTACTTATTGGCTTTAAGGAAAATACAACTCAAAATTTTAAAAATTGAGTTCAGTAGGTCAGTACTGACATGATTATTTCCTTTGACTTGTACTTAAGGTTCTAACAGAAGAAATCTCCTAACGCCCCTGTTGTCGTCAGGCCTTTGCCCTGCTCAGCTGCAGGAGCAGTGGTTCTCCAAACTTGCATGCACCCTCTCAAGCGCCTGGAGGACTGGTAAAAGTCCCCATGGCTGGGCCTCATCTCCTGAGTTCCTGATTTCTTAGGTCTTGGCTGGGGACTGAGAGTTTGCATTTCTAACAAGTTTCCAGGTGATGCTGCTGGTCTAGGGCCCACACTTTGAGAACCATTGATCTAAACAAAGGTTACTCAAAGTGCCATGTGCAGATGTGAGCTAATTGTTACTGATCTGCAACAAGGCAAGCATGGAAATAGAAAGTATACATTTGGAATGTTTTATAATTTGACACTTTTATGGCTTCCCAGTGCATGATCAGTGGGCACACCTCATTAAATAGGATATAGATGAGTTCAGAGCTGTCGCATTTGCATCATGAGGCACATGTGGGGCAAGGTGCTGCTGGAGCCCACATTTCATTCTACGGTAGGTTGAAAACAGAAAACACTGGTCATTCACCATGCATAGTTTGAGAAGCATTGCTTCCTAAACCATCATGCTATATTGCCTCATTATTAAAAATCAAACAAATAAATGGTTAACACACAAATGAGTCAGGTTCATTCTTTCTTGTATTGTACGGGGCAGATGGGAGGAGGAATGGGCCAGACCTTGGCCTGGAACCCACTTCCTCAGGAGGCCCAGGGGAAATGGGCAGAGCTGAAAAGACTGGCCTCGAGTGTGACACTACACATCATTTGGGGGACAGAGGACAGCCCAGAGTCCAAGGAGCTTAGGCCCCTTTGAGGTTTTAGGTCTGAACAGAGAAATTGATCAGTTAGAATTAGGATGCCCACTCCTGCTTGAGGATTGAATTGGGTAAGCAAGAAGGTTGGCTGCTTCCCAGTGAGGTCGACATGGATCCCTCAATTACAGGTAGTCAAGGTGGGTTGAAACCCAATACAGAAGATTCTCAATTGCCACAAGTCACCTAAACCCCAGGTCTGGGAAACTGAGGTATAACCTGGTCTTGGGCATGGCTAAGTCTGCAGGTGGAGACCAAAAGCAGCCCTGGCCACAGCACACATGGGAAGGCAGGGACCAGGAAAAAGTAGGTTAGAAATCATCTCCTGATCTCAGCGAATTGGCTAGCATTTTCTTTTATATCTTTAAACACTTTTATTAAAATTTCCAATGATCTGATTCCTAATTATGAGGATTCAGCTGTTCTCTGCCTTCAATTGTAGGGTCCTCTTGAGCTGGCTAGAAGGATGCCCATGTGAATGAGGGCTTCTCTATGATTTTAAAGCTTGATGAATGTGCTTCAAATAGACTTTGCTAACTGTCTTTTCTAATGGATCTCCTGATGGCTCTACAATTTTACTAGCAGTGATTTATTTTTTAATATTTTGCACTTCAAGCTCTGATAAATTCAGTGTTCTTTCTAAGCACTTGTACAAATTAGATTGCAGTCAGAGGAGTTCAGCATTTTTACATGTTCAATACATCAAGATCTGATAAGCAGCTGTTGCAGCTGTCTGCTTACCTCTCTGGTCCTCATTGAAATCTGCCCTACTCCACAGCCTTCCTTGGCTGGATTGATCCCAAGAAGAGGTTTTCATTACTTTATATCTAGAAATAGCCTTCAGCTTGTTCTAATGATCTCCAGTCACCAATTTGAAAGAGTGCCCTTAGATGTCCACCAGTTACCTCTTGAACTTCATTCTTCCAGCCAGAGAACAAACTGCCCCAAAAATGCTGCAGACTGGCTGACTCAGCAGTGGTGCTACTGCCTGCTGATAAAGATGTGAGTTTAAGACCATCAGCTAGGAAAGTGGAAAGCAGTAGGACATGAGGTTTCACACGGGGGTCAGATAAGCCTGGGTTTCAATCTTGCTGTGTCATTTAGAATGCTTTTGATTGCAAGTAACAGAAAAAACAAGTGAAACAGCTTTAACACCAAAAGTTAGTAGCTGATATTGGAGCAGAGGCAGAGGACGCTTCCAGGTTGGTTGTTCAGCAGCTCAATGTCACCAGTAGTTCCTTTTCTCTCTACTCTGCTGTTTCAGCTCCATCCTCAGACTGATTCCCCGATTCCTCTCAAAGCTTCAGGCTGGCTCCAGCAGCAAGTGAGGCTAACTGCTTTTTCATTAGGGGCCAGCAGGAGAAAAAGAGGGACAACTGCTCTCCGCCAGTTGTCACACCGCCAATCGGATTGACTAGGGTAATGTCCTGCACTGATTAGCTGAGGTCTGGTTTATCTGAGCTATCCAATAAAACCACTGTCCAAAAGAAATAGGATTACCGCAGTTGTTTTAAATCAATTACAGTCACTCAATGGAGTTGAGGATGGAGCTGATCACACCAAAACCAGAAGTGCCCCTGGGGAAGAAGAAATGGATACTGGGGAGACCACCATAACATTCGTGATACTGGCTCTGCTGGTTGTATTCTCTTAGCCTAATCTTTTAACATCTCTGAGCCTCAGTTTTCTCATTAGTAAAAGAAGATTGCCTTGGTATCGACCTTCCTGGCTGTTCTAGAGATTAGGAAAAACATAGGATCATAAAGAGCTTTGCACTGGGCTTGGCACACTGTAAGGGCTCAATAAAAATTATGAGGGAGAAGATAAGTGAAGGGAGGTGCCCATTACATTTAAACATTACATTCTTTACAAGGCTTGTTTCAAGTGGGTCTTTTTCCTTAGCGTATGCACATTCAACGGCTATAAGTGAACAACAAAGACTTTGTTCAGAAACACCATTTATATGACTTATCAGGGCATGATTCACGTGAAGAAACTCAAGCTAGGCTGTTCTAACACATGGGAAGAATATCTGAGTTTAATACTACTACTAATAATGTTAAAACTCAAAAGATGAAATAAAGAAAAAGAAGAAAGTGAAGAGAGAAGTAGTTACAATTTATTGAGCATTTAGAGGTGTTATACTAAGCACTTTACAGGCATTGTGAGCCCTTGACATTGATTTTATTACATCTATTTGCATATGAGAAACACATTTACAGAAGTTGAGGAGTTTGCCCAAAGTCAATAGCCAGTAAATGACAAAACCTGGATTTGAACCCAAATTAATATGACTCCAAAGTTTATTTCATGTTCTCTACACCAAAACTGCTTGCAAGGGAGGGCACCCCATTCATTCATTTATTCATTCATTCATTGATTCATTCACTCACTTGAGCTCTCAGCAGATGGTCCCAGAGTCCCTGCCATGGGTCAGACACTGCTTGGTGTTCAGGGAAAGAAAGATGAATAGTACACAGGGGTACTTTTGAGATTTACACAGTGTGCAAGTCCTGGACTCCTGGCTTGTTTTGGGGAGTTTTTCAGGGCAAGACTTGCGAGGGGCAGGGTTTTATGCCCTTTTCTCAGTCAAATGAGAAGTGTTGGATCACTGAGGGTGATGGAGGCTGGCCATGGGCTGCTCTACCCCAGTTCCCTCCACCATCTGCTCTTCCCAATGAGACAGTTGAATCTTGCGATATCTCAGGGTGAAAGAGGTCGGAACATCAGAGGTCACCTTAACTCTCCATAACCCTGCTCCAAAAAAATAATTGTTTCAAAGGGAAATGGCATGACCAGTCAGATTCCTCTATGTTTGGAATCTGGACTAGACAACATGGATGGGTCTCAATGTTTAAATTGTCAATTCTGTTCAATTTAATTTATTAAAAAGTAAATGCAGCTGTTCTGGGATGGCTTATGTGCTGCAGATAGGGCTAGGTGCCAGAGATGTGTTAATATGTCAGCATCACAATGCCCCTGGCCTAAGTACACAGGCTGGCAGAACAGACAAACATAGAGAATATGGTATGCATTCTAATAGATTCCTGCCTGGTATGCCCCAATGTGGCTGAATAAGTTGTTAACATTTGTGTTACATTTTGGAAGATAAGTCCAGACTCGTTGGTAAATGCCCTCCTGACTGCCCAGGATCCATCCACCATCTTCTACACTTTCTGCCCTGACCCCTTCTCCAGGATGACTCCCCTCTGACTACATGTGCACTTGCCCATGACCCAAAAACTTAAGTCTCTAAGCCCCTCTCCAGCACCACAGTAGCCATCTGTTTTAATTGGTCCACATCTGTGCCATAACAGTACTTAAATACTTTGAGTGTCACCCCTAAATAAAGACACATACCACATGCTTCCTGGGAGTCCAGGAATGGGGAGAAAAAGTTGGGACCAACCAAAAGAGAGATTGCCTCTGAGAACACACACTGCTGGAACATTTTTGCTTCCTTGGATCTCTGACCACACGTCAATCATGGTCCTAGCACTTCTCAAAACTTCTCGCCCTTTACTCCCATCCTGCAGTCATCCTGCTCTGAGGCTCGAGGCAGCTGCTTACTGCCGTAGTCAACCAAAAGGCGCCAAGACATGTCTTAAGCACGGGGCTCCCAGAAGTTGGGGCCTGCCTCCAGGGAATAAGCTTCTGTGTGCACTTTGGTTTTGGTTTTTGTAGAAAATAAAGGACAAGCAAGTGGCTGGGTTCCCTTTAACCGATGATGGGAACTCTAACCATTAGGATGCTTTCGTCTGCAAGTGAAAAAACAGAAAGATTCAAATGACTTAACAGAAGCGAAAGTTCAAAAGAAGAGTAGTGTGAATCCCAGGCTTGATTCAACCTCTGTCCTGGTGATCTCATCAGGGTTCCATGTTTCTCCCATGTCTGTGCTGTGCCTGTCTCAGCTTAGCTTCAGCCTCAGTCAGGGCCCCTTATTGTTGCAAGATGGTGGGCAGCATACAAAATCTAAAAAGCTGTATTTTCTGGTGTTTCTGTCCTTAGAGGAAACCTTTCCCAGATGTCCCCAGTTGGCGTGTGGGCCTATCTCATAGTCAGAAAGGGGTCACATATTCACCCCTGATTAATGGTCCTTGAAGGGATTGCAGCCACCATTGCTGGCTTTTAAAATCAAGATTTGCCCTTAGAGTTGGAATAGGGATCTCTCTCCATGTCTCATGGGGTTCTGCTAGCAAATGAATATCATAGGCAAACAGTAATTGATGCTACCAGAACCTACTGGAAAGAGAAAGACCAAATTAGAGCAGATGGTGTTGGTAAACAAGGTGGAGTGCATGAGAGTGTGTCACTAGCGACTAGAGGTTAAAGGCAAAGGGCTTTGGAGTAAGGAAACCTAATTTAGAGTAATAGTATTACCTGGGCCATTGTTTCAGTTATTTGTTACTGTGTAATGCGCACCCCAAACTTTGGTAGCTTAAAACAACTATCCATTATTGCTCATGGGTCAGCAATCAGTTTGATGGTTCTTCCAATCTGGGCCAGGCTCATCTGAGTTCATCTGGACTTTCTCATATGTCTTCAGGAAGCTGGCTGGTCTAGAATGGTCTCTGCTAGAATGGCTTATGGGCTCCACGTGGTCTCTCATCCTTCAACAGGCTAGTCCAGGCTTGTACACCTGGCAGCCCAGAAATTTCCAAGAGAAAAAGCAGAAGAGTAGGAGGTCTCTTGAGACCTAGGCTCAGAACTAGGACACTGTCAGCAAAGCCTCGTTCTATTGTCCAAACGGAAGCCATAAGAACAGTCAAAAGCTGTGAAGTCACATTGCAGAGTGTGGATGCCAGGATTAATGAAGAATTATGGCCACCTTGCAATCAATCTACCACAACGACATTTGAAAGTCATTTCTCTTCTTTGCACCACAGTTTCATCACTTTTTATGAGGAACTAATAAAGGTATCCACCTCAAAGTCTTGAGAATTAAATAAGAAAATGCATATAAAGTACTTAACATAGTATTGGGCACATGGTAAGCATTAAGAAAGTAATAACTCTCATCGTGCTTGTGTATTGATGATCGCAGTTAGAGTTGTTATCATTATTATGTTTATTTTAATAATTATGATGATGTTGAATTTCTATCTGCTGGCTTTTAACACACTTTAGGATATAAGTCTAGTGAAACTGTGTCCAAAAAATTCTAGACTTTGTGGAAACCCTAGTTGGCAGAGCAGAAGGCTACTGATCAGAGATGGGTGATTGTTGAGAGTTCCCCATCTGCCTCCCCATGCTGTTTGGTGAGTATCATTCTCTTTAGGTTTTTGCTGTGCTGGCTGCTGGGAGCTCCCTAAGCTCATTTTCTGTTCCTCAAGTGGAACAGAGAATTCCTACGCTTCCTTCTCTAAGGAAGTGTAGTTTCATACTGTGATTTCAGCAGAAACCACTAATTTTGGCCAGCATTGCCCCCTGAAGGAGAGGAGCAGGCTTCACTCCTGCGACAGCTGACTTTCTGTTCCTTTCTGCTGTTGTCTCTGTGCCCAGTGCTGAAGTCCCTGGAGATGATCATGAAATTCAGGGTGACCAGGTTGGGCAGTGAGGAAGCGGAGAAGTCTCCCAGCCTCCTCTCACACCTACTCCTCGCCAAATCTCCAAGAATTAAAACCAGTTGGCAATTTCTTGGAAAAAGGGAATCGGCCTCTTAAATCTTGAGAAAAGAAAAAGGGTGTTTTTTTTTTTTAATGGCTATTTTGTTCCTGATGATCCTGGCATTTGTACCCCATGCAGACTCTGAACACGTGCAGGAGCTCGTTCCACAAGGCAGCCTGCTAATTTCATTTGCCATCACAGTTTTCCCATCTGCTAAGGGATGCACCCAGACAATTTTCCACATATAATTCACAGTCCTTTGTAATTTAGGCTCAAATAGAATCAACAGCTTGATCAAGACGCCATGGCAAGGACTTCAAGGGCAGGGCTTCCATTGTCTCCCATCTTTTGTGAGTGCATCCTCTCTCTGGCCGTTCTCTGCGTCTCTGTTTATGTCTCCTCCTACCTTGTTTCACAGTCCCTCACAATTTGTATTTGTCCTTCTCTTTCATCAAGCACGATATTTCTGTCTTGCAAATGTGCAGGTCTAACAAGATTCCTCCCATAGATTATGCAGCACAATGATCATTTTTGGGCCCCAACTTGCTAATTGCAGCCCCCACCCCCACTTCATCTGGCCAAGGCTAAGATGGATGCTCAATTTGCATTATTTATGTCTTTTTCTCTGTGTTTCTGGTGATGGCTTTTGCATAACATAGGTAAAATTTTGCTGACATCAAGAATTCATTTGGCTCGAGATGCTCAAAAGATTGTAGGAGTGGGGGGGACCCGGTTTGTGTAAACTCAAAAACCATCAGACATCCTTGCTCTCATCTGTTTCTTAGAGAAAAGTGGGCATTTGCTCCTAGCATTGGAAGGCGGCTTTTCATGAGAGTTCTCTGGATTACCTTGGACAGTCAGGTGAGCTCTTTTGTTTAAAGAACTTTGGTTCCTTTTGAGCTGTCAGTACCCTTTCTTTGAAAGGGCAGGGCAAGGCACCAAGGCTCATTTTAAAGTTCAAACACAAGTCCGTTGCCACATTGCAACTACAGCTAAAGATCATCAGAGCAAGGAGATCTCAGACAGTGTCTAATTTGACCTCCATATTTTGTCGAGGAAGAGACTGAGGCTCAGAAACAAGCAATGGCTCACCAAGGTCACAGAACTGCCACCAGCTAGTTCTGTGGTCTATCATTTTATTTGGTCCTTAAATCCCCTCCAATAGAACAGCAACCTTAAAGGGATCAGTCACTATTCTAAGCACTTCGCATATATTATCTCATTGAATCCTCATAAAATACCTATTCACTGGGACTTGTTGCTATCACCTTCGTTTCATAGATGAGAAGACTGAGGCACAGAGAAGGAAAATAACTTGCCTAAAGTCACATGGCACTAAGTAGCAGAGTTTGGATTCCACCCCAGGTAGCCTGGTTCAAGACTGCTTGATGTAACCACTCTGTTCTCCAACCTCGCTGAGCTGCCCCATTCCCCATATAATAATGCCCAAATTCCTTATTTTGCAACATAAAGCCTTCTACTCCTGGAAAAGCAGCCTGGTATTGGGAAAGGCAGTCTAGTGTGGGCAGTTTTGTGATTCTGCTTGGCCACATAAAAATGGGCCTTGGGCCTAGAGCTCTTCCTTACCAAGAGGTAGGGGCCCTCATAGCCTGTGCTGGGCTCATCACCTTGTGCAGGAATCTTCCTCTATTTCAAACTCAATGAGTACTGCTTAGGCGCAGGCATGGATGGCCCTCAGGCATGTCCCCTCACCTGCCCCCCGCCACCCCTTTTCTGCAATTCAGACCCCCATGGGGGAAGGGGAGGGGTCCTTCTATTCTCCACAAAGTGGGGTGCATGTAGCCACATCACCCACTTTTGCTGCAGGGTGGATCGATGGCCCTAGGGGCAATGCACTGCCAGCTGGATCTCATGCACACTGTCTCTACTCTCTTGCTGTAAGAGAACTGAATGCAGGAGAACCAAGGAGGCTGGTGTGTGTTTGCTCAGCTAGCAGCCTCTAATCATGCACTGGTCTCTTCCTTGGGTGGCACTCATCTGCCTTTTAACCTTGGCTGTACTTATTATATTCTATTCTGACACGCAGCCTAACACCCAGGGAACTGTTTATGAAGCTGCTATGCTGGGGATGACTTTTTGGCTACTTTCATGCATTCACTCTTCTTTGGGTACGCACGGATTTTCTCCTGGAGAGATACTCTTGGCTCCAGCAGAAGGCATGTGACTCAGGACTGGCCCATTAGAGCATCCCATTCCACGTAAGAGCTGGGCGTGTGATCCCTCAGAGCCATGTGCTGGAAAAGACTTGCTTATACCATCAAGAGAGAAGTAAGATTCTCTCTTCTCCACCAGAGCTCCCAGAGCTAAGGACATGAGGTGGGAGTTATCCATAGTTGTCTAGAGAATGAGGCCACTATGGGCCAGATCAGAGCTGAGATGAAGAGGTGGAGAGACACAGGGTCTCTTTGATACCATCTTAACTCTTACCGCAAGCTGAGCCCAAAGCCAGCTACTCTCTAGAATACTAAATTCCATGAGCCAGACGTTTCCCTTTTACTTAAGCCAGTTTGATTTAGGTTCTGTACTTGGAACGAAACTCTCAAATGATTACTGGGCTTCACCAAGTTCTTAGTCTCTCCACCTGGCCCTGCCGCCTCAAGCTCTGTCCTCTTTGAACTTCCTCTTTTCTCAAGCTGAAGTGCCAGTAAGAAGATGCAAGTCAAGCATCTTGTTGCATTTTGCCTGTCTCCCTCCTCTACAATGTAAGCTTCGTGAGAGGAACAAACAAAGAAACAAAAAAACCTAACCTGTCTTATTCTCACTGCTGTAGCCCCAGTGCCTTGAATAAGTCCTAGGACAGCAATAGGCACCCAAAAAATACTGTTGAATAAATGAATAAAGCTTTCCCTGATCATCTTCCCTCTCCTCCCTTTATGCTAAGTTGCTCATCCCCTATCAGACAGTGTTACATTATTCATCTTATACATTCCCTTTCCTAAATTATGAATTCTTTAAGGGGCCTGATACTTCTCCATATTCCCTGTGCCTAGCAGAGTTCCTGGCATAAAGTAAGGGCCCAAAATAATGGTTAATAGAAGGAATCAATTGATTAGGTCAACAGAACACTCTTCATTATACCATCTCAAGCTTTCTTAGCTCCCTGGTTGAGGTTTGCCTTATCCCATTCTCTGGCATCATTCATAATCACCACCTGGGGCTCAGCTGATGGACAATGGAGCAATTAACTTTCTAATGGCCAAGATATGAACCTTCCTCCTTCATGGTCAAGGCAGGAGGAAAGGACACAAAGAAAGGGCTAGCTACCACTCTCTGGGTTAGGTGATATTCAAGCTAGGAGTACTGGCTCAGAAAAGGAACCCCTGAAAAATAACAGAAGGAGGTGGAATGCATGCATTCAATCCACATAACAATCTCCTTGTGCAGGAACTGCACTTGGTTTCATAGTGAGCTCAAGTGCAATATAGTTTGCAGTTACTTTTGCTCCCTTACTTAGCTTTAAAGCTTTAACCTCACTTTGCTACAATAATGACTGCCACATCAATCAGGTCTGGCTGCATAGGATTATCATATCAGTCTATATGTTCCACCAAAGAGTAAGGAGATAATATAACTGCTATTACATTATAAGCTCTTGTTGAACAATAAACCATGCTTTTATGATTTATAACAACACATACTATAGTATTTCCATATTAAAAGACTAGAGTGATTTTACAAAGGAAACTCTTGGTAGACAGTACTTAATTACTACATATGATATGTATTTCATATGCATAATTCTGACATATTTATAAATCATGTTACATGATATATTCAGAAACTCTTTATAAGTGATAACTGTATTTTCTTTTCTTTTTTTTCTTTTTTTTTTTTTTTGAGATGGAGTCTTGCTCTGTTGCCAGGCTGGAGTGCAGTGGTGTGATCTCAGCTCACTGCAACCTCGGCCTCCCAGGCTCAAGCGATTCTCCTGCCTCAGCCTCCCCAGTAACTGGGATTACAGGCACACGCCACCATGCCCAGCTAATTTTTGTATTTTTAGTAGAGACAGGGTTTCACCATGTTGGCCAGGCTGGTCTCCATCTCTTGACCTGATAACTGTATTTTCTAAGCCACTTGCTTCCAAATGCAGGTTTATAACAAAGCTTTTATGGACCCAGAAAAATAAGGGCAATGATATTAGATATATCTTATATGTGTATGTATATAGTATGTGTGTATGATTATAAATTTATGAATGTTCTTTCTTGGGAAAAAAGGCCATTTATTCAAAGACCACAGACTCACACTTTTTTTTTTTTTTTTTTTGAGATGGAGTCTCACTCTGTTGCCCAGGCTGGAGTGCAGTGGTGCAATCTCAGCTCACTGTAACATCCGCCTCCCAGGTTTAAGCAATTGAGACTCACTTTTTTACTTTTTAATATCACCAACGGCAAGAAAAAAGGGCAAGAAATGTCCTCTCTTTTATGAAATAACAGTGTTTGTTATACTGGAAAAATATTGGGGTATTATACTTCAATCTCCTCAATTTTTTGACATTTTACCACATTCTCGGTTTATTGATTTTACTTCATTAGCTCATAAAATTACTCCAGCAAGGGCTCTCATGCTCTGACAAAACCCACAATGGGCCCAATCCTGACACTGCCTCTCTGGAAGTGGCCCATACCCCAAATTGTCCCTCTCTAAACCCTCCACCTCTCCGCCCCTCTGGTACCTGTACTCACCTTCTAATAGGAGGAAAGGCATGGAGAGCTATGAGACTTTAACTCAATGCTTTTTTCAGAGTGCTTGCATTATTAAACAGGATGCATATTACTCCAAAGGGTGATTTCTTATCATGAAATAAGCATGAAATATTACTCTTATTACTCCAAAGAGTAATTTCCTATCAGGCAGTGAGGTCAAGTAGGGTGAATAATTGCAATCAGCATTGGAAAGCTAATGTTGAGCACTTTAAATTAGAACCCTCAGCTGGCTCTCCTGAATGTCTGTCCTCAATGTAAACAGGTTGCTGGAAAAGCCAGAGCAGCAGTCTAGTGATGCCCCAGAAAATAGTCTTTCCCATGAGGTCGGAAATAAGAAGTCATTTCAATATCAGTATGGAAGTGGAGCTAAGAATAGTAATCATCTGCTGGTTATGCCACAAACTTCTTCTGTTTCATTTCTCACTCCCTTTATGACCTTTCTTTCTTCCCACTTTTTATTTTTTACCTCCCTCTTGTCACAAAACACTTTCTCCAAATACTTGAAACATATATTTAGTTGGTACAGCTAGCTACACATTGATATGATCTCTTGTGCAATTTGGATAATGGATTTCCAAGCTTTATAAGGAAGAACAAGCCCTTTTCCTTCTCTCCCAGAAAAGAAAATGAGATCAAGGACCCTTGGCTAAGAACATAATCAAGCCTTATTCAAATAGTAATCTTCAGCTTTTTCTCTTGAAAACTAAGGGAATGTCCATCCAAATCCCAAAGAGGAGAAAGAATATGTGGAGAGAAGAATGTAGAGGAAAGAACCAAGCAACATGACATGGAATTCATGGAGATAGCTGTATCTATTCAATTACAGCATAGGAAATGTTTCTGCTCTTCCTAAAGAGTTTGGGTAGTCCTGTCTGAGAGACTTAATGCTCGTTTCGGGAGATGTGTGCATTTAGGACAACAGTCATGCCTGTAACTCCAGCTGCAGAGGAGACTGAAGTAGACAAGCCCATGGCCACCCTAGGTATGTTTTATATGCCTTCCTCCACACCCCCAAACAGTATTGCCCTTCTCTGAGACCTAGGATGGCAATGGCCACTACTTCTGATCCTACTGAAGGTCCTCTCTGCATCTGTACTTTTCTCAGACTTGGGGAAATACACAAAGAGAAGTAGAGTTGAGGACCCTACTTCAGTTCCCACTTCTGTAACTGGTCAGGAAGCCCAACTTGGTCATCACAGCTGCCTTCTCCCCACCCTTCCTATGTTGTCTCTACCCACTGCCAGCAACTCAGCCAGGTAGGCTCTTACCTGATGGGATGACCAAACTTTCAATCTGGAATAATCTGAGTGCTTGATAGCCTTGGCCTTAACTGTGTTGCCTCACTTTTCCAGTGCCAGAGATTTTTGGGCAAGGGAGTGTGGAGACTGGATTGAAAGGCAGATACAGACTTAAATTTGAAAGGTTAAGAAAGGTATGCAAAGGTAGCATTATTGCCTAAAATATTTCACCAGAAAGGTGAACCTGAGTCTGATCATGCTTCTAGCTTTAACTAATAATTTACTGGGAAATACAGGGAAAAAGGCCCTGATATTTTTAATAAATTGAGAAGGAAGCTGTAGGGGAGATATTTAAAGACTAAGAAAGGCTAAGAGATTTAAGAGACATACCAACAAATTGCCATGTGTGAACCTTGTTTGAATTCCGATTTTAACAAACAGCCTCTTCCACCTCATTAAGAGATAAATATCCAGTACTTTTACTTTTCATGCTTAATAATTTTATTAAAGTTTATATTGTTGTTTGTTAAATATCAGTGGTAGAATTTTTAATACAAAAGATTAAGGGCACAATGAATAAAACTATTAATTTCAAATTTGATACATATTTTCGTTGCAGAGAAGTAAAATGTTCAAGAAAAGTCTTTTAAGTATGACAATACATTTCATTAAGATAAAACCATATGGAGAAAGTAGAATATAAAGAATGCATTTATAGAGATAAAGAAATGTAAAATTTCAAGAGCTTGTTTCTATATTTTTTTTAAAATAGTGAGATAGGCATCAAATTGTTATGATACTTAGGTTCTGTGGATACATTTAAAAGAGTAATATAGACCAGGCGTGATGGCTCAAGCCTGTAATCCCAGCACTTTGGGCGGGCAGCTCACTTAAGGCCAGGAGTTCGAGAACAGCCTGGACAATATGGCGAAACCCCAGCTCTACTAAAAATACAAAAAAATTAGCTGGGTGTGGTGGTGCATGCCTGTAATCCCAGCTACTCAGGAGGCTGAGGTGGGAGAATTGCTTGAATCCAGGAGGCGGAAGTTGCAGTGAGTCGAGATTGCACCACTGCACTCCAGCCCGGGTGACAGAACAAGACTTCATCTCAAAAAATAAAAAAAATAAATAAAAGAGTGATATAACAGTAGAAATGTGCCAGAAATTGCGTCCTTCATAACTGTCAAACATGCCAGAAATTGCGTCCTTTGTAACTGTTACAACTTGTGATTTAAAAAATTTAGATGCTAACTTAAAAGTGTGACAGGGTCCATAGTTTCAAAATTCTTTCAGGGGAATCTAAGAAAAAGAGATTAAAAATCCTTGCTGAATCCACTAATGCTCAACAATTTTTTTGGACTCGTGTTCGTTTTCTTGCATTAATACCTATCTACTCTCCTCAGAATGCATTTTAGGAAGAAAAATTTATATACTCTAAAAGTCTTTAATTGCTACAGTGGTACCAAGAGGCTTGTGCTTCTTAGCATCATTTATTCATTATTCATTTACTTAATACATTTCAGTTGAGCAGATACTAGGTTCAAAAACCTGTGCCAGGTCCCACAGAAATACCCACAGGGATCCGGTACAGATCCTCCTGTTAAAGAGCCTAGCAGTGATCAAACTCTTAAGCTCTGCCCTTGTTTAACACAGTCAGATAAGCCCAGTGAGACTCTTGCAGTAACCTCCTGAAAATTGAAATGGTCTTAAGAGGGTCTTGCACAACCACTATTGAAAATGAGTAAAAACTAAAAAATAATATTTCAAAAGGTATGTTCCCTAATTGTACTCTTAATTGAAATTGCTTCTTGGTTCTCTGGTGGCACCTCTGGAAAGATGAACTAGAAGCCAATTTATAAGGAGGTCAGTGTCAGAGAATCCATCCTTATTACTGGTAGGAAAAAAAAACTCAAGGAGGACAGGCTACAGAGTGATATCAATAATCCAGATCTGTCACTGCATGCCCCTAGACTTTGCAAATGCCCCAAAGATTATGTGTACATGGAGTTCTGATCTGAATATGATTTATCTGCCGCAGTCTGACCAGCTCTGTTGAACAGAGTCAGCTATATTTTTGGGGGCTTAGAAGATGACATTAATATTGCCCATATTTATCACTGTGCGGAGACATGGAGTTGCAAGCTGCAGTTCTGAGTTCTGTGGGTACAGAGTCGCAAGTGTATATTGGTTTCTGATGTGTGAATGATGCATGTGTTAAACCCAGTGAGCTTTTTTAAGAAATTTTTTACTCTTTTATGTATTTCTATCTACCTGCCTTCCTTACCGTACACAAACTCACACACTCATTTGTCCATTCTTACACAAAATAATCCCTTCTTTGATTATTCAGAGAAAAGCCCGTGTATGACTGGGACGTCGAGGATGCAAAAGTCACTATTTCTTAGTGAACAGTACTCCAGGCCTGACTCCTCTGGCAGTACATCAACAGGATGCAGTTCTGCAACTCTGCTTTTTATCAGTTTTGTGTTTTGTTTTGTTCTTAGCAATCAGAAGAGCAATCGCCCACCCATTCTCTCAGCGATTACTTAAAACATCAAGAAGGGATCTAGCCCACTGTTCTCAGTGATGGGCTCTAGGCATTATAAACCAGGCATTTCTGCTTGTCAACATTATTCACTCAGTCAACAAATGCTTATTGACCACCTATGGTATGCAAAGCCCTGGGCCAAGCATTAGGGAGAATTGTCTGTATTTCATAGATTCTGAAACAGTTATTTTTCAACATTTGAATGTCTCTGAATTTGGGGAGTTTACTTGGCAAGGCTTTTTTCTTTCTTAGTGATACCTAAAACAATGCCGTCCTATAATCAATGGCCTCTCAGATTTGATGAAATCCTACATTGTCCATGACATCTCTGCTTTCACCAAAAAAGGGATTATACAGAAGAAGAGGAGGTAAAACTCAGCTATCAGTGGGCTTTTCACTGATCGTCAACTTTCAGAGCAAGAGAAGTCTGAGCTTCTGTGGTTTGAAGATGATCTGTGTGTTTCATCTCCTCGTGCCCTCCCTGGCCTTACAAGCTGTCATAACTTCACATGGATTACCTATTATTATCCTATAGTTCTTAAAATCACAAATGAATTTTTTATTGATGTTGGGGGTGTGTGTGTGGTGCTTTCTGTAAAATAATTCATTAGGAAATTTATTTTTCATCCATTATTGAAGCCATCATTTGAAGAGACTGTTTCTTAGAATATATCTACCATGTGGATATATATGCCAGTGGAAACTAGTTAAAATATTTTTATTAAAGCAAAATAAAGGTTTTTTTGTGGTTGTTTTTGTTTTCCCTTTATTTATCCAAACATTTACAAACTCCCTATGATGCATCAGACACTGCTAAGTACTGTTAGGAGACAGTGACAAATTGGATACAGTTTTTGGCTTCAAAAGACTTACAATTAAAGGAAGGATAAAACCTGTAACTACCAATGCTCATATAGGGAAGAATGAGTGAGTCCTGGGGCCAAGATCCAAGAATATCTGAATGAAATCTGCATCATTCCATGGCACTACATCTACCATTACATATCACAAAACAAAAGCTGTTCTTCCTTTCCTCAGAAACACGGCTGCATCAGGTCTACCCAGGTAGACCACAGAATGATGAACCAAAACAGCCCTTCCACGGTTGATATACAAAGACAACTCCCAACCCCTGGTGGATAGAAAGGACTGCATATTTTGAAAACTTTACAATAAGCCAAGTGTTCCATGCCTCATATACCTGCTGTCATTGTTTTCTACCCACTGATCAGTGTTACCACTGTGTGGTTTCTACCCACTGATTGGTGTTTCCACCCAGTAGTCAGGGTGCTCCCCTGTTCTCCTTCCATAATGTTTCGTACCCTTTCACCCCTGCTCAGCTTCTCCCAGACCCCTCCCTCACGACTTTTTAAACTGGCTTTCAGAATCTTTTACCTTTAATTCCCTTGTAAAATGCTCCCTCTCCTTTATTTGAACTATAAGCTCTTTGAGGACAGGAACCAAGCATGGATGACACAGAGTAGACAATGAAAATATGCTTTGCTTTGTCAAGGAAGGATGAGAAAGAAGAGAAAATAGCTTATCTTCTTGAATATGGGAGTTTAGGAAACTGAAAAAAGCTTTGGCGCACCGACAGAGCAGGAAATTTTACCATAGAAGGCTGAAAAAGTTCAATCCTGGGTTTCCCCTCCTGGAACTATCTGATACCAGTGAATCCTTATCTTCTTTTTTTGCCCCAGCACACATGACAGTTGATAGTCACATGAATAACAGATTGTTGTGAGCAAAGTCAATTTATCTGGAATTCTCACATGATTGACTTTCAAGCCACCTTTCTGTCCTACTTGTTATACAAGTGATTAAAAGTGACGCTAATAAAGAGATAATATTGAATCCATTCTAATCTATGGGGGAAAAGTAAACCCACTTGCAGATTTTGCTATTTCATATTTAGTAACATGCTTCTTGAGACAAACCAGTCTGTGGATGCTCCAACACTGTCTTCAGCCCCTGGCCCTGCACACCCTCAGGACAGCTTAGCTTGCTGGCCACACCTTGTGCCAAGACCCAGAAGTCAGAATTCACAGCCACAGGAGCTCTTCCCACAGCTGGGACCCAGAAATGGTTCTACTTTCTTCTTTCAATATATAAAGGATCTGTAAACAAAAGGAACAAAAGGAAAAGCAGAAACATTATCAACATGAAAAGAAAACCATCCATTCTAAATATGTCCATTTATTTTAAAACAAAGCATACCAACACAAAGCTTTATTTCTAGTATATCCACGTTTATGGTGCCTAATTTTTAGAGCCTCCCATCTTGGGGGGCGAGCCTTTATAACATTTGTTGAGTAAAATTAACTGACTCATCATTCTTCTTCTAGTGATGCAGTCAATGTTTGTAGTTTATTTGAAACTCAAATTGAACTGGGTGTTTTGTGTTTTAGCTGGAATCTTATCCCTAGAGACTGTTGCTTGGGATTCACCAAACACTATATCCACTACTTCTGATCATGAGGATTTGAAGAAATAAGTACTTAATAATGGTGGCACTTCCAGTACTGGGGATCCTATCAAGAAGAAGGATTGGAGACCTCCTCACATCTCAGAAATCACAATACAGGCAGGGGCTCTACTTCCTGTATGGAAGGGGACCCACGTCTTCATAGCTGAGAAGGGAAGGCAGCAGCCAGCAACAAAATAAAAGATAAAAGGGAAGCCAAGCACTTGCAAGAACTACAGTAGATACCATCTTCTGGGCCCTGTACTGCGTCCCCTGTGCTATCCCAAGAGAGCTAATTCTGTTCAGCCTCCTTCCCTCCTGAGCCTCTGAGAAAGTAGAGAATAAGACTATAGTTCAGTGGTTTGAAAGCCATAATATTCTGACAAGGGTTCAATTTATGTTCAGCATTTTTTTTTCTTTTGCATCCCAGTCAGGACTTCCACTCAAGTTCTCTTAAAGGAAGGTAAATATTTACAGGTAGAAAATGGCACTAGGTGCCTTGATAAGTTCAAAGAAACAGTTAAATTTGTGTGTGGATCTTTGTTTTCTTTTTTCTTTTCTTTTTTTTTTTTTTGAGACCGAGTTTTGCTCTTGTTGCCCAGGCTGGAGTGCAATGGCACAATCTTGACTCACCGCAACCTCCACCTCCTGGGTTCAAGCAATTCTCCTGCCTCAGCCTCCTGAGTAGCTGGGATTACAGGCATGCACCACCATGCCCGGCTAATTTTGTATTTTTAGTAGAGATGGGATTTCTCCATGTTGGTCAGGCTGGTCTCGAACTTCTGACCTCAGGTGATCCACCTGCTTCAGCCTCCCTAAGTGCTGGGATTACAGGCGTGAGCCACGGTGCCCAGCCCGTGGTATGGATCATTTAATCACCATATCTGGAATATATAAACATGGCACATATTCTCTTTGCCACCCCCTGCTTTTTTGTAGCCTCAAAATTTGATCCAAGACTGGGAGTTAAAAAGTCCCATTTTGTGTAATCAGGTTCTGGTTGAACATGATTGCTGAATTATTTTAAATTAAAGACACATGTCTGGGGATTGAGCTGTATGTATTATTTCAGGATGGTGTCCATTAGGCCTTATCCACAGGGGCTATCTTCAACTTTTGCCACATTCAATGCATTCTTTATACATCAGTATTTTCAAAATGGTGAATCACATGTAAGGGAAAATTGGAGGGAATATGGTACTCGTTAAATGGTGATTTTTTGAAAATTATCTTGAACGCATTATTCAAACCTGTTTCCAGTCTCCCCTGCTAAGGGCCCCACTGCTGGTTGGAAAAGTTCTCTGGGGGGAGAAAAAACAATATTTTAAAGTCAATAACAATGCATAAATAAATAAAATCCTACAGTTGTGCAAGGCCCTTTTGCAAGCCTAAATCTTTGAAGACTTTACAACTGAATCAACATTTACTTTAACTCCTTGTCAGCCCTAAACACTTTAAATGTCTTAATTGCAGATCTAAATCATTGCGGCTGCCATCGGTTTTTCACTTTGAATGCAGATGTCCCTGAACTGAGGCTTTGTCAGACTTCACCTCGTAAGGGCAGCCTGCCTATTTAATAAATCGTTGCATCATGTCAAGGGCTCCTGCCCGGACTTACAGGTCGCCTTTCGTGAGGAGCAGTCAGGGTGAGGGAAACTGTGTGGCTGAATTCGTCTGTTGGCCCAGCCACATCAGGCATCCCTCCACTCCAAAGATCTCCTTCCTGCTAGGAGCTGGTGCGTCTGCTGCATGGTTGTTCATTTGCACAGCTTTATGGAGGTATTATTTACGTATCATAAAACTCACTCTTTTGAAGTCAAAACTCAATGATTTTTTTCATAAATATTCAGAGTTGTGAAACCATCACTGCAATCTAATTTTAGAGCAATTCCATCACCCCCAAAATAAACCTCATGCCCATTTGTAGTCATTCCCTCTTCCCACCTCTGGCCCATGGCAGTCACTAATTTTTCTGTCTCTATAGATTTGCCTTTTCTGGACATTTTATATACATGGAATCATACAATATGTGATCTGATCTTTTTTACTTTGCATAACTTTGAGATGTGTTCATGTAGCAAGGAGCAATACTTTTTTCATTGTAAGTAATATTCCACTGTGTAGATATACCATATTTTGTTCACCCAGGCATCCACTGATAGACATTCATCTGGGTCACTTCCACTTTGCAGCTATTATGAAACAACCTTCTGTGAACATATGGGTATTTTTTAATGAATTGGAGGTCAGATTGCTATTGTCATTCACAGTCAACTTTAAGTTGGGCTTACTCTTTTTTCAAGAAGTCACCCATATTTTTGTTAAAGCTGCCTATTGGAACATTCCAGAATAAAGTAGACTCCTGAGGGCTTCAAAAAATAATATTTATCAGAGTGAGACCCTCGGTAATTCCAGGGCATCAAGTGGTTAAACATAAGGGAGGGAACCATTGGAAGGAAGTTTCAAGACCAAGAGCGATTTGAAGAGCAGCAGGAGCCCCTTCTATGCCAGTCGTGACCCAGAGTTTAAAGAGCTCAGACCCACATGCGCCTACCACGCAAGTGTTCCTTCTGGCAGCCTCGGCACTGCCGGACTTCTGCAAGCCCTGCTTTCTTAAATAACATGGGGGCTACTCAGGGAGAAGTCAAGTTGGAAGTGGCAGGGGAGGTGAACAGGTCGTAACACAGGGAACGGAGTTGTCAGGCTTTGTTTATTTTCATGTCTTCTAAGACTTCAGCGACTGATAGGAGAGGCCAGCCATTCTGCCATCGAGGAAGGAGTGTTGTACTTGATGCGGAAGCAGCTAGATCAAAAGGCGCCCTTCTGTGTTGCCCCAAATCACCCATCTAGAGCCATGAAAAATCCGTGTCATGAGAAATCCTTTCCCCAGAAATCATCATGGAAAGCAGGCATATAAAAGGCAAACTGGTTTAGGAAATGTAATGTTGATCAAAAGGAAAGCCCCGCGTCCTGGGCCTGGCACAGCTCTAACTCTGACTGTGGCCTTGGGCAGGTCACTCACCACTCTGGGCCTCGGCTTCCTCGTTGCGAAATGAGAGAGATTGACATCTGGATTTCTGCCTGAGGTTTTTTTTCCCACATTCAATATTCTGTTTCTCTGAAGACTATGAAAACTGAAACTTTTGAAACCCATATTTAAAAGTGAAACCAGTAGCATCATCCCATTGGCAATCAAGCTACTGATGTCAAGAGGCATGATCTGGAATGCCAAAGGGTGAATAATTAGCATAAGGAACACAAGGTTTTTAAAATGTTGCCCAGTGGCACCCCTCCTTTATTTTGCAGATAGGAAAATTGTGGTTGGTTTTTTTACATATTCTCTTGCAGGTTGTTTAGCTTCTTTGTGTCGGAGTTAGGAATTGACCTAACATTTTAGGACTTCCAGACCTTTTACTGTATCAATTAATCCAGATTGCCTAGGAGAAAAGAAAATAATCATTCAAGAGCCTGTATAAAATAGGCCAGCATTTAAAAAAAAAAAAAGGAAGAAACTCTGACCTTCTAGCCA
The DNA here is from genome assembly GCF_000001405.40 of Homo sapiens. NCBI lineage: Eukaryota > Metazoa > Chordata > Mammalia > Primates > Hominidae > Homo > Homo sapiens. The sequence continues at coordinate 25,598,593 of NC_000007.14, forward strand.
AAAACAAAAGCCATATTATTCTTGTTTTTGCTTTATGATTTCGGTTCTTATTGGAATGATGAAATCCTGCTGAAGAAAGAGGATGAAGGGTGGTTACAGTCTGATAATAAATGATGAGGCTGATGGACACCCAAGAAGAAAGAATGTTCCTGTTGAGAAGAACGTCAGCATGTCTCTTCCTCCCTTTTCCTCAGTTGCTTATGTCCTCTCTTGCCCATGGAGCCATCTGACATCTCTTGGCCAGGCTCTCAGACACATAGCCAGCTTTGGAGGGCTTAACACGCTTTCATTAGGACTTTCAAGTACATATCTTGCTGGAAGCCAGCGATCTCGGTCCACTTCCCCATGGCAACAACCAGCCTTAGAGTTCACAGGGATGCCTGCTCCTTTGAACTCCGTACAGAGTATTCCAGAGCCCTGGATTTTGACTGTCCTCCAAAGCCAGTGGCCAGCCTGGTAGTGAAAGAAATCTGGGGACAGATGGTATGAAATTGAAATCACATAATCACTACCCTCTCCCAAATGCTGGCCTGTTATATTAGCGAGTCTCCACAAAGTTCTGTGGCACTCATGCTGGTCTTGCTGGAGGCCTGCATCTTAAACAAGGGCGCCTGAACATCAGGGCTGATGAAGAGCTGGCCCATTAAAGAGGAATTTCATCAACGTCGTGTGGTCCCTCCGTGACCATCAGAACCACATGTGCATTTGAAGAAGTCCTCATGCCACTGGACCAATGACAAGGTCTCTTTCAACTTAGACCCATCTGTTGTTGAAAAACTACTGTATTTGTGAGAAGCCATTCTGAGGTGGAAAGGGAGTCTGATCTTTGGGGGAAAACATGGCTACAGGGGTTCTTTCCTCTGAAAATCTGTAAATTTAGCTAAAAGTTACTTCAGGAGAAAAAGCCATTGGTAGCAAGAACTTGGCATCATGGAAAGATCCCAACATCCTCTTTTGATTTACTGTAGATGTCTGGCAACTTCTCTTTGCTTCCCCTCTCTCAATTGTAAGATAGAAATGGTCAGTGTTCATGTTATAAACCAACATTTGCCTGCCCGAGCTGAATTCTTGTCAACCTCTGAAGCTACTGAGTGGGGAATGAAAGAAAGTGAGGGGAGGAGGAAGGCCCCTGGTGCACCCTGGAGGAACAGCACAGATTCCAGCTGAAATCTACATGAGGCTGGCTGATTCCACTTCTTCCAATCCTCAACTTTCATCAATGCCAGCAACAGCATATGGGACAATAGGATGCTTTGGTTGGCATCGACTCCTGGCCTGATGGTGTTAGTTTATTTTCATGGCAAATAATTATATTCTCTCCTTTCCTAAATATTTCAAAATGGTGCAAATAATATATAAATCCATAGGCATAAAAGTCATTAGATTCTTCAAGCAAGGGATTTTTAAGAATACACAAAATGACATATTAGATTTCTCCAAGCTCTTACTCAAAAAAAGCAAATAAACATTTATTTATTAAAACATGCTTGTCTCATTTTACCCTATTGTCATCCAAAAGGAGGAACAAAGGCAGAGAATTTGGAGTTTAATAATTTGTATTTTAAAGTGCCTCTTCCACTGCTTACTACTTGGATGATTAAAAAGAGTCTGAATTTCAGTTGTCTTATTTGAAAAAGTCAGTATGATAATAGTAAATAAAAACAAGAGCAATTTTAAGGGATTCTTGTAAACATTAAAAAAGTTATTATTATAAATATTAAAAGTACATGCTTTTTAAATTGTAAAGCCTTAAACAAAAACTGGTTATTATTGTCCATGGAGAGTAAAAGTGAATTCACCAAAACATCTGGAAAAGGTTTGTCTTTTGCACAGGGTTGTTTTTAGTGCGAGATGAAGAGAAAAATTCTGAGAATAGCATGATGAGAAGTGAGCTAGTTTCTACAACTTCTTTGTCTGCATTTCTCTCTTTCTGATTATGTCTCCAAAACTTCCTCGCTTCTTGAGCAGAATTCTCTATATTTCATAAACAGGGAGACATTGTTGTCAAAAGAACTCAAACTTGTGTTTGAGACAATCCTCCTGCCGTCTCCTATCTCTTCCAACACCTTTCCTCAGAGATCAGATACATTTTCCTGGCAAGATGTTCATTATTCAGAGGTTGCTTTGCAATTTCCTACAATTTCTGTTCACTTGCAAATAAAACCATGCCTTTATTTTAGGATATAGGGAAAGCTTTTAAGAACAGAAGTTAAAGTCAAGCATGAATAAATTTTATGCATGGCAAATATAGACTTTGATAACATTGTCTCCATCAGGGTTGATTGTAAGTGATTCATCACTTTCTTACTCATGTTACTGATAGAAATACTGGAGTTCTGAGTTTGTAAATTAATAAAACCCCTTATCGATAGCACAATATTCATTTAATAATATATTCCTAACACAGACCCATTGTATGAACATACATTGATTGCATTCTTAAATGGATCACATTACTGCATTTTTATCTATGGAGTTGGAATTATCCATCCCTCTAGAAGCCAGAAGTGTCATGAATTTTCTTTAGCTAATTCAGAGGGAAAAGGGTGAAAAGACTGGGGGCCAGGAGGCAAGACAGCATGGTGTTCAAAAGAAAGGTGGCCTTAGATTTTGAGAAGAGATGGCATGCTAAAGCACTGTGCCTTCTTCAGTTTATCTACACTGCCAAAAGTCTTTATGGAAAGTATAGTCTTTGGATTGCACTGGCCATCCTATGGACAAAACAGTAAGATGTTCTTTAAAATGTTCATTTTCATCTATATGTTAAGGAGACAAGCAGCAAGCTTTAGCAATCCTGCTAGCTAAGTAGTTCTGAACTTTTTCTAAGGGAGATGGGCAAGGATACTTTTCCAACTCTGATGAAGATTCCTCTTCCAAGCAAAAAACAAATATAAAACATTGCCTACCAATTCAGGCATTTTATGAATTGCCTGAACCCCATTTACTTCAGCTATTAAAAATAGCTGAAGTACTCCATGCCTCCTGAATGTACCCCTTTCTTAGCTCTTTTTCACATAAGTAATGGTCATGTTAACAACAGAGACTCTCCTTTATATGAAGCCATATGTCATAAATAGTATGTGATATGATTTATATGGTCAATAGTATCAATAAGTAGTATAGTCATACGTCATAAACAGTGATATGATTTATATGGTCAATAGTATCAATAAGTAGTATAGTCATACGTCATAAACAGTGATATGATTTATATGGTCAATAGTATCAATAAGTAGTATAGTCATACGTCATAAACAGTGATATGATTTATATGGTCAATAGTATCAATAAGTAGTATAGTCATACGTCATAAACAGTGATATGATTTATATGGTCAATAGTATCAATAAGTAGTATAGTCATACGTCATAAACAGTGATATGATTTATATGGTCAATAGTATCAATAAGTAGTATAGTCATACGTCATAAACAGTGATATGATTTATATGGTCAATAGTATCAATAAGTAGTATAGTCATACGTCATAAACAGTGATATGATTTATATGGTCAATAGTATCAATAAGTAGTATAGTCATACGTCATAAACAGTGATATGATTTATATGGTCAATAGTATCAATAAGTAGTATAGTCATATGTCATAAACAGTGATATGATTTATATGGTCAATAGTATCAATAAGTAGTATAGTCATACGTCATAAACAGTGATATGATTTATATGGTCAATAGTATCAATAAGTAGTATAGTCATACGTCATAAACAGTGATATGATTTATATGGTCAATAGTATCAATAAGTAGTATAGTCATACGTCATAAACACTAACCTTTTTTCTAAACCTTTTTAGCCCTTAATGGTCAGCCGAGGACAAAGACATCATCCTTTTATTAATTTTTTAAATGCCATAAAGTTAATAAAAAGTAAAACTATTTCCTGGAAAAGATTCCCCAATTCTTTGCTTTCCAGAAGGAATCTACATCTCTGTATCTATTTATTTAACTATTAGTCATCACTGCAATGAACACTTTCTTAATAATGAAACAAGTAAAATCGATGTGAGAGGAAAATCTTAATTAAAGAAATCCTAGCTAAAGAAAGAGCTAAAGAACGTAGTAATTCCTTTTTGTGGAAAATGGGTGAGGAGTAAAGACCTTTTATAAGAAATAAATTTCCTATGCAAATAAAAACTTGGTTTTATTTTTTAAATACAATATTATTTTTTAATAATGACAGAAGACTTAATGTGTCAGTTTTTTTCCTCATTTCATTGAGAATTAAGGGCCACCAATACTTTTTTTATAAGATACATCAAAAGCACATAAAGATCTTTCAAATTTTACCAAAGGTTTTCATTTAATTAAATCGACTTATTTAAAAGATATTATTTTATTCTGAAATAAATAGTTGCATAAATTCATATTCTTCTTTGTTAACAATTTTAAAAACATTTCTTGTATAAAAAATCAAAAGCAGTAGATGGCCGAATAGGAACAGCTCCGGTCTACAGCTCCCAGAGTGAGCGACGCAGAAGACGGGTGATTTCTCCATTTCCATCTGAGGTACCGGGTTCATCTCACTAGGGAGTGCCAGACAGTGGGCGCAGGCCAGTGGGTGCGCGCACCATGCGCGAGCCGAAGCAGGGCGAGGCATTGCCTCACCTGGGAAGCGCAAGGGGTCAGGGAGTTCCCTTTCCGAGTCAAAGAAAGGGGTGACCGACGCACCTGGAAAATCGGGTCACTCCCACCCGAATACTGCGCTTTTCAGACCGGCTTAAAAAACGGCGCACCACGCGACTATATCCCACACCTGGCTCGGAGGGTCCTACGCCCACGGAATCTCGCTGATTGCTAGCACAGCAGTCTGAGATCAAACTGCAAGGCGGCAGCGAGGCTGGGGGAGGGGAGCCCGCCATTGCCCAGGCTTGCTTAGGTAAACAAAGCAGCCGGGAAGCTCGAACTGGGCGGAGCCCACCACAGCTCAAGGAGGCCTGCCTGCCTCTGTAGGCTCCACCTCTGGGGGCAGGACACAGACAAATAAAAAGACAGCAGTAACCTCTGCAGACTTAAATGTCCCTGTCTGACAGCTTTGAAGAGAGCAGTGGTTCTCCCAGCACGCAGCTGGAGATCTGAGAACGGGCAGACTACCTCCTCAAGTGGGTCCCTGACTCCTGACCTCCGAGCAGCCTAACTGGGAGGCACCCCCCAGCAGGGGCACACTGACACCTCACACCGCAGGGTATTCCAACAGACCTGCAGCTGAGGGTCCTGTCTGTTAGAAGGAAAACTGACAAACAGAAAGGACATCCACACCAAAAACCCATCTGTACATCACCATCATCAAAGACTAAAAGTAGATAAAACCACAAAGATGGGGAAAAAACAGAACAGAAAAACTGGAAACTCTAAAACGCAGAGCGCCTCTCCTCCTCCAAAGGAACGCAGTTCCTCACCAGCAACGGAACAAAGCTGGATGGAGAATGACTTTGACGAGCTGAGAGAAGAAGGTTTCAGAGGATCAAATTACTCTGAGCTACGGGAGGACATTCAAACCAAAGGCAAAGAAGTTGAAAACTTTGAAAAAAATTTAGAAGAATGTATAACTAGAATAACCAATACAGAGAAGTGCTTAAAGGAGCTGATGGAGCTGAAAACCAAGGCTCAAGAACTACGTGAAGAATGCAGAAGCCTCAGGAGCTGATGGGATCAACTGGAAGAAAGGGTATCAGCGATGGAAGATGAAATGAATGAAATGAAGCGAGAAGGGAAGTTTAGAGAAAAAAGAATAAAAAGAAATGAGCAAAGCCTCCAAGAAATATGGGACTATGTGAAAAGACCAATTCTACGTCTGATTGGTGTACCTGAAAGTGATGTGGAGAATGGAACCAAGTTGGAAAACACTCTGCAGGATATTATCCAGGAGAACTTCCCCAATCTAGCAAGGCAGGCCAATGTTCAGATTCAGGAAATACAGAGAACGCCACAAACATACTCCTCGAGAAGAGCAACTCCAAGACACGTAATTGTCAGATTCACCAAAGTTGAAATGAAGGAAAAAATGTTAAGGGCAGCCAGAGAGAAAGGTCGGGTTACCCTCAAAGGGGAGCCCATCAGACTAACAGCGGATCTCTCGGCAGAAACCCTACAAGCCAGAAGAGAGTGGGGGCCAATATTCAACATTCTTAAAGAAAAGAATTTTCAACCCAGAATTTCATATCCAGCCAAACTAAGCTTCATAAGTGAAGGAGAAATAAAATACTTTACAGACAAGCAAATGCTGGGAGATTTTGTCACCACCAGGCCTGCCCTAAAAGAGCTCCTGAAGGAAGCGCTAAACATGGAAAGGAACAACCGGTACCAGCCGCTGCAAAATCATGCCAAAATGTAAAGACCATCGAGACTAGGAAGAAACTGCATCAACTAATGAGCAAAATCACCAGCTAACATCATAATGACAGGATCAAATTCACACATAACAATATTAACTTTAAATGTAAATGGACTAAATTCTCCAATTAAAAGACACAGACTGGCAAGTTGGATAAAGAGTCAAGACCCATCAGTGTGCTGTATTCAGGAAACCCATCTCACGTGTAGAGACACACATAGGCTGAAAATAAAAGGATGGAGGAAGATCTACCAAGCAAATGGAAAACAAAAAAAGGCAGGGGTTGCAATCCTAGTCTCTGATAAAACAGACTTTAAACCAACAAAGATCAAAAGAGACAAAGAAGGCCATTACATAATGGTAAAGGGATCAATTCAACAAGAGGAGCTAACTATCCTAAATATATATGCACCCAATACAGGAGCACCAACATTCATAAAGCAAGTCCTGAGTGACCTACAAAGAGACTTAGACTCCCACACATTGATAATGGGAGACTTTAACACCCCACTGTCAACATTAGACAGATCAACGAGACAGAAAGTCAACAAGGATACCCAGGAATTGAACTCAGCTCTGCACCAAGCGGACCTGATAGACATCTACAGAACTCTCCACCCCAAATCAACAGAATATACGTTTTTTTCAGCACCACACCACACCTATTCCAAAATTGACCACATAGTTGGAAGTAAAGCTCTCCTCAGCAAATGTAAAAGAACAGAAATTATAACAAACTATCTCTCAGACCACAGTGCAATCAAACTAGAACTCAGGATTAAGAATCTCACTCAAAGCCGCTCAACTACATGGAAACTGAACAACCTGCTCCTGAATGACTACTGGGTACATAACGAAATGAAGGCAGAAATAAAGATGTTCTTTGAAACCAACGAGAACAAAGACACAACATACCAGAATCTCTGGGACGCATTCAAAGCAGTGTGTAGAGGGAAATTTATAGTACTAAATGCCCACAAGAGAAAGCAGGAAAGATCCAAAATTGACACCCTAACATCACAATTAAAAGAACTAGAAAAGCAAGAGCAAACACATTCAAAAGCTAGCAGAAGGCAAGAAATAACTAAAATCAGAGCAGAACTGAAGGAAATAGGGACACAAAAAACCCTTCAAAAAATCAATGAATCCAGGAGCTGGTTTTTTGAAAGGATCAACAAAATTGATAGACCGCTAGCAAGACTAATAAAGAAAAAAAGAGAGGAGAATCAAATAGACACAATAAAAAATGATAAAGGGGATATCACCACCGATCCCACAGAAATACAAACTACCATCAGAGAATACTACAAACACCTCTACGCAAATAAACTAGAAAATCTAGAAGAAATGGATACATTCCTTGACACATACACTCTCCCAAGACTAAACCAGGAAGAAGTTGAATCTCTGAATAGACCAATAACAGGATCTGAAATTGTGGCAATAATCAATAGTTTACCAACCAAAAAGAGTCCAGGACCAGATGGATTCACAGCCGAATTCTACCAGAGGTACAAGGAGGAACTGGTACCATTCCTTCTGAAACTATTCCAATCAATAGAAAAAGAGGGAATCCTCCCTAACTCATTTCATGAGGCCAGCATCATTCTGATACCAAAGCCGGGCAGAGACACAACCAAAACAGAGAATTTTAGACCAATATCCTTGATGAACATTGATGCAAAAATCCTCAATAAAATACTGGCAAACCGAATCCAGCAGCACATCAAAAAGCTTATCCACCATGATCAAGTGGGCTTCATCCCTGGGATGCAAGGCTGGTTCAATATACGCAAATCAATAGATGTAATCCAGCATATAAACAGAGCCAAAGACAAAAACCACATGATTATCTCAATAGATGCAGAAAAAGCCTTTGACAAAATTCAACAACCCTTCATGCTAAAAACTCTCAATAAATTAGGTATTGATGGGACGTATTTCAAAATAATAAGAGCTATCTATGACAAACCCACAGCTAATATCATACTGAATGGGCAAAAACTGGAAGCATTCCCTTTGAAAACTGGCACAAGACAGGGATGCCCTCTCTCACCGCTCCTATTCAACATAGTGTTGGAAGTTCTGGCCAGGGCAATCAGGCAGGAGAAGGAAATAAAGGGTATTCAATTAGGAAAAGAGGAAGTCAAATTGTCCCTGTTTTCAGACGACATGATTGTTTATCTAGAAAACCCCATCGTCTCAGCCCAAAATCTCCTTAAGCTGATAAGCAACTTCAGCAAAGTCTCAGGATACAAAATCAATGTACAAAAATCACAAGCATTCTTATACACCAACAACAGACAAACAGAGAGCCAACTCATGAGTGAACTCCCATTCACAATTGCTTCAAAGAGAATAAAATACCTAGGAATCCAACTTACAAGGGATGTGAAGGACCTCTTCAAGGAGAACTACAAACCACTGCTCAAGGAAATAAAAGAGGATACAAACAAATGGAAGAACAATCCATGCTCATGGGTAGGAAGAATCAATATCGTGAACATGGCCATACTGTCCAAGGTAATTTACAGATTCAATGCCATCCCCATCAAGCTACCAATGCCTTTCTTCACAGAATTGGAAAAAACTACTTTAAAGTTCATATGGAACCAAAAAAGAGCCCGCATCGCCAAGTCAATCCTAAGCCAAAAGAACAAAGCTGGAGGCATCACACTACCTGACTTCAAACTATACTACAAGGCTACAGTAACCAAAACAGCATGGTACTGGTACCAAAACAGAGATATAGATCAATGGAACAGAACAGAGCCCTCAGAAATAATGCCACATACCTACAACTATCTGATCTTTGACAAACCTGAGAAAAACAAGCAATGGGGAAAGGATTCCCTATTTAATAAATGGTGCTGGGAAAACTGGCTAGCCATATGTAGAAAGCTGAAACTGGATCCCTTCCTTACACCTTATACAAAAATCAATTCAAGATGGATTAAAGATTTAAACGTTAGACCTAAAACCATAAAAACCCTAGAAGAAAACCTAGGCATTACCATTCAGGACATAGGCATGGGCAAGGACTTCATGTCCAAAACACCAAAGCAATGGCAACAAAAGACAAAATTGACAAATGGGATCTAATTAAACTAAAGAGCTTCTGCACAGCAAAAGAAACTACCATCAGAGTGAACAGGCAACCTACAACATGGGAGAAAATTTTCGCAACCTACTCATCTGACAAAGGGCTAATATCCAGAATCTACAATGAACTCAAACAAATTTACAAGAAAAAAACAAACAACCCCATCAAAAAGTGGGCGAAGGACATGAACAGACACTTCTCAAAAGAAGACATTTATGCAGCCAAAAAATACATGAAAAAATGCTCATCATCACTGGCCATCAGAGAAATGCAAATCAAAACCACTATGAGATACCATCTCACACCAGTTAGAATGGCAATCATTAAAAAGTCAGGAAACAACAGGTGCTGGAGAGGATGTGGAGAAATAGGAACACTTTTACACTGTTGGTGGGACTGTAAACTAGTTCAACCATTGTGGAAGTCAGTGTGGCGATTCCTCAGGGATCTAGAACTAGAAATACCATTTGACCCAGCCATCCCATTACTGGGTATATACCCAAATGACTATAAATCATGCTGCTATAAAGACACATGCACACGTATGTTTATTGCGGCATTATTCACAATAGCAAAGACTTGGAACCAACCCAAATGTCCAACAATGATAGACTGGATTAAGAAAATGTGGCACATATACACCATGGAACACTATGCAGCCATAAAAAATGATGAGTTCATGTCCTTTGTAGGGACATGGATGAAATTGGAAACCATCATTCTCAGTAAACTATCGCAAGAACAAAAAACCAAACACCGCATATTCTCACTCATAGGTGGGAATTGAACAATGAGATCACATGGTCACAGGAAGGGGAATATCACACTCTGGGGACTGTGGTGGGGTGGGGGGAGGGGGGAGGGGTAGCATTGGGAGATATACCTAATGCTAGATGACGAGTTAGTGGGTGCAGCGCACCAGCATGGCACATGTATACATATGTAACTAACCTGCACAATGTGCACATGTACCCTAAAACTTAAAGTATAATAAAAAAAAAAATCAAAAGCAGCTATAGCCAAGTTAAACTTCAAAAATTAACTTCAAACAACTGAAAATTATAAAAGGCATATGTTTTTGTTTTCTTTATTGTATCCCCAGGTAAATTATGGTATTAAAAATACCTCAGTCAAGGGCTTTACTCATGCCATAAAGCCTCATGTTACTTCTCAAAGAAACGAGAAAGAAAATAATTATATATGGGTAGATTATATGGTGATAATATTGTATAAGAATACTTTAAATGGAGTTGCCAAGATGGTTGCTTTATATTAAAAAAAGTCTATAAAACATATAATTCATAAGTGGACTCTTCTGCATTAGTAGAGTGAATGTTTCATTTTCAGAATTACAGACATATAAAAATCATACTTCCCTGCTATGAAAGACCAGTAAACATCCTTGTTTTCTGTAAAAACTTAAATGCTGGAGGCCAATACTCACAAAACATAATAATATTTCTGCTAAAAAAGCCAACTTTTTTTTAATGAGGAAAAGAAATCAAACATATACATCCTAAGTGCAATATTTCCAAACTTTTAAAAAAGGACAGTATGTGAAATTGCCAATTCTATATTTTTAATTTGCTCATGTTTGCTGAAATCAATTCTATTTACAGGAATGAATGGAATCGTTAAATACATACTGATGTGACTGGCTCATCTCATTTTACCTTGCTTTGAAGGAAGCCAGCTCTTATTGGAAAAAGACAACAAGGTAAAATAAGAATGGGACTTTTTTTTTAATGTTTGTGAAGCAAAACAAACAAACAAACAACCCCACAAGAACAAAAAGCAGGAACAACTCTCTTTCTTTTAAACACCTGTTACCATTAAACTCTGGGGATTTTATGCAACTGGATACCTGAGCAATATCCACGGTACATGCCTTACAAAGGAGTAGTATGCTAAGTTTCTCTTTCATAATCTGGAATGAAGAACATTTTTTCTTAGAATCAAATATTCCACTGGATAGGAGGATTCTCTGGTTGACTCACAAAATTCAAAACAACCCACAGTTTAGCTTGCCTTATATATGAATAATGTTTAAGCAGCAAACAACCATCAGAAAAAATACTTTCTATAGAAAAATGTACTCTATATTCCATCTCACAGTGCCAGAAGTAGCTCAATAACAACCCAGAGGCATGGCTAGCAGTTGGAGGGAGGAAGGAAGAACAGGTCAGCTAATCTTGACCACCATAAATTCCTACATTCTGTAATGTTGTTTGGAAAAGGTAATATTGTCTACAGCCATACTACTCTGAACACATCCAATCTTGTCTGAAAAAGGTAAAATTGTGACTCTCATAAAAAGATAAAATGACCTTGTTTCCAAGATTTTTTTCAGCTCATTAATTAATAAGGGATAAATAAGATGTTATAATCAGATCAAAGAAGAATTCAACAATCCACACATATATGGGTAATAAGGAATGTCAGAAATAATTTACAACAAGATGCAAAAGGATCTATCTGCAGGCAATGATCAATTACATTCCACCAGGTATAATAAATTTGACTTCTATAGATAAGAATTATTTTCCTTATTACCAGTTTTCTGCAACTTGCAAAACTATAAAATAGCTCAAGAACAATAAAATGTGGAAGTAACCCCAATTATACCCATCTAATTAGACAGAACACTTTTCTTTTATTTATTTCAAAGTACTTCATAATTTTCCCTGGCAATATATACAACAGTAGAGTCTATTAAGGCCAATCACATCCTTGATGTTGTGAATTGGGGAGGAAATACTGAATTCCGGATAGCAATACTCCCACTGTCTATTAATAAAGGCTATAATACCAGTGCTGTCCGGTAGAAATATAATGCAAGCTACCAATGCAGCCAACATAGATAAATTTTACATTTTCTAGCAGCCACACTTTTAAAAACATAGAAATTGTTAATTCGTTAAGTTTAATAAAATACATAAATAACTAAATGCAAAGTATTATCTCAACATATAATCAATAAGAAAAAATATCAATGAGATATTTTACATTCTTTTTTGCATTCTGTGTCTTCAAAAGCCAGTGGATGTTTTACACTTACAGCACATCTGAATTCAGACTAGCCACATTTCATATGCCTTACTGGCCATATGTGGCCAGTTGCTACTGAACAGCACAGGTCTACAGAAATCAAACTTTGGCAAGCTAGCTAAGCTTTGCAGGGTTTGGAATATTAATTAAAACATTTTAGGTTTGTCCCTATCTTATTTTCAAGATAGCCAAGTTCTCAGATATCCTCCTTTTAAAAAGAAGCATGATCAATGCCCGAGGAAATTATACAGGCATACCTCGGAGATATTTCAGATTCAATTCCAGTCACTGCAATGAAGTGAGTCACACAAAAATGTTTTGGTTTCCCACAGCATACAGAAGTTATGTTTACACTATAGTGTAGTTTATTAAATGGATATGTCTAAAAAAGAATGTGCATACCTTCATTAAAAACACCTTATTGATAAAAAATGCTAACGATCATTTGAGCCTGCAGTGAGTCGTCATCTTTTGCTGGTGGAGGGTCTTGCCTCAGTGTTGATGGCTGTGACAGATCAGGGTGGTGGTTGCTGAAGGCTGGGTGGCTGTGACAATTTCTTAAAATAACACAACATTGAAGTTTGCCACATCAGTGAACTCTTCCTTTCACAAGAGATTTCTCTGTAGCATGTGATGCTGTTTGATAGCAGTTTACCCACAGTAGAACTTCTTTCACAATTGGAGTCAATCCTCTCAAACCCTGTCACTGCTTTATCAACTAAGCTTATGTAATATTCTAAATTATTTGTTGTCATTTCAACAATGTTCACAGCATCTTCACCAGGAGTAGAAGCCACTTTCTTTGCTCGTCCATAAGAAGCAACTCCTCATCAATTCAAGTTTGATCATGAGATTGCAACAAGTCACTCGCATCTTCAGGGTACACTTCCAATTCCAGTTCTCTTGCTATTTCCACCACATCAGCAGTGACTACCTCCACTGAAGTCTTGAACCACTCAAAGTCATCTATAAGAGTTGGAATCAACTTCTTTCAAACCCCCATTAAAGTGGATATTTTGACCTCTTCCCATGACTCATGAATGCTCTTAATGGCATCTGAATGGTGAATCCTTTCCATACGTTTTTTAATTTACTTTGCCCCAGTCCCTCAGAGGAATCACTTTCTATTGCAGTTATAGCCTTATGAAATGTTTTTCGTAGATAAGGCTTGAAAGATGAAATTGCTTCTTGATCCATGGGTTGCAGAATGGATGTGGTACTAGCAGGCATGAAAACAGCATTAATCTTGTGCATCTCTAGCAGAGCTCTTGGCTGACCAGATGCATTATCAATGAGCAGTAATATTTTGAAAGGCATCTTCCTGAGCAGTAGGTCTCAACAGTGGGCTTAAAATATTCAGTAAACCCATGCTATAGACAGATGTGCTGTCATCCAGGCTTTGTTGTTTTATTTACAGAGCCCAGGCAGACTAGATTTAGTGTAATTCTTAAGGGCCTTGGGATTTTCAGAATGGTAAATGAGCATTGGCTTCAATTTCAAGTCACCAGTTGCATTAGCCCCTAACAAGAGAGTCAGCCTGCCTTTTGAAGCTTTGAAGCCAGACATTGGCTTCATCTCTCTAGCTTTCAAAGTGCTAGGTGGCATCTTCTTCCAAGAGAAAGCTGTTTCATCTACATTGAAAATTTGTTTAGTGTAGGCTCCTTCATCAAGGATCTTAGCTAGATCTGGATAACTTACTACAGCTCCTCCATCAGCACTTGCTAGCTCACCTTGCACTTTTATGTTATGAAGACACCTTCTCATCTTAAACCTCATGAACCAGTCTCTGTTAACTTCAGACTTTTCTTCTGTAGCTCCCTCACCTCTCTTGGCCTTCATAGAATTGAAAAGAGTGACAGCCTTGCTCTGGATCAGGTTCTGGTTCAAGGGAATGTGATGGCTGGTTTGATCTTCTATCCAGACCACTCAAACATTCTCCCTATCAGCAATAAGGCTGTTTCAATTTATTTTCATTCATGTGTTCACTGGAGTAGCACTTTTAATTTCCTTCAAGAGCTGTTTCTTCACATTCACAACTTGGCTGAGTAGTGCAGGAGGCCGAGCTTTCAGCCTATCTCAGCTTTAAGCATGCCTTCCTCACTAAGCCTAATCATTTCTAGCTTTTGATAAAGAGACATGTGACCCTTCCTTTCACTTGAACACTTAGAGGCTAATGTAGGGTTGTTCATCAGCCTAATTTCAATATTTTTGTGTCTTAGGGAACAGGGACGCCTGAGAAGAGGGACAGAGTCGGGGAAGGGTCAATCAGAATGGCTGGCAGTGGGGTAGTCAGAACAGAATTTATCAATGAAGTTCACCATCTTATATGGGCACAATTCGTGATGCTCCAAAGCAATGATAATAATGACATCAAAGATCACGGATCACCAAAACAGATACAATAATCATGAAAAAGTTTGAAATATTGTGAGAGTTACCAAAATGTGACACACAGACACCAGTGAGCATATGCTGTTAGAAAAATGGCACCAACCGAGTTGCTGGGCACAGGGTTGCCACAAATCTTCAATTTGTGAAAAAATGCAGTATCTGCAAAGTGCAATGAAGTGAAATGCAATAGAACGAGGATGGCCTGTGGCTGAAATGGCTGTCAGTGCGGCCCCATGGATGTCCTCATTAGCAGTCTGTACCAGTGTCTTTTCCAAAGGAAACCATACTTACCCTGTGATGTCAGAGGGAAAAATGAACACACAGGGACATGGCAATAACCATAACAATAAAGGTAATATTGCTGTACCTGTCACCTGAGTGTGACAGCGTGCATCAAAAACATTAACTTTTTCATTTTCAAATCACTCTTGTGGGGTAAAGAAAGGTAGAATGCTTCTCATAAGCCCTCTTCCACTGCAGCATGAGAAGAGACATTTTGCTTCTTAGCAAAGAAGTAGCTAAGGCATATCCAACTCAGTGTCTCAGAAACCACAAAGACCTCAACTAGTCACCAGAAGATCCAGCTCAAAGCTCCACCTCTGAAGGGAGAGAGCCTCCTTCCCCAGGGCACAGCCCTACAGCATCCCGCAATGCCGCAGCACCACGTCGTCAGTGCCAGGCAGGTGCTGAGGAGGAAGGTGGTAGGAGGAAGCCCAGCTTGCCTGTGTGAGCCAGGGCAGGGATGGCTCCTGGAGGGTTCCCTCATCTCTGTATTTATTTACTCCTCTTTATTGTGCCTTCTCCCCACAGGGGTTTCTGAGAAAGGGATTCAAGTCCCAGGGGTAGATGGCCTGCAGGGATCCCTAATAAAAAATTATTTCACAAAGTAATACAGTAACACTTGGAATTCTTCCTTTCTTGTCATGTTTCTGGTGTTTTATATAATCTGAACTAGGAGAATATAGGGCCATGTGTGTGTGAGAGAAAAAGAGACAGAGAGAGCAAAACAGAGAAAGACAGACAGCAGAGAAGAGAAAGAACTAGCCAAACGCTGGCTCTCAGACTCCAATCATATCCTCCCTTCCCATTTCCTCAGGATATCAGCTAAACTCAGTGCTCCAGGGACCAGTGGCCTCCAGATCGCCTTTGAGTCCTCTCCTCCCCCACCCTCACATCCTCTAGTGAACTTTCAAAAAAGCATGGAAGTCATCCTGCTCCCCACCCATCCAGCCAACTACCTAGACTCTGGTGGCCACCATGTGCAATCACTATCTCCTCTGCATGAATGGTACTTTCACCACCTGAGCGACACAGGCTTCCCATTCAATGGGCAGCATCCGCCTGTATTTAACATTAGCTGCTCAATAATAACCCATTGAAGGAGTAGGCCCTATGATGTTTGTATAAGGAGAGGGGCAGTGAAGAAAGGGCTCCATGTGCTGAATTCAAGAAGGGGGTTATTTCTTTCCTACTATAAACAGAAATGATTATAAAACCAGATCCCAGAAAGAGCCCCTCAGCCTTCACTTTGGCACGAGGGGGTTTCGTTTCTCTGCAAGACTACCTCTGCGTGCTGACTTCTCCAAGTTTTTACTGCATTCCAGGGAGGGAGATAGAAACCAAAGCAAATAAAGTGCCCCCAAGGGCCCTCTCCTCCCTCTGAAAAGCTTCTATTTTTAATTCTCTGCAGCTTTTAAAACAGTCAAATGGGGAAGTTTCAACAGTCTGTGGTGGAAGAGAATGCCTGCCCTCTCTAAGGACACCCACTTTAGATAATCCCAGTTGGCCACGGGACACCAGGGCCAGGGCTGGGCAAAGGGGTTTTCTTGGCAGTTTCTTTTCAGCACATTTCTGTCATCACAAAGTAACTTTTAACAACTGTGTTTTCCTCTCTACAAATGAGAAGAAGGCAGATTTTGAGCTGGTGGCTCACTGCATGCAAAATGTACCTGCTTCCCCCATAGCGTCTGGTTCATGCTACAAGTGCGTTTTCCTGGCACTTAGTGCTTTATAGAGATGCTAAACTGGAAACCAGGGATTCCTAAGCTCCCTGCAGAATTTCCCACATTCACCCCGCGTCCACCTCACCAGGTGGGTGGCAATCATGAGCCCATCATTTTCAGGTGGGAAAATGGGCAAAGCCAGAAAAATGGCAAGTCGTTTTCCCAAGCATGTCTTGGAGGATGTTAGCAGGAAGAGTAAACATTTCTTCTCTGACTCAGTCCGGTTTGTGGCCTCATGGTTACTCTCTCCCAACCACACAATCCTGACTGTCACCCTGTGAGCATCTCTTAAGCCACACACCATGCACTCTGACCCTTAAAAACCTGAAGTGCCCCCACACAGGTCTCCTGAGGTTGAAGTAGCTTTGGGCACCAGTCGCGTGGTGAGCACAGAAGAGCAGGGTTGTGGAGGAGGATTTCCTCCGCTTCCTCCTAGGCCACCTTTGCAGAGCTGTCTCTAATACCCACAGGGCCTACTTTCAAAAAGACATATTTAAGGCAATTGGCCGTAGAAAGCTCTAGATCCAAATAACCTTTCAGGGTTCTTAAGGACAGGACTTGAAGCTTGGGGAGGAAGCAGCAAATGAGCTCCAGGTGTGAAGGGGATGAGACAGGCTCCAATGCAGTGGAGAGGTAGGAAGCCCAGATTTCAAAGTTATTTCTACCTCCTAAGGTTACATCCATTACATCAAGAATTTAAGTCTTTAGCCAAAATGCCCTATTTCCTAATACAGAGTTTTTAGTTGGCAAAACCCAACTTATAAATGTCTCCTGAGCCCTCCTCTTCTCTCCAGCTTTTAGAACTCAACCAAAGCCCATTTTACATGAATGAAGGAACAAAACAGTAGAAAGAAAAAAAGAAGAAGAATGAATGTGGCTGTGCCTGTCCATCCTTTGTCCTATCATTTTTTATCAACTTTGAATCCAGTGAAACCTAACAATAATTCAGCCATGAACTTGCTACATAAACTGGAGAAATTTGGAGCATATATTTCCAATTCATTTACACTTGGCTCATCAAAATACGTTGCACTTAAAAAAAAAACGCTATTTGATGTTTAAGGAATTGTTTCCACCTTTTAAAATAAGCCTTTCTCAATTCAAACAGGAAGCTGCAGAATGCTAAGAGAATAGAAACTCAAATACAGGAAGGTCCAGGGACTGTTCAAAACTCAGAGCCATGAATTTAGAGAGGGTTCAAAAGTTGGCAGCGTGAACCCTCTCATCCCCATCCACAAATAATAAATATCACAAGAAGGAAAAGGAGAAAGGAGAAAGCCACTGGAAAGCCATAACTTATCCTGGCTCCAGACTTACAGTTCTCTCCAATAAACCAGGAGTTCTTGGAGAACTTAGGTTGTGCTGCCTACAGGGAGCTGAGCTACTCTTGTGTCATAAATTACCTTGCTGGGGATAAACTTTCCTCCAGGTTCAACAGACAGGCAGCTCTGCAAGACCCATCACCCAGCTCTGTGCTTCCTAAATTATACTTCATCTGGTTGTGACATCTGAAAAGCTACAGGGAGAATGATCACCCCAAATTTGACCTTCCTATGCCACTGGGTCTTTTTTTTTTTTTTTAAAGAATAATAACTACATCAGGGGAAAAAAGATACAAGAGCATCCTATTTGAAAACACAAACAGGTAAAAAATAGAGCTTCCTATACACCTCCCCAAATAATAGTATGATGTTTTCAAACTTGTCTACACTAAGGGTCTTTTTAAATTGCAATGTGACCCTAAGTTCTTCCCCAACTGAAATAGCAACAGTGAAGCTTAAAGTCATTGAAGTGAGAGCGGCAGGGATTAACTTTTCCCCTCCTTTCTTACTTTGCAATCAGCAACAGCCTCATTCCAGTTCTCCAGTCGTATTCAGATGTGTACACACAGAGAGACACATGCACTCAAACATCTGAGAACCCAGAATATTTAAGGAAGTGGCTACAGTGCCTTGAAATGTGATCAAGCCTCTGAGAGCAGGTATCAGGCCAAGAGAAATAACTCTTATCCGTAAAGAGTTCTCTAATAAATCAGAAAGCCTTTTCTTCCACATGTCACCTGACATGTTTAATTTATCTCGTTTGACAGAATTGTGGCAAGCAGACTGACCACTGGCACAATTAGAATGGGCCTTTGTGACCAAGGGCAGAATATCAGGCATGGAAGGGCACAGAAAAGGAATACACACAGTAGGTATCCTATAAATGCTTGTGGGCCAGCTCAGTGTGATGGAGGATGCAAAAGAAGAGAACGAAGATTTCAGATTTCACAGGTTTACAGCACATCAAGCCAATGCATAGACACAGTAACCAATCTTATCTAATCCAAGAAATTTAACTTAACTGGTTTGCTTCTTCCTGGAATTTGGCCTCTGTCATAAACTCTAGGGAATTGCATAGGCTTATTCATTTTTGCTTCTGCATTTTACTTATGGAACACAAGATTTACAAGGAAGAGTAGGAAGAAATGTACTCTTTCTAATGTCTGCACCTTCTGAACTTGTGAACGCAGTGGATTTATTAGTGTCAGCTGGCTAACCTTGCATCTGGTCATACAATTTGTCTTGAAAGAAAAAGCCTTTACCTGGAGAAAAAAACACACCTTGACCTTGCTATCAAAATAGCTTTTAAATACCTATACTTTATTTATTTAGGAAAAATGATCACAGTTACTAGCCCAATGTTCCCTTCCCTGCACCAACTGCTACACTCTAATTACCAAGGCTCTCCTGGCATTGAACAGGAGGAGACTGTCTTCACTTCACTTCTAAATCTTTATGTAAAGTAGGACTAAACTATCCCCAGTTATACAGGTGAGTAAACTGAGACATGGACAGAGATCAGCTTATTTTCTTCAAAATTAACTAGTGGCAGGGCCTAGACTTACACCCATTCTGGACCCCAGGTGTATGTTTTCAACTTCCTGGCAAGGCCACCTCTGTGTGCACCCGGTTCATCGATCTTCTTTCAGCAAGAAGATTATTATTGAATACCCAACGGGCATTCAACTTATCATTGATCATATACATATACTTTAATTATTTTTGTTCATTTACTTTTTCCTATTTTAAGATAATTGAAATATAATACACATAAATAAAAGTGCATAAGTATTCAGTCCCACGAATTTTCCACAAGGTGCATGTAAATCAGCACCCAGATCAAGAAACAGATCATTTGAACCCAAAAGCCCCCTCCTTTTTACCCTCTTCATTATACTCCTGTCTTCATTCCCAGCCAATATATGCCTTTCCTTTGGTTGGGGGCAGTAATAAATTTGGTTATAAGCACATGCTTTGGAAGCAGATTATCTGGGTTGAAATCCCAGTACCCCTTTTATAAACTTTGTGTCCTTAGGCAAGTTGCTTAATTTCTCTGTGCCTCAGTTTTCTCAACTCTAAATTGGAATATTAATAGAAACTCATGAGATCATGGGGAAGATGAAGGGCTATAATATGTATAAGAGCTTAGGAAAAGGTAAATAGAAAAGCTCGGGGTAAACCCGCAGGAAGAACCAGCTATTATTACTGGAACATTTCTCCTCATTCTCAGAGACTGTCCAGGGAAGACCAATAAGATGCAAAGATAGTAGAGCAAGGTAGATGGCAAGGGAGAGGGAGATAGAGAAATTCAATCAAGCATGTGCCTTATGTCAATATGAGAAATAAATCCACCTCTAGACTAGGGAGAGGATGAGAGCTGGACAGGTTGAAGAACAGCTCACTAGACAGTTTGCCAGTCACACAGAATCAAGTTTCTAAAGCAAAACTCTTATTTGAAACATAATGTATTTTCTCATCAGTCCTACTAATGCCCCATATGTGTGCAAATATGCCCCATATGCCAAAGATGATAAGCATGAGTGCTCTTTTAGATCACCCATGGGCCTTCCACTCCCACCATGACTCCTAATAGTCTAGAATTAGATGTATATTTGTTAGCTTCCTACACTAGAAAGAAAAAACGTGTAATTTTTTTCATCCAATTCACAGCTTAATTCCTTCTCCCTACTATACTTCATTAACTAGGCCATTTTGACTGACAGTGCAAAAATCTCTATTTGGCATAGCTTTTTAAGTAGAACAGATTCAGGCATTTTTTCCATGCTACATCTCTTCACATTTTTGAGTCACTTAAAATATTTTTGATCCATTTCATTTAGCACTTTTCAAAATTCTCTGTAGTGTAAATCAAAAGCAATACGTAGCTTAAAGCATAGTTTCCAAGAAGCCAGTTACCTCAGAGATGTAAAAATACAGGACAGATAATCTGCCATGCAAATTTCTTTTTATGTTTTCTAGCTGAAACAATGCATTTGCTGGAACTTCTTTCTTAGGTCTACATGTTTTATGTAGACATCAAAATATTTAACCAAGTTATAAAAGTCAAAAAAGAACAGAGAAAGAATAAAAACATCTTTCATGTAATATTAAAAATGGCAAGCATTTAATATTCATTTGAATAACGAGTTGACTACTGTAAAGAATTAACATAGTTTAGATTCTCAACAGTAACAGACAGATTGAGGTCTGACATATTGACATTATTAAGTTGCAATAGGATTTAGGAAAACTCAAAATAGATAGGAAAAGAGGCCCATGCTTGGTTTCTTCCCTCCCTCCCTTCTCTTGCTCTCTCTCCCTCTCCTTACCCTCCCTCTCCCTTGCCTCTGCAGTTTTTCTTTTCATGTTTGTTGTGAGGTAAACAGACCAGAGATGAATATTAAACTCTAACATGCTGTGCACTCTCAAGCTCTAACAGATCTTTTTTTTTAGTGGGATAGAGATAATGTTACTTACAGAGCCTTTCGACAACATGGCCATATGGCTGGCCAGACCCCCTGTCTAAAAGGAACAAAATGCTTCCTTCCTGGGTGGCTGGCTGTGGGCTGGAACAGTACATGATGTTCAAGATAAGAAAACGGAAGTTCCTCGTGCTGAGCTTAACCAAATGAGGTAAAATAAGAAATGGAAAGACAATGAGAAGCTGCCTTATTTGCAGCCTGTGTCAGAGCCAGCGCAGGGATTTGGAGTTGAACAGCATCTCTCTCGATCATAAGCGGGAAGGCCTTGTCCCAGCTACTTAACTCCGTGTAGATATAAATATGAGATGAAGCTGCTTTGTTACCTTTTAGGGATATTGCAAATACCACAGAGATCATTATAAACTGATTCTTCGTGCCCTTGAGCTTGCTGTGTAAAATAAATTGAGCCTGTAATTTCCAGTCCAGTGGCTAAGGATTCTGTCTACCCATTTCTAAGGCCAGTGATTCCCATTTGAAGGGTCTCTCCAACCCTTTAGAAACTAGATCTACCCTCCACAGGACGCTGGTGACCATCTCAGCCATGGCACTTGCCCTCCAGACTTTGCAATGCACCACGTGCCCAGCCTCTGCCCCAAGAAGCTCCAGCCACCACCACCTTATTCTGAGGCTTCATTTCCTCATCTGTAGAACAGGGAAAACATTAGTTTCTGCCTGATGGAGACACTTCTGCTCAGATTCTCTTTATGTGCCCAGCCTGCTGCAATCTATAGGTGATCAGGGCAATAGGCGTATCTGGCCATAATCAGCTCTGTGACCCTCAGCAACTTATGTAACTCTCCGGGTCTCCCTTCTCTCATCTGTAAAATGGGAATAATAAGACTGCTTCATAGTACTGTAAGAAGAGTTCAATGGCATATAACTCTCAGGAAGCCATTGCTAAGTAAAACAAAAGGATCCTCCTTCTGGCCTCATTCCTTCAGTTTCCTCCTTGACCCATTCCTCATGCTGTCTTTTAGGGTGGGACCCTCCAATTAGTCTTTCAGGTACTCCTTTCAGTTAAACATTTTTGAGCACAGTCACCAATATATATTTATATATTTATAAATTTTATACCTATAGTGCTTTGTTAATATGTTTTGTGCATTCTGAAAACACACACATACTACACAGAAGTTTTCAAAGAATGAGGTAAGAAAGTCAATAGAAATAGGAATTTAATCATGTTCTTCATGCACTCCAACTAATCATCTAGGGCTCCCTCTTCTGCTCTCTAGCCTCCCTGGCCCTGCAGGAGGAGTGTTCCCCTGTGGGATCCTGTATATCCCATCTTCTTGGGAGAGTTGCACACACCATAACCCAAGCATGGCTTCACTGGTCAGGATAAGCCTCCATTCTCAACACAGTAGCATGATCCCAGGTGACAGTCAGCTTCACGGACATGTGATCCATGCAGTGCCATAGGGTCTCATGCTCAAGTGGGTGCCATGCTTGGTTAATTCTCAGATGTTGCCATCTTGAAATTCTTAATAATTCTACCTTTGAACTTGTGCTTTGTAGGCAAAGTCTGATGGGACAACGGAATGTATATGTGAGCAGAGAAGACATGCACAGTACATGTGTCCACTGTTTCTTGCTGTCCCATTTATATGTATTGTTGGTGATGCCTCATGAGCACAGCAATTCTAGTGGGCCCACCTTGTGTGAGAGTTCAGTGACACTCCAAGTGAATACAAGGTGAGCATATTATGGAAGCTACCTGCTTCCAGAGTGCCGTAGTATACACGTGTTTCAAGAAGTGAAATAAAAGCAGTGGAGTTTTGTGCAGTGTTTTCACTGTTCTGGCAAGAATCAAATACCTATGCAAGTACAAGCTATGGAAACCAAATTGTATATTTTCAGTGATTCTACACACATGCTTTTACATTTTCATTTAAAGCTGACTTTGCACAATATAAAGATAAATGGGAAAATTTGTGCTAATAATTTAAAACTTTAATTTTTCTTTACTAAAAAATGACATCAGATAGCAAATAAATAACATGATGACAAGAGGAGAGAAAGAAATATGGAAGAAAGAAAAAAGTTTTCTATCTTGGTACCTTTAATACACTTCTTTAATGCTTTTTATACAAGCTGCCCCATGTTTTTATTTTACACCATAATCAGCTCTGCCCCCAGTCCTCTGACTCAGGTCCAACATGACTAATGTGTCTCTATGAGGAGTGAGTCCTCCCCACCATCTTCTCTCACTGGAAAAAGGGGAGAAGGCTCTCCATTCCGCCCTAAGAAATAATTTATCCTTCCGAGACCACAGGTAATCACATTCAGTTGATGACATGCTTCATATTTCACTTATTCATTCAACGAGTATTTGTGTGTTTATTGACTCTAAATGTAAATAATATCATGTTAAACATTTGCTCAAGGGAACCGGTACCTATTTTACCCTGTTTCTGACAACAGCAGAAAGTTCCTGCTGAAATGTCAAGATCTCAGTTCAAAAGAATCCTGCTGTTGAAACTCGAGAACTGAGCTCTGGAGCATCTACTCTTCAGAATCCTTTACCCACGCCCAGAAGCTAATGATTTCCAGAGGTGGCCACAGCAAAGAATTCATAGGAACATTGGTTATTGTGTCAAGAGTCATGTCAAGAAGGGAAGGTCACTGGTTCCAAAAATTCCAGAGGTGAAAAGTCACTCTTACAAATACCGTGTCCTCCACATTCAGCACATCATGGTATGTGCTTTATCATAATTTGGTGGGCCACCAGCTGTCACCAAGGCAGACATCATCCAAATGAAATTCTTCAACCTCACTAGCCAGGTGTCACTTTTACAGCTGGTTGACACTTTCTGCCAGGCATGGACATGGGTCAGGTTTTTGCCTCTTGAATGGACTAAGTCAGTGGTTCCCGAAGTGTAGTCTAGGAACAACTGGGGGTTCCTGAGACACTTCTTGTGGGTTTATGCAGTTAAAATATTTTCATAATAATCCAAAATGTTATTTGTCCTTTTCACTCTTCTCTCACGAATTTACAGTGTAGTTTTCTAGAGGCTACATAACAAATATTTCGTTGTTCTGATGGCTAATGGAATGGGTATTCTTGTATTTTGAAAATTTTTCAATTTTAATATCTAATATAGTTAATATTTATAGATATAGCCCAGATAAACATAAGCTCTCTGAAGTCATCAACAACTTTAAGAATGTAAAGAGATCCGAAAAACAGAACATTTGAGAAGTGCTGGACTAAGTGAAGCAGGTATCCATTACCATTTCCATTTCTTCAACGACTGGTCTACCCTCTTCTTTCCCAGATAATTCCTTCTCACAGTCCCAGCAATGACTAGTGTGATCCTTACAACTCACCAAGGAGACTGCCATGCCAATGACTAGCAGGCAGACAACTATAATTGAGCCTTGGTCACTTTGGCAAACAGAATACTAAAGATGTACAGCTATAGGACTCTGCAAAGTCACTCATCATATGACATAAGCCACAAACTACCCTTAGTATAATCAAGAGAATTTTAAACTGTTTTAAATTTTAAACTTCTTTTGCATAAAGAAGGATGTGGTATATATTAATTTTTAAAGTGCATTTAAAAAAATTACCTGGTTTTCCCAAACCAAAAAAAAAAAACAAACAAAGAAAAAATCAGTTGAATAAATTGCATCTGACAGAGCATATCCTTGGAAAAGGAAATCCCTGCTACCTCCTAAAGAATGTCTTCAACACACACATGAAACCCTTCATAGACACATATGGTATTTAATACATACCTGCTACGGAACAGCTGATGCTTTTACCTTTTCATGAACTATGAGTCATCCCCCTGCCCTGGAGAAGATTTTCTGAGCTTCATAAATATTGATCATACTCCCTAAATTCTAACAGGTGGTTTCTTCAAATATGAGTAATACTTCCCAACGTCACCCTTTATTTTCTACATTTAGTCATGATGTATTTGTTGACTACCACAGAAGAAAGAGGTATTCCATATAAATGAATATTCCGGATCACTGAAACTTAGCCACTTCAAATCCCAAGACATTTATTCATTCAAAAACATTCCTGGACCATGAGCTGGGCCTTGAGACTACTACGACCAATTAAGCAAAAAGTGCCCTTAGAATTGCTCATATTCTAATGGATGTTGAATAGAATCTGTCCTAAAATTTATTCCAGTCATCTTAAAAGTGGTGTATGTGAAGAAAAGATTAGAACATCTAATTTAATCTTTATCTTATTTTGGAGTATGTTTTATTATATAAACAATATATTCATTTAATAGCACATGCATAAATTATAAATAAATAAAAACACATCTATTGAGAGCGAGCACCCCCAAATTTTTACTGATGGGATGTGCAATTTTCCAAGGTTAGAGACACTGACTGAACGCCCTCTTCTAGGCCTTCTTTTTAAGACAAGGGGTCAGTCATCCTCATGAACCCTTCCTCAATCACTCACCAGCTGCATGGGCATTTGCTGGAAAATTAGAATACACTCTAAGCAGGTCTGGCTGTCAGGGAATTTAGAGATGATTGACCTTTTATTTTACAAAAGAATCAGGGCCCCAATTACTAAGTGACTGCCTAAGCGGTTTCCCAGTTTGGTGAAGGAGTTAGCAATGATTTCCAAAGTGGGAATGTGAGTTAGCATTGCAGTGGGTGGAGCCATGTGAAAACGCAGGATCCTGGACTGAGGATACAGATGTTTTTGGTCAGAATCTCCCAGTTTGTTATTTTCAGCAAGCTCCCTGGGTGATTCTCAAACATTCTCTGATTGGAGAACCGTGGGAGTTGGAAGAGGCCGAGGTCTCTGCACGAGCTGGCTCCTTCTCATACGTTGTCTCAGCTTTTAGAGCAGGAACTATGGTGTTCAGTACCACAGCGAGCCCTCAGGGCTTTCCAGATGTGTTTGACCCGATATATATGGCTGTGGAGAGCTGATTTTGCTAATTCTGGGACCACTTTCTAGGGGCTTGTTTCTGATTCTTCCTTTGATGTCAGGCTGTTGGCCATCATTTCTTACTGCCTTCGGTGTTATCCCTACCAATCTGTCTTACCTCCTTTGTTGGCCCCCTCCAATTTTCTGCTTTTAATTCGTTATGGGCTGAGAGACTATATAAATTGGCTTGTTAGAAGTATGTGTTAATTACAACTCAATCAGACATAGTTAAAGTGCATTGATTTGTGACTGGTGTTTCCGCTGCTTCGAGCCTGTTTTGCTTCCTTCCTCTTTCTCAAGCTGAATTCCAGAAGGCAGAGGTTGGGGGACGTCTGACCTCTGGTTAAGTGGGGCACTAGGATATTTACTTTCTTGTCACCTTTCACTGCTGTCAAAGCTCAGAGTCTGGTTGGCCCCCAGAGGAGCCAGTGTGCCTAATGATTCAGGACACCTGGGTCGACCCACTCCTCCATTTCTCTAAGCTCAAAGTGATTTACAGGAAGAACAGGAAGAGGGGATAGGAACCAGAAGCAAGAGGAAAGGCCCACTCTCCAGGGTGGACCAGGAAGTAGGAATCAGCTTCTCTGACAGACACACTAATTTCCAGTTCAAGAAGAGTCTAGGTCTGTCTCCCTCTAAGAGCTGCTGGGGCATCTCAGCCATGAAATGCCACATTAGGCAGCAAGGTTTCATCTGGCTGTGGGTGAGGAGGCATCTCTAGCCTAGAAGGCATAATCAATATATTTAACACTAAAGTTCATTCCATTCAAAAATACTGCTAGTTTCTAAAACATTTTCAACATATAATAATATCCTTATAGCCTAACCTTTATTTGGCTGTGATGCGATTGTTGAATGACATCAGGACAATTAGAAAGATCATAAAATTTTCATCTTCATCTTATATTAGGAAATAAAAATTAATTATCCTCACAATGCCCCAGGATCCTTCACTCTCCCTTCATTATACACAAACATACAATCTTCTGAGTGAAGAAAGCTCTCTGTCTTTACAAAGTTATAAAATGACAAAAATCAACCCAAAGTCAAATGTTATTTTATTTCATGGGGTTCTGGGCTTCTTGTGAGCTAATAATGTCTTGTTTTTTCCAGAAAAAAAAAATAATGTCTTTAGCTAATATCCCAGGTCAGGACATGCTTGACTGAAGATGAAGTGTGTGTTAATTTTGTTAAAAATGGGGTTTTGAGAAGAGGCAAAAAGCAAAAGGTACTTGTACACAGGGAGGGATCACACTGATCCATTTTCAGTGCTTAATTACAAATCTGCTCCAACTAATTTCCTTATTGTGCCCACAGCTGCTATTCTTTTGTCACCAGTTTATTTTTCTTTGAAAATCTGAAAAGCATCAAGGCTCACCCTGAAAGGCATCAGAAGCAGAACTGAGGTCCCAGATGCCCCATTACTGGTCTCGTTTGCAGGCCTGTTTGGTTGTTTATGTCTTGCATTCAAATCATTTATTTTGTTCAGACCCTCTTTTGCTTTGAAAATGACTTTAGGACACTGAACCGCTTTTATCACTCAACCGTTTGCTTGCTGGGTAACAGGAACATCCTGGTTTAATTAACATCATAACTTCTCAATAATCTCTAGGCAGGTCTTGTTCGGTAAATATCAAAAAGTTTAGAGTTCCAAAGACTTTCACAATGACCCAGGGGTCTGAGTATCTTTGTTGGAAAGAAAAAAAATGTTGCTCATATGAAGTCATAGTGATTTTGGAAGATTTTCATCTGTAAGTTTTCATGTCATATAGAATGGCTTGGAACTTGCAAAGGCTTTGCTTTCTCAGCCAGGAAGATTGGCTGCTAAAAGCAGCTAAGGCACTTGGTGGGTTGAGGGTGCTGGGGTATTAGTAAAATACACTATATTGCAAGCAGCATGGTAGAAAGCTTAAATGTTTGTTCCCAAGAGGCAGAGAGACCTAGGTTCAAATCCTGGCTTAGGCAAGTTATCTTAACCTCTTGAGGCTCAATGCTCCCAAATGTAAAAGAGAAATGAGTAGCATCTGACTTCTAGGGTTGTAATGAGAATTACATTAGCTAATGCTTGGAAAGCACTCCAACTCAGTAAACAAGAGCTCTCATTATTACCATTATTAATATTTGTTTCTTGTAAGAAGAGCTTAGTTGTTTGGCTGAATATTTCTGGTTTTTTTCTGGTTAATATCAGTATTGTGAAAAACAATGTAAGCTGATCTCAAGTGAAAATTGTTATGTTAACTAATCTAGGTAGGGTGACTATATAATTTGTGGTCCTAACCAAGACATTTTAAGAATGAAATTGTGCACTATTAATAATTATGCCAGGACAATAGGCACAAATCAGGACCATCCCAGGCAAACCATAACATATTCATCCCTTGCCGTAAGGAATCTCAAACCAAAAAATTATTAGAACTGAAGATAACCTTAGATATTTTCTAGTTCAATGCTCCAGTTTTACAGTTGAGGAAAATGAAGTCCAGAGCAGTGAAATAACTTACCCAAGGTCACACAGCTAGTAATTGAAAACCAGGGTCTGGAATTCCAGTCTTTTAATTTTAACTCCAGTGACTGTTCCACAGTATGGCTCTGCTTTCTAATGTCTTTAGCAAGGCTGGGGACTATTTTCCTCCTGTTTCTTCTTCAGGAAGGATCTCAAGCCATCCTACTTTGTTTTCTTCCCTCCACTTTACACCAGAACAGATGACGGCCTGTACAAAACAATCTTCTTAAAAGAAAGCTTGTCATTTTTCTAACCTAAATCCCTCATGCTGTTGTTAAAAGCTATTGTCCCTTTTTATTTATTCAGTCATGAGTTGAGAAAGAAAAAGAGCAACTGTTCCCCCTTCTATAAAGGAAATTATTTTTGGTCACTCTCAATTATTCTGTTTCATTTTCCCTTGGGATTAAAGATTTAGTTCTAAACCAGAATGCCCTTTTGAATGATTTTTTCCAAAACCTATCACCAGAAAACTTTTGCATCTAAGACCCCTGGAAATTATACATGTGAACGTACATCTTTATCCCTGTAAATTATACCACACGTATAATATTGTCATGAATAGATCTCAGAAGCTCTCATTTTAGGTGATTTTGTTGCATTATTTAGACAAAGCAAATATTCCGTAGACAGGATTTGACTTTAAAGAGATGAGAGAGCCAGATGACCAGAAATCACACATGTCAGGCCTTCCTGAGGTATATCACCAGCCTCTCTCTTTAATGAAGACCACATTTTATAACAATGCTCCTATACAAATGCAAATTTATGGAGATTGTTTATTTAGACTCTCGCTTTTGTACATCAATCTCCATGTTCCATCCTCCTCTCCTTTTTGCTTTGAAAGAGATAACGTGGTTATTCAGGTCATATCTCTCCAGGTTTTATGGTCTGGCATGCCCATAAAGATGACAGGAGGTGCATTTCGCAGGCAGCAGCCTTCCTCTCCCCAGGCTGTCTTGTGTTGTAGACCAGGTACCAAAGCAACTGCTACAGGATGGGTCCATACTTTCCTCCTGGATTTGTGGTTCATTGATGAACAAGGCATGAAGCCAGACAGTCATGAAGCTCCCAGACCCTACTGAGCATTGGCTGGGTGGAACAGCCAATGAATACCCTTAAAAGTTATCTTAACACACCGCCTCTACACAGTATGTTTGTTATGCACATAGATTTATCTCTAAGAGTTAAAATATGTGAGACTCTTTCTACATCTCTGATTAAAAGCCCATTTTTGAAAGAAGGGGCTAAGATATGTAGATGGCAAACTGTGTATTTACTCAGAACCTGGTCAGAAATGAATGAGAACTCAAAACCATCCATGCAGAACAGATACCAGCTTCATGATACCATTTAAGCAGGCAATATAAGTTGTGGTTAAGAGTGCAGACTAATGTCAGAGGTGAGTTCAAGCCCAGTCTCTACCACCATGTGACTTCAGGCAAGTTACTTATTCTCTCTCTGCCTCAGTTTCCTAATCTGTAAATTAGGAATAATAAAGAGTATCTGCCTCATGGGATTGCTATGAAAAGTAAATACTATGAGGTATGTAAGTCACTTATCATAGTAATTGGCACATTGGAAGGACAAAAGAAACTTTTGCAACAATTTTCTTTTTTATATAATAATGAAAGTTATCTGATATACATACATATATAGTTTGTTGTTTTATATATATAGTATATCATAGAGCATGTTTTGGAAGGAAAAGTTAACACAAGAAATATACATATATATAGTTTCAAGAACTATATATATATGTGTGTGTGTATATATATATACATTTATATATAGTTTGTTTAATAGAAGGCAGCAGAGAAGTTCAGGCTATGGTTAGAGCCAGCAGAAAGTGAGAGACGAGGACAATGATTTTAAGAACCGAGTGGCAGGCACAACAAGAGACAGAGACAAATGATGATGTAGACATGTGATGCCACATGGCTAAGCAAGAGCAATAGGACAGTAAGGAAAGGGCATAGTCAAAAATGCCAGTATGATCAGGATCATGTGTGGCAGGCCAGGCTGGTGCGGCATTTGATAAAGTGGCCCTATCTCTATAGCAAGATCTTGTAGCACCTCTTGTGAAGGGTTGCCTGAGGGCTCATCAGGGACCTCAGCCTCCAGAACCTAGGAGGAGAGGGGAATCTTCCCAGGATCACCAGGTGTTCCTCCGTAGAGAAGTCAGTAAGCAGGATGTATCTGCCTGTGCATCAGACCTTCATGTGCCCCCATCCCCACACTATAACCTCAGCCACAGAGAAACTGCAGCCCTGTGTGTTTATGAAAACCCCAGGGCCCAATGCATCTGGTTTTCAGCCATGGAGCTGGAAAGCAGAGCTACCCTGCCATGCTCTGCATCGGTCTGCACTCCATCCAACAGCTAAGAGAGTCAGGGCGGGCTCGAGTTTCATGGCCAGGCACTGAGGCCCTCCAGGTAAATTCCAACTGGTCCATTTCATGTGAAATGTTCCAGCTTGACCAAGAGTCGCTGACCTCGAGAGCAGTCGTTTAACCTCCATTACTTGGTTTATATTGGTAATATTTACATTGGGAACTTGATTAAAGCTGACCTTTGGTGAAAACGGAATCCAATATGTATTAGAAAACTCCCCGCCTTCTCCAGCCGTGTCAGGAGTCATCTGTTCCACGTCTCCCCTAATTGGCTGACTGCATCCACCTCTCTCACTGAATGTGTGCAATACTTTCCATTTGGTTTTGTGCCTTTGTCCCTCACTAGCACATTTGAAAGTTAACCAGGCTAGGAGCCGCTGCCTGGTTGAGGTTGAGGACAGAGTTAGTCTGTCATAAGTAGATCCTATTCATCACAAGGTGCAGAGAAGGCACTGAATGTCTCCTGGCCTTCCTGCTCTAAGGAACCTTGCCCCAGTGTGAAGTGATCCAGATGTCTCAACTCCTACCTTTACAAGGATAACTGAGTCCCCTGGGGAAGGAAGGTAGTGGCCATTGACTCAGGATAAAACTCCTCTTCCTACATGAAAATGTTATCTGTATTGCTTTTCAGATCAATAGATCCATAAAATTGAAAAGGAGGATACTTGATGAAATGTTTGTTTGCTGACATGTCCAGAAATTGCTCCTTACCACTGAATCAGTTCAGCAAGTATTTATCAATTACCTCTTTAAAATGCTGGACAGTCTGGGAGTCGATATACCTTCAAGGAACTTTAAATCTGAGGGCTGTGTGTGTGTGTGTGTGTGTGTGTGTGTGTGTGTGTGTGTTAGGAGTGGAGGCATGAATAGGAAACATATCTACACACAGAAGTTAAATAACAATCTC
Source organism: Homo sapiens (assembly GCF_000001405.40). Classification (NCBI taxonomy): domain Eukaryota; kingdom Metazoa; phylum Chordata; class Mammalia; order Primates; family Hominidae; genus Homo; species Homo sapiens. Next base: position 25,631,006 of record NC_000007.14, read on the forward strand.
AGGTGATGAAAACACTATTGGCCCGTGCATCAAGATTCCTGGCTTTGCCACGAACTAGCTTTAATGCCCTTAGTAAGTCACACAACCTCTTGGGTTTCAAGGACATCCGCAGTAACGTGGAAGCCTTGGCCCAGAAGGTAAATTAGGTAAATTTCAGCTTGACAATATTCTGTGACTCCATCAACAAAGAACAACATAAGGAATGTCACAGACTGAATGTGATGAAGATACAAACGCCCAGTTGATTCAAGAGAAGGAGAAGCCATGGGTCACTGGCAGGCATAGAGCACAGAGGCACTGGGAAGAGGGTAACAGCACAGAGCATGAGCAATCTGGGAACACTGGTCCTGTAGCCTTGGGTTTATGGTTCCTGCTACAACTACGTAGTATGAGGCACAGACAGCTCAATATTCCCAATAGAATGGATTTCCTTTTGCAGAGATTAGGGGTAAACCTTTCAAATATGGACTGTTTTTCCTGTCTCAAGCATGCAATTTTATATCATTCTTATCACAATCCTGTGAAACTGGAATGATTATTCCCACTTTCCAGATAAAGTTGGAGACTGAGAGAGTTAATTTCCTCTGATCACATAGAGAATAGAACCAGGATGTAAACTTAACTCTGTTCATTCTAAAGCCCATACTCTGGTCTGGTGCAGACCCAGCCCTCTGTGTTCCCCAAGGAGTCAGTCCAAGTTACACCAGTTTGCTATACTAAAGGAGACAGGTGAGGAACACTAGCTGTCAGTGTTACTCACCTTGAGCACCACTCACTGAAAAAAACAATAGGTGCATGAGCATCCAATCTACCCTCCTACAAAATGAAAGGGCCTGAGCATCTCCAGAAGGCAGGAACAAACAAATGTCTGGAAAGAAATAAAATGAGTATGCATAGCAACAATTTAAAAGACTATATTGAGAGGAAGAAAGGCCACCAAATGAAAACTAGTTGGGGAGCTAGAGCCTTGTCTTTGAACCCAGGAGGCTGTTGGGTGTACCCTACACGATGTAAGGAGGCAAGGAGATTTCTCCCCATTCCTTCTCTCCAGTCCACCTGGCAAAAGCAGCCACTTGCAGTTTGGGCTGTCAAGGTCAAGGCCTAAAGAAAAGGTAGTACAAAGAAATGATAAATGTTTGAGGTGATGGAGATACTAATTACCCTGACATGATCATTACACAATGTATACATATGTCAAACATCACATTCTACGCCCATAAACATGTACAATTATTATGTGTCAAAGAAAAAATAAAAAGAAGAGGTAGTGACTCCTCTTGAAGTCACCTTGACCATATTTTCCCCAGCAAGCTCCCCACTGGGGGCAGGACACCCCAAGTGGTGTTGACACAGTCCCTCTGCAGTCCCTTTGGAAGCTGGGAGCCCAGGAGCAGAGCATGAGTGCTGGAACCAAGATGGCACTAACTTGGGGGTAGGCTTCGGGCACTGGAAGCCAACCCCACAAACAACAGAAGGAAATATCAAATTATTGGGAATCATGTGATAAATTAAAATTTCTTTTCAAGATAATGTTCTTTTTTCTATTTCTAGCCAAAGAATCTCTTTTCCCTTATCTAAACAATCAGAGAATTTGGTTCCCTCAAGTCTCAACCTTCCCTGTGAAGGTTATTATTGGCTCGGTTAAACAAAGTACTTGTTTATAATAGATATAAGAGATGACGAAGTCGTTTTGAAATTACACAGTTGTTGTAATAAAACCAGTTAAAACCTTATTTAAAAAATGTCACAGCTGGTCAAATGTATTAATGGCATATGGTTTAGTTTTCTCTTTTTTTTTCCCGCAGAACAATATGTGCATTGTCATTTCACAGAGTGAGTAGAGGATTAATGGAGCAAGATAAACTTTCTGCTTGCTGTTCTTATAGACAATCTACACTTTCATTAACTGACTCAAGCTTTATTTATCCCTTTCTATGTCTCATCTTCCCTGGCTTGCCATTTTCTTCCCCAAAGCACCCAATTACAGAATTCCTAAAATTCCGGGTAATGTAAGAGATGAATATTATATCATATAAAGCATGTTTTAGAAGGAGAAATTAATGCAGAAAGTACACACTACATAAACAAAATGCCCACAACTGGCAGACATAATTATTTTTTCTCCTGTTGATATTACCAACTGTAATAATAAAGTCAAAAATGTGCCCTAAAACATAATATTTCAGCTGCATGTAGTCATCATACCAGCAAAGAACATAATTGCATTATTTGTCCCCTCTGAAATCTCTCACTCATAGCTATACCTTTCCCAAGATCTCCTATTAGAGAATTATTTGGCTGTTTCCAAAAGTAACGCATTGACTGAAGTTTTGAAGTCTGGACTTGCCAACTTAGCTGTACCTGTTCACATGGGTCATCTCAGAATTGTGCCTGGATTCTGCCTGGAGCTTGGAGATGCCATCTCTAATCTACAACCCTGCCATGTATTTGTTTTTTGTCATAAATGAAGCATGGGGCTGTGCTTTAATTTTCCTTACTGCCCTCTGTCAAGTAATAACCATAAATATTGTCCTGAATCATTAAGTCACAACCTGAAATGTGATCCTGCCCAGCTCCCAATCAGACGGCCATCTGGAAGATGAAAGAAGTCTATTTGGGTTTCGGAATGATCCAGACTCTAATTTGTAGTAACAGTCTTAACAGGCTGTTTCAGAGACATTAACCAGCAACTTGTCTCAAGTTCTCAAGGAAGGCACATTGTCCACAGTTGGAGGCATTTGCTTCAAGCAGAACCGTGAACTGTAACTGTTGGAAAACCACCAGGCTCACTGGCTTTCAATCAAATGCCACATTCTTCCATGGACACTGGATTTCTACCCAAGGGCAAGAATATATGCATAGAGCAAATGCATACATAATATATCTCCAAATATTCTCTATGTCATAAGGAAAGCAAACATTTCAATACAGGAAAACAAATTGCAGCTTCTACAAGCAAACAACAATGCAACATGATAGATACATAATTTTTCCTATCACCCCAAGGTTACTCTTGCAGGGAAAATAAATTGTACTCTGATTTTGCCATAGAAATAATTTTGTAAACATAAAAAGAAAGTCACTATCTAAAGTCTAAAAACATATGCTTAGATATGAGTGCAGTACTGATTAAAAGGACGGTTGGTCAAACAATTTTTTTAACTATCTGAGCTTCCTGATCATTAGAGATGCAAACAGTATCAATAGGAGATGCCTTTCCATTTCTACTTGACTTTGGATTGGAAAACCAAGTAGAGAAAACAACTGTGAAAAATTATGCTTCTTCTCCAAGTTATACCTAGCACTGTTCTCTCTACGGAGTGAGTTGAATTTAATTTTTGAGCATTGAAAATACACGTAAAAATTAAATGAAGATATTCACTCATAAATAAATGATATTTTAGGCAAGTATGTCAATGGTGACTCTGAGAGAACTAAACAAATGCTAATGAACACAAGAGAGTTTCTTTTCAGCCTTCAGGGAAGGAAATTTCACGCCAACTTTCAGAAACCCTCTTTTTTGCCTCAAAATTTGGTTTGGCACCCCTCACTTTCAGTAATTAAAAATATTTATTAATTATTCATTAAAATTAGTGGCATAAAAAAGATAGATTAGAAGAAATTTAATTGTATTTAACAGCCTTATTTGAGCCTTTGAACAAATCAATTATTAAAAAGTCCATGATATGAGAGAATCTGATCATGGGCTGGGTATTAGATAATATTAAGGAATTATTACTACTCTTGTCAGATGTGATAGCATCATAGCAATTTTAAAAGTCCTTATCCTTCAGAGATACATACTTAAGTATTCATGAGTGAAATGATATGGTGGCTGAGATTTGCTTTAAAATAATAGGTGATAGATGTAATGTAGGCAGATGAAATAAATAATACTAGGTAGATGATACAAGACTGGCAAAATATTAATACGTATTAAAGAGGAGTGGTAGATACCTAAAATTCATCATCTTTTTTTTCTACTTTCATCTATACTTAAAATTTTTCTATTAAAAAATATTTTTTAGCATATTGAGAACCTAAAGCAGTGGTTCTCAACCGGGGTGATTTCTGGCTACTACAATTGAGGAGGCAGGGTGGTACCAGCATCTAGTGAGTAGAGGCCAGGGATGCCGCTACACATCCTGCTATGCACAGGACAGACCCACAGCAAGGAATTACTCAGCCCCAAATGTCAATGGTGCAGAGGTTGAGAAAACCTGGCCTGGACAATGTCTTGTTAGGATGGAGTTGATACATGGGTAAAATATAGTCACTGCCTTCATGGAGTTTACCATCTTCCAAAAAGAAGAAAACAAATAACTATCCTACAAGGCACCCTGCACCTGTCTTCTATCACATCTCTTTGTCAGTGACTTCCAGGAGGGATGGAAGGAAGATGAACTCCTTATAGTCAGGGGTTCAAAGGCAGTGCTTTTCGTTATTACTTACTTACAACACTAGCCTCTGGAAATAAGATTTTTAAAAGGTCTTTGATAGGAAGGTAATTTAATGGGTTACATTTTAGATAAAGATTGGTATATACACAGTGGAATACTACTAAGCCATAAAAAAGAAGAATGAAATAATGTCTTTTGCAGCAACTTGGATAAAGCTAGAGGCAATTATTCTAAGTGAAGTAACTCAGGAATGGAAAACCAAATCCCATATGTTCTCACTTATAAATGGGAGCTAAGCTATGGGTATCCAAAGGCAGACAGAGTGGTATAATGGACTTTGGAGACTCCAAAAAGGGAAGACAGGAAATGCCATGAGGGATTTTAAAAAAACTACACATTGGGTACAATGTACACCACTCGGGTGATGGGTGCACTAAAATCTCAGACTTTATAGTAATTGTATTTACTATACAATTAATCTATGTAAGCAAAAACCACTTGTACTCTAAAACTTTTTTAAAAAATTAAGATTGGAAGGGAAGTTGTTCTAAACAAAGAGAATAGAGAGTACAGAATGCAAGGGTGTGGAGGTAGTGGAAACTACAATTGGGAGAAATCTCTGATGAGCCTGAAAAGGAAGCGTCTCCAAGGCACACAGGCAGAGGCATTGGTCTTTGTACTTTCTGTGTAGAGAAGTTGTTCTGGTGTCCTCTCTCCCCCAAGCTACTAGGAAGCATAGTTATAAACATTCCCTTTCACCTCTCCAAATGAGGACATTGCATGCTCGGGACGGAGGAATGGGCCTGCACACCACGGAGGCGTCCGTGCAGAGGAGGGATCAGAAGTAACTGGATCATTTCCACCAGCCGCCCAACACTAAACCCACTGAAACCAAGCCACCAGCACTCCCTTATCTCTTCCAGGGAAAGTGTGCAGAAGTGTCCGCTTATTTTTAGAAGCCACTCAGCCACAGAACAGGTGTCCATAAGAAGAGGAGTGATTGTTCGTGTGGCTAAGTGGCGAGGAGAGAGTCACATCCATGGAGGGCCTGATGTGCCAGGCCTTGTCCTAGACACCTCTTATGAAACATCACCTTTAATCCACACACCAGCCCTGAGAGGTAGGTGGCATGAGCCCCACTGCACAGATAAAGACACTGCAACATGCTGAGAAATTGTGGCTTTTCTCAAGGTCCTGCAGCTCCTAAGCGGCATGTTTGGGATTCAGAGCCAGAACTCTCTGATTCTAAAGCCACACAATGAGCCTCCCATTCTCCATCCAATCTGAGCACATCAATAATACCAACAGTAACAATGAGTGGAGGCACTTCAGGCTGGGAGCTCTTCCTGGCCTTGCTGTGGAGGTGGGCAGTTTAGGTGAAAACCGGTACAGGCTGAGGCTGAAGCCAGGTGGACCAGGAAGGAAGAAACAGGCACCACTGTTTTGAGTCAGGACTTCCAGAACAGGGGTGGACAGCTGTCTCCTGTCTGAATGGAGGAAACTGGACATCCTCAGCCAAGGGCTGTGCATTAAGCACCAGCAGTGCACTGGTTGGGGGCTTTGAGAGGCTTATGGTACTTGAGCCTCAGGCCCAGGGGAGTTATCAGGAGGACCAGGAAAGCTGCCAACTCCATGTCAGAGTTCCCAAGCGAGCTCTGGCTAAGGAGCAGTTTGGGTGGTCCAGAATTGGTGCCTTCCCAAAACAAACAGGAGACGCCTATGTTCCTGGCTAACTCCCACTGTGACCCTAACATCTGGCACCCCAGGGCACTGCCTGGGCTTAGAGAGCTCATTAGTGCACACAGAAAGGAAGCTGTCCACGTCTGGGCAGAGGGGGTGGAAGAGAAGGTGGGTGGGACGAGAACAGTTGGAAACCACCCACTCCAAGAGACTCAGCTGAGCTAAGTATGGGCAGGGGGAAGGATCCCAAAGCACGAGGCGGGAACTCAGAGTCCTGTATCACCCGCTGTGTACCTGTCAGCAAGTTACCAATGCCTTGTGGACTGAGTTCAGTGTCTGTGAGCAAGGACTTTTGGTCAGCCAGACCTGGGTTCAAATCTAGCTCTGGCACTAACTAGATGTGTCACCTTGAGTAAGTCACTCTCTGAGCCTCATTTTCCTTATCAACAAAATGGCCAAAAAGAGGTACCTTCCTTACAGGGCAGCAGTGAGGAATAAACAGGCAACTGTGCATAGAATACAGGGCCAGGGCCCCATACATTGTAAGTATTCAATAAATGGCCAAATTTCTTAATATCATCACCATCCTTATAGATAATGCCACAGGCTCTGCTCTTTCTCAGCACAAGGTTGTTGTAATGATCCAATGAGACTGTCTACACAAGTAAAAGCATGATGAGGCAGCAAGGCACTGTGTAGACAATGGCCAGACTTCTAAGTAGGGACATGCTGCCTCTGCTCCCTTATTTTCTCTCCTGGGCTAAAGAAGATGTCCACAGGAATATTCCCTTGTTGAGGGTAACCAACTCTCTCATGGGGATGATTAATGGAGTAAATAATTCTATTTTCAGAGAAGTTACATGTCATTGGTTATTGGCTTTCAGCACATAACTAACAGCAAGAAACCATGTACTCACATAAGGCTTGGGGTTCAGATCATTGCACCCCTTCAAGTAGGGTCATAGCTTTGCATTCTTGAATTCCTTATCTACTAGCTTCCCCTCCACCTTCAGCTGACTGTCTTAAACAGAGCCTTTCTCAGTACACATTTGTTGGGGAAGTGATTTTTGTAAACATTTTAACAAATTGCTTGGGCATCATGGAGAGCCAGTTCAGTGTTATGTGTAACCCTTCCCAGGAGGCTGCAGGGAACACAGTGAGCATTTGCTATTTCCTCAGACCACTCAGACCTTCCAGTCTGGAAACCACAGTGAGAATCTCCAGAGAGAAGAGGCCTTATGGCTTGTTGACTCCTTCCTGCTTTCTATAGGACTAGCTCCAGCAGGATCACAGATGCTTCCTCTGAGTTTTATCTAAGACAGTTGAACACTCACAGGCCTGGGCAGGGCATAAAAATCTGGAAGGAACTTCCATGATGATCTGAAAAATGTCTTCTTTTCAGCCGGCTGGAAGTTTGGCTTAGGTTTGGGTCATAGATCAGGTCGATATTGAAGTGCCCCTCCCAGGTCACCCCAAGCTGGGAAGGGGAACTTTTGGGTCTGCTTTGATTTAGCCATTGCCAGTCTCCTTGTCATCACTCTGTCCTGTTTCTTTGGAGGCTGTGCTGTGAATGTTTTGCTTCTCCTGATGCTAGATGAGCCCTGTGGTCACTGGCCCGCCCTGGCCTACTGCCCACCACATCAGTCTTTCTGTCCAGTCTGCAGAGCCAGTACCTGCCTGGTCACATTTCCACTTCCTGGCTTATCTCTGTGCTCACAGCAGGTTTGGCTGCTCTGCAGATTCTGAGAATGGTGCCCAGCAGGACTTTCTGGGCTTTTCTTTTCTCCCCGTATAGAGGTGACTATGGATAAAGTATTGCCTCCCTAGTCACAGAGAGCTGCCTGGCAAAGCTGCAATGAGGGGCAGCCTTGCCTTTGGGCTAAAGATCTGAGGGATGGAATGAGAACTATGGCCTGCTCTGACTATGCAAGCTCTCAAAACCACGATTCAACTCTCTGGGGCCTTTCTGAGCCGTAGGGGACTGGGGAGGGCGTGGGCAGCTGGGGAGGGATTCAAATGCCCTTGTGATGAATTCTAATGCACCTATACACGTTCTACATCATTATTGTGTTCCGAAGACTCATCCACCACCTCCCTTCCTTGCTTGCTCATGGCTGCTGGTGTTCTCCCAAGCCCAACAACCCAGTGGGCCTCAGCTGCTACCAGGTATGAGGGATAGCGTACTGGGTGAGACCTGGACTCTGGAGCCAGATGGTGGGTTTGAACCCTGGCTCTGCTGCTTATTGGTCGTGTGACCTCAGGCAAGTTACTCAACCTCTCTATGCTTCCATTTCCTCATCCATAGAATGGAGGTGATAATAGGACCTACTCCACTGGGTCATGATAAGAATCAAATGAGTTAACATATGGAGAGTGCCTGTATCAGCACCTGGTATGCAGTGAGTGTTTGCAACATATAACAAATATTCACAGACCCAGTGTTAATTTTTCCATGGGATATAGGGGTCATTACTGAGCTTTGAGCTCTCTTGATGCTGGGGTTGAAGTTAACCTAGAATAATATAGTGGCAAGAAAACCACTTGACATCCTCAGCACTGGAGCAGTGTAGCTGTGTACCTTGGTTTCCTCTGCTGTACAATGGTAAACAAATACAATTCTCCAAATAGAATTATATTTTGGAATGAAATAATTCCAGTAATATTCTTAACAGAATACCTGGAAAATATTCAATATGTGTTTAGCTATATTCATTAATATTATTATTATGGTAACTGAGACAGGCCAAGGAAGGGTAAGAGTTGTTCTTGGACATCTGCTCCCCAAAGGACATCAGCAATGTCTGGGGTCATTTTGGGATGTCATAGCTGGGGTTTGCTACTAGTATCTAGTGAGTAGAGGCTAAGAATGCTGCTAAACATCCTATAATGCAAGGGAAAGTTCCCAGAGCAAATAATTATACAGCCCAAAATGTTTATAGTGTCAAGGTTGTGTGTTTTGAGTATAGCTACCGCCACAGGGCACCATATCCCTGACTGCTGTGTGATCACCCTTAGAAGGGAAATACCCTTGAGCAGGCTTTCCACTGTTGCACAGAAAAAAGGAGATAGTAACTCCAGATTCACTGGAGCAACTGAAGGGAGATGTCTCTCTAGGGCTAACTTCAGGTTTTCAAGTACCAGAATCAGGGAACCCCATGAAAGCAACAACAATCCCACACTGTGCACCTAGAATAGCTGCTTTGCTGAATTCTCCCTGATAATATTTGTAATCCTACCAAATGTGGGTACTGGCTCAATGGGCTTCTGCAAGCCAAACTTTCTCCCCAATACAGTCTCCACTGCTGTGAATGGCCACATACCCTTCCATGCAGTCACTCAAGCCAGAAACCTGGAAATCATTGTCAAGGCCTCACTCTCCCTTGTCCCCTGCAGCCAGTCATGCTGTTGATTCACTGTTCTAGATACCACTTACATCATTCACCTCTCCCCATTCCCACTGCCATTGCCTTGGTCTGGGTTTTCATGATCTTTCACTCAAGTTACTCCAAGAGCTCCTAATAGTCTCTATTTCCAGTCCCTTCCAACCCCTATCCATCCACCACCTTGCTCCAAGAAACATCTTCCCAAAACATAAGTCATGTCACTTATTTACTTAAAATTCTATCAGCAAACTATTGCCCCAAGCACAGGACATAAGATCCAAAGCACTTTGTGATCTGGCCTTGGCCTGCTTCTCCAAACTCACCTTGCCTTCCTCATTCTTCAGCTGCTTGCATGTCGCCAGACACGTGTCATATACAGTTGAGCCTCTGAGCCTTCTCATATGCTGTTACTGTGCCTACAACACTATTTCCAGCCTCTTCTGTGGGCTGACTCCTACTTTCCTTGAAGACTCAGTTTAAGCATCACTCCCTCTGGAAAAATTTCCTAAAACTCTCCCCGGGAGGCTGCATTTAGGACTTTCCTTTCTGCTTCCATAGTTCCTCATGCACACTCTTCTAATCCTGTATTATAATCATGGATTTCCTTACCTGATTCTTCCACTAGACCATCACCTCCTTTAGGTGAGGTGCTGTAATCATTTCTATTTACCAGCATTCTAGTACATGGCTTTGCACATGATAAGATGGTCAATAAATGTTAATGGAATGAGTAACTATTGGGGTTATGAACAATATATGGTTGTTGAATTAATTGAATGAATTATTTAATGATCTTTCACCCAAGTTACTCCAGGAGCTCCAAGGATGTCACTCACTATACTAAGCATCTGCTTTTTTTTTTCCTTTGGTGGATTTTTCAGGCACCTAGTATAAGCCAACCACTATACAGGTCTCTAGAAATTTCAAGATGAATAAGATCATGTAGTCTCTTCCTTGTGAAGTTTGTAGTCTGGCTAAGGACACAGACCCACTAATTCTGCCTCCCTCTCCATTCTTTTGCTCAAATAAAAAAATAGGATTCTCTCTTCATTGATCTCTTTTACTCACCCCCCTCATCCAACCCAGCAACAAGTCTCACTGAGTCTACCTCTAAATCATAATATCCTTCACTTTCATCTCCATTTCTACCACTATAATCCAAACCAGCATCTTTCTCTTTGACTCGTTAGTCTTCCAGCTTTCACTCTTGCCCTTTACAATTTATTCTCCCCATAACAGCCAGAACGATCTTTTGACAATGTAAAAAGAGCATGTTACTTCCGTTCTTAAAATAATTGCTCCTCATCACACTCTTACCAGGCCAATGAGGATGATTGAGCTCAATTCTTCACTTCATCCCTTAACAGAATTTTGCCTCCATACCCTTGCTATGGCTTCTTGGTAGGAATCATGTACTTCTCCACCTCTTGACCTAGAAATTGGCCATATGACTCCTTTGACCAATAGGATGTTAGCAGACATCACCAAAGCAGAGGCTCAACATGTGCTTGTAGAGACTGGCATGCCCCTTGTGCTTCTCTGACCTGCCAAGAGATGTTAAGCCCTGGTACTTCCTGTGCCAAAGAAAATGTGGAGACATATGGAGCAAATTTGAGGTGAACCCAAATCCTGGAGCAAAGCCCCACCAACCCACACACCTGCAAACAGGCGCTTAACCTGTGTAGTTGTACAGGACTCCTTGCTTAGAAGAGCCCCATGCTTGGTTTAATGTTCTTCTGTTACTGTTTTGAATGTTTTAATATTTTTAACAAGGGCCCTACACTTTCATTTTGTTCTAGGCCCCCAAAAATTATGTAGCTGGTAAGCAAGAATAAATGTTTGTTATTATAAGCTACTAAATTTTGGGTGGTTTTATTTATGTTCTTTCTTTGTAGTACCTATCAACTTCTGAAGTTGCCTCTCCACTTACTTGTTGACAATTGTCTTCTCCAAATAGACTGTAAACTTCTTAACAGCAAGGACCTTGTCTATCTTGTGTGTCTTTGTAGGCCCAGGGCCTGATGCATCCCAGACTTCCAATCAATGCTAGTCAAATAAATAAATGAACAACTTCCATAATTTCTAAAATCAGGCAAAAAGCACAAGAGCCTCATGGACAAAAGTATTGGTTCTATCCAAAGACAGGAGGTTTACAGAAGAGGCAATGCTTAAATTTCTTCATCTCCTTCACTCATCCTTTCTTGTCTTTTATCTATTCAGAGTACCCAGCACCTGAGTGAGATTAGCAACTTCTACAAAATCAGGTTTTTCTACAGTCATCTTCCAAAAACATAGATGGAGGAGAAAACAAGAAACACCCCTTTTCTCAGACCACTCCAAGGATAAGTTCACTGCTCGATACGTTAGGGGGTGGACAGAGGTGTTCACTGTCCCCCTGGCTTTCTTCTTCCTATTTATTTAATAACATGATGCCAAGAGTTTTATCTGGGCACTGATCACTCAGCTCAAGCCTCCTCTGCAGCCAGTTGTGCCACGTGACTCATTTCAGCCAATATAACATGAGCAGAAATAAATTACACTCAAACATTTGCTTCACAAAGTTGCTATAAGAACCTTGTGAAGTATGAGCTAACATCACACATAAAGGGCTTAGAAGAGTGTCTGACTCATAGTAAGCACCCAAGAAATGTGAGTCACAGTCATCATTAATATTTGAATCTTCAATTTTGCACTCATTATAAAAGAATAGTTTATGAATCTTCCACCGTTCTCACAGCCATGTAGTATCCCAAGTCTCTGGTTATCGATTCAGAGGCTGTTCCTTCATTGTTCTTCATTGTCTTCCATTGTCCTTTCTTCATTGTCCTTCCAGTGTATTACATTGGAGAAGACATTGCAATGGAACAAGTCACTAACCTAGCATTTCCCCTGCTATATTCCAACTCCCATAGGTAAAGGCGTGCCGGGGTCTCAGGAAAATGCATCCCATCTCAGATCTTATGGGCTGCTTTGTGCTCACCAGGCGGCTTTACCCAGCATCAGCATTTCCAAAGACATTTAGAGGCTCAGTAGAAGTGCCCAGAAGCACTTGACTGCTCTTGAGTAATAACTAGCTTCCTATTTGCAATATTTTGAAAACACTGTGCCATAGTCTATAAAACCGGAGGCAATTATGTGAGAAAGTGATAAAATGAAATAAACTATTTGCCCTGGAAAGCCACTGATTCTGAGGCAGTGTTGTAGATGCACGGTTCTTTCTTGAATCTTTCTTGAATCTTTCTGGCACAGCCAAATGATACAGTTAGGTGTTATGAGCACATGACCTTCAACATAGGCAATCTGGATTTGAGTCCTAGCTCCACCCTTTCCAACTGGGTGACCTTGGGAAAGTCACAGTCTCACCAAGTGTTTAAATGTGGCCCACTTCATACAATTGTAGTTTATGTAAGGAGCAAATGAGATGATGGAGGCAGAGCACTCTCAATAGCACCAGGAGCACAGTGGGTGCCACTGTTATTATTGTCGCATTGCTCAAAACTCACCGGGCCCAAGTCAGCTCTGTCACATGACTTTCAGCAGCGCTTCCTGACAACAAAGCTGTTTCTGCAAGTCACCAACAGCCAACAGACCCAGTGGACAAATAATTTTAACTGTCGCAGAGAGACTTCAATTTCCTATTGGTCAATTAAAGAATTCGTAACTGCCTCCTGCCCTTCTTGTTCAGCATTTTAAATGGTGCTCCCTAAATAGAACATGTTTCGTCCTCTTTTAGCCCAGCCCTTCCCAGTCAGGAGAATCTTTACGTGGGTTGTTCTAATCCACATTCATTTTCCATTTTGGAGTCCAGCTTATAATCTTGGGAATCAAGTCCTCCACTGGCTTCTCACCACAGGTGATTCTGGGAACAGGCCTCCCAGAAGAGCCTCTGAAAAACCTCCTGGGCAGAGGTGTGGCCCTAACATATTTTAAGCAGAGGAGGAAATTCTCTTCAAGCCACACAGGCAAAGGTTCATGAGAAAGTGCTTTCACACAGACAGGCTCAAGAGACTCCTCGACTCTGAAGAGGCAGGAACAGAATTCATGAGAAAATGGGACAAGAATTCAGCCCTCAGACCCACAGCGCTTTCAGATATTAACACCCTTGCCTTCAGTTTCTCCCAGATAGCAGGAAAAAGCAGCATGAACCATCACAGCTGAATCAAGCACAGGCTGGGCAAAAACAAACTCCCTCATGTCCCCATTGCAGAATTCACCTCTTGGCCAGCGTGAAAATATCCAGAACAATACAATTCAGGAATAAGCCATCTTATTTCCTACTGGTTTCTGTTATTGAATCAATAAAAGTTTTCCATTTTAAATATATACACTACTGTCCTGAAAATAATGCTCAGAGCATTTTAAAAATAAGTTAAGAATATTCCTCAATTGCATGTAACCCCCCGTATCCAAAGGAAACAAGGTCTCAGGTTATCATGTGGACGGAATGTGGTTGTGAGTAGGACGAGAGGCTCAGTGGGTCTCTAAGAGCTCTTCCAGTGCAATAATGAAGGCATTAAATTACCAGGTCAGAGGCCCCAGTTCACAAAGAAATAATATCAGTTTATTATTTCTAATCTTATTAAGTTAGAAAATAGTCTTGAGATGCAATGTCATCCTAGAATGGCTAAAGTATTGATTATGTGAGGCTGCACTCATGGATAGTTCAAGGAGCCTGATTTTATTTAATTTCAGTAATTTTTAAAGCATTCTAACAAATTTTCTATAAAGTAAATAATCCTGAATTATTTCCATAAATAATGTAGATATATGGTCAGATTTACTTAGTATTTACCAGTTACATATTTTGCATTACGAGTTAGAAAAAAAAGAATTATTTTTAATCCTATTTTCCCAATCCCCAGTGTCTTCCTTGAGAAAAATAGACTTTTAAAAATATATATTGCAGTTTTAAGAAAAATATGGATGTTATCAAACTAGGACTTGTGACAATCCATTGATGCTGTCATTTTCTTATAATTGCATTATGTCCAAAGCTGAAACCTCAATGTGCTATGATTTCGGATTATGCAAGGAAAAGCCTATAGCCAGGCATTGTTACAATGTCAACCTGCTGCAGCTGGAATTATAGACAGCAGTTAACCCTGCCAGTGCCCCTTTCTCCCCTGCCTACCAGCAGAGCTCCACTTGAGGGTAGGGCCAGAAAGAAGCTTCAGTCTCCTCAGCCACAAACCACATTCTCCCCTTATGTTCAAGGAAAGTGGCCCCAGTCTCTGGTGAGTGGGCAAGACTGGCTACTAGAGCCAACAGCTTAATCCAACATTGAATGAACACCTACTATATGCCAAGACCCAGGCCAGGCATTCAAGGATACAAGGTTTTCTTCCTTCTAGAAGTTTCCAGTTGGATGTATGTCTGGATAATGAAAGGCTTGGGAAAGTAATGTCCAGGGTGGCTAGGGACCTCTTCTCCATGACTAGATATTACCAAGGCTAAAAAAGTCACCACCCTCTGCTACCACCACCACATTCATGACATTGTTCTCAATATCCTTCTTTCCTTCCATATAGACAATTTTTTTTCATTCTCCAGGCAAATAACATGGCACCTGCCACGTCCCAGGTGCTGTGCCAGGCATTAGGAATACAGCAGTCAGTAAGATCTAGATTAGGCCATTTAGAGCCTTACAGTCTAATGGAGAATACAGGCAGGTCAATGAAAACCATATGGTATCATACACTGTATAAGAGTAGACACTTGGTACGAAAGGATCATGGAATTCTTTCTCGGGGAGGAGACAGCTAAGCTGAGTTTCCAAACATGATGACAACACATACAAAGGGAGATGGGAATGGAGTGCAGCATTTTAGACAACACATGCAAAGGCCCAGTGGTGAGAGAAAGAGACATGACAGGGAACTCCTAATTGATATGTCAGGAATACACAGTGCAAGGAGGCAAGGGAGGAGCCCCCAGTCCTGCTCCCAAAAGGCCCTGCATGAGGTGCTATGGAATTGGCTCTATGGTTGACTCACCTGGGGTCAGCCTCCACCAGTGGCTCACCTTGGCCTGTGTCCCGTAGGCCAAAGAATCCAGCAGTCTCTTCCCTGCCTCTCACTCACATCCCCTGAGGTTGTTAATTAGACTTTTCCTATCCCAAGATTTCATGAGCAGTAGGCAAAGTGCCTTCATGCAATTAGTGAGCCTGAAGTTACCAACCCAAACCTGAGACTCACGCCCTCAAGAATGTTTCCTCTCAGGATATTTGTTAGCTCAGAAGACATGTGTGAGCAAAGTATGTTATTTAGTGACCTATAATGCCTGAATAATGATCACAGTAAATCAGACCTCATTATGTGCAGGAGAGCCGGGCAGCCCAACTGGCTAGGTAATGAGGTCTAATTTAATGCCCTGGTATTATTCTCCACATGTTTGCTGGGAAGTTAGGGGTGGGATGGCGGGGTTGGCCTGGTGGATCCAGAAGCCCTGGGATGTTCAGCAGTTACCTAGGGAGGCTAGTACACATGTTAGGAGCTTGGGAAAGACTGTGCTCAGCAATGCTCAGTCCCTCCCAGTGGGTTACAACAAGGCCTGGTCCTCTCACAGTGGCTTAAACCAGAAAAGCTTATAGTCACAACTTATTACAACAAACAACAGCACCCTGGAAGCTATTTCTTTGAAATAAAAGGAAGGTTACAAAGGCAGGAAACGCCAGCACAGATAGCAAAATCAGAATCTCCATGAAAAGAAATATTAACTGTCAGAGGGTTCACTTCATGAGTCATGCGTCTCAGACCAGTTTGTGATCGAGTCTGCTCAGCATGTCAGAGCCAGGGGAGGTGGCTCTTGGTCCAGCCTTCTTTGAGTGTGAGTAGCCCTCATTTATTTCTTGCTTTGAGGAGCCTTTTCCATAGCAATCCAATATTGTGGTTTTTCATTCTTCATGCACAGCCTTTTCTCATTGATTACCTAACATCATTCGTTTGGGCCCGTTCCATACAAAAGTCAATGGAGAGATCAATTTTAACCATTTGATGTACAAAAATTTGCTCTTAAAACATCCAGAGACTGAAATCATTTATCTTTTGTTCACCAACTCATAACTCTTTTCCTGCTGTTGGTTTCTTGTTGGGTAGCAGACATCAAGAAGGAGACAGCCAGAGACCTTTGCGCAGGTGGCCTTCTCTGGATCCCCATGGAACTATCATCTAGGAAACCTCTGACATCTGATGGCAGTTTTAAAGGGTAATATCTGTGTGTGACATCAGGTGCCAGACAGGCTATAACACTCAACACGCTATCAGCTGAAGCTCCCTCACTGCCCCCTTCATCAGTTTTCAGTCCTCTCATTCCTATCAGTGGAATATGGTGAAACCCAACAAAGCAGACTGCACTGCCACGTGTTGGGGGCTCACATAAGGCGGATTGGCTCCCCACATGAAAAGCAATGTTTGGTGCAAATCCTCCTTGTCTTCCATATCAGCAAAATAGCAGGATTCTCTTGCATTTTCCCCGAGCAACAACTGGCGCATTTATTTCTACAGGGCACAGGAAATTGCTTCCTCCACATTCTCTTTGGACTTGAAAAAGATTCTTAGATCTCCCCCTTTTCTGGGAACTCTGGGCTCATAATCAGACAAAAAACCTTTTAGTAATACCAAGCTGTGATGCAAGATAATCATCCCAAGTGTAGGAGAACAGCAGAGAGAGACTCAATTGTGTTTTAAAGCACTCTGAAAAATAGCAAACCCATTCATTTGAACTCTTCAAAAGTATTCTGCATTATAGTTTCTCTAGCTGGTGTTTTAGCTGAATATGGCATTAAATCTTCATTGTATGGCAAAGCCTCTAACAAGCAAAATGGGAAGAGGCTAAATGTGCATTGGCTGCCAAGGCAGAGGTTTCTTTATTGTAAACCAGAACAGTGAGATGGGTGTGGGTGCAGTGGGCTAGTGGAGTAGAATCTGTCTGGGATTCAAAGTGATCACAATATGGTGAATATTGACTATGGTCAAAATATCCTGGAAAATCACATAGGATGGTGCCCATTGATGATGGACACACTGCCTCTCGCTAAAGTCAGCCCTGCTAGATTTTCTCTAGCATTGAAATAGGCCTATGTCTACACTTGAACTTCTGTCTAGGGACTAGTTGTCATGAAAACTGTGTGCCTATAAACAGTAGAATGGCACACAGCATTAAAAGAGGCTGATGCTGTGAAGGGCCGGGAAGACTGAAGTCATCTGCAAGAACAGCAAAGTTATGCTTCCCACTTCATGTACACCTTCTCCCAGTGGTCCTCAACCTTCAGCCCTCATCAGAACCACTGGAGGCTGGTTAAAGGACAGATCAAGAGTCCTACCCCCACAGTTTCTGATTCAGTAGGTCTGGGGTGGGCCTAAGAATTTACATTCCCAGTGAGGCTGTGGCCAACTCTGCAAACCACTGATTTGGGGGGTTGTGTGGACTGATGGGAACAACTTTCTATACTAACCACTTTCCTGCACTTCCATGCTGCCTTACTTGTACATCTGTACCCACATTTCCATTTTCTCCAATCTTGAAGTAATCGTCTGTCTCTAGCTATAGTTTCTACCAGCTTTGCTTCATTCTATTATTGGCTTTTTTTCCAGGTTGCAGAGAAATGTATGATGCCCTTCCTAATGTCTAAAAAATTTCATCAATCTTCAATTCCTTGCTGATATTGGTCTTGCATTTTCTCTACCACCCCACCAGCAGTGCCTAGATTTGCCAGAACACCAACCCTTTAATATGTAGGGCAATACTCTTTTTTTGTTCCTTTGAGCTAATTCAGGCATTCTCACATGCACACATTTTATTGGCCATTATAGGTCAAAACCTACCCCCACAAAGGCCACAGACAAGTAAATAACACACGTGGCACAGTGTGTTCAACTCAAGATGAGAGTCAGCACGTTTTCAATAAGGCACAGTAACTATTCACCAGATTATTATAGGATTCAGAGCACATAGGAGATATACAGTCATGTACGTAAGAGTGTGTGTGTTTGTGTGTTTATTTCAGAGACAAATAATGCTAAAATACTGCAATCCTTCACAGGTAGGACTTCAGTATCATATTCATGCTAAGAGTACATTGTTGGCATCACTTAAATTGTCTGTGATGTACTTGATTGACTGTGTTTTATGGCTAGTGAGAAAAATAGAGATATATAGTTTACAGTAACAAAAAAGAGAAAGGTGGCTATCCACCTCACATCTAATTCCCTGGTTTCAGAAGGTAACTCAGAAAAGGTTCTCTCCCACGCAATTAAGTGAGCTAATGAAAGGCAATTTACACAGCAGAAAGAGAAAATAACTAAACAAACTTATTTAACCTATGGCCTCATCAGGACCAGAGAGTCTCCTTCCTGTAGTCTAGAACTCCTGAACCTAAGAAACAATTCAGTTGATTTTCGTCTTTTGTCTGCAAACATCTAAGAAATGTTGGTTGAGAATAGAGTTTTGTGTTAAGCTGTTTGAATTTTTGAAAAATTATATATATATATATATATATTCATGCCTTATATGTCTCTAATATCACTAAATTTAATCAATAGTGGTTTTTAAACAAAGTATCATTTTCTCAATAACTGAAAACAGAAGTATTTTCCTTTGTGTCTGTCTTTGAGTTTTCCATATCTAAAGCTGAGAGTAGTGAGGGGCTCACACTGTCCCAAACAGATACCACCATACAAAGTGACTATTTTTATAAATACTGTCTTCCAGGAGCACAGCGACCTCTGCAAAAGCATTCTTGCAAACTCAATATTATCTCATGGTGGCAAAGTGATAGACCTATAAGGGGTCCAATTATTCAGGAAAGACTTGAGGAATGTTCTGCAATAATGTCGGAGTAATTCAAGTCTCTACTGCTCCCATACCTGCAGTCTCCTCCCATCAAAGTGAGGAATCTGTTGAGAGTTTTTTGAAGTCATAACTTCCCACTTTGCTAAGAATATTATAGCCAATATACCACAACATCTTTATCCACTGTGTGTTTTTTCTCTCCTACGCTGTAATTAAAATGTCCAACATTTAAATACTTTCTATTGTTTCCAGCTTAGTATGGGCAAAGGTTGTAATTCTGGGATAGACCTAATTACAAAGTCCCATGTCCCATTCTGAGCCAATTGCAAGCTTTTGCAAGAATTTTATAATCTGGAGCTCTGACATTTCCCAAGTGAATATCCACAAGTAGTGTTAGTGCCCGATTGTCTGAAGAAATATTGATCTCTCCAAGCTACAAGCATTTCATGTTTGGAGAATATATGATCCACACTAGATATTATTCTTGATCTACACTAGATATTCTTTTACTCCAGATGTAATCTACATTGAAGATTGTGAAGGATCTGTAGTTCTTTTTCTTTCTCCATCCATAATAAGCGCCATTCTCCAGTTCCTACAGGTTGTTCCTAGGCTTTATTTACGTATCTCGTTCTTTCAGAAAGTCCTAGACTGATGTTGTATTTTTCGAAGTAATGCTACCTGTTCTATCAGCAGAACCCAGAAATTTCAGTGGTTTAGCAAAAGGAAAGTTTCTTTCTCGCTCATGTCACAGTCCAGTGAGATTATTCCTGATTGGGAAGCTCTCCTCCATATGATGAATCAGGGACCCAGAATCTTCCCATCTCGTGGCTGAGCATCTTCATCAGGCAACTCCCAAAGCTGCCCTAGAAGTCATTTCCATCGTAACCAGCTGAAGGGATAATGAACATGGAGAACCTCACAAGGGAGCTTGAATATGACAGGCCTCAAAGTGGTGTAATTACTGCTGCTCATGTTTCCCAGGCTCAAACCCAGTCACACAGCCACTTAATTGCAATGGAGGTTGGAAAATGCAATGGGCTGTGTAAGCCCAGGGGGAAGAGGAAGCAGGTTTGCTAATTCCCAAGCAGCCTCTGTCACAAGGGCTTTTGCATCCTTTTGGACATCGTCACTGATGGAAGATGGCCATAGGACTGAAACAGCTGGCTTGCTCCGTGCAGACTTCTCCTTCCTGGTCTTCTGATTTCTGGGTAAGGGAACTCCTGGGCCTGCCCATGGGGAGCATCTTCTTTTTTTTTTTTTTTTTTTTTTATTATACTTTAAGTTTTAGGGTACATGTGCACATTGTGCAGGTTAGTTACATATGTATACATGTGCCATGCTGGTGCGCTGCACCCACTAACTCGTCATCTAGCATTAGGTATATCTCCCAATGCTACCCCTCCCCCCTCCCCCCACCCCACCACGGTCCCCAGAGTGTGATATTCCCCTTCCTGTGTCCATGTGATCTCACTGTTCAATTCCCACCTATGAGTGAGAATATGCAGCATTTGGTTTTTTGTTCTTGTGATAGTTTACTGAGAATGATGATTTCCAATTTCATCCATGTGCCTACAAAGGACATGAACTCATCATTTTTTATGGCTGCATAGTATTCCATGGTGTATATGTGCCACATTTTCTTAATCCAGTCTATCATTGTTGGACATTTGGGTTGGTTCCAAGTCTTTGCTATTGTGAATAATGCCGCAATAAACATACGTGTGCATGTGTCTTTATAGCAGCAAGATTTATATTCCTTTGGGTATATACCCAGTAATGGGATGGCTGGGTCAAATAGTATTTCTAGTTCTAGATCCCTGAGGAATCACCACACTGACTTCCACAATGGTTGAACTAGTTTACAGTCCCACCAACAGTGTAAAAGTGTTCCTATTTCTCCACATCCTCTCCAGCACCTGTTGTTTCCTGACTTTTTAATGACTGCCGTTCTAACTGGTGTGAGATGGTATCTCACTGTGGTTTTGATTTGCATTTCTCTGATGGCCAGTGATGATGAGCATTTTTTCATGTGTTTTTTGGCTGCATAAATGTCTTCTTTTGAGAAGTGTCTGTTCATGCATCTTCTAAGACAAGAAAGGAAAGAAAAAGTGGCAAAATGAATTACCAATAAATTATAGCTCCTTGGTTATCAGGGACACGTGTGCATACATTAAAAACAATTAAGCAGACATGATAGGAAGCTAAGTGTGCACAGTGAGAAGCTCTGAGAAGTAACTGGTAGGTGGCCCACACAATTTCAACCCCTCCTTAGTACACAGCTGGGGCTGGCATTCTGCTACAGATCTGCTAAGTCACCTGCCCTTTACTCATTGTTTCCCTGGTCCCCAGCATCAGAAGGAAGTTCAACTAGGGAGTTTGATTTTGCTGAGCTGGACAAAGCAATTTTCTGGTGTCATCTCATTTGCTAGCAACTGTGAGATGTCAGCACCATGCATGGTGTGGACCCAGGTGGTATGTGCATGCCCAGATACACAAAGAGCATACAACAAATGTCTGGAGAACTGTGAGAAAGACTCTTTCAGAGCAATAATTCTGTGTGATATAAGAAAGCCAGAGAGTTAACTGTCACCAAGGTCCTGGGAGTAATTTGATTTTTATGGTAAACCGGGAGACCTTTTTCCCTACCATTCCTATTTTGAGTGTAACTTTATCTTGTTTGCTTTTATGGATGCTAAAGGCTGGAAACCTTTAACACTGAGAAAGTTCTCAGATTTAATCTGGACATTGTTCAGCCAGATTTGCCAATCCAAATGGGATTTTCGGCCTCTGTGGAGAGAAGGGATCTGGAAGCAGGGAGATGCACAAATGCACAGTCACCTCTTCTTCCCAGCCCTCATTGCTAAGGCCGAAGGAAGAGAAAGAGGTCAAAGAAAGGGCTGGGTATTCCCCTTTAGGCTCTACCTTCCTGAGAAGAGTTACCCTGTGTGGGTTTCCTCCTGATCCCTGACATGGAACAAACTGGATCCCAGAAGAGACTGGGTATCTGCGGAGCTTGCTCTTTCGTGGATCTGGGGGCCCACAGTCTTCAGCCTACCACAGAAATGTTTCATTGCTTGGGCGAGAGACCTCACTAGAGCCCTGTAGCCCCCCACAGGGGAAAATCAGCAGGGCCATTTTGTGTAGTGCTTAGGATTAGAATGCCTGGTGTTCAAATCTTTGTAAAAGTGTCCTGTGACATTATTACAGTGCCCTATGTAATTCAACTGCTCAAAATGCATTTGAGAATTTGTCACACTTCTTGCTTTGCTTCTTTCTTTTTCTCTCTGGCCTCCCATATCATATTTCTTTAAGCGATCATTATCTTCACAGCCAGTGAGCAGGAAGAGGAAATAAATGAATGTCTCCTTCCTTCAGTGAATGAGGAGGGGCCCCCTCCAGATAGTCCTTTATATCCTCTCCTGAGAGACATTTGATTCCAAGTTGATCACGAAGGTCATAGTTCACAGTCAACACCCAAGCATCTACACAGCAGCATTAAAAAGAGGAGTTTTGTCATCAGTGATGAAAAGGAGGACAATTGGGGAATTTCAAGTAGCTCTAAAACACAGTAGAGTTCTCACACTCAAAAGCAGACAAGGGTCAACAGGTAATGAAGAGTGAAACTGGCTGGGAGGAGATTGGGGGCAAACTGAAGAGCCCTTGGCCCACTGGAAGGGCCACCACTCCCCAACATCCATTCATCACTGCCAGGCCAAATGGGGGGCCACTGTTGCTAGATCCATTGATTTTCTAGAGAAGCAGGGGAAAATGTTCCCATATGAATTATCCCATTCTCCAATACTGAAAATTAATTCATGCTTTCAAAAATACTTTGCTGGCCAACCCAGACACACTGAATGGTGGATGTCCATGGGGACTTCACTTTGCAACCTCTGTAAGTCTACCTCTCTACAAATAATTGAGGGCCAGCTATTATTGATATGCTCTTCTTGTCCATTTGTACATTTCCTGGTCATAGGACTTCTGTGTGAGGTAGTAAAATGAAATAATCCTCATTAAGAACATATCACTAGAGACCAGGAGCAGTGGCTCATGCCTATAATCCCAACATTTTGGGAGGCTGAGGCAGGAGGATCACTTGAAGCCAGTGAGCTATGGCCTCCTGTGAGAACCACTGCACCTACTGGACAACAGAGTGAGACTCTGTCTATAAAAATATAAGTAGATAAAAGTAAAAATAAGAACATTTAACTAGGAATACAGATAAAATAAATTCAATCTACGGTGGAAAGTAAGAAGCTACCTCATCTCCTTATAAAACTATGGTCTTTTCTCAGCAGTTTAAATTATTCAACATTATTAGATGTAATGTTCATTGAAAGAAGATTTTTGAAGTCATTCAAATCCAAGAATTTGTTCTTAGGAAGCCTGGCCACAGACATTACTAAACAGCAGCATTGGACAACTGTGGAAAATTCCTCTCAATCAGACCTCAAGAAAGATCTGTTGATTGATTGGAAATGGGAGAACTGCTTGTCCTCAGGAGGACAAGAAGAGAGGATTTGAATAAAAGTGCTGAAAATCTGAAACAAAGAAAGGGTCCTGTAAACAGCCTAGATAACTGGGCAGACAAGCCTGCCTGACTTACGAAGGAATATGACCCATCCATGATGGGTTCCATTAAAGGATCAAGGAGGCCTTCATAAGGAAGATTGGAGGACATGCCTGTGGCTGTATGCACATGTATGTATGTGGCCTTTGGCTAAAGGCCTGGACCAGAGTCCCCCAGAGTTTGGAGTTTGATTACTTCAAACATAGACATCTACACTACTAGATACATCTTCTTTACTAAGTGTAGGCTTCACCTCCATCCCACTCCCACCCCCAAACTCATCCCAAGGTTGAGAATCACTAATTAATTGGCCTGAATTCATAGTCACTGGACAAGGTTATTGGACATACACTGATTTCGTTATCACACACCTTCTAAAAGTTAATGAAAGGTTTTTATTAATCCAGGTTTTAATAGGCTACATTTCTTCATACCTAAAGAAGTAAAATGGGGGAAAAATTGAAAATAGTAACAGGAATTGATTATTTTTAATCTTTGTAAGTTCAAGATAACTCAGTTGATTGTTTTGTATCTCTTTGACAGAAAAACGAAATCAGGCACACACAAAACCGGATTCTCTGTGTCCTCATGAAACCTGCCTCTAAGGATGCATTTCTATTTATTTTTTAGTAGAAAAATTATCTTCCTTATGGTTTGCCTGTGCTTCCTTTTCATTGCTGCAGGGTTTCAGAGCCTGGGGAACTGGGCTTCTGGGGTCCAGGAGAGTCAGTGATGCCGGCAGATGCTGTGTCAGTGCCTTGCACGTGCCATCCTGGATCTTACGGAGGTCAAGATTTTTCCTCCTTCTTTTGTTCATCTTGTTCTAGGGGTATGAGAGTGCTTCTCCCTTGTTTAAGAACCCTAATTAGGGATTTTAAATCATATACTTAGTAATAACTGTAAGAGCAATTTTTAAAAAGTTTACAACAGGGTAGGAAATACAAAATAGTCACACTAATATAAAAAACACCCTCAAAAATAAAATGCATAGACAAAATATCAGAAATATTTTTCACAATTTTCCTTGGTCATGGGAGATTTTTCCAATCTTCTTTCTACAATTAATCAAAATGAAATGCCATTTAACTTCAGAGAGATGCTTTTTTTCCTTTGATGATGAAAGCAAATAATGGAAATAAATGAGAGTTTTATTACATTCAACTTTTCTTTGCTGAACATCAATTCATTCTATAATTAAAAATGTATTTTATAATTTACACATTTTTAATTTATGAAGTTAAGTGTCTTTGTTACCTGGTCTCAGTCATCTACAGCAGGGAGCAGGGACAGGATGTTATGAACTGATGGTCTCCACAGTCCAGCCCCTAGTGCTCAGAATCCAGGGGTACTCAGGCACTGGACGTTGGATCTCAGCATCAGCAATGAGCTGCATCATCTCTGACAGGAATGGGTGATAAGAACATTTCCCTTCACCATTTTTAAAAGCCAGGTCCTTGATTTGCATGGGCAGGAAGGGGGAACATGGTTGTGGGGGTGGTTAGTTTACCACATCACATTTTCACATTTTCATCTATCATAATTTAGATCTTTACATTTCTTGAGTTGGTGACTGATAGCCTCCAAACACATAAACACTCTCCACCTGTACAGAATGCACCAGGGACTCTGCTCTCATAAAGTCAGGACCAAGGTAGAAGTGAATAAAATTCTAAAGCCCACTCCTTAGCAGTAGTAAGTCCCAGGATCGGCCACGGCTACAGAAGGTGACAGTTTCTGGATGCTGTCAGTTTGCAGCAAATTGAAGTTTTGTGGTTTTATCTATTACCAGAAAAGCCCTCCAAAAAAATGTAGCCAGTGGGGAAGAAAGCAGGAGTCCACCGTCTCATTTTTAACAAGGACCAGCTGAAAAATGAAGGCGCACACCACACAAACCAGCTTATGTCTGCCAATTCATTTCCTGGCCCCAAAAGAAAAAAAAAACCCTCGTGTTTCCTCTTATGCAGGCCAAACATGGCAAAGCACCAAGGGAATTCTGAATGGAATCAATTGCACTTGTTACTAACTGAGTTTTCTTTTATTCTTATATTACCAAGGGCTGGATACTCAGCTGCAAGCAATTATAATGAAGAGTTACTGAGTAATGGTTTCCAGATTGCTCCATGATGGGGCATTAATTGAAAGGGACAATTTAAGAGCTTAGGCCATGTAAATGCATTTCTTATTCTGTCAGATTGAGAAATTTCTGGATGCAAAAGGCTGAAATGCTTAGAACTGATAAAGACTTAATAATGCCCATTTAAGCCGGTATTTTCAAAACGAGTTTCATGTTTTTAAGAGAACAAATATTAAATGGTGAACCTGTGAGCTTGTTCATTCAACCAGGACAATGATCTAAATAGCACATTGGCATGCTGCACTCATATTATAAACATATACATTGTATAAAATGTGACTTGTTTAGTCTGTTGCATTGCAAAGCCGGTTAAGTTTGCAAGTAAACTTTTATTTTTCAGTTCTCATGCTATTATGATGCATATTGAGCACCCTCTCTTGCTCTCTTGCTCTCTATATATGCTTTAAAATTTTAAACAGCATTTAAAAACACATAAATTAGTTTTATATGTGTATGCATGCTTTAAAATTTAAAACATTTCTAAACAGATTTGCTTGCATATGAAAGTGGACCTTCTCAAAAATTAATTGTGAAGTCCGTATCAGAAAGCTTTATTTTGGCTTTTTTAAAGTGGGCTTTTATTTCCCTGAGCCGCATTAAGCCGTAACATTTTCAAAGAGGTTCTCTGATATGCCACATTAAAGATAAGTATCATAAGACAGTAAGACAGTTAATGCCAAGCAAGGAAGAAAATCACCAGCTCTCTCAAAAAGGGGGAAAAAAAGAGTAGTACTCGTTTTTAAAGTCTAATTTCAGACTTCTGCATTAGTACTAGTTTTACTTATGAAAACGAAGGAAGAGAAGGAAGGAGGGAGAGAAAGAGAAAGAGAAAGAAGAAAGAAGGAAAGATGGATGGATGGATGGTAGACAGAAAGAAATAGATGCAGATACATTTTAAGACATGAATTCATCGTTGAGGAGAGATGGACACCACTGCTTTTTCTCATTCTGTTTTCTAAGTCTGAATTGCCATCTGAGAATTGGACTTTTACCTTTCCTTCTGACTTCAGTCTGGCATTCTGGATTTGTGCACAGTAGCTGTGGTGCTGATGGTAGACTTCTCCTAGAGTCTTGACACAAACCATGACATGGATGGCAACATAGGCAGAGGAAAGAAGTTGTCAACCTGGGGAAATTGAGAGCATTCAATCCAAGAGAATGAAAAGGAAAGGCCTCGTGTTATACTTGTTATTATACATTGCCCATTTTTACTCATTCATTCAACAAGCTATGTTGTACCCTTTCTCCATCTGTACTTCACATGCTGGCAAAGCACAAAACAAGGATGAAGGCATCTTATCTATTCATGGGCATATCTTCATTTATTAGACAATTCCTAGACTCTTCCTTGGATGGAAATCTTCTTTCTTATTGGATTAGTCATTCATAGAATGAAAGCCCTGAATTAATATCTGACTCTTCACCTTGGGCTGTTCTTTATCTGATAGTTGTGAAAGTAAGCTCAAGCACCAGTGAAAAAATCTGGTGGTCTTTTCTGCTCACTGTAAAGTCAAGGTCAAGCCCCATCAGAATGTCCCAAACAGAAGTCAAAAACACAAGCACTTGAAAAGTGGAAGGTCAATTTGGGACAGGGTTGAATACCATCATAAGTAATAAAGTAATCCAAGCTAATTATTCAAACAGAACTGTCAAGAATCCAAGATGAGATAGGGAAAGCATTCTTTGCCAGCAAAAAGCATTGCCTCAAATGATCCCTTTTTAGTCACAAAAATCTCCACTATGTATCTGTCCTTTACTTTGCTACCCTTTCTTTTTTCCATTCATTGCTGAAATCTGACATTTTAACTGAAGGTTCAAAACCCCTTTATTTATTTCCAAGATTTAAGGGGAAAAGGTTTCTTTTAAAACATCCTGAATTTAAAAATAAATAAACTGAACAGGAAGACTTAGACTGTCTATTTCAATTCATCTTGTGATTTCTCATTTTGTGGATTGTACTGATAAATTATTGTAAGTCACATCGTAATTTTGCCTAAGAAATGTGAGCATCATCGGGTGTTTTTAAAATATAATAGGGGCCCTCTTTCACCCAGCCATTTCCTGGGCTGCTGCTGTTCCTAGTAGCAGCCAAACACCTGAACAAACCCAGGAATTCCGGGCCAAATGGTTCTGATAACAGCAGATTTGGGTAGAATTGATTTGATCAAATAACTCATACAAAATGCAGCTTAATAGGTGTCCTTATTCTCAGGACTCCACTCAACTAGAGAGAAGAGAGTGAAAACACATCCTCTTTTGATAATGTAGTTTATTCCAAAAAAAATTTTGTACGAGTACATACACACATATTTGAATAATATATGAGTGTAACTACTACACGAAGGAGTATCATTATAATCTTGGATCCTGAACATATGCTTAATTTCAACAGCTTACAGAAAAGAATTAATGTTGCATGCATAAGGGTGCAGTGAAAACTTTGGACGTTGAGTTAGAGGGTTGGTTTTGTTCTGTTTTTTAACAATTTCAAAGTTCCTAAAATGCAGATAGTATGAAGAAAAGAACTGATTTTCTACATGACTAAAAATTCAGAGTCGGCAAGTTCATGCTTATGCTAAGCAGTTTTGCTTGAATCAGTACCTGGAAAAATTAAGGTAATTCCTGTGTTTACAGGCTCTATTCAAGCAAGGCAGGAGCAACATTTGAGAGGGATTAACAATCAAAAATTGAAAATCTACCATCACCACACAAGCTTGCCTTTTCATTTTGTACAGATCATAAAACATGTAACACGGACCAGACCCTTGTCCGGCAAATGTTCACATCCTAATTTTTAAAAATAGCTTTTATACACAATTGCTCTCTTTGCAATAAAACAAAGATTTGTTTATAGCTACAATTTAATTAAGAACCTTTTCGAAGAGGAAGATCTGGAAACCAGGGATCTTATTTTTTCTTTTTTTTTTTTCCACCAGGGTTGTTTGTTTATTGGTTTAATTTTCCCTGAAGTAAAAATACACTTTGAAATGTAACATGTCATTATGTAATTTGTAGTAACAAAGTGCAGGCCCTTGCACACGACAGCAAACAGGACCGCTCCGGCTCACAGACAGTCCCCATATCCACAGCCCCCTCCCCAGTCTGATTAACAGCCTGTATAAACATTCAGCCAACCAGAACAGCGGCCAGTGCACAATTTGGTCAGCCATAAAACTGCCAGCCAAACACAGACACGGGGGGGTTATGCAGAAATCTTAATTTGGGGGAAATGATCAAAACTGAGACAACATGGCCCCCACAGAGATCAGGAAGAGCTAACCTTTATTTTCATTAATCCCACCCCACCTCCCAAATAGCAAGGGATGCTATCACCACTGAAGGTAAAATGATAAATAAAATGTCCCTGAAATGCAGCGTTGCAGAGGGAGCATGGTCAAGAGCTCCACCCCTGAACAGCAAAATCTTAAGGGCAAAAATAAGCTTCTATTTTAAGGAGCAATTTTAAATGGTCTGAGTTATTTGGGAAAGGTCCTATTTTGACATATCCAGAATGGATTCCCTCCATCAGCATGTTTTCTATTGATGCAAGGAAAACTAATATGTATTCTAATTGTGCAGAAATTGGTGAAATTTATACAAAGGGTGTTTTGTGTTTTTTTTTTCCCTTCCCACCATTTTCATTGCCCTTGGCAAAAGACTTTAGACCCTTCACATAATGGAAAATTCAAAATGTTCGACGTAAATCAAATAATTAGTAAGAAACAGGTTTTAAAAAGTTTTTTTTTAGAATACTCTCGCAAGATGGTGAACTTGTTTTTTCTGGCTTGGGACAGGATTTCATAGCTCACTTTTGAGACTATATGGTACCCAACTTTTAACAGAATTGAGTCTTTTAAATATTCTCTTTTCTGAAAATATGCTGGTGGTAATGACAGTGATTGAATTAGCTATAGCAAAAAGACATTGCGTTAGTCTAGTTCCTTTCTCCTGAATAGCTTTTTGCTAACTGGTTACTATAGAGCATTGGGCTTCACAGAAATTTTTCACAATTTTCACCTTTGTTCTAGTCTTGCTCCTTAATTTGGAATCTCTAATTTGTTTGAGAAAAAACAAAAACAAGAAAGCATGATCAGCCACCTTACCAATGCTCTCCCAGACCGGGTTACCCACGTCTTCCTTCGTATATCTAATTGTGCTCACAAGCGTTTATTTTTTCCTCTCGTAAGAAACCTGCATGCTTTTTTCTAGGTGGCTTTCTGCTAAAGAAATTAATAACTAAACATAATGCAAGCTCCAAATAAAATGAGAAAATGTATAGATATATTGAATAATTATTTTTTCCAGGCCTTAGGCAAACCACTTGCCATTTCATTTAATTCTCACAAAACCTATGAGTTGGGTATATGTATTATCCACACTTTTTTTTTCTTTTCACAGATTAGGGAACTGAAGTACAAAGAGTTTCAGTAATTTGCCCCCAAGCCACATAGCATGTGAACAGCAGAGCGAGAGTACTAGCTCAAGCAGCCTAATTCAAGAATCAATCTACTGCCCCTCCTAGATATGATGTTATTGTCTTTGTCGAGAGGTAGGTATGTCTCAGATCCTTAGGGTCATTGCAAAGAGGTGGACAAGGAGCCCTCCATGATGATTTCACTTAGTTAGTAAGTGAGGTAGCCTGGTTAATCTAAGGAGCATCAGTTTCAAAGTTTGAAAGCTATGGGTTTCTTCGCAAGCTCACCATTGATTAGCTGCAGGACCTTGGAAATGTTTACTCACATATCCCAGCTTCTGTTTCCTCATCTGCAAAAAAGAAAAAATTTTGTGAGAGTTAAATGGAATGTCATTTTTTTTAATGCTTCACAAACATATAGAAGATTTTCAGGTCTTCTTTTCTCTCCCCTAGCTAATCCATTTATATCACGTTGTGATCAGTTTTAATCATTATAACATTACAAATATACTTTATGAAATTACCTTTCTAGGGTATAGCTTGATGAAAGGATTTCATATCTAAAACAAAATTTTAAACCGAATATTTGGGTACATTTTTTTTAACTCATTGGATCACACTAAATTGTAGATACTCTAAAAAATGAGTTAGGTCTCCTAAGTATGGCTGAAAAGTAGGCACATTTGCCTTCACTCCAAAAACCAGCAAGATAATTTCTAATATTCATGAATGTTCATTTCAAAAGCATATGGCAATTGCACATGGGCTACTCTTTGGTCAGCAAGTTAAAGAAGAGCAGAGATGTCAAAGAAGCTTCCTCTCTGATATCATCCATCAACTTATGGTTGTTGGACCTTCTCTGTCACAGCCTGCCTTCAACCGATTCTCTCTCATTGTTGGAAAAAGGGAAAAATGAGCAAAAACTACAACAAGCAATAATTCAAATCATTGCCCAAAATGTTCTTCCAACTCTGTGAGTTACATAACCTTAACCTATCTTGAAAACCACAGATTTCCATCTCCTTGGGATGGCAGAAAGCAACAGAATATTCTGAATGACATTTTCAGGTTTATGGGTTTGACATATCTTTCAAAACATTTCCGAATTTTCCCCACTTCATTCCCCAACACCTCCCAGGAGCACTTGCAGAGAGCAGGCCTAATGTTTTCGATGATAAATTAGTTGTCAATATATAGACAAGTTACTTTTTCCAAAGCCTCTTGGAGCAGAAGCGTATTCTACTTCCTCTCAAAGGCCCTAGAACTACCTGTGTACTGGCATGCTCACAAGAAAATTTTTATTCACAAGAATAATCTGTTGAAAGGAGGATAGATTTTCAAATGGAGTTTCAAATAATCCTCACCTTTGAGATCATCCGTGCTCACAGCCCAGTATTTTTACAAGATGAAATGATTTACAGAATCAAGCCTGGAAAAATTGGAGGGCAACTCCAAAAGGCAAGAACATGTTGCCGAGTCAATCATTCATCCTGCCAGGGAAACTTTTGTAGTTTCCAAACTGTTATGAGACACCGCTCTCTATCCAGGGCAGAGGAATCGTTGAAAAGGCAGGAGGTATGCTGGCCACACAGCCAGCATGGAGAGCTGGAGTTTTTGGCAGGGCACTTCCACCCCAAAAGCAGACAGAGTCCTGGAAGGGCGTTCGTGTAAACAAAGCAGGCAGATAGCTTCAACTCTGCAATGAGGCGCAACCTTTCCCAGATCAAAGCCTGGATCACAGAGACAGCCCTGAAGAACTGAGTGTCCTTTCTGGAACATCCAGCTCCAGGGGAGAGACTTGAACTGGAGCCACAACTTTGCCACCTGTAGCCAATGACTTGGCACACGAAAGCTCTCACAGGGTGGGGAGCCTGCAGCTGCTCCCACAACAGAAGATCAATGGAAAGATAAGACAACACAGGGAAGAAAGGTTTCTTACTCGAGATACTGAAGCTGAGATCATTTAACTAAAGCTTGCATCCAGGCAACCCAAGTTCTCTATGCAGTGTTGAAAGGGGATGGAAATCAGTACAGGGTCATAAGCTCTGAAGCCAGGTTGCTGGGGCTTTGACTCTCTACTCTGCGTTTACTAGCTGTATGACCTATGCCTCAGTTTCCTTACCTTCAGAAGGACCTAATAGTGCCTCCTCCATAGGATTTAATGAGTGACTGGGACACTAGAAAGCTCTCAAAATGTTGCCATTATTATTTGAAGTTACACAGACCTGGGTTTGAACCAGGTTTGGCTACTTAGCACTTTTGTGAACTTGGAGAAATGACAATCTTTGGGTGAACTCCCCAAGGGTAAAATGGATGTTAATACGGCCCTTGCAGTATTGCCATGGTGATTTAATTTTGTATGACACACAGTAGGCACTCAGTAATTGGCACTTCTGATTATTTTCATTTTTCCTGGTTTCTGACAGAGAAACCTGACAGGACTGGTGAGGCTGCAAGAAACATAGCCAGTAAAATTTAGGATCCTCTTAAGTCCCCAAAGCTTCATCCATATGCAAAAGAGATACATCCCCAGGGAAGACTGGGTCCTGGATGTTTTTAAATACACAACTTATTTTATTTTAAGAGCAAAAAGAGAACCTGGAAGTGTTCCCAAATTTAACATCTGCAGGCAGATAGGATGACGAAATGTATTAGTACTGAGGAATAACTTTCTCCCGTCTTCTTGGAAAACATCTGGGGTATTACCCTTTCCTCCACTCATTCCCCCACCTCTTACCCCAAAGCTGACTCTCAGCCGACAGTTTATCAGCAATAAATGGAAACACCTGTGTGGCAGATAAGGCCAACTGAGTGTGATCAGCTGAGGAAACCTTAGGGACGCATGTCACTCAATATTTCTTTTTCCATGCCAGGCAGGGCAGAGGCACAATCTAGCCTGTGACAGATGGCAAGGTTCACTTTCTCATTCATTCATTCATTCATTCATTCATTCAGTTAGTCATTCATTCAAAACAACCTCAGGAGGTCAGCAGGCCCAGCTCCCTGCCTGAAATAGGTCAATGCCTGAGCCACCAGGTGAATTAGAAGGCTATTGATCCTGCTTTTAACCACATCTGCAAAAAGACATTCTAGAAACTAACTCTGTGTCTTGTTCAAATCTTTAATCACCCTTTCTTTTGTGAAACCAAACCCCCTCCAGCTACAATTTCTCATCTTTATAGAGATGAGAAATATCATCTTCTGTACCCCATGGCCAGTCAAAAAGTATTTTTATTGCCATCTCTGCTGTAATAACCTCCCCAAACTTGAAAACTCTAAATCCGGTTTTCTTCCCATGTCCCCACACCATATTAAACAATCCCCACCTCCTTTGCTCTTTCTTCAAAGGTCCTACTCATCTACTCTTTAATTAGCTTGTTTCTTTTCTCTCAACTCATTCCAGCATCTACACATCATTTAGAAACCAAAACTTGACACAGAACTCTAATCGTTGACAAGAGATGTAGCTGCTATTAAAGTGAAAATGATCCATTGTGTGTTTTCACAAAGCCACTACCTGGACCCCCAAGCAAGTTACTTAACATTTCTGTTTCCTCACCTGTAAAGGTGATTCAATCATAAAGAATGAGGTCTGTGAACATGACATTAGGAAGACCTACCAGCAGCCGGTAGTCTGTAAAAGGTAAAAGTACTTCTTTTACTTCCTAAAAGAAGTAAGTTCAGAAAGACATATAGAAATTAACCAGGTCAAGAGAAGAAAGCAATCCTACCAGAGGCAACTGCCTGTGCAAAGGTCCTGAGGCCTGACCTGAGGACCAGGATGAGTAGATCCCAGAGAACAAGAAAAGGGTTGTGAAATGAGGCTGGTGAAGGAGGTAGAACCCAGATAACACAGGTCCATGTAAGCCAGGAGTTTGGTTTTTTTTTTCAAGGCACTGGGAAGATGATGAAGTTATAAGCAGATTTATATATTTTTTAAAGGCTCCTGGCTGCAGAATAGGTTGGACACAGAGAGGATGTGGGGAGAGTAGGAAGCTCTCCAGGTAACCCAGGAATGAGACTGTGAGAGCTCAGACTACGGTGGCATTTGTGAAGATGAAGAGACATGGCTAGATTTGGAAATGAGAATTAACAGCACTTCACTGATTCACTGAATATGGCAGTGAGCGGGAGGGAGGTGTCCAGGGTGCTGCCAAGTGTCTGATTTGCTCATCTTGGATGGCGCTGCTGTTTACTGAGGTGGAATGCTGGGGGAGGAATGGGTTTGAGGAAGAAGGCATGAGTTCAGTGTTTGGACATGCAGAGTCTGAAGTGCTGTGAGATGGCCAAGTCGAGATGTGGAATAGGCCATGGGATTTATGATTGGGAGCTCAGAGGAGAGCCTAAGCTGGAGATATAAATTTAAGAGTCACCAGCATATAGATAATAATTGAAACCATGAGTACGAACGAGGTCACGGAGGGAGGGTGTAGAATGTGAAGGAGAAGAGGGCAGTGTATCAAGCCTTGAAATTCTCCAATATTTAATGGTAAGCAAGAGGAGAATGAGCCAGGAAAGAGACTGGGGAGAGTCCCAAGAGGTGGGAGAAAATTAGAATGTCAGGTCATGGAATCCAAAGGAAGAGGATATTTTAAGAAGAAGGTGCTGCCAACAAGAGACACACAGAATGGCCAAGCAGGACCCATAGAATGTGACCTGTCAGGAAGTGAAATGTGGCATTTGTTTATCCTTAAGGATCTCATCTAGGTTACATTCCTGTGGGATTTTCAGGATTGTGTGTGCTCCTGGGTTTTGTTAACTCGGAATTTTTCCACCTTTCCTATGCACAGCTAAGGCTTACTGTTGCATGTTATGACTGAACTTTCTATCCAACGTGATCAGTTTAGCAACACCAGGGTTATATCTCATCTATCCAGATGCTTCTGCTGTTCAGACAGGAAAAAAGTCAAAAATCTCAATGATTCTTGCTAAAGTCCTGTCACTAATATTTGTGTGTTTACTAATAGAAGCCTTTATTTAGCTTTCACTGAGAGCTATTTAACCTTTACAGGTTTTACAAGGATCAATGTTCGGTTTCTTAATCCATAGTAAAATGGAAAAAAACCTGTGGGCAGGGGCCAAGGTGGAGGAGGAAGACCAAGAAGGAAGGTCACTGAGGCATGTGAAAATTGTTACAGTACAGTCAGTCCTCATTAGAAGTAGATTAAAATCTACAAAAACCAGGCAAAAGAACCACAAAATTACAGCAGTCTGAGTCCATTTAGTGAGGAGTAAATACACCTTAGTCCTCAGTAACCTTTGGAGAAAACATCACAATATACTGCCTGTTAATAACAGAGCAACCAAGGAAATTTTAAATAAATGCTTGCTACGTTAAAATAAGTGGGGGAAGCCTATCATGTGATTTTCTTTTCTGTCCCTTGTATTTTCTATAAAGTGGTTTTGAGAACTATAGGCTCAATCAGTTTCAAGTTAAATTTTTGGGTAAGAATTCACTCTAGGAGGTAATGTACACATCAGATTGTTCGGGGATGTTAGGATTGCCCAGAGGGCTCCAGGATCATCAGCCTTATCCAATAGAATGTTTCCTGTTGGCCTTTCACCTAATGGTTTCACAGCTATTAAATATGGTCCCCTAGATGTATCATTTTATTAGATATTAATACATTCAGAATGTGGCAAACTCTACAGTGCAAATAACTTAGTTTTTTAAACAAATAAATTGCAAGGAAAAAAGCCAGCGGGAAAGAGAAGCTACAGATTAAAATATATTTAAGAGCCACAACAACCAAATCCAGTGTATAGGTTTGTCCTGCTTATTAGTAAAT
Organism: Homo sapiens; assembly: GCF_000001405.40. Classification (NCBI taxonomy): domain Eukaryota; kingdom Metazoa; phylum Chordata; class Mammalia; order Primates; family Hominidae; genus Homo; species Homo sapiens. The sequence goes on from NC_000007.14 coordinate 25,667,171, forward strand.
GGACATTTGCTAATTAACTGCAGAAATTTTAAAACTGACTGGAAATCCAATCCTATTTTTTAGGTGTGATGACGCATGGTAATTACACATTTTTTAAAGTCCTTATCAAGATACATACTGAAGGATTTATAAATAAAATGACATGATGTCTGGTATTTGCTTCAAAACAATCCAGTGGATGGGGGTGGTGGGCCATGGAAGAACAGGGGAGAGGGCTTGGGGAGAGAGGAAATCAGATCAGCCTTGAGCTGCCGTGAAGGCTGGATGACGGGCACCTGTGGGTTCTCGGTGCCCTGCTCTCTACTGTGGATGACTTCTTGAAATTTCTCTAACAAAAAGCTTAAAAATAGAGAGAAGAGGCCAGGCATGGTGGCTAACGCCTATAATCCCAGCACTTCGGGAGGCCCAGGCGGGCAGATCACCTGAGGTCAGGAGTTTGAGACCAGCCTGGCCAACATGGTGAAACCCCGTCTCTACTAATAATACAAAAATTAGCTGGGCATGGTGGTGGGCACCTGTAGTCCCAGCTACTTGGGAGGCTGAGGCAGGAGAATTGCTTGAAGCCAGGAGGTGGAGATTGCAGAAAGCCGAGATCACGCCATTGCACTCCAGCATGGGGGACAAGAGTGAGACGCCGTCTCAAAAAATAAATAAATAAATAACGGGAAGAAGTCATTTCTTCTTCATCTTGTTATTTTGGAAGAAAACATTTCTAAACATCTTCTTCAGCAGGGTAGACTGAACAACACTAAAAACAGATTATTTAGAAAGTCCAATGGTGAATACAAAGATAAATTAAGAAGAAGCATACCTTGGAGTAATGGAGGTGTGACTATATTATTACCTCAGTAATTGAAACAACCAAATTGAAGCCAGGCGAGAAATCACTCCACACTATGATGGGTTAGAGAGCTCCAATGCCTCAATTAGAACTGATTTCTAATTGAAACACTGCTGAACTTCAGGCAGCAAAACCCGCTTCTGTCGCACCTCTGTGACTCTGTTCCGAAAGATAGGGTTCTGTGCTTCAGTGAGCTCCTGTATGAAGCCCAATCCCCCTACGCTTCTCCTTCCTTTGCTCTATGTTCCTCTGCTCCAGAGAAGTCACCCATTCATTTGCTAACTTAGGAGTGGCAATGCCAGTAAATATTTTGAGAAGTTTTAGGGAAAAAAAATATTTAAAATGAAATTCAAACTACTATGGAATGGACTCTTCACTTTCAAGCCATCAACTCTCTTTCCTTCTTACCTGGTCATGTGGTTCCCATCCAGATCCATCGTTGCCCCCTTGGGCTCCCTGGGCTACCTGCTTCGACAAGGGGAAGGCCACCATGCTGCCCTCTGCAGCTCCCTGGGTGAAGGGAGGACAGGTTGGCCAGGCAGGGAACCGCAGGCAAGGGCCTGTGACTGACTGACTTTTTGGTTCATAGTCATCTGGGTTGCATATGCCTGAAAACTTCTGGGGTTTCAGGGTACATCAGGGTCACTGGAGATGGCCAGTTCAGAGAATACCCAGCATCTGAGGTTTTTGCCCCCTCTCTGCTTGTGTTTTTACCTACACCATTTCCTGAGCTCAATAAGCCAATCACCCACTGAATTCCTATTCATCTTTTAAGAGCTCACTTCACCATCACCAAATCCGCAGATCTTTTCCCAACCTGCTCATCAGAGCTAAGGGGCCCTTCCTCTCCTTCCAATAGTTCTCTGCTTGTAAAGTTCTTATAAGATTTAAGTATCTAGGGAACCAACTATTTGGTGAGCTCCTCGAGGGCTGGACTGTGTCTCATTCACCTGTGTATCCATGCCCGGAGTAATGCCCATCCCTAGACAGTGCCTCATGTTCACCCCTGTGCATGTGAACAGGACACATGAGCTCTGTCCATAGCTCTCCAACCCCCTTCCACCGCTTGTCTCTAACCAACCCCCTTTGCCTCCTTCCTGCTACCCCTCCTTTTCCATACCACCACTTTCCCACACCATCTCCTTCTTCCCCTGAATCAAGAAGTGAGAACATCAGGAAAGAGAGGGATCAATTTCATGCCAGAGTCTCAGGCTGTCTCCACGGATTTTCCCATGCCAGACCATTTGGCTAGTGATTGCTGAACTAGATGAGAATTCTCAGCCCTACCCAGGAGTCCTCCAGCTCCCACTGCCTCATGGGCCCATCACAGCTTTCTGGATCAATAAACCTCTCCTTCAGTCAATAGGAGCTTTGTGAACTAAACAACAGATGCCACAGGGCCTAGAAGGCAAATAAATATGGTTATTCAACATTTTATCGCACTGTGTGTAATTCAGGAAATTTAATTATGGTCTCCCTAGCAACAGTAATGCAACTTCAAGCCTGGTACACAGGCCTTGTTTTCTGGTGCACAAGGGAGTGACCTTCACGCCTTCACCTGGATGGAGACCATGCAATCTGGCTGACTTACAGTTGCCATGGGAAACCTCAGTGAGTCTTCCTCCCAAATCCTCTGCTTCCAAATTCAAAGCTGATTTTCAGCATTTGGTATGGAGACTCGGGTGGGGGAAGGCACTAACATAACTCCAGACAAGTATAGGTAGTTAAGCATCAAAGGCACAGATCCAGACGCTGGATACACTTGAGACACAGAATGTCTGAGCAGGACTCTCAGAAAACGAAGTGTCAGGATCAGACCTGCCTACTGTTCTATTGCCTAGAGCAGGGGTTATTAACTTGGGGTCTGTGATGTCCCCAAAGAGAGACTGATGGCATGGTGATTGGGAGCATGGATTCCGGTGCCAGACTTCACAGGTTCAAATCCTATTTACCTCTTCCATTTATGGAGCTATATGACCTTAGGCAAAGGACTCACCTTCCCTGTGCCTCAGTCTCCTCATCCATAAACTAGGGGTAACATTATTGGGAGAATTCCGGGTGATTTGATTAGTTTTGCTTTGGAGCACAGAGTAATACTGGACCTCTAGGCAGGATTTACTAATGACAGCACTTAGCTATTTTGCATGGCCCCACTTGTAATCCTGTGCCTGAGCCAAGTCAGAATGGGGACGTGTCACATATGGGCTCCCTTGAGTTTGTTCTTTTTTATTTTCTGAGAAAACTATATTTCTTTTTCCACTCCTCACTCCTCTGCGAACTTTAATTAAGCCCTCTCCCATCTAGAGAGCCAGGCGAGGGTTAAGTTTTGTTTTTGAAAAGCCTCACAAGCTTGCACAGCAGCAGGTTTTGCCACAGTTTGACAGTTCCAGTTCAGCTCGGTGCGGCTGATTTATAAGACACTGAGCTCATTGGCTTTATCCTCTGTTCTCTCCCAGTCATTTCTCAATCGAGTCGCCCTGGCTGGAAACATCTGAGAAAGAAATTTACTGAGAGATGCACAGACAGCCTATTCACATTTCATAACTTTTCAGGAGCCTTCCCCCAGAGGAGCCAGCGGTAGCCAGTTAACTCATGCACAATCCCTAGCTAGTGTCCCTGCCCCCATCACTCCACTCACCTGTACAGACAAACCCAGGTCCCCTCCAAACTCGGCTTCTTTGACTCTAATGCTAAGTGATGTAGCCATCACAGCACATACTGTTCTTAGACCTCGCCCAGCCTCGCCTGTGACAGCAGGATTAGACAGGGAAATATGAATGGAAGGCACCCGATGGATTTAGTGATTTAATTGTCTGAGCACTTAAAAATTCAGGATTAATTCCACTTAAGTGCAGTTGTTTCTTTCTCATTAACAGGGATCTGTTTAGAATAATTTATAGAAATAGGAACCTAATGGAGGCTCAAAAGAAGCCTTTGCGTGACTTATCAACCTTGCTTTCCCCTTCTCTAGCCAGCCCCTCTCCCTGCACCAATCTGGTCTCAACATATAGAAGCCTCTAATCTGAAACTGGTGTTTCCCACTAAATCCTCCATTTGTGCTTGAAGTAATTTGCAATGGCCACTTTCTGTGTCTTGTTCTCAGATGTGTCTTCGTCAATTAGTGCAATGTCACAGCCGTGTGTAGTTATTGTAACTCCAGCTGTGAGCTGTTAATAATAAACTTGCCCACAGGACAACCCTGTCATATGGTTGATGGTCAATCAAGACTAAAATATGCATTAGAAGGAAAAAAAATGCTCCTGTCAACAGTGAGTGGGTGGAGGTCATTGGTTAGGATGCCGGCATGTAGCTGCCCAGTTCGGGTTAATGTCGTGTCGTCGGCATCCTTGACTCGCTCCCACTCTACGATGTTTGTCCTGAGACACAAAGGCGTGATAACTAAAATGACACAGCTGGAATCAGAAGACAAGTAGACAAAACATGGTGAAATGTAGAATATGGGTCAGGGAATAGGGATTTGTTGAAAAGAAACATAGCTCAGATTCTTTAGTAGGAAAAGAAGACAGATCTGCGTTTTGGTCATGGGAAATGATCTGTGGGCTACAAGACAAATTTTATTTAATGGGAGTTCTGAGGCAAATAAAAACAAGCTGATTTGTGGCAAATGAGTGAAGAAGGAACAGTCACCCACTTGGGTGATTCCTATTAATTTTCTTCACAGGATCACGAGGTGTTTTGATTATTTTAGTTCAGTTTTAAATTTTGGTTTTCCAAGGGGTGGCTATGAGTGGGGAGACTCTTGGCAAATAGATGAACCTTGACTTAGAAATCTGCCCCAGTATGAAAATCTAATGGCATTTACTTGTCTCGATGGCTAAACTGCTACTTACTCATCTCTATGTCAGTTTCATCTGCAATTACTAAGAACGAGTACAGAATGGTAAAAAGCCATGCCAACTGTCTCAGTCAGTCCATGCTTTTTTGTGTGTTTAAATAAGTTCTCAATACAATATCTATCATAGATAGCATTTCATAATACCCTGAAGGCCACACTCTAAACAATCTCCAGTCTCTTCACTACCACAGGTCTCGGTTCAACATTTTCTGTTAATAACTGAAAACCCAGGGAGGCCAAGGCGGGTGGATCACCTGAGGTCAGGAGTTCAAGACCAGCCTAGGTGACATGGTGAAACTCCATCTCTACTAAAAATACAAAAATTAGCTGGGCACGGTGGTGCGTGCCTGTAATCCCAGCTACTCAGGAGGCTGAGGCAGGAGAATCACTTGAGCCCAGGAGGCAGAGGTTGCAGTGAGCCGAGATTGTGCGTGCACTCCAGTCTGGGCGACAGAGCAAGACTCCATTTCAAAAAAAAAAAAAACCTGAAAACCCAGGTTAAAGCAGTACATGCAACTTTTTCTTTGAATTCAAGCATTCCATTGCCTCCTTTTAAAAAAGACATGTTTTTTTTCTCCTTTCTTTATCTTTTTTTTCTGTGCTGGTCAGGAAGTGAAATGATTCAATTCCTACCGAGGTTTCTTTTTCACAGAAAGAATGAAATATTTGTCCTCTACTAAAAACAGAAAAACTTTCAATTGGCATTCAAAGGGTAATCACACAATAAGGGCCTTATTAAAAGCCTGGAGCCCCGTTTACTCACTGTGGAGCCTGACTTGATTATTCGATAATTAGAAACACCCTGCTAATGACTGGACTGGAGTCTTCCCTGAGGGAGTGCCCCCTTCAGGCAACGCATTATTTGTGATTACACTTTTGTCATTAAGAAGGTAAATTACTCACTTCTCTTTCCTCCCATATTCTTTCCAGATTTGCCTGAAATTTGTGGGAATCCAGAGAAGGCTGCCCTGTCTGGAGATACCCACACACAGGCACATGTGCATACACATACATGCGTGCTTCTCCTCCATCCCAGTTAGTTGGTTGCTAAGGGTTTGCTGAATTTCCTGTCATTCTGAGGCTGTTTCACTTGCTCAGTGGTTCTCAGCTGGGTGCGTGGCAATGTCTGGAGTTGTGTTTGGTTATCAAACTGCAAAGAGGAGAGGAGCTACTGGCATCTAACTAGTGGAGGTCAGGGATGCTACTAAATCTATAATGCATAGAACCCCACCCCCGCACCCCCCACCTCGGCAAAGAATTATCTGGCTCAAAATGTCAACAACGCCAATGCTGAGAAATACTGCACTAATGATCAATTTAGTTTGAGATGACATGATCGATCTACGGGTTAATGTTCAGAATGAAAGCAGTAAGACAAAGGGGTATCAAATTCCTCTTACATCATTTTCCCTTCACCCCACCAAAAAATTATACCTGATTCACCCCAACTCTGCCTAAGCCAGTTTTCCACATGATATTGTAAGGTGGGGATCAGCAACCTACAGCTTAATGCATCTGCCACCTACTTTTGTACAGCCAACAAGCTATGACTGCTTGTTACGTGTTTAAATGGTTGAGAGGAAACAAAATGAATATTATCTGTGACCCATGAAAATTATGTGACATTTAAATTTAATATCCATAAATAAAATTTTACTGGGATCCAGCCACACCCACTTGTTTACATATTGGCCATTGTTACTTTTGCAATATAGCAGCAGATTAATTTTGACAGAGACTATATGGCCCCCAAAGCCTAAATATTTACTATCTGGCCTATGACAGAAAAGGTTTGCTGGCCTGTACTATAAAACCCAAAACCAATTATGTGCCCTGCACAAAAGACAGACTCAATGATTCCTGGAGGTCCCAGGTCCCACTTTGATTAGGAAAGGTGCATAAATAATGCTGCACTGTTTCTACATTTGCTACCCTCAGATATCACCAGATTGGTGGGAGGTCACTTACACACAAGTTATTTGTTTTTCTAATCTTACCACAGTTATAACTTTCTTGCCCCAATAAAACTCATCATGTGGTTTCAAAGCTGGGCTTTCCTCTCAATTTCCTTCCCCAGCATTAGCCTGAATCGATGATACAAAACCAGAGAGAGAAGACAGAAGGGTCTGATTTATCCTCCAACTGGATCCTCAGCCATGAGTAATTGAAAGAAAAACATAGGTGCACCCTAGCCGCAAATTCTCAGACATCCCCTGACTCCCCGCCGAGATTGACAGTCCTCTCCCTATTTCAGAAATAGTTTGAACTATTCTCCTTCCCCAGAAAAAAAGGGTATTTAGGGATGTTACCCACACAGACAGAAAGAGGTTAGCTGGAACAGGGTTCTACAAACACAGGGATTAATGCTGTTTAACCTCACCAATTTAAAATGTAAAGGAATACACGCAAAAAGCCTGCCCCTGGCACTGTGCATGCCAAAGGAGTTAAGCAGCCCCACATGCATGTATTCTAGTTTGGAGACATGACAAGGACACACATAGAAGGCTGTGAGGATGCAGAAGAGGGAGAGATCATTTCTGGATTTGGAGATGATAGTGATAAGGAGGAAGTGGGGCAAGAGGAGAGCATCATCATTTATTGGTGTCAGAAGTACTCTGAGCACTTTACATAGATCTTCACAGTAACTCAAAATGTTGATAGTGTTCAACCCGTTTTATAGATGGAAAAACTGAACTTCAAGACGTTAAGTAACTTGCCTAAGGGCACAGAGCCAGTAAGGTAGTGGAGCAAGGATTCGAAGCACATCTGTCTGACTGCTCTTCTCCATGTTGAGGGGATTTTGTCATTGAGAAAGTAAATTACTCACTTCTCTTTCCTCCCATTTTCTTTCTAGAGTTTTTGCCTTAAAATTGTGGGAATCCAGGGAAGACTGCCACAGCAGAGGCAGGATGTGAACAGGCCTGGATGAGTAGGATACAGATTGGAAAACTAAAGGGGAAAAAAACATTCTAAATAGGATAAAGGGATACGAATAAAAGAACAACTCTGGAATGGGTGTGTTACATTAGGGATGGTTCAGAGACAGAATAGAGGAGTCTCTTGGAAGCAGAGTTTACACAGGGCAGATAATACTCAAAGGTTTGATGAGGCCCAAACATTGCCAAATGCAACCATTGTTAGGAATCGATTTTGCAAAGTCTTGACATTTGACATTGAGTCCATGTGGAAGGAATGTGCTACAGTAATAGCAGCTTTATTCATGACTGCCAACACTTGCAAGCAACCAAGATGTCCTTCAATATGTAAATAGATCAAACCAATACAACCATGTGATGGCTGTACTTATTCAGTGATGAAAAGAGCTATCAAGCCACCAAGATACCTGGAGGAAACAAATGCATACTGCTAAGTGAAAGAAGTTCATCTTAGAAGAACTAAGAAAGAAGCTACATACTGTGTGACTTCAACTATATGACATTTGGGAAAAAGCAAAACTATGGAGACTGTAAAAAGACCAGTGGTTGTCAGCAATTACAGGAAGAGTAGGATGAAGAGGCAGAGGGTTTTTAGGGCAGTGGAACTATTCTGTACAATACTATAATGGCAGATACGTGGCATTATACATTTGTCAAACCCATAGGATGCACAACACAGAGAATGAACCCTAATGTAAACTATGAACTTTAGTTAATAATATGTCAATATTGGCTCATCAATTGTAACAAATGTGCCACACTAATGCCAGATAGTAAAAACAGGGGAATTTGGGGTGGGTGGAAGAGGGGACCTATGAGAACTCTATGTACTTTTGGTTCAATTTTTTCTGTAAACTGAAAACTGCTCCAAACAAATATTAATTAAAATTTTAAAAGGTTACTGGACCCAGATTCTAGACATGTCTCTGACTTTGAGCAAATCACAGCCTCTCTGGGTCTTATGGACCAAGAGATTAGTGCGTGACCCGCTACCATAGGACATCCTATGACTGGAATAATGTATATTTGTCCAACTTACTCTTTTCATTGAAGAGTGAAAGAGAGATGGAGGGTGCTTGGGCCTCAGGCTCATGAATGTAAGCCCTGAGGGTTTCTGGGTATTTGCAGCAGTGGATCAGGATCCATGAGATCACTTCCCTCTAGCACATGAGGTCACTTTGCATTTAGGGGCCCCAATACCAATGTGTTTGTGGTGTGGTCCTGGTTTGTTTAGAATGGTTACCAAATCCCAACTTCTTCAAACATTTTTTAAAGTGATGATTATTTTGCGGCATGATAGAAACTGACACCCACAAAATGTGTTGACTTTAATGAAGTAGATGTGAGAATTAAAACATCTTCCTTTCCACACCCAGCTTCTGAGCTTGTGTGCTGAGCTGCCTGACAGAAAGTTGGCCTCTGCAGGCCCCGCAGCTGCCATAGAAATGGCAGTGTGACTGGCAGCTCTCAGCAGTGTGTCCAGGATGTACTAATATTTACCAGAAGAGGCGGCCTCTGGTGTCACTGAGTCCCCACTCACCTCATGTGACTGCTGCTTCCAAGCCTGCTTCACAGAGTTGGCCCAGAGGAGGGTGTGGTCTGAGTTTGCATCAGAGATCTGGTTTTACCTTAACCCCTCAAAAATCACAATTATATTTAGCAGATCTCAGCAGGCATAGTATAAACAATAAAAACCAACCTTTAAGGATATTGTTCACAAAGGATGTAAATGCCAAGTAAGATGGGTAATTTAACTTTACATATATATGGATGGAAACATATATGGCTTTTAGATTGTGCCTGAATTTTCTACATATACAAACACACATACTTTTTAAACAGTTTGGGTACAGAAAATAATATCACCAACTTTTACTTGTGTGTGAACTTTGTAGACACAAAACTTAAACAGATGTGCATGTTTATGATTTTTAAAGATGCACATATGTAAAACATTCAATAGTATATTTGTTCACACAGTTGATTTAACTGAAAGACCCTGTATTTACATGTTTTAATTGTGTTATGTGAGACAGTGATACGTATATTATGTATGTTGACATTTATGATTGAAAACCAAGTGGCTCGGTAAAAGTGAGTTCTTCATGTGTTTTGAAACTGTTCCAGACCTAAAAGTTATGCACCACTTAGGAAGGGCTAAGGAATAGGAGGGGAGCTGAATGTGGATTGATTCCAAAATACTTCATGAAGGTAAATCATAAGAAATTAAACTTAAAATGTTTAAATTCCCTGCTCCACACAAATCGCAAACTCTGAGGCTATTTTTCTCATTCAGAGAAAGCAAGCAGCCTTCTGCTTCTGTTGATGTGTGACATTTGAAAGAAGAGTGGAGTCTGGGACTGGGGACGGGAGGTGGGCAGGCGTCTATGGAGGCTCCTCCATCCAACACTTCTCAATGAGGATTCCAGGAGGCCCAGCCTGTAAATGCTTGTATTGTCTTCCCGCTCTGCAGTCACGGGCAGCTGAACATTTTGCTTGGTACGTCCACAGAAGTTTTCTTCTTGCATGCAAGATTTGGGGTTTTAATACCTGCTGCGTTTGGAAAAATTCTAAAATCAGAAATGATGTGGTCTGAAGTGTTGACATGTTTGGCCCCATATGGACTACACAGCTCAGAGAAATGAAGTGGCACATTTATCAAGTCTCAAGTTTGGGGTCCCATATAGATTTATTTGAGCCACACCGGCCAGAGGTGACTGAGCCTCCACAGTCCTTAACGTGCTTATGTTTTTTATTGTCCTCTCCAGCTGTATAAGTGCCTCTGCCCTTTGGAACACAGTATTAACGGCACTGACAATTCTGCTCATTTCCCCTCTTTTTATCAGTAATTCAGCCTTATGAATCCAATAAATATCAGACTAGGCTTGAATTATACATTGGTGAATTCTTTATCTGTCCTTTTGCTAGTTTTCCACAGCTTTGGAGCAAATTATCATACCTAGTGCGACATACTTGGCATGGAACAGTGTCCCTAGGGAAACTCTGGTAAAGTTATGAGGTCATATCAAGTCAATCTAGAAATACAAGCAGTAGTACCAATCTTCAAATGCAGAAACTAGAGGCTCTCTCAGAACTTACAATTGCTCTCCATTTTATAATTCCAATGAACATAGAAACAATCAAGGCTAAGGAATTTTCTGCTCCACTCTGCAGAGCTGCGTAGTGCCCGGGTCGGTGTGAGGGGCACCAGGAAAGGGGATTTATGTCTCTTTGCCTTTACCCCTAATTCTCGCCTTGACCATATCCAGTAAAATCAGCAAGTAAAATCTAGCAAGCTCCAGTGAAATCAGGTTAAAATAATCACATGGGTAGCTTTCAGGAGGCTTAAGGTAACTGGGGCAAGTTTGTACGCATAGGAACTTCAGGCCGCTTCTAGTACCAGTTCCTCAGTCACAGCCCAGAACCAGCCCCACCTCCAGCCTGGGCCACCACTGTGGCTCCACTGGGGGGCCCAGTTTCACAAAGCCATAACTGTGTCCTCTCAACATTTAGAGAAAACAAGAGGCAAGCTCTAAACAACCTGTAAGGACAAAGTACACAATAGGAACGCAAAAAATTGGGAGGGAAAGCAGGCATTCAGAAGATTGTGTCAAATAAGCAGATTTCTGTAATAGTGGAAAGATAGAGTCAGAAGTAGGAGAATGTATGATGAAGGGGTAGGGGTGTGTGTTGCAAGAGAAAAATGATATTCTCTCTTAACCTTTTCTTTTGTCCCTCCCCCAACTGTTCTGCAACCTGCCAAAGGGGAATTAGCAAAGAAATAGACCTGCTCCTATCACACAGGTAATGCCAAGAAGCCCATGGAGAGAAAAGGGGAAGACCAGGAGGCCAGGCCCACCTTTCCACCATATTTGAGCATCACCACCACCACTGTCAATCACTACTACCAAAGTTTCTTTCTCTACACCTTTTAGGGGATAGGACAAGTTTTGTCTGAGAGCAAAGTTTTAAATCTGAGGGAAAGACAATCACTATGGATTTCAAGAGGACTAAATGTCTTAGCAGCTTGCAGTTAAATGTCTTAGCTTGCAGTTTCCCCTGAGCAGCTGCAGCTCTTGTGGTTGCCCCAGAGGTTGCAGATGGAAGGAGCCCACCGCTCCTGCAGGGCTTAGCACGTGGCTGGTCACTGCCTCGGTGGGGTCGATCAGGCCCCCTCTCTCTGCCATTCTGGGAGAAGTATCTATCATGGTTCTTTCCACACTGATTTTATTCAGGAGTTTCTACTTTAATCCTCACGTCTTTGCCCTCTTGTTTTGCCTGTAAAGAACTTCTCCGTAAGGCCTGGTTTTCCCTCCTTTTTCAACGTGAGCCTCAGCATCTTCTGCTCTTTGCTGCCCCACCAAATCTCCCTCTGTGGCATCAACCTGCCACCACACACATTGTCAGAGGTGGCATTGGGCAACGCAACTTCAGAGTTCCTTGTCCTGCCGATCTCTGAGAATCCATGGGGCACATTCCACAGGACACTGGAGATGTGTCTTGAGGAGGGGGAGATGCTGTGTGCCACATTCCACTCTTGGGTGGAATTCTGTAGTGCTCATTAGTCCACATTGAAGGTCCTAAGGCTTCTCACTGTTAAGTGGCCTGCTTAACTGCCCATAAATTGGTGTTGCACCAACTTGTTTTACCATGGCCCTTGCCTTTTGAGTCATACCTTCTACCATTTTGCAGAACTGCTGCTCTGAGGATCATGTCTCAGGAAATGTTGCTGATCCACATGGAGGGTCTACCCAGGAGCCAAGTGCTTGTTATGTGCCATGCTTCAGGAAACAAACTCCCTTTCTGTCCTCCTTGCCTTCTCTTTGACTCAAGCACACAGCAATTCCTGTTCAGGCCCAAGATGCAGATATAGAATTACCAGCCCTGGGATCCCAGCCCCAACTCAATGTACTACTGCTACTACCCAAAGAACTCCAGGAGGTTCCTCCTGTCTGCTTTAATGTAGCAAAGACTGATGGTTGTCCTACAAAATCTTTTCTTTCTTTCTTCTTTAATAAAAGAACCTCTGATTTCTGGCTGGACATGTGGTCACTGAGTAAAACTATAGTTCTCTGTCTCCCTTGCACCTAGGTGTGCAACTATAGGGGGTGCTGGGTACAACATCTAGGCACTATGTTTAAAGGGAGGGAGCATGTGCTTCTTTGTCTTCTTCTCCTTTTTACTGCTGGAATAAGGATGTGATTACAAGAACTTCTGCAGCCATTTTGGGTCATGAAGTGGAAGCCACATGCTGAGCAGGATAGAAGGGAACTGGGTCCCTGACATTATAGAGTAAAATCGTGTTCTAAGCTGACACACCTGGGCTTCTTTTTTTTTTTTTTTTTTTTTTTTGAGATGGAGTCTTGCTCAGTCGCCCAGTCTGGAGTGCAGTGGTGCAATCTCAGCTCACTGCAAGTTCTGCCTCCCAGGTTCACGCCATTCTCCTGCCTCAGCCTCCCGAGTGGCTGGGACTACAGGTGCCCACTACCATGCCTGGCTAATTTTTTTTGTATTTTTAGTAGAGATGGGGTTTCACCATGTTAGCCAGGATGGTCACGATCTCCTGACCTCATGATCCACCCGCCTCAGCCTCCCAAAGTGCTGGGATTACAGGCGTGAGCCACCACGCCTGGCCACACCTGGGCTTCTCTTATGAGAAAGAGAAATAGACTTTTTTTTATAATTTAAGCTACTAGTTTTTTATGGTTTTTTTTTTTAATTTTTATTTTTTATCCTTAGCAAACTAACACAGGATTAAGCCACTATTATGATGGGGTTTCTGCTACCTCAACAGAGTCTAATCCTAACTGCTTTGGTTCCTCTCTTCAGCTAACCCCTCAGACCTCTCAAGAACAAACTGAAAGCACAGATCATTTCCTAGAACAACCTCTCAGAAAGTCATCTTGACTGGGAACAAGTTAGCCTCAGGATGACCCCACTGGAATTCCTCTCCTGATGACCATCAGCCCCCTGTATCCAGACCCTCTGTCACTCAAGACCTTTTTTGAGGAGATGGGGAGATGGGGCTGGCTGGGGAAGTCTCCACACCACAGTGATTTGCACATCAGCAGATCCAACTGGGTGGTCTAGTCTAAGTGGCCATATGTTTTCCCACTGTTTGCCCCAAATAGCCATTCCCTGAGTTTTCCAAATTTTTAGTCTTCATGTGTTCACTTGGCTGTGTTCCCATTCACTGTTGGTGCCTTTCCCACAAGAACCATCCAATTTGTTCATTATCATATACACACCATCTATTCTGAAGGACCTCAGCGTGATTTGGTTCCAATTCAACCTCACACAACTTCTAAGTTAACAAAGATATTCTAATCTACTACCACGGTCCTGCCAGTCTATTCCATGTTTAAATCCTTGGTGCCAAGGCTAGTAATTCAAACAAAGGCACAACTCAGGCTATGTCACCCACAGATACCGCCTGAGCTGGGCAAGCCCTGGACCAGCGATCGTTGGCTGGAATTTGGTTCTCTGCACAAAACCAAAGCATGCTAATGTAGCAACCCGATGTGTGTGCTTCCAGTTTTGATGAATTTTTCTTCATCTCTGCTTATGAGATACATGAATAAAGATTAATTATATATCATGACAGTAAAACTAGGCAACTCTGTATATATACAAACGTGGTTATCAGCCTTTTTGTTTGTACCCTTATTGTAGCAGATATCCAATGCCTGGAATTAGAAGAGTTCACGGCATATGCTTGTCCTCTGCCATTAGACTGTGAAGTGCTTGTCCTCTGTCATTAGACTGTGAAGTGCTTGCAGCACCTTTACATCCTCTGCAGTACCTAGCTTCATGCAGCAGTTGAGGAAAAGCAAGTGTGTTGGACTCGCATGGACTTGGCCTGAAATTTTGAATAGCTGTGTAATTCTAAGTGAATTACTTAATCTTGCCAAGTCTCAATTTCCTCATCCAAAAAAAAACAGGGATAATAATACATACCTCTTAGGTTGTGCTGAAGATTACATTAAATAGTGTATAAGGCTGATAGCAAGTGGGAGCTGTGACTAAGTCATAGTGACACAAGTGTTAAGTGCTCAAGAAATACCTAATCAAATGGAGTTTTCAAGAAGCAAGACCCCCATGTCCATAATCTATTAATTATCCTATATATCACTAGGTCCCCTCTCTAAGATATTGAGTCATTTGTTATTTGTTCAGCCAAAAAGCATTAAGCATACATTACCTGCCAAGTGTTAAAAGAAGCTAGGGATACTGAGATATATTTGACATAGTCCTTGCCCTCACGGTGATTAGAATCTAGTAAAGAAACAGAAAGGTAAACCAGTAAGTGCTATAAAAAGTTATAGATGCTGTGCTAGAAGTGTTCTAGAATTCACGGAGTTCCCAAAGAAGGGAGTAGTCTGCTCTACTTGGAGCAGGTGTGAAGATGGCAAAGTCATGAAAGTCTTCAAGAAGTGGTGATTCTCAAACTGAGACTTGAAAAATAGATTGGTATGGGGCAGGCAAACCATCCTCAGCACAAATTAGTGTGAGCAGAGGCAATGGAAAGAAGTGCATTAGGCTGGTTTTGGGGGGAAACAGTAAATAATTCCTCATGGCTTAGGGTCAACAGAGGAGAGGACACCTGGGTGAGAGTTTGAGTTGGAAATGGGGTATAGGCCACCTAGGGAGGTTAGTCTTGATTAGTGGCAGGGAGTTTACTCAGCAAATTCCAGTCACCATCCAAGGGAGACGGACAGATACCCAGAGAAGGAACGAGGTGACACCACAATGGCCTGGTTTTCTACTATCCAGAGACAATGGAGCAATGTCTATACATCTAGGTTATAGGGCCCTGGTCTTGTGCACTCTCACAAATCCCCAGCAATATTCCATGTTCTGGTCCATCCCTTCCACTAACAGGCGTCACCCACCTGGTGTTTCCCTTTCCTTAGGAGTCAGTTCTCTGCTAGATGATAGTTAATTGTATAATTTTTAAAATCTCAAACATCTCAGTACACATCAGTGTACATTATTTATCCCAAGTTATAGACTTGCACTTGAACAGGGACTTTCTGGGCTAATACTTTAAACCAAATGGACAAAAACTCTAGTGGTAGAATTTCAAGCACTCTGGCACCTCTGTGAATGTGAGATTTTTGTACAGGAAAGTGGTGTTTTACCACCAGTCTTAGGCTGTGGGATCAGCTCCTTCCTTCGTGTTTGTGGCCAACAAAAGGGTTTACAGAAAAAGAAAATAATTTGCCCTTGCAAAGACTGTGAAAACAGTCATATTTATAAGCACAATTACATACACTTCTGACTCTATCTCAGTGGCCAGTATATGGTAGCTGCCTAACATATGACCAAAGAAGGAAGAAGAAAAAAGAAAGGGAGGAAAGAAGAAAGGAAATAAGGTTGTCCATAATCTTTTTTAACATGGCTTCCAGCATAAAACTTGGTAACTAAAAACAGATATTTTTTCATTCCTAAGGGGGCAGGGCAAGGGACATAGATATCCAATTTATTACCACTAAGATTTTTATCCTAAAATTTGAAATATTTTGAGTGTACAAAAAGCTTCATGTTGTATGCTCTTTATTGGATGCATGGATCTATGTTTATGGAAAGTTTTAACGGTTGCAAAGTCAAATTGCAAAAACGATTCATTTTTGTAGAGATCTTGATATATCATACTGCATTCTAATAAAATTTTCAATACTGGCAGTAACGTAGATTATAATACTAATGTTTCCCACGGGATCCCATGATCATAACTCCTTTGGTAAATGTCCTAGAGTTAAGGTGAATGCACCAAAGAGCTGTAACTCACTGACATTTAATATTGGCTAATGCAATATGAAAAATTCGGCAGCAAATACAGGCTGTAGAGAAACACTCCTTCAAGATTTGGAGTCCATGTCACTCAAAAAATGTTTTCTCCTCATATTCTGAGATTAATGCAGTTCTGACACTTTCCTCACAGATACACGATGATTTAGGAAAGACAACAAGAAAGTCATGGAGATAACAGATGAATGGGACCTTCAAGCAGTAACATTGTGACAAGAAATGAAACTTGAACTCTTTGAACAGAATTTTTCCAGGAAAGCCCTTTCAAACTCTTGAAAGGGAAACATCAAAGTCTGAAGGGCAGATATGAAAAAAGTTTCCCCTCTTACACCAAAGTGACACAAATTCAATCTGACACACATTTATAGTGAATTTTGTGTGCCAACAAAGATAAAAAGGAAAAGGATACGTGGTTGTCCTCAAGGAACTTATTACAATTATCTCTCATCTGACTGGGACCTCTGTTTTCTGAATATTGTTCCCTTCTATCCTCTGCCTACTTCAAAAAGGACTGAAGTGGTACAGGATTTTTCAAAGTACTCTTTAAGATGCTCAATTTCTGTCAAAATATTAGGAAACACAAATGGTAACTGCCATGAGAAAACATTTTTTCACCAATCAGTGTGGCAAAGATCAAGAGGTTTAAAAACAGAATCTGTTGGTAAGAGCGTGGAGCAACAGGCACTCTCAGACATTTCTGGTGGGCATGGAAAGAGATATGACCATTACAGAAAGCAACCTGGTGATGCTTACCTGAAGTTTAAATTCATTACAAGGTGATCCAACAACTCTTCTTCTGGAAATTTATTGCCCTTTACAAGTACTTTACTCGTGTGAAATGATGGATGTTAGGTATATTTGTGGCACCACATATATTCTGAATATGTCCATAGGCACATGCATATTGACACATATATTCTGAATAAGCAGAAGCTATAATAACTGAGGAATCTCTATATGAGCTCATACGGAACCAGAGCCAGATATATTTCTAGGAGAAACAAACAAGGTGCAGAAAGACCTTATGGTGTGTTCCTATTTACATTTAAATAGGTGCTGTGGGTGTGTGTATAGAGAAAGAGCCATGTTGTGCATAAAACATCTCTGGAAGACGACACAAGAAACTGAACACGGTGGCTCCTCTAGGGAGGGTGAGAGGGTGGCTGGGTCCCTGGGATAGAAGGGAGACTTACTGTTCATTATCTACCATCCTTTTGTATCTTTTGTACTAGGTGCCTCTATTACCAATTCAAATAATTAAATTTAAAGGGAAGGTTTCTAGAAGGGCATGTTTCCAAACCAGAGAGCTGAGTGAATGCACAATGCACACTATTAAACTAGTCATTTCTACAAGGCCCTACCACTTTTGAAGGCCATCAAATAGAAGGAGTTCGTTCTGGAACACAAGTCCTAAAACTAGATCCCCACAGACAGAATTGGGGTGACTCTGTCCAGGGGTCTTTGGGACTCACTTCCCAGGTCAGCATTTTGGGACGCCAGTGCCCTCTTTCTGCCTTGACTGTTGCCACCTTGAGGAAAAGCTCAGTTCCTCGGATTTCTGCGTCCATCAGCACCCTCAGCTGCGCTCTGTGCACCCCTGTCATCGGGGTGCCCCATGGCCTTCCTCACCCATGCTTGGTCCTGTCTCCATGTCCTCAAGCCCCACCCATCCACCTGGAGATCACAGGCAGTCCTAGCCACCATCCCCCGGGATGTTTACTACCTTCTGTCTCCCGCTGCTGCTGAGGAACACTCTCTGTGACAGGACATCTCAGTTATAGCATTTTTTTCATTGCATTTATTTGTTTGTCTCCCCAAACGGAATGTGAATTCCCTGGAGAGGGATCTGTTCATCTTTGTTTCCCCACAAGAGCCATTCAGTTGAGATGTTTAATAACTGACCATCAGCTGAAGAGCTGCTTCAAAGCTGGTGCCCCCTGTGCCTCCTGTGCCCTCTGTACACAAAACATTAGCCCCCACTGCCCAGCAGGGCCCAGGGATGCCAACCCTTTGGGGACTGTGCCGGCCCAATGGCAAAGGAGTTGCCTTCTTCCCAAAAGGTCCGTCCTGCCCCACCCTTCCAGAATTCACTCTCAGGCTTGGAACTGAAAAGAAGCCCCATGCTGTGATGGAAAAACAGGGTAGCTGTTCCACCAATTCATACTCTTTATTACATACCATGTTACACCCAACACCAGGACACAGTTTGACCTGCAGCTGAGGGCATTTCCCCTAGCCCACTTTCCTTCCCAGGGCCCCCAGTCCCCTGACGTTGCCTGAGAAGTTCCTGCTCAGGGCAACCGACCAGCAACAGTGTCCCCTTAGCTCCCTGAATGTCCCAAAGAGACAACTCCTGGACTCAGCAGCGGGCTGTCTTGTTTCCAAAGCCCACCCTCTGAGAACGGAAGCTCTGCCTTGGTTCTATGAAAACACAGTCAGTCCTGGCATTTTGAAAATGAAATTTCCCTGGAGGATACTTCACATCAACACGCAACTGTGCAACTTTCTGCCACACTTTCACCCCGACACCTTGGGAGTGGTGCTGCTGGTGCCTCTAGCACCTGCTTCCCTGTCCTGCCACCTGGATAAGAAACAAAGTGCAGTAGCCACATGCCTTATAGGGGCTGGTGTGGGGGTGGGAGTCCTCAGGATCGGCTTGGCTTAAACTAGGATTCAGAGTCTGGCCATGTCTAGAGAACTTCTGAATCAAAGGGGTTTGGTGTTCATTGGCATGAGGAGTGAGACCTGGAAGAAGGAAGGTTCATGCTTCAGGGCCCTGAGCAGAGGCACCAATGCCCCAGGAGAGACGACAGAGTGGCTCCAGCACAGTGAGTCCGGAAGGGGGCCTGGGATCTTCTGGCACCACTGGAAGCTCTGACAATTGGTGTTCAAGGCAGCCACGGGGAAAGAGGGCATGAAAGTCCCCAGGAAACAGCATTCTCAAGTGGCTTTGCAGGAAACAGACACTAACAAGGAAACCTAAGTAAAGAACCTGTGAGAACTGTCCTGAGCCCATGTGAAACACAACCATAAATAAAATCAGGGCAGAGGGCAGAGGCACTTCTGTCATGCAGCCGGACACAGTGAGGCAGCCAAGTCTGATGGTTCATGTCAAGGTGGCAACCTTCCTACACCAGGAAGAAGAGGCCTGAGGAATTTCAGGCTACAAAAGCAACTTGCAGACGTCAAGGGTACTGAAAACTGAATCGACAGTCTTTCATCCCTGAGGATGACAGCTCCCAAAATGTAGAACATAGTCTGCCTCAGGCTCTCCTGCCCCACCAAGTTCACTCCTGCCCTTCCCAGAAATGAGGTATGCAGGGACCAGTGAAATGCCAGCCCTTGCCCTTGTTTCTGCTGCTCTTAGAAATGACAGCTTGTCTTGACTACAGACACCTCTCCGGATGCACCCAGAGCCTCTGTCTATTATGCAAAGGGAATATAACTCTTGATAAGAGGAAATAAATCTGATCACCCAAAGCAGAAGCCAAAACCAGAAGGGTGATGGTGGTTTTCCAGCAGTGAAGAAATCCACGGCTTGATTTTTTTTTTTTTTTTTGAATATACATTCCAGATGTTTAAGAGAAATCTACAAGCCACATTTCTAGATTCCAAACTGGCCTCTCTGTTCATCTCCTCTCTGCCCTAAGCAACTCTCCTCTCTGTAGTTGAGTTAATTTCCCCCAAAGCCCACTTTGTTTATTTATTTGCTGAAGAGGTTCTCCAGTCATCACACATTTGCTTTCAGAACTGGGTGGACTGAACCAGTATTTCCAGGACTATCCCCTGCTAAGCTTCAGGCTCATCTGTTCTCCAAAAAGCATTTTTCCATCTTTGTTCTTGTTGCCTGTCACTCACCCCATACCCATAGTCATCTGTGGATATCTTGCCATCTTTCAAAATCAAACTCAACACCACCTCTTCCAGGAAGACCTTCCTGATTCTTCCAGTAGGAATTGATCTCTCTCTCTCTCTCTCTCTCTCTCCCGAACTGCTACAGGCCCTTGTTGTCTCTGCTCCTTTCGCGTGATTCCTCTCACATTGCTTTGTGTTATGTTTGCTTTCCAAACAGGCTGTGCTCCCAAGGAGTGAGTTGTATTTTGGATTTTCTGTACTACAAATTTTCTGGTATCTCACAGTACTTAGCATTACACCTCACATGTAATATAGACTTGCAGCCTTTAGACTGCAAGGGGCCTGCTATGGACTAAATTGTATTCCCCCTCAAATAATTAATATTTTGGAGCTGCAACCCCCAATGTGATGGTATTTGAATATTAGACCTTGGGGAAATAATTAGGTTTAGATGAGATCATGAGGGTGAGATCCTCACGATGGGACTGCTGTCCTTTCAAAAAGAGACACCAGCTGGGTGTGGTGGCTCATGCCTCAAATCTTAGCAATTTAGGAGGCCAAGGCGGGTGGATGACTTGAGTCAAGGAGTTCAAGACCAGCCTGGGCAACATGATGAATCCCTGTATCTACAAAAAATACAAAAATTTAGCCAGGCATGATGGTGTGCGCCTGTGTTCCCAAATACCAGAAAGGCTGAGGCGGGAGGATCTCCTGAGCCCGGGAGCTCGAGGCTGCAGTGAGCTGAGGTTGCACCACTGCACTCCAGCCTGGGTAGCAGAGTGAGATCCTATCTCAAAAAAAAAAAAAAGTGGGGGAGAGAGAGAGAGAAGGAGACACTAGAGGTTTTGCCAACTGTCTGTCTGTCTCTGCCGTGTGAATGCACAGTGAGGAGATGGTCATCTGCAAGCAAGAAAGGGAGCCCTCAGCACAACCTAACCATGGTGGCACCCTCATCTCACACTTTCCAGCCACCAGAACTGTGAAAAAGTACGTTTCTGTTGTTTAAACTCCCAATCCACCTATGGCACTTTGTTATGGCAGCCTGAACTGACCAAAACAGGCTGTCCACTGAGCCGGCCTTTTAATTTTCTACAGTGGTTAAGTACCAGGTCCAAAGCGACACAGAGCAGAGCAGGGATCAAAACCCAGTCAGTCTCCTAACCCCCAGCCCACAGCTCAAGCAAATAGAACAAGCTTGCCAAATAACACAGAATGAAAGAAAAGGCCCAAAGCAATAAGTATATTTTTCTTAGACATGTCCATATCTTAAACTCTTTTTATCCTAGCTTTGAAAAAACAAACCGAAGGTCCAAGGGGACTTCCAGCAAGGTCTGAAATTGAGAATTTGGCTTAAAAGACTGCAAGGGATGAAGAAAAGACCGGGAGAAGGCTAACTATTTGGTTAAGACAATATCATATTACAGAGTTATGAATTATGCAAATGAAACCACGGGATTCACAACCTCATGAGATTTCTTGTACCTACACAAAAAACTGTGTGAACAAGCATTTCGGAGCTTTGCTTTAAAATCTTCTGTTACTACCACCCAGTTACACTAGCTATAGGGTTTTACATCTCATGAAGGGCTTCCACATATATCATCTCATGGAATACATGCAACAGCCAGCACAGGTATCACCATCTCCCTGAAGCAGAGTACACTCCTGAGCCTTAGCTCGCTAAGTGACCAAGCGAAGTCACAGAGTTGTTGGAACTGTGACTGGAATACCCTGTGTGTCTATGTGTGTGCAAGAGAGCGAGGGAGAGACATAAACAGAGAGAGAGAGTTGGGGTGGGATTGATCCCACTTCACTATATTTTCCCAAGACGGCATTCAAAGAAGTCCCACAAATGTTCCCCATCAGCAGGCAGCTGAAAGAAAATAAACCACCGATGAGAGCTCTGGGCTTAGCCGTTGTTCTGTCACCAATTCAGTATTGACTGGGGTGAGCCACTTAGCCTCTCTAGTTCTGTTTCATCAACTGCAAAAAAAAGGTGTGTTGAATTGTTTTGTCTTTTTTTTTGTCCAGTCAATGAAAGGGACACTTTATTGAGGCCCCAGGGCCATGGGGCCTGGGCAGGAGGCTGCCCTTGGGGGAAGGAAGAGCCTTATTTGATCTTCCTCTTGGGGCACAGGTTGTTGGTGTGGCCTCACTTCTTGCAGCAGTTGACAGCACGGGGGTGCAGGCAAGCACAGCACTTGCGGCAGATCATCTTGTCGCAGTTGTATTTCTGGGCAAGCTGGCAGAGGGCTCAATAATGCCACCTCACAGGTGCAGCCCCAGGTGCAGGATGGACTCTTTCTGGATGTTGCAGTCTGAGAGAGTACGGCCATCCTCCAGCTGTTTGCCCACAAATATCAGACATTGCTGGTCAAGTGGAACGCCCTCCTTGTCTTGAATTTCGGCCTTGACATTCTCAGTGGTGTCACTGGGCTCGACCTCGAGGGTGATGGTCTTGCCTGTGAGGGTCTTCACAAAGATCTGCATCTCTGCGTCTGTAGCTCAGCCGCCTCACTCTTGTTTTGCCTTTGATTCCCTTTAAGTTCAGACAATCTGTGGTTTTCTAAATTAGACAGTTAGATAAAAGATCAGGCCAAGTCACTTCCAAAAATGTCTGAGCTCTGGATCAGGTACTCAGGAGGAATATGTATTTTTTCATGATGTTTCTTCCCCAAACTCTTCATAGGGGAAGGGAGCAGAGACAAGACTGCAACTAGTCTGAATGCAACAAGAATTTAAGCCAGTGCTGTCCTTAAAAAAACTCAGCTTTAGTCATTGGCACCAATGTGGGCAACATGGCTTTGCAGGAAACCAGATCCAAGTATGCAGAAGATCAAAAGCTTTACTCCACTGAGACGAGCAAAAGGCACATTTCTCAGACATTCTTCTCTATGGAATTTAAGATCTTGTGACATCCTGCCTAATTTAGACCCTAAACACCATTAATTTCAGGCCAGTGACAGCCCCAGATCAATAAATACTCATATCATAGTAAATCAGAAAACAATGTTAATAGCACCAAAAATTGCTTTATATGGCAGCAACTGTATTTATTCACCATATGTATTACTAATAAAATACAGAGAAGGTAAGGGCTTAATATGTCATTCTGTGAGTTTTTATATTTAACACAGACTATTTTTAATCAAATTCAAAAGATTTCCTCAATGATCCCCTGGCTCTAGAGCAACTAAGAACATTCATCAAGAGAAAGACATTAGGGCAGGTTTTTAACAAATGAGAAATAAAGTCATTCTCTAGAAAAGATGAGGGTTTAAGACATAATTATTAGGTCTTGAAAGCCTTGAAATTAAAGCCAGTACTAATACCGGCTTTCAAGTCCCATATTGTTTAGTGGGTATATTAGTCAGGGTTCGTTAAAGGGACAGAACTAATAGGATAGATGTATATATAAAGGGGAGTTTATTAGAATTGACTCACACAATCACAAGGTGAAGTCACACAACATGCTGTCTGCAAGCTGAGGACCCAGGAAGGCAGTCTGAGTCCAAAAACCTCAAAAGTAGGGAAGCTGACAGTGCAGCCTTCAGTCTGTGGCCGAAGGCCCGAGAGCCCCTGGAAAGTCACTGGTGTAGGTCCAAGAGTTCAAAAGCTGAAGAACTTAGAGTCTAATGTTCGAAGGCAGGAAGCATCCAGCACAGGAGAAAGATGGAGGCTGGAAGATTCAGCAAGTCTTCTCTTTCCATGCCTGATTTTATGCTGGCAGCTGATTAGATGTTGCCCACCCGATTGAGGGTAGGTCTGCCTCTCGCAGTCCACTGACTCAAAGGTTAATCTCCTTTGGCAATACCCTCACAGACACACCCAGGGACAATAATTTGCATCCTTCCATCCAAACAAGTTGACACTCAGTATTAACCATCATAGTGGATAAAGTACAATACTTGCTTTCAAGTCCCATATTGCATAATTGTTGTATTTTGTATTAATTCATGTTGGCACATATTATGGAAATTTCAAGGACTCTCTACCAATGAGTTTCTCCTTATCAGCAGATGTCCATAAGGAAGATGGCAGGAAAACTCATTCATCAGAAGAAATGTAGCTCATGACTATGATCGCTTTCCCAGCTCCAGCACTGAAGTCCCAACTTCACAATTTTTTGCCTTTCCAATATACAACATTACCTACCTGGCATCTTACTTTATGTTCATACTAAACAATGAAATTGGTGAAATGGGAAGTTCAATATCTAAGTTACAGTTCTTTCCAAACACATTAAACTATATAATACCTATTTAAAATGTTTATTCCAGCACCCCTTAAAATTATGCATTATGCACTCACACAACAAGTTGATCTGTAACTTTCAAAGTGTGTTGACTGTAATTTGGGTTTCAGCATTCATCACTTATCAAATACTCAGTTAATATCCGCCCTATAGATATAAAATAAATACTCCACAGTCCTTGCCACAATAGTCACCATATAGTGACTATTATAGAGACAAACATTATATTATAATATAAAGACAAACATTATATTATAATATAAAGACAAACATTATATTATATTATACAGACAAACATTAAAATGAGTAATTACAGTAATGCAGCTAGTGGTTCAATAGAGATATGTATAGTCAATAAATGTCAATAAATATCTATTGACATTTATTCTATTAAATTTAAAACTGAGAATTTTAAGTATTTATTGTTCATTGAAATAACAATAAGAAATCCATTGTATGCTAACATAAATAACATTGTTATGAAAATGACTATATTTCAAAAAAAAAAGCAAGAAAGTTACTAAGTGAAATAAACCAGTCACAAAAAGACAAATACTATATGATTTCACTTATATGAAGTACCCAGAGTTGTTAAATTCAGATGTAAATTCAAGTAGAATGATGGTTGCCAAGGGCTGAGGGGCAGAGGGCGTAATCGGGAGTTATTGGTTAGCGGGTGTAAAATTTTAGTTTTGCAAGATGAAAAAAGTTCTAGGGATTAGTTGCCCAACAATGTTAATGTACTTAACACTACTGAACTGTACACTCAAAAATGATTAAGATGGTAAATTTTATGTTCATGTGTATTTTACCACAAATTTTTTTAATTTTAAAAATTTAGTAACAAGAATGGCATAGTTTTACAGTTTTATGCATCTTATAAATGTCTAGTTTAATAGAACACAGCTGGATTCTTATATCTGCTCCTACATTCAATCTGTTACAATATATTGTTTTGATGGAAGTTTATGAAGATTATCCAGCATCACACATATTTTTTTCTAACTGCGATTAGGTACTTAGAAAAGGAAGAGCATTTTGATAGCTTTATCTGATCATTGCAGATATTCTTTGGTATCACACCAAAACTTAACAAGTGGTAGCTTCTTAAAGGTTAGTTATAATGTGGAATCTGAAACTATACAAATTAACTGTTGCTATATTCTGTAACATTACCATCCACTGTTTACTTCCTACATTGAATGAATCTTTTACCTATGCATGATTTTGTAACATCAAGCATTGGTCATTGGGGAAATATTGGTTGACTCTGTTAGTTATGCAGTTTTCCAGATGTTGCCATATCTTACTTTATATCACAAAATTGCATGTGTTAATTTCACTTCTGGGCTCAGAAAAGTCTTTAAGTATCCTGAAGCTATCAAGCTCATGGTGGTGAATACAAAATCTCCAAGATTCTAATTTTCTCTTGAAAGCTCAAATTTTATTATTAGCCATAAATACTATCAGTGAGTTTCTTGACACAATAAGCACATTTTGTTTATTTTTGCAAAAATGCACCACTAAAAAGATCTGCCATGTCTAAGTATCTATCGTTTGTCTTATTCTTTCAAGTAAAAATGGGGCCCCATGAAAGAAAGGACTAGACAGCTCCCAGTTCAAACGATCAAACAGTGATAGCATTGTACTTCAGTGTGCAGAAGAAGGGCCTTGTGCTCATGTCTCATTTTGTCACACAGAATATGTTTTAAAATTTTTTCATAAGGGCCAAGGTTTAGAAAAATTAATAATTTCTTACTCCTTCATCAAGGACGTTGTTAAAAGAAATTGTCTTTTTTATCTCCCCAGAAATACATGGCAGTGAAGAACACAAGGACCACTAGCACAACTTGATTTTAACACTTTGATTCGTGCTAAGAAGCAGCAGTTTTCCTGCCATTGCTTCTGCACCATTAGCGCAAATGTCAGCACAGAAAGGCAAGTAACCTCTTAGTGTTAATATGAAAATACTTTGATGTCATGGGTTCCCAGAAAACAGTCCATGAACCACAGTTGGAGAGCCTCTGATCTAGAAGGTTCTTGACTCTGGAAACAAATTTCCTAGGACTGTGTCCTGGCTTTTTCATTAGCCATATGGTGTTAGGCAAATTACTAAACTTTAGTGAGCCTCAGTTTTCTCATCCGTTAATAGAGATAATAATAGTACCTACCCCAAAAGAGTGCTGGAGGAAAAAATAAGCCAAACTATATAATGTGCTTACCTCAGTGCCTGGCTGATTGTATGTAACAAATGTTAGCTCCCAATGCCAGCTATTGTTATTAATGTTATTACCTTCTGCTTCTTTGCAAAATGCTGTAGATATTAAATGTCCTATAAATGTTGCTTAAAAAGCAATGATCTTCTCATTTCTCAGATGATGTTTTTATTTTGCCAAAACAAGATCTCATTTGACAACAAATCCCTAAAAATCCTGTCAATAAATTAAATATTGACATATTAAATGTCCCATACATATTAAATGTCCTATAAATGCTGCTTAAAAAGCAATGATCTTCTCATTTCTCAGATGATAAGTTTTTATTTTGCCAAAACAAGATCTCATTTGACAAGAAATCCCTAAAAATCCTGTCAATAAATGTTGGTGGACTGAATAAAGAGTCCCATATGGGAAGAGGTCATTGCAGATGTATGTTTATATTTAGGCATTATACCGGAAATGTTTTAGCTCCTCAGTGTAAAGAAAGACTATCATGATGTTTCTAAGGGCCAAATGGAGTGTTTTAACGTTTGAATGTAATGATTTGGAAATACCTAGATCTAAGACAACCCTAGCATGGAATCTTCAGTGTTAAAGAAAAAATTAAAACAGGTAGCATATCAGAAATGCAACAATAAAACAAAAATCATCCATCCAAGCCAGTTACTGGGTTTCTATCTCTAAGAGAGATTTGTGGCTTTTAAATGTTGTTTCTTTTTCAAGAGGATGATGTTTTTCTCTCTCTCCCACGAAAAATTTAATAGAGAAGAGGGAATCCCCAGTCCTCATCTTATTTCTTTATTTGGGCAAAAGTCGTGGCCTTCACAACCAATGACAGCGGAAACCTTTATGAAAACAGCACAGCCTTTTCAATCTCAAAACATTTACAGGACTATTAGATTTCAAGGAATGAAATAGCTGAAAAGTGACTACATTTGCCGTATTTCAAGCTGAGTGTGTAAATAACTAAGGTCAAACTCAGAAAACAAGGCTGGTAATTCCATGGTGACCAGCCAGACTCCGGTTCCCATCATTTATTCATATGTTGATAGACTTCCCCAGGAAGCCTGGGAAAATAACAGAAGTTACTCAACTTCCCCCAAGAGAAAAGGGCTTCATTTTTCCTTGGCAGATTCATTTCTAATCACATAGCAGGGAACCATTATTAACATCTGGATATTCAAAAAGAGCCACTGAATTATTATAAAAATGTTTCAAATCATCAGCCTAAAACTCAAATGATCTACAATGTGTATGATCTTTTTCCCTCTTTAGTCAAGAAGATAAATGGAGAAATTCTTTATATTTCAACTTTCATTACACATTTGTTTTTAATCTAGGAAAATTCATGTCTGCCTACTACACCTCCGTATCAAAGACTGATATGTCAGCATTGGTTTCTGCTCCTCCCACCATGAGCTTCTTTTGAGAACAGGTTTTTTTCTTTCTTTTAGAGACAAGGTCTTGCTCTGTCACCTAAGCTGGAGTGTAGTGGTGTGATCACAGCTCATTGTAGCCTCAAACTCCTGGGCTCAAGGGATCCTCCTGCCTCAGCCTCCCAACTCACTAGGATTACAGATGCATGCCACCACATCCAGCTAATTTTTAATTTTTTATAAAGACAAAGTCTCACTACATTGCCCAGGCTGGTCTCAAACTTCTGGCTTCAAGCCATCCTTCTGCCTCAGCCTCCCAAAATGCTGGGATTTCAGGCATGAACCGCTGTACTTGGCCAAGAACACGTTTTTTTAGGAGTGAGATTACTGCAAAAATTAGTTGGTTCAAAACAGCCACAGTCTACTACTATTACAGATTAATACTGAGTTATATTCTCTTTAACACAGTTACATGCTGTTAGGTTGAACAAGAATGAGGCAGATCAAATATCATGTTTAACCAGCCCCTTCCTCCTTTACACAGTTTTTAAAAATTTAATTGTCATGACTTGTTACAAACACACTCAGATATTTTGATGCCCTTTACCAAACCTCATCCAAGTCCTCAACATTAGAACCTGACAGCACTTGATAAATATGTAACACTTCTCATTAAAACGTCTAGTAGCTTCTCATTGCTCTTAGGATATTATACAAATTCCTGCCATGGCCCACAGGGCTCTGCTTGCAACCCCATCAAGAATAGGTCAGAGGACAAATGTGGTTCATGCCTACAATCTCAAAATTTGGGAGGCCAAGACAGGAAGATAAGGATTGCTTCAGTCCAGGAGTTTGAGACCAGCCTGGGCAACATAGCGAGAACCTATCTCTGCAAAGAAAAAAAAAATTAGCTGGACATGGTCATTCTCACCTGTAATCCCAGCTACTTGAGAGGCTGAGGCAGGAGGATTGCTTAAGCCTAGGAGTTCAAGGCTGCACAGAGCTGTGATCATGCCACTGCACTCTAGCCTAGGTGACAGAGTAAAACCCTGTCTCTAAAAAAAATTTAAATTTAAATTTAAATTTAAAAAGAATAGGTCAGGCCCAGGTGAAAAATGATGGACCATCCCCTCCAACCCCAAACCCACCCCAGCAAGGATGGACAGGCTAAAATCTTTGCAAGCAATATTTACTTAGGCAAAGCCCATTTCAAACTTCTTGCCCTACTAATGGCACCAACTTCCCACCACTGCACTCCACCTTCTGCAGGACCAGGCCCTCCTCACCCACCTAATCACCTGCTCCAGCCTCCTCTCCCGCCACACTGCCCATCTCTAGCCACCCTGAACCAAGACTCTGCCCAAGGTGCTTCCTGTGACTGTTTTTTCTGGCCAAATGCTACTTAACCTTAAGTCTCAGCATAAGAGTCACTTTCTTGAGGACATCTTGCCCAGCTCTACCTCATACACACTCAAGACTCCACAGGCATCCTTTGTCACACTCACCATAACAATAAATAGCTAACAAGCTATTGAAGTAGCCTGCTGTTCAATGTCCATCTCCCTACTTAGTCAAAAATGCAAAGATTAGGTCTGTTTGACTAGTGTAACCTCCCCAAAGCCCAGAATATAACTATATATAGGCGCTCAAAAAACATTCCTTCACTATGCGAGAGAGTTTTTAACAAGGTGAAACCCCTCCTGACTAAACTTCACATTCAGATGAAATTCAGTACAGATCAAAGAGTATTTCAGAGGGGAGAAATCTTTACAGTCTATTGGCTGTAAGGTACAGAAACTGAAGAGGCCAAGGGGTTTTGGTTGGTTGCAGACTTAAGAGGGCCAGGGCTCCCCAACATTTGTGTGACCCCCACACAACAGTGGGGGTCCCAAAACCACTGGTCTAAATATTTATAATCTTCAGATCGAGCTAACAAACAGTTAGATAAAATATGTCCTCTAGTCTTATCTTGAAAATATGCCTTCAAATCAATTAGAGGTCCAGATAATTAAACATAGTGAAATATAGAGACTTTAATCAAGTTGGGTTTTCAGCACGAAAATTATCCACATTTTAAAATTCTTGAGTAGGGGATAATCATTCTCTTCATCACATGCACACATACACACACACACACACAGAGAGAGAGAGTATGTAGTTATCCATTAAGAAAGAATGGTTGCCACTGTTTTGAAAAAAAAAACAAAACTAAGATTCATAGGATGCTCAGAATCCAGTTCTACTGAATTGCAAAACCAACATGTGTACGCATGGGAATTCTTGCCCATAAAGAAAGTGCTGCTCTCACTTAATCATCTCTCTTCTTCCATATCTACCCCAAGAAAAAGTCATGCTATGTTCCTCCTTTGTAGGAGGAAGTTTGTCAACTACATTCCAACTTTGATGGAAGTTGTCAACTTCCATCCTACATTTTCCAATATTCATCTTTGGTGCCTCCCAAAGAGTGGTATTATGAGAGAGTCTTTAGGTCTCAACCAACTAGCAGCAGTGTCCTGTCTTGTAATTACCAAGAGCATTTTGCACATTATCATGGGGTGAGGATCTCAAAAAGTGAAGAAAGACATTCACGATGTAGCACGAGTATACCTCGCACTACCACATGGATGTGATCTGACGCACTGTGTTCCTTCCCACTGACTCCCGCTTTCCTTCCCTTCGTCTTCCGTGCCTTTGCAGATTGTTCATCTGCATTTCTGACAGTGACTTTAACAAGGGTCTTTAATTTCATCCCTTCTCATTCTCTTTGTTAGGTAATTACCATAAACTGCATTCAAATACTCTATGAGAAACTTTAATATATGATTTATAATTAAATATAAAAAGAATATTAAATATAAAAGGACCCATGAATCCCTTTGAAGAGTGAAACAATCTATTGTGATGTGAACTAAATTACTAAACTATACTTGTTCTGTACAATTCTGTTTTTCCTGTGTTGTGATACAACCATACCCTGGAGAAGGCTTTGCTCGGGCTTCTGTTTGCTTACTTGCTACTGCACTTACTACTTTTTTGTAAAGACAAAAATATCTCAAAACGCTAACTTGGAAGAACCTGACATTCCAATTGTTTCACTGACAATATTGGTTGAGACATAAGGAATTACTTTGAGTGTCAATGTACCTGTGTTGATGAGAACTCCTAAATGTTTCTGAAGTGGCTTCCCAGGCTGAAACTTGCCGCATAACCAGTAGTAGAGGGAAGAAGGATAAAATTCCAAGGTGAAATGTATTAAACACAGACTTATTTTTCAGCTTCTCCTTTCGCTCCGCCTCCAGGAGAACTAATGCCTAATGATTCCAGGAAGTGAAAAGTAATTAAATTTCACCTGGTGTAAAGTTGAAGAAATTGTCCCATGTGAAAAGAATGTTTCTTTGCCACATTCCATAGATGGCAATAAACAGGCAAATTTCACTGGTTTTGATATAGCAGTATGAGCTTTCACAGGGCTCAGGTTGATTTCATTTTAAAAAGTTGAATTTATGGGACAGAGGATTGAAAGGTTTGTACTGACATGTTTAAAACCCTCTTTTAAAAAGTGGCATATTGCATCGTTCCATTTAAGTGTTCACACCGCAGACTGAAACATAATCTGTTTACTGAAAAAACAACATTTTATTGCCCTGTGAATAATTTCCCATTGAAAAAGAAAACAACTTACAGTATTTTAGTGCTTTGTGAAACATCTGGAAATTTTTCTTCAGTTGTGAAAGCTATGAAGAATTTGCATCCACAAATTACAAATTTTTAAAAAATGTAACACAGGAAAACTTCAAACATACTATTGAACCTACCTAACTTTGCTCCAAAAAAGCAAGTTTCCAAAGGCCCACTGAAGACACTCAGAGAAACAAGGCAACCAACTCACCTGAAGGCAAGTCTGGTTTCACAGAGAGTCCATTAGAGATGTTTTGCTTTTTTGTCCTCATTTTCTGAACACAACATAAAGTGGATTGTATCAGCTGTTAGGGTTATGCCAGGTGTTCAACAAATAAGCCCCAAGTTCCAGTGGCTTAGCATAGTGGGAGCTTTTTTTCTTGCTCACTTAACAGTCCAACGTGGTGTGCCAGATAAGGCAGGCATGGAGGTACTGACAGTGCCACCTCTGCCTCTGCCATCTTCAACAGGGGGCTTTCCAGCAAGGAGAAAGAGTCTGCGGCCTAGAAGTTGCCCATTAGGACAGGGACATTCCATTGGCTAAAACTGGACCATGTGACTAAGTGAGCTGCAAGGGAGGTGGAAACTGTAGACTAGTTGTCCCAGGAGGGACCCAACCAGCACTTTACAAGATTAAACTCTTTCTCCACATTCCAACATGGACAGTGCTTAGTACTGGCTTATCCAACCCTGACTGTGGGCTCTCTGTCAAGCACTCTGCTATGGGTACTGGGGTGTTTCTGAGGTAACACGTGGAGGAAAGCCACTTGACTTTAGACACTGTTTTGTGATATCAGCTCCTAAGCCTGCAGCGGTATCTGTGAAAGCTGTAAAATGGAACTAATTATTGAGATAGCAAGTTAACTAATTGAAGCTCTGCGAAGAGTTCAAGCTTTGGAGTTAAAAATCCTTTTGGCATTTTATTCTATTTTACTTTTTTCCCCTGAGACTTTTATTTTCCCACAAGGTGTGTCCGGAATTGGTTCCTGCTGGTGGGTTCTTCGTCTCACTGACTTCAAGAATGAAGCTGCGGACCTTCGCGGTGTTACAGTTCTTAAAGGCGTGTCCCGAGTTTGTTCCTTCAGATGTTCAGATGTGTCCAGAATTTCTTCCTTCAGGTGGGTTCATGGTCTTACTGACTTCAGGAATGAAGCTGCAGACCTTCGCAGTGAGTGTTACAGCTCATAAAGGCAATGTGGACTCAGAGGGAGCAGCAGTAAGCTTTATGGCAAACAGTGAAAGAGCAAAGCTGCCAAAGCTTCAAAGTGGATCGTTGAGCACTGTTGCCACTGCTGGCTCCCCTGGCCTACTTTTCTTCCCTTATTTGGCCCCACCCACATCCTGCTGATTGGTCCATTTTACAGAGTGCTGATTGGTCCATTTTACAGAGTGCTGATTGGTCTGTTTTACAGAGTGCAGATTGGTCCGTTTTACAGAGTGCGGATTGGTCCGTTTTACAGAGTGCGGATTGGTCCATTTTACAGAGTGCTGATTGGTCCATTTTTACAGAGTGCTGATTGGTGCGTTTACAACCCTTTAGCTAGACAGAAAAGTTCTCCAGGTCCCTACCCGATTAGCTAGACACAGAGTGGTGATTGGTGTGTTTACAGACCTTTAGCTAGACACAGAGCACTGACTGGTGCATTTACAGTCCTTCAGCTAGACAGAAAAGTTCTCCAGGTCCCCACCCAATTAGCTAGACACAGAGTGCTGATTGGTGTGTTTACAAACCTTTAGCTAGACACAGAGTGCTGATTGGTGCATTTACAATCCTTTAGGTAGACAGAAAAGTTCTCCAAGTCCCCACCCAACCCGGAAGCCCAGCTGGCTTCATCTCTCAAAGGGAGCTTCACGCAAATTTCAGACTCAGGAGCTTTGTGCAAAAACATCTTTCCAAAGTTGTAAGTGCTTCTTCCTATCCATCAGCATGGAATGTTCTTCCACTTGTTTGTATCCTCTTTTATTTCGTTGAGCAGTGGTTTGTAGTTCTCCTTGAAGAGGTCCTTCACATCCCTTGTAAGTTGGATTCCTAGGTATTTTATTCTCTTTGAAGCAATTGTGAATGGGAGTTCACTCATGATTTGGCTCTCTGTTTGTCTGTTATTGGTGTATAAGAATGCTTGTGATTTTTGCACATTGATTTTGTATCCTGAGACTTTGCTGAAGTTGCTTATCAGCTTAAGGAGATTTTGGGCTGAGACAATGGGGTTTTCTAGCTATACAATCATGTCATCTGCAAACAGGGACAATTTGACTTCCTCTTTTCCTAATTCAATACCCTTTATTTCCTTCTCCTGCCTAATTGCCCTGGCCAGAACTTCCAACACTATGTTGAATAGGAGTGGTGAGAGAGGACATCCCTGTCTTGTGCCAGTTTTCAAAGGGAATGCTTCCAGTTTTTGCCCATTCAGTATGATATTGGCTGTGGGTTTGTCATAAATAGCTCTTATTATTTTCAGATATGTCCCATCAATACCTAATTTATTGAGAGTTTTTAGCATGAAGGTTGTTGAATTTTGTCAAAGGGCTTTTCTGCATCTATTGAGATAATCATATGGTTTTTGTCTTTGGTTCTGTTTATATGCTGGATTACATTTATTGGTTTGCATATGTTGAACCAGACTTGCATCCCAGGGATGAAGCCCACTTGGATCATGGTGGATAAGCTTTTTGATGTGCTGCTGGATTCGGTTTGCCAGTATTTTATTGGGGATTTTTGCATCAATGTTCATCAAGGATATTGGTCTAAAATTCTCTTTTTTGTGTGTGTCTCTGCCAGGTTTCGGTATCAGGATGATGCTGGCCTCATAAAATGAGTTAGGGAGGATTCCCTCTTTTTCAATTGATTGGAATAGTTTCAGAAGGAATGGTACCAACTCCTCCTTGTACCTCTGGTAGAATTCGGCTGTGAATCCATCTGGTCCTGGAATTTTTTTGGTTGGTAAGATATTAATTATTGCCTCAATTTCAGAGCCTGTTGTAGGTCTATTCAGAGATTCAACTTCTTCCTGGTTTAGTCTTGGGAGGGTGTATGTGTTGAGGAATTTATCCATCTCTTCTAGATTTTCTAGTTTATTTGCATAGAGGTGTTTATAGTATTCTCTGATGGTAGTTTGTATTTCTGTGGGATCAGTGGTGATATCCCCTTTATCATTTTTTATTGCATCTATTTGATTCTTCTCTCTTTTCTTCTTTATTAGTCATGAAAATGGCCATACTGCCCAAGGTAATTTATAGATTCAATGCCATCCCCATCAAGCTACCAATGACTTTCTTCACGGAATTGGAAAAAACTACTTTAAAGTTCATATGGAACCAAAAAAAGAGCCCCCATTACCAAGTCAATCCTAAGCCAGAAGAACAAAGCTGGAGGCATCATGCTACCTGACTTCAAACTATACTACGAGGCTACAGTAACCAAAACAGCATGGTACTGGTACCAAAACAGAGATACAATGGAACAGAACAGAGCCCTCAGAAATAATACCACACATCTGCAACTATCTGATCTTTGACAAACCTGACAAAAACAGAAATGGGGAAAGGATTCCCTAATTAATAAATGGTGCTGGGAAAATTGGCTAGCCATATGTAGAAAGCTGAATCTGGATCCATTCCTTACACCTTATACAAAAATTAATTCAAGATGGATTAAAGACTTAAATGTTAGACCTAAAACCATAAAAACCCTAGAAGAAAACCTAGGCAATACCATTCAGGACACAGGCATGGACAAGGACTTCATGTCTAAAACACCAAAAGCAATGGCAACAAAAGCCAGAATTGACAAATGGGATCTAATTAAACTAAAGAGCTTCTGCACAGCAAAAGAAACTATCATCAGAGTGAACAGGCAACCTACAGAATGGGAGAACATTTTTGCAATCTACTCATCTGACAAAGGGCTAATGTCCAGAATCTACAAAGAACTCAAACAAATTTACAAGAAAAAAACAAACGACCCCATCAACAAGTGGGCAAAGGATATGAACAGACACTTCTCAAAAGAAGACATTTATGCAGCCAAG
Organism: Homo sapiens; assembly: GCF_000001405.40. Lineage (NCBI taxonomy): Eukaryota > Metazoa > Chordata > Mammalia > Primates > Hominidae > Homo > Homo sapiens. The sequence continues at coordinate 25,703,026 of NC_000007.14, forward strand.
AGACACATGAAAAAATGCTCACCATCACTGGCCATCAGAGAAATGCAAATGAAAACCACAACGGGATACCATCTCACACCAGTTAGAATGGCGATCATTAAAAAGTTAGGAAACAACAGGTGCTGGAGAGGATGTGGAGAAATAGGAACACTTTTACACTGTTGGTGGGACTGTAAACCAGTTCAACCATTGTGGAAGTCAGTGTGACGATTCCTCAGGGAGCTAGAACTAGAAATACCATTTGACCCCGCCATCCCGTTACTGGGTATATACCCAAAGGATTATAAATCATGCTGCTATAAAGACACATGCACATGTATTTATTGCGGGGCTATTCACAATAGCAAAGACTTGGAACCAACCCAAATGTCCAACAATGATAGACTGGATTAAGAAAATGTGGCACATATACACCATGGAATACTATGCAGCCATAAAAAATGATGAGTTCATGTCCTTTGTAGGGACATGGATGTAGCTGGAAACCGTCATTCTCAGCAAACTATCGCAAAGACAAAAAAACCGAACACTGCATGTTCTCACTCATAGGTGGGAATTGAACAACGAGAGCACTTGGACACAGGAAGGGGAACATCACACACCGGGGCCTGTTGTGGGGTGGGGGAGGGGGGAGGGGGGAGGGATAGCATTAGGAGAGATACCTAATGTAAATGACGAGTTAATGGGTGCAGCACACCAACATGGCACATGTATACATATGTAACAAACCTGCACGTTGTGCACATGTACCCTAGAACTTAAAGTGTAATAAAAATGTATATATTAAAAAAAAAACCAAAGTTGTAAGTGCTGATGTATAGGCACAATACTTAGGCTTCAAGGACATGCAGTGATATCAGCCAATTTCCCTCAAGAACAGGTCCACCTAGAAGGTATAAATGAAAATATAGATAACTGAGGGGGATATTTGCCTGTAGATTCTTTTGCCCTTGTGCCCCAGTTTATGAAGCAGCCTTTTTCTGTGCTACCATCAGACACTCTCCTGCTTCGTCACCCTATGGGAATTGTCTGTTTCCTTGTCAGCCTCCTTCATTAGACTATAAATTCTGTGAGGAAAGGGATCCTTGATACCTCATTTAACCCCAGCACATGCCAGAGTCTGTAGCTCCTGATAGATGCTTGTTAGGTATTTGTGGAATAGGTACGTTAGAAAAAGTGAGAGCCAATCCCAGCACTTTTGGAGGCTGAGGTGGGTGGATCATGAGGTCAGGAGATCGAGACCATCCTGGCTAACACGGTGAAACCCAGTCTATACTAATAACACAAAAAATTAGCTGGGTGTGGTGGCGGGCGCCTGTAGTCCCAGCTACTCGGGAGGCTGAGGCAGGAGATTGGCGTAAACCCGGGAGGCGGAGCTTGCAGTGAGACGAGATTGTGCCACTGCACTCCAGCCTGAGCAACACAGCAAGACTCCGTCTCAAGAAAAAAAAAAAGAAAAGAAAAAGTGAGAGCCATAAGATATAAAAGAATCAAAGAGCTACTAGTGTTCTAAAGAGGGAGCAACATGCAGGGGGTCGGGGAGGAGGGAAGGTTTCCTGAAGCATTTGAAGTGGACTTTAAAGGAAGGATAGAGTTTCAGCATGCAGAATCTCCGGGATGGCATTGCAGGCAGAGCAGCGGCATATGTAAATGCTCAGAGGTGGAAAGGCAAAGATGTGTTTGTGGAATAGTCAGTATTCTCGTTTATCTTGCGCCTAGAGTATGTGGAGGAAGGGATAAGAGTTGTGGCTATTCCAGAAAGAGTTTTAGCTCTCGGGCTGGTAAGCATCTATTTAATTCTGTGGGCAGTGGGGAGCCAGGTATCTTGGTACCAAAAGGATCAATTTACTAAGTGGGTAGGGGGTGGAATATGTTGATGCGAGGCAGGAAGAGGAGAGACTTCGTGGAAGGCATGATAACCACCCAGGTGAATGGTAGGGCCCTAAATAAGGAAAATGACAGTGAGGAGGGACAGGACAGGAAGAGTTCAGGGCATAGGGCAGAGGGAGAGCCAACAGCTCTTGAAAACTGGTCACATTTTAAGGAACGATGATGAAGGAGGAGTGCAAAGTGGATGACAATACCGTGTGGCCATTTACAGAAGGAAAGACTTTACAAGAAAGAACTGATTTGGTGATTCAGGGCAAGGTGAAAAACTGGGTTTAAGATATTTTGAGCCTTGGGAGGGGCAGGGCAGGAGTTAGGGAGATGAGACATCCAAATGCAACCAAGAGGGAGTTGCAATGCAGAGCTGTTAGGTGGGGGTGGGGATGGGGGAGAAGGAGGGCCATTTGGCCCAGGCCTCATATTCATGAATTTCTCAAACTGAGACTTTTGACATTGCCTTTAAATGAGTGCCATGATCTGAATGGCTCCTAAAATTCATAGATTAAAACTTAGTCCCCATTGGGGTGATATTAAAAGATGCGGCCTTTTGGGAAATGATTAAATCATGCCCTCATGAATGGATTAGTGCCTGATAAAAGAGCTGGAGGGAACTAGCTTAAGGCCTTTTTGCTCTTCTGCCATGTGAGGACACACAGTTCATCCCCTCTGGAGGAGGCAGCTACAAGGCGCCATCTTGGAAGCGGAGACAGGGTTTCACCAGACACGAAACCTGCTGGCACTTTGATTTTGAACGTTGTAGCCCACAAAACTATGAGGACTAAATTTCTGTTATTTGTAAATTACCCAGTCTTAAGTATTTTGTTATATAATAGCAGCACAAATGGCCTGAGATGATGAGTTAATGTATACAGTCCTTGAATTCATGTGGGTATTGAAGTTTGATAAATACAAACTTTAAAAATACCACAATTTTGCAGCTCTATTGATATATTAATTTAGTGCTCTAATATACATGGAAATGTAAAAATATTATAGAAGTGCCTTCTAAGAACACTGACAAGGGATCCTCTCATAATCTGCATTTACCTCCAATTGTAGCAATATTTTCACTGAGTTATAACTGCTGCCTCCCTGTCTGTCTTCCTGCCTGCATGAGGGATAGAATTGTGTTCTGCTTAGTTGAAATTCCAGTAGCTAATCTAATCTCTGGCTGAAAGAAGGTTACCAAAAATTAAATAATTTGGGAGGGATAGTAAGAAAGGAAACTCATCTATATTGAAGTAAAATAAGTACAGACATCAAAGTGGAGAACAACTTTATAGAAGAAAACAAGTATCTTCCCTTCAAAAAGGGCAACAAAACAATCTTGTGGTATTAGTAATTGTAACTAACATATGGCAGCTCTCAAATACAAACCAGGCGCCATCTTTTGTGTGAAGCTTCCTGACATTATCAGAGAAGTTCTGTCCAACTCAGTGTTGGGGTTGGGGAAGAGGAGAGGAGAGCTATCAAGGGGAATACCACCCAGTTCTTTTTAGCATCTTGGATTCCACTTTTGAGCTCATAGAAACTTTTCCAGAGAAGCTCTCTGACCATCTTTTCTATTTCTTCCTTTGGCTCCAGAGTGAGCATGGATTAAGAGAAATAAAATCAAGATCTGGGAGATTTAAGCAGATCTGAAGACGAGAGAAAAATAATCCTGGCTATTTTTCTTCCCCAGTAAATCCTGGGCAGAATGTTTCGAAAAGAAAGAACATCACATTGCCCAATTATTACAAGAATATACTTCTGATACACCTGTTCTACTTCTCAAAGTCAACTTTGATGACCTTAATTTTATCTACACTACAGTATAAATTTTCACTGAGATCTTTATCTCATCCTGACACCAATTAGCACATGCATTTCAGCAGAAGAATCTACAGCAATTTAATACATACCTTCGAAGAAAACAAAACGCTAATCGAAATGAAGACTGTCCCAAAACCAACTGAACAGGTGTGCATTTCCATAATGGCTGCACAATTCAGCAACCAAGTGGTGTTTGCTGCTTTTGCTTGTGAACTGAATTAGTAATCTTCACATGCCCTGTCCCGGTGATTGAAATAAATTACTTTGTTAAATTGCGAAGCAGGTTGACCCATCTGTTGGCCCATGAATGTTCAGATTCTCAGAGGGTTTATTATTCTAAATAATGACTGCCATATGCAGCAGTAAACAGTTCCTTTAAAACTGACTGAAGGATTTGGTGCTACTTTTGAAGGCAATTTATAAAGCTATTCATGTTCCTCTAAAGGATCTGCCCTGCAACTAAACTTCCAGAAAGGTTGTCTTGATCTGTTAATCCTGACAGAGACACCTTGTTCTCTTTGGAGAGGAAAGAGGAGGGAAAAAACAGAAACATAAGTTCCAGCAGCACCTACTAAGTGTCAGGTGCCGGCACATATGGTAGCACTGCCCTGTGAAATCTCACAACAACTATGTGAGGTGGATATTATGATCCCGGAGAAAACAGGAGATCAGAGAGGTTAAGTGACACATCCAAAGGCAACTGCTATGCTGGGGAACTGGGACTCGAACCCGGTCCGCCTGGCTCCATGACACATTGTGCTGTCAGAGCATCTGATGAAAAGTGTTCACACTGGGACTCGCAGTGAGTGATAATTCTTTTGCACAATTCAGATCCATGGGAGAAAAGAAGTAAAAAAAATTTTAAAAAAAGTTTATGCCACTGTTCTGATTCTACTTAATTCAAACTGTTCTAATCATGCTTTCCCCCTCTTTTCTAAAGTATAAGCCCCACTATTCCCTCCCTGATATTCTCCTTTAAGGAGGAAGAAGGCAGAGCTCTGAACTCTCATTGGTAAGAATCGAATAGGAATGTTTCAAAGACAAAATTCTGTGAGCCCTCTTCACATGCAGCTTTCCTTACTTCAGATCATCCTCATTTTCAAATCCCTGGGAAGAATGCAAGCTCTGCCCACACAAGGTCCATAAACTGCTCAGACCATGAACCAGCCATGATTTGTTTGTGATGTTAACAGTGACTCGTTGTGGCTAGATTACAGATGTTAGATTGCTGATGGATGGCCCAGAGCCAGCACATGGTCGGCTCTTCTGGTATTCAACTGCAAAATTAATCATGTGTGGAAAGGTACTTTTTTCCATCTGTGAAAAATGAAATGGCTAATATACAGTATGGAATGAGTGCCCTGGAACAATTCCTTTCTTAACGGGCAAAGAATAAAGCTATTAAAAGAATAAACTCCTGTATGTGACATGATGACAGTGGGATTTTTTTTGATGAGCTAAATGAATAAACTCTCTCTCTCTCCTTTGATTTATGCCAGCGCAGTCTCTCAAAGCTTCAAAAGGCAGAAAGCACGTTTGGAGATGCCGATGGTCTCTACTCTCTTTGTTTAAAGGGAGTGAGAAGCTATGATTGGGCCAAAGGCAAGCGTCTGACAGGCAAAGACCTGAAAAGGTCAGCACCCAAGTGCTCAATCACAGGGAAGAGAAGGGGTGCCTTGGGGGGTTTGCCAGAACCTTTGGTTAAGGAAGCTTGCCCTCATTTCAACAACCCCCAGGCACCTCTGCATGGGCCGAGGCCAGGCCCTGCCTCTGTGGTTGGTCTCCTCCCACGACCAGAGGAAATTAGACCTGTTCTTTGCTGTCAGCTTAAATCCTTAGGAGGGGGCTAGAAATTAAGATTGTTCTTCACTCTACCAATGATGGAACCAAAAGAAACAAAGCCCACATTGAGAAACTTAGAAAAGGCTTAACATATACAGTGAAAATAAATTCCTGGCCAAGTACATTGAACATCAGAAAAGATCACCCAGGTAAAATGTAGTTGGGTTATATAATTAGTTTATTTAAATCAAGAGCAAGGAATACATGTTCAGAAAAGCATAAAACATCAGACAAATCCAAATTCAAAAAAAAAAAACAACAACAAATTCAGAAATATGCTACAAAATAAGCAGCCAATACTCTTTAAAATTGTAAAAAACAAAGACTAAGGAACCGTTACAGATCGGAAGAAAGGAAGGAAAGACAATAGCTACATGCAATGTGAGATCACAGGCTGGATCCTGGACCAGATCAAGAACATAATGGCATAACGAAGACACTCATAGATTAATTAATGGCAGTTAACCATCAACCTGCAAATTGTTAGCAATGCTCTATCAGTGTTAATTTCTTGGTTTTAGATCATTGTAGCATGGTTATGTAAGATGTTAACATTTGGAGAAATCTCTGTAGCGTTTTTGCAACTTTTTTGTAAGTCTGAAATTATTTCAGAATAAAAAGTTTTGTTACAAGGCACTGATGCAGAAAAGCCTACAATGAGAAGCAGCAGCCCAGGGGTCACTGTTTCTCCATCCCAGTCCTATTCCCCATATGCAGTCACTTTTATCTCTTTCAACTGTTTCTTCAAATAGTTACTCATGTATTGCTAAATAGTATGCTTAAAATACTATTTCTTGATTTATTAATTTTATACAATAACTACTGACTTCACACCATGATGGGTAAGAATTTAGCTCACTTTCACCAACTTTTAAATTATTTTTCAGGCTGGGCATGCTGGTTCATGCCTATAATCCCAGTACTTTGGGAAGCCAAGGCGGCCGGATCACATGAGCCCAGGAGTTTGAGGTGAGCTTGGGCAACATGGCGAGACCCTGTCTCTACAAAAAATTAAAAAAGTAAAAAAATTAACTGGGCATCGTTGTGCATGCCTGTGGTTCCAGCTACGTGGGAGGCTGAGATGGGAAGATTGCTTGAGCCCCAGGAGGTCAAGGTTGCTATGAACTGTGATCACACCACTGCACTCCAGCCTGGGTGACAGAATGAGACCTCATCTCAAAAATAAAAACAAAAATAAATTAAAAATAAAAGGTAAAAAACTAAATTACTTTGAATTAATTTTAGACTTTTTGAAAGAAGTTGCAAAGACCATAAAGTCCCCAATTACCCTTCACCCAGCTTTCTCCAATGTCAACACCTTCCATAACCATGATACAATTATCAAAACTCAGACATTAGCATGGTCTAATTCTGTTAACTAAACTATAGCTTTTGTTGAGATTTCTCTGATCTTTCCAGTGCTGTCTCTTTTCTGTTCCAGGATTCCATCCAGGACACCATATTGCACTTAGTTGTCATCTTCTCTGGTCTGTGACAGTTCCTCCATCCTTCCTTGTGTTTTGTGACCCTGACATATTTCAAAACAGCTGGTCAAATATTTTGTAGAATGTCCATCAGTTTGGGTTTGTCTGATATTTTCTCGGGATTAGATACAGTTATAGATTTTTGGAAGGAATGCCACAGAGGTGACATGCCCTTTGCAACATTTCAGGGATATTATATCAATATGTCTTATTATTGGTGAACTTAACCTTGATCACTGGATTAAGGTAGTATCTATGAGACTTCTTTAAGGAAAAGTTACTAATTAATTTCTCCTTTTCATTAGAAGCATGTCATGAAATCCAGCTCACATTCAAGGGGAGATGAATTAAACTCCAAGTCCTAGAGAGAGATATATCAAAGAATTTGCAGACACATGTTAAAACCACCACAGTAATACACAAACATTTTGGGGAAGACACTCTGAGGCTACATAGCTATCCCACTTCTCTTTAAAGTTTCACCCACTATTCTTAGCATTTCTTGGTGGATATTGCCGCGGTAATCACTATTGTGAGGTTCTTATGGCAATTTTCAATTTCCCTCATTCCATCATTTCTTAACATTATTTAATATATGTAAGTAAGACTTGTTCCTTCTCCCCATGTATTTATTTAAACATGTATTTATATCAGTATGGATTTATAGATATTTGTTTCATTTGGGGGTTATAATCTAATACTGTCATTGTTGATTTTGCTTCTCAGATTTTCTAGGTTTGGCCATTAGAAACTCTTTCAGGTTGGATCGTGTGTCCTTTGGATATGTCCCATCCTTTCCTTTTTTTTCTTAACCACTTCTTTAAATTCTGGCACCATGAGATGCTCCAGGCTCATCTTATGTTTTCACTGCCCCAGCCCTAGAATTAGCCATTTTCCCAAGAACATCAGGTTCCTTTTATTAGAGAATAATGTTTAGAAACCAAAATCTGGAGCTAAGTGTATTCATTGCTCAAGGATGTCACTGATCCTAGCTCTCAGTGAACAACATTAGGTTATGTGTGTATGTATACTAACCCATGTATATTTACTTCTGTATCTGCTTAGCTGTATATGTATTAAAATAAACATGACTTCATACGACATCTCTGACTGCAATCCAGCACCACAGAGTTTATTCTGGCATTACTCCCTTATTTATCTGTAACTTCTTTTCAAATAGACAATCATGTTGTCTGCAAATAGAGACAGTTTTGTTTCTTATTTCCCAGTATGCATGGACTTTCTTTATTTTGCTTTTCAAGCTCACTGAACAGTGATGAGAGAGGAGATCCTTGCCTCATTCCCAATTTTGGAGAGAAAGCTTCCAGTCTGTCACCATTAAGTATGATATTAGCTGTATATTTTTCACAGAAGACCTTATCAGGTTGAGAATTTCCTTTCTATTCCTGATATGCAGAGAGATTTGTCTTGAACGAATGTTGAATTTGTTAGATGCTTTTTCTGCATCTATTGAGATGATCACATGACTTTGCCTCTTTGATCTGTTAATATTTTCCCATTTTTCCCAAAAATTTCCAAATATTTTCCCAACTATACCCGTTGATTGTGAATGTTCAACCAGCCAGGCTGAATGGTCCAGGTTCATTCCTGGAATGAACCTTGCTTGGTCCTGATATATTAACCTTTTTCTATATTATTGGGAACAATTTGCTAATATTTTACAGAGGATTTTGAATCTATATTCATGAGAGATAGTCTGGGGTTTTCTTTTCTTGTATTGTCTCTAGTTTTGGTACTAGTAAGGGTAGAGTATAGAAATAGAAGAGGAGATGGTGGGGAAATACCTCTAAAGACTGCCTATCACTTTAGAGATTGAATAAGATAAAAATCAAGCCATCAGATGAAACAAAGTGAAGCTGAAATATATAAATTTAACAATGTAAAAAGAAACATGAATTCAAAACATTGATACTCACACAATTGGTCTTAAAACCAAATTCTGTCCTTCCCTGAAGAACAAATGGAGCTTGGGTTAGCTGGCTCTGGCAAAGCCTGTAGCCTTCCTCTCCCTACTTTCCACAATTAGAACACTATTGGCCAAGGTCCTTTTGGATCAGCTGCTATATAATGTTGACAATAATGTCAACTGCACTCTCCTGGAACTAACTAATTAAATTTCAAAGTTTAATCAAAAGAAAGTGTACATGTTCCCTATTAATATGCTGACTTTTTTGGAAGTTGGGTGAATGTTAGCTGCACTTTCAAAATAAGCTAGGGATTAGTATACAAGATACACCGTGAAATTGAGGCCTAGGCTCCTAGAATAGAAAGCCAGAAAATATTGGCCTGAATATAGTGGGTGTTAATAAATATTTGTTGAATGAATATATTTAAAACTTGTTGTACTCGGAATGATTGTCAAGACTCATACTACTCAAATTTTCAAGATTCTCTGTTTACCAAAACTAAAATGTGGATTTTTCTTAAAAAGTCTCATTCTCTTCTACTTTCTATCCAGTTGTGTCCTAGAGGAAAACTTACCCCATTAGTTTCTCGTTTGATCATACTTATGCAAAGTGTTGTTTGTCAAAAGTCCAAAGTAATATTTTATTCACATTTGTCTCAAGAGCTACTATACTGCCATTGTCCAAGAGCAAATGAGGTCACAGCCTACACTGCCTGCTCTCAGTTTCAAATTTAGAACAAAAGGATTCTCTAAAAGTGTGGCTGTTTCCCAAGACCATCCAGCAGTGAAAAATTGGTCTGAGAGCCTAAAATACCTGCATATGCATAGCAGCTGTTACTTTTTGTTTCCTTTGTGCCAAGCACTTTGCTAAGCTGCTTTTATACATATTATCTCACTTAATTCTCACAACCAGCCCATGTGATTGCTGTCAAAAGTGTCACCTTGTTCATCTTATCTTGTTCAGAAAACTGCATCTCAGTGCAGGAGGTGAAGGGCACCTGAGATAACAGTTTCCAAAATGATGCCTCAAATCTCTAGCCCCAGCAAAATTTTTATCATTGAGATAACCATGAGATAATTACAGCTTAGATTTTGCTGATAGTTCAGAAGAAACCCCAGTTTTGAATGTAAGCAGGAAGAGGAGGTGAGTAGGGAAGAAGGAGACTAGAAACTAATATTCATTGCATGCCAATATCAGTGACTGGGATGGAAACTTTATATTAACTCATTCAATTTGCACAAAACTCCAGGTAGATATTATCCCCACTTTACAGAGAAAAAAAAGCTGAGGTTTAAGGCTTAAGAGGTGGAGGCAGCCTTCAAACTCAGGTCTGTCTGACTTCAGAACACATTCTCTTTCAATACATATAACACGCTTCCCCATTTCTTCTTGATGGAAAAAAGCAGCCAGTGGTTTAGATTGTCATTCCAGTTCCCTATATTACTACCTCTTGAATACTGAAAAATTGGTTCCATATTAAGAGTGGTGAAAACTTTGGTGGCCAAATAGAATCCTTTTTCCAAACACATAGTTTTAGTTGTACCCAGAGAAAGGTTACATTAGATGCATCTCATGCCTTTTCAGAGTTATTTGTTGAAACTTATAATCAAATTAGACATTGATAAGTCTTTGCCAAGAGTTTTCAACTGCAAACTCTATGAGCTCAGAAACTTTATCTTGTTCATAATTTATCCCCATTACCTAAAATATTGCTTAACTAACAGCAGGCACACAACAAATATTTATTGGGGAAACCAACGTTTTCAAGTACAATAATCCAGGATTTAGCTTACATAGTGCCATCTGTCATATTTAATAAATAGCTTCTCCCCTGTGTGCATGTCCTATGTGTACCCTGAGGTCATAGTCTAAAGAGGGAAATCTTTCCCCAAACCGTAGGACTGGATAACAGCAGCAGACAATATCCCTGGTAATGTTTGCAGCTTAATGCCTGGAATGTAGAAAATGCTCAGTAAACATTTGTTGACTTAATTATTGATGAAGAAGACCTACACCTACTGAATGCTTACTCTTAGTCCGACAGTCTACTTGCTTTATCTCATAAAAGCATCCTACGGCAGTTCTATAATAGCTCCCTTTTCATAGAAAAGCAAAGTAGGATTTAGAGAGGTTAAGTAACGTGCCCAAATTAGTACAGTTATTATGTGGCAGCACTGAGATCAAACCAGGACAGCCTGATTTCAGAGTTCTCAGCCTGAGTCACCCCATAGCACTTGGTGAACTTGCCAATCCCACTCCTCCCTCAAGGCCTTTGCTCTTCTCTCCCCTGGATCTTTGCACAGCTGGCTCCTTATTCAAGTCTCTGCCCAGTGTCACCTCAGAGACCTTCCCTAACGACTCCCTACTCTGTCTCCGGATCCTGTTAGAGTGCCTTCACAGCATGACCCACCATCTAACATTCTCTTGTTTATGATTTGATTGCTATCAAGTCCCCCAACCAGACCTTGAGCTTCATGAGATCAGGGCCTTGTCCATCTTATTGGCCACTGTGATCTACAGTATGGTGCTGAGCCTAGGACATCAAGGCCCTTTCTAAATATTTGCTGAATTGCTGAATGACTACTGCAGGCTGGATAACCCCTGGTGTGTTAAAGAGGACAGTTCTTTGCAGGCCAGTCTTCAGAAGAGTGTCTGGTGCATGACTGATGCTTCTCTCCAAACCTATTAAGCCCAATTCCCATATTAATGCTTCTCTGCCATTTTGAACAAAAAAAATAGATTTATATGTGGGCCAATTGAGCAAATGTTTTCTGCAAAGAGGAAGGTTCAACGACTTAATGATTGTAGCATGCTCTATAATTTCTCCAACAAAGACACTTTGCTGAATAAAAATAATTTCCACCCCTCTCATATTGGAGCCATACCCTACTTAGCTTCTAAAGACCAAAATGTCAGTTGTTCCTGGTTTACAGAATGCTTCTCCACTGACAGCCTTAAACTTTATGTATCTCACAGGATAAAATCCAAGGAAAAAAATTTATTACAGAAAACGCTCTCTGGCCTGGGTCCAACATTTGATGATGGAGAATATTAATAATATTGCTTGGGCTTGACTCTCTTAAGTCTCTCACTTCCCCCAACACATGTCTGAAAGAGCTTGATATATGTGACACACATCTTGTTTTCAACCTCCGTCAGTGAGCTAGTTACCAGCAGAATTGTTTTGCAGATCTCCAACCAGTTTGAGACCTCCCACCTTGCTGCCAGGTTTGTTTCTTCAGAAAGTCTGGCCGTTCTGATAACATCACCCTCCTCTTCATCCACCCCAGCTTTGTGCTTTCCAACCCAGTCACTTGGAATCACTCTGAGCTCACTCACCTTGAGGTACCGTACTCCTTGCTTAGAGTCGCTCTCCCCCTACTTATGTCTTCCTCTCCTTCTTTTTAAAGACTCACATCTGCATTCCCACCTCCTCTTGCCTGACATTATCCCCAGTCCAGGCTCACTCACTCCCAAATACTTCCCAGGTTAAGTCAGATGCCCTTCCTCTAAAAGAACTTTATACAGACACGTGACTTAATTACTTACAATACTCTACTTATCAATGGGCTCCTGGCATGTCTGCTGTATCCTGCACATGACAGGTAGCTCCTCATAAATGGCTGGGAACTGAATTTATCCTGGCTCCCCCACCTCACCTTTATATTATCTCATTTAATTTGTACAAAAGTCCAGGTAGACATTATTCCCATTTTACAGAGGAGGAAACTGAGGCTTAAGGCATAAGAGGTGGAGGCAACCTTCAAGGTCAGGTTATCTAAGAGGAAAAAAAAAATCATTCTCCTCTACTCATTCTTCAGAAAGTTGATTTCACTCATCAAATAAGAAGGCAAGATTTTAGTTCCTGATGTCATTCTCCCAAATCTGTCTCATGATCTACGGTCACCCAGAATCATGGTGGGTAGAGGTGATGGCCTCAGGAGCAAAGAACAAACACATGGACATCAAGAGCATGAAGGCATTCCTTGGACAGAAAGTTTCTTACACTCATATGCTCCTATAGGTCATTATGCATGAACCAAAAAAAGGACCAGGATGGGCAAGAATCAAGGAAGCTTCCTTGTTTTTGCCCAGCCTTCATCTGACTGAAAACATACCTGCATGTATAAGCTTTCCCTTTAAATCACTGTACCCATCTCCAAGACACAAAGGAAATAATAATTGTGTCCTCTGTAAGAAATGACCATCTAGTAAAAAGACCAGTGTCATTTATAGCTTGCAGAATGAATTGCTCATGCAGCCACCTGCCAAACATAGTTTAGGATAGCATAGCTACCGGGCATATTGGTATGCTTTTTCCTGGCTGCCACTATTTTAGAAAACATTTTGAGAACTTGTCCACCCTGGACTCATTGAAGACATTTTATGGTAAAGTCAGTTTAGGCAGAACCTCCGTCTGGGACCATGGCCAGGCTCTGCACACCTGGCATACTTCTCGCCACTTCCTAAACCCTCTCAACCATAGGGCCATCATCTCTTACAGCCTCCAAGGAATCACCAATGTGGACTTCCTATCCCAGGCTTCCATTCTCCATGCCGCTATCTACACGTAAAATATAGGCTAAGAGGCAGCGTCATACTTAGAGCCCACAAATTCCTCCCCTGACCTACTTTACCCACTGAACCTCGAGAGCCCTCAGCAAGACTCAGTGCTGAGTCACCACACACAGCCTGCATCTCCCATGCCTTCCTTCCTGGGAATCTTATAAGGAATAGTGATGTGGCATCAAAGAAAGGTACCTTCCTCCCGCTCCCATGGTTTTGCTACTTAACTTGGCCAAAATATGTTTTCACAGTCAGTCTTAATGATCTGACTTCCCAATGGACTGCACCAAGTCCAAAAATACAAAATACAAACAATACTTCAAAGTGGCCGGGCGCAGTGGCTCATGCCTGTAATCCCAGAACTTTGGGAGGCTGAGGAGGGCAGATCACCTGAGGTCAGGAGTTTGAGACCAGCCTGACCAACGTGGAGAAACCCCGTTTCTACTAAAAATACAAAATTAGCCAGGAGTGGTGGTGCATGCCTGTAATCCCAGCTACTCGGGAGGCTGAGGCAGGAGAATTGCTTGAACCCAGGAGGTGGGGGTTGTGGTGAGCCGAGATCGCATCATAGCACTCCAGCCTGGGCAACAAGAGTGAAACTCCATCTCAAAAAAAAAATTTTACAGAGGAGGAAACTGAGGCAGGAGGCTGAGGCAGGAGAATTGCTTGAACCCGGTGGGCAAAGGTTGCAGTGAGCCAAAATTGTGCCACTGCATTCCAGCCTGGGCAACAGAGCAAGACTCTGTTTTTTTAAAAAAAGAATTTCCACAGATTATTCACTCCACAAATGCTGTTGTCTGTCACCCTGTACTGAGCACTGTTTGAGGTGCTAGAGATGCAATGAAGAACAAGATATGTAAGGCCCCAGCTCCTACATTCTAGAGACAGGGATGGGCAGAGACAAACAGTAGTCAAGGAAATAAACCAACATGATCATATCACAGAATGGCAAGTATTAGGGCAGAAATATAAAAAGGTGATACAATAGAAAGTGATTAAATCAAGAGTGATTGGCAGGAGCAACAGGAGTGATAGTAGCTGGCTAGAGAAAGCCTCAGAAGGAGGTGATGTTTTAAAGGGTACCTAAATGACGAAACACTTGACCAAAAAAAGGGCCAAAGGAAGAGAGGAAAGAGGGTTATGGTGATTTAAAGAGAAAACTTGCACATAGAGGTATGTTTTCAGTCAGATGAAGGCTGGGCAAAAATGAGGAATCTAGGCCTTCCTTGACCCTTGCCCTTCTTGGTCCCTTTTTGGTCCATGCAGCTTTGCTGCCTCTCAGCATTCATCCATTGAAGGCTGAGGTCCACTTAGGGACCAGTAATGGCAAGGGTTATAGAACATCATATTTAGTGTAAATTACATACAGATGCTGAAATAGAAGGTTTATCATCTCACATACTGTGAAAAACTCTTCCCACACCTCAGTATGAAGGATGCTTGCATGGTGATGTGCACTGGAAAGAAATATTCAAGATGCTGTCTCCGGGGAATAAACTCTTAAGACACTGGGAACCATGTTCATAGCATATCTGGGGAAAGAAGATCAGAAACTGCCCCTTTGGTCTGCATGAAACAGCACCTTTTCTGAGAGCAAAACAAAGCAAAATTCCTAGTGACCTAATATAAAGAGGAGGCTTATAATTTATATAATGAAAATATAAATTATGTTATAATATGATAACTTAGTAGAGGTACATGGTTATTGCTTTACAATATAGTCTCTTGGAAAGAAAGCTGAGGTCGTTATACCAATATGGAAAAACAAGTTCATTCTTTCCCAGTGGTTAACTATAAATGTTTTCTTTATTAAGCAAAATATCCACGCAAGTGTTGTTTTCTTCATTGTTTCAAGGTCAGCAAGGCTAGGAACTGATTAGCAAAAGCAAGCAGTGTCTCTCAGACACAGGAGGACAGGCCAGATGGGGGTAAATATTTTTCAGAACAGCAGATTTTCCTCTACCAGCAATCTTTGGGGAAGAGAAGGGAGCTCCTGGGACAACTATCAACACAGTAGCAGCCTGGTGCATTTTCTTGTCCTCCCCTGGAGACCTATTTTCTTTGCAAAACTACTGTAATTTTAATGGGCTGCCATTTGCTCATTAAAGTCACCTGGGAATTTAGTCAGCATACGGACCACAAAACAGGACCCTGTATAATGTTTAGGATTTTGTCGTTTAATAAAACATTTTATAAGCTCAGTGCGTACCTATTAATAACTGCACTTCTCTGGGCTCAGCAGCCTACCCTGTGGTCTACAGTGCAGTGCACTGACTACTATAGGTGAGTTATAGAGAGATCTTTTCCCAAGTTCCCATTTGTCTTTATTATGACACTCAAATAGCAGATGATGAGCAATCAGTCATTGTTAAATTCCATCCCTGGGAATTGAACCAGGCTTGGCTTCTTTTCATTCAAAGTCTTCTTGCAGGCGGCCTCCTTTGGAAAAGGGAGGCCCTGAGCTTCTGATCCCATGGAGGGATTTATTATCTGCTGCAGAGGAGTGAGTGAATGAGTGTGTGTGTGTGTGTGTGTGTGTGTGTGTGTGTGTGTGTGTGGCTATCACCGATGGAGCAGTTCCTAAAGGCCAGTCCATGAATTGGCCCTGTCAGAATCTCCCAGGATGAGTGACAAAAACAGGCATTCCTAGTCCCCAGCCCAGACCCACAGAATTATCCTCAAGGACAAGATCCAGAATTGTTTGAAAACCAGTGCCTCCAATTTTTTCTAATACACAGCCAGATTTGGGAGGCACTTGGAAAACAGAATATTCACCAGATCAGATGTTCATCAGATCAAATGTTCACCAGATCTACATACTCTGTCTGCATAGTGGAATAGTTCGCTTTTAACAAGAAAAGTGAAAACAAACCAAAACACAGATGCTGGTGCATAGCCACAGAATGCATCTCAGAGCCTGACCCTCCCATTCCATGAGTGCTGATCACAATAGTGGAAATGTGAAAGGTGCCACACAATCAATCAACATGGGTAGAAAACTCAAAAAAGACACCACTTACTAACAGGCATTGTTTTCTTGCACTTATTACTTATTTCTAGCATGTTTTCTCATTTTACCTTCAGTTCCTACAACTATGGGAGAGAGGGCTTACATAGCCCCAGGTTCCACATGAGGCATGACTCAACCCTAAGAAGAAAATGAGTCCCCAGTACAAGAAGGCAAGGAAGGTGGCAGTGTTTGAATAGCAATGGGGATGAGCTGAGGGTGAGGTCGGCCAGAGAGCAGGGCCCACACCAGGGACAGGCAAGAGAATGCACACAGAGAAAGTTTCCACCCGGGCAGGTGGCGGTGGCTCACACCTGTAATCCCAGTACTTTGGGAGGCGGAGGCAGGTGGATCACCTGAGGTCAGGAGTTCGAGACCAGCCTGGCCAACATGGTGAAACCTCGTCTCTACTAAAAATACAAAAATTGGCCGGGCGTGGTGGCAGGTGCCTATAATCCCAGCTACTCTGGAGGCTGAGGCAGGAGAATCGCTTGAACCCGGGAGACGGAGGTTGCAGTGAGCTGAGATCGCGCCACTACACTCCAGCCTGGGTGACAGAGTGAGACTTCATCTCAAAAAAAAAAAGAAAGAGAAAGAAAGTTTCCATCCTTTGACTACCTTGACTATGTTCCATTGACATATTTCTCAGGGCTTTCTTTAATATCTTCTCACCATAAATACAACAAATCTCAAGTCAACGTATCCTAAAATTTGTTGAGAAGGCACCACTTTTTGAAGTTTGTGCTTAGGGAAAGCAGTTGTTCCTTTGAAAAAGCCCAGTTTTGTTTCTGATTGGGAGGTGGGCATTGGGAGGGGAGCACACGCCCCCGAGAGTTCCTAAGGGAAGAAAATTGTGACCAAAGGAAATGCCCCAGTGCTGTCTGAAGACAGAAATCAGCGACATAAATTGTGAGACATCAAGCCTGGTTCTACTTGTCTTGTCCTATTATCAACTAATGTCCACTAGGGGCTGTCTCTGCTCAGCGACTGCACTCCATTCCTGGCCAGCACTGTCACCTTTGTTCTTCCCAAATCCCTTATCAGCTGGGTGTTATTATTATCCCCATTTTAAAGATGGGAAAACTGAAGCTCAGGGAGAGTTCAATAATTTGTCAAAATTATGACTCAAATGTTTTCATCAATCTTTGTTCCCAGATTCAAACAATACCATCTGGGGCACTGCAGGCTGCCAGCTATTCTTTCCTGTCTAAGGAAGGAGAAGAGAATGTTAACTGCAGCAAAATGATCTTTTAACCAAAAACTTTCCAACAGGAAACCAAGCCAGTTTTAATGGACAAAAAAAACAAAATAAAATAAAATAATACTTATTTAGAACATGAGGCACGAGAGCCACTACAACCCAGCACACTTGTAGTTTGGGATTTGCAGTCCTTCTGTGACCAGCTCCATCTCTCCCCATCACCTCTGCCCCTCAACAAAAACACAATTGGGATAAAAATTTTAAAAAGTTAAAATATCTTTACCTTCCCTCAAACAACAATCAAATCTCTTTCTAGAACTTGTCTTTTCTGAAAGCCAAGCCCTCCCAGAGAGCATCTTAGATCTGGGACCCCTTCTCAATAGGCGATTGATGATGCGGGACCCAGGTCCCTGCATTCCTCAGGCGGCTTTTCTCCAGGGAGTCCCACCCACACTTGAGCTTTCTCTCAACCTCTCCTTTCTGGATCCTGCACCTCAGAGAACATAGAAATTTGGCAGGAGGTAAATTTGAGTCCTTTGGAGATTCTAAGAAGCCCGCTATGACCCAGTAGCACATCAAAAGCATCTGACTTTTGCCCTGCACAGAGCCTTCATGCCCTTTCCAAAGAGCGTCCACCCACTCTCTATGATGATTAGTATTGATACTTAGTGAGCAATTACAATGCACCACACACAATGAGAAACACAAAAGCTCCTTTACCTTCCTTCCACCCAGTGCCCAGCGTCCTACAGATGAAACGAACAATAGCTGCCATTCACTGTGCCCTTACTATGGTTCAGATCTTGTGCTGACCAACTGACATTTACTCTTCACAAGAATGTCAATAGGTGGGAAGACTTAAGTATCCCCATTTTATAGATGGTAAAGCTGAGACTTGGATTCTTTCCACGCTAGTGAGTAGCTGTGCTGAGATCAGCAGGTTCCAAAGCCCAAGCTCTTAACTAGTGTACCATAATGTCTTCTACCACTTAGTAACTATTCACGGCCAGGACAGAGAAAATGATGGGCTTTGAGTGACACACATTTTCTGCTCAGGTTATCTCCCATCTTGTCTTGGTTGCACTATTAAATATTTTAAAAGGAGAGGCAACAAGATGGAAAAAGACCTTCACATTTCACTTGCATTTATTTTACCTTCAGGCAGGCTTTGCAAACACTCTACAAAGGGAGGTAGACAAGACACAGAATAGCAGTAAATGCCGAGGAAAATGCAAATCCCTTCTTTCACAGACACAGTTATCATTATTCCAATAAAGTGTAATGAAATAATAGAACAGCCATGCAAAGTGGGATTCAAGGGGACTTTTATGTTTTCTCTGTATCTATTGTCCACAAATGCTTTCCAGCATGACATTTTCCCAGGCCTGGGTCAAAACTGAGAAAAAGAAGGACACTGAAATGATCATGCTTTTTATAAAACTAAATATGTTTACTCTAACTGATTATTCTTTATGCTAAAAAAATTTTTAGTATACTAATAGCCTTTCTCCATAGAAGTGATGATGAGAGAAGCTGTTCCTTTTCTTTCTCTGTCTTTTAATTGTCCTTACTTGATCAAATAAGAGTTGGCCACCTTATGTCAGTTTTTCAAAAAACTCTTTTTAAAATTTTACTTATTCTAGAAAGTCTTGGGATAATTGCTTCTGATTTTTCTATTTTTTCTGAATAACATGTATTGTTTTTGAAAAACTAATAAAAAGTTACTTTAAAAGAAATAAACCATAAATAATTAAGGGAACTACATATGCATACCTGTCCTCCTGACTATAATTTTATTTTTTTAAAAATTTTAATGCAGCCATTTCTGATTCTTTGTGTTACCTTCCATCACTGGTGGGAAAATGCAGAAAAGCAATGTCAAGGGGTTTTTTGGCAATGTCGAAAAATGTTAGAGGTGAGAGAATAATTAGAAGCAGCAGCGGGTCAAGTGAAATTTAGCAAAAGAATATTTTAAAATTATTTTGATGAAACCAAACTGATACAATAAGAAATCATTTGTTTGCTGGGCAACAGACGACATTTTTCTCTATTGCAGAAGTGAAACTTAAAAAAATTAGCTTTGCCATAGCTTAGACTGCGGCAAAAAAAAATGGTAAATATCTGATTTAAAAAATTTTAAAGCTAATTATCTGACCTTATTGACAGTCAAGGAACAAAACCTCTATTGTGAA
Organism: Homo sapiens; assembly: GCF_000001405.40. Classification (NCBI taxonomy): domain Eukaryota; kingdom Metazoa; phylum Chordata; class Mammalia; order Primates; family Hominidae; genus Homo; species Homo sapiens. The sequence goes on from NC_000007.14 coordinate 25,722,945, forward strand.
CAGACTCTATTTCAAGAGCAGACCAAGGAAGGATTTGGCAAAATGAAGTTTAGACTTAGACTAATTTCACATGCTAATGAGAATCTCCAGATAAAAGCTGCTTTGTAATGGGTGCTAACCAATTGGCAGATTAACAAGATTCAAACCAAACAGAGCACGAATTAGTCATGTTTGTCATAAGACCATATGGCTAGAAAGAAACCAGGTGAATTTGGTTTAGCCTGTGTTGGAGGTATTTTTTGGTACAATATAGTTAAACAGCCAGAAAAATCAGAGTATCTCATAGTCTAACAGCCTTTACAGGGAGATTGTGCAAGGTTCATGTAACCCCTTGGAATACCTTTCAGGTGGATAACGTTTGTATCCATCAAAATAAGATGCTAGAGTTTACATTCATTCCCTTTCTTTCAGTCTCCAGAATCCCTGCACCAAAGAGAGAAAACATGGCAAAGAAAAGAATACAGGTTCTCGAGCTACTATCTAATATGTTAGCCCTAGCTACATGTGGCTATTTCCATTTAAATTCAAGTGAATAAAGTTTGTAAAAAGTAATAAAATTTAGAATCCAGTTACCTCACCACATTTCCATTGCTCAACAGTCACATGTGCCCTGGCTACTGTATTGACGAGCATAGATATAGAATATTTCTATCATTGCAGAAGCTTCTATTGGGCAATGCTGCTTCAGAGTCAAGGATCTCACTACATGAACTTCACTTAATTTACTCATCTGCAAAATTAGGAAACTAATAATACCAATCTCACAGGTATGTTAGGAGAATCAAATGTATGCAAGAGTTGTTTGTAAGCTATAAGACAAATAAATGTTAGCTATTTGGATGAGGATAGTGCTAACGATGATTGTGACGATGATGATTAATGATTTCCATATAGGAAGGCTTCAGATGGTTAGGGATGATAAGCACTCTTAGCCTTTACTCAAAGTTTGCACGACCCCAAGTTGTGAGGGTTTTCCTCCAACTGTATGCTCCCTCTTTCTTCTTGAAAGTTTTTCCTTCACTCCATGCTGGGAACAAAGACCTAGACAACGTAAAAGGAAAACATCCCAGAATTCTATCTGAACACAAATTATGTGTGACTACTAAGCTTAAAATATATATATATATTTATATATAAATATCATACATAAATATATAATATATAAATATTTAAATATATATAATATATATGTATCAGACAGAATTCATGTTATCCACCAAATTTTGTGTTTCCCAAGGAAGTGCTCCTAACCCCAAGGAGCCTGTGGAAGTATAAGGGTTGGCCAGAGCAGGGGCAGGTGGAGGAAAGGAAGGGAGTGTCAAGGAATGTGGTATTAGAGTTATTGCTACTATTACAAAAGTTTTCCCAGAACTAGTATGTTTTCCAGGATGAATCTAACCTGGCTGATTTACATATAAAGCATTCATTCTGTCTGAAATTAAATTAATTCAGTCAACAATATTATTTGGCAGAGCCACAAACAATTTTCATTTTTGTAAGTCAAAAATAGTCAAACACTGGCAATTTCATATGGTTCAACCTAATATTGCCTCAATTTGACCTGTAGCAGACGAGCCAAGATTTCAGGTTTTAGCTGATAGACCTGGGTTCATATCTCACTCTGCCATAATTGCTTGTCTTTGGGAAATTAAAAAATAATAGGAAAAAGAAATTTAGTATTTGGACTAAATCTGAATCTTTGAGAAAAGAAAATAAGAAAGTGGTTTTTGGCGGCAAAAAGGTTGACAACCATTGATCTACTCCGCAAGGTAGGGCTTTTAATTGGCAACATACTGCCTCCTTTAGGCAATTTTAATCATCTAGAACATAGAGAAGAAGAGAGATAAGTAAGCAAAGGACATCTTAAAAAACAAAGACTTATCAAAAAGCCCATGTCCTTCATATCTTAGGCGTGATAGAAGCACTTTCAGGTTTGACCAAGACAATTGTGTGTAAAAAGCTATACCAATGGCAGAAAGAAGCAAAACTAACTGCAAAGGCCGGATACAGAGGTTAAAAATATATTTATCTAACAGAACTGACAAGAAACTCTTGGTCTTGACCTTCTCAATGGCCTGACAACTTTACCATATTATAATAATGCTAAATATCCCTACTCGAGAAAGCAGAAACGTATTATGTTGTCAGGCTGTTCCTATATAAATAAGAAGTCATTGCGCTAAAAGCTATGATGCAGAGAAGGGCAGCCCATATGCCTGCCACCGATAAGGGAACCAAGGGAGAAAGGCTGCTCAAATACCACTTGCCCATCATGGCCATGCATGAGAAGGGAAAGCTGTGTCTGCGAGGACACCCCATCAGTGCCAGAAGAGGAAGGCCAAATCAGGTTGTTGAGACCAGGGGTGAGATAGAACACCAGCCAAGACACAGAATCCACACAAACCGAGAGAAGTTGAAGAACCAAGAGATCTGAAAGCAAAAAGTCGCAGAGCAGACAATCAAAAGGTGGGCTAGATGGATTCTGGAACAAAAAATTACTAAAATTGTGGCTTTTACACAACATGAGCATAGCTCTATGTGGACAAAAGGGACCAAAAGGGATACACTTTTTACTGAAAACTCACCCATGTAGGAGGCCCTGTTTCAAACCACAAAAATTCCAACTTGTTACTGGAAATGAAGAAAATACGGTCTTAATTTTAAACAACAACCTGATATTCATTTAGACCAGCTGTTAAAATGACAGTATGCAGAAAAGAGCACAGAATTTTGATTCAGACAATCCTGAGTCATGTGGCTCAACCATTTATTTTTATGCACAAGGTCACATACTTGAATCTCGGAGGATGTCAGTGTCTTCATCTTTGAAACAGAAGCAGTAGTGCCACTTTCCCAGTGTTGTGGTAAAGACTAGATGAATCCACATATGGAGAGTACCTGGGTCAATACCTGGTACTTAGTGTGTATTCAATAAGCCTTAGATCGCTTCTCTTCTCTGTATTGATAATTCATTTTTAGCAACTGAAACAACAGTTTCTAGACTTATTTTCTCTGTTCTATTTGTGCTTCATCAGTCATTCCCCTTGCACACTACCAAACATAAGTTGCTACCTAAGAAGGCTGCCCTGTTTATTCTTCCAAAGCAATGTCAATTTCAATCCCCACTTTTAGACTTACTTAGAAAGAATATCTGAGCTTTATTTTTGGTCTTAGTGATGATAGTATCCTTTAGCTGGATGTCAACTCTAGGAAGATTTCATTGTCAGCTGATGGCAGCAGGGTGGAAAAAATCCTTTAAAAGCAAGAATAACCTCCCCCACACCTGCCCAAGAAACAAAACACCAAAGCCAGCAGCCCTCGCCTCCCAGCGTGAGCAGCTGCTCTGGGCTGAGCCCTTAGCTCTCCAGGCCAGGCTGCTGCCTACCTCACCCTCCAGAGGAGCCCTTGTTGGGTCTTCAGTCCCTGGTCTCTGGACTTATCAGGAGCAGACATCTGCAGCCACGTCTGTGGGGACCACCCAGAGGGCAGCTGGAGAACCCTGGGGCTCCTTGCAGAATTTGCAGAAAGGTCAAGAGTCACATGCCCCAACCCGTTCTCTAAAAGCATCTCAGAAAGACCCGGTGGAAAGGTCATCTTAAGACAGTGACAGGGCACAGCTTGTTGGGGGAAGAGAGGAGAGGACAGAAGAATTTCTTTTTTAAGTAGCAGAAAGTACATCTGTTTCTTGCTCAGCTTAGACTTTCAAGTCTGATTTTTATTTCGATGGCATTTCCTTGGCTTTTCCAATTCATGTCTAAATCACAAAATGTGTCCATTGTGCACTTCTGGGCTTGCGTACATGTGCCACAGAGCACAACACCGCAAATGCATTTTCTCACTTCATTAAACATTGCTTTAAAATGGCATCCAAATGTCCGCTCTCACAATCGCGTCTAGGGGAGATTGTGTTACTTTTTCCCCCACAGTGGGAACAGAAGGAACAGCTAAGTCACAAGCTGTGATGTTTAATATTTTTCAATTTCACACGTCCAACTCTGAAAGCTGATTGTAGGGACAGCCTGGTCAGCCATGCCACTGCGTGCAAGGGCTCTGGTTGTCTTGGGGAGGCTTCCCTTTAGCCTTGCAATTCTCTGATCTACACTGCAACAGCCATAACTGGCCTCACCCCAGGGGATCCCTTCTCACTTCACTGGGTGAGGTGCTGACTCCACCTCCCCCAGGCAGGTCAGGACGCATTCTGCTGACTTAAGAAGATGCCACGTAAATTAGAACTCATGTAACCATATGGTTCAAACCTGCGGGTCATATTTTATACACAAATGACTATGACAGGCAGTATTTTTGTGCTGACAAGTTGTATTTCATCCATGTTTACTTAGAATTCCATGCTATCATTAAAAGCTGAACAATAGAACTTTATCTTATTTTCACGCAAAAATTTCACTGAGTGTCCCTCTTATTAAAAAAAAAAGAAGAAGAAAAATTCACCATGAAGCTTTTGCTCTCTCTTTAACTCTTATTATCCAAGTGTTGGGTGCTAAGATGCTTTCATATATTCTGACATCGGGAATTTGAAAGTTCTTGAGCCCTGGCTTCCAGACTGGCCAGCATTAAGTGTGCTAAACAGCTATTTTATTTGGGTCCCAAAAATAAAAAGTATATTAGTTTACCAACCACCGCATGCTGTGCAGTGACCTCTGGATGTTTGAAAGCTGAACCAATTGATTCAGTCTTCTGTGACTTTACCTCCTGTAGAGCAGCAAATAAGAGAATCTCCAATATAGTGGCCAGTTACCTCCCAGACCTCTAGGTTAAGAAAGAAAATAGTAAACAAAATGCTAGCTGGGTCACTCTATAGCCTCTGGTCCTTCAAAGACAAACCTTAGAAAATACTTCTCATGTTTCCTAGAATTCTGATTAAACCCACAACCCAGCAAGTCCTAGAGACTCTGACTATATTAAGGTTGCAGGAACTAAGAGACTTCAGCACAAATCTTGAACTCAAGCTGGAAAAAATAAATATAAATATATATATATATACACATATACATAAATAAATAAATATATACACACACATTAATAATGCCTTCCACCTTGAGAAAATGTCTTAGACCCCCACATTCTCCTCTCTGCTTTTGCAATCCAATGTGACCCTATTGGCTGGGCATGATGGCTCACGCCTGTAATCTGAGCAATTTGGGAGGCCGAGGTGGGAAGATTGCTTGAGCCCAGGAGTTCAAGACAGCCTGGGCAACACAGGGAGACCCTGACTCTATGAAAAGTAAAAATAAAAAGAATCATCTGCAGTGTGACTCTATTTTCTCAATCAAAACTAGGCAAGTGGTCTGGGAAAGGTATTTTTCCAATTTATAAATGAATTGATGGAAAATCCTCTGACAAAGCTATCAAAATTATAGTCATATTGGATTACATATTTAACAACTGACCCTTCTTGGGGTCATTTCTTTTAAATCAGGGCTGCCCTGATCACTCCAGGCACATGGTTGCCAAATCTCAACCCTCCCCAGAACCTTCAGAAAGCTGTCCTGAAGTCTGAGAGGCATCTCTGGAAGCTCAGGGAAGACAGTTCATCGCCTCTCTCCAGACCTGGCTGTGAATCCTCACTACACTTCTTACTTTCTTTAAGCAACTCCATAGTGCCACCGAGCCATTTCCTCACTTGTTAAATGGAATGCAATATACAATGCCTAACGCATTTACCAAATGATCATGTCTTCACTCTATCCCTAATTGAAAGAACAACATGAAATTGCTGCCAGGTAGCTGCCCAGGACAAGGAAAAGTGCGACGGGACTGAAATCTGATTTTGCTTCCTTCCAGGCTCCTCCCTTTTGGAGGTGTCTGTCTTCCCCAGGTGTGTATCTTTCAAGTCTTTACTGATGATGGCTTAAGAATTGATTCATCCCAGGTGTATTTTAATGAGAGACTGCAAAACTTTAAAGACTTTAAAGATTGAAAGGAATTATTTTCTTTCAATGAACATGTGTCATTCTATTATTAAAGTAATATATGATTACTACAAAAAAAATGCAGAAAAGTAAAAAGCAAAAGAATTGCCCATCATTCTGCTACTGAAACACAAGCACCATTAAAATTTTGTTGTATTTTTGGCACGCATATTCTTTGTAGCCTTTACTTGTGTGTGTGTGTGTGTGTGTGTGTGTGTGTAAAAGGGGATGATTATATTGTTGATTTTAGTTTTGACTTAGGAAAAATTGCATATACAACTTTGTATCCTTCTTGTCATTTAGTATGGTAACCCACCAAGCATTTGCTGCATTACCATACCCTTTCCATAAATAATAATTTTTAATGGCTGCAAAATAAGGGATGCATTTTTGAAAGTAAAGTTCTTTTTTAAATTTTTTTAAACAAAAATTTCTAACTCTAATAGATCCTGGAGAAGATAAATGTATAAAACCAAAATTAAATGTAAGTTCTCTGAGAGCAAAGACTTCTGTCTCTTTTTATTCTCTGCAGTAACCTTGGTGCTTAGACTACTGCCTGGCCCATGATAGGTGTCCTCTAATGAATAAGAATAAAATCAGAGGAACATGAGGCCTCTAGGACTCCAGCTTCCAATGTAGCACTGTGCCCTGGTTTGCTATGAACTCATTCTACAGAATGATTGACAAGTAGCCTGCTTTCTCTATGTTTTTATTTTCTCCACGGTCTTTTGCTAAGACACAAGTACAAGTAAACACATGATTCATCAAAATATCAATTGATTTTTAAAAGCACCTGTTTCCCATTTAAACCTTCACAACCATGTTTTGAAAACTGTGGGGAAATCTGAAACTGTCTCAAAATCTTTTTAGAGTTCTTTAGAAATTTTTTTTAATGCCAGTTGTAAAGTCATGTCCATGTCAGTGATTCTCTGATCCCCAAATATCTAAACCTGTTGGAAACTGTGCAAACAGATAATAATAGGACCTCATTTAAAGCAAAAGTAAATTATAAAAAATCCATTACTTTGTTTAGCCAACAGCTTTGATACCCAAGAAAACACATCGAGACTTTGCCCTGTCCTGGAAGCATTTGGGTAAAGTGCTGGCGAATGTGATATCTAATTAGATTCTAGGGTCTCATCACCAAGAACTAGGGGAAAGATCAGGAGTTCAACCCAAGAAACCAGTTCATGGAAAATATCAAATAACAGTTGGGCAATGCTGAGAGGCTATTTACTGAAATGCTCATACCTAGTGAAAAGACCTCCTGGGCAAAAACTTTTTTTTCTAATCTAGGAACAACTATTGAATTTGCTTTTTGCATTATACTGAATAATTCTTCTTTTTTTTTTTTTTTTTTTTTTTTTGGAGACAGAGTCTTGCTCTGTCGCCAGGCTGGAGTGCAGTGGCATGATCTCAGCTCACTGCAACCTCCACCTCCTGAGTTCAAGCAATTCTCCTGCCTCAGCCTCCCCAGTAGCTGGGACTACAGCTACGTGCCACCACACCCAGCTAAGTTTTGTATTTTTAGTAGAGACGGGGTTTGACCATGTTGGCCAGGATGGTCTCGATCTCTTGACCTCATGATCCACCCACCTCAGCCTCCCGAAGTGCTGGGATTATAGGCATGAGCCACCGCGCCCGGCCTATACTGAATAATTCTTAGTATATTACATTAACGTATTGCCATAATTTGGTTTTGCCCTTCTGAAACCTAAAGATATAATATATGCCTCTGTAAATGCCCACAGAACTACTGTGTGAGCAAAATTTGACTTTGAAAACAATTATAATGTGGGCAAGAAAAATGTTAAAATCTTTAAACATTATCAGGCCAATATATAGCTTGTTATATGAGTTCCAGCACAGGCAGCCCAAAGAAATAAGGAGAGATGTGCATTGCCACTTTCTCCCATCTCTCCCAGCCTACAAAATGGGCTTCAGATGACAGAGGAAGTGTCTGAGGCAACGGCAAATGTGGATAACAGGTTGGAAGATGGAACTACCAAGGGAAAGAAGGCTAAAGGAAGTGGGGAGATTCAATGAGATAAAGAGGAGATAGAGAACTTTTTGGATTTTAAAAATTAATCTTCAATTACGTGAAAGGATGTTTGTGCAAAATGGTGACCCACTTTTTTCCATCTCTACTGGGGCAGATCAAAAGAAAATGGACTTAAACTGAGGCCGAGTGGTTTAGGTAAGACAGAAGAAGGAATTTCCTGAATGTGGAGGTCGTTAAAAACTAGAATGAGTTACTAAGGAAGTCTGTGGACACTCTTCCTCTGGGGAACATTTAAAAATAAGATAAATTTTCATCTGTCAGGGCGAGTTTAGAAGTAATCCTACTAGAAGGCCTCTCAAAGCATTTTCCAGCCCTATAACCTGAGGGCCAAATTCCCTCTGATTTTATTTCTAAAGTTAACTAGATGCGAGATGAATGCCTGAAGCAGAATTCCAGATTTTAGATACAGTAACTCGAGGCTGTCACCTTTTGTTCTATAATAAGATGCCACTTTGCATAAAAACTAAAGTCCTAATCCTTCCTGGAAACCACAGCAAGGAAAAAATTCACAACTCAAAACTTGGCAAATTAACTCTTGCTCAGACACCTTCACTCTCATCCTTAAAAATACAAAATACCATCTCCTCCTCTACACTGTTTTTTGTTCCCTTATGCCTATGGAGCACGTCTTTCCAGTTCTTAATTTTATTTTTCCCAGACAGCCATTCCGAATATTCCATTTTTACAGCTAGTCAGTTTCTTTAAACAGTCTTTTGAAACCTAACCAAATACTTTCCCAGCAATTATTTGGCGATGTTTCAATCTTAGATATACCAAGCTAAAAAACAAGTTTGCATTTTGAACAGCTGTACTCAGACACATTCCTTTCTCTTCATCTTCTTCTGAGTTTTAATCAAGCCAATCGGGGGCTTTCATTACACCTCCCAGGATGGAATAACCTGACATGGTGAATATTGATATAACACCCTCCCTTATAATTGATCAGCTTTGTTTCAGTTCCATGGTTTTCTTTTCTTTTAAAAGCTTCGGGTCTCCTTTGTTTCAGGTTAAATCAGGAACATTAAAAGCAACTGATATCTAAAGCCTCCTCCAGGTCACTGCTGCCTCCTCCTCCTCATTCTTAGCCTAAGGTTTTTTTGTTGTTTTTTTCTTTTTTCTTTAGCTTCTCCATCCTCCTACTCACCCCTCACCCCAAGGCATTTGTCAAAGGTTTCCTCTGACTTCTCCAACCCTTTTCTCCAGTGTGAACTCTGGATTCAAGTGTGAGGAAAGGAAATCTGGCTTAGGTAAGGAAAGGGGAGACCATCCAGGGTAAAGGGAAAAGAAAGGGGTTTCAGTCGCAGCGATCGCTGGCCAGACACTTCCTAACAGTTACCTCTCAAGGACAGCAAGAAAAGTCCTTGAAAATCTCATCTGGGCACATGGATGGCAGGATGGGGCACAAAGAGCTATGTGGGCTCCTAGAGAGACAAGGTGAACTTATTCCTCAGTTAGGAATCCAAATAAATCATAATGCTTAAACTATTCGTGAAATCATCAAGTATCTACAGATTTTTTTCCAGTTCTAAATGAAAGTAGCCAAATGATGGTCATTAAAATGAAAGAAAATCATCCTTATTTTTACTTCTGTACAAGCTTCTCGAAGAACTTCAAGTCTTAGTGGAGATGGGGTGAGGAGCTAGTGACAGGGCTCTGATGAGTGGAGAACACCAGGTTCTTCATCTCGAGTAGAATTAGAAAAAATGAAACGGACACACATGGAGTAGTTTTAAGGAGCAGAGAGTTTAATAGACAAGAAAGAAGGGGGAAGAAAGAAAGAAGAAGCTTCCCTGTACAGAGACAGAGGGAGGGAGGGCTCCAAAGCTGAGAGGGAACCCTGCTATCAACTAGCTATATTCGATGGCTGGAGGAGGCGGTGTCTGATTTGCATGGGGCTCAGGGGATTGGTTTGACAAGGCATGTCATTCACGTAGACCGTGAAAAAACTGGCTCTCTCACCCTAGTCTTTTAACATGCAAATGTAGGGCGCCATGATGTTCCACACACCTGGGGATATGTGGGGGCAACCATGCTGCTAGGCACATGTGGGGGCAAGGGTAAGAGGGCAACGGTGGGAATCGCCATGTTGGGTGGACCCAGTTTCTAACGCCTTGCATTTGCATATTAAAGGTTGCCAGCCGGCCATGTTGGGTGGATCCAGTTTCTAACGGTTTGCATTTGCATATCAAAGGTTGCCAGCTGGGGTCTAAGAGTCAGGATTCTCTTTCATGCTAGACAAGAGCCGCGAAAAATCTTCCAAGGACCCCTTTTTTCCTCTCTATCTGCCTAAAATAATTTCTTAGTAACTCCTACCACACTAGATCGTCTTAGTCTTTACACTGAGAAAAGTAAAAGAGGTGTGTTCTCTTTTTGTACAAATGGGGAAAGCCAGGAATAGAGTGATGACATATTTTACCCAGAGTGACATAAGTAATCACAAGGTTCTCTGCATCTATATTACTATATGCTTTGCCAGAATGCCCTGTTAGGATGAAATTTATTTATATAGTTAAATAGTTAATAACTACATAAAGGAAGGAGAGAGGAAAAATAAAAACTAAATATATATATGTGTGCACAAAAAGATATTAAATTGAGCTTATGAATAATATATTTCAATAATACATTACTAATTATTTAACATGAGGAGAGGAGCTGATTAGTAGTAGTCAGTCTTCTTGGCCATAGTCAGTTTCATCAACCTCTTCAGTTCTGAAACCCCAAGGCTCTCCCAAGGTTTACCTGGGGAGATAACCACAGCCCCTGTCCTCTTCAGGCAACTCGGAGTTCAACTTTCCTTTCTCAGAAAGAGAGATAGCAACATCTCAAGAGATAGAGCTAGAGAAAAGTCACAGAAGCATCTATGAATTGGTTCCCCATCAAGGACACCCAGACACACAACCCACTCAGAGACAAACCGTTCTGGAATACTTCATGTTGGAGTGGTTAGCCCTGCTCTGTGAACTGGTAATCCAGTCCTTTGTGGAGCCATCTCTGGGCTAATTGTCTCTTTGTTTCTTGAAGGTTGAGAGATTATCTTCAGCAAAATTCCTCCGTTTAACCCCTGGACTTCCTTACCCCAATTCATCCAACCACCACTCTCATTTGCAGATGAGAATCTTCATTTGCACACATGGCCTTGGCCTTTGCCTCAACCCTTTCCCTAAGACAGCTAGCTGGTTCTATCTTGCTCTCTCTCCTTCGTTTTTGGTGCAGATCAACAGCAGAGCCAACCTTGGACAGGACAGGACGAATCCACACTTCCAACTCACAGAAGCATGGAACCCAGTTAGGGAGAGTCTCCCAAAGCCTTAAGGTACCACAGGGCACCATGTCCTCTGCCAAAACTTTTGGAAACAGGGCTGGTTCTACTGCAGCAGAACAGATCACCCTTTGAACAAAAAGCTCCAAAACTTACAAGAAAGAGAAGATGAAAGCTGCAGCTCTCTTCTTTGAATTATATATTATCTATGCCTAGAATGCCCAGAGGGGTCATGAATTTAGAGAACTCAACAACAACAAAAAGTCAATATCTGACACCTTGTGTTTCTAAAACTCATTACAGCTCTGGGAATGAAAGTATAGGAAGAAAAAAAAAAACAGTGAATAAATTATTTAGAAGAGGAAATGTTTGGATTATTTTCTTGCGTTTTCTTGAGCTTTTCCCAATAGTTTCAGAACTGGTGGAAAGAGAAGGAGTTCTGTCTCCTAAATTATCTCTTGAATTCAAATTTTCTCTGGTCTGGGATTGGAAGGATCCTTCATACTTTTATAAACTGGACTGAAAAATACAGAAGCCCCCAATCTTAACCCTTTCTTCTCTTTCTAAAATATCCTAAGGAAAAGCAATAAGAGATTTAAATCCCATATCATCTGAGAAAGGGACTGGGTTTTTTTCCCAAATCAACCTTTCCAATTAATGAAGCCCCTATTCCTTATACTGAATTGGGGAAATGTCTTGTGAAAAAGTTGCTGACCCTCCTCTGATACCTGGAACCCTACTACAGAGTCTCAGATTTGACTCAGAGAAGGTTCCAGAGGTGTGTCTGCGTTGTGCTGTATTGCACTGAGCTGGTGCCTGACATTTTAGATGCTCAGTGAACATGTGGCTCTAACTCAGTCACTGCAAACTCCTTAAGATGTCTTGCTCATCTCAATGGCCACAGTAGGTAAACATTCAATAAAGCCTGATTGACTAAACAAATAAATAAATGAGCAATCATGTCTAAATCACTAAGGGAGAGGTTTGCCCCCTCCTTCCCCACTCCCATCCTCCAGATCGATCTTTTCTGAGAATCACTGCTTGTCCGTTTTCGTCCCCTAAGACATTTTAGTAATCAAAGGAATGTACCCTATTCCAAGAGTCCTACACATTCTGTTTCTTATTTCATCTGAGAAAGAATTTACTGAAGAGTCCTCTCCACCACATGTGGATTGAATTTCCATTCTCTTCTCCCCATTTCCACCTTTCTTTTTATTTCTGTCTCCATCAGAGCAGAGCATTCAATATGCTGCAGAAATAATTTTCTGCTGAATGAGGTTCGGCCATAAGTCAAGGGCAGATTTATTAAGGCCCCTGCACAGCCTGTTCCTCGGCTTACTGTCGACATGACAGTTTAAATCTTTGATCACCCTTACACGTAACCCCTTCACTGCTGAACAGCCCAGATCTACAAGATGAGCAGCTCCTCCTGGTACTTGAGATGAGTTGAAAATGGTTCTAAATCCAAGCAGACAGGGCATCTTCACCAGGACCCAGGGGTGTCCAGTGTGTTCAGGGATTTTCAAGGTACAGTGAGGCATGGCTTAATGACAGGGACATCTTCTGGGAAATGCATTGCTAGACGATTTCATCATCGTGTGAACATCATAGCGTGTACTTACACAGACCTAGATGGTAGAGCCTACCACACACCCAACCTATATGCTATAGCCTATTGCTCCCATGCTACAAACGTGTAGAGCATGTTACTGTACTGAATACTGTAGGCGATTGTAACACAGTAGTAAGGATTTGTGTATCTAAACATATCCAAACCCAGAAAAGGTAATGCATTTTGTGCTAGGACCTTATGGCAGCTATGATGTCATTAGACAATAGGAATTTTCCAGCTCCATTATAGTTTTGTCGGCACACTGTCATAAGTGTGGTCTGTGGTTGACCGGAACACAGCTATGCAGCACGTGACTGTATCCCTCCTCCCATGCTCACTTCTCTTTTCTACCTGCTTCTGCTTCCAGGCAGGAACTTCATCATCTCCACTGCTGTGCTGTGGGAAAACTCCACTGCAGCTTCTGTTCCCAGAATAGCTGTTTTATCTAGTGAGTTCACTGGCTGTTCTGTGAGAGACTATTATTTCTGTGTTCTGTTTCTGTTTTTAGTAATTTTACCTTTCTGTGGCAAACACCTGGCATCACATAAACCAGTGTTTTAAAACCCATGAACCAGTCGGCTAGTAAGGTTGTATGGGTGCTATGACAATTACTTTTACATGTAATTTGATGTTGTATATTGCATTTGAGGTACTTTGGTTGCCACTACATACACCCACACCCACACACACACACACACACACTTCACAAAACAGTGCTAGAAGCTGCTATTAAGAATATTAAAATGCTTGCACAAACTTGAAGTCTCCAAGAAAAGATTCCTCTGTCCATGCTAACACACGTAAAATACCTGTATCGTGTTTCTTTGATATTCCCTTGTCTTAGATTCCTTGGCCTAAGTCTGGCTCACTGATTCCCACTGAGCAAATGATTACTATTGTTATTCCTCCTATATAGATAGCACTTTACATGTATCCATGTATCCACTTTACACATATCCTCATTAGCTTCTAATAATTCCTGCAAGTGGGTGTTATTCTGATTTTGCACACAAGAAAATCTGAGGCCTTAACCCAATGAGTTGCTCAAAGTGAGTCACTAATGTAAGTAAAAGACAACCCTCAGATCCTCTTTGGAGGCACAATCTCCTTACAAATAACTCCTTAAGAAATCAACACAATGCTGAATGGCTTGTGAAAGAGGGGTGTTAGTAAAATACCTCTTTTTGTCTGAGTGTAAGTACAAGTTTGCACTATACAGAAAGGTATTAAAAAGGGGGAAAATGACCCAAATCCCCCAAAGAAAAACCATGCTACCATTTCGATTCATATCCTTCCAGATTTTTTTCAACGAGAAGATGTTGCTGTGTTTGTTTCTTTGTTTGTTTTGGTTTGGTTTTTTGAGACAGGGCCTCACTCTGTCGCCCAGACTAGAGTGCAGTGGCGCAATCTTGGCTCATTGCAACCTCCACCTCCCAGGCTCAAATGATTCTCCTGCCTCAGCCTTCCGAGTAGCTGGGATTACAGGCATGAGCCACTACCACTGGTTAATTTTTTATTTGTTTTTGTATTTTTAGTAGAGACGGGGTTTCACCATGTTGGCCAGGCTGGTCTCGAACTCCTGACCTCAAATGATCCACCTGCCTCAGCCTCCCAAAGTGTTGGGATTACAGGCGTGAGCCACCATGCCTATCAGTTGCTGTTGTTTTAAGATGAGATACTAATCCATTTTAATCAAAAATGTTCACAAAATACCCCTTGAGCATATAGAAACAGGAAGAGGGGATTAGACATTGGCAAAACTGAGATTGTATAGCTAATGAGAAAACCCCAGCAAATAAGTTCTTTATTAAAAAGTAGTTTAATTGATTCAGCCTAGAAGTAACCTTAAAGATTTCTCTATTTTTGAATATTAAAACAGAAGGCAGAGACTGGCAAACTCCTTTTGAATGATGCAGGAGAGTTTGGAGAAAAAAAGATAAGATACGGACTAGAAATGTATAGATTAATTATACAGCATGTGTATAATGGATGTGAGGAAGAGTTATTCCACCTTCAGGAGAGAATGATTTCTCACAGTTATCACAGGGAGAAGTCAGCCTACCAAATCTTCAGTTAAGGAACCTTAACTTCCCTTGGTGGAAAACAAAATGACAGGAATTGGGGTGGAGAAGACAGGCATGGAGAAGAAAGTATAAATGGAGGAAACATCCAAGAATTTGGGGTAGATTTCCCCTTTTACAAAGAGAAGGAGAAAACCATGACCAGACATGAGGACCAACGCAACCACCATCAACTCATCAGCCACAATATCGCCCATGGGGTATATTCCTCTAAAGTTGCAATTCTAGAAAAGAAAAAGAATCTCAGAATTCAGCCCTAGACTGGTGGAAGAGCTAAGCCACAGAAGTGCTTAGAGGTCGTACATCTTCTGTTTCTGTTCAGGTAAACACAAGTTCCTGCCCACGCCCAGTTATTGCCAGCCACACTTGAAAAGAAATAAGAATACATTTTTCTTTCAGCAGAAGATTAATTGTGCATCCACTGACTTGAGTGTCAGTGTGGTCCTCGGGGCCTGAGAAACTGCTCGGAAGAAGGAAAAGAAAGCAATACACAAAGTACGCAATCAGCTGAGGAGAGCAAAATCATCAGGACCTGGCTTGGTGCTCTCAGGAGAAGTAACAAAAAAAGTAGTCAAATTCCCAGAAAGTTGAGTGTTTGCAAAAGACCCTAAGTGTTTCCTACTTCGGGCAACCCATATGAGTACACTGTGCTGGTCCCCTGTTAGCCCTGCAGAAACAGCCTAGCACCCTGCACTCTGTCCTCATCCTAAAACTGAGGTTTATCGAAGGGGAAAACTGTCCACTAGGCTGCCATTTTTCTCCCAGCAAGTCCTCAATTGTCACTAACACCAGCCAGCTGTACAAGGTCATCCACCCCGCTCACTTGCAGGATATTTTCATTATCTGCCAAATGAGCTGGGGGAGCTCTTACTTGTAGAGAAATATATGTGCTCCCTCCCTAGTCACACCCATTCATCTCCTTCTTAGAGCGTTTTACTTGGGCCCTATTAATGATTTCAGGCAGGCATTTATCTTGGAGTTTATGGGATATTTGGCCATATCTGCTAATACCGTGAACATATCTTTAATCAATGTGCTTTGATGTGCAGTTGTAATAATATAGGTGTATCATTCCATAAAAGTTTCCAATTTTAAAAAATTCAAAATACTATTTATGATTGAATTTGGTCCCACAAATTCTTATTTATGAAAACAAGTTGCCCATAAATATGTTTGAAAAGCTACTTTCTCAACATTTCTCCCCAAATACCTTAAAAGCCAAGCGTATAACAGCCGCATTAGAACAATGAGGAACAATGAGGATAACTGACAGGTTTTGTGCCTGTGTATTTTTCTCCTTTGTGCCACAAAGTTTCTAAGCCTTTGGGAGCCCCCAGGAACAATGACTCTGGTTTAATAACTGTGAAATGCTATTGAACTAGCAATAAAAAATATTCTCCACTGCCAAACAATATGATACTTACAACAGCCAGCATTCCTGCCAATCACAGGGCATTCACGCAAAAGTGGCCTGAGTTCCTTTAGCAACGAGAGTGCCCCTTATAAAATGTGTGTGCACAAGCACAAGGGTTTGGCAACACTGGAGGAGCTCTGCAGCTTGACATCACAGTTTAGACTGCATTCAACTACTGTATTTATGTTCACCTAGAAGAAAAAACATCTCTCTTGTTTGCAGAAGATAAATTAAAACATCAGGGTTGTGTGCAAGTGTCAATGGCCTCTACTACATGCATTTTTTGCTCTGTAAGTCCATCTTTCATAAATTAGAGCCCCTATTCTATAGGTCCACTAGTACGTTCCCAAGGTTCCTTATTTTGTTGGATAGATTTGGCAAAGAAGCAAGTTATTCCACATGAAGGTGATTTTCTCTTTAAGTGAAAGAAGTGAGCAGGATAAAGCGAGGCCTCACTTAAAATAAACAAGAAAGGAAGAAACCATCCATTTCTTTAAAGCTGAGAAGTATTCCTTTCTGGGAAGCAGTCTGTAAGGTCCAACAAGTCCTCAACCGGACGGCTGAGCAAATGACCACTCAAGGAAGGTTAATATAACCATATTCTCCCGGCAGGGAATTCTTTTTCTACATGAGATAAAAACTGGCCTGAGTTGGGCAATTCGTCTATGTTTTTAGGTACACATTATGTGGAGGAGAATTGGTGGGCAAACACTCTGAAATTGAGATATTTAGAATAAATCATCACTGCTTGATCACTGCTGCACCAAGTCTGGAAATCTAAATCAAGATATATGGACAGAGGAAGCATAGAAGGTCATCTCAGATGCCATCTAGTTGGAGAACCCAGTTATGCATAAACTGAAGTCACAGTAAAATTTCGGTAATTCTTCTGCTATGCGCCATTATTATTCTTCACCCTCTGCTTGTGTGAATTGGGGATTTGATGCAGCAACAGATGAGATTTTGAGTTGGTTCTTTCCCAGACAAAAGGAATGAAAGGAGAAAATTCAGCGCTGGGCGTGGTGGTGCAAACCTGTAATCCCAGCACTTTGGGGGCCCAAGGCAGGTGGATCACCTGAGGTCAGGAGTTCGCGACCAGCCTGACTAACATGGTGAAACCCCATCTCTACTAAATACAAAAAAATTAGTTGGGCATGGTGGCGAGTGCCTGTAATCCAAGTTACTTGGGAGACTGCGACAGGAGAATCACTTGAACCCAGGAGGTGGAGGTTGCAGTGAGCCGAGATCACGCCACTGCACTCTAGCCCGGACAACAAGAGCAAAACTCCATTTCAAAAAATGAAAACAAAAAAGAAAGGAGAAAATTCTCATGGAGGTGGGGTGAATCAGCACAGAGACCAAACGAAAAGGCATATTGTATTATGTTCCATATTTTCCTTGATTCTTGACTTTGGGGGCTGCAGTGTAACAGTTTCTAAAGGATTCAAAGAAGACAGAAGTTGCAAGCAAAGGAGTTCTAGGAAGTGTAGCAACAGAACTCTTCTTCGAATTTGACACTATAAAAAGATCCTTCTCAAATTGTACAAATGACATTTCATTGATAAATAAGAAATCTTTTTTTAAAAAAATACTAATTTTTTCATTAGTTTAGGGAGTGAGGCCAACACTATAATCAGTGCTTTCTCAGTAAGTTCTTGGTCCCTCACTTGGCTGTGACCTCCCTGAGAAGAGGGACCTTATGTTCTCCATCCAAAACTCCCTCACAGCACTTAACACAATATCCACACATAGTAGGTTCTCAACAAATGTTAACTGACAGTGTGGCTACTTTCTCAGTAGCTGAAAATATTATTAGTTTAACCATGTGAAATTGCTTCTTCTGTAGTCAAAAATGGTCAAATAGTGGTGATTTCACATAGTTAAGCCCAATACTTACTAACTACCCTTATACTGTTAGGTACTTCATTCATTCCACAAAAATTCCCTAAGAGGGACTGTGTGCCCACCACTGCAGCCAGAACAAATCCCACTTTACAAGTGAGGAAAGAGATACGTAGCTTAGCTAAGAGATTGCCAAAGCCAAGAAGTTGCCCGAAGAATAGAGAAATCTTGTGTATTAGTCCCTAAACCCAATATAAACCCAATATAAACAATTGCAAGCAGAAAAGTGGGTTTAGGGTGGAAATTTTTTCAAGCACAGTGCTCAAGTAATAAGAAAATTATCTTTCTCCCTCTATCTTTCTCTCTCCATCTCTCTGTTGTACTGGTCTCTCTTCTTTTGTATGTTGACCTCATTCTCTCTTGTCATAGGCTTTCTGTGTATACAGCTTGCCATCCAAAAGTATCTCAAATCTGTCCCAGTGCCCACACACTAGCTTTTATAGAAGGATATAACTGACCCTACTTGGGCCATATGCCCTGGCCCATTCCTTATGGAGAGAGCAAGATTGAAGTTGGCCAGGCCTAGACCATGAGCCTACCTCCCAGGGCCAGGGATGAGGCTCTGTAATTGACAAGTCACCAGAACCATCAGGGATAGAAAGGCAATTTCCCAGTAGAAAGAGAGGGAGTGGCAGACAAAACCACAGATGCCCAATATATCAAAGGAATGCCTGCACTCGCATGTTTATTGCAGCACTATTCACAATTGCAAAGATGTGGAATCAACCTAAGTGTCCATCAGTGGAGAATAGGTAAAGAAAATGTGGTATATATACACAACAGAATACTATTCAGCCATAAGAAGTAATGAAATCATCTCATTTACAGCAGCATGGTTGGAACTGGAGGTCATTAACTTAAGTGAAATAAGCCTGGCACAAAAAGACAAATATCTCATGTTCTCACTTATATGTGGGGCTAAAACTCTGGACACAAGGGGTAGAGAGTAGAAAAGTAGATAAAGACTAGGAAGGGTGAGTGCAGGGGGAAGATGAAGACAAATAGATTAAAGGGTACAAACATACAGTAAGATGGAAGGAATAAATTCATTGTTTGATAGCAGAGTAAGGTGACTCTACTTAATAAAAATATATTGCACTCAGGTGATGGACAGCCTGAATACCCTGAGTTGATCACTACATATTACATACATGTAACAAAATCTCTCCTGTACCCCATAAATTTGCACAAATAAAAACAAAACACCACAGATGGCCAATATCACTTTGCTGCTGTCCTGCCTGAGAGCTCTAAAACTATTTATTTGCTGACTCATGAATTATGTCTGCATCACAAGAGTTCGAGACTGAAAGACCAAATCACTACCTACTCCAATTTGGATGACCCCAACTTTTTCATCCCCAGCCACAGGATGTATCTGTCACTTGCTTCTTGCCAGGGCCAAGACACTATAGGAATTAGTACACACTTTTGCTGAGCCAAATGGATTTGGGGTCCCTCTGAGCCAGTTAGTTCTGAGCTACAACCGAGCTATATCACGTCTGCAGACTATACTGTGGCCAGGTCAGACCTGCTCAAGGGTTTCTGAATTAGGTGCCTCTTATTTCACTATATTAACCAAACAAAAGTGTGTGTGGGCATCAGTGCAAGCCTGTAAGAGGTGAGAACCAGAGGGAGCACTGTGCTGCCTTTCTAAAACAAGATCAACATTACAGGTATTTGAGAATTAATTTCGGCAGGGCAAAGGTTATCAGAAAATGTAGTTAAAATAATCTGCAGATTTTCTTACATTCTTATAATATTTATACAGGAATTTATTGATAGGAAATAAAATAAGTGATTAAAGGCATCTATAGGTGTTTAATAAATATTAATTGAACTAACCTGGATTAAATTTAGGGTTGTTTGTCCTTCCAGTTAAATAGGAAAGCATGCTATGACTGCTAGACTTAGCTATCTTCCCAAAGGGAAAGTGACAAATCTGGTAGCAATTAGGAAGCGGCGGGTGCAATGCCCTGGCAGGATTTGGCTGTGGTTGAAGCCCAAGGGGTGGGACTGCATCCACTATATGAGATGGTCTGGAAAACACAAAGGTGGCCAAAGGAGGGGGCCTGGTTATCAAAAATAGCCTCACTGCACAGGGATGCCCTGCCTCCTGCCTATGCACCCTGCTGAGGTCTTCTCTAGTTTCCAGGCTATTTTCTTAACAGAGGGACCATTTGAATATCATGTATTAGCTCTATATGGACGTGAGGGAGAGTCACGACAAGTTTAACGAGTCAAAGGTCAAACATCTTAGATGAATATGGCCTGGCCTTCAAGGGCCAGGCACAGCCCTTCAGAGACTGCCCAGCGAGAATAGACAGGTGCCCAGAGAGTGAGATGCCACCCCCAGGGACCTTAGAAGCCTTTGGCCACCTCTGTGGAAGTCTAAACTGCACTAGGACTAATTCAGTGTTGCCCTGAGGTAAATGCCTCCCTGCAGGGTTGCCTGCTCACAAGGGAACTTTCCCAAGAAGGTTTTTTTTAAACCATTCACTCACCAGAAATTCACTGTTGCAAGCCTTGGGCCATTTTATATGCCAACACGACCACTATTTGGAGGATGCTTGGTAGTGAGAGGAGGGAAAGGGCTTATTGCCGTTGATAAAGAATGCTGTTCCTGGAGGAGGAGCCAAGATGGCCGAATAGGAACAGCTCCGGTCTACAGCTCCCAGCGTGAGCGACGCAGAAGACGGTGATTTCTGCATTTCCATCTGAGGTACCGGGTTCATCTCACTAGGGAGCGCCAGACAGTGGGCGCAGGTCAGTGGGTGCGCGCACCGTGCGCGAGCCGAAGCAGGGCGAGGCATTGCCTCACTTGGGAAACGCAAGGGGTCAGCGAGTTCCATTTCCGAGTCAAAGAAAGGGGTGACGGATGGCACCTGGAAAATCGGGTCACTCCCACCCCAATACTGCACTTTTCCGACGGGCTTAAAAAACGGCGCACCACGAGATTATAACCCGCACCTGGCTTGGAGGGTCCTACCCCACCGAGTCTCGCTGATTGCTAGCACAGCAGTCTGAGATCAAACTGCAAGGCGCAGTGAGGCTGGGGGGAGGGGCGCCCGCCATTGCCCAGGCTTGCTTAGGTAAACAAAGCAGCCGGGAAGCTCGAACTGGGCGGAGCCCACCACAGCTCAAGGAGGCCTGCCTGCCTCTGTAGGCTCCACCTCTGGGGGCAGGGCACAGACAAATAAAAAGACAGCAGTAACCTCTGCAGACTTAAATGTCCCTGTCTGACAGCTTTGAAGAGAGCAGTGGTTCTCCCAGCACGCAGCTGGAGATCTGAGAACGGGCAGACTGCCTCCTCAAGTGGGTCCCTGACCCCTGACCCCCGAGCAGCCTAACTGGGAGGCACCCCCCAGCAGGGGCACACTGACACCTCACACGGCAGGGTATTCCAACAGACCTGCAGCTGAGGGTCCTGTCTGTTAGAAGGAAAACTAATAAACAGAAAGGACATCCACACCAAAAACCCATCTGTACATCACCATCATCAAAGACCAAAAGTAGATAAAACCACAAAGATGGGGAAAAAACAGAACAGAAAAACTGGAAACTCTAAAAAGCAGAGCGCCTCTCCTCCTCCAAAGGAACGCAGTTCCTCACCAGCAACGGAACAAAGCTGGATGGAGAATGACTTTGACGAGCTGAGAGAAGAAGGCTTCAGACGATCAAATTACTCTGAGCTACGGGAGGACATTCAAACCAAAGGCAAAGAAGTTGAAAACTTTGAACAAAATTTAGAAGAATTTATAACTAGAATTTCCAATACAGAGAAGTGCTTAAAGGAGCTGATGGAGCTGAAAACCAAGGCTCGAGAACTACGTGAAGAATGCAGAAGCCTCAGGAGCTGATGCGATCAACTGGAAGAAAGGGTATCAGCGATGGAAGATGAAATGAATGAAATGAAGCGAGAAGGGAAGTTTAGAGAAAAAAGAATAAAAAGAAATGAGCAAAGCCTCCAAGAAATATGGGACTACGTGAAAAGACCAAATCTACGTCTGATTGGTGTACCTGAAAGTGATGGGGAGAATGGAACCAAGCTGGAAAACACTCTGCAGGATATTATCCAGGAGAACTTCCCCAATCTAGCAAGGCAGGCCAACGTTCAGATTCAGGAAATACAGAGAACGCCACAAACATACTCCTCGAGAAGAGCAACTCCAAGACACATAATTGTCAGATTCACCAAAGTTGAAATGAAGGAAAAAATGTTAAAGGCAGCCAGAGAGAAAGGTCGGGTTACCCTCAAAGGGAAGCCCATCAGACTAACAGCGGATCTCTCGGCAGAAACCCTACAAGCCAGAAGAGAGTGGGGGCCAATATTCAACATTCTTAAAGAAAAGAATTTTCAACCCAGAATTTCATATCCAGCCAAACTAAGCTTCATAAGTGAAGGAGAAATAAAATACCTTACAGACAAGCAAATGCTGAGAGATTTTGTCACCACCAGGCCTGCCCTAAAAGAGGTCCTGAAGGAAGCGCTAAACATGGAAAGGAACAACCGGTACGAGCCGCTGCAAAATCATGCCAAAATGTAAAGACCATCGAGACTAGGAAGAAACTGCATCAACTAACGAGCAAAATAACCAGCTAACATCATAATGACAGGATCAAATTCACACATAACAATATTAACTTTAAATGTAAATGGACTAAATGCTCCAATTAAAAGACACAGACTGGCAAATTGGATAAAGAGACAAGACCCATCAGTGTGCTGTATTCAGGAAACCCATCTCACGAGCAGAGACACACATAGGCTCAAAATAAAAGGATGGAGGAAGGTCTACCAAGCAAATGGAAAACAAAAAAAGGCAGGGATTGCAATCCTAGTCTCTGATAAAACAGACTTTAAACCAACAAAGATCAAAAGAGACAAAGAAGGCCATTACATAATGGTAAAGGGATCAATTCAACAAGAAGAGCTAACTATCCTAAATATATATGCACCCAATACAGGAGCACCAACATTCATAAAGCAAGTCCTGAGTGACCTACAAAGAGACTTAGACTCCCACACATTAATAATGGGAGACTTTAACACCCCACTGTCAACATTAGACAGATCAACGAGACAGAAAGTCAACAAGGATACCCAGGAATTGAACTCAGCTCTGCACCAAGCGGACCTGATAGACATCTACAGAACTCTCCACCCCAAATCAACAGAATATACATTTTTTTCAGCACCACACCACACCTATTCCAAAATTGACCACATACTTGGAAGTAAAGCTCTCCTCAGCAAATGTAAAAGAACAGAAATTATAACAAACTATCTCTCAGACCACAGTGCAATCAAACTAGAACTCAGGATTAAGAAACTCACTCAAAACGGCTCAACTACATGGAAACTGAACAACCTGCTCCTGAATGACTACTGGGTACATAACGAAATGAAGGCAGAAATAAAGATGTTCTTTGAAACCAATGAGAACAAAGACACAACATACCAGAATCTCTGGGACGCATTCAAAGCAGTGTGTAGAGGGAAATTTATAGCACTAAATGCCCACAAGAGAAAGCAGGAAAGATCCAAAATTGACACCTAACATCACAATTAAAAGAACTAGAAAAGCAAGAGCAAACACATTCAAAAGCTAACAGAAGGCAAGAAATAACTAAGATCAGAGCAGAACTGAAGGAAACAGAGACACAAAAAACCCTTCAAAAAATTAATGAATCCAGGAGCTGGTTTTTTGAAAGGATCAACAAAATTGATAGACTGCTAGCAAGACTAATAAAGAAAAAAAGAGAGAAGAATCTAATAGACGCAATAAAAAATGACAAAGGGGATATCACCACCGATCCCACAGAAATACAAACTACCATCAGAGAATACTACAAACACCTCTACGCAAATAAACTAGAAAATCTAGAAGAAATGGATAAATTCCTTGACACATACACTCTCCCAAGACTAAACCAGGAAGAAGTTGAATCTCTGAATAGACCAATAACAGGATCTGAAATTGTGGCAATAATCAATAGCTTACCAACCAAAAAGAGTCCAGGACCAGATGGATTCACAGCTGAATTCTACCAGAGGTACAAAGAGGAACTGGTACCATTCCTTCTGAAACTATTCCAATCAATAGAAAAAGAGGGAATCCTCCCTAACTCATTTTATGAGGCCAGCATCATTCTGATACCAAAGCCAGGCAGAGACACAACAAAAAAAGAGAATTTTAGACCAATATCCTTGATGAACATTGATGCAAAAATCCTCAATAAAATACTGGCAAAACAAATCCAGCAGCACATCAAAAAGCTTATCCACCATGATCAAGTGGGCTTCATCCCTGGGATCCAAGGCTGGTTCAATATACGCAAATCAATAGATGTAATCCAGCATATAAACAGAGCCAAAGACAAAAACCACATGATTATCTCAATAGATGCAGAGAAAGCCTTTGACAAAATTCAACAACCCTTCATGCTAAAAACTCTCAGTAAATTAGGTATTGATGGGACGTATTTCAAAATAATAAGAGCTATCTATGACAAACCCACAGCCAATATCATACTGAATGGGCAAAAACTGGAAGCATTCCCTTTGAAAACTGGTACAAGACAGGGATGCCCTCTCTCACCACTCCTATTCAACATAGTGTTGGAAGTTCTGGCCAGGGCAATTAGGCAGGAGAAGGAAATAAAGGGTATTCAATTAGGAAAAGAGGAAGTCAAATTGTCCCTGTTTGCAGATGACATGATTGTATATCTAGAAAACCCCGTTGTCTCAGCCCAAAATCTCCTTAAGCTGATAAGCAACTTCAGCAAAGTCTCAGGATACAAAATCAATGTACAAAAATCACAAGCATTCTTATACACCAACAACAGACAAACAGAGAGCCAAATCATGAGTGAACTCCCATTCACAACTGCTTCAAAGAGAATAAAATACCTAGGAATCCAACTTACAAGGGATGTGAAGGACCTCTTCAAGGAGAACTACAAACCACTGCTCAATGAAATAAAAGAGGATACAAACAAATGGAAGAACATTCCATGCTCATGGGTAGGAAGAATCAATATCGTGAAAATGGCCATACTGCCCAAGGTAATTTACAGATTCAATGCCATCCCCATCAAGCTACCAATGACTTTCTTCACAGAATTGGAAAAAACTACTTTAAAGTTCATATGGAACCAAAAAAGAGCCCGCATCGCTAAGTCAATCCTAAGCCAAAAGAACAAAGCTGGAGGCATCATGCTACCTGACTTCAAACTATACTACAAGGCCACAGTAACCAAAACAGCATGGTACTGGTACCAAAACAGAGACATAGATCAATGGAACAGAACAGAGCCCTCAGAAATAACGCCGCACATCTACAACTATCTGATCTTTGACAAACCTGACAAAAACAAGCAATGGGGAAAGGATTCCCTATTTAATAAATGGTGCTGGGAAAACTGGCGAGCCATATGCAGAAAGCTGAAACTGGATCCCTTCCTTACACCTTATACAAAAATTAATTCAAGATGGATTAAAGACTTAAACGTTAGACCTAAAACCATAAAAACCCTAGAAGAAAACCTAGGCATTACCATTCAGGACATAGGCATGGGCAAGGACTTCATGTCCAAAACACCAAAAGCAATGGCAACAAAAGCCAAAATTGACAAATGGGATCTAATTAAACTAAAGAGCTTCTGCACAGCAAAAGAAACTACCATCAGAGTGAACAGGCAACCTACAAAATGGGAGAAAATTTTTGCAACCTACTCATCTGACAAAGGGCTAATATCCAGAATCTACAATGAACTCAAACAAATTTACAAGAAAAAAACAAACAACCCCATCAAAAAGTGGGTGAAGGACATGAACAGACACTTCTCAAAAGAAGACATTTATGCAGCCAAAAAACACAGGAGAAAATGCTCATCATCACTGGCCTTCAGAGAAATGCAAATCAAAACCACAATGAGATACCATCTCACACCAGTTTAGAACGGCAATCATTAAAAAGTCAGGAAACAACAGGTGCTGGAGAGGATGTGGAGAAATAGGAACACTTTTACACTGTTGTTGGGACTGTAAACTAGTTCAACCATTGTGGAAGTCAGTATGGCGATTCCTCAGGGATCTAGAACTGGAAATACCATTTGACCCAGCCATCCCATTACTGGGTATATACCCAAAGGACTATAAATCATGCTGCTATAAAGACACATGCACACGTATGTTTATTGCAGCATTATTCACAATAGCAAAGACTTGGAACCAACCCAAATGTCCAACAATGATAGACTGGATTAAGAAAATGTGGCACATATACACCATGGAATACTATGCAGCCATAAAAAATGATGAGTTCATGTCCTTTGTAGGGACATGGATGAAATTGGAAAACATCATTCTCAGTAAACTATCGCAAGAACAAAAAACCAAACACCGCATATTCTCACTCATAGGTGGGAATTGAACAATGAGATCACATGGACACAGGAAGGGGAACATCACACTCTGGGGACTGTTGTGGGGTGGGGGGAGGGGGGAGGGATAGCATTGGGAGATATACCTAATGCTAGATGACGAGTTAGTGGGTGCAGTGCACCAGCATAGCACATGTATACATATGTAACTAACCTGCACAATGTGCACATGTACCCTAAAACTTAAAGTATAATTAAAAAAAAAAAAAGAATGCTGTTCCTAATTGGTGGACGCTACCCTCACATTATTCATGTAGGCTACACAGTAGAACAAAACAATAATAATAGTATTAACACTTATACAGCACCTATGTTGGACCAGGAATACTTCCCTGGGCTTTCCAAATACTAACTCATTTAGTTACACAACCAACTTGTGAAGTCCATGCTATTATTACCCCAATGTGATAGCTGAGCATCACAGGCAGGGAGCAGTTGTCACCCAAGGCCAGGCTCTTAGCCACCATAAACATTGTTTCAAAGAGGAGGCTTTTGTCTTTTAAATAATATACGGAATGCATGAGGAATGCACTTAGCACATGTTATTATCATCCAAATAACATAATATATAATCAATACATTATATTATCATTAATAATTATTACCAGAATTATTATTATTACAAATAATTAATCACAAAGATGATCTAATTCGACTAAAAATCACACAAGAACTAATAATGAAGGAAATGGATGGGCAGGCCAAGGCTCTGACTCTGTTTCCAACCCTTGGTTACTGATTTACTAGTTTACAAACTTGGGTTTAGTTTTCCCCTGAACTTCCTGTAGAGATGGCCCCTCAAGTCTTTGGGTAATCTGGTTTGGAGATCTTCAGCTAAAACTCCAAGAGTGTGCTATTTGTGTAACTGACATGTAAGTTTCTGAATATTAAAATAGACTTGAAAAGGGAATTTCAAATCTTAATCAGTCCAAAAAATAGAAAGAATTTAAGCATTATCAAGCAGACTTTCAGATGTAGTTTTCAGTTGTTTCTGCACGCAACTCCAGAAAGGAAATTGTGTTTCTTAGAGCATCCATCTAAGACAAAAGATTTAGCAACCATCCTAATGAAAGCCCAGCAGGACAGATGTTTTGCAGGCATTATTTAAGTATGAAGGCTGACAAACTTACCATGGGCGATATCTGAATGTTATGTCCACGCACCATCAAGCCACAGAATTGACTGTATTTGGTACTGAGTGGGAAGGATGTTCAGGTCACGTGTGGACACAACCACACCAGCCATGACAGGATCAATGCCGTGTGGCTGGATTGTGACTTCGCAGCAGCCTCTCTCTACGTCTCTCCAACCACAGCCATAGGAAAGGACACAGGGAAATTGAAAAGCTGTTTGCTCCTAACCGTGCTTTTATGGACTGAATTTGGGAGCTGCCAGAGCAACACGTAGGATTTTGGTTTATTTGTATTTTTTGGTTTGTGTGTATGTTTATTTGCTTTTTAACCAGAGCAATTTTTTGGGTGTCACCTGTGAAGAAATGGGAGGATTAAGAGCTTTATCTGAAGTGTTTTTCTCCCCACTAGAGAACACACTGCCATTATAAGAAGTATTTTTATCAGCTGCATGCTTTCGCTTGCAAGTGTTTGCGTAGCTGTTAATGTTAAAAACAGAAGCCGTGGCATCCATTTTAAGTCTCAGGGATAAGAGAAAAAAAATGTTTCCCTTGTTTAGAAGGCTCCAGTGTTTCCCGGCAGTACCCGAATAGGATGTTTGTTTTAGGCTGAGAGAAGGAATGGCAGGCAGGCAGCAAGTGAACTTTTCATTTATAAAACATGGCTTTTTTATAAAGTGTGCCAGATCGTTAATAACCAGTGAAGGATGGACTCAGGAAGCCTCAGAGCACATATTTTTGGAATGAAGCTGAAGACTTCATTACTATTCTAGAGGAATATTGTTCCCATGAAGTTTTCCGTGGGCATAAAATCTAACCCATAGTCCCTTCTAAACATCTTGAGGCACTGCAGGCTCTAAGATAGCTCACAGAACCTGATTATCATTTGAGAAAAGACTTTCTTTCTCCACCTCAGTATAGAAATCAGTTATCGTGCTTTTGCTTTGTTGTTAATCCCTTCCCATTTAGTCCATCGTGATTCTCTAATTTCATAGATGGGGGTAAAATGCTGAAAATTCATTTCTTCGGAAATTGTTTAGCTTTAGTAACAGAGAGTGTGCCATATTTATTTTAACATCTTTAGACCTACTTCAGCTTGACAAAGTGTATCAGTCTATGCCAGAGGCCTTTCAAATTTCAGTTTAGTCTGTCTAAAACAGGTTTATACCTAGGGGCCCATGCCCATGGTTAGAAAAAAACACAAAGTTGACACTTTTGGCTAGAGAGGGATGGAAGGAGAGAAGAAGGGGAATTTTTCATTGCCTAATACACCAATGTAACGCGAGCGGTCCCAGGAGCTGCTGGAAGATGGACACCCCAATACCTAGACCTGAGCAGGGGATAAAAAAGAGAAAAGAAAAGAAACAAAATTTTGCTAACTGACTAATTTGGGAAGTGTGTTGGGAGGTAGAAGGTAGGCATGTCAAAGAAAAGAAAACTGCAGGGCTGGGGGGAAGTAGGGAAGATTGCTCTTGTTTTATACAAAATCTCCTGAGGAGAGGCAAGAAAACAGGCAAGTAATAAATAACATACTCAAGTTTATCCTGAGCCCAAACAACCCTCAGGGCTGAGGCTCTGCAGACCGCCTTCCCTGCCAGACCCACTGCCACTCATCTGCGGCAAGGGGATGCCTTTCCTGCCTGAACACCCAGGCCTTCAGCCCTGGGTAAAAATATCTGTATTGGTATTTTGTAGCTTTTTCTCCTGCACGCTGATAAAAACAAACCCCGTTTGTTTAAAAATCAACTTCCCCACTCCCTCCGCCCTATTTCCACTCTACTCTCATCCTTTTCCAATTTTTTTTTGAAACCCCTTAAAGGAAATGTCACCCAAACATAAGGAATTGGTCATTAGTATGTCTAATGGTGGACATTTTTTATGTAACGCTCTGAATCTATAGTGAACAAAAGCAACTGTTGAGAACTCTGCAAAAAAACTGCCCAGCAATTTTAAGTTAATGGGCAAGATTAATGGATTGTCATATAATGTGAAGGGAAAGTATTAGAAAGAAATGAAAGTGGCTAGACAAAATTGGTTTGGAATTGGAGTCTACCTGAAGGCCCCTCAGCAAGAACATTACTGTCTGCTGTATTTTCAGCTAAGCAGTGTATTAATTTGAAAGCCATGCCTCGTACGGATACCCAGCACTTAGTGGTTGGTTTTATGTTTAAAATGCTTAGTATGAAACCTGTGCTGAAAATTTGCCCAAACATCTCACAGTTGATTGCAAACCCGAGTGCCTGGGGGCTCTGAGTCCACACCTCAAGAATGCTGGAGTGGGGGGACTTTCTGGCTCCACACCTGGGTTTGTCAAGGCCTCTTCGGGCTGCTGGGAATGTGCCCTGCCTGGGGCCCGCTGCTCTCCTCATCAGCCCTCTGACAGATTAAAACACAACAGGGTCTGTTGCCTGACTGACACATTCCTCTCCTGTCTGCCTCTGAAAGGACTTTATTTAACAGTCCTGGAGTCGGGCTTTGACTGACAGATTGTGAAGGGTAAAAGTCATTCAGTTCCATTAAGCTCTGTAACTGCCCTGGAACAAAACACCTTCCAAAAAAAGTGTCGGAGGGAGGGGAAAATAGAGCTGTGGAGAGTGGGGGCATGAGCTTTCGGGAGAAAAAAAGGGGGTTTCTTTTCAGGTTCAAAAACAATCCTCCTCTTTGCCTTCTGTCTATCAATTAGGGCGGCATTCCCAGAGGGAATACAGGCCCGGCCTCATTGGTGTCATTC
Organism: Homo sapiens; assembly: GCF_000001405.40. Classification (NCBI taxonomy): domain Eukaryota; kingdom Metazoa; phylum Chordata; class Mammalia; order Primates; family Hominidae; genus Homo; species Homo sapiens. Next base: position 25,753,516 of record NC_000007.14, read on the forward strand.
AGCTGCCAATCTCCTGACAGAGACACCAAAGGGCCTCATGTAGCGCTGCGGAAACTGTCTGTCAGGCCATCAGCAGCTGCTATGACGACATCGCCTCTGTTTTTCTAGGACTCTTATGGAGGGGGGAGTTCACCCCAACAGAGTCTCAGAGTCTCGACTCCAAACCTCTGTTCATATTTTCCTTTTACAACCCATCCCCAGTGTGAATTTCTTCACAAAAACAACCCCCGGCTCCCTTGCCTGGCTCGGCTACGAGGTAAATAATAGCTTGCCAGCCAAGGACATGGTCTTGGGTGTGAGAAAGGGGTTCTGCTTCTGGGAAAAACCGAGTCGTGACTGAACACATTCAACGACTCTGGCTCAGATGAGTCCAAAGAAACCCGATTTGCAGTGAAAGGTCTCCATCCACCGAAAGGCCTGCACAGGCCGCGTGTGAAGAGCAGTGTGGCCCCACAGACGGCCTCCTGCTCAGCCTTAACCTTGTTTGGGTTGCTGTGGGTTTCATTCCCCTGGAGTTTTGCTTGGAGCCTGAAGGCTCAAGCACAGCTCAACACTTTAAGCCAAACTCAGCACCAAGCAACCACTTCCCACTGCTCTGTTTTTCTGCCTTGCTCCCCGCTTTCCCCAAGGCCTGACTTACACGGCTGCCTTGAGTTTGCCCCAAAGATTCCTCAGCCTCAGCTGATCACACAGAAGACCCAAGAGTACAAAGGAAGGGCCCGTTTACCCGAGCTTTCTGGCTGGACTGGGGAAAATATCTTTACCCCCTCCCTGCCCTCAACTCCCTCCTGTCCACTCCAGATTCTGCCTAAGACTTGGGGAGGCAGATCCGGGCCACCAATGGCCACCTGCAAAGATAGTGGTTGTCTCTGCATTCTGTAAAGGCTGTGTTTGTGATTCCTGGCATTTCCCTGGAAGTGTTTTCACATTACAGGGAGCTGCTTCCAAATGGTAATGATAGCACTTTGTACCAAACTGAGAGCTGGAGCAAGTTGCTGCCAAGCCCCCATGGTCGGGCCATCGTGTTGCAACGCTTCTGCTTCTATTACAGTTCTTCACATGTTCCACCCGAACCGTACAAAATGTTTAGCCAAACCCTGTAAGAACATGTACATAAAGCTGTCTCCATGCTGCCAAGGTGGTAAAGTCGATCTTTTTTCTTCCTTAAGTCTGAAAGCTCTGCTAAGGTCCAACACTTCCTGAGCATAAACTCCATCTGGGGTGGCTAAAATCTGTCTACAGGGCAATATACTGATTTTAGACACCCAGATGCTGGGCCTTGGATATGCACTACCTAAATGAAGACACTGCCTGGGGAAATTCAGAATTAACTAGATTTTTGGCACTGGGAGTATATGCAGAGAGGAGCAAATGGACAGGATGATGCGAGGGAGAGAGAGGTTGATGTGATTGTCACCTTCCTGCTCTGCAGCCTCAGGAAGACACACTCAGAAGCCAGCCCTTTGCCATCTGCATGGATAGAAATGGCAACAGTCATGGGAGGCACTGATAGTTCACTAATGAGTGAATATTTCCACATTGCTTTGCAGGTCTTTGGTTATTGCAGCACATTTTCATTACTGAAGCAGAGAAGAAACCAACCTAAGGAATTGGGCAGGCCACCAGGGATATACACAAAGTGCTCTCACCTCCTGGGGCATCACCAAAAAGAGACTTTAGTCGCTGGATCAAAGGCTATTGGGAACATTTCACTCAGGATGAATTATCTTGAAAACACCACCTGGAGTAGCCCCAAATAAGCAGATGCTTTGGAGCTCCTGGATGCTGAGTGGTGGCACAGATTCCCATCCTGGGGCTCCGTGTCACCATCCAATGTCTGGTAACCCCATCCATTCCCTTTGTATCTTCCACAAAGACTTCAGATCCTCACACTTCAGGCCTTCCAAAAGCTTCTCAATTGAAGGCCCAATAGTCTAAGATCTGAATATTGAATTGCCTTTGCTGGAAAGACAACTGTCTTTGTTTACTGCTTTCTCAAGCAATTCCTGGCTGTTTATGCCACCTGAGATTCTACATAGTTCTCTCTGGCCTTGTGTTCCAACATCTATTATATTAGGTACTGTGCCTCTCCTGTTTTTCTTTCCATTGTGCTAGGGAAGAATTAAAGGGTCCTTTGAGCCCTCAAGACAGTGATGTGTATAGTATTCATTGTGTAACATCTTATTTGATTTTTTTTTTTCTTTGAGGTGGAGTCTTGCTCTGTTGCCCAGGCTGGAGAGCAGTGGCGCCATCTGGGCCCATTGCAAGCTCCACCTCCTGGGTTCACGCCATTCTCCTGCCTCAGCCTCCCAAGTAGCTGAGACTACAGGCGCCTGCCACCACGCCCAGCTAATTTTTTGTATTTTTAGTAGAGACGGGGTTTCACCGTGTTAGCCAGGATGGTCTCGATATCCTGACCTCGTGATCCACCCGCCTCAGCCTCCCAAAGTGCTGGGATTACAGCCGTGAGCCACTGCACCTGGCCCTTGGTTGAATTTTTATCCTTACAGTATTTCCCCTTGACTGGTTACGTTGTGGGTAATCTTCAACCAAACCTGTTACAGTTTAATTTTAGCTAAATAAATAGTTCCTACTATTTAGTAAATATATGTAAGTTTAGACAATTTGTTCTTATTTCTGTGAGTAGATTCCCCCCCACTGTAAATTAGCTTAATCCTAATTAATCTTAATTAACATTACTCAGGTTCGTATTATAGCAATAAAATACATCATAAGCACCACCATTCCATCTTTTCATTTCATTCATGCAAACTATGAGGCCAAGAAAGACATGCTTGCCATGCACCTCCCCAACTCAGGAAAATTCTAATTCACAAATATAAATACATAACATGCCACTTGGTGTTGGTGTTACAACTTTTAGTCCATCTCCAGAATGAGATAGAAAGTAAGGACTTGAATGATCACCTAGCATCCCCATGGACACAAATCCTATGAGGATGGCGCCAATATGTTCCTCAGAATGTTATGAATTTCTAAAATGTCACATATGCCCATGTGCAAAGATCTATAAAACTTCATTATTGTTACAATTATGCACCATTTTCTGTTAGCCACACAAAGAAATCTCTTGATAAAACAAAAATAACTTTGAAGGACATGGTATACAGAAAGTGTCAGAATAACCAAAATGATTGACTGAAAAAAATCCAATATATCATCCTTAAATAACAAAACTACACAGATGAGAAGTGTGTTCTTGGCACATCAAGGAAGCATTTGGAAGAGCTCATTTGAATAGATGAATGGAATTGATCTATTAAAAGCACAGAGACAGCTGTCAGACCTCAAAACAGTAATGAGGCTAAATTTTCCCAAGTTAAGACTTTGATCCTCAGCAATGATCTTAGACTTGTGATCAAAGATACCCAGGCACTTTAATCTTCACTTTACTTTCCTAAATCCCATGGATTATAATATCATGACTTTACAAGAATAATCACTATACAGGAGAAGACTGGCTTTTTAAAAAGGAACTCAGCTAAGAGAAGCCAAGCTAAAGGTGAAGTTACCTCTGGTTAGGAATGTGGAGTACCCAGTGCCCTCTTAATAACAGTGGAGACTATAAATCTAATCCAAATATTTATGAAGTACCTTGTTTCTTTTATATGACTGGCTGGTTTACAAAATGTTGTGCCCTTTAACCTCCAAACTCTTGTGTTGTTCTTAAATATAGAAGGAGAAGGAATGGAAGGAAAAAACAGAGAGAATAAAGGAAAAGATGAGAAATAAAGATGGTTATGCCTGTCTCTCAGGTTACTAAGGATCATCTTTGAAAGGTCCATTCATCCACTGGGTTGAGAAAGCCACTGAGCCCAAAGGTGGGTCAGAGCAGCACCCAGAGAGTGCTGAGCCAGCCACAGATGACTTTTCTCAAGATGTTGACATCTGATTAATGCTTAAACAAAGCAATGAGAAAAAGTTTTAACTTTTTCACAAATGAAATTGGTATCATGGTGCCTCCATAGCCTGAAGGAATGAATTGTCAAACGAATTCTGTTTCATAATCTTTTTTTCTAACTTTTAAGCTTTATTGCCTTTTATGCATTTAGAAACTGACATCATTTATACTAAAATGTGGTTAGCCTTTTGTGAAGAAGCAAATTCTCACTCGACACAATGACTTCAGCCATCCTAGGAAAACATGCCTCTAATCAGGACTGAAAGCCTAGCACCATTTGTGTGTTGAAAATGAACGTATTTCACTGAATTTCATGGTATTTTTTATTATAACTTTAACAGGAGTGGGCGTTAAGAATCTTTGACAGAAGATCTTTGTTTTAGAAGGTTGCTCCAAGGTCCAAACCTCAGTTTTCTTGCCTCACAGGCATTCATTTCTTTATCTACTGATGCTAAGTTCACAATTCTTATTCCTTTCCAGACCCTCCTCCTCTTTCCTGGGAAAGATGCTTTTTGAAATATCCAAGTTTCTTCAAAGACTCTGGAAATAAAGAACTAAGAGAGAAGCTAGCTCATTCTGGTTTCTATTTGTTCCACACAACTTGAGAATATTTTAAATGCCCAATTTTCTATAAGAATTGATTAATACCTGACCTGTTTCCTAGTCTTGGTAGTTAAATATGTGAATGTGGAATTCTTACTGTGAATGTTGAGCGGTGATAATGGTGTAAGCTACAAACTCATGACACTGAAAGATGCCACTCCTTTCTTCCTAACAGTCTTGTACACCTTGGCCAAGTCACTGTCATCTCCAATTCCTATCCATATAACATGAATAATATTTCATCTCAGTTGTGCCATGATAAAATGTACTTGTAGCCTATTGTTGAGTTCCTGGGAATGATCTTCCATGAAGCCTTAGTCTTTCTTCTTGTTTCTTCTATGATTTAGGCCACAGGGAAAATCAAAATCCAAGGTGGGAGCCAACCAAGAACCTAAAACCAACTTCTCCATTCTGACATGTTTGTAAACATCAAGTAAATTAAATTTTTTCTTCAGTTCTTTTAGATGTACATTTCACCAAAACTGAGATTTTTCTGCTTTAAATGCTTATCTAATTGGCTATTTTTCTGTAACGGTTCACCACTCATGTACTCTTAAATGGGTTCAAAAAACATAGTGTGCCCTTAATATTGGCTTGACATTTCCAGTTCTGGTGGCTAATGTGCAGAAGTGGCTTCTGTGCTAGGTTGATGCATTGCCTTTTCTAGACAAATGTACTTCGTGACATCTGACAACAGTAACATGATTAAACCATTGTAACCTGAGTGTCAGTTCCTCAGGGGTGCTTTAAAAATACTTGAGAGTAGGATCTTACATGTAACAGAAGAATGCAAGCCCACACTCGCCCGACTGTAACTATCAACTACCACACACAGAAAAGACCAGAAACAAATAAAGCTTTCCTTTTAGGTTTGGTTTAGAACATATCCCAGTACCAAAATTTGTTTTGTATTACAGTCCTCTTTATTACTGGTTTTCTATACCTATTAGGGTATAATTTCAAATTAATTTCAATTTAAATTCAAATTAAAAAAATAAAAATAAAAAACTCATTTGAAACAAATACAAAGCAATAGCAAGGCGTCACTTTGAAATCATTATGACACCGAGGCACAAAAATGTCCACTTACTAATTAACCTTACGTTCGTGTTTATAGTACACTTCTGGGCAAATCTAAAAGGTTTTATTTATAATTATGGCATTTCCCCTATTGTGAAAAGTGTATTATCTTTACTATAACTTTATTTTCATCTCCATTAGTTAAAAAGCAAAGGAATGTGGCACAGAAGGCAAAATATTTTAAGACATGGAATCAACTGTTTAAAAATACATACCCACTAACTCCAGTAGCATTTATAACAACATAATGGCAAGATTCTAGTAACTTGTCTTTGGCTGTTTTCAGAGGTCCAATGTGAAATGGAAACATTGAGTTCAATTATGCAGCTATTTTAGGTTTGGTTGCTTGGCTTGAATGATTAGGATAATTGTCCCAATTATTCTCTGTACTTTGTGTGTGCAGACCCAGACCTAAAATGTGATTGGGTGTAGAGTATCTGATGGGAAGACAGAAAACCTGGATTCTGTGTTTCAATGGATCCATGATTAAGCCTGTAATTTTGAACAGTTGCATCCTCTATGTGCCTCAGTTTATCCATCTTACAGAGAAATAGAAATGCTATTTTATCAGAGCAAATCAAGATGATTGAACTTAAAAATTTTTTCAGCAGCTTTTAGAGAAAATGTCATATGAAAACAAAATAATCCTATGTTAGCCCAGTTCTCCTAGAAAACAGAGCTGAAGCAGGAATTCCATCCCAGTGCTTTCTATGGGAGGTGCAATCCCAGAGCAATTAAAGTGAAAGAAAGAGAAGTGAAGCAGGGAAGGATAAAAAGCAATGCAAAGTGATGCATGAATATGCTGGCCATTACTTCACAATGGGCCTAAAGAGACGCAGGAGTCCACTGAGGAAGGAAGGAGAGGGAATTGGTCCTCCAGGTTCCCTCCCATCTCCTGTTTGCCATTGATCAAAACACATACCACAGGGAATTATGTCCCTACACTTCCAGGTTGCACCATCTGGCCCCTCTGACAGAGCCGATGCCCTGCCGAGTGTCATTTCATCAAGTTTGGGAGAATGTGGGAGAACCCGGGAGCTCAGGTGTGTTAACCAAATGGCATCAGGCTGTAGAAAGACATGGGTCCCCACAGAGTTTCAACACAGCAGGAGCTGAGTAGGGTGAGCAGCTGAGAGCCTGGGGACAGAGCTGAGAGAGGCTGAGGAGGCTCATCAGAGGCATGCAATGCACACGTGGTTAGCCAGTTGGCTCCCTGTTATAATTACAGATTTGGTATATCAATAAGTTACCCAAGAGTTACCAAAGTGCCAATCAATTTGCCTAAGTCCACTGGCCCAAACCAAAAACTTTGCAATTTCTGACTTTGAACAGCTAAGTTGGAATATTTTCTCTAAATAAATGATTTAAATGGAAAGGATAAAATGCTAAAAACATAGATGATTCCCAACCTTTCTAGAACAACCATGTCACTAATAGGGGACAGCATGGAAGAGACAGCACCGCACTAAGAATTCAGCCCACATTTTCCTTAACAAACTAACACAGGAACAGAAAACCAAATACCGCATGTTCTCACTTATAAGTGGGAGCTAAATGATGAGAACACATGGACATAAGAGGGGAACAACACACACAGGGGCCTACTTGAGAAGATCATGAGCCAGCCGGGCGTGGTGGCTCACGCCTGTAATCGCAGCACTTTGGGAGGCCAAGGCAGGCGGATCACGAGGTCAGGAGATCGAGACCATCCTGTCTGACACGGTGAAACCCCAACTCTACTAAAAATACAAAATATTAGCCGGGCATTGTGGCGGGCACCTGTAGTCCCAGCTACTCGGGAGGCTGAGGCAGGAGAATGGTGTGAACCTGGAAGGCGGAGCTTGCAGTGAGCCGAGATGGTGCCACTGCACTCCAGCCTGGGCGACAGAGCGAGACTACATCTCAAAAACAAAAACAAAAAACATCCAAACAGCATAGAAAGTAAAGAAAATAAGCTGTTAAGATGAAGGCAGGTTTTCATCACATGAAGTAGTCCAATGTGTTTGGTAGGTATGAGTCTAGGGAAGTCCTAGGAGGAGCTGGGCAAGTAGAAAGAGCCAAGGAGTAAAAGACCTTGATAGAGAACACCTGGTGCTTGTCTGTCTACCATCCATACTGTCTTTAGAGAGCTGCTCCTTCACTGTATGCAGTCCCAGAGAGGATATCATCACTGTCCAGACACCCACAGTCATGGGGGTGAGCATGTGGCTCAGATGAAGATCATTAGAACAGACATTAACGACTGGTCCGGGGGTGAACACAAGATCAGAGCAGGGTCAATCAGGACTTTCTGGATTAATGTAAGGATATCCACTTCTGGGCATGAGCACCAGGCAGTTGTATTTTTTTTTTTTTTTTTTTTTTGAGACAAAGTCTCACTCCATCGCCCAGGCTGGAGTGCGGTGGCACGATCTTGGCTCACTGCAACCTCTGCCTCCCGGGTGCAGGTGATTCTCCTGCCTCAGCTTCCCGAGTAGCTGGGATTACAGGCACGCACCACCATGCCTGTCTAATTTTTTTTTAATTTTTAGTAGAGACGGGGTTTCACCATCTTGGCCAGGCTTGTCTCAAACACCTGACCTCGTGATCCGCCCACCTCGGCCTCCCAAAGTGCTGGGATTACAGGAGTGAGACACCACGCCCAGCCTCAGACGTTGTTCTTCTACAGGAAAACTCAAGTTCTAGGCAGAGAGGGCAATGGTTTTTTTTCTGCATTACCCAGCATCCATTCTTCCTTCTTCTAATAATGGTTCCCCAAATATCATTTGCGGACCTATCCTCCTCCTAGTCTCAGTCATTACAGTTTAGATAGGACAGACTCCATGCACAGCTTCATAGGCATCTACCCTAGGCCCAGCCAATCAGAGCCACAAGATTGGTTCAGGAGTGCTTCTGAGCCCATCTCAACCAGTCTGGCAGAGAGAAGGTCCTCTTTTTCCCCTCTGGATTTGGAGCTGTAACAATCTATGTCTAGGCTAGTGGCAGCCACTTGTCCTCACCAGTTAAAGCATGCCAGAACAATGGAGCCAGTGTGGAGGAAGGTGGGACTGAGAAATGGAGAGACTGGAGCCAACTAAACATTTGGTTACTGAGTCAATAGCGTCCTTTTTTTTGTTTGTTTGTTTGTTTTGATGAAAATAATTTGAGCTGAGTTTTCAGTACTTGCAGCAGAAAGACTCTGACCTGATACAGAGGGATAGATACACAGGTAATCACAATGCAATGTGATAAATCTTAATGTGAAAAGAAAAATAAAGTGCTTTGGGAGTTGTGGACAGTCAGTGTTGCTTCTTTGGTTCTTCGTTGGTAAAATGGCTCACCTGCCTAGATAACAATTAAAGTGCCCCCCAACCTGACCCTATGCCCACATAATCTATCATTCAGGGAAGATTTGGCTCGTTAGGGCGTCTCTCCTGGTATCCAGAACTGCTGCACAGGGAATATGCATGTTCACAGCCATCTGTTTACTAGTAAAGCAGTGCTGATTCCTCTGCCTCCTTAAAGATTCCATCGCATTATTAACATGGTAGGTCACTGGTTGGAAATGCAAACGCATAGCCAATTAGTGGAAGACAAGGTGAGCTTGCCAATCGATAATCACCACACCACCTGTTGCGCTTTGAAAAATTACCTCACAACATTCTTGGGTCCTTAGGTAAATCCTTAAACTTCATCCTGAAGAAAATGAATCACATATGTGTCTTCCTCGCCATGGGATATGCATTGGTCCGCGTGAAGCATTGTAGCTGTTCTATACAAACATGAAAAGCATTTGAATACAGGGGATAATGGGCATCATAAAAGGGGTAATAAAAAGCAGAGTTCCTGGAGTTGTCTCACCTAGCAGTGGACTCTATTCTGGGATTCCTTTCCTGTAGCGTCTACAATTATGCTATTATAAATAGGCACAGAGTTTATTCATAAAATGGCTTGGTTTCCTTCCCTCAACCGGTAGACCCTTCAACCAGGGACAGGGGATCCTCCACACACTGGGTGTCATGTGGTCAAAGGGGGCTTCTGCCCCTCGCTCTGCAGGCTGACTGCACATTTCAGATGCAGTGGAAATAAAAACTGCTGCTGCCAGTGTTGCTCTCAACTGAGATAACTGACCTCTAACCACCCACATATTCCACCCTCTCAGTGCATCCATCATTCTGGTCATTAGACAGTAACACTGTTATCCAGGTAGCTACAGTCACAACTGAGAGTGTCCTTTAATGCATTCCCAGTATAGACTCACACAATGTGACTGACATGACTACCCTGAAAAACAAAAAACAGGTACCTTACTTGTACCTTGGCTCTGAGGCTGGGGGAGCCAAGCTTCTACATGAGCCCCTGTTAGAAGCCAGGTACTGTGTCAAGTATTCCACATGCATTATCTTGTTTTATTCTCACGATAGTCCTATAACATAAATACTCTAGTATCACTGCTTTACAAAGAAGAGACTGAGGCACACAGACGTTAGTCAACTTGTCCAAGATCACATAGCTAACAAGTAGCAGAACCTGAATTCTAACCTGGAGGCTGCATTCTTGCCATTATGCTCAACTTCCTTCCCCTAGCTCTTCCTCTTTCTCCACGGAGGATGCATGTCAGTCCTGCATTCATTCCTACAGCACACCCAGGTTTTTTCACTTGATAGATTTTCTCCCACAACCCCATTCACAACTCATCATCCTCCCTAACCCAGAGATTAAAAAGTCACCAATAAGACAATGTGCTTGTAACTAAGCTAACAGTGTTATTCCCAGTGTATTACTGGGAATATACAAAAGTCCTATGTGTGTATCATTAAGCAGATATTATATATATGGAGCCTGAGTGTGTGTGTGTGTGTGTGTGTGTGTGTGTGCGCGCGTGCATTTGGGTAGATTTAATACATTGAATCCTCTCAAAAAAAGACCTTGGAAGAATGCTTCTCCAACCAACAAATGTTTATTGCCTATCTCCTATGAGATTACTAGATGCTTAGAGCAATCTTGACATTGTAGACATGTAAACAAGTAACTCCAAATAGAGGGGAGGATAAACAAACTCTCTAAAAGTTTTATCAGCCAAATCCTTTGGTGGCAAAGTGGAAGAACTTGAAGTATAGGTAAGGGTTTTGAAGGAAGCAGCATTTTGATTAAGCCTCGAAGACTGAGAAAAATTTTGGTAAGTATAGAAGGGGAAGAAAAAAAAATCCAAGGCCGGCACGATTTCTCATGCCTGTAATCCCAGCACTTTGGGAGGCCGAGGCGGGCAGATCACAAGGTCAGGAGATCAAGACCATCCTGTCTAACATGGTGAAACCCCATTTCTACTAAAAATACAAAATATTAGCCGGGCATGGTGGCGGGCGCCTGTAGTCCCAGCTACTCGGGAGGCTGAGGCAGGAGAAGGGAGTGAACCCGGGAGGTGGAGCTTGCAGCGAGCCGATATCGCCCCATCACACTCCAGCCTGGGCGATAGAGTGAGACTCCGTCTCAAAAAAAAAAGAAAGAAAGAAAGAAAAAAAAATCCAAACAGCATAGAAAGTAAAGAAAATAAGCTGTTAAGATGAAGGCAGGTTTTCATCGCATGAAGTCGTCCAATGTGTTTGGTAGGTATGAGTCTAGGGAAGTCCTAGGAGGAGCTGGGCAAGTAGAAAGAGCCAAGGAGTAAAAGACCTTGATAGAGAACACCTGGTGTTTGTCTGTCTACCATCCATACTGTCTTTAGAGAGCTGCTACTTCACTGTGTGCAGTCCCAGAGAGGATATCATCACTGCCCAGACACCCACAGTCATGGGGGTGAGCACGTGGCTCAGACGAAGATCATTAGAACAGGCGTTAATGACAAAGATCATCAGAACAGACATTAACGACTGGTCCGGGGGTGAACACAAGATCAGAGCAGGGTCACTCAGGGCTTTCTGGATTAATGTAAGGATATCAGAAGAAAGAAATGGCTGTTTTATCTGAGGTTGAAAGGATATAAATTTGAGGATGTTAGCAGTTATCTTTCCCATTTTCTAGAAAGATGTTGTCTGTAAAATGAAGCTATGACAATGAAGAACCGGGAACCAAGATATAGCAAAAGACAGAGAGAGCCCTGAGAGCATTATGTGATCCCCTGGACCCACCTACACCTGAAGCTCTAGATCCTTCCTTGGACTTTTCAGTTACATGAGTCATTCAATGCCCTTTTGCCTTGAGCTAGTTTGAGCTAAAAAAGTCCTGGCTAGTACAGCTGTGAGTGTTATGCTGAAGAGTTTGGACTGATTGATATAGGACTGGAAAGCCTCTGAAAGTCCCCCATTCTTAAGTGGTTAGAGAACAGAGACACAGAGTGGACAGAAAGACTATGAAGAGATTAAAACCTCTTATCTTCAGCCTCCTAAATTCACATGTCACAAGATGAACCCTTACCAAATAGGAGCTACTCAGGGCTGGGAAAAACTTCAAGTGGGCACCTGGTCTTCCAGCATAAGAGGACATATAAGCCCAACAACATGCCTCCGTGGAGCTGGAAGGGTCTGCTTGTGGGGTAACTTCTTACCATGCCAACAGGACCTTCCAATCCATCATGTAAGTTAAGCCAATAATACTACAGCCACAATAGAATGACATACTTTGCTAGCCAAAGCAAGATCCACACAAAACAATGACGAGTTTGAGCTAGAAATTATTCCCAATATTGTTAGCAAAATCTGGATAGTAGATGTCTCACCCCAGAGGGTGAAAATACCTCAAGAGGAGCAGGTGATTTCTAAGGTCAAGGAACAAGGCCTGAAACAGCATTACTGTAGCAAATGTGAAGGGTCTGGTTACCTCCCTGTCTGAAACCCAAGACGTTTGGAGGAAAAGAGGTGCTGAAATATCTGCAGTTGGTGGTGACACCTGAGAACCTGGGTGATCCTACCTCCCTACATACAAGGGCAGGGATCATGCCTTTTGCTTCAAATAGCTTTGAACCTTCTGGCCCCCCTCCAGCCCTGATTCTATCTCAGAGAAAAAAGAAAACCACTTTGCTCTTAGGCCCAAGGCCAGGGCATCAGGTTATTTGTCACTTTGAAAGTAACCTAAGATGAACCTTATTTTTCCTGAAGTAAAACCCAAATTAAAATGACCCCTAGGTGTACTAAATAAGGAGACTTCTCAGCCTCCCATCTGTAATTACAAGATGAACGCTTACCAAATAAGAGCTCCTTGGGCCTGGGAAAAAATTCAAATGGGCACCTGACCTTCTAGCGCCTCTGGATAAGAAAACATACAAGCTGGCCGGGCGCAGTGGCTCACGCCTGTAATCCCAGCACTTTGGGAGGCCAAGGTGGGTGGATCACGAGGTCAAGAGATCGAGACCATCCTGGCCAATATGGTGAAACCCCGTCTCTACTAAAAAAAAAAACACACACACACAAAAATTAGCTGGGTGTGGTGGCATGCACCTGTAATCCCAGCTACTTGGGAGGCTAAGGCAGGAGAATCGCTTGAACCCGGAGGCAAAGTTTCAGTGAGCCGAGATTGCGCCACTGCACTCCAGCCTGGTGACAGAGCGAGGCTCCGTCTCAAAAAAAAAAAAAGAGAACATATAAGCCAGGCAACGTGGCTCCTCGGAGCTGGAAGCGACTGCCTCTGGGGCAACTTCCTACCGTAACCTTACAGATTTATCATAGCAACAAGGAGACTGAAGGAGGCATTGCCAGGTCATAACAGAAAGCATCCCATCTCCTGGGCTTTGCATTCTTTGCACACCTCTGCTTAGTCTCCACCAGCAACTCCACCACTGCCTTCACAGAATAAAAGACCTGGGAGAAGCAAGAGGCCAGTCAGTTGCAGCTTAGCATAGGGGTGCTCAGCAGTGCTATGGCTGCAATGGAGGTTGAGGCAAGGGCAGGGAGCAGGGAGACTCCAGCACCTGCCATGACCGGGCTCAGAGGACTCAAAGCAGATGTTTGCAGCAATAATCTTGCTGTAATTTGACCAATTCTCAGACACTCATTTTTCATATTTTAGTCACTCTGAAATAGGGGTGCATCTTGTAATCAGCAGTGTGTCATGCTTTAAAGTTGGCAGCACTTTTGCCTTTCCTGGTGATTTATGAAATGATGGTGTGTTTTACAATTGATGGTATTGTAGGTTCAACAAAATATGGTACATCAGGACCAGCTGTTCACAATGTTAAACTAAAACTCTCTAACGATTCCAAAGAGACATTTCTATTATCCAAAAGCCCATTGCAGCAGTGGGAGCTGGAGCCACAAAACCAGAAGGGATCGCAGTGCAGCAAGAGACAGAAATGATCGGCCCCACTCAATTTCTCGGAAGTTGCAACATACCAAAATAAAAAGATATGGCATATGAACCATTTACACTTGGAAAATGCCATATTGCTGGCTCCTATAAGAGGTCATCAGCTCCAGTGGACATTTCCCATCTTGAGGACTGGGTTGATGGCAGATGGTGACAAAGGTGGTAAGGTAAGAGAGATGGTAATTTGACAGTTTCCACAATAAAACCTAACATCAAAATTGTACTTTACAGTTTTCAAACATTTTCCTGGAACAGCATGGTGGCTCACACCTGTAATCCCAGCACTCTGAGAGGCTGAGGCAGGAGGATCACTTGAGGCCAGGAGTTCAAGACCACCTGGGAAACAGAGTAAGACCCTCTCTCTAATTAAAAAAAAAAAAATTAGAAAAAATTTTCCTGAGCATTACACGATCTCAGGCCTAGCTGGTGGTATCGTCCCCTTTTTAAAGCTGAGGAAAATGAACCACAAGCAGCTGGGAGATTTATCCAAGCTCGCACAGTTAGTCGATGGAGAGAAGTGACTAGCCTGCCGAGATAAAGGATCTTGCCTTAAGAGCCTTCCACTATTCCACAAAAGACAAGAGAAAGACTTAGTCCTGGGCAGACTTTTCTTCAATCTTTTCAAGTCTCCGAAGTAGACTAATTTTCATGCTATGTCTTTTTACCAGCATTCCAGAAATAAAAGGGTAAGGAGAGTTAAAAGGGTGAATGTATGTTTTAAATGGCCATGTGCAAAAATGTCTGCACGGATCCTGATAATTACATTTTTAGTATGAGAGATAATTTGTGCCTTGGTGGCACATTTTTCTGATTGTTAAAGTCATACAAATTTAGAAAATAATGAGGTTCAAACTGTTGAAAGTATTTACACAATCAATTAGCCCACAGTTAATAAGTGATTTCACCGAGCAATCAGCACTAAAAAAGCATTAAAAGGCTGTGACAGAATTCTTCCCCCATGGAAGCAGACAGTGCAATTTGAAGAAAAGAGAAACATTAAAAAATATAGTATACAATTTGGAAGGGATGAGCTCAAATAAAGAAGGAAGGACTATAGACTGGAATTGTCAAGGCAGCCTTCTCAGAGAAGGAAGGATTTGAGATGGGCCTTAAAGGATGATTAAGATTTAGCTCAGCTGAGAGGGAGGTGGGTGGCATTCCTGCATCTAGTAAACAGGTGAAGAAACAAATGAGATGCTATATAAGAGCTTGGCATGTAGCAGGGTGATCAGTGAGGGTCATTGGGGAGAAATGGAAAGAACAGCAGCCTCTCAGGGGTGAGCAAGGGCAAACCTGGTGGAAGGGGGCTTGAAAATAGAGTAAAGACAGTTCCAAAGGGAGGTTACACAGGATCTTAAAACCAGGCTGGAGTATTTGAATTTTAACCTATAAATAATGAGAAGCTATTGAAAGTTTTTGAGCGGAAGAACAGGTGGTAAGAGGTTTTACATAGATAACTTCTGCAACATGCCTAGGAAGGACCCCATTAAAATTTTTATATAAAACAGGGGTCAGGGAGGGTCATTGAAATAGAGAAGTCCTTGTCCAAGGTGGATCCTGAGATGGAAACAAACCATTGACTTAAATGACAAACCAACTGCTCAGCCCTCAAAGACAAATGACAGAGATTAGGCTGTCTGTGGGCATACAAGTGGAAATGCCCAACAGTAGTTGAACTATGGGGTCTTGCTTCAGGAGAAGGGTCCAAACACACATAGATAAAGATAGAGACAGACAGGAAGGTAGATTTAATAGTTTTCCACATTAATTAGTGAAATTTTTTTGTTTTGTTTTGTTTTTGAGACAGAGTCTCGCTCTGTCATCCAGGCTGGAGTGCAATGGCGTGATCTCAGCTCACTGCAACCTCTGCCTCCTAGGTTCAAGCGATTCTCTTGCCTCAGCCTCCAGAGTAGCTGGGACTACAGGCACGTGCCACCACACCCAGCTAATTTTTGTATTTTTAGTAGAGATGGGGTTTCACCATGTTGATCAGGCTGGTCTCAAACTCCTGACCTCATTATCCACCCGCCTCGGCCTCCCAGCGCCCGCCTCAGCCTCCCAAAGTGCTGGGATTATAGGTGTGAGCCACCGCGCCCGTCCTAATTAATGAATTTTAACAGCTAGTTTTATATATGTGTGTGTGGATGGATGGAAAGAAAGAAGGAGGGAGGGAGGGAGGAAAGAAGGGGAAGGGAAGGAGAAGGGAAGGGAAGGGAAGGGAAGGAGAAGGGAAGGGAAGGGGAGGGAATGGAAGGGAAGGGGAGGGGAGGGGAGGGGAGAGAGAGAGAGAGAGAGAGAAATAGAGAGAAAGAGAAAGAGAGAAAGAGAAAGAAAGAAAGAAAGAAAGAAAGAAAGAAAGAAAGAAAGAAAAGCAAGCAAGCTTGACATTTAATTTTGCTCTTTTTTCTCTCTCTAGTCATTCATCCTCCCACCCCTTCCACAGTCTAGCACCTTATCTCAGTACCTTTCAACACTGAATTTTTCAAATAATAACAATAAGCCACCAAAAAGACCTCAATATTGCCTATCTCTGATATGCAAGAGTATTGAAGATAGAAATACCTGCTGACACTGTGATTTGCACAATTCTTTTATTTATTTATTTATTTATGTGACAATCATTTATTGAGTGCTTTCCATGTGCTAAATACTGTGCCCAGTGCTGGAGATACAGCAATCATTCATTCATTTAATACATGTTTGTAGAATACATACTGTGTAAAAAGCTCTGTGCAAAGAGCTGTGTAAGTCATGGCTCCTAACTTCAAGGTAAATAAACCCCTACTGGTGATATCAATATACATGAAGTTATCTTCTTATAGGGAGTACATTCACAATTCCAGGCTCAAATAAAGTGTTCTATTCCACACACCTGGGAGGCACTAAGGTCTAGGGAGGAAATGAAACTCTTATAACTGTCCTGAGCATGTGAGATTAACAAGTGCTCTTGTAAAACTAAATGCCAACTGCAGAGCTGCCTATTGGCCAGTGGCCTCCTCACAGGTATTTACGTTTATTTATTTGCTAGATTTATCACATTTGCAGGCTGTGCCATTTGGCCTCAGGGTCAAATAAATCACTTTTAAATTTTTAACATCATTCTTAAGCATTGCGTGCCCCTATATGCCCCTGACAGACTTTCTAAAGCCTTTACAGGAACAGAATTAAATCCATTTCGCAAATAAATACACTGGAAACAGCAGGGTTTAAATGTACCGATAAGGGAAAAAATAAATTCTAGGAAAAACCTGGAGATAGGATTGATGTGTTCTGCAGTACTTTTTAGATGTGGAAAAATTCCTCCCCACAAAACTGGGGTTTCTAGCTGACCTTCTAGACAGTAAAAAAAAGAAAAAAGAAAAAAGACTTGGGGTGGCATGTGGAATTCTGTCTCTCTTCTTCTTGGCACACATTCCTTTTCAAAGATATGTGCTCCATGAGGATTTGTCATAAGGTTCAAAAAGACAGCCAAAGATCATAACAAAGTACGTAATGGAATGGAATAGAAATGCATTTTTAAGAAAGCTGGCCACGTCATTTGGAAATTCAGCCGAGGTAGATTCTCCCATCTCCCAAAGCCTAAATCTGTCTCTGGGAGAAAGCTAAACATGTAGAAAGGAGAACTGACTCTTTGAATATTATTGTACTCACATAATTAATGTTATATTAAATTATCCTTTCATATGCTCATCAAACATTTATTGAGCACTGTACTAAGAACAGATTTGGTGCCACGGAGTACAAAAAATAAGACAGGGTCCCTGCTATTAAGGAGCATTCACGCAAATTAAAAATTACCATATGTATAGTTAATAACAATGTATTATATACTTGAAAATTACTGACAGTAGATTTTAGATGTTCTCACCACAATTAAATGTTGCATGTGTAGTAACGCATGTTAATTAGCTTGATTTAGCCATTCCATAATGTATCCATATTTCAAAACATTGTGTTGTGTCATCAACATATACAATTATACGTCAATTTAAACACAAAGAAATAATTTTCATCACCATATTACAAATCCTACAAAATGTTGTTACAAGAGCCTGAGAAAGATGCTTTATATTAGGAATGACTGTTTCTTTGTCATATAATCTCAGTCTAGCATTCTCTTTTTTTTTCTGTGCTCTATGGAAATGACAATATATATTTATTCGACTGTAAAGCAACTTCATTTTTCCAGTATCTCTTTGCTTTTCTCCACTACCTCTTTCAAGTGGTGCTGACTTATCATGACTAAATTGGTTTACGATGGAAAGATGTTTTGATATTTGATCTGAAAGACGTGTGTATTTTTGTTCTGGGTATAATCTTACACCATTATTTTGGATTAACCGACAGACTCCAAATCCCAGTTGCATTGGATAGGTGACCTTCTGCTATATAATTTCTGCCACTACAATGAACTACCAAAGACCAGAAGCCATGTTTTAAAAATCTATGATTCCCTACCCCACAAAAACAAGAATGACAAACAGGAATTCAATAAATATTTAATAATTCAGACAAGTAGTTTCTAGATCTTGTCATCTCATACAACAAGTAAACCTGTGTTCTAAGCCACTGAGATTTAGGCATTATTTGCTACTCCAGAATACCTTAGCTTAAGCCGACCAATACACCAGACTTCAATATGTAAATATGAGTAAATGGCAAGTGAATGAATATATCTGTAGTGTTTTGTTTGTTTGTTTTTTGAGACAGAGTCTTGCTCTGTCGCCCAGGCTGCGATGCAGTGGCCCAATCGTGGCTCACTGCAACTCCACCTCCAGGGTTCAAGCAATTCTCCTGTCTCAGCCTCCCAAGTAGCTGGGACTACAGGCGTGCACCACCACGCCCAGCTAATTTTTTTATTTTTAGTAGAGACAGAGTTTCACCATGTTGGCCAGGCTGGTTTTGAATTCCTGACCTCAGATGATTCGCCCGCCTCAGCCTCCCGTGGTGCTGGGATTACAGGAGTGAGCCACCGTGCATAGCTGTGTAGTTTAATTAATCTATTTTACTGGTATCTTTTCCTAATTCTCTGAAAAGTCTGACAGAGCGAACTTTACCTCTTTCTATTCCTCCATTCCCTTTAAACTCTGCTGTGCATTTCAAGTGAAATATCATTTATCCTTGTTTTTTATTCTCTCCCATGTACTGTCCCTATAGTCACTGACTAAGATCCTCGAAGCCTCGAAAAATAAAAACACTGGGAAAAAGGAAAGATCTTCCAAAGAAAAATGAAAGTCTCTGTTGTTTTGTGGTTGCAAGACCACTGCCATAAGAACTAATAACAATAGCTGTCATTTATTGAGTGGCTACTTTGTGCCCAGTGCTGAGCATTAAATGCATAATCCTCCCACCAAACCAGTGAACTAGCACCATCATTATCTGCATTTCACAGAGGAAGAAAGTAACAGTTCAGGAGATGGATAAATTTTGACAAGGACTGTTTGTCTTTAGGAGGAAGACTATTTTAAAAGGCAGCTCAGCGTTCGCTTGGATGCAGTCTATCTTCGGAACTGCTTCGAACAGAAGGGGTAGAAAAATGCTTATTTTGTGGCTAATTGAATTAGTGCCTCTCTCTCAAACATAATGAAATTCAAAGCCATTTTATTAGCCCTCTTGGGACTCTTTTTAAAAATTCTTCCTCTACTGTATTAGATTAGCCTGCCAAGATGACCCTGTATAAAATGAGGTCAGGCTTCTTTCAGGGTATTTCTTTGTTGCTCCTACCTATACCAGGGCATGTGAAGGTCACTTTGTTCAGTCCTCCCATTTCCCTTCCAAATACCCCAGAAAGAGATCAGAGTATCTTCTAAACATCAGAATCAAACGGGCCCTCCCTCCATTCTCCCATATGCTCTCAGTGGCTAGTACTGTGTGTTTCTGGATGCATCATGAAAACATTACCTCCCACACCTCAGGGGAACGGAGATGTGTTTTAAAGGAAATTATGTTAGTCTCCAACCAGTGTCACCCCACTTGTACTCAGAGCCTTTGAAAAACTTGACTATGTGCTGAAAGGTCTTTTGAGGATAACATGATGCAGTGGACTAAATGTCTGTGTCCTCCCAAAATTCGTATGTTGAAACCCTCAAGGTGATGGTCTAGAAGGTGAGACCTTTGGGAGGTGATTAGGTCATGACAGTGAAGCCCTCGTGAATGGGATTAATCCCTTTTTAAAAGAGGCCCCAGAGAGCTCTCTCACCCTCTTTCCACCGCGTGAGAATATAATGAGAAGATAGCAGTCTGCAACCCAGAAGCAGGCCCTCGCCAGAACCTGACCATTCTGGCACCCTGATCTTGGACTTCGAGCTTTCAAAACTGTTAGAAATCAATGTTTCTTTTCTTTTCTTTTTTTTTTTTTTAGAGACGGAGTCTCACTCTGTCACGCAGGCTGGAGTGTAGTGGCGTGATCTTGGCTCACTGCAACCTCTGCCTCCCAGTTCAAGCAATTCTCCCACCTCAGCCTCCCGAGTAGCTGGGACTACAGGCGCCCACCACCATGCCCGGCTAATTTTTGTATTTTTTTAGTAGAGACGGGGTTTCACCATGTTGGCCAGGCTAGTCTTGAACTCCTGACCTTGGGATCTACCCCCCTTGGCCTCCCAAAGTGCTGGGATTACTGGCATGAGCCACAGTGTCCGGCCCCAATGTCTGTTCTTTCTAAGCCATCCAGTCTATGTTACCTTGTTACAGCAGCTCCAGATACATAGTCTGACTAAATATACAACTTGGAACAAACAGTAGCTATTATTAGGAACACAGCTTTGGAAAGACCAATTTGTAATCATGAAATGCCCTTCTTTGATATTCTTTCCAACCCCTCCCTTCCATGGACTCTTCTACATGGCCTTAGGCTGGAGACAACATCAAAGAATTTGAACCTAGCTCCACCACTACTAACGACATGGCATTGCTAAGTTACTTAACTTCTCTCCCACAGTTTTCTCATCTGTAAAATGGGGTTGCTAAAGTTGTCTATCTCCAACAATGCTGTGTAATATACCTAAGGCTCTTAAGTCAATGCCTGGCACTTGGTAAACCCCACAGAAGGGGTTTGCAATTTTTATTTTTCCCTTCCATCTATTCCTTCTCTCCTCACAATGCCCTGATTAAAGGAATGATTCCAGCCTCAGCCATTCACCCTCATTAGCTCAAGCTAATGTTTCTCAACTTTTTTTCATGAAGCAGTGTATTAATTGTTTTCTATCACAACAAAATACACATAAAAACACATACAAAATGTAAACAAGAGTTTCATGAAACAATATTTACCTTTATCATATGCAATGTGCTCTAGTCTTATCTTTTTTGTTTGTTTTGTTTTTTTGGTTTTCAAGCTAGTCACAGTCCACTAAATTTACTTCATGACTTAGCACTAGGCTGCTGCAGTTGGTTTGAAAAATAGCTGATCTAAGCTAACCACCATTCATTAAATTCTGACAACACCAGTATAAGGCAGATATGTCAATTTGACATATTTTTTAAAACTTAGGCACAGAGAGGTTAAGTGACTTACGCAAGGTCACACAGTTTGCCAATAACTGGCATAGGAACTTATGAAGATTGTTCCTGATCCAGAAGTAGGCAGGTGGCCTAAGTCAGCCCAGTTAAACTGAGTATGGAGGATGTGTGTAGCTCAATTGACCCCCATGTTACTAACCTGAGTGGGGTGCTGTGTCTGGGGAGAGCTGCCACTACAGATGGCAGCCTAGCCTAGGCTAGGCTCTCCAGTATGTATGTCTTTGTCTTCATTTTTAACAAAAAAAACAAGTTTAAAAAGTAGAAAATAAAGTTTAAAAATAGAATAAAATCTTATAGAATAAGGATATAAAGAAAGTATTTTTGTACAGCTATATCATGTGTCTGTGTTTTAAGCTAAATGTTATTATAAAAGAGTCAGAAAGTTTAAAAAATTAAAAAGTTTATAAAGTAAAAAAGTTGCAGTAATCTAAGGTTAACTTGTTATTATAGAAAGAATTTTTTATACATTTAGTGTAGCCTAAGTATACAATGTTTATAAAGCCTACAGTCGTGTACAGTAATGTCCCGCGTCTTCACCTTCACCCGCCACTCACTCACTGACTGAGCCAGAGCAGCTTCCAGTCCTGCAGGCTCCATTCATGGTAAGTGCCCTACAAAGGTGTACCATTTTTTACCTTTTACACCATATTTTTTACTGTATCTTTTCTATGTTTAGATATGTTTAGATGCATAAATAGTTACCATTGTGTTACAGTAGCCTAGAGTATTTGGTACAGTACCATGCCATACAGGTTTGTAGCCTAGGATATAGCGTATAGTTTAGGTGTGTAGTAGCCTATACCATCTAAGTTTGTGGAAGCACATGCTATGATGTACGCATAATGAGGAAATTGCTTAACAACACATTTCTCACAATGTATCCCCCCTCATTAGGCAATGCATGGCTGCAATATCAATCCCCATTTTGTAGAAAATGAAGCTCAAAAATTTTACCAGAGGAGTCCTAGCTAGTAAAAGGTGGATCCAAGATTCAGACCAAGGTCTGTCTGATATCAAGACACTGCACCACGCAGCCCACAGCAGACGGTGTACTCAAATATAAAGGACAAAATAAGGGGTTGATAGGTGCTGACTTTCTCCAAAGAAGGCCCATCATTACCACCTGCACCCTCCCCACCAACACAAGCACTCTGCTGCTCGCCTTAAATGTTCTTACCCCTTTCTACTTTACCTTACAGCTGTCAGTGTTTGTGCTTTAGGTTCTTCACTGGAACTCTGTGCTCCTAGGGAGAGGGGCCAGGGACATGTAGCTTGTAGCTCTGTGCCTGCATATCAAAGGCATGCAAGAAATACACAATTCATTGGTTGTTTTTGGATCACTTTTTGTCCCATTAAGAAATAATGGAGGAAGTGGAGAGGGGGTGAAGAGAATCCTCCAGAATTTGGTGATAAGTTTTATGCAAATTCCATTCCACATGCCCTGTCATCACTGTGTGTTATGTGCGGGCACTCCTTGCTGGTCCTTATAAGTATCTCTCTCAGACAGGCAAGAGGGTGGAAGAAAGATGGGTGGAATCACTTTAACAACAGATAAAATATTGGCACTGCTGTTGATGCAGGGACCAGACCAGCTAAATCTAACCCCTGTGGGTTTTCAGATCTGACCTAATCCTCCTCATTAAAGCTAAACTCTCATCCACTTTGGACTGTGGCCTGGCCCGGAGTTCATTTTAAATCCCAGGACCAATGGCTTTGCCAATATTTTATGTGTTCCCTGGGTAACTCTTGGAAGGCTGCATTCAAGAAGCAAACAGCTCTGACAGTGGCTATCACCACTTATAATGAATCCTTTGGTGGCCTCCCTACCTGCCAAATTCAGTGTAAACTCTTAGAATGCATCCAAGGTGCTCCAAAGCAGGCCTTCATTTTTTTTTAAATCTTAACTCCTATATTTCCTCCTCCCTTAGCCAAACTAGCCTACTCCAGTTGCCCCAAACATCCCCTGCTCCATGTGGCCTCTTGGCCTTGTTCATGCTGGTGCTTTTGCTTGCACGCCTTTGTAGCCATGCTGCCTGTTGTGATCACATCCTTTCTGGAAGGCCCAGCTCTAAGACCACCTCCCTTGTGAAGTCTTTGTTCTTTCTACAGGTACTCTCCCCATTCTGAACCCTCATAGCATTTTGCCTATATCTCTTCTAAAGCAGCTATGACAATTATTTGGGAACTGGCTTCTATCCACTAATTAAAATTTTAATATTCATGATTATTGCCAATTACTTACTTACTGGGGTTTCCTAATGCCAGGCATTGTGTTAAGTGCTCTGTATACATTAACTCATTTAATCTTCATTATATCTCATAAAGGATGTAAAAATGGAGGTAATAATAACCTACCTCATTGGTTTATTGTGAGGATTGAATGAGGACTACGCGAAAGTTCCATGCTTCTGAGTTCCATGCCTGTAAGCCTGGCAGGTTGTGAGTACTCAATACGTGTTTGCTATCACCATCATCGTTATTATCATCACGATCATCATCATTACCATGATCATCAAATCCATTTTACAGAAGAAGAAACTGAGTTGTCAAGTAATTTACATATAAGTACACCACTAGTAAAAAGTGAAACTTGTATACTGTGTTAATCACTGCCCTATACCACATTTTAATGTAAATCCTTTCAGGGCAGACATTGCATGAACACATCTTTATACCCCTTCAGAGTTTAGCACAGAGCCTGACCCAGAGGCAGCCTATAAGCATATGATGAATAAATAAGGCCCATCAAAAACTGTCAGATCTTGCTTGGTGGTTTCCACCAACTGCCATCTAATAGTTGATTTTCCTGGGTGGGGTGAAAATGTACACACCTGGTATAGGCTTTTCTGCATATAGGTTTGAATATAGGTTTCCTACTTGTCAATCCTTTCAAATGACGCACCTTCCTTAAGCTACTAAAAATGTCCTCTTCCAGTGCACGATGTAAATAAACGCAACTATTTTCACAATTTTAATATGAGCAAAGTATGTGTTCATGGTCCAAATTCTGCAGCCGTCCTGCCCAGACTCACGCATAGGAGTGAATGGATCTGAAGTGCATTAAGCACACCCACACTTTTCTCCTATCTCCCTCATCTTGTAGTTTCAGCTCAGGCTGCTTAGGTTTTGTTTACGTTGCCATAAATTAAAGGGCATGCTTTTTACACGTCCTGAATACATTTCACTCAAGATGACAGAGAATGGGAAAAGTGGTTTCGCTAACCCTCTCAAATGTCCCTCTCAAATGTCACATGGAGGAGCATGCTTTGCAGCCAGGCACAATGATACCTGAACAGGGGCATGACCACTTGAAATTAATACATAATCAACAGCAAGCTGCCCGTCGGCCAGAGATGGAGGGAGATCATTTTCACCCATGCATGACTGAAGCCTCTCACCCCAGGCGATGGTGTGCCTCTCAGCTAACCATGAAAATCGGTCACATATGTCTCCTGCTCTCTTACACAGCTGCGATTTGGCCACAATATTTCGATTTGTTTCACCAACATTTTCTAAGTGACCTACGACTTCATCATAGTCCCAGTTAGTCCCCTTGTGCAGAGCCCCCACACAGAGGCCTGAAGTCAACAATAATTGCTGAATCTCAAATATCCAGGGTCCCACCCATCCTGGCTTGGCCCCCGTTGTGCTGAAATCAGGTCAGATCCAGGGCTCCCAGCCACTCTAGGAAAACTGCAGAGACCAAGCTGCTTATCCAAGAGGAGAGGCTAAAGGTTAGTACCTAAGGGTGAAAAAAAAACCCACCCTTCTTACAGAGGCATGTTTTATACAGCATGGTGATGACAAAAGTAACATGTACACAAGATGCATGCATTCATCCCACCTAATAAAAATGAAAAGACTGTGATTTTCTGTAGGTCATTTTATTTGACCTGTCTTCACCCTCACAACAATCAAATTGTTCTGGTGTCATTATCTCCACTTTACAGATAAGAACACTGAGGCTCAAAAAGTTTGAGTTACGTGCTTAATGTTATTCAGCCCATTAATAGCAAAGTCAGGACTCATGGTTATGTGATTTGAGCCAGGACCCATTTTATGTGTTAGGGGCAGAGAGAAGCTCTGGCAGTTGTAGTCAACCCTGGTATCACCTGAGAATCACCCAGAGATCTATAAAAATTAACCCACCCCTCATGAGTGTCCCTGGCCAACCCCAGACCAATTGCATCAGAATCACTGGGGGAAAGGGCTCAGATATAGTTATTGCATTAGTCAGGGTTCTCCAAAGGAACAGAACAAGTAGGGTGTGTGTATATATATAGTGAGAGATTTATTTTAAGGATTTGGCTCACTTGATTATACAGGTAGGCTGGGTAGGCTGGCAGGCTGGAGACCCAGGAGAGAGCTAATGTTCCAGTTCAAGTCCAAAGGTCAGTCTTTTGTTCTGTGTAGACCTTCAACTGACTGGATGCGGCCCACCCATATTAGGGAGGACAATCAGGTTTACACAAAGTCTATTGATTTAAATGTTATTCTCATCCAAAAACACCCTCACACAAACACCCAAAATAGTGTTAAACCAATTATCTGCACACCGTGACCCAGTAAAGTTGACACATAAAATTCACCATGACGGGTATTTTTAAAGCTGCACAGGTGCTTCCACTGTGCAGCCAATGTGGAGAGCCACTGATCTGTCATTTCACGTACTCGTCACTGTCTCCAACCTCTTCAGAACCAGAATCCACCTAACCATTAACAAATTGCCCAGGATAGAGATAGACAAGGCATCTGTCCAAACCAGGTACTGCTTATTTTGTGGAAATTAGCAGAGTGGTTTCTATGGGTATGGCCAAGAGGTACATTTGGAGTTTTGCTAGAAGGTAGGTAAAGCAATCATATCATGCACAGGCCATTTTGGCTGCAGGTTGCAAATGGTTTCTGGTGAATGGCCAATGGGTAGTCTCTTTATTCTCTTCTCTAAGCCCTCTCAAAGCAAAATTCCCTATCTTAGAGGGAAGGTTTAATTTTTACAACTTGAAAAAAGCCAGAATGAAATGGTTCATTTGCACCTGGCCTATGGCTTGACAAGAAATCCTGGAGGCTAGTGTTGAAAGACAATAAATCTTTGCAAGATGGCAGGAAAATTTGTAGCCAGAGCTGGGCAAAGCGTCTTCTATAGCAATGAATTCAGAAAAGCTGATAGGACTGGCTGATAGTATATTTGCAAAATTTAGAAGCCCCTCTCTTGTTGGCTGAGAAAGTCTGAAAGTACAAAGCATTATGCCACTGAAGCATTAAGAGGCAGTATGCTTGTCTTATTTAATTTAGTTTTAAGCATCAAAACTTTGGTATTTTGTGGTGCATTGTTTTGGAAACATTGAGATGCATTTTACATAAGCTTAATTAACTCAGAATAAGTAAAGAGATTCACAGCAGCAAATCATTTGCTGGAAGATGGTTCTTTAGGGTCAGGATCCCTATGCAGTACAGGAGTGCCTCCTGGGAATCAGAGCATGAATCCTAGGTGACATACTCCTCCCAGCTGCCCCCTAGGATGCAGGTGCTGCCACTAGGTCCAGGCTCAGAGATGCCTGCTGAGTTGCCATTTTCCTCCTTATAGAATTCCTTCTCTGCCCATTTCTTTTTCTGGCTTACTCCTCTTTTTGTTCACTTCAGTTTATAACACAGATGTTAGCTAATCATGATTTTTATCTGGATCCTCCAACATCCCAAAGGAATATTTTAGAAGGGACTTTTTCTATGGTAAAATGGCAGGCCATAGGATAATTCCAGTGGGTTGGGGAAAGATATTTGGGAAGGAGATGTATTAGGAGGCTTAAATTATACCATGTGACTGGTTCTCATGGCCTTCAGTGGTAACTCACAGTAACTTTACCACCTGTTATGGCTGAATTGTGCTTCCTCCCTGAAAAAAGGATATATTGAAATGCTAACTGTCAGTACCTCAGAATGTGACCTTATTTGGAAATAGGGTGATAAAGTTAAAATGAGGTCATTAGGATGGGCCCTGCTATGGTTTGACTGTGTCATCTTCAAAATTTAGGTCTTGAAACTTAATGGCCAATATGATGAAATTAAGAGGTGGGACCATTAAGAGGTGATTAGGCCATAATGACTCCTCCCCCAAGAACAGAATTAAATCACTATTAAAGAGACTTCATGCAGCATTCAACTAGCCTGCGCTTCCACCTTCCACCGAGTGAGAGCACCACATTCCTCCCCTTCAGAGGATGCAGCATCAAGGCACCATCTTGGAAGCAGAGAGCAGCCTTCACCAGAAAACCAAACCTGGCAATGCCTTGACCTTGGACTGCCAGCCTCAAGAACCATAAGAAAGTAAATTTCTGTTCTTTATAAACTACTCAGTCTCAATTACCCTGTTAGAGCAGCACAAAGTGGACTAAGATAAGCCCTATTCCAATATGACTGGTGTCTTTATAAAATGGGCAAATTTGGACATATGGACAGACACACAAAGACAGAAGATGATGTAAAGACCAGAGAACATATGTGAAGATGAAAGAGTGGGTGACGCATCTGCAAGCCAAAGAATGCCTAAGGCTACACGAAGCTAAGAGAGAGACATGGCACAATCCTTTCCTAGTGCCTTCAGAGGGAGAACAGCCCTATTGACACCTTCATTTCAGATTTCTAGACTCCAGAATTGTGAAGCAACAAATTTCTGTTGTTCTAAGCCATCCATTTGTGGTTCTTTGTCACATCATTTCTGGGACTCTAATATACCACCTGTTTTACCTTTTAGCCAAGGCTCTTGTATCAATTGTCTATTGCCCCAATAAAGCTACACAACAAACTACCACAAAATTTCAATTGCAAACAACAACAAACACTAGTCAAACTCATCAAGTCTGTAGGATCCAGCTAATTTGAACTGAGCTCAACTAATCTTTGCTAGGCTTTCTTAAGAGGTCTCTGTCAGCTGCACATCAATCTATCAATTGCTCCTGCCAATAATAGTGGCTTGCTCATCATGTGTTTGGGTGTTGACTGGTTCCTAGCTGATATAGGTTGGCCTTAATCAGAATGACTGGGATGACTTGGCTTCTTTCACCTATCTCATTTTCCAGCAGGTTAGCTCAAATGTATTTCTCTCAAGGCAATAGCAGATGGCAAGAGCACAAGCAGAAATAAACAAGTACCTTTTCAAGCCTCCATTTGCATGATGCATGCTAACGTCCAATTATTCTGAGTAAGTCATATGGCTGGGTCCCTTGTAGAGCACTATAAGATTATAGGACTATGGGTTAGAGAGGGGTATAGAATAAGGGCCCTTAATGCAATCAATCTACTATAGCTCTGATTTCCATGTAAAACTCTCAGAAATAGGGCAGTAAAGTACCCCCTGGAAAAGCCCCTAGCATTTTTTCTGTGTTTGGACAGTCTACCTTGTTCAATCACAACACAGTTATCCAGCTAGTCAATCTTCATAGGGATTGACTCTAGGCTAAGAACTCTAGGGTATACAGAAATAAGTAAGGATTGTGTCCTACCATAAGGGAGCTTCTAATATAATAGCCATAAACCCAAAAAATGTCAGCATGATGAGGACCTTGAGAAGGGCCAAAGAGGTACCAATAAGTTGTCACAGGGTTGAGATTGCCAAATACCATGATCTGCAGAAGGGTCCAAACCCATAGTAAAATTATCAGAAGTCTAATGTGAAATGATGCAGAAAAAATGTAGACAGATTTTTTTGGTAACATTAACTCTGTCCTACTTTAAAAACTATTGTTTATTCTGAAATCATGTCCTTCCTACCTTTGAAATTAACATACTAACTTTTATAAAGTAGAAAACAGTTTTTGTTTGTGCATTTTTAAATATCATTCCTTGGTAAAATAAAAGTTCTCCATCCAAATCGATCCTTCCCAAATCCCCAAGTTGTTTCTTGGTTTTATCCCAATAGTCTGTGCATCACAGCTAGAGAGAAGGGAGAGAGCACTTTCAGAGGAATCATTCCACAGAAAAGGGATCATCTGAGACAGGCCTTGAAGGGTGAGCTGGATTTCAGCACATGGAAATGACTATGAATGGGATGGAGCCTAGAAAAGGTGCAAGGTGGGGAGTAAGACTAGGTCATCTCTATTCACAGCCAGGAATAAAGTTTATCTGGGCACCCTTGAGCAACTGAAGTTGCTGGAGGCAGGGCTCCTTGAGAGCAACAAGCATCACCTTGAGGTCCATCTTCCCTTCCTTTAGCAGGCCTGTTTTGGCCTGGCTGCAACTGACTCCTGGAGATTGTCTCCAGCCACATATTTTGAAGGTTTCTCACCATTGCTACAGGCTATAGGACAATTTTCCTCTATTCCTGCTCCATCTACCAGTAGTGCTTACTGGAAATCAGCTTTCCATACCTTTCCTTCCAGTTGCTGCTTCTCCTACAGGAAAGTCAAGCTGATTGGATGAGACCAAAGCTAATTTTTTTCTGTCCTGAACCATCTGCCCACCGGCATTCTCCAGGGTTGTCCTATTGTGAGCCACCCCAGTAGGCATCCTTGATGCAAAGACCACATTCTCATCTCAACTGAGCAAGAATAATAATAGAAATTATAATATTGCTTATTTGATATTAATTCAAAGCATAGCTACAGAACAGAGCTCTTTAAACCCAAGTCAGTCTGACTCAAAAGCTGGTGCACTCCGCCATCTCCCCATACACACACGTACATACTACGATAACCTCCTTGATGTTTTCATCGCCGCAGATACTACTGAAAAAGTAAAGTAGGCCCATCATCCTAGTTACTACCCAGCCCTAGTAGCCCAGGTTCAAACATCACTTGGGAATCACAGAATTGGATAGTTTTCTTTCAGCTAGAATTTTGAGGTTGGGCTTAGATTGGAAATCACCTCTGTTCATCTGGAGTAAGGGCTTTTAATACTTTTTAATAGTTTATACTTTGGAGCACTGTGGCTCAGAGTTACCATCAAGGGGCCACTGCATGCAGTCCCACGGAATTTACTGGAGTTGGAGGATGGAGAATTCCATTGTCCTCATTCCACATGTGCTACCTCAGGGCCCAAACTTCAGGACAGCTCGATGAATGAAATGATGACATTTGCCAAAAACAGCAGCTATACCACACAGAACCGCTGAGCACGTGAAATTGAATGGCAATGTATTGTAAGATTTTGAACACAGATCCAGGATAAGGTTAACATAATACTCCTTTTTAAAAGTCACCAAAAGAGAACGCTTTCAGTGCAAAGACTTCCATTTGCATAACACCTTACGCTTCTCAGCATACTCTCACCTCATTGGATACAAACTAATCACTAGCATAACAAACTAATATCATCTCTTTTACAGAAGAGAAAGTTAGCTGCTAGTCCAAGTCAACTGATCTATGCAAAGTTATATGGCTTGTCAATAATGGATATGAGACTAGAATTCAGGACAGGTATTTTTGTGGCCAAGTCTACTCAGATAAACACAATTAAGCTAGTTTTGTTGACTTGATTTGTTTTGTTGGCCTGTTTCATTTTGCTAGAGAATCTTGATTAACCAATTAGATTATCTGGAACTCATGTTGCTTTGTAAATGGAATAGTTGCCTGCAGCAATCTCAGACCATGTAAGTGGGATCACTCAATTGACTTAACCAGAAAAGAGGTCTAAGCTGCATAAATGGAAAAGAAGACATACTCAGATATTTGGACATTCCTTCAAGACTGTAGACCCTCATTACCATGAGTGTTCTGACCCAAATCAGATGGGTGCAATGCGAGGGAAGAGTTTCCCAGCCCAGTGTCATATTGAGAACTCTTGGCAACAAGCAATGCCAGAATTCTATCTAAAAGAAGTTTTGTTAGGGATGGCAGTTCCCACTGGAAGGTGTGTGTGTGTTGCATTATATGTTTTGGATCAAAAAAATTTTTTTCTGAAGTAGCTTTCAACTAACTTTGCATAAATTGAGAAAATTTAAATTGCACCTAAAAGAGAATATTAGAAACTATTAGAATAAGAGGAATATTAAAAAATATTAAAATATTAATGGTAGCAGTAGTTGTAGTAGTAATCATGGTAGTAGGGTGACCAATTTTTCCGGTATGCACAGGACCATCTCAGTTACACAGCAGAAAGCCCCACATTTCAGGGTCTCTGTCCAACCCATCCCAGACAAGTTGGGACAGTTGATCACTCTAAGTGATAGAATGATATTAATAATTGTTATTATTTTTATTTTTATTTTTATTCTTATCAGAATGGCTAGAGGGGAATCTGACAGAATTGTATGGTACTTCAATCTCAAAGCCACCATCTTGATGTTGCCACTGACTGCCTAAATTGGGTTATTTGGTGGCAAGTTATCAGCGTCCAATGAAGCTGGTCCTCAAGGTTGTCATCCTTCCCCAGTGGCCATGTTCCTTCTCCCCATCTGGACTTTCAGCATCAATCTACTCAAGTGACCACCAAATATCGCCAAACCCAGTTGAATGCCTCATTGGGCCTGGTCCTCTCTCAGCAACATCTGTTCCCCTCTGAGTGTAGGGAACTCTTGGGGCTATCCTGAGCAATAATCTCTACTCTGGGTTCTTAATTCATCCCCAGGGGTCTCTCCAGGAGCTCAAGGTTTCTCTACTTGCAGATGGCCCTAAACACCTCTGGAGTTTCTGTTGTCTCGAAAAGAGCAAGAGGGACTATAAATACTATGTGTATTAGGAAGAGGAAAGCAAATGGGGTTGGGAATGCCGAAAGAGTTGGGACTGGAAATGTATTCTGAAGGTATGGTAAGGTTTAGATAGGAACAAGCAAGAGGAAATGCATTTCAAGTGGGGGAAAACACAGGAACAAAGAACTAAAGGGCATTAACAAATGTCTGGGGACTGGGAGGCAGACATGCCTCAAGGAGAGGATGAGGGAGGTGGAGATTAATGGAGAAGGAAAGATCTATACTCTTTATTCAGTAGACCAGTGTTTCTCAAACAGGACTGATTTTTCCCTCCAGGGAACATTTGGCAATGCCCAAAAACATTTTTGGTTGTCATGACTCAGTGGGGATGTAATTTGGTCTGAATGTTTATGTCCCCCCAAAATTCTTATGTTGAAATCCTCACCTCCCTACAAGATGATGGTATTAGGAGGTGGAGGCTTTGGGGGTGATTAGGTCATGAAGGTGGAGCTCTCACAAATAAGATTAGGGCCCTTATGAAAGAGACCTGAGAGACTTCTCACTCCTTCCACCCTCTGGGGTTAGAGTTAGAAGTTGGCTGTCTGTGAGGAAGTGGGTCCTCAAGAGACACCAAATCTACTGGCACCTTGATATGGGACCTCCCAGCCTCTAGAACCATGAGAAATAAATTTCTGTTGCTTATAAACCACCCAATCAATGACATCAATGTCAATAGCACCAAGGTTGAGAAACCTTGCAATAGACAATGGGGAGGCACAGGAGGTTTTTGAGCAGGAAAATGACAAAATGATGTCAATGCCGATAGCTTCATAAAGCTGAGAGGAAATTAGCTAGCACAAGAACATCTCTCTTTATGCAATGGAGCATTTCCTAAAAAGCTTTGTGTTTTTTGTGTGTTTTTCTTTAAAAAAATCAATATTTTAGAAATTCAATTTTATTTTAAATGTACTAGAGCAGCTACTAGACAAATCTAGGGATGAATACACTCCTAGAAAGTGAAGAATCTTGCCAACGCAAGCATCATTCCTGTCTCATTCTGATATATCCAAATGGCTGTACTTTAGTGTCTCTCAAAGTGGGTTACACCTAAGTCTCTTCCAGACACCGGAGGACAATGCAGGCTTCCCCCCAAAGAATGGAAGATGAGAAGCCAGATTCCCTGGTTCCTACCCACTGTGTGACCCAGAGCAGCTCTATATTAGATCATTAGCTGCTTCCAGGATCATCATTTCTTTTTCTCCATGATTCATTGACTCTTAAATGCAACCATTTCTTCACCCTGTCATTGTGGAGCACATAATCCAAAATTTTATTGAAATCAAGAGATGTTTTCCTTGCTATTATATTGGGAGCAGAATACGATTCCTTTGAACACTTCCAAAGTTCATTTTTGTTTCTCAGTGACTGCTTTCAAGTTTTCAAACAAGAAAGGATTTTGTTTTTCTCTGGCTAAAGCTTATTTTTACCCAGCCTTGGTTTTCTTTCCTTTCCTTTAAAAATCCTCAGCACATCTAAGTACACTAAATATTTATGAATGTAATTTATGAGCTTTGGCCGTTTACTCCTTGCCAAAACTAAAAAGTATGTCTGTGTGTGGCCTGAAAAATCCCAGCTATGACAAAACCAAAACAGAGAAATAAGCAACTACTTCACATAAAAAAAGAGAAAAAGAGGTCAAACTTCACAAAAGTCCAGAAATTACTCACTTGACATATTCAGACTGGCACAAAGGAAAATAAATAATATTACATCTCCTCCAAGAACCTTGTCCTGTATGTCCTGCCTCAGATGTCCTGCAGTAAACATTTATTGAGAGCATCAGGAGGGAAAATGTCCCAGGCATCTGAAAGACAGAGGCCTGCAGCTTGCTGGGCAGCTAGGGCCCAGGGTGCTGCCCACCTCAGCCCTGTCCCCCAAAGCCTGTGTCAGCTGCGTATACTGAGCACTTAACTGTGCAGGAAGGGAAGTCAGCAGATCTCTAATGAATTCCTGATCTGACTCCAATCCCTCTCTTCCTTGAACACATTTCTTTGGAGAATCAAAACCCAACATCTGGAATTTGGCTTTTCACTGTCACAGGATGTCTCCAATGCTGGCTCTTGTTTCTGGAGTTACATAATTTCTCCTAAGCAGCTTTTTTCTCACTTCAAAAAGAAAGTGAGAGAGATTGCAGAGGAAATGCCTATGATATTAAAAAGTCATAAGCACTCATCTGTGATAACAAAAAAGCAGTGGTCCTGGACACACATAGGTTCTGATAGTTAACGACGAACTTGAGGGAATGAGGCCTGGTGGAACTGACCATAAATGAACAGAAATAAAGAGTGTGAGGAAAAGAGGTAAATGCCTCATGATGTGCAAACATTGTGGCAGTGGTTTAAACATCTCAGGAAGGAATTGAAGAATCATTGGTTTGATAGGCATCTGGTTAGCTCAGACCATCTCATCAAGATAATCTTATAAACCTTCAATCAACGGTTGGCTTAAAGTCTTTAAGCCTTGCCACTAGACACCTCCTGCATACTGCAGAAGGGCCACCTTGGAAGCGCATACTGCAGTGTTCAAGAAAGAACCTGAGGCAATTACAGACACCTGTCTATAGCAGCCAGACCCCAGACCAGCCCACAGCTTTCACTGGGCAGACCTTGGCTTTTCACCCAAGATTCCACTGGCCCCACTGAGTGGAAATGAGCTTTGTAAACCACTGCTTGTTCTCTTGAAAGAGGCAGTTGACCTAATGGCTGATTATTTTCCTGAAATGGCCCCTTGAACTGGAGTTCCATTCTCCCTATTAAAGGAGAACAGGAATAAATACAATCCAAGAATCATTATAAACAGAGTTTTACTCTCCTCCTGTTGAAACTTCTACCACAGCTCTAAAGTGCCTCAGTGCAGAAGATTTAAGAAAAAAAATAGGTCCATTCTTAAATGCTCAAGGATTTTAATCTCAAAATGTATGTAAGTTCTCTGCCTAACCCAGAAATGAGAGCCAAGAGCAGCTGTGTGTGTGTGTTTGTGTGTGAGCATGAGTGGTGTTGGGTGAGTGTGATGACATTGTTGAATATTTTATCCTCTTCCAAGAAACCAGTATTGGTAAGTAGATTAGATTGAATTTCTCTGGAATCTCAAGATGTCTCTCCATTCAGAGTGCTTAAACATAAGAAAGGTTCTAAAGTTGTCATAAAGTCATCAACTTTAAAACTGAACACTGTGTGCCTGGTGCTTGGGATTCAATAGTTAACAGGTATGGTCTCTCCTCAGGAAGCCTATGGTCTAACAGGAGATCTAGATGATGAAATAGGCAATCACCATTTAGGGCAATAAGTGTCCATTCACGTCACAATGGGAAGTTTGAGACTCCCTGGAAGCATATATGAGAGTCACTTAACTCAGTCTTTGGAAGTCAAGCAAGGCATCATGGAAGAAATGACATCTAAGCTGAGATCAGAGAAGCAAGGCAAAAGTTTAAAAGAGAAAGGACAGAACATCAAGGCAGAGGCAATCTTAATTGCAAAGCCCCAGAAAGGAAAGTGCATGGCTTTTGGCTGAAATGTAATTAACAGGCGATAAACAAAGACAGATTTCATAAAGAGGGATCAACAAACCTTTCTGTAAAGGACAGACAGTAAGTAATTTAGGATTTATGGGTCATGCACTCTGTTGCAACTATTCAATTCTGCTGCTGTAACTAGAAAGCACCCATGGACAATATGTAAATGAATGTGTTTTCATAAAACTTTATTTACAAAAACAGGTTGTAGGTCAGACCCAGCTGACATCCTGACTCTGCTGGCACCTGAACCCTCACTGTTCTGTGGTCCCCAGGCCAGCAGCATCAGCATCACCTTGGCAGCTCATTAGAAAGGCAGACTCTCAGACTCTCCCTTCTGACCTATAATCTGAATTTTACATTCGAGAGATCCCCAGGTTGACAGAGCCCTGTTAAGGCATTTGGTCTCTGTCTTTGACACACTCATGTATGCATGTTTGAAAGATCCCTGTGGCTACAGTACTGCAAGTACACAACAGTGAGCAGCTCCTGAAATTTTGTCTCCCTCGTTGCCCAACTTGCCTCCCTTATACCTGGTCCTGGTGAGGAAAATGGACAGTAGAGGGCAAGACGGCAGGATGGTTTCTCTTTTCTCCCAGCCCCTGAAAGCCCACCCCTATCCCACCTCCCTTCACAACAAAGGCTGACCTTCAAAAACTACTGGAGGTAGTACTCATTACGCTTCCCAAAGGCTAACCGACTGGGTGTATTTCTAAGTCTCACTTGAAGCCATTCTTCTAGGGACCTCCTACCAGACCAGAGCTGGGCATCGTGTTTCTCTGCTGTCCATTAGGTCCTCCTTTGTTCCCATAGACATTCCATAGCACTCTGGGGGTCCAGTCTTCTGGGCCAGTTCCACCTCTAGAGGTATTTCTGGCCAAATGGGCTTGATGTCGGCTTCCAGACAAGCATGCAGGCAGCAGCTCTGAGCGTGAGCAGAATAAAGCCCCTTAATTAGGCAAGAGAGGGACTCAGCCAGCTGTGCACACTTGAGGGAAGACATCCATCAAAGAATGCATCTCCCTTCCCTACCTTTTATTTATGCTTTAGAAAATCCAATTAAAGCCGAGCCTGGCACTCTCCTAACTTTCAGCCATTTAACACATACAACAGAGTTGCTGGCCATGAATTTAAACACGCACATACACACACAGTCATGCGTGCACACAAAATAAACATGCACACATCCTGTTTCTTCCTTGTGGGCTCCCAGGACTTAGGGACTTTGGGTGTGCCTGTGGACGCTTAGCCAAAACGATGACCAAAGGTTGGTCAGAAAATGTCATTCAGCTGCTTTCGCTGGTTTCTCATGTCTTTTCCACTGCATCTGATGATTATATTTCATCCACATGCCTTTCCTGCTCATTTGGGCTTGTCCTTGGGGATGATTCACTGAGATTATGCTGATGTGAACAAACTCTGTGAACGTTTTTCCCTGCTGTTTCACTGGTTTAAGATTAGACTGCCACTTTATAGTCCAACCTTCACTTTGCTGGCAGTACCTTGATAACGTATGGCCCCAGGAAAGACACCCTGTGGAAATTACTGCAATTATCAGGCTTGGACAAAATGGACACTGGGAATTTCCTGGTGTGGGGCATGCTGAGCTCCTCATGTCTGTAAATGCCCCATGCCAGGTCAACTACTCTGTCACCTGAGTGCAGGAACTCAACACACATGCACTCAGTCACCTGAGCCCCCGAGAGTACCTTCTCACATCTAGAACCCTGTAAATGCTCTTTCTGTCCTACCAGTGTATTTGGTACATGACAAAGCTTAACATTTTTTAAATGGGATAAACCCCAGGCATAGTGTTGGGAACTTGGATTTTAGGGTCAGCCAACTTTAGTATGAATCCCCATTCTGCTTACTAGCTGAGTAACCTTGAACATGTGGCCTAACCTTCTCTATGACTCAGTTTCGCTATATTTTAAAATGAGGATAACGATAGTACCTGGCTCACAGGGTTATGGTGAGGGTTCTATGAGATCATGCACATGGAGGAGTTGGCAGAGTGAATGGAACATGGTAACACAAACAAATGTTAGCTATAATTCCCAGGGTTTATTATTGTTAAAGCCTTCCCTCCAGCTTTCGCTAATCCATGTGTGTCCCTTCTCTCAAAAGCTTTCCTAGCTAAACCCAGCCAGCCAGGACATGATTTTGGTTCTTGTTCGCCAGCACATTTAAATAGGGCTGCTAGTGGCTTTGCTTTTACTGGGTTTTCAAAAAATGTTTCCCATTTACATGTTTTATCTCCTCAAGCAAATTATAAATTTCTTAAGGGAGAGGACCTGATCTTGTTTTGCTATGACCCTCCCACACCCTAAGATATTTACCATAATGATTACATCTTAATCATTTTCCCCTTATAGTATCAATGTTTATTTTAGATTTGGGGATACATGTGCAGGTTTGTTAC
The DNA here is from genome assembly GCF_000001405.40 of Homo sapiens. Taxonomy (NCBI): domain Eukaryota; kingdom Metazoa; phylum Chordata; class Mammalia; order Primates; family Hominidae; genus Homo; species Homo sapiens. The sequence goes on from NC_000007.14 coordinate 25,791,527, forward strand.
GTGGGTATATTGCATGATGCTGAGGATTGGGGTACAAATGTTCCCATCACCCAGGTAGTGAGCATAGTACCCAACAGTTTTTCAACCCGGGCTTCTCTCCCTCCCTCCTCCTTCTTGTAGTTCCCAGTGTCTATTGTTGCCATCTTTAACATCTTAATCTTTGATGAATAAATTTTATTTAAGAATATATAGCATAATGTGTATTACAAGTAACATGGATTTGGTTTGGTTTATCATCTGTGGTCCTGTGACCTGTGCACATGGAGAAGCACAGACTAAACAGAAATTTCCTTTTGTCATTAAAGTAGTCAGAATGCCAGCTCTGTAGCCTGACTTCCCAGTTTGAATTCAAGCTTTTCTCGTTACTAATCATGTGACTGGGGAAAGCTTCCTAACTCTCCCAGCCTTGGTTTACTTATCTGTAAAATGGGAATTTGGGTGAAGATTAAATGGGTTAGGGCAAGTTAGGTGCTCCAGAACATTGTAATTTATTATTGTTTATAAATAATTTGATATAAAATTAATACTACAAACACATTTGCAGAGAAGAATGGCATTAAATAGAGGAATAAACTATTTGATAAAAATTATACTATATTGACTTTTTAGCATAACCCATAATCACATGCCAAATAAATTGTGTAAATGATGCAATTGTTTTTCCCTTAACAACTTTTTTTTACATAAGTATATACAATCTTTATTTTCAATAAAGAAATAATATGAAAAGAAGAATCACAACACCCAAAAATCCCCCCCAAAATTTAGCTTTTCTGTAAGTGTGTGGTAGTGTTTCATCATGGTTTTGATTTGCCATTTCCCTAATAATTGACGATCTTAAGCATCATTTCAGGTACTTATATGCTCTCATTGAGTTAAATACATATTCAAATAAGTTGTCCATTTTTTAGAATTATTTTTTATTTTATTGAGTTTTGAGAGTTCTTTATATATTCTGGACACAGTTCCTTTGCTAGATATGTATTTTGCAACTATTTTCTCTCTGTGGCTTTTCACTTTCTGAACATGTTTGAAGAGCAGATTTTATTAAAAATTTTGATGATGTCCAATTAATCATTTTTAATGACTCTTCCTTGTGTACTAACAAATCTTTTCCCATCACAGGGTCATAACATTTTCTCTTTTTTTCCTAGTAAAGTGTATTAGTCTATTCTCACACTGCTATAAGGATATATCTGAGACTGGATTTATGAAGAAAAGAGGTTTAATTGGCGCACAGTTCCACAGACAGTACAGAAGGCGTGGATAGGAGGCCTCAGGAAACTTACAATCACGGCGGAAGGGGAAGGGGAAGCAAGCACGTCTTACTACGGCCAAGCAGAAGAGAGAGAGAGAGAGAGCGAAGGGGGAAGTGCTATACACTTTTAAACAACCAGATCTCACTCACTATCACGAGAACAGCAAGGAGGAAATCTGCCCCCATGATCCAGTCACTTCCCACCAGGCCCTTTCTCCAACATGTGGGGGTTACAATTCAAAATGAGACTTGGTGAGGTCACAGAGCCAGTGGGAGTCAAGGTTTGATTTTTTTATTTTTTGGCATATAGCTTTCTTTTCTTTTTTTTTTTTTTTTTTTTTTTTTGAGATGGAGTCTCGCTCTGCTGCCCAGGCTGGAGTCCAGTGGTGTGATCTCGGCTCACTGCAAGCTCCACCTCCTGGGTTCACGCCATTCTCCTGCCTCGGCCTCCCGAGTAGCTGGGACTACAGGCGCCAGCCACCATGCCCGGCTAATTTTTTGTATTTTTTAGTAGAGACGGGGTTTCACCCTCTTAGCCAGGATGGTCTCGATCTCCTGACCCCGTGATCCACCCTCCTCGTCCTCCCAAAGTGCTGGGATTACAGGCGTGAGCCACCATGCCCGGTCGGCATATAGCTTTCAAATTGTTCCAGCAACATTTGTTGAAAACATTGTTTGTTCTCCTTTGAATTATCTTGGCATCTTTGTGGAAAATCAATTGACAATATATGTGTAGGTCTATTTTTGGACTTTCTATTCTGTTCTGTTGATTTATCCCTCTAACTTTACATTAACACCATGTCGTCATGCTCAAATAGCTTTATAGTAGACTGTATCAGATGGTGTACAACTATTATGTGTCAATTTTTAAAAAGCTATTCTTGACCTGACATGATGGCTCATGCCTATAATCCCAGCACTTTAGGAGGCTGATGTGGGAGGATCACTTGAGGCCAGGAGATGGAGACCAGCCTGGGAAATATAGCAAGACCTCAATTCTAAAAAACAAAATTAGCTGGGTGTAGTGGCATGTGCCTCAAGTCCCAGATACTTAGGAGCTAAGGCAGGAGGATCACCTGAGTCCAGGAGTTCAAGGCTGCAGTGAGCTATACTTGTGCCACTGCACCTCACCTTGAGTGACAGAAAAAGACGCTGTCTCTATTTAAAAAAAAAAAAAACTGTTGTTTATTTTTAAAAATTGCTTTTATTAATACTTATATAGTCATTTCCTTTTATTATCTTTACAGTTATTTCCTTTTATCTATATACAAATTAAAATTTTTCATATATGTTGTCAGTTTCTACAAGAAATAAAAGCCTGCTGGATTTTGACTGGGATTGCCTTGAATCTATTGGTCAATTTGGGAAAAACTGACATTTTAACACTAGTGTGCCTTCCAATCAATAAAGAATGCTGTATTTTTTTGTTTGTTAAATATGTTTTAATTTCTCATATCAATAATTTTTATTTTGAGGAATACAAATTTTACACATTTTTTAGATTTATCCCCAAGTAGTTAGTGTTTTTTGATGTTATTACAATTGTTATTTTTTGAATTTTTAATTTAGATTGTTTATAAATTTCAATTATTTATTTATAGAAACGCATTTGATTTTTGTATAGTACAGCCTTCCTTAACTCACTTTTTACTTTTAGTAGCTTCTTTGTAGTTTTGTTTTGTTTTGTTTTGTTTTTGATAATCCATGTAGATGAGCATGTTATCTGAAATTAAAGACACTTTATTATTCTTCAATTTGTATGCCTTTTATTTGTTTTTCTTAGTTATTGCACTGGCAAGGACCTCTAATGTTGAATACATATGGTGGCAGTGTACATTTTTGCCTTGCTCACAACCTTAGGGGAAAAGCACACAGTGTTCCACCATTAAATGCGATGCTAGCTGTAAATTTTGTATAGATGTCATTTTCATGTTAAGGAAGTTCTCTTCTCTTCCTAGTTTTCTTACAGTTTTTATGATGAATGGATGTTGAATTTTGTTAAATACTTCCTCTGCATCTATTGACATGATCATGTGTTTTATTTTCTTTACTCTGAACAACATTCATTATATAATATCAACCCTCTGATTTTCCTTTGGAGAATCACCCCTTTAGCTCCATGTGGTCCTAGTGAGATTGCCCACCTTAGCAACCACTGGGTCCCTGTGCTCACCATCTCACCACAGGTGTGAGCAAATGACCAAACTGAGACAATCAGAGTCTTTCCTGAGATGGGACTTATGGATTCTGGGAAACAAAAGTTCTTCCTCTGGGATTGAGAGCTGCAAAGACCACACAAGCTAGAGATGCTTTCAGTCACTTTGAATACCTTTGAAAAGTGGAAGAAACTGCAAATTGGTGTCAATGCACAGAGCTAAGTGATGGAGAGATGGCAAGAGAAAGATAAAAATCTAGCAATGTTTTATGAGCCCCTAGACTGTGATATGACCGTAGACAACTCAGCCTCCAGGTTTCCCACATCTGTGAGCCAACAAAATTCCTCTTTGCCTACACTAATTTGCATTACCTTTCTGGCACTTGCAACCAGAGGAACCCTGATTGAAACACTTTTCACTGTGTGAGTAACATGTCCACTAAATCAGGCCCAAACAAGAGAGAATCATTTACTTCAATTAGTTGGCATTACATAAAACTAATAAAACCTATTTTTAAAAATAATTCTATTAGTAAGATTTTTAATTTATATTAAGGAAGTTTTACTAAAAAGAGTTGTTTTATTATGTCTTACATTTTTATTCTAGGTAGTCATAAGTAGAAGTTAAAGTAAAAAGGCTAAATCTTTTAAATAAATACAATAGTAAATATGCAAAATAAAGTGAATTAGATTTGCTGTCCATTTATCTATGAAAAAAGTAAAATATTATGTATGATATCTGTACACATACATCTATAGATAGATACTATGTACTATAGTATATGAACTGAGAGAGAGCATATGAAATTACTGAGGTTCTGCTATATGCCAGATCCTGTTCCAGTGCATTGTGAATGTTATTTTATTTGGTCCTCACAACAACGCCTCTTCAGGGTAAGCATTCTTGTCCTGCATGACACATGTGAAAAAAAGAGAGACAAAAAGTTTATATAATTTGCCCAAGGTCACATAGCTGCTACATGACAGAGCCCAATTTCAATCCAAGCTTACTAGTTCCAACAAACCATGAGTTCTTTCCATTACACCACTCTGGCTACTTCAGAAACAATTGCCATTTTCACCTTCCCAGTGTCAGGAAGGAATCTGAGTGCTATTACATAAGCACACATGTCTGCTCCACATACACTTGTGTGGAGCAAGGATCTCTAAAACTGTGCTCAGATTCACAAAGTGAAAGTGCAAAACCCCGTGTTAGCTCATCGCTGGGCTCAACTGCTTAGAAGGCCAACCTCTGCAGGGGAGGCCACAGGGGGAGGGATCCCAGCTAGGAGACCATCATGCCTCACCCAAAGGCACCTTTCTGCCCCTCAGTGACTTGCAGACTTGCTATAACATAGATGGATCCCCGGGATAGAGCAACCATACTATTGGCTTTGAAAATAAAGACTCAAATATAACTATATTATTTAGAAATATAGAGGTAAAAATGTAAACATACATATATATATATATATATATATATATATATGCCAGGCATGGTGGTTCATATCTGTAATCTCGGCCTGTAGTCCCAGCTATTGAGGAGGCTGAGGTGGGAAAATCACTTGAGCCCAGGAGGTCGAGGCTGCAGAGAGTCATGATGGCACCACTGCACTCCAGAAAGCAAGCAAGCAAGACTGGTGGTGCATAGTGGTTGAAGCTGGGTGATGGAACGTGGGATTTCTCAAACTATTCTCTCAACTTTTGTATATATTCTAAATTGCCCTTAATAAAAGAAAAAGAAAAAAAGAAATATGGACATAAGAAGCACAGCTTTTAAAAATGGAAAGGGTTTGGCTTTTGGGGGAGGGGACGGTGGGGGTAGAGGGCAAGGCTCAAGTATGGAGAGGTGAGACAAGGGACCATGGTTTTCCTTACATGCCCTGTAGTATCACTGACTTTTTCTATTATATGAACATATCACTTGAAAAAAATTAAACATTAAAAGAAACAAAAAATAATGGAGCAACTTATCGGCCAGCCTGTCCCTGCTCCATGGCAGACATCACTAATTAGCCTCAGCCTGATTTCCAGCTGAGCCCAGAAGAGCCTCTGGAATCATTCTCAGTGCAGCCTGCTAGAGATGAAGCCCATCCCAAGATGAAGAGATCTTCCATAGCATGTGTTTATCCCACACTTTGCCTGTAATGGTTCTCACAGTTCAGACAGGATCCGATCTGCCCAAAATACTTGTCCTCTGGACTCCAGGACAACCTGGGTACTCTAGCAGAGAGGGAGGGTAGGGCTCCCAGAGCCTCCCACAGGCCCTCAGAATTAGGTTGTCACCCCTGCCTTGCCCTCACCAGCCTCAGCAGATGCTTCCATTTCTGTTGGAGCCCATGCTGAGCCAGAACTTCCAGCCCTCCTTCCGTGGCTTCAATAACATTTTCCTAGGATGTGCTTTACAGCAGATCTCAGACAGTGATGAGTGCTAACAGATCCCAGTCCTGTGCAAAAGGAAAGTGTTAGAATTATATTTGGGTGGACTTCTGATGTGTGAGGGGCTTTTCCACATTTGGACAGAAGTGAAGTGCCAGTCACGTCTTTCCTGGATGGGCTGGTTTATAATTCTCCTGGGAGGCTTAACTGCGTCAGCATAAACTAAGGGAAGGAGCAGGGTCTAGTACAGCTGAGAACTGGTCCCCATTCCTTTTGTGGGAAAACTTCAATGTTCCATAGGCCTTGGACCTGTCAACCCAGACAGCTTATATTCCCAGCCTTTTCCCAGGGCTAGGTTCCTCAGCCAATCCCATTCTCAGTCTTCAACACTAACCTCAAAGGTGGGGACATGCTTCAATTCTTTCACTTGAGAGACTGGGAAGCAAGGGGGAGGAAGTAACATATATTGATTATCTCTTTGACCAGACGTAGCTCTAGGAGCTTCCTATTTATTTCATCCTACCCATAAATCCTGTGAATCCAATTTTACAAATGAAAACAGTGAGGCTTAAAGAGGTTGTAGTTTTGCCCATGGTCAGATAACCAGAAAGTGCCAGAGTAGGATTTAATTTTAGGTCTTCTGAATTCAAAAACCCTTGTTCTTCCCCAGCCTGATGCTCCAAAGAAGTCTGTGCACACTTGTTGGTCCGTCACAAATACCAAGCCCACAGCACTGGACAATTTGGAGCCAGCATATACGCCCATCTAGAAAGTGTTCACCATGAAGAAAGGGACTTATGGCGATGCTTGAACCCACGCTTCAGACAGAGTCAGGCTCCACTTCCAAAATCAGAATTTGCTGAGGAAACAGCTCTCTACAGGTAGAAGGTACTTCCTAGGTAACTCCCAGCATCTGCCTTCTGTCCAGTCACATTTCCATTTCTCGCTGTCTTCACATAGACCACGGACAGGGCCTTCATGTTTTCTCTGTAGCCTGGGAGAGTGAGCATTTTTGTGGTCTGACTTAAAGAAGGAGAAATAGCAGACTAAATAAATCAAAAATCCTACCCAAATTACCATTGCAATCCTACAATTACAGTTATGTAATTGACAGAGATTGATTTGTCATTCATACATGGCACTGAATCTTCAACACAGGCCTCTGACTCATCTTGGAGATGTCCAGTCCATTGAGGCCCAAGTCCTAGGGTTGACATTCATACTCAGCATGAGTTCTGATTATGACTCCAGGAAGTGCCATGCACATATTCCGTAAAGTCAGGCAAGCCTCTGCAGCTGGACAGAGTAGCACCAACCTTAATACACCTCTCTCAGTACTGATAGAACATGCAGATAAAAGATCAGCAAAAAATAAAGATGGTTGGAACAACATGATTAGTCAACTTGACCTAACTGGCATATTTAGAACAGCCCACCCAACATCTGGAGAACCCACATGCTTTCCCAGTGATTATAAAACAGTTACCAAAATAAACCATAAACTTGTCCATAAAATAAGTCTCAACAAATTTCAAACAATTTAAATTAAAATACCTTCTTTGATCATAGTAGCATTGAATGAGAAATCAATATAAGAAAGATAGATAAGAAATAACCAAACATTTAGACATTAAGCAACACACATTTAAATATCCCACAGGTCATTGAAGGAATAGAAATAGAAATTAGAAAATATTCTGAACCAAGTGAAAATGCAACATATCAAGGCTTGTGGAATGCTGCTAAAGCAGTGCCTACAGGAATATTCCTAGAACTAAATGCAGGTATTAAAAATATTTTTTAAATTAGGTAAATACATATATTGTTAAAGTTTTTAAAGGCTGAAGATTAATACATTGCTGTCTCAAAAAGCTTATGGAAAAAGTAGCAAATTAAGCACAAGTAAAAATGTTAAAATAGCTATGATAAAGTTAAGCCCAGACACTAATGAAATATAAAATAAATACGCAATGGAGAAAAATCAACAAACACAAATGTTTGGTAGTTTGAAAAAATTAGCAAGGTTTACAAATTCCCAGCAAGGTAAATTTAGAAAAAGAGAAAACACAGGTAACTAAGTCCAAAGATGAAAAACAGGACCTCACTACACATCTTACAGACACTGAAAACATATTAAGAGGATGTTATAAAGAACTTTACAACAATAAATTTGAAATTTTAAATGAAATGAATGAATTCTGGAAGAAAACTATTTACAATTGACTCAGAAAGAGATAGAATATGTGAATACTCTTAAAGCTGTTCAAGAAATTGGAATCATAATTTAAAGACATCCACAAAGAAAGCCGTGTACCCATATGGTTTCATTTGTGAATTTTTGTGCAAATCTTCCCAAAGAATAGAGAAAGAAGAAACCCTTCCTAGTTTTTTTTCTGAGGAGCATAACATTGATATCAGAATCTGATATAAGAAAGGAAGATTATAGATGCAAAAATCCTAAGCAAGATATTAATGCATTGAATCCAATAATACAGCCAAAAATTAATACATTATGACCAAATGGGATTTATTCCAGGAATGCAAAGTTGGCTTAACATACTAAATAAATTAAAGTAATTCACCACATAACATAATAAAGGAGAAAATCTGTTCATTCATCTTAATAGACACAGACAACACATTTGATAAAATTCAACAACTGTTCATGACTTAAAAAAACTTTTAGCAAATTAAGAATAGCAAAGAAACCTTTAATTCGATAAAAGATGCCGATAAAACTCATCTAACACTCTCCCCTGAGACTGAGAACAATACAAGAAAATACTCCTGAATCTCTTCTATTCAATATTATAGCAGAGCTCTTACCCAGAAAATAAGCCAAGAAAAATAAATAAAAGTAAAAGATTTGAAAGAAAAAAGTAAAACATTATTCATAGAGGAGATAATTAAGTGCACATAGAGAATCCAAATGAAACTATAGACTATTCAATTTATTAAGGTAACTTAAGATTGTTGGATACAAAAAGTAATTGCATAATTACTGAAAATAATTACAAAATGAAATTTTTAAAACACCAAATATAATAGTATCAAAAATCATAAAATACCTAGGAACAAGCCTAACAAAAATGTGCAAAATCTATATACCAGAAACTACAAAGCATTGCTGAGGGAAATTTTGAAAGACTTAAATAAATTAAGGAATAAGTCATTTTCATGCATTAGAAGACTCAACATTGTTAGGGTATAAATTCTCCCTAAATTAACTTAAAAATTCAATGTCATCCTAATAAAAATTCCACCAGGATTTTTGTGGAACCTGACAAGCTGATTCTAAGATGCATATGAAAATGCAAAGGACCTGGTCATGGCAATCTTAAAAGTCACATCTGGAGGATTTACACAATCAGATAACAAGATGTAAGATTCTACAGTAGTAAAGATAGTGATGGAGGCACAGACAGAGATAAATGGACCAATGGGACAAAATACAGAACCCAAAAATAGACCCACATATAGTCATCATCTGATTTACAATAAAAACACACTGTAATTCAGTGGGGAGCTTTTAAAATAAATGGTTCTGGGTCAAATGGATCTTCACCTAGAAAAAAAATAAACTTTGAGCCTCTACCTCACATTATAGGAGAAAATTAATTTAAGGTACCACATAGACTCAAATGTGAAAGTTAAAACAATCAAGCTTCTGGAAGAAAGCTTAAGAGAATTTATCAGAAACTTGGTGTGGGCAAAAACTCCTTAAACACAAAAAACACAAACTATGAAAGTTTGAAAAACTAGACTTCCTTAATATTAAGAACTTCTGTTCATCATAACACAAGATGAAGATAATTAACAATCAGCTGTAGATTGGGAGAAGATATTTGTGATTAATGTATCTGTCAAAAAAACTAGCATCTAGAATATATAAAGAACTCCTACAAATCAATAAGGAGAATGACAACCAATTTTTTAATGGGCTTAAACCTTAAGCAGTCACTTAAGGTTTATATGCTTACTGGTCATCCAAATGGCCTTCAAAATTCATATATTGAAGCCCCAGCTCCCAATGTGATGGTACTTGGAGATGACGCTTTGCTTGGGAAATTAGATAAGAAATTAGGGTTAAATGACGTCATAATGGCAGGGTCTTAATCTGGTAGGACTGGCATCCTTATAAGAGGAGGAGATACCAGAGGGCTCTTTCTCATACTCATGCACAGAGAAAGGGCCAGGAGACGATATAAAGAGAAGGCAGCTATCATAAGCCAGAAAGAGAGCCCTCACCAGAAACCAAATTTTCTAGCACCTTAATCTTGGATTTCAATCCTCCCGGACTGTCAGAAAATAAATTTCTGTTGTTTAAGCTGCCCAGGCTATGGTATTGTGTTATGGCAGATTGAGTAGACTAATACAATCATCAAAAGAGCTAACATTAAAAGGACTTACAGTGCCAAATGTTGATGAGCTTATGGACCAAATGGAACTTTCATGCACTTTTGGTGGGACTGTAAATCAGAACAATCACTTTGGAAACTGCTTACTGGTATCTACTACAGCTAAACACATACCTACTTTATGATCCAGAAATTCCATTCCCGGGTATATTAATGAAGAGAAAAGAGTACATGCGTGTACTCAAAGATATGTACAAGAAAATTCTTAGCACCTTAATGTATAATCACCCCAAACAAGAAACAACCCAAATTTCTATCAGAAACAAAATAGTTAAATACTTTGTTGTATATTCGTGCAGTGGACTATTACACAGCAATAAAAATAAAGTATCCTGCTATACTCAATAGTGTGGATGATTCTCACCAACATACTGTAGAGTTAAAAAAAAGTCAAACCTAAAATAATGCATAGCCTACAGTTCCATTTATATGAGGCCTAAGAACAGGCCAAAGTAATCTACGGTGTTAGAGTTTAGAATAGTGGTTGCCTTTGGTGGGGATATTCATACAGAGAGGGCATAGCGGAACTTTCTAGAATGCTGGAAATACTGTAACTCTTGATGTGAGTAGTGGTTTCATGGATATCTACATAGATGAAAATTCATTCAGTGAGCTACACACTTAAGATTTGTAAACTTTACTGTACATGAGTTATAAAAAGTCAAAAGAATATCTTGACTATTGAGAATCAAAAAGATTAGTTTTCTTTCATAAATTCGTGTCCATTTTGGCTTGGACCACATTGCACAGAGTCCAGTGAACACTGGGAAATACACTGTTTATCAAGATTTTTGTGGACTGCCTCATGCAAAAAAATTAATATGTCAAATGGAATCTTTCTTCCTGGAAATTTATAACTTGTTTGTGAACACTGATTATATTCATTTCCAGCTTTCCACTTGACTTTCTGTTGTGAAGTCTGTCATAGCTTCTGTTTCACTTTGTTAGAGGAGACCAGTCATATGGTTTTGTGAATCTAAAGTAGAAGAAATTCCCTTAGAGCAATGAAAACATTCTTAAAACAACTGCTGGGTTCTGCTACAGTGGCTTCAACCTCTCTGGAAATTTTCTTTGTTATTTTTGTTATTTGTTCATTCTGAAGTCTGTAAAAGATAGTTGTCTCCAAATAGCAACTTTTACTCCAAAGAAAGAGTAGGTAGGTATGGTTGTGTATGTGTCTTGTGAGTACCTGCATATAAAGTCACAAAGTTCTAGATAGAATTATATATTTCCTCCTAAAAAGATATTGGAAGGTATCTTTTGCCTCTCTTAGGAACATGGTAAATGTAACAGGAATATAGCCACATCAGTTTTGTTAAAAAGAAACAGATCTTCTATGAAAATAGAGATTTTATATACAACTTGACATTTGAAGACAGATACTTTACCAATGAGATGGTAAAAAACAGTCAGGACTGTTTGATTATGGCTGTAAAATTCCCAACTAAAAACAGTTAAATCAAAATAAAGGGGGTGATCAGGAAGGTACTGGGTGGTTCATGGAGTCGAAGGAGAGCTTCAGAGCTCAGAGGTGACACTTTCTGTTCATCTCATCGCTCTGCGGGCTGTTGGTGCCACGCTGTCTACTGCCAAAGGGCTTTCTACACTTCAGGGAGCATGGCTGGAGACAACTCTGACTTGCACAACTCAGACTTTCCAATCTGAATAGAAAGATATCCTCACCACCAGAACCACCTCGAACACCTGGGAAGGCCCCTGATTCTCCTGGCCGGTGCTGTGTGCCCACTCAGTCATTATGGATCATGGAGCAAGAACGGGGCAGACAAAAGCAGTAACCATCCCTGACAGATAAATACACCTCAAAAAGCCTGCACACCCTAATTCAGCTTAAACGTCCCATTTACTCGCTTCTCCAGACAGTCCAGACCATGTCGTCTTCTTCAATTTCTAGAAGGTGTCAGTTTTCCATTCTTCATTCCCTACCTCTGAGACAGCCCTTCCCACTGTCTGTCAGCACTCTCAGCCTTGCTCTCTACAACACGTAGACAAGAAGGCTTGGAACAATTGAAAAGACTGACAGGAGAAAAGACTTTGTAAAACATTTTGAATTTTGAAACCAAGTAGTTTGAGATGTTTCAGGGTTTTTTTAAGCCTGATTCATCTTAACATTCATAAATAGTATTGATCAGATCTGTATGCACACATACTTAACACACACGTGTGCTTTCCACTCCCACGAGGCAGAATAATCACTGGTGATCTAGTGATTACACAACTTAGAGAATAAAGACCCATATAGAATATCTAAAGAGAGCTGTCCAAATCTGATCCACTGCCTGTTTTTATTAATAAGGTTTTATTGAAATGCAGCCATACCCACCCCTTTAAGTATTTTCTATGGCTGTTTTTGTGCTGGAAAGTTGACTAGTTGCAATAGAGACTGTCAGGTCTGCAAAGTCTGAAATATGTACTATCTGGCCCTTTACAGAAAGTTCCCACATCCTGATCTAAACAAGTCCCCACAAAACCATTTTTCCCTTGAAACCATTTCAAGGATAAGTAGTGTTGTAAATCTGAATTATCCAGATAATTGCCATGTCGCTAATTTTCTTTGCCTGTACTTGCTGTTTAACCCAAACTACATGGACTTATGTCTGTACAGGCCAAGACTTGCAGGAGACCAGTCAACTGTGCATTCAGTCAACAAAAGTAACCAGTATTACTCATATTATCCCTCAAGCAATTGGAACAGTAATATGAAATATCTACACACTTGCCCCACACCTCCCCGTTCATTTCTCTTGGTCATAGAAACAGACGAGAAAGATGTAAGAAGGAGCGATGTGTATTCAGCTCAAAGTGAAGTGGAATTGTGACCATCACTGAATTCCACATAGATGATGATAATTGGGGAAACAGACAAGAAAATACATTTAAGAGTCTGAATTTTCTATTTTGCCTGTCAAAATAAGTGAATCACTGCTGAAATGCCATTTAACTTTACATTGTGTATAAACAGCAAGAAAAGGCAAAAATTACACTGACAAAATGCTATATTCACATTTTTCAGTTTCCTCTTTCTTAGTGCATAAAAATTCTGTGAAGTCTGCACCTCTCAAAAATTTTCTGTGTAACACAATATTGACATATTGAGGGAAACCAGAAGGAGCAAGCAAGAGACCCCAATACACACACACACACACACACACACACACGTTTCTAACCAAAAAAAAAAAGAAAAGTAAAGAAATCCAAGAGCAATAACCAACCCAAAAATGCCAAGAAGCAGGGTTATAAATTTAACACGAACAGCTCCCTCTTCCAACTCCCAGTCCGTTTATCAACTTTTAAAAACTAAATGACAAGTTAAGATTATTAGTCAAAATATATAAATAAATCACCTTACATATGTGATTTCCAAAGTCTGTGAATGATTTCACAGTGGTTAGTTGTAATAAGTGAATACACAGGCAACCTGGGTTTGGGAAAAAACTGGTCCAGGTAAGGCTGGAAGCCCGCCAACCTCCAGACAGCACAATTAGCACAGGAGGTAGACATGAAAGCTGGGCAGCACACAGGAGGCTTTACAACGGCATTGGGTGAGCTTTCTTTCACAAGGACATCCTAGCCATTGCTTGGTCTGCCATCCCCTACACGCAATTCTGCTGTTTATAGAAAGAACTTTTTTTAGATGCCTCCAAAAAGCAAGGATTAAGTCAACTCATCATAAATTCCTCCTGCTAGAAACCAACTCATGGAAAAAACTTTCTGAAAATACAGTTTGTCAAATGCTTTAGGTTTTAATGAAATGCCAAGATGTGGGAGTCATAAATTATCTGCTGCAACAGGAGGCCTCACAGAGAGTGAGGAATGCCAGAGCTCTGTGTTCAAGATGAATTGCTGGAAACTTCTCTATCTTAAAAAATTGATCCTGATTTTTTACCTGTTTAGATTTACACAACATCTGATGTTAACAGCCCTTATGTGGCTGCCATGTGCCAAATGTAGACAAAAAAAACAAGAAGAAAACATTCTTTGAGCTGGCCCAGAGCCAGGTTTGTCACACAAGGGCCCCTGCCCTCCAGGTATCATTTGGTTGCTGCCGTTCATAGCATTAGTGGTGTTGAAATGAAGCCAGCTGTATTCTTTGCAAACCAATTTGTCCAATAGCATGGATTATTGTGTTAGGTAATCTGTCACTTCTCAAAAAAAAAAATCTTTAATGGCCTTTACATATTGCTCTCAGAGCATTTGAAGGCCTTGTAGTGATACCATCCCATGCCTGATTTATTCACCTCAGAAGAAGCCACCCTATTTGGCACCGTCTCTGCTAAACAACTACAGCATTTTTAAGTGTAGAGCTATTCAAACCTGAATTTCCTAGATTATTTTATTTATGCAGTGCATGTAAACATTGAAAGCAAATTCACATCACCAAGGAAAATGATCCCCGTAACATGTCTAAAAATCATCTGTGACTCAGTGATATGATTAGTCCTGTGAAAGCGTTCAGGAAGGAAAGCTCTCTAAGCAATTTCCTCAGTTCTCAGATTCACTTTGTGAGCCTAGACCTAGGAATGAGAAATTTTTAAGGAACATTTTCAGTGTGCGCTTGGAAGAAAATATGGGCTGTTTTCAAGAAACATTCACTACTTGCAGAGCTGAGTCCTGCTCACATTTCTCTCAGACAGTTTCCCTAACTCATGACATGCACAATGATGTTACCCAAGGTTGAAGTTAAGAAACGGCAAGATTTCCTATATATTATGCATTAGTCCATCTGAAATTGCCTTTCTACACAGGTAACAGAAAGCTGACTCTAATCAAAGAGTATTTATTTCTCAAACATAGCAAGAAATCCTGAGGTGGCTGGTGCAGGCAGGTGTAGCAATTCCTCAGCAGGAGCTGGGTCCCAGCCTCCTCCCTCTCTCATCTACTCCTCACGCTTCTTACCTCATGGTTACAAGATAGCGGTCCTCCTGTGGTACCCCATCCACACAAAAGGAAAAGGGGATAGGACATCAGCCTTCAAGAGAAAAGCAAAATTTTTCCCCAAAATCCCCAGCAAACCTCTACTCATGTCTCATTGGGAAAGCTGGGACATTCAGTGGTTTAGGTGCGGACGTTGCCACCCCAAACAGGATTAGGATTCTGTCAGTATGGAAAGAATGGGTATTAGGAAGGTTTCTAGCAGGGTCCACCACAGTGCTTAAGAAGTCATATATTTCTATCCCGAGGAGAGAGCCACACCCAGACTTCAGTGAAACAGGCTGTGTTCTCCAAAACCCTGGTAAGCACCAGAGGCATTCAGTCCCTAAGAGGGACAACTTCGACCTGACTTCCTAGCAGGTGAAATCTTGAGTTAAATGTAAAGTGGGCAATTATGGAATCAAAATGTGATTGCTACTAATGCTGGAAGTAAGTGGCTTTACCAGATCAACCATAAAACATGAACCACATACACAGATATATATATTTTAAATCCTCTTCATAACACTCTTTACCTCTTTCCCACTGAAACTATCAGCTTGCATAATCCTATGGAAAAGGGCAACTTCCCATTCCAAGATATTGCAAAAAGTACTCTGTGCTGAAACAAAACGAAGGGAGGGAGGAGGGAGGAGTGGGGGGAGGGAGGAGTGGGGAGAGGGAGGAGAAGAGATAGGGAGGGAAGACAAAAAGCATTTACTCTAAAAAACAGAAAAGGGAATGATTATTCACTTTAGCCAATGGACCTCCCTTAAGATAATTTTTAAGAGCAAGATTTCCCAATAAATTTATAATAGTTCAATTTATATGCCTTTTTACAGGAATATGTCTAAATATAGAAAGTATAACCTGACACTTGTACTTTATAAAGATTTGGCCAAGATTGGCAAAACATAGTAATTGCTAAAGCAGGATAATGAATACACAGGGTTTCTTTATAGTCTATTTTCTCCTTCTGCTTGGGGTTTGAAATTTTACATTAAAATTTTTTTAAAGATCTGCCACTAGAAAACTAGAATAAAAATTCTAATTTTCTCTAAAAAATAATAACAAAAAGATGCATGACCATCTTCTAACTTAAAGGGAAGTGCATTTTGTAAAGAATATATCCAGGTCAGTAGGGCAATTCAGAGTGATGACTCATTAATTAATAAAACCTATTTTTGAATTCAGCAAAGGGTTTCTGCTGTGAAAATGGAGCACCCTTTCGAGAATGTTTTAAAGCATAAGCAAGTGTGTCTGTGGTTAGAGTTGTTAGTGGACATGGGAAAAGAACCTCATTGGAAATTATGTCTCCAGAGTGCTTCTCTCACTTTTCAGCTCGACTATTGCACTTGATGCTCAAAGCAAGTGACAAATGCTGTACTCTTCTCTCCAACATCCCTTCGAGATCATAAGAAGTGACAGAAATTCCTCCTTTTGCTTTCTAGAACTACCTTTTTAGCAGAAGGCTATGGCTTATACACAGCTGGCTTTTGCAAATAAACCGTACTTTACATTTATTACTGTGCACAAAGCATTTCTTATTCTTGGTTTATTGACAAATCCAATCATGGCTTTTAAAACATTTGTCTACATCCCAACTATTTCCTCTTACTGCGCCATCCACACCACCGTTCCTCGGTGGTGCGTCTCTCACTGTGTAAATTCCTGAGATGAAATCGTTTCCATACTGTTTCCCCTGAGATTTCCCCTTGTTTTGAAAGATTCTTCTTCTCACCTCCCTAGCCTCTTAAAACCTCAATATGATGTTTTCCTCAAGTTCAATTATTACTTCAGAGGCACATTGAACAAACACTTTTGTATTCATTCACTTATTCCTTTGCAATGCAAACCAACATGCCATTTCCCAGATCATAGGTCTTTTTCCAAAATACGCCATAACCTATGCACAAATTATTTCCATTTTCTATTTTTAAATAGCAAATGTACAGTCAAGCAACCAAACTGAAAGTTTTGGCATTAAAAAATAAGTTGATAATGTTTCTTAATTAGTTACTATCTTGGAACTGAGAGACCAAGATGATTTTTAATAGTTGCAATTTTTTTCTTGAAAGTTCTATTTGGAGCACTATAAAAACGCTTCCATTTTATAAGTATTATTTCAAGGCTAAAACTGCATTGACAAATGAAAATAAAGTGTTAGCTTAAAAATAGAGCCTTGTCCATCAAGACAGCTTGCAAAGCAAAACAGACCCATAGGCAGCTGCAATCTTTGTATATATTACCAAATTTCTGGTGGGAAAAATGTTATATTGCTTAGTTTGGATTAACTATTATTGTACAGATACGTACAAGATGTATAAAAAACATATGGTTAGGGCCAATTTTGCCCTTTGAAGATAAAAGCACCAGAAAAGAAAATGTTGGCAGTTCCCTGTACACCACCAGAGCTGTTTAATTTGTACCATACTTTGCCAGTCATTGGAAGTGGAGATCTCTGAGGCTTCTGTGATCTGTAATGAAGATGATTTTCGGAGAAGGGCAGTGAAAAAATTATTGCCAAACTGCATAAGCTCCTTGTTGCCAGGCCGATACAGTATTGTAAATCCACAAAACACAGTTTCAAAAACAAATTTTCACAACTCTGAAGCAGAATAGCTCTTATGGCCACAAAAGCTTTGTCTCTTACAAGCCTGCATTCTGAACACATCCTCTTGGGCCTCTAGTGAGTGGTAACCCTGTTTTAAGAATGTCTCCAGTGTTAACAGCCTATTTTTATGCTTAATAAAAAATTTCATTAGACAGCCACCAAAGAGGATTTTGGAGAAAATACTCTCTCTTTTAAAAATGTCGTCCTTTTTTAAAAGGTTTTATAGGAAAGAAAAGTAGAGATCCACAACAGGGCACATGTAATAGGTATGAAATGCAGAAATATCCAAGACAGAGGCCCACGCATTACCACATTCTTGGAAGAAGGGCTTGTCTTCAAGAGAGTCTAACCAGTATGACGTTAGTGCCTCGAATTTATTATCATCAAGGCACTCTGGCAGGAGAGTACGTTTTAGAACTTGCCTTATACCCTAATGAAATCTCAGTGTTGTTCTGATTGCAAACCAGATGCATGCACTCTGGGCAGAGCAGTGCTGAGTCTGTGCATTGCCACCTACTTGATGTGTAGTGATGCCAGACCCAACTTGAACACATTGGAATGGTGTGCCTGAAAACTGGCAGAACGGATTCCAAAGAATTTCCTTAGGAAACTCTGCAGAGCATGGATATGAAAATGCTAAGATGGAACCATCTACGGAAACACTTCAGGCAAGCCATTCCCCTGGCAGTGCTTACAGACAGTATGGCCAAGTCATTGGTACAACAAACTGGTCCCAGAATATCCAGCAGCTGTCAGTCTTACAAGAGTGGAAGGGGCTGGAGGAGGTCGCACAGCCCATCTCTTGCTTCCTCCAGCAGGATGTCAGAGGAGTTAGTATTCTTTTTTTTTTTTTTGAGGTGGAGTCTCTCTCTGTCACCCAGGCTCCAAGGCAGTGACACAATCTCAGCTCACTGCAACCTCCACCTCCCGGGTTCAAGCGATTCTCCTGCCTCAGCTTCCTGGGTAGCTGGAATTACATGCACCCACCACCATGCACAGCTTTTTTTTTTCTTTTTGTATTTTGGTAGAGACAGGGCTTTACCATGTTGGCCAGGCTGGTCTTGAACTCCTGACTACAAGTGACCCAATCCCCCCAATCCCATTCTCACCATGTGATATGCTGGCTCCCCCTTTGCCTTCCACCATGATTGTAAGCTTCCCGAGGCCTCACCAAAAGCAGCTGTGGGTACTATGCTTCATGTACAGTCTGCAGAACCATTAGGCAATTAAGCCTCTTTTCTTTATAAATTACCCAGCCTCAGGCATTTCTTTACAGCAATGCAAAAAAATGGCCTAATACAATCATTGATTACTGACTTCAGAGCTATGGGTAGGTTCATTGCTTTGTTTTGTTTTGTTTTATCTCCTTCACATTTCTCTCTGGCCCTCTTTGCATGGTGCTTTTAAGAGATAAGACACCATGGGTATACTTCTACAAAGCTAGCCCAGGAAGGGGCCCTTATGACATTTTAGAGCTCAGTCTATTCTTCTGCCTCCGTGCAAGATATTTACTGGAATCTTGACACTCATATAACAATGTTTTTGTGAAGCATTCCATAGCAAGGCCATGGAATTTGGAGTTAGAGCTGGGTTTGAATACTGAATTTGCTCATTCATAAATTTTAGCACTAAACTCTCTTTTCCAGACCCACCTTGCTGCTTCTTTGTCACATCCTATTGGCAGATCTCTTTGGTTGCCACTTATAGTGTCATTGTGCTTAGAAATAAATTGTCTTCCCAGTCTGCAGACTACAGGTAGGAGAGGAAGCATTTGCTGAGCCTTACCTATTGTCTCCCAGGTGTGAGAATTGGCTCTAAAGCAATAACAGAAAAACAGTTTATCAAAATCTGATTTACTTAAAAATCAATTGCTGAATGATCCATTTATCTAAATGCCCAATTCACTGAATTTTTCAAATTTACTGATTTATTAAAAACTAGTTTATTTCAACTATTTACAGAGTTTACAGAAATTTTTATTGGACAGAATGGTTTTAACAGCTATTGAAATAAGACTGCTTCAAAGTTATAATTAACTGTGTTTCATTTTCTCCTCATAATAACACAAGAAATATTCCATTGATCAAAAGAAAAGAATCACAAGGTGATTTGGTCTCTTTATTAATGTATTTAATATTAAGGCCAGGCACAGTGGCTCAAGCCTGTAATCCCAGCACCTTGGGGGACCGAGGCAGGAGGATCACTTGAAACCAGGAATTCAAGTCCAGCACGGACAACATGGCAAGACCCTGTCCCTACAAAAAAATTAAAAATTAGCCAGGCATGGTGGCATGTGCCTGTGGTCCCAGCTACATGGGAGGCTGAGGCTGAAGGATGACTTGAGCCCAGAAGGTTGAGTATGCAGTGAGCTATGATCACGTCACTGCACTCCAGCCAGGGTGACTGATAGAGCGAGATCCTGTCTCTAAAAAATATAGTTCTTTGTTAATAACCAAAATTGTATTGTTTTACAAGATAATTTTTTATTTTGTACGATTTCTTTCTCATATCTTTTTATATAAGTTTCTGTCCTGTTCCAAGTTCAAATCAAGACTCTGCCACATCTGGTCGGCCCTGGCCAAGTTGCTTCATCTCTCTGTGCCTTATTTCCCTCCACTGGAAAATGGGAATACTAATAGCAGTTACTCTGCAGAGCTGTTGGGAGGATTAATGTTGTTTATTACATATGTAAAGTGCTTAGAACAGCAACCGACCTGTAGGAAGGACCAAATGAATATAAACCATTATTATAGTTTTTTTTAAATGTCATATTGAAGCATTTCTTCCTGACAGTTACCTTCAATGAATTTTGAAAACCCCTTATTTTGATTCACTCTAGATTTTCCGCCACCAGGAAAAGTCTTTCTGCCCTACCTGTGCTGTGATATCATCTTGAATATGCCTCTATGAAGGCACATGCCAGCATCCACATTCCCCTTAAGCTGTGAGCAGAGTCCGCAGCCCATTCATCTCTGTATGCTGTCATGCCACTAGCACTGTGCCTACTGCCTGGTGAGCCTTCCAAAAGCCTTTGCCAAATGAACAGGTAAATGTTGCCGATGTACTCAGCACATGACTAGTGTCTGGGCTCATCCTTTTGTGTTGGTTCTCACTGGCTTCTATTTCGAAGGGTGGCCTTTTTGCAAACTCCTGCCTTCGTTCTGGAATACATTCTCTTCTGAGCAAACAGTTCCCATCTCCACTTAGCATCCACACCCTTCCTTCCCTTGGAGCCAAGGAACCGCAATACATTAACAGGCATGCTTATTCTCAGAGGTATCTCCCTGCGATGAGGTGTAAATTAATGCCAGCCTGACCACTCTGGTTCATTAAAGACCAGATGGTAATTTTTGCAAGAGGAGCAAATGAACCCTACTGGCCTGGCCCAAATCCAACCTGGATAATTTCCTCCTGGCTACACAATATCCTCCCTCTCATTTCAGACACAGAAATGATTTTCACTTCATCCTCAGAAACCTCGCTAGGCAGGGCCAGGCTGGCTTCTTACCACCACTGTTGCATGGATGCAGGCTAGCAAGCAGCATTCATCTGGGGGATCTGCGAAGTGCTCTGGAGCAAGTAGGGCAACGTAAATCCAAGGCTTTAATCATATATTTGGAAAAATAAGACAGTCAACTTGAATGAAAACCCTTCATCTTCTAGTGCATTTTTAAATGTTTTAAGCTACAAGAGTGACCAGAAGTTTATTGCACCTACAAAAAAAATGGGGGGATGTAATTTGGACATTAATTGTTTTTGTTAAAATCATAGAAATAATGGCTTATCCTCAGTCTAGGTAGTCCCTGGAGTGGGTCCGCTTTTGACATTCAAGCTACATAAAGTAGTCATGAATGGGTCTTCACTGGAGCAAATCCCATTTGTTATTATTATGGAGAGAAGTTGGGGGATATAGCAAGAACTATGGATGACTGCTCAGCATGCTGCTGCTTGCATAGGGGAAGAACTGATTGGCAGGACGGATGGAACCAATCAGGTTGACCATGAAATGTCCAGGGCCAAATGCCAAGGTCAAGAATGCCCAGGGTGGATCTGATTGGCACAAAGGTAAACAGATCAAGCACAAGGCATAAGTGAGTGAGGGCTGGTTAGGAACACCATTCCTCATAGGCCTGCAGGTCCTGACTCCTCTGCACGAGATTATCCAGAGCACTCTGAATTCACTCAACGCATGGACAAAGTTCCTAAAGTAGTTTATGATTATGTATTGGCTTGCCACTCTTGGAAAAACCTGTGGCTCGGAATTCTCCACACCTCCCGAGATATGGTTTGTATGGAATGGGCTGAAGCATATTTTCTCCACTCAGATAAACATCAGGCAGTCTCAGAAGACCATGCATAGCTTATTGCAGGAACGTAGGGAAGCACTGACTTGCCCACAAAAGCATTCTCTTCACCGGTAGACTTGGCTCAAATGTGGCTCAGAGAAGCTATGTCTTGACTCAAGCTAATACTTAGTAATAAAGCTTCCTGGGAAGGTAAGACTGCCAAAGTTTAAGTGGTGGGTTTTTATGACCAGGATTATGGTCCATTAAGGGACGAGGATGAAAACACCAGCTTGTTTCATTTTGATCTCTTCTCTAGGCCGAACCACCATCCTATTTCCAATTAAAGTCCCACAAGAAAAATGCTGACGTTTCTCCTACAGAAACAATCCTCCTGGCTCTTTCCCAAAAAACCCACCATCGTCTGAAGCCACATCCTCACAGCATCAAGATTCTGCAGTTTTGTTTTCTCCAAGAGAATAAATGGCCTATAAATAAAATGAGCATTCATTGATTTTTTTTAATAAGAAAAGAGAGCACATGAGATTTGTTGAATCTGAATGGGATGTGGAAACAGTGTTCCCTTCACTGATGGAGAATGAGAGTCCTTCCCATTGATGATCTTGGCTTTGTGCTGAGGAAGGTGTACATCAGCACCTAACTATTACAGTGAAACCACATGACCACGAAACATTATTCAGCTTTCACCTTTACCTTACCCTGTGTCTCAGGGAATGAGAGTGAACAACCTTATTCCTTCAGTAGTTAGTTCCAACAATGACTGCCATACCTGGCAAAGAAAGGTTCCTTCACTTCCAGACATGGTCTGGTCATTTTTGAGACCAAGGTGCACAGGTGTCATGAGGGCACTCTAGGAAAATCCTACTGGGTAAGAATACTGGGATGGAGAAATTAAACAACTATTCAACTATTTAGGAAGGCTTGGATCTGTCCCACATTTCAAAGGATGTCAATGTGATAAACTATCCTTTGGACTTTTCCAATAATGAGTTTTTAAAAATAGCTTTGCATCATGTATTGAAATAAATTTCAATCTAACCAAAGAGATCTCATATGTACATAAGGAATCTCTCAAAAGCTATTCAAAAGGAAGTAAAAGTGAATAATAATAAACTATTTTTATAAGAAATACTGAAGAGCCCTATCAAGGAAAATATCTAAAAGGTTGTAAAATAAAGTCATCCTTAGGTTAACACAAGAAAGCCCCAAGAAAGATAAGCCAATTTCTCTTTAAGAATATTTTCATCAAGCCAAGAGATTTCAAATAAATCCAAACTGAAAACAAAACAAAATGGAAGTTCTAACATCACCTGGCTTATGTGTGTTCTGTCAACACTTACTAAATAACACATTCACCTATTTCTGAACACACAAAAGGAAAATATCCTTCATGGACAGCCAGACCAAATGTTTGTTAATGGAAAATTAAGGACAAATGCAAATTTTTGCAACAACTATAATTTGGCTCAAATTGTCTTTCTGTCTCTCCTCCCCTTCCCATGACCCACCCCAGGATACATTTATCCCAAATGATTGTTTGGTTTATCTTCATACAGCAAGGCATGTGAGGCATGATATGTCCAAGGGGAAGATTTTCCTTTTTTCTTTACCCACGCTTTAAGATTTTCTAGAGGCTGGGGGGAAGGAAGATGTCTGTGGGCTGTGGGCTGTGGGCTGAGGTTATCCCCTGGCTGGGAATTGGATGAAGAATTCCTCTTTAGTAGGAATGCCTTCTCTCACAGGATGTTCAGAGGGGACAGAGGTGGCATACACTGAACCTGGAAGCTTGATGCCATCGAAATTTAAACTTGCAATCTGCTTTTATGTAATTACAGATAACAGATAAGCTGCAAATGGCCACCAAAAAAATCTCTTTCAAGTTACCATTCCCTAAAGATGACTAAATGAACTGCTGGAATTTTCAAGGAGAATTAATATTTAATGGGAGGTGTCTTAGTCTGCTCAGGCTGCCATAACAAAGTACCATGGACTGGGGGGCTTGAACAACAGAAATTTGTTTTTCCACTGTTCTGAAAGCTGGGAAGTCCAAGATCAAGATGCCAGCAGAGTTGGTGTCTGATAAGAGCTCTCTTCTTGGGTTGCAGATGGCCAATTTTTCACTGTTTCTTCACATGGTGAAGAGAGAGAGCAAGAGGAAGAAAAGAGAGAATGAGTGCTCTGATGTCTCTCCCAATAAGGACACTAATTCTATCAATCAGAGCCCCACCCACATGACCTCATCTAGCCTGAATTACTTCTGTAATGGCCTTGTCACCAAATACAGTCACATACTTAGTGGTTAGAGCTTTAATCTACTAATTTGGTGGGAAGAACAAAGTTCAGTCCGTGGTAGAGGGGTAATATTCAAAATATTTAACCACTGGATACAGGCCCCAACCAATCAGAAGAGACGCTTACCACATCTGCCAGCTGGACTGGTTCATGCAAGCTGAGTATTAGCTCTGCCCTATGAACCTGGAAACCAAAAAAGCAGAAGTCTTCCTCTTCACCTCCTCCTGGAAAAGTCTCCACTGTGTATTTAAAAGATGGCTCTGGCTAGGTGTAGTGGCTCACACCTGTAATCCCAGCACTTTGGGAGGCTGAGGGGGGAATCACTTGAGGTTGGGAGTTTAGGACCAGCCTGGCCAACATGGTGAAACCCTGTCCCTACTAAAAATATTTTTAAAAAATAGCTGAGTGTGGTGGCAGACACCTGTAAGCCCAGCTACTTGAAGGGGCTGAGGCAGGAGAATCGCTTGAACCCAGGAGGCTTGGGTTGCAGTGAGCCGATATGGCCCTACTACACTCCAGCCTGGGCGACAAAGTGAGATTCCATCTCAAAAAAAAAAAAAAAAATTAAGAATTAAAAAAAAAAAAAAGATGGCTCCTACATAGTACATTGCCCAAAATAATGTAAAAATAGTTCTTATCCAATCCTGCATGGAAGTAACATGTTGCTTTATCAATATAAATATATTTTAATTTATCAATCTATTAATAGTGTTTATCTGGGGAGAAGAAAATTGTTGGAAGCATTCATTGTATAGATTATATAGTTTTATCATGTGTGTGTATTATTTTGTAATCAAAAAGCAAGCATTCAACCTCTTTTAATTTGTAAATATGCCCAATCTTTAGTCCTTAAAATCCTAAAAAAAAAAAATCAACTACTCTAGCTTCAGAGTTTTGCCTGGGGTTTTTCCTATTAGAATTAAACTATTGCATGAAGAACTGGATCTGTGCTAAACATAAAAACAACTTTTTTCATTCATGTGGATAGTTTATTTCTTGTTCCAGAGTTGGCTTTTTTAAAAAATGTCAAAAATGACAAATTTCTAAATGAGAAATTGAAATGTTTACGAAGACCATTCTAATGGTATTCAAAGGAGTGGCTGTCAGGAGGACCCCAGCCACTCTTTAAGCATGGTTACAGTCTCTCTCCCCTAAATAATGAAATCACCCCTTTTCTTCCTCAGCATTTGAAGAATGAAGACTTATTTCCCCAAAAGGAGATGTTATGTCCACAAGGAAGACAGCCCAGATCATGTTTCCACATGGGTTTCCTGCTTGATATCTGTGTTAGTTTCACAACCTACACTGCAAGATATTTAATATTCCTTCCACTAAACACTAGAATCACTGTCTGGGCATTATGACATTTACTAATTATCCCTTGGGTGTAGTTCTGCTAAGAACCACTGCATCTAACCAAGCTAGACCACTTATAGTATCCAAAATATTCCACGCAATGCTGTGCCTCTAGACTCATTACATATTCTGTTTCTTGTAATTGAAATGTTCATCTGACCTTTCTTCTTTGTCCATTGAATTGTTATTCACCCTTCCTAACTTTGCAAAGGCTTTCCCCATTCTCCTCACACCACATTTCCCATGCCCAGCTTTGAATATTGCACTTCATTAGCCAATGAGTTTATATACAAATAACTCAAAACCTGAATAACAGTGGCTCTCAACCAAAAGACAAATAAGAAGTCTGAAAGGGAATCAATTCAAGACTGTTTCAGTAGCTCAATTTTATTATTCAAAACTCATGCCTTTTCCTTCCTTCAATCAACCATCATCAGTATATTGGCTTTTCATCTTCTTGCTAATTGACTCATGGTTGCAAGGTGGCTACCAGAACTCTAACATCATGCCCTCACACCACTGTTCCAGTTAAGTGGGAAGGAGATTATCAGAAGAAACATGTTTTTTTTTCATCTGGGAAGTAAATCTGCACTCACAGACATCTCCCTGTGTCTGGTTAGCCACAACTGTTCCACAAGAATATGCCCTTGTGAATCTCTCTCTGTAGGGCATCTGCAAACCAAGAAATCAGGGATTGGGTCTTATTCACTTTGGATTCCTCAGACTCCAGCAGAACAATAAAACAAAGTTTTCCTCTGGAAACAGAGTTTGGATTCAGCTGCCACACCCAACAAAAGGCAACTGGTATACCTGGGATCAAGACCAGGTCCCAACCATCTCTCTGTAATTCCAGCCCTTTCTTTCCCTCTCAAATAAGTCTGCAGCTCAGTATCCCTCAGCAATCCTGGCCCACTCTATATATAACTAGATGATGATAGTAAAATAACTGTTTATATTTTACATACCACTTTGCAAGGCCTTTTGTTTAACCCTAACATCTACCCTGAAGGTAAATAGTATGATCCCTATTTTACAGAGAGGAACAGAGGCTCAAGGAGGGTAAGTGTAGTTGCCCGAGTCCACGAAGCTTAAGGCAGCAGGTATAAGGTTGCATCGCAGGCCACCTGACTCTACGTCTGCTTCAGTCACTCTCTGCTTCTCACACCCTGGGGCTGCTCTGAGCTAGAAATAAGCAAAATATTGGGCAAGACTCCATGAACTCCCCGACCCTCACTACCCCACAAGGAATAAGCTCCTTATCACCATCCAAGCCCATATAGAATGAGCCCAGTGTCTAGACTGCAAGAAAGAGGCAAGAAATAGTCTTTCTCTCTCCACTGTAGAATGACTGACACATTGCAAGAGAAGGTTTCAGGGTTTCATATAGACCCAATATAAAGGACCCAACTTCTTTTAAACATAGAGAAAGTGTAAGTGTTTGGTAAGGATAATAAAATTCAATGAATAGTAACTAAACATGCTTATTGAGAACCCAAAATGGGTTGACTCCCAAACAAAATGCAAAATCAGACCTCGCTGTCTAACAGCAAACTAAGCCATGTCACCAACTACTTTATGAAATAAATATAAAAACAGACTCACACATTATTCTGAGATAACAGACACGGGTTCTTTTTAGATTTAAATCATGTACCCTATTATTAAGAGCATTAATAGAAATGTTCCCTGAATGTTTACAAGGTGTTTACTCAGTTTCTATACTGAAAGTCAGGACATCTTGGTACTGAAAATATTTCATGCCCAACAGTTATACAAAACCACTATTTCTTCGGTTTATAGCCCCTCTTAATCTCTTTGTGGAAATCTCCAGACCTCAACTACATTCCTTGAAATTTTACAGGGCACAAGAGGAACAGAAATCAGCTCAAAATGAATATGTGTATTCAGAAATGCATTGAGATTTTTCCAACTTTTCAGGTACCTCATACAAATTAATCTTCTTAAGGGCCCTGGTGGTCTCTGAATCACTGCTTCACTTCCCCACTTCTCAGCACCCCCGTTGTATTCTCTTGGTAGGAATAACTGCCAGATCATTAGGGAAGAAAAAGTTTATTGAGTCAAGATCTGGGAGGGCCCCCACAAGGTCAGGAGCAGGTACCACCAGTTTTACATAATTTTTGCATCTGCACCAATTTGATTTAAGGTTATAAGTGGAATTTATTGGTGAGTATTGTATTATAAAAAAGTGGTTTATACCACATTGTCTCATATTTATTATGATTCCGTCAAAAGTGAATTGTATACGTGCTGCCTGCAATGAGCTGATACAATGGGAGCCTGGCTTTTGAAAAACACATTTGTTCTCCTTTCTATTGTCTTTGATGGTTTACTTAGGTGAAAGAAAAATTGTTTTAAAGTTAAAACTGTATCTTTTCCTGTGGCACTAATCACGAAATGGAAATTATTAGAATTTTTAAAAAGCAGAAGGAAGTTGAACATGATGTGTTAAGATAATGGCAATAGAGAAAAATAGAATTGTTTGAGTGAAATGTGTAAAATAAAGAAATTATTTAGGATCTCCAAGAAGAAAACAAATGTGTAGAAGTGCAGGATAAACCGTTCTGTAATTTCAAGCTTCTAACAAAAATAAAAACAAAGTCACTCACTTGCCATTTCTTGTTTAGACTGTATCTCGAGGAAGAAAAGGGAATCGATGTCTACTATGCTCTCTCAAGCAGGGGGACAATTGAGAGTAACTTAATGGCCACTGGAAACTTCCCCAGGTTTGTTTGTTTGTTTATTTATTTATTTATTTATTTAGGGACAGAGTCTCACTCTGTCACCCAAGCTGGAGTGCAGTGGTGCGATCATAGCTCACTGCATCCTCAACCTCCCCAGCTCAAGCGATCCTCCCACCTCAGCCTTCCAAGTAGCTGGGACTACAGACATGCACTACCACACCTGGCTAATTTTGTGTATTTTCTGTAGAGACGGGTTTCCACCATGTTGGCCAGGCTGGTCTCGAACTCATGGGCTCAAGAGATCCTTCCACCTTGGCCTCCCAAAGTGCTGGGATTACAGGCTTGAGCCACTACGCCTGGCTGCAGATTCCTTTTTAGAAGGCAAATTGGCCATTATTATTTTTTCTATACCAACGCTGCTACTATTTCCCAGAAATTTCAAAATTTCTGGTTGATATATCTGAATTAGTAATTCCATCATTCCAAGAGTGAATTACCCACTTTAAGCTCACGGGAACATCAGAATCCCCTGAGACTACAACCAGATTCCAGTGTCTAGCTTACTCCTCCTTTAATGTGTCCTTAGTCATGGTTGTAATATTACTAGAGTGCAAAAGAGCACTACAAAAAAAAAATAATAAAAAGTTTACTTCTTGGTCGATTGCTGAGACCCATGATCAGAGGCGCCCCTAGTGGCTGCCTTAGGATGGAGAGACTGATTACCGTTTGGCCATTTTTTTTACCCAGTTATTTTATAAAGGTCTCACATAATCTCACAGGTGCACTTAATGCTTTTCATTTGGCTTAGTTTGATTTCCTCTGCCTCTTACCATTCACCATATGGTTCAATATCCTAAATGGTCTTTTTTAATATGTATAAATAAAATAATACCATGTCTGGGACTTGCCTCAAAATATGCCGGGGGACCTGTAAATGAAACAAGGTTGGCCATGACTGGTCATCTTTGAACCTGGGTGATGAGTACAAAAAGGGTTCATTATGCTTCTCTCTCTACTTCTGTATATGTTTAAATCTTTTTTCCAATACAATTTTTGTAAATATTGTTGTTAAGAAGTGTTATCATTCTGGTTTGGGGGGTTAGGGTTTTTTTCTCTTTTGTTTTGGAGAATTTACAGGTAGCTTTCTCCTGGACAGCCAGGCTAATTAATGATCTGGTTTACTCTGAGTGGCTGTAAGAGGGTGGCCATTTTCTAAGAGTCAGGATACAGACACTTCATTTTATTCTACACAGAGACTGCTACTGATCCATAAGCCAGAGCCAATGTTTAGTTTTATAAAACCCACACTTGGAATTCCCTTATAGGTAGAATTCCATCCGCTGTTCATGAAAGGCTGGTTGGAAAGAAAATGGGCCACCCTTGGCTCTCCCTACCCCAAACCTGCAAGTCACTTAGGTAGAGAAGAAGAGGCACTTCAAGTCCATGGGGAGAAGGGGACAAAAGGGAAGTGAAACAAGAGACACCTGGTTCCCAAGGGAACTTAGCTCAAAAGTAGAAGGCTGAGACCACGCTGGGTGTCAGTCATCAGCCTGATAAACAATGGGTTAACTGAGGCTGTTCTAACTTGAAACACTGAGAATTGGAGGCCCAAGAGAATGACAGTATCTGGCAAATATATCTTGAATTAAAATGAATTTCGCTTTATTCCTTTTCTCTTTCCCCTGGAAAAAAACTCTTTAGTTGAAGGATCTCCAAGGTTTTCTTGATTTTCAAAATTAATCTCTCTCTGGATCTGTTACTAGAATGCAAAGAGTGCAATTATTCCAGAATCATTTGCTTTTTCAGGGCTCTGAAGACTGGAAAGTCTCTGTGTTCTCATTGCAGCTCAGCTCTCCATTAGACCACCCTCAGAAAATGTTAATAATTAGAAAGGAGCTGGGTGCCTTTCTGAGGCTTTGTTTCTTTGTATCTTGAATGTTTCCTCTGTAGTGTTGATACTAAAACCTGCTCCATTTGTATAAAATCAGAGACATCAACAAACTGTGTCCTTACACAACCCAATGTCATGGTCGTTAGATAAAAATGATTCTCATCGCCTCAAAGAGAGATCTCCAGATTTTTTAAGCCATCCATCCCATCAGTGAAAAATTATAGAAACTGTATACACATACACATACACTTGATCTTTAACAATGTATACGAACACATAAGTTGGGGAAAGGAAACCCTATTTGATAAATGATGCTGGGAAAACTGGCTGGCCACACCTCATATTTTCATACTTATTTGAATAATTTAATTTATTTGAATAATTTAATCGAATATAAATTATTCAATTATTTACTTATAAATTATAGCCCTATTGAAATAATAGGAAAATAGTGTCAAAATATATAACAGTGTGCTATGCCCTCTTCTAAGCACTTTACATATATGAATGTTTCCATCTTTATAAGAACTCTATCAGACGGGTAATGTTATTTTTTCATTTTGCCAATGAAGAAGCTAGTGCACACAGATGGATAGTTACTTACCCAAAGGAATGGGAATGCCATTACGAAGGGGCAGAGCCAAAATTCAAACCCTGGCCATTTTGTTCCAGAGTCTATCTCTTAAGTAGTAGATTAGTACATGATAGAACAGGAAGAGAAAGAAGGTGAAAGGGAAGTGAAAGGGAAAAAAGGAATGAAAAAAATCACCAATTGATGAGATTTTTTTAAAAGAAAATTAGAAAATTTTCTTTTAAATTTTCTTCTTCTTCCAACCCCCAAAATGTATCATCTCGCACACTCCCAGGGGCTCCTACCTCCTCCCCATACCAGGTTGGAAACCATTAACCTAAATGTTACTTCCTTGTAAGCTGGTAGAAAACCCTCTGGGGGGGCTTGAGAGCTACAGATTCTGCAGCTGATCCCTAGTATTCAGTGTAATCAGGGTGATTCAGTACCTTTGATGGCATAAATAAGTTTCTATGTCATAACTGCTTGTCTAGGTGTGAACCAATGTTCTCACCATCTTCTGGCTACATTCCTGGGCACCATTATACTTTGCTTACATTCATGTTATTATTTATTCTCTGAAGAGCTTTGTCCTGTGTTGTCAGGAACCAAAGATATGCTGATTAAGGGAAAAAAAAAAAGGTGCCGAGGACTAAAGTGACCATTCACAATATAGTCTTAGAATCACAGAAGATCCACATGGGAGCCGAGGGGTTGTCTGGCACCCCGGGGCCATTGCCAGCTTCATGCCCAGCCAAAGAGGAAATGGGCACCAAACCTGATGACCAACTCTAAATGCCGTCCCTACTGGCCCTCCAGGGAAAACATTCTCATGGTGTAAGCTTTGCCCTCCCTTTCTCCACCACATTGAAGTCAGTGCCCAGGAGACATAGTGATATTTAAAAGTAGAGATGATCAAGACTTTCCAAATGCCCCAACCAAGACCAACCTCACTATGTGTCAATCCTGGTGGACTGAGAAAGTCAAGTGAGGATAAGCGCATGAAAAATGGACCTGTTGTCATCTCTTAGAAGAGGAAGAAGACGACTCACATTTTACCAAGTGCATTTAACATTCCTTATATCCTATCACTTCATGGCTGCAGAAAATGGGGAGAGTGAGGCACAGAGTGGGGCTCATCATGTCAGGACTCATACTTCTGTGAGGCCCACCTGTTTGGGCCCCTGGCTATCCTGTGACCCTACTTCCTACCACTCTCCCTTAGTGAACAGCCTTAGTCACCTTGTGCCAGTCACTGTCCCTCTTGCTGCCCCTCTAATGTGCCAAGCAATCACTATTCACAGGGCAGTTGTATATGCTGCTCCCTCAGCCAGGAATAGACATCCCAGAAAGTCACCTGCTCAGTCTCTTGTTTCATTCAGACCTCTGCTTAAGTATCACTTCCTTAAAATGCATCTTCCCTGGCCCCTTCATCTATCATAGCACCTCACTCTACATCCATCACCTGCTCTATTTTTCTTCAAAAGCTTTATCTCTAGGCAATACAAAATTATACATAGATATTTGCTATATTGATGTCTCCCCTGACAAAAGAAGGAAAACTCCATAAAGACAGGAACATTCTCTAGTTTGTCCTGAAACACATCCTCCATGCCTATAATGGTGCCTGGTACACACTGAGCATTCAATAAGTATCTGTTGAATAAATTTCATGAGGAGAGTAGTCCAAACACAAGTCCCTCTAAGTATAAAACTCCTACTCTATTCTCCCTTCATGGGAACAATCCATATGACTTATTCTCAGGGCCTGTTGCTTGAGAAAGAGAGTCCTCTTTCTCTGCACCCCCAGCCCCTCAATACACATATACACAGCCACCGTCTGGAACCGCCACCTGCCACTTCCAGGTGAGGCTGAGACATCAGCTAAGGCTGCACAGCACCACTGTCATCCTGCTCCGGTTACCTCTCACTGTATGGAAGCCTGACAGTTCCCTCCGAGTGGCACCATCTCCCCTCTGCCCTGGCTCTGCATTACAGCGTTTCTTCTCTGAATCCATCATGCAGAACAATGGATTAGCAAACACCCAACGAAAATGCAAAGAACATTTCAGACATGGTGGAGGCAGACACAGCCATGTCAGCATGGAATGTCAGAGACAAGGCCAAGAAGATGAAAAACTGCACAGATTCAATAACCGAGAAAATTCCAGAAATCAGGTCAAGCCAAAGATGGCTTTTCAGTGAACATTAAATCAAATCCTCTATCAAGTACTGTAAGGTCCTTGGAGGACAAGGGTATAATACCCACTGTCTCCTCTCTGGGGATTGGTATACGTATCACTTATGTTTTCATTTAAAAGCATGAAATGAGACTTTAGAAAAATAATAACATTGACCCTAAAAGTGACTGAAATTGCAGCTTAGTAGTTTGCCTCTGTGATTTTGGTGGGTCTAAAGAGCCTTAAAGTAGCAAATGTAAAGAATTAGGGGTGATAAAATTCAGCTGGGAATAACTTTCTTCTGAGCAAAGAGTTTTATCTGAAATTGTTGTGGGGCAGATCAAGGTCTTCTTCATGCCAGGAGGCTCATTGCATTGTGCATTCTTCTAAGGACAGAACAGGATGTTCCAAAGAGCACTTTTCATGATCCTGACCAATGAATCAATATGTTCACTGCTCCTGCAACTGTCCATTTGCCAATGAAGGGAGAAGCAAGTGCTCTGTGGCCCTCACTTCCATCAGAACTAGTTCTTCCCTACACACCTGATCCTTTCTGTGATTCCTGCCAATGATGAGAACAAAGAGAAAAAAGGCAGACTTTTCAGAGAGTGAAACATGAGGTTATAGATGGGGCTAGGAAACATTCTCACCAAGATAGGTGTCCCGGGTTCCTGCCATGCACACATCTTCTTGGATGTTAAGAATTAGTAAGTTTAGGGAGATTTGATAGCCTAAATTATAAATGAAGGTAAAATGCCTATATGAATGAATAAACAAAACTTGGTATATCCCATTCAGTGGAGTATTATTCAGCCACAAAAAGGAGTGAAGTACTGATACACACTGCAATGTGGTGAAAACACTATGCTAGGTGAAAGAAGGCAGTCACAAAAGACAGCCTATTGTATGATATCATTTATATGAAATGTCCAGAATAGGCAAATCTATAGAGACAGAAAATAGATTAGTGGTTGCCTGTGGCTGGGGGGCCAAGAAGATGAAGGGATGAGGTGTGACAAGTAAAGGACAGGGGGTTTCTTTCTGGGGTAATGAAACATTCTAAAATTGACTGTGAAGATTGTTGCACAGATCTGTGAATGTACTAAAAACCATTAAATTGTACACTTTATTAATTTTTTTTTAGATGGAGCCTCGCTCTGTAACCCACACTGCAGTGCAATGGTGCAGTCTTGGCTCACTGCAACCTCTGTCTCACAGGTTCAGGTGATTCTCCTGCCTCAGCCTCCGGAGTAGCTGGGATTACAGGCATGCACCACCACACTTGGCTAATTTTTTGTATTTTTAGTGGAGACGGGATTTCGCCATGTTGGTCAGGCTGGTCTCGAACTTCTGGCCTCAAGTTATCCACCCTCCTTGGCCCTCCCAAAGTGCTGGGATTACAGCCATGAGCCACAGTGCCCAGCCTAAATTGTATGCTTTAAATGGGTGAATTCTATGGTATGCAAACTATATCTCAATAAAGCTATTTTTTAAAGCAAAACAAGATGAAATTCCTAGTCTGGACCTGCCATAATCATCTTAAAATGCATCTCAGAGTATTGTTTTCAAATTGTGCATTGGTCATGGAATCAACTTAGTGCACTGTATCAAACATTTTTAAAAACTAAAATAGACAGACCTACAGTTAGTATCATAGTGAATGGGAAAAAAACTGAAAGCCTTTCCTCTAAGATCTGGAACAAGACAAGGATGCCCACTTTCACTACTATTATTCAATATAGTGCTGGAAGTCCTACCTAGAGCAATCAGACAAAAGAAAGAAAGAAAGGGCATCCAAATTGGAAAAAGGAAGAAGTCAAACTATCCTTGTTTGCAAATGACACGATCTTATATTTGGAAAACCTAAAGACTCTACCAAAAAACTGTTAGAACTGATAAATGAATTCAGTAAAGTTGCAGGATATAAAATCAAGATACAAAAATCAGTAGCATTCCTATATGCCAACAGTGAACAATCTAAAAAAGAAATCAGCCAGATGCGGTGGCTCATGCCTGTAATCCCAGCACTTTGGGAGGCCGAGGTGGGCAGATCATGAGGTCAGGAGTTCGAGACAAGCCTGACCAACATGGTGAAACTCCATCTCTACTAAAAATACCAAAAAAAAATAAAAAATTAGCCAGGTGCGGTGGCATGTGCCTGTAATCTCA
Source organism: Homo sapiens (assembly GCF_000001405.40). Taxonomy (NCBI): domain Eukaryota; kingdom Metazoa; phylum Chordata; class Mammalia; order Primates; family Hominidae; genus Homo; species Homo sapiens. Next base: position 25,826,742 of record NC_000007.14, read on the forward strand.
GCCACTCAGGAGGCTAAGGCAGGAGAATCGCTTGAACCCAGGAGGTGGAGATTACAGTGAGCCGAGATCGCACCATTGCATTCCAGCCTGGGCAACAGAGCAAGACAGAAAGAAAGAAAAAAAGAAAGAAAGAAAGAAAGAAAGAAAGAAAGAAAGAAAGAAAGAAAGAAAGAAAGAAAGAAAGAAAGAAAGAAAGAAAGAAAGAAAGAAAGAAGGAAAGAAGGAAGGAAGGAAGGAAGGAAGGAAGGAAGGAAGGAAGGAAGGAAGGAGGGAGGGAGGGAAGGAAGGAAAGAAGGAAGGAAAGAGGGAAGGAAGAAGGAAGGAAGGCAGGCAGGCAGGCAGGCAGGCAGGAAGGCAGGCAGGAAGGAGAAAGAAAGAAAGAAAATAAGTCACGTGTACAATAACCACAGATAAAATACCTAGGAATAAACTTAACTAAAGAAGTAAAAGATCTCTATATTAAAACTATAAAACACTGATGTAAGAAGTTGAAGAGGACACCAAAAAATGGAAAGATATTCCATGGTCATGCATTGGAAGAATCAATATTGTTAAAATGTCCATACTATCCAAAGCAATGTACAGAGTCAATGCAATCCCTATCAAAATACCAATGACACTCTTCACAGAAATAGAAAAAAAATCCTAAAATTTATATGGAATCACAAAAGACCCAAAATTGCCAAAGCCATACTGAGCAAAAAGAACAAAACAGAGGAATCACATTACCTGACTTGAAATCATACTACAAAACTATAGTAACCAAAACAGCATAGTGCTGGCATTAAAACAGACACATAGACCAGGGGAAGAGAAGAGAGAACCCAGATATAAATCTATACACCTACAGTAAACTCATTTTTGACAAAGGTGCCAGAAACACACTGGGAAAAGGACAGTCTCTTCAATAAATGGTCCCAGGAAACACTGGCTATTCATATGCAGAAGAATGAAACTAGACCCTTATTTCTCATCATATACAAAAATCAAATCAAAATGGACTAAATACTTAACTATAAGACCTCAAACTATATGCAAAATTAAATGCAGAAATCATATGCAAAAATCAAATCAAAATGGATTAAATACTTAACTATAAGACCTCAAACTATAAAGCTACTACAAGAAAACATTGGGGAAACTCTCCAGGACATTGGTCTGGACAAATATTTCTTGAGTAATACTACGTAGGCAACCAAAGCATAGGCAACCAAAGCAAAAATGGACAAATGAAATCACATGAAGTTCAAAAGCTTCTGCATAACAAAGGAAACAATCAACAAAGTGAAGAGACAGCCCACAGAATGGGAGAGAATATTTGCAGACTATCGATCTGACAAAGGATTAGTAACCAGAATATATAAGGAGCTCAAACAAGTCTACAGGAAAAAAAAATCTAACAATCTGATCTTTAAATGTGCAAAAGGTCTAAATAGGCATTTCCCCAAATAGGACATAGACATACAAATAACAAACAGGCATATGAAAAGATCCTCAACATCATTGATCATCTGAGAGAGAAATGAAAATCAAAACTACAATGAGATATCATCTCATCCCAGTTAAAATGGCTTTTATCCAAAAGACAGGCAATAATGAATGCCGGCAAGTATGTGGAGTAAGGGGAACCCTCGCACACTGTTGGTGGGAATGTAAATTAGTACAGCCACTATGGAGAACTGTATGGAGGTTCCTCAAACACTAAAAATAGAGCTACCATAGGATCCAGCAATCCCATTGCTAGGTATATACCCAAAAAGAAGGAAATCAGTATATCAAAGAGATATCTGCATTCCTATGTTATTCACAATAGCCAAGATTTGGAAGCAACCTAAGTGTCTGCCAACAGACGAATGAATAAAAAAACTGTGGTCCATATACACAATGGAGTACTATTCAGCCATGAAAATGAATAAGATCCTGTCACTTGTAACATGGTTGGAACTAGAGGGCATTATGTTAAGTGAAATAAGCCAGACACAGAAAGACAAACTTTGCATGTGTTCTCACTCATTTTGGGGGAGTTAAAACAATTGAACCCATCAAAATAGAGACTAGAATGATAGTTACCAGAGGCTGGGAAGGGTAGTGTGGGGAGATGGAAAATGGGGATGGTTATTGGGCACAAAAATATGGTTATATATAATGAATAAGATCTAATACTTGATAGCATAACAGAGCGACTACAGTCAGCAATATTTGCTGTACATTTTAGAATAACTAAGGGAGCACAACTGGAATGTTCATAACACATACAAATGATGGATTTTTCAGATGATGAATATCCCCATTTACCCTGATGTGATTAAACATTTTATACCTGTAGCAAAATATGTCATGTACCCCATAAATGTATACACCTATTATATACCCATAAAAATTAAAAATTAAAATTTTTCATAAAGAAAAAACTAAAATAAAAACAAAATAGAACATAAAATATCAGATTGTATTGCACAGAATAAAGATAAGTATCATCTCCCAAAGCTTTCCTTTCCTGTTGGTGTGTGTCTAGTGTGTCACAACGTGCTAATTCAAAGACACGTGACTTGTGTTTTATGAAGAGTCTCAAGCAAGCAACATACTTTCTTCATCTGTCTGATCAGTCTTGGTGACTCTTGCACAACCCTAGACAGTTCAAGGTTTGTCAATTTACTCATCAATGTCCAGAGTCAAAGCTATCATCCAATTTTCCTTGTACTGCCTCCAGAATTATCACACTTTGTGTCTGGATCGGTGACACAGTAGTCCAGGCTCTGCCACCAGTCTCAATGACAGAAATGTTTTAATCTCTCAAACTATCATTCTGCCAAGTCTTTTTCTAGCATGCTGGGGCATCTACCCTCCTCCACACCAAGTTCATGCTAACTGCTTGCATGGGGTTCCCCGCCAGACAGCTGAGAGAACTCGACTCTCAAAACTGAGTTGCTCCTAGGAAATCCCTTATTTCTCTATTTAAACTTTCATTGATTGATTTCACAAATATCTTCTGCCTACTACATGGCACATGCTCTAGGCAGACAATGGTCAGCAAGACAAGAGTGGCCATTGCCCTGCAAAGTCCCCTGCCTTGTCAGATGTCAGAGTCCAGCTGTCACAAGACAGGTACAGTCTCAAGTTCTCTTTAGGACTGACAAGCATTTGCTGCATGACCTTTGGCAAAATATTCCATCCTGTCACTCAGAGGTTTGATTGCTCAGAAGTTGTGTTTTCTGGCCTACTGAGAATCACAGGATCTTAGACCTGGCAAGGCCCTTAAAGAGCAGATTCTCTATTTACTGATGAGGAAACTGAGCCCCAAGAGGTGTTATCCTTTGCCCACGGGGACACATGACCCACTAGGAACATGTGTGCCAGCACCCCCAGCCCACCCCAGGACTGCCCCCCCATAGTGAAGCTGAATATGATCAGTTCCTTATGAAGAATTGAGAGACCTTCAAAAGGAAGTACCCTACATCCTGAACTTTTCAGAGAGATGGGTGGTGCAAAATGTTCAAGTGACAACACACGTGGAAAAAAAAAAAAAAAACCAAAGGCATATTTGGATCTTGCAGAAGGGTTTTCAGCAATACAAAGGCACAAGAATGAGAACAGCAGGAGTCCCACTTACCAGGAGCATTCCCTTAAAGCCTCATGTGTGCCTCCTAATAAATCTGCTTTTTCCTTTTTGAAGTTTAAGCGCTCCCTTATTGAGCAGTCTCCTGGTAGCCAGGAGTCCCCTAGGAAACAATTGTCTTGCTTCCAGTGCTGGGGCACTCAGACTCTTGGTTTGGTTTGGTTGGTTGGTTGATGGGTGATTTTTCCCTCCCTCTATCTTCTTAAAACTCCAGCCAGCATATAGGGGTTTTTCGTTTAGCTTCCTCAGATCCCCAGCCATTTCCCTAAAAGTCCATCCCATTAAACATGAAATCCACAGAACACACACCAAGCTACTTTTTCTCTCCCCTAATAAATCAGGTAAATTACCTCTTTTGTTTTTAAGACCATTTCAAGTTCGCCTTTAACATTTTTAGTTAAGGCATTATTTATGTTGTGATTTAATCGAGATTTAATCCACTTCTCAGCACACCATCGTATCGCAATATCCCTGAATTTTTTGCCCATATTATTAAACTTGAGGAGCACGGTAATGTTTTCCTCAGGCATGACACTGATCATTTCCAGATTGTGCATGTCTCTCTGGCTTTTTAACACACCTGAGTTTCTAAGGCCCACTAAAATAAATAACGGTTTGGTCTGCAAAGAACTGGGGCTGCATTAATAAATGCAGAGAGATCTATGTTTATCTCCACTTTCTGAAAACATAAGCGTCTTCTACAAATATGAGTATACACAGCAGAAATCATGTGAATCTCTTGGTAAATGTTTGCCTTCACATCCTGGGGTATGCTGCACACCAGATGGTTTGATCAAAACAAAATCATACACACACACACACACACGCGCACACACACACACACACACACACATGTTTGAGCACCATGCCTCCTCATTTTTGTGACTTTTTTTCTCCTTTCATGCATGAGAAAGAATGTAGAAATACTTAGAATAATGACCAGTATGTTCTGTGTTTACTGCTGCTTTCCCTCACTAGAGATTAACTCATAAAATTTTACTCCAAATTAAACAAACTGAGGCTCTCCTTGCAGCCAGTCAAACTGCCACTTATACCAAAGGAAATCTTAACTTCCATCTCTGAGAGTTTGAACGGCCACCCCTGCGGAAAGATAACAGGGTCTCTCTTTTCCTCTCTGTGTTCTGCGAGTCCTTGGAGGTGCCAAAATACTTGTCTGGACTCTGGCCCCCAGGGCACTTCATCTGCAATTAGAATGGAAACTGTATTTTAGAACATTAACATCTCTCCTGCTGTTTTTTTTTAATGATCTGATTGCTCCAATTATAGTTATTTAGAGAAATCGGACAGTCAAGGATTTTACCAGTAGGTAGGCAAGAAAGCACCTTTGACTGTGGCAGAGGACTTGCAAAGACAATTGTGTCTAGGAAAGACTTAGGAACTGTCTCACCATCCTGTCTTCTCAGCTGAAATTTCTCTGGGGATGATTAGATGTTGTCTTTGAAAAATCCAAATGGGAGAATGTGTATAAAACTACCCCGTTCTGTGCCTTGAGCACAGTAAGTTTTCAATGGACGTTAATTCCGTTGGAATCCCAGGCTTGAGACTGCAATCCAACGATGCATGTAAAAGACCTTGAGAAAGAAAACAAAAAGGCTCAAGGTCATGACCTCACCAGTCTTTTTGTCTTCCTCTCTATATTGCTCGTGTTTCACAGCCTTCAGCCCCAGTAAACAACATTTTTACCTGGAAGGAGCTTAGAGAGGACTTTAATTTTAGAGGGGCATTTACAAAGATCCTCTGATGCAAGCTCCCTGCTTCCTACTGCTAAAAGTCTGCTTCTTTTCAACAGTGCCCGCCTGGAGCCATGGTTGTGTTTTTGTGTGGTCTCATTCCTGTTTTATGGATTGTTCATGTACCCTGGAATCCCTGGGATACTTCAATTACAAAAATTACCATGTGCTGGGTTCCTTTCGGGTTGACAAGACTGCTTTCCTCTCTCTCTAAGCCGGGTTGTGTTTGTTTACATAGGAAATGTACTCTTTCTTAACATTCACTGTTTCAACATCCACTTAGATAGCTTCATTAAAAAATGGGTTAAAAAATAAAGAAGGGTGGCAAGAAAAGGAAAAAAAATACATCTTTCTATTTCAACCAAAAATTTGGTTCAGAACAAACTTGGAAAATCAGAGGATGTTTTTCTTTTCATCGCTGAAACAATGCTCTGCTTGTTCTCCCCGGGCAATGAGAACTACCCGGGCTTGGATCAGTGGGTCACATTGTGCAAAGTGTTTTTCCTGTTTAAACTATGTGCTTTCTTAAATGTTATCTTTTTGGAAGAAAATTAGATAACCTTATGTCCCCAGACTATATCGTATTTGTTTGAATAGGAAATGCTAATATTTTTCTACATGTTTCGTATCGGTGTCAGTGGAAACTCAGTTTGGTGGTTAAGACAGGCCCCTCTAAGCTCTGGGAATCACATTGGCTATCTTCCAGAAGCCAAGAGGTTCACGGTGATTTTGAATAATCATCTCCATAGCTATGTGAAGTATCTATATTACTTAGCCAGAAGAAAACAAAATTATATTTACCTTTTCTGTATTTAATTAATTTATCTTTAAATATGTCATTTGATGAGATTTTCCTTCTTAATTTCTCTTCTCTTTACCTCCACCTCCTGTGTTACTTCTGCTTTCTACTCAGTCCTACCAATCAACTCCCCAAACTTCCTGCAACCTCTACTTAAAGATCATGCTTAATTAGTCATTATACCCAAGGATCTCTGCCCCATCCATCTGTTTCTGCATTCCCATTGGTCTAAGCCAATGCCTGTTACATCACAGCCCCACCCCTGCCCATGACTAGAGGCTCCCCCTTCCCACATGTCCCCAGTTGTGTTCAGGCCCCTTTATCTGACATTCTTGGAAGCAGAAATAGCAGCAGAAACACATTTCTGAAACAACAGACTCCCCACGCGAACAAGGTCTCTACTAAGACACATCAACCAAGTCCTCTGAAAGCAGCACTGCCCTATCTAAATTTTTTTAAAGTGAAGCTTGTCATTTGCACTTCAATCTCCATTTTTCAGTACCTTCTCTTCAAACACACGTGTTTACGTACTTAATACCATCTTGCTTCCCCATATGAAAATCTGCTCCCAGAAAATCTAGCGTCAGGCATGTATAACTTAATGCAAATTTAAGTTGGTGTGTTCCTTCTCCCAAGGGTACCTCAATTCTAAGCCCTGTATCTAACTAAAGAATGAAGATGTGTCCCCTCTTGATCATGTTTTAGCCGTCGGTGCTCAGATGGGAGAGATGGCACTTTCGACAATAAGACACACTCTTTCATGACTTTATTGTCACAAAAACATACCACGCAAGTGCTTTTCTGCTCCACTAGAACAAGAAAGGCCTCCTAAAAACCCTAAGTGTCTGTTTAAACTCAAAGCTTTAAACCTGAGACCCTTCCACCCTAAATGATAACACTGCTCTCCTGTTGCTCTATAATCAAACCAATAGCCTTAACTCTATATCTGGCAAATACAAGCAAGTAGCAATCATGCCCTCTGTTAAGTAAAGCACAAAAACAACAATGAGCAGAGGTGGGCTCATTGTAAGCCATGAACCTTAAGTCTCGGGGCCCTTCGCTTGCACAGGCCCCTTCCCAAACCCTAGGCAGGGGACCTAGCAATTTTGTATGCGTGATTTTACATTCTTTTTAAAGAAGGCCCCAAAATTGTATAAGCTTCAGGCCACATACAGCTTTTAGATCCACCCTGTTAGGGACTGAATTGTGTTCCCCAAAAATTCCTATGTTGAAGACTTAACTACCAATGTAACTGTATTTGGAAAAATAGGGCCTTCAAAGAGTTAACTGAAGTTAAATGAGGTCATAAGGGTGGAACCCTCATCCAATATGACTGTTATCCTTATAAAAAGAGGAAGAGACACTAGGGCTTCATGCACACAGAGAAAAGCCGCCATCTGCAAGCCGAGGAGTGAGGTCTCAGAAGAAATTAAACCTGTCTACACCTCAATCTCGGACTTCAAGCCTCCCGAACTAGCAGACAATCAATTTCTATTGTTTAAGCCACCCAGTCTGCAGAATTCTCTTATGGCAGAATCCACACCCCTAGAAATTAGATACCATTTTTTAACTTTTCACTATAAAATTTTCTTAATGTTAACATTCAGTTTAACACTGAAGTATAGTGAAATAGGTAATCAAACATACATTGCTGACAGGACATGATTCAACACAACTTTTTGGAAAGCAAATATTAAAAGACATAAAAATACTCGTTTTCATTACCCCAAGAATTCTTCTGGGACTCTATCCTGACCAAATAACTCAAAATATTTTAAAAACTATATACACAAAGAAGTACATTAAAGTATTATTTACAATACTTGCCCATAACTGGAAGCTCCCCCTTCCCATGAATTACAAGTTGTGTGGGCCTTGGGTTTGTGGAGGAATCTGCCAGGGACTTTTAAAGATTCCCAAATTTGACTGTACATCTATATATGAAATTGTGTTGGTTTATTTGCAAAAATGGTTCCAATAATTCTTTCCATTCCTGTCTGCATGCCCCTCTGCCCTGTGATATTTCTGCCCCACCCATCAAGAAATAGAGTCTCTTTTTTCATCCTTTGATCTGGGTTTGGCCATATGACTTGCTTTGGCCTGCAGAATATTAGCAAATATGATGCAAGCAAAAAAGGCTTGAAAAACGCTTGCACATAAATCTTGTTTTCTCTTTCTGCACCTGAAACCATGAGACCTTAAGGCAAATAAGCCCAAGATAGGGCTATGATGCTAGAGAGGAAACATACTGAAAAGCCAAGGCACTGGCCAACAGCCTGCCAACCCAACTATGTGATTGAGTCCATGCTAGACCATCTAGCTCCAGCCGAGTCTGCCCGGGCCAGAACTCTCCCAGCCATCTCAGCCAGCCACAGAATAACGCACTAAATAATAAATGTTTGTGGTTTTAGGCCTCTAAAATGTGGATGGTTTGTTATGCAGCAAAAATTAACTAATACAATAATTTCCCCCTGTAAAATGCTTGTGGGACAAATTGAGAATAGGCAAACTATGTTAATATCTTTATACTGAGTAAGCAGTTGGTGTTCTAGCTGGTGAGCTCCTGAGTTCCAGTCTTGCGACTCACATTCCCCCAATGCTTCAGTAAAATTACTAATTACCACATTCCATGGACCTCTGGATTGCCTGAGAATACCTGAAATCTTGAACGATAAATCTGCATATGCTTATAGTCTGGTTTAGTTTAAAACTGGAAATAGGCAGAAAGCTCTACATTACACACTTCCCTTTCATTAAGCCACTTAAAATTATGGCTATGAAGACAATGTAGAAACATGGGGAATATATTAATGCAATATTAAATGAGAAGAACAAGATAAAACACTGTCCTTAAATTATTATTATAAATATGTAAAGAAAAATAGCTAAATAGTTACAATGAGGAAAAAGACTATAAATAATTGTGCCAAAACACATTAGAAGCTGCTTTAGGATGTTAGATTATGGGTAAGCAGTATTTTATTTTATATATTTGCTGTAATATTACCTTCATAATTAATTATATTCGTAAGTTTAAAAAATTAATATATAATAATTTTAAAAATTAAAACCTGGATATGGGTATAGCCCGTCTGTTTGCTGTATAATTTTTAACCATACAGACTCTCTCTGCTAGTTTAAAACCATAATTTCCCAGAATACGAAATGAAGTTTTTATTTATTTGGATCTTACTAATATTACACTGGAATTTTACATAAATCTGTTTAGAATCAATTTAAACTACTTTAAAGACCAGGACCTGCCCAATTTCACTAAGTTAATAATTATTAAAGCCTCATGGGTGAGGCCTTGTTTGATTCAAATGTAAGCTGAGGGCCGAGGCAAAAATCATGTTGCCACGTTTTTAGGCCATAACTATACTGAAAAATAGCTCTAGACCCAGTTACCTATCTTGGAATGAGCAGATCTTATTCTCCTGAAAAAATGCTGTATACGACCAAAACTTTTGTTAACTAGTATGGATTTATACCCACAGCCAGGAAGGCATTATGAGAGAAAACAATAATAAAATCAGACAGTTTGAGTGCTTTTCTGTGGCTCCCCCTTGGACAATCTCTTTAAAAACAGCAATTCCTTTGACTTTTGACCTCAGCAATCTCCTATTTTTGAGCCAGTCTTCCCCCATCTCACATCCATCATTGTAAAATATGTCAAAATGAGTGAAAACATGGATTTCATCTCCAAGAAGTTTTCTTGTGAAACTTAAACAGAAAAGATTCTAGTCCATACGGGCTCCAGCCTCCCCCAACTATCACCATAGACTTCCCACATCACTGCAGTCAGCTTAACGTAAATTCTTAGGAGAACCATGTCAGTCTCTGTTAATAAACATGGTTCCAGCACACAAATTCAATTGCATTATGAAATCTAATATGTCAAATGGCAAAACCATAACACACAAAGTTCATGTAATCAGAATATTAAACAACTGTCACTCAGTTGTAATACTTTCAATTCCGCAACAGCAAATGGCTCCATTAATAAGTAAAGCAGCAGGATTCAAATGGCTTTCTGCTCTTATCCGCCTGGGGCTCCACCACCACACCAAGGTGGTTTTAGGAGTCAAACTTGATTCCAGGAAAAGATCTGCCCTGAAAAAAAGGGGAAAGAAACTAACCCTATAACATTTCAAGCCAGAAGTGTAACCATTTGCCAATTGCCTTCTTTTACTCGCCAGATACTGTACCTCTGCCCAGTTGAGTGTCAAGTCTTTAAGACTGCAGAGGTGAACTGGAACCCTTCAATATGAGACTTGTTCTGTACACCATGTCCACAGCAGCACTATTCACAATACCCAAAACGTGAAAACAATCCAAGTGGACATAGATCAACAGATGAATGGATAAGCAAAACCTGGCACGTTCATACAATGGAATACTATCCCAGTGAAACATTACTCAGTCTTAAAAAGGAACGAAGTTCTGACTTTTTTGGATCTTACTAATATTGCACTGGAATTTTGCATAAATCTTTTTAAGCCCAATTTAAACCACCTATGAGCCCAAAACAAGTCTAACCTCACTAAATTATAAATTGTTGAAGCATCCTGGATGAGGCTTAATTTGATTCAGATCTAAGCTAAGTGCAGAGCCAAAAATCACATTCCCACCTTTTTAAGTGCAATAACATGGATGAAGCTTGAAGACATTAGGTTAAGAGAAATAAACAAGACACAAAAGGACAATATTGTATGATTCTGCTTATATAAGATACGTAGACTAGGCAAATTCATAAAGACAGAAAGTAGAATAAAGGCTACCAGGGTCTGAGGGTAAGGGGGAATGGAGAGTTTTTATTAATGGGTACAGAGCTCCAGTATGAAATAAAAAATTCTGGAAATTTATAGTGGTGATGGTTGTATAACACTATGAATGTACACTTAAAATGGCTAAAATGGCCACTTTTATGTTATATATATTTTATAATTAAAAATTAGAAAAATAAGGCTTGAAAGATCAAACATTTGGGATAAAAAGAACTGCAACTTAAACTATACTGTGTAGCACACTTCTATCCTTCTGCAATACTTTCTTCATCTTTTCTGTCTTCATTAGCAGAACCTCTTGAAGACTCCACATAGTATCTCTTATTTTGCAAATAAGAAGACTAAGACTTGTAATAAATTGTTCAAGTGTACCCCCAGATTGGCACTAGAATGTGGATGCCCTGGTTTCCATCCTTTTAGCCAATGACCTGTATCCCCTAACTTCAAGGTTATGAGACACTTACCTTATGCTATAAAGAAAGAATATGTGTTCCTAATTTAAATTTTATTTCTCTGCTTTCCATGTAGCCAAAGTCCACAGAGTGAAGGCACCCTGCCATGCACATATCAAATGCTCAGTAAGCAATTTTTCATCATCATTAAAAGCAATTTATTACTCACATATCTGTTACCAAGAAAGACAGTAATCATCTAGAGAGAGACATAAAAACAACCAGATGGAGATTCTTGATTTTGTTATTTGATGAAATACATAGAAAATGATAATTCCTTAGCAACGGATTATTAGAAAATAAAAAAGATGATTAGGGGCATGGATGATTCCTAAAGAGATCATTGATGATCCACAAAGATCAGAAAGCATGTGAATTTAAGGTTTATTATCCAAATCTATTTTTGACAGCTCTTTAAGGCTGAAGAAGTGTTAGCTAATAAAGTAACATTAGACTTGCTGATGTGGGAAGGTTTTAACGTCTGGTTCTCACTCAATGAAACATGAGTTTCAGAACTCCATATATTCCATTTACCCAGACCTCCAAAAGAAAGTCTTTTCTAAGGTCAATTATAACACCTCCAGATGGACCAGAGCAGCATTTCCCAAAGTGTCCGCCAGGGAATTTGAGTGCTAAAAGATGTACCTCAAAGAAAAAAAAAAATTTCTGTGGTCAATTAAGTTGGGAAATTCTGCTAAACAAAATCGCCCACTTGAAGATGTACTTTACACTTCAGCATTTTAACATCTCTCTTTTCTGTGAAAGTATCAGCCACTCCTCACCTTTGCCATGCTTCCATGTGGGAGGAGTGTACTTCCTGGCCCATCAGGAAGCTTGGCCAAGGGACTCGCCTTAGCCAATGGAATGAGAGCAAATGTACACCACATCTAAGCAGAAGCTTTAAATGTACTTGAATCGTTTGGGTCAACCTCTTTGTTCCTACCCTCTGCTATGAGAAGAGTGTTCCAGAGAGGGGCTGCTCCTCCAGCCTACATCCTGGGATGGAAAGAAATGTGGAGCTCAGCAGAGCCCAAAGCAAGCCAGAGCTGACCTACAGAACTGGAAACCAGAAGTAATGTCAGGAGAGGCTTTCCCATCTGAAAGATAATGAAACACCTGCTATTCCTGAGGAGTCCACTAGAGGATGAGACTCATCCAGCCATCCAACCGAGAGATAAGTGGGGAAACTTTGGCAAAAGGACTGTTGGTGAGTATTTAATATATATGATTGTAGAGCTAGGATTAAACTAAGGGTGAGAACATGAATAAGTATGCAAATGTTATAGTTCTGACATAATAGGTGGATTGATATTGTTGGGAGCCAGGGTTGGTTCTAACTGTAAAGAAAAGAATTAAAAAAGGAGTGGGGACAGCAAGGGAGGGCTTTATGTGATTAGATTGGACTTGGAAGTGTCAATATAAACTCATGACGTCATTAAAATTTTTTTATTTTTTTTGCATCCTAAAAGCAATGACATTCCATTTAGCTGTGAGCACACCTGGCACCCCAGTCTTAGTTTATAAATACCATTGCTAACTGAAAGGAGCCAGGGATCTTTGGAGAAATGGTTGATTCCAGGGCTGGGGTGGTGAAGGTAAAGATGAGTCTGGAACATTTTGCCTTGCAAGAAAGTTAAAAAGGTGCCCACAAAAATGATAGCAATATGTCAATAGAACACAGAAGTCAACCTGAAAGGGTTCCCACTGGCCAAATGTGGGGCAATTTAAGCATCAAAACAAAAGGATTAGGCCAGGCATGGTGGCTCATGCCTGTAATCCCAGCATTTTGGGAGGCTGAGGCTGGCAGATCACCTGAGGTCAGGAGTTCAAGACCAGCCTGGCCAACATGGCGAAACCTCATCTCTGCTAAAATTACAAAAAGTAGCTGCACATGGTGGCGCACGCCTGTAATCCCTGCTACTAGGGAGGCTAAGACACAAGAATCGCCTCAACCAAGGAGGCAGAGGTTGCAGTGAGCCAAGATCTCACCACTGCACTCCAGCCTGGGCAACAGAGCAAGACACTGGCTCAAAAAATAAATAAATAAAAAACAAATTGATTAAAATTAATTTAATAAAATAGTAATCTAAGAGTGAATTATTTCAAAACAAAGAAAAAGAGAAAAAAAGAAAATCCATCCTTAAAAATGGATACAGACCAATAAAGCTGAAAGGAATGGACGCACTCTGGATCTAAGCCTCCCTCACACCTCTTCTCCAGGCCACCTTGTCCAGGTCACAGTCTACACACTTGTATGCACCGGCCCTGGGGAGTGGAAAGAAGCATGCTTATCAACCAGAAGTGTCTAAAAAAGAAAGACTTCTCAAGAGAACTTTTTCCAGTTAGAGGAGCCAAAAATAAATAAATAAATATAGAAGACATAAAAATAGAGCAATGGAGTAACAGAATAAGAAGTGGTGATAAGACCCAGTGACAGGAACATGGAGTCCCAGACCTGCTGACAACAGAGCAGGGAGCTCATAACAAAGAAACAGAAGACAGTTCTGCAATTCCACAGCCCTTGAAACCACAGAGCAAGAAAAACAATTACGCAGCATGAGTTGCCATCACTTTCTGTCTTGAAGCATCACAGATATCAACCATTGATATCGATCGTGGAGTTCTTCCCTACTGCTCCTGGATGCATCCTCAGGATCTTTCTCAACACTACAATCTGCTGGCTTTTCATCCAAGGCAAAGGACATCTTCTCCACATGTATAAGAGTTTTATAACATTGAGGGTAGGAAGTGACCTCTAGTGCTGGGTCTCAATTCAGCATCCATGTTGGTGACAGACCTAAACTAGGGACCTTTACAATAAAAGAGTAGAGAACATTTTGGTATATGTGCTGCCAAAGCAAGCAAGAGTATAGAACATTTTAGAGTTTTTCACCCAAGTAACTATGCTAATTTTAACAATTACAGCAAACTGGTGCCTTAAAGGTTAATTCCTTCCCAGCTATAAAGAATTCTTTCTCTAAGCAGTCCATAAAACTTAAATTTAACTATGGAATGCCAGAACAAGCATGGTTAACTTTTACTAAATCTACCTGTGGCACTGGGAGTTTTTAATGGTCATACTTAAACCAAATGTCAATCAAAAGCGTTTACACCTCCATTTAAGAATTAGCAGTTTAGATTGTAAGGCTCCAAGGGAAATAAAATTCCACCAGTTTTCCCATGATCCCTAAAGTCACAGGAGGCGGGAACTTTTAGCTAAGAACATGAGTATCTTAGAGAAGTAGAATGAGAATGATGCAGAAAAGTTTTAAAAGTTTTTATAATAAGGGAAGGGTATAGCCCTGTTTCTCTCAAGCCCAGATTTCTAGGCCTCAAAGCCCACACATATTTGTACAGCTTCTCTAGGACTACAGAATCTCCTACAAAACATTTAATTTGGTGGCTTAATATGAAAATCATCCTTCAGCATACATTAATCTAGGGTAGGGATCTGCAAACTCTTTCTGTAAAGGGCCAGATAGTAGATTATTTTCAGCTTTGCAGGCCATACAGTCTGTCCAACAGCAACTCTGCTGTTGTAGAAGGAAAGCAGCCATATACAATATATAAACAAGTGAACATGGCTGTGTTCCAATAAAACTTTATTTACAACAAGCAGGCATGGAGCTGGATTTGGGCCACGGCCACAGTTTGCTGAACCCTGGTCAGTTTGCAGAGCATCAAGCGCAGCTGAGTTGCAAACTGGTTTTCCAGATGCAGCTGCCAACTTCCACCTCACCCATGATATGAAACCTTTCCTTCTGGTGGTTCCTAACATGCCTTTGTTTTAAAATCCGAGGGGATGTTCATGTACTAATGGATACATCACTGCCTCCTCTTATTTACAAAGTATTGTGGGGACTACTGGGATTTAGCTTACTAGCAACCTCTCAGCATAAGCAGAGCCAGGAGGCTCCACTGAAAAGACTCCTAATGTACAATTAAAATGTCATCACTGGAGATGCTTTTTTGCACCCTGCACTTGAGTTTGCTGGAAAAGTTCATATTTGCCTTTTCATTCCTCACCCTGCATTCTGATGGCTTCAGGCCTTTAGCATGGGCCATATTTAAATTGTCAAGAGATGTCAACAAATTGTGAGGGACAGCCTCACACTGGCAGCAATTACTACACGGCAATAATCAATGGGAGTCTTTTGTTAGCACTGCAGACTCACCATTGACTCAGGAAGTAAGTGTCCCAGTGGTTTAAGTGAAAGCTGAAATGGACAAGCAGTTTCACCTTAGCTGCTCAAAAGCCACAGACATACGCTTGCCCCATTAATTATTCCTACCCAAAAGACAGGGGCTGTTACCGTCCACTGTCTGCTGTCTGCTAAGGAGAGGGGGTGGCCAGAGACTCACAGACATTCTATTTACGGTGCCAGGAAATGCATCCTTCTTGCTTTCCGAGAAAGGATGATTGCCTTATTCCACTGTGATTCCTTCTATAAATAGGTAAAGGTCACATGTGGAAATGGAGAGTTTTCAAACTTTGCTCATGCTTTTTGATTTCAGATATTATATTTATCTGGCACAATGACCTGATGAATTACTCTAATGTGGAAGAAATGCCCTTTGTGACCCACAACGCCCATATTGACTTGCTCTTCTGTCTTGCATTTTTAATTTTTACACTTTTCTTGCTTTAAAGTCACATGCCTTGTACAAAAAAAATCTAGAGCTGGAAGTTGAAGTAAAATCCACTCAGATCATTTTCTGACCCTAATTTCCATAAAAAATACATGTACCTACAGTCATTTTTTTCAAGGAAAATGGAGTAAAAATACCATTCCCACTTGATATCACCTTTTCTGGATTTGCCCATATTATTCACCTAGTTAAATGCCACCTCCTCCAAGAAGCCTCATCTCATGTACAAGGTACATACAATCTCTCTTGACTCTGACCTTCCATAGGAATTTCCTGCACCTCTGCAACACCCGCATTTTCAGACATGCCTTCGTGCCTTGATATGCGCATGCCTCAGCCTCACCACTTCATCCCCACCCCTCGAGAGCAGGATCCAGGTCCCGTTCATCTTCAGTCTCCACAGGGTCCGGGACAGTGCCTCAAATGATGTAAGGGCTCAATAAATGCATCATGAATAAACAAAGTAGCTCCTGCTTCTGTCTCTGAGACTCAGGGGACCACCAAAAGCAAAAATATTTGGCATTATAAGTCATGACATTATTGCATGGGTTTGCCCTGTAATGACAATTAGAAGAATGCAAAAGGCCTTGGCTTCCTTGATAAAAAGAAAAATTCAGACAAAAATTCAATGTCAGACTTTTCTATGGAGTTTATGAACAGGAGTAGATCAAAGAAAGCCTTAATGAGCTGAATTCCGGGGAGAAACTATGTTACTGCAGATAGGAAAACAGAACGCCATTTGCACAATGATCTTGAATTATCATCTTGCTTGTACACAGTAGGTTCCTACATTCAGAGCAGCCATGGATCTAAAGTCAGCTAGAAGATGGCCAAACAATGGTTCCTCTGGTCTCCTCCTCGGCAGCTCCAGCAGAGGGCCCTCTGCACACTGGGTCATTTTTCTCACCCTCTACAGCATCCTCTCAGAGGAGATTTCCCACCAAATTCCATAGGATGGAAAGCCGGCATGCTGCCTTGGGATGAGAACAGATAATGATGGATGAGGCCAGTTTCCAGTGAGACTTTCATTGAGGAAGTTTGCTTCTGAGCACTGACACTTTCTCCCCTAGATCGCTGAGTAGCGCTATTCCATGGGGGCCCCCAAGAGATGGAAAGAACATCCTGTTGGAGGAATGTTTCCCATTTAGAAACTGGCTTTGTGCAGAGGTAATTATGTCCTAAGGTAAATTTTAAATATAAGAAAGGACAGCCATTTCCATACATGAAATTACACCATTTAACTTTATAGCCATCTCTTTCCTCAAGCAGTTAAGTCAATTTTTAGATGAAGGGCTTGACTGTCTATTTTTACTACATGTAATTCGGTGTTCTGTAACTTTCACAGCTATTGCTCTTCATTGCTATGTGAAAAATCATGGCGATTATCAGGCATGTAGTTTCAGTCATTCAGTCATATCTACAGGGTCTGAGGATTTATGACAGGAGGAAGATACTTCCTTCCCAACAGGGTTTGTGGTAAATCGATTCCAGGGGCCACTGGACTGCAGGAAGTCTTTGTGATGTTTTCTGCGGTGCATGGGTTTGGCATAATCTGAATTGAGAGTTATTATTTCTGAATTGGAATGTGTATTAAAAGTTTGCCCTTCTCTGGATCAGCTCACAAATCTGTAAAATGGAAATAGCAATGTTTACTTATGTCACACGAAAAGCTGCAGGTTTCAATTGAAATTTTTATCTTATAATTATAAACTGAGACTGAGTGGTAACAGGGTATTGTTATTATAACAATAACCAAAACACCAAAAGAATGTGAAACGTGGGAATACAGGCTTTGTGTGTGTACAGATGAGATGGCTATACCCCATAGGCTTTATTCAGAGAAAAAAAATGTGAAGAGAGTGAGAAAAGACTTTTTTTCAACTAATAGAAGGTAGAAGAAAAACAGCAGTGACATAAAACTTGGCAGGGTCTTCCAGCTTCCTGGGGACCACAGGAATTTCCCCAGATTGGTCAACCTCACAAATCACATGTCTTCATCTTCCATTTCTGACAAAGTGAGTTTGACTCTGCAAGAGATTTATTCTCCAGTGATTCTAGCTATCAAAGACAGCAGTTCCTAACCTGTTTGGTTCAAAGTTTCCTCTGCAAATCTGGTAAAAATCTGTGGCTCCCAGATCCAATTAAAATTCACAAAGGTATATCTTATTAACACAACAAGTGTAATAATAACATCTAATATTGAGAGAGCACTTTGGGGCCACAGGTTGTGTTAAGTGCTTTAAGTGCATTTTCTTATTTAGTCCTCACCCTAACCCAATGCGGCAGATATTATTTTCTCCATCTTATAGATGACTGAAAAAGCTTGGAGAGGGTAAGTAACTTAGCCTTCCATGCAAAAATTTACTTACAATCATAGAGGTTCTCAGACCTTGTCCAGGCCCATCCATGGGCCATCAAACATGCACCCCAGGTTAGGAACCCTGCCCTCTGCAAGCAGAATAGCTGCACAGAAAAGCTTGTCAAGATGTCCTAAATTCAGAGCTCATCCCCAAACATACAATATGCATATGTATGTATGTATACACATGCATATATGTGTGTATAAGTATGTATGTATGAATTACTATGTCTATGAAGGAACAATTTTTATTTCTGAGGCAGCTCTCTAAAGCTGCTTAAGACTGCTGAACTATTTCATCTCTACTCAGCTCTGCTACCTGATAAGATACTAACATCACATGTTTACAGCACACTCCCACTCATCAAACAGAAACTGACCCTGGGGAGGTGTCATATAAAGCGCTACCAACCAACAGACAGGTTCACAGCTCCTCAGCCGACATTGGTAATGAATAACATATTACCCTGGGCCTTGAAGCCCCTTTCAAATCCATTACTGATGACCCTCCCTGTCACTGGGCTGATCTGGAGCTGGTGTTTAATCATAGTCCTGCAGTGACATCAGAGATCTGGCACTGGACTTTGCAGAAGGGCCTGGGGGAGAGGTAATTAATGTTGAGTGCCACTGAGGAACTCCCAAGAGCAGGCATCATGAGCCTCGTCTGCCTTTGAGCAGCCGGCATCCAGGTGAGGTGGTACAATCCGGCCAGCAGCCTGCACTGGAGAGGTTCTGAGGCTGGCTTTGAGCCATTGGGTCCACATGGGCTTGCTGAAGAGATCATCAGCATTTAATCAATCTTCCAAAGGGAAGTTCAACCTGAAGAAGTCAGCCTTCCCTTCAGGCTTCCAGGGCATCTGCTCAATGGCAAAGCAGCTTTAGAAAGAGGGTGCTGACTCTGAGGATGTGTTCCTCCCTCTTCCTTTCCAACAGTCAACGTTGAAGTCAAGATGGCAAAGCAAGAATCCCCTCTGATTGCAAGAAATTGTCAGAAGAAGCTATCCAGTCCTCTGATTGTGGGAATCTGCACCGAGCTGGCTACAGCTCTACAAAGATGAGATTTCCAGGTAACACAGAGTTGAGTTTTGTGTCATCCACATGGGCTGATTTCCCAATTTGGTGACCTGACACATGGCCAAGAGAATAAAGTGATGGGAAAAAAACTCAACTAGAAAATATCAGAGAGAAGAAACATCATGCAGTTTCTTTAAATTGTAGTGAACAAGAGAGTTAACGAAAATCAGCCATTTCATCCCATATGAAAAATAAAATATCTACAGAAAGCCAAAATACTTTTTCCAAACACCATTCTGGAGTCATTTACCACCAACCAACCTTCCAAACAAATCGGTTGTTGATTTGTTTATTTGTTACACAACCAGACACATATGGCTGATGAAAGTAATCAGATGCTGGTGGGGTGAAGACAGAACTCAAAAATAAATTGAACTGAAGAGCTAAACATACTGCAAAAAAGCTCAGGCCTCAGGCACACCTTCCAAGTTGTGTTATTCTATGCTATTCATACCACTTTCCTTATTGATATAAAACAATTTTTGTTTTCTTTTCCAGAAAGAATGCTGCCAATCGCCAGAGGCAGACATGTTTATCAGGCTGTGTATCTTGAAGTCTGACAGAAAATCTGTGGCCTTTGGTACAGCTGAAAAACACTCTGTCAACACCATGGAGAGTGCAAGCCCGTTGTGCTGGCCTCAACCCAAGGAGTGCAGGGGAATGGACAAAAATTTGACTCAAGGCCAAAAATTACAAGAGGAGGGAAAGTCAGACTTGAGGCAAACAAGCCTTTTCCATCGGGTCTGTTTAATATCTCGTGTAAGCATCCAAACCACAAATCGGTCAGTGCTTAGGTGAAAAGACAAGTTTTTCTCCCTTTTGGAAAGCTATTTTGCTTAAGCTCCTATGAATACATCAATTATATTAGCCCTGAGAGTGTCTGTCAGTGCAATGTTAAAAGGTCCACTATTTTTCAGACTGCCCACATCAGAAACAAAATACCCTTCAAACTCTCTGCCCTGAATTGCTTGGGCCAAAGAGAGCTTGAGAGAAAAAGGCATAAACTCCACAACATTGACAGTGAGAAGAGCCACTGGTTTTAAGTAAATTGTAGTCATATTTATCAGCTTAATAAAATCCCCCCAGCACTCGTGTGCCATCAAATTCTTCAATTTCAAATTCAGGAAAAATGGCTCTTTTGTGACAGAAGGTATAAGGCCAAAGGGCAGGTTGTCAGCGAGACCGCCTCCCCTGCAGGCCAGTTGGGCTTGGAGCTTTGGGAAGGCAAGTTTGCAAGAGCCTAGGCCTGTTGCAGAAATACTCTGTCCTCAGCTTTTCCTTCAGGGCCAGGTCCCTGGATTCTTGGATAAGACATTTACAATATGCGGGCACCACACTGAATCAGGACTGTGTGCAGAGAAGCAAACCAGGCCTTTCCACATAGATAGGAAAAAATAATCATAACAGTTCATGGTTATGCAGCTTCCAGTGGACTCCATTGTTACCTGGTAATCATCAGTCAATTGCCATCACCCTTAACCTTAAAGGTGTCACTTTCGTACTTCAGGTATTCTTTCCAAAGTCCCTCTACCCCTTCTTCTCCCTGTCTTATCTGTCCCTGATCTCTGCCACCCTCAGTTGCTTACATTGGCCAACCAGCCTGAAATGGGAGAGGTTGAATCCTTCATGCTATGTGCATAGCCAACATTCCACAAGATTTATGTCACTAAAGCCTGTGAAAATGACAAATGGTGAGAAAGAGGGCCAAAAAGGGAAGCAAAAATAAATCCAACTACGATTTAACAAAGGGCGGCCCAGTATCTGTACCTAGTGGGTACTGTGATATCTTGAGGGACATGAATTTAACAAGAGAAATAAACTGCTGTATGAGGATCTTTAAAATGCTCTTGTTTTCCATTCAAATTCTCTTTAGTAAAGTTGCTTTTTGCCCTGAAGTCATAATCCAATTGTGTCAACGTGGTAATTAAACATCTGGATTGATTAGGTGGGGAAAGGGAGATTATTTTCTAAGATATTTTTTCTAAAAAATAAGCTTAAGAGTAGAAGGGCTCTGGTTTCCCGGAGCTGTCTAGAGTCATGGAAGGAAGGCCGCCAATATGAGGGATGAGGATGGCCACACAGTAGGGTGACTTTTCAATAAAATAACTTTTTTGTTCTTGTCACATTTAGTGAGCTTACTGCAACTACTACCCTACCAAAGTCACTGACTTCAGTAAACCATGGCTCAGCCATATGATGAATCATCCAGATGATCAAAATTATTCTTATGAAGAGCTTTTAACAACAAATACAGATACTTGTGATATAACACTGTGAACAAAAGCAAGATATACAAGGGCATTTGCAGTATAATGACAACTATGAAACCGATCCACATACGAGAACAGCAATACTCCAAAACTTCAAAAGGTGATTAGCTATAGATGGTGGGATTCTAGATGATTTTTGTTATTTTCTAGACCTTGTATTGAGTATTCTATAGTAAGTATGGATTCATTTTTATAATTAAAAATATATTTTTAAATGGAATAAAATCTATAAAAGGCATCACCTACTTCTTTCAAAGGTCACATATTCCTTAATCATGGCTTGAAGCCTCAGAGCTAAAATGGCAGTGTTCAAAATATACATCTGCTTTAGAACCTATTTTCTTCAATCTTTCCTATGATACTTAAAATTTCATAGACCTTCACAGAAATGTGGGAGGAAATCTGTTAGTGACTTTGTACACGCACCCAGATGATCTGGAACTGGTACTCTCCAGTGAAGCAGCCACTGGTCACTGAGGCTACCAAGCACTCGAAATGTGTCTGGTCCAAGCTGAGATGAGCTCTGAGAATGAAATACACACCAGCTATTGAATATATGGGAAGGGGCAAAAAATGTAAAATATCTCAATACTAACTTTATATTGATTACATGTTGAAGTGATATTTTTGAGATATTGCATTTAATGAAAAATACTATTAAATAATTTCACCTTTTTTTTAATGTGTAATATAATGTAATATGTAAAATGAGCTATGTAGCTCACATTAGCGCTCTTTTGGACTGAAATACTCTAGAAAAAAATTCTGCAGAAGTGTGCTTCGATTATCCATCTATCATCTTTCAGAAACATGCAGGATCTGAATACACACAGATTGCTTGCCCAAGCCAGATCTATGGCCCCCAGTAAAATGTATTCTCCTGCCCCTCTTCCAAGTTGTATCACACTTTTAGTGGTCAGACAATTTCAGTTATTTCCAAGCGCAGACGAATTGAGGCCAGTTCGATGAACAGCACTTACAGGCTGCACCTAACAGCCGTCTTGCCTTTCTTCAGACTGACACGGCCCACAGAGCTCAGAATTCTCTAACTCCCTAACATCTGCCTCTGTTCCCATGGATTCACTCACACATCTGTGTAACACTTCATTCAAAGGACACAGTCCCCATTTGAGACAGCCTCAAATATTCACAGCTCCCAAAAGGCTGTGCCAAAGAAACTTCCTCCGTGTAGCTGTAGGCCATCTCTCAAAGTGCCCTTGGTGTGAGGGGACTGAAAATTATTGCTCTTCAAAAGGGCAGGGGAAAATGAAAGGAAGGATTATATCTGCCTGAACTGCCAAACCAAACTCTGAGAAGCAGATTCTCCAGAGAGTGACTCAGGCCCACATGATGTTTGTTGGGGATGATGTTTTCACTGGGAGGCGAAGTGTGCATTTGCTTATCTGGCCAAAGGCTACTCAACTTATGTGGCCAGCCCACCCCACAGCAAACGTGTACAAGGGTTCTTGTTTCTCCCTGCTCAGAGCTGCATTTTCTCTCTCTACAGCAGTCATTAGAATAAATAAAACCCATATAATCAACATGAGAGGAAGAGGACATATTTTTGTAATGCACGCGGGGGAGGAGGGTGGTTTTTAAAACACCAGGGACACCGCGAATGCCACAGTTATTATGTCAAGGCTCATGAGGTCAAAGTCAGTTAATAATTCCCGATTATTCTCTTAAAGATGACTAACACACAGCCCAATGCTAACAGTTTTCATATTTTAATGATCTTCCATAGAGTTTTCTAATTTATTCAACCTCAGCAGATTCCATTTCTTCATAAAAATAAAGTATTTTTCATCACAGAGGAATAACTTCAAGTTTTTCTTCAGGGATGAGAATCCAAAATCCTGACTCTGCCTGCCATGCTACTGAGCTGTCTCCATTTATCTCTCTGAAATTTTTTGGCTTACAGATTAAAGCATTAGAGGAAAAGAAACTATAAACATAAAAGAATAATAAAGATCATGATTTGTTTAATTTTTACATTCTTATTATTAAGACAGAATTTAGGAAGCAAAACTGCACTTTATCACTTTAAAATATACCCCCAAAATCACTACACTAAAGGCATTATAAAGGGTGACATTGTAAGAATATTTAATTGACATGATTTGGGAGGAAGGGCTGGCAGCACACAAGGAAGAATCGAATGTGAAAGAGAATTTGGTTAATTTTAAAATGTTATCCAAGTAATTACAGTCATTATACTTTCCTGCGGCGCAGCAAAGAAGTAAAAATATCAAGCTCTCCCGCAAATTTTCCAATATATACATACTGTTAAAACATACACATGTGCACACAAACACGTACAGTGAAACCAGATTTTGGAGTTTATCGCTTGCCAAGGTTCACCCCAGAGCAAATATTTACTGCGGAGTTACAAAATTTTCCTGAAGGAGAACCAAAATGGAAGCGTTTACATATGCTGCAAGTACTTTGTGTGCGCAGGGGCCACAAGAAAGATATAGTTTAATAAAAACATTTATGGATTTTGAAAGCAAACACAATCCAAGAGTCTTGCACATGTGGGAAAAGATGATATTCCAGCCTAACACGTTCTCTCTTGAAGATCTTTTGGCTGTTTGCAGTGAGCAAACCCCAGTTTCCTCTGGGGCCCCGCTAATCTATATTGTAAACCATTCTCAGGAAACAAATGAAAGAACCATCCGACACTGCCCTCGGAGACAGCGGCAGGGATGCGGCTCTGCTCTACAGGCAGACAGAAACTTCCCAGGATGGGCGAAGGTGGCTGCTGCATGAAGAACTGGGGTTCTCTAACCTAAACCTTCGCCACCTCCTCTTCCTATCAGGAGAATCTCTCTTAACTGATTTCCTCTGCATTCTCTCACCTCCCGGGCTACCTCCCACTTCACCATCGCAAAACGAACCCGATATTTGCAAAACTTAGGAAAAGACACACCGGCGTGCGGCCCACTGTTTCCATGCCTTTTGCCCCATGGCCTGAGAACCCACTGTATGCATGGCCTTAGAACCAAAGTTTTGCACTTCAAGTGAGCTTTGTTCACGTTCGCCCCATTTTGTTCTGCCATTAGGTCTTGCGGGTGCGCTAGCCTGCTCTTCATTAGTGCTTTTGTGCCTCATTCTTTATGAACCCCGGGCTGCATCCATCTACCTTAGCGCTAATGATCAAACGGGGGATCTTGAAATCACTCTGCGCAATTTACAAATCACACAAACTGGAAAAAGGAATTCACGCCAAATTGGACAAACTTTTGGAAAGGCCTTGTGGAGCCTTGCTCCTCTATCCTTGGGCTCTATTGCCCCCTGGTGGTTTCTCCGAGACAAACGCGGCCAGGGCTCAGCTCCGAGGCTCAGGTGTCCTGCCCTGCGGGCTGGAGCTGCTCTCTGGGACGCAGTGGGGCTGACTCGCGGGTGGGGAGGGAAGGAACCGGCAGTACGAAAATAAACGTGGAAGAAAAGGGAACTTGGGGACATTTGTCCGGCAAAAAGGGTTCAGGCTTCTCCACCTAAAACAAAAGAACATTAGAGCTGTACAAAAAAATGCGGAGATCCTAAAACAGCCCCCTCTTTCTACAGACGAGAAACTGAGGCACAGAGAGATGATGTGATTTGCCCAGTCACATCATCTGGTTGTTTATGGCTAATCTCACCAACCCTGGTCATGCTGCTTTTGGGGGATGACAGGGTTCGGGGCTCCAGGCGGCCGGGAAAGTGTGATGAGTTGGCCTTATTCTGTTGAAGACGCAAAGGAGTGATCAAATAAGGAAACCAGCAGCCTGGGAGATTTGTGTTCCAGGCCCCAGTGAACCCGTTACAGGGTGGGACTGGGTGGAGCAGCCTTCAGGCCGCCCCGGCCCCTCGTGGGAATGCGCCGCGCCCCCCGGACTCTGGAGCGGCCCGACCCTGCTTCCCAGGCCCCGGGCAGGCGGGCGGGCGAGACACAAAGCAGGCCCCGCGGGCGGTGCTCCGGGTTTCGCGAGGGCGGCGGTGCGCTTGATTGATGGATTCACGGCGTTTAACCCCCGCCGCCTCGCCGGAGGCGGCCGATCCAGCTGCGGCCGAGGGCCTAGGGTGGCCATGGGCCCGGCCCCCGCGTCCTCCGCGCCCCCGCCCCGGCTCGGGAGGGCTGCCCCCCGGGAGTGGAGAAAGGCTGATTTACAGCCGGCCGGCCGCACTCTTGCAAAATCACTGCGGCCGGGGAAACCCACTCCCAGGACTCAGCCCGGAAGAGGCCCTGAAGGGGAGCGGAGACTGGGCGCTGGGGTGGGGGCGGGGGCGCCGAGCCTCAACTTCCCGCGTCTGCTGGAAGCTTGCTCTGAGCGCCGGCTGCGGCGTTTTCCCGCCTTCTGCCCACGTTTTCGCCCGGGAGTGGGTTTCAGGAGAGCTGGGGACAGCGGCATCCCTCGCCCTGGGACCGTTGCCCCTGCGCCCGCCGCCCTGTGCCTGGGCCTTTGCACCCGGAGCGCCCCGCGCCCCAGCGCAGTCGTCCCCACGCGCCGGGATCGCCAAATTCCCACCTGGGGCCCGCCTTTACTGGGGGGCTGCAAAAGAGACTTAGAAGCAGAGATTCGGGAGGGGAGCTGATAGCTCCCGAGTCCTAAGCCACGCCTGGACAGCCCACAGGTCCCATCTCCATTTGTTTAAACACTTTTTGCCCCGTTTTCTGCAGGGCAGAAGACAAATATTAAGAGAGCAAGATTGTGCTTAGAAACTTAAGGTTCTCTTTTAAAAGACTCGTTCCTTCAGGTCTTCCTTCTTACCACCTAAGGGAAAAAAGTACCCCCTAAAATTCTTGCTTTACTTTTAGCAATTCTTACTTCAGTTTTACTATTGATACCCTCCGATCTTTTTCAAGAGGAAAAAAAAGCCAGATAGTGAAATAAAATAAGAAACGTATGGTTTCAACTTGAACTAACGAATCAGAAGTGTTGATTCTAAACTAAAAAGTGTTACTACTTTTTTTGCTTATATGTGCCTGGGTAGGATGAGTTTTCCTACAGCCTGCGAAGTTGGTCACTAGAAACAGGGGCTGGTGAAAATGTGCAGATTCTTGCCCTGCAGACACTAAGGATCTGGTGCTGGGCTAGAAAATTCACCCACAGTTAGGATGTCAGAGGGAGATATAAGTAAACGTCGGCACCCAACTCATTAGTTTCTGGCTAAATAAAAGTCAACCGACAGAGCACAAAACAACAGATCCAATGAATCCACCTTCTTGTAAAATGAGGGCTAATGGCTGTATTCTGAAAGATTTTTTTAGGTAGACTTATTTTTAAAGGCCGGTTGCAATTTTAAAATGCATAATTATAGGGTAGAGTAATCAAAAGTGAGTGTGCAATTATTCTGCTTGTATAAATGGGAGAAGAAGTCATGAAGTTTCCCAGCTAGAGAGCTGTCGACCTGTAAAATGTAAAAATGTACATCTAAAGCTGTGAAACTTCTCACTTGAGTACAGTATTTTCTTCTTTCCTCCCGTCTCCCTCTGCAAATACCGTAAGTTCTTATTCTGACCTTGATGTGGGGACAGCACGAACCCTTCTCTTCCTGATAAACCCAAACAGAAAAGCAGATATAAAAGGAGAGGCAGATGAGAAGTGGAGGTCTACACTTTCCAGGGTTCCACCCTCAAATCCCCCGCCGAGGTTGGCAAAACAAAGATTCTGCCCCCTACTACAGTGACTTGTGAGTGGAAAGAAAGTCTTGCCTATCTGTCATAGGGACCCCAAAATGAATTCCTAAAAAAGCAACGCTGCTCTAACAGCAACTGGATCGGAAAGCAGAGAAAGCAGAGATGCAACCTCGGCCCTGTGGCTCCGGCCAGGCTCTGCTCCAGTGAGACCACTCGCTGGGAAACTGAGTTTCCCCCTCGATTTCAGTTTAGTCCCTAAAAAGTTCGCCCGGCCCTGCAAACACCACGCTCAGAAACGCAGCGGCCTCTTACTCTTACCTTTTTAAAGCGTGCTTAAGGTGCTTACTTCGCTTAAGGAAATATTTTTGCAAACACTTTCACTGGATGAATATTTTACTCGCAAACTTTCCTGGGCAAAATCTCCGGAGGAAGTTTCACATTAAAGCAACAACCAACAAAGCTTATTTTTGTAATATGTGGCTCTCTAACAGTGCCAGTATGTTCTCACTTCATTTAGTTATAAAATATAAAAGTGTTTGGTTTTCAATTTTTCTAAATTACTTGCAGGGTACAAGGTGGGGGTGGAGATGGTGAGAAGGGGATCCTTATGCCATCTGGCGGTGCCATGTGGAACTTCGCTGAAGAAGCTAAATTTACTGACCATCTGTGCCTAGAGCGGGTTTCTCCAAGGAAAGGCTCTGTAAATCTCGTCCTTTTGAAATCTAGGGGAAAACAGCCTCCTTCACTGAGGATTAATTTAAAGAAAGGGGGAAATAGGAAAATTCCATGCGTTGGAAGTCCATTTAGATTTCTACATGAACCATCATATATGTGCACTACATAATTCTTATTTTTTTATTTTTAAAAAAGGGATAATTTATATTCCAGTGACAAGTTTGGGAAAGGCCAAGGCAAGCAATTGAGTTGAACATTATGTAGCGTTTATATAGACCTTGCAGACGTCTGTGCAATATCCACCACTGAACACGTGAGGTCGTACTCAAGTCTCTCTGGCCCCTGGTAATGTGACTCCCTTCCTTTATTTGCATGAATCGCCTGGATTGGGTGTCAGGTTTTTAAAACGTCAAGGTTTACGCCTATTGTTGTCAACCAATCAGCATCCTACTTTGACGTGATTGGCTTCTACTGTAGGTGTCAATCATCCAAAATTTGCATACTACTCCTCAGGCCGCCGGGAGCCTGTCAGTCGGCTGTGGCAGCTGGAAGAGAAGGAATCGGACGGAGAAGAATGAAAAATCACTTTGCTTTCGCAAAGCGAAAGAAAAGTATTCTTTTCCTCATTATTTTTAAATAAATTTGATTGTATATTTACCTAATAAAATAAACATTCAATTAAACAAAAATAAGCAACTATCAAAGATTTGTTTACTAATTTTCGTAATGTTTACTGTTTCAATAAGTAGCCAAAGGAATATTAAAACACAAAAATATGAATGCTGATAATTTTATGTCATAAAGACCATTTTAAAACTAAAAGTGAACATGGGGTTTCTAAATAAAATTACCGTGGTAGCGTAAAAACACTGCTTTCAATACTTGGGCATGCTGAAAGTGCTGCATCCTAAGATAAAAAATACACCAAGGGGGGGATTTCAAAGAACATTATTTTGCTTTTAATAATCCTGTATTTCTGTCACTTTGCCCTTTTTATTTATTTACCGTGAACTCACAGACAGAATATTACTTGGAGTTTCTGAAATACTTGTGTTTGTACATTTCTCATCTTACACGTACCCACACACCCCAAAATAAAAAAACAAAGAAGAGGATCTCAGGGACTGAGAAGTCATTACCGGTTTTAAAATTCAGAATTCGTAAAACCGAAGCTCTAATTTGTCAGTTACAAAATTCTTCTAGAACCACTGTAATTTAGAATATGTGCAGAACTATAAGATGTTTATTATTTCTTTAAAATATATGTGAGTACAAACCAACAAGTTAACAGCTTATAATAGGAAAGCACTCTCCAGACTTCTGCCCATCTCCATCACGCCGCGGAAACTTGTCTGAAAGGAGAATTTGGATGCAACAGGGCAACGGAGCGACGTTTCTCCTCTGCACTAAGCCAGCCCTCGCCTCTGAAGAATTTTGTACTAGGCGTTCACTAGCACTGAGATGAACTGGAATTATTTCCACAGCATTAACCGAGTTAGGAAGTTTTTTTCAAACTTTGCATTTAACGGATTTTTTCCATCGGCATTTTATCTTTGCCACCATCGTTTTACTGGTTGCTGCATCTTTCTAGTTTTCTTTCCTTTTCTTTTTTTCTTGCTCTTATTCTACCTTTCTTTGCTTTCTCTCTCTCTTTTTTTTTTCTCCCAGTTAAGGATTGTCACAGTGTGCCGGGTGTCTTTGTAAGTTCGTCCCTCGTCTTCATGATTACAAGAGGCTGATATATGTGTACCTGTGCCTACAGGGGAACTGAACAGGGCTAAGTGAGTGCTGAGAGGAGCTGGGGGAGAGATGTGTGCTGCAGATGAAGGTACGGCTGGGATGTGAAGCTAATTTAGTGTGTGCTTTACAAGGAATGCACAAATCAACACAGCGCTCAAATTAAATCTCTTCTTGAGGGGCTTAAGTATCTTCTTCAGGAAGAGTAAAGCATGTCTTCTAGTTCTACTTCCTTCCCGGTTAGCCAGCTGCTGGAGAGCCCCCTCAGTAAATTCCTTCCAGATCGACCTCAGTGTGGGTGAGAGCGCAGTCTGTGACCACCAGCGCTTCTGACTCAGCGGAAAACGCCGGCAAACAGGACTACACCTCACCGCGGCGGCAAAAGCGGCCTCAGCTCCAGCACTCACAGCCACCACTTTCACCGTCGCCCCGCCACCACCACCTTCGCTGCCTCAACCCTGAGAGAGACACACACACACACACACACACACACACACACACACACACGCACGCACGCACGCGCGCGCGCACAAACACCTCTCCCTGCTGTCAATCATACATGCGCGCCATAGCGCGCATGCGCACTGGTGGACTCCAGCCCCCACCGATCCTACGCCCTGTCTCTGCGTCTGGGACCAGACGCACCAATAAGAGAGCGGATTCGGGGGCGGGCCACAAGGAAGTAGCCAATGAGAGCGCGGTTGGAAGCCAGGGCTAGAGAGGAGTAAATCCTTCTGTCGTCCCCGTTCTGCCGCCCCCGCGATGATTTATGCGTCCTTTTTATTATTTGTAACACTTTGGGAAGTTATTAAAAGGAAGATCTACTGCTTCCTCCTTTTGGGTTAAACTGGATGGCAATGTTTGTCACTGGCCCTTATTAGAGAAGAGTGTGGCGAGGTGGAGGGCCGTTGGACGCTGGGTTTGTTTGTGTGGGTCTTGTTTTTTATTACAAGACACATTATCCTTTTAATTACAAGCTGTAGACAGGGCCAACTTCGAAGGTCTTCGTGGCGGAGTGATCTTGGATCATTCAGGGGGCTGAAACCCGATGCCTTCTGACTTTCGCGTCCGTACTCTTGGCGTTGGGAGGAGCCTCTCAGGAAGGTGTTGCAACCTTTGGTTGTACCAGAAGGAAATAAGCAAACTCCCATCACCCCCACCCCCATTCCCCGCCCTAACACGGAGTAAACTTCGGCCTTTTTCCGCTTGGATGCTCATTAAGAGTTAGTTGACTTTGTAGCGGATGCAATAAAATTTGGATGGTTTCAGGCCCCCAAACAATCCTGGTTTCTGTTTTCCTCTCTCCCTAGGCACACCCCCAAGGAAATTGCCTTTTCAGCAGGCGCCTGCGGGAAAGAACCGCAGGAGACAGATTCCCTTTAGAGATCTGCATGGGGAGGAGGGAGATATGGAAATAAAGAGGGCCAAGGTAAGAGGACGGAGAGGCCATAGAGGACTTGCATGTTTGGGTGTGAGTTTTCTGGCCAACTAGGGGGAAAATCCACAAACCTGAGGTATCTGGTGGATGCGCTGAAAAATTAGCTCTCACCTGCAGAGTTACTCAACCCTCGTGCGCTTCTGCTCTGCCGGGAAGGGCCAGTCTCCGAGGGCGGAATAAGTATGGGTATTGAAAGGCAAGTAGGAAACAGCAAAAGAAAAGAACAGATACAAATTTTCTACTCCCGACCTCCAAACCAAAATCGCACTTTCAAACGTAAAACGCAATTCCAAGAAGACTGGGATGTAGGGAGTATGCGATGCCTCTGTTCAATAGGTCACTGTCAGGAACTTCAGTTTCTGGTGTTCAGATATTTGTATTTGAAATTAAGAAAATCAACGCAGGAGGGGTTGCTGGAGGATAAAGTGGGGTGACGAGAGACCGAAGGAGGGGGAGGAGGAGAGGGGTAGAAGGAACCAAGAACCATCTGATGGCAGAACTGGGCTGAAGGAAAACAAAACCGTGAACTTCAAAGCTCAGGCCTAATCTCCCTCAGGTTAATTTCTGCTTCCTAAAAAGTTTGATCAGGGTCATAAATCACTCGGTCCACCCTTGCCGGTCCTGCCTGGTTCCCCAAGGTTCTCTCCCCGCAGCCCGCTGCAGGGGCGCAGGGTGAGTCTCCAGCCCAAGACCGTCTGAGGCTTCCCGGGGCAGGAGGGCTCCCGGGGCTGAGTGGGCGCACGGATGCGCGAGAATCCGCGTGCGGGGGAAGCGGGGAGGCGAGGGTCTAGGGAAGGTGCTGGCAGTGTTGCGGGCCAGACTGTGGAGAGATCCCGTGCAGATGCAGTTTCCATTCCGTCCGGCCTCAAAAAAAAAAAAAAAACCTTCAAGTGTGTCTGGCGTGCTGTTTGAAGAAGGTTACAGCGTGTTTAGAGATTTGCAAAGCTCTGCCGAGCAGTAAAGATTAGAAAGGCCTGCCTGAGATTTGTCAAATGACTTCCGGTAGCAGAGCCCCCAGTAAACAGGGAGGGCCCGGCAGCCTCAGATCTTGGCTCGGTCGGGGCCTGTAACTCCAGGCTGCACGGCGCGGAATTGGTACGGCCGCACCAGGCGCGCTGCGAGGAGGATGGGCCTGGCCGGGGACCCGTGGAGGATCCGCCTCCAGTCCCGAGGAGGTCCCCGTTTTGTGGCTGTAGTGATGTGGCGTAAAAGTCAAGTCGTGGACTTTTCTATTGGCCTTTCCGTGCAGGAAGCCCTAGATGTAGACCAAGCACTAATTTGGTGAATTTGTAGACCAACTTGACTGAAAGGCTCGGGGAAATGTCACCTAGATGAGTCTGACCCTCCCTAAATGAAAGCCATCTTGGAGGAGGCCAGGGAGTGAAATGGCTGGGGAAGGCCCGGCAGGTCTTCATCATAAGAGTCCACGTTTCTCAGCAGTAACGATAATATTTTAAAACAAAGCAAAACAACATTGTCAAAAAATCTAGGAGACAGTGATCACTGCGGTCAGGGGCGCTTAGTGGGCCGCAGCTCATAGGAATGCTGGGGTTTCCCAGATTCTTCCCAGACGGGCATCGCTTTCCTCTAGGAATGACAGTTTCCGCCTTGGCTCGCCTCAGAGGTGCGCATCAGAGCCAGCTCAGGAAGCCACTACCTGTCACAAAACCGACCACACCATTCTGGTTTACACGGAGCATATAGCTTGGGGTTACCCAGCTAAAATAAATAACTGAAGGGAAATTGTTGGTCAAGAAAAACAAAAGGAAAAATATATAATAAAAGGGGTATCTATTGTTGGACGTGAGACGGGTCCCTCTACACACGGGAAGACGAGGCAGAGGAGATGTTGTTAATGCCCCTGGGTATTAGATACAAAGAAGCACAAAAAAAGAAAAAGAGAAAGGAAAAGAAAAAGGAAGGAAGGAAGGAAAGAAGGAAGGAAGGGAGGAAGGAAGGGAGGAAGGAAGGTAGGTCAAGCCTTCTAGAATTTGTTACCCTAGATGAATAATTACTTAGACTCACACACGCAGATGTTTTTTCTGTGAGAAAGAGATTAATATGGTCTGTCCGTAATGTGACATACACACACAGGGGTTGTATTTCCATGTTTTAAAACACAAAACAACTAAAGTTGATCAGTGAGGGACATGTTTTTAACGGTTTAAATGTTTTATGATGGACCAGTAAAAGCAGAGTTAAATTTCAAGACATAATTGACTGGAGATTTGATTATTTCCCCCCATTTCTGAGGGGGAAATAATCCCTTTCCCAAAATAAAGTTATACCATTGATAAAAATAGCGCAGAGGACCGTGAGAGTTAAATAAAGCAGAAAAAAAAAAGACTATGTGTTGCATTGAGGCAAAAATAACGAAATTCAAAGGCAAATTAAAATAAAGCAATGAGGATTTATCTGAGGAACCGCCACGGGCAGAGGAGCAACATCTGTCCCAGATGTCAGACTTCCCTGCAACTTGATCCATGCGTTTCCACTTTGGTTTCTGAACCGAAGGAGGAGTGCCGGCAAGGGAGCGCCCGCAGTCCTGCGGTACAGGGCTGGCGCAGCCTCTGAGTGCGTGTGTGAACTCTGCCAGGAAGCTGTGAGAGCCAGCCCAGGATTCAGTGACCCTGTTTCCCAACCCACAAGGACAAGTACATGGTTTTCTCTCTTATCAATTCCAGCCCCGCGCAACCAAGTGAAAGCAAATGCACTGGACCGCTTCGGAATTAAAATGAATTGCTAAAACCACGGACCGCTCTGTCCGGGGCCCAGACCTGTCTCAACTCGTGGTATTTACATTCCTAGAGCCCGTGCGGAGGAACACGTCGAGGCACGGGTGGCCGCAGCACCCGGCCTCCAGGCCTAGAGTGAAAAATTTTTTAAGATCTGGTTCTCTCCCCGCCGCCTCTGTGGAGGGACTTGGGGGCATTCATCAGTCTGCAATGTTTATTCATTGTTGTAGTACCGAGCTTTCCAAACGAATAGGAAACTTTTACATCCCTTCCTTACACAGATATTTATTATCTGTAGGAATATTTAAGGGGCTGTACTGGGCCGTTCACCTTTGACAGGGGCCGTCACCTCACACTCCAGTGTAATGGACCACACTGCGGCTGCATTTAATTTATTGGGGTGAGAAGTTGCTGCGGGAGGTTTCCAAAGGGGGTCTTTGTCACGAAGAGAGAGGCTCTGGTCCAACCCCGTAGGTGCTTAGAAGATTATATTTTGGCCTCGGAATAACACAACCGAACACAACTCAAAATATGAAAGACATTTCCTTAAGGTGTGGGTTCTGATACCGGAGTTCACAGATATTTAGGAGTCTATGGAGTGGCCTTAGGCGGTCAGGAACTCCCTGAAATGAAATGCTGCATTTTGGGTGGCGGTCATGTGGCTCCTTAACTTTTTTTTTTAAATTAAATTCTGAAAAGAGTCTGTGACTACTATCCACAGATGAAGAAAAAAAATCATTAAGAAGTCATAGTTGAAAATTACACCAAGGGCTCGGAAGTTTTGCACTGAGCCTGAATAGAGGAAACCTGAGAACTGGTATAATTAACAACCAAATAAGCATGATTTTTCACTTGCTTTAAGGCAAAAGATCAAAACGAGCATTACTGAAATCCTTTAAAAAGCCATGCTGTTGTGATAAACGCAAGAGAGCTCAGGGACCTGGCAACCGGCTACCTGGTGTTAATATCAATGCATTTTTAAACCAAAATGCTTCATGACTCAATTTTCCCTCTAAACTTCAAGGCAACCCAAGCTCTCTTAATATTGTCATTACCACGGCCCAGAGAGGGAACCCGATCCGATGTGGTTCTAAAACAAAATGGGATATTAACCGTGTTTGTTTTCACTTTGATCTATAGGAAATAGGTCCTGCACCCTGTGACCCATTAAACTAATAAGATTATACACATCAGCAGAGCGGAGGTTCTAATTGTTTCCATCTGTCCCAGATCTTTGCATTTTAAAATTGATGAAAATAAGACATGATTTACAAAAAACAAAATATATTGAGAGTGAAAATGTGACAAAAGTGAGCCCCTCGGACCACACATGCAACCAATTACTGAGAAAATAAATAGATGTATATGGTGTGGCGCTTTTGGAAGAAGAAAAACCGAAGCACGAAACATAATCATTGAATTGATCTGGGGGTACTCACTCATTTCATAAAGCTAACACTTGCTTGAAAACACCAGCCAATCAGAAGCGTTTCCGGAAGACACTCTACACCTCTCCGCCTCTTCATAAATATTTAAACCGCTTCTTTCTAGATTTGTCATTTAAATCTACTAGGGAATGTGCCTCAAGGGCTCATCTTTCACTGGGTCGCTCACACAGAGGTGGGGCGAGAGGGAGGAGGCGCATTAGCCCTGCGCTCTCATTTGCTTAAACGGCCTTCTTACGTCATCGTAAGCCTAAGCCAATCCGTGAAGTGCACTTTGACAAGCTACCCGCCCCTAATTTGTCCTTTCACCGCCAGCCTAAGCCAATAGTGTGGCTGCATGTAAATGAGAAACCGCGAGCATCTCCCCCCGCCCCCGGCTCCGCCCAATTTCCCACCTCTTCCCGGAGCGCACAGACGCCAGCTGAGTGGGAGGGGCCTAGCTGCGGGCGGAGCACGGAGGAGGAAGGGCACGAGGAAGAGGCGGAGCGGGCCGAGGCGCGCGGAGCTGGGTTTGCTGAGTGCTTCCTTCCTCGGCCCCACCTCCCGCCGGGCAGGATGCCGTTTGATCATTGGCTGGTTTAATAAAGAGGGCGTGTTTATTTTGCATAAATAGTGGGCGGGCACCCAGGGCTGCTTTGTAACTCGAGAACCCGGTGTCCCGCCTGTCTCCCGGGGGGTATGGGCGGGTCTCCCGCCAGCCTCGCCAGACTGAGCCAAGGGCCTGAAGGAAATAAATGGCTTTCTGAAAAAATTCGTCTTAATTCGCCCTTTTGAGAGAATTCTGTTTCTAAATGCATTTTTTTCGTTGGTTCTTACAAGTCGTTAAGAGTTGTAACATGAAATAAGTAGAGATCACCAATCTATCCGCCCCCAAATTAATTTTATTTTAATCTGTGTAAGGGCCACTGCTCCTGGCTGGCCGTGTGTGAAGCAAAATTTTTGTGCAATAAAAATTATTCCTTCACTAGAATTCATTTTTTCCTTTGCTATGAATTCCCTGTCTTCCTAATTTTCCACTAGCAGAGCTAGGGAGAGCCGAGTTGCACTGAAGCAGAGAAAGGATGGAAAATTCTTTCGAGCTAAGCATTTATGAATTGCTTATGAATGATGTATGTGTTAAAATTGTTTCCAACAGTAAAATGCCCCAGGGATACTCGGTTGACAGTTTTTTAATAAGAGAATTCTTCTTGTGATTGATTTGATCTTTTTTTTTCTTTTTTCTTCTTTTTTTTTTTACAAAAATTTTCCCTGTTTTAGGTCGAACTGAACATAGACGTACCTTTTCACGATTTATGAAATAAGATGTCAAGTGACAAATACCTGGAAAATGAAAGGATGAACACGATCTTCAGGAACCTAAGTTTTAAAACATATTGTCTGCGCGTTTATACTGGGTAACATTTTTACAGTTTTCAGAAAAGTTATTATGGTAGTTTGTTTGCTCCAAATTAAATTTGGAAGTCTTTGTTCCTTAATTTGGATTACATTTTAAAATCTGAGTTGTCAACAAGGCCGTTTCACGAAAAAAAAAGTAAGAAAGAATTACTTCTTTTGGCAGGCTATGGGCCTTTATTTAAACAGAAATTAAAATTCACAGCCAAAATTCTTTCTCTCTCCACTGGAAAACAAATTACACCTTTCCGATTCTGCAATTTCTGGGCCTCCAGCACAGAAATGATAGAGGATTCCGAAGAATTTCTGTATTAGTAAGAAGTTAAGAGTGCTCTCAGTGGAGAATAATGGTTTGTGGAAAATTATAAGATCAAGGGGAATGGAAAAGTTTTCTTGTTAGGTCAGTATGGTGTAACGTTTATTCTTCTAAATACTTTTTGACATGTAACAAAGGTAGGAAAATTTGCTTAATTACTGTCTTTTTAAATTTACATCAGTATGTGGATTACATTTAACTCAATTCATATTTAATTTTGTAGTCTTAAAAGTAAATAACTTGAGGCATTATTTTATGCCTCCTCCATGAAATTATATCCAGAGACATTATTCCATTGCTAACAAGTGATTCAGTGTTAAAAATAAATGTTAATTCCTATGATATTCCAAGCAATTACAGTAATGTATATCCATCTTAAAGCCAAAAACATTGTCAGTTGATAATTTGTCAAATTGTTATTTGAAATTGAACTCTAGGTAAAGTAGAGTAATAAAACATTAGCACTTTTATACACCTGGTTCTTAGTAATTATAAAAAGTTAATTTTACAATCTACTAGGAAATAATTACATTTTAGTGTTAATTTTAGGCGTTAGCTTTATATGACTGTGTTAGTGCTGTTTTAATAAGCTTTGGGGTAATGAATAAAGTACTATTATAATTTAAGTAATATAACTAAGCATTAAACCCAAACTATTTATTATTTAAACCAGACTATCATGTTATTTTTCATTTTTCTTTAATGAATAAGGTTTTTCTGGTTATGAAGTATATATGTTCCTGAAAAAATCTGAGAAATGCCAAAAGGCATAACAAGAAAAACCCAAAATGTTTATATGTATTCTCACAATCAGTAAGTAAATCTGTTTCCTATATTTTCTTCCTATCTTTTTCTATGTATTAGTAGTGAGGTCATTTTTTTGTTTTGCTTTAGTACGAAATTCCAGTTGGGTTCTATATTAAGAACTTGCTTCTCAAAGCTCAGATTTATTTTGTTCTTATTTTCTGCTTGGACTATAATTTGACTTTGTAAGAATTCACAGTTTTATTACATTCATATTTTTAACTTCTTTTTATTATAAGAAATACACATTCATAAAGTAACCACTCAGAACTACTGAAAAGTAGAAGTAAAATATCATAATGATCTGGCCATAAAAAATTCCCAGTTTGCATTTTTTAAAAACACAGTATTATCATTTATAAATATAAATCATTAATCTTTTGGGTTAAAACAATATTTTCAAAAGTAATTTACTTTTTTGCATATGTTTCAAAGATTTAAAAGTTGCATTTTAACATTCTAATGTAGCAAAGACTAATTTAAGTTTTCTTGTTCAGCTTAACTTCTGTAACCTATGCCAGCAATTCCAATATTGTTCACATAAAATAAACATTTTATCTGAGCTTTACAAAAATGCTTCTTCTTTATATTTTCTATTCTTCTTAATATGCATTTGTTGATTACTCCTCTTTCAAGTCCTGCATGAATGCATAATCACGGCAAACCAACACATAAAAGACATTGGTCTGTTTTCAAATTGCAACATTTTTTCTTTAGCCCAATTATGTTTTACTAACAGCATCTGCTTCCAATCTATTTGCACTTTTAGGAATACTGATTTTTATTAATAGCACCTGAAAATAGCAGCAAACCACAAAGGACATGTAATTAAGAATATCATCAAACAAGTATTTAACAAAATGCATGATTAGCTATGTTTGTGGCCTCTAAATTGAGCAAAAGTACATATCTCACCGTTTCATTTTACAGTCTCTATTTAGTTGTTCCCCATCTTGATATTACGGTTTCAGTAACAAAACAAATAGCCCTGTTTATCATTAAATTGTAAACTCATAACAATACACTGTTTATAATATATCACATATCCTGTAAGTTTCTAAGCCAAATTATTTCATTGTGGTGGCAGATGGTTGTGGAAATCAATCTGTTTTTACATGTTGGTTCTCTCAGCTTACAGTAATAACTAACTCTAACATATTTAAGTGAGGGTTCAAATAATAGAAATGAACCACGTTCCAAATATATAAATTACATTGCCAACTGTGAGAAAGTCGAAATCTGTGTTCCATGTTATTTTATTTAAATTTACGAATTATGTGAAATGGGTAATTCCATCCATTTTTCCAGTATGGTTTTGTAAGAAAAAGACATGGAAATTGATATCTCCATAGAACAGCAACAGTTTAGGCCACTATTTTTATGGATGCAGGGATCCAAGAATTAAATAAGAATACACAGTGACATTTAAAAACATCTCTGAATAAGAACTGATTGACCAATTACATGCTCACAGCTGGAAGGTGTTTGTTTCCATATACTTTTCAAAAGATTGCATTTGCCTTTGTGGACAAACACTATCTCCAAGAAAGGAAATTAAGAACATGAAAGAGGTATTTTGTTTGTTTCAGGTTCCTTTCATTATGGGTATTTTTAAAAAATTTAATACCATGGGCCGGGCGCGGTGACTCACGCCTGTAATCCCAACACTTTGTGAGGCCGAGGAGGGCAGATCATAAGATCAAGAGATCGAGACCATTCTGGCCAACATGGTGCAACCCTGTCTCTACTAAAAATACAAAAATTAGCTGGGCATGGTGGTGCGCGCCTGTAGTAGCAGAAGTTAAACTATTCGGGAGGCTGAGGCAGGAGAATCGCTTGAACCCGAAGACGGAGTTTGCAGGGAGCAGAAATCGCACCACTGCACTCCAGCCTAGTGACAGCGAGACTCTGTCTCAAAAACAAAAAAAAAGAAAAACCATGAATTCACTATTTGAGATATATATATAGAGAGAGAGAGAGAAAGATAATTATATGTCTATCATTTTTTTTCATGAAAACAAGCTATGTTTTGTACCCAGAGTGCCATAATCAAGTAATGAAAACAGACTTGAAAAAATAAGTGGCAGCTTTATTAACAGTTACTGTATTTAGGGATGTTATATTCTGTGGCTGTTTCTAAAAGATGGCAAAGCAGTTATGAAAACTTTAACTTTCATTCGCTATAAAAATGTCATATACAAAAATAAAAACAAAATAGTGCCAGAATACCAGCTTCCCATACAAATACAAAAATGTATCTAAAGGGAGAAAGAAACAGTCTGTCTCCAAAATGTAAAATGAACAAGGTTTTTTTTTTTTTCTTTTAAGTTTGGATTACGTTGAAAATTGCCTCAATTTTTTCTCTTCACATCAGACAGATAAAGTTCAAGTGACTTTTCAAAGTCATATTCAACCCCCCAAAAAACTAAACAATCTTATGTATTTAAGTTAGATTGTAAAATGAATTTTGTATAGAAAAAATTATAAAATATTTACTACATAAGTTCACAGGCTCCAGAGTCCTTGATGCCTCAGCATCTGAGTGTTATTTGTATTTACTATGATGGTGAGCAACAGTATGCCAGGCAAAATTACATTTCTTTGTAAAATTGCCAATTTGAAATAGTACTGTGACTTCCAGAGGTGGTTTGGGACATATTTTTGAAGAAAAAAAAAATCACTCCTAGAAAAAATATATTTAATAATTATAGTTTTTTCTCTCCCTTTTTAGTTTGCCTTCCACAACATATACAAAATGTCAGTATCATTGATAAGAATATTCCAAGGGATATTAGAGGTAAATGAACAGGAGATTGATGACAAAATTCAAATATAAAGTTGTCAGAGAATTCACTGCATCTGGTATCAGCTTGTCCTGATTTTTAAAAGAGTCATCAATATTAAAAATTGTCATCTATGGGCTAGTGCATTTTCCAAACTATATACATATTTTGAAATATTAAAATAATATATGTGCATTGTAGTAAAATTTAAAAGCACAAAGAAAGCAGGGAAGAAAAATTCACTCCCTACGAAAGAAAACCACTACTCAGATCTTGATATATATTTGATATATATTCGATGATATATATTCTTGACATCTTTTTTCTGTGTATGTATTTGCATTTCAAAAAGTTAAATATTGCACATTCTGTTTTGTAAACTGTTGGGGTGTTTTATTAGTCTTGGTAGATGATGGAAATCTTCCCGTGGTCCAGGATTCTTCTATAAGGTGATTTAGATTGGCCAACAGGGCTACTTTCAATGATCACAACTGGATTCATTCAACACATTCCATATTAGGAGATGTTTAAATTGTGTCTAATTTTTCAGCATTGGAAACAGTGCTGCAATGCATATATTCTTACACCTCTGTCAGTGGCTGTAACTATCTTTGTAGGGCACATTTCTATGAGAGATGTTGTTTTTTGTTCATTTCTTTTTTCATTTTTTTCTTTTCTTTCTGCTTTTTTTTTCTTTTTTTCCCTTTTCTTTGGTGTGTTTATATTGCTTTATTTTGTTTTGTCTTCAGATTGGTTGCTTGTTTTTTAACCAAATAAAAGTGATCCAAAAGTGCAATCTTGCTTTTAGAAGCCAAAATATTAAAACATTTAAAAGGCTGAAGTTCCCACATTCCCACTTCCTCCTCCTCAGTTTGCTGCATAGCTTTTGAATCCTCTCTCTATCTATTTACAGGTAACATATATGTATATGTAGAAAATATATCATATGGCTGCATAGTCTTAAATACTGTTATAATAACTCAAATTGCATTTATTCTCAGTGATGGGCATACAGTTGAGCTGAAGGAAAGTGAGAGAGAAATTAAAGGCATGATAATCAAGTGAAGTGATGATATGAGCTAAGCTAAAGAAGGTAGTGTCTTCTTCCATGACTGGAGAAGCCTGCTTAGCATTTTAAAAAAATTAAAAATCATGATCCAAAAATTGTGATCCTACTGCGATGTCAGCCCACAGTTCATTCCACAGACAGAGGTGATGAGAAGCCCCCTGGACTGCCAAGCAGTCATTACTCCTTCTGGAATCAAATCCCTTAGTCCTACTGTGCAGTTGTGTATGCCATTCAGCACCTTCAAAAATTACCTTAGGAAATGTCCAAAAGATTTGTAGAAAATGTACACCAAACTGGAGCTTTTTCTGTATTGATAAGCAATTTTAGAGCTAAATAGAATAGAATTCCCTCAGAAAGTACCAAAGTGCTCAGAAAGAAGTGACAGAACTGAATTTCAAATTTTCTGCTCCCTTTTCCTAGTTTCAGGGATGGCAGAGAGAAGCAGGAGTGTAAGACTTGTGAAGCAGGTAAGTTGCAGTTGAAGCACTCAGGGAAGAGGGCTTACCACGTTGAAGTGCTTCTTGCAGGTATAGCATGATCCCCTGAGCACTGCCTCTTCTTCCCACAACTCCCTCACACTGCCACACATATATTCCCAGCGATAAGCAATGTGTCATGAGGATAGTACAGGAGACAGTGGTGTCATCCTGGTGGCACCTGGTTCTCCTTCCTCCTGACCTTTGTGCCAGGGATGAGCCTCTAACTCTCTGCGTTTCATTCTGAAGTGTTTCCATATAGAAAACATTGTGAACTGTTTTCCATCTCCCCGGGGGTGACTCTTTCCTAATATAAAGGAGGGATATTGTAGGGGATTGAGGTTGGCAATGGAGGATTAAGAAGAAGGGAAGATGAACCGCAATGCAAAAAAATAATAATTTACAGCTCCATTCATTTTTGTTTCTTCTCAAATTTTCTCCCAGTAGATTAATCAACAAAAGTAAACCTACCTAAAACATAGTGCAACTTAGAAATTGACCAATTACTCTTTTTTTTTTTCATTTCTGAGTGTCAAACCAACCCTAAAATGCCATAAAAACAAACTTCCTGTCAATAAAGGAATAAGCTTCAAACTTATGGGAAATACTTTAGAAGCATACTTAGTAGACATCAAATTACTGCTTCAAAACATTCTGATACATCAAACCCAGGAGTATCAGAAACAGATGGGCTCCCTTCCTCTCTATATTTCACACAAACTCCAAAAATAAAGGAAGAGCCTGGAAAAAAAGAAAGCATTTCCATTTGCTCATCCCATGTTTGAAAAATTATTTTTACCCACACCCAACCCATTCTAATTATACAATTTTATTGCAGTGGGGAAATTAATTATTATTGCTTTACTAGAAGGGCTGACACACATTTGATCTTTCAAAAACATCTGACTCTTCTTCAGCCTCTTTTGCAAAGGCATCAAGGCATTTGAAAAAAAAAATCCATAAAAGAACTTCTAGGCTCTGGCATCAGAATTGATGCCACATTGTTTCCAAGCAAACCAAATCTTCACACGTGCATTCTTCTCCAGGTCTACCTCCATGGCACAGGAGGAGGGAGACATTTATCATATTTCCGGTTAATGTGAGCAATAGTGTGCTGAATCAGAGAAATCCCTGCTCTCAACAAAAAGCCACCCAGGTTTTTCTAATTTCTTCCCCAATTTTATGCATTAACTACTAGGTTGATGCAAAAGTAATTGTGGTCTTTGCCATTTTTGTAAAAGTAATAGCAAAAATCTCAATTAGTTTCACACCAACACAATATTTTCCAAACCTTCCTTTTTTTCTGAGCTGTAGAGAAATCTAAGAAGCTATAATTGTATCTATACCTATGTCTATCTATAGAATGTTTATTTTTGTGTCAGAGTGTATGGATTACTGATACGGAAATGTTTGCAGTGGTAGTTTCTGCTTCCATGTGTAAGTATGGTGAAATTCAAGTCCTATTCAGTTGCATTTGTGATAAACATGTATTCTTAAAGATCTCACCCAATCATCACCTTTTCCCCTCTTTAATTGGTCATTCTCTTCTTTTGTCTGGTAAAATCCAGCAAGAGTTAGGATCAAAGATAGAGACCTAAAACCTAAACCAGCTCCTTTCCTCTATCTTCTGCTTATTGAATCAAGAGTTAAAACCGGGTGAATTCAATTACTCCTTTGAGGAACACACTTTTGTTTTGAAAGGCAGATCCCTAAAACCAGCATAACTCAAGCATCTGTTCATCTGAACAGCTCAGAAACAT
Source organism: Homo sapiens (assembly GCF_000001405.40). NCBI lineage: Eukaryota > Metazoa > Chordata > Mammalia > Primates > Hominidae > Homo > Homo sapiens. Next base: position 25,870,750 of record NC_000007.14, read on the forward strand.
CCCCAGATTGTGCCAGCTTCCAATTTTAAATACAGTCTGGAGCGATGCCCCGGGAACAGTGCTGCTGGATTTTCTGTGGCAGGCACTGGCCACCTGTGTTGCCTGAGGCAAGTTTGTAACCTTTCTGTGTCTCTACTTCCCTCATTGGGACAATAATAAATAATTATAGAATCCACCACCTCATGGGAATTGGGTGAAAATTACATTAATATTCATAAAGGTCTTAGTGCCTGACACACAGAAAGCAACAAAAAATTTTTTTTACTAAGTGCACTGTTTGCCTAAATAACTAGAAATTCCTTTTTTCTAGAAAGCAGACTATTTAGGCCTCTTGAGGCATTCTCACAAAAGCAATTTGGTCCACATATTATTGATAAGTCAATGTCTCTGTGGGGACATGAGGGCCTGGGGTTTCCTCTTCTGCCACCTTGCTGATGTCGCTTGCCATATCTAGACCTCTTTAAATGCTTGCTTTCTTGCATTCTGGGGGAGGTTATGGGATTACTGTCATGCCCATAACAGGCACCCAATAAATAATTTTGGAATGAATGAATGAAGAAAGAATAGACTGTGATTTCATTTTTAAATAATGAATGGGGATGGTGGTGGGAGAGGGGGTAGTGTGTGTGAAGAGTTGAGGCACAAGTACCTCCTTTAGCACCCCACTGAAAGTTTGGATTTTCACCAAGGAGAAAAACAGAATTCTGAGCCCAGTGACCCAGGAAAGAGGCTTTAGTGACAAAGCCAGTGGCAGCTGACAGAAATGGAGACAGCCATCCTATAACAGAAACAACAGCCCCTGGGAATCAAGCAAGCTGTTTATAAACTTTGGCTGTCTCAAAGATTGTGTGACATCTCCAAGGTCAAGAATCCCCCTCTGGAGACAATGGCCATAATAAATAGAACTTTCCTCCCAGGGTCTTGACCCCACCATCTATTACGTTGGCCAAATCTCGTATCACCTTGAACCTCAGTTACCTCTTTCTAAAAGAAGGATGTTAATTCAGTAGGTTCAGGAAAACACATAAGTATGTCTGTGAAAGTGTCCAGTAATCTGCATAAAACAGAACTAAAAAGAAGGTTCAAAGCATTGTCATATCCGAATTAGAATAGAAAATAGGGTTAGTCCTAAGGAAAATATCCCTAAGAATATTGATGATGTAATACCAGACCAGGCTTTTAAAGGAGACTGTGAAATCTCTATTTGGGGAGAATTTGAAAGAAAGGGGAGGAAGGAACACCTGTTGGAAGGAGTGAGTAAAGTAAAAGGTCCCTGGAGGTTCTTTTTGGCTCTCAGATTCCATAATTCTGTGGCCTCTAAGAACACACACTGTAGTGCCCAAGAAGGGCTGGTGACTGATAAGTGTCACCTTTCCTGTGGTGTCCAGAGGCACAGGCCAGCACTGCTCACAGGTGTGCTGAGATGTGAGAGAGGATGGCATCTGGAAGAAACAGAAAAGCTGCAGACCAGGCTGGCTTCACCAGATCTTGTTTGTTGAGTAATCTCTTTCAGGAGACAGCAGTGTATCCAAGTGCCGTCTTGCTAAAGGTTTTGTAGGGCCTGAATCGTATATAATTTGGGGGCCCTTCTTTGAGGAAAAGATTATGAAATTATACAAATGTCAAAATGGCCAGGCACTGTGGCTCACGCCTATAGTCCTGGCTACTCAGGAGGCTGAAGCAGGAAGATCACTTGAGCCCAGGAGTTACAGGCTGCAGTGAGATGTGATTGCATGGCTGCACTGAAGCCTGGGTGACAGAGCAAGAGTCTGTCTCTAAAAAAAATAATAATAACAATGCACAGGGCCTTGAAAGGGGCCCATGCAAGTGAGAGACCCTGAAACCTAAGCTTCATTAGCTTCCTAACTTACCTTGCCTGCAACCACAGTATTATGATTCCTTTACAGATTAGGAAACTGGGGTTTGGAGAAGTGAAAGGACTTGTTCCAAGTCATGTCATTGATGAGTGGCCAAGTTGGAAATGGCTCCAACACTACAGCTGCACTTACAAGTAGGGTGGAGCCTCTGCTCTCACCTCTGGGTAGGTCTACGGTTGCTGGGGCTCCTATTTCTCTGAGAGGTGTTCACTCCTCACTCTGAGCAGAGTAGTTTAATGCTGAGTATCCCCCTGTATGAGGGTTTCAGAAAACCTGAAGGTTTGCCAGGCCTACAGTGCTTAGAGGTTTGATTATGGGAGCCTTCAGTGAGGGCAACTGACAACACTGATCATCTGTGAGTGTTAAAAGAAACAATATTTATGGCTATGATAAAAGATGTAAGCATTAATGTCTATGGCAGAAGTCAGGAATGTGGTCACAAAAGTGATCCTAGAATGTTAATGATGCCAGGGACCCTGTCCAATGCCATCTTTCTCCAACTCAAGATGAAAACTGAGGCCAGGGAGATTAAGTCAGTTGCCCTAGGTCACAGAGATTCCAGTGCCAGAGTTGGAACTAAGAATCTACTGCTGGAATTGCAATGCTTTGTTGCCAACATCCTTACTGGGGCTCCAATTCTACAAAATATTCTTTATTTACTCCCTAAGCAAGGACAGTAATGCTGCTTTCAAGAGTTGAACACTTAACCATGAATTTTGATTTTTGCTTTATTTCAATAATAAACAAAACACTTTCCATGTATTTTTTTTTATTCTACAAAATGCTTGGGGGAAAAAAATCTCCTATCATGATTCTTGCAAAAAAAGTAATTTTCCACATTTACATTTAGCTGATTAATGGTACTGCCTGGTGCTTTCTATTGTTAAACAAAGAGTTAGCCCAGTTAGGGGTGTTCGTGAAAAGAAAGTTTCCATGCCTGAACTTCCACCTTGGTGTCACTGAAGGATATATTTTCACGCATTTTAATTGACTTTTGGAAGATTGTTGCCTATAATAAGATTTAAGATGTCCCATTTCCAATAAGCTGGCTACATTGTTCCCACAATTCCATGCCAATAGATGAAGTTTATTGCTGGTGATGGCCACTTTCCCTCCCATTTCCTGTCTTTCTCCTCATTTTTCTACTCTGGATACTTCCCCAGCTACTGAGAAAATGTTCAAAATGGTCCTCTAAAACTATGGTGCTCAATAGAACAACTCGCAATGATGGAAGTGTTCTCAGTTGGCACTGTCCAATATTGTAGCCATTAGCTATATGTGGCTAGTGAGCCCTTGAAATGTGATTATTCTGACTCAGGAACTAAAATTTAAATTTCATTTTAATAAATTTAAAATATAGTCATGTGACTAATGGCTACCATATTGGACAGTTCAAATGCAGAATATTTTCATCACTGCAGAAAATTTTATCAGACAGCACTAAGCTAAAGGGTCTACCCCTGAGCAAAAGCGCTGAGACTCTACCCCATGTCTGACCCTGAGCTGGGTTCATTATTTGGGCTGAGCTAAAAGAGAGGCCTCCAAGATGGCTTGGTGTGCAATTTCTGGGACTTAAGGATACAATGAGTTCGGGCAGGGTGGAGGCACTGTATTGGTTCCTATACAATCAAGCTTTGGAGTGTATAATGGAGAAGAAAGCTTAGAGACCTCTAGTTGTTGCCCCTCTTTACAGACAGGAAAACTCAGTGGCAGTAAATTAGTCGCTTGGCAAAAGTTAACACAAAAGTTAATAATTGAGCTTGTCTGCTAATTCCCAAGCCAGTCCTCTTTTCTAGTTGGGTACAGACCAGTGTTGGAAGACCAGGGCATGTCATTCTTTCTTGTATTACTTCAGCACATCCATATTGTGTATTTCCCCTGTATGAGGATTCTTTTGTTTAGGATGGACAGGGTGGGAGACATGAGCTGCCTCTTGGTGGAGGAGAAAGGTGTGTTCGTCAGCTTGCCTCAAAGGGCTGTGCAGGGATGGGATAGGGTGACCAAGCCTTACCTGGGACTGACTCAGTTTTAGCACTCAAAGCCCCCATGCCAAGAAATCTCTCAATCCGAGGCAAATCAGGATAGTTGTTCCACTGATACCAATGATAATGTCACCAATCTTCCAAAATTCAGATGAAGCAAAGAATCAAGGCAAGTTGCCAGCCATGGTGATATGCACCTGTACTCCCAGCTACTCAGGAGGCTGAAACAGGTCGATCACTTGAGCCCAGGAGTTCAAGTCCAGCCTGGGTAACCTAGCAAGAGGTCATCTCTAAAAAGAAAAAAAAGAATCAAGGCAAGTCTAACATTTTGGTGGGTGGCTTATGCCTTTGCTTTATAGATTCAGAGAAAAAGACGTTTCCTGGTACTTTTCCCTTCATCTGCATTCAATTGTTCTCCTCAACCAGCAACCTTAAAGCAGCACTGCTTTTAAATGGACCATGTCTCCTTGCAGAACATTACATCTTAAAACATACCTTTAAAAGACCATAACATGATTTTAAAACAGAGATATGGAGCGATTAATCCACAATGTAGGACTCTGTTCTGGAGGCTGAGACCGGCTGTTACAAGGTGAAGGCATTTATACAGTCGTCAGTCATCTGCACCAAAACCTGCTTTAGTGGAGGTCTGGGGATTTCTAATGGCCTCTTTAAGAATGCCCTGTTTCCACTCGAATCACTCCTAGACAGAAATATTATTCAGGTACCCATCAAACACCTGGCTATGACATCAATTAGCCAAAGCCCCAGAATGAAGGAGTCAGCAGAGGATACCAGACAGAGTCCCAGGTTAGGAAACAAGAATCTGGGTTCTAGTTTTAATTCTTCCATTAGATAGGCTGTGTGACCTTGGGAAAATCACTTGAACTCTCTGAGACTCAGCTTCCTCATCTGCAAAGGGAGATACCAATGCCTGGCCCAATTGTTCTCATGGGGAGATTATGGGGAATCAGTGAAGTAATAAATGTGAATGTGCTTTGAAAAGTTTTGCACCAACCTTGGTTTGCACCAACCTCAGTGCAAAAGAAATTGTGTTTTTGCTATTCCTTTTGCACCAACCTAATACAACGACAAGATACATAGTTCAGGGCCTCTGATAGATGAATCTGAGCTTTGGAAATGTAACCATGAGTGGAGATGAAGCACAATTACAGGGCAGGGAGAACCAACCTTCACTTAAATCATCCACCTCCCTGAAGGGTGAGAAAGGGGTCATATAAAGGCAGAAAAGAAACAGCAGAAGAAACACTAATCCAGAGAGAACGTATCAAAGGGCTAGAGGAAGTTGAAAAGGCTACATTGTCTCATTCTGGCATTTTCTTCTGTAACAAAGATGTAAAACCTCAAACTGGGTCATTTAAAACAAAATGCCAGAACAATTGCAAGGCCCCACAAAGGCAGAAACACGCACAAGATACATCTATTAATGTGTACTTACGCTGGATATTGTAGTATTGGAATGCATGTCAAGATATTGCTTTCCTGCTATTTCTGTATAGAATACATAGGAGATATCACAACAATTAGATCACTCGCATCTGAAGTGACCAATTAGATCACTCCAATCTAATTTATTTTCCCAGAACATTTTTTACACTGACGGTCCTTGTATTAGTCAGCTACTGCCACAATAATACTGTGTAACAAACAGCCACCAAACCTCAGTGTCTACATGTCAGTCAATACTGATTTTTTGTTATTGAGTCTAAGGCCGGTTCTGATGGTGTCAATTGGGTTCACTTGTGCACTTGTCATCAACCAGGGATTGGGAAGATGTATCTGCTGATTTTGGCCAGGCTCACTCATATGTTTGGGGGTTAGGCTTGGCTGACTAATACAGAACTATGTCTCTGGGAGCTCTTCTATGTGTACAGTTGACAGATAAAATGCAGGATACCCAGTTAAATTGGAATTACAGATAAACAATAGATACTTTTTTAGTGTAAGTATATCCCAAATGTTTGCTGAATCTGGCAAGCCTACCTGTGAGTCTCCCCATCCCTCTAGCAGGCTAGCACAGGCACAGCTCCGTGGCCGGCAGGGGAAGCACAGTGGAACTTGCTTGGTTCTCTGGAGTCTAGACTCGGCTGGTACTTCATTGCCTTCTGTTGGCCAAAGCAAGTTTGTGACTTTGCCCAGCCCAGATTCAAGGACTACAAAGTCACATTGAGAAGGACACACAGGGAAGTTGAAGAATTGGGGCCTTTTTGACAGTCTGCCACAGTTCCTAGTAGCAAAATCACCAACAAAAGAGCTCAGCACAGAATTCTCCAAGAAAATGTCACTTGCCCATTCTATTTTAATATCAAAGATGAGGGACTTCATGAAGTGTTCAGGGCACTTAACTACAGGGGAGAAGACTCAGTTTCTGGTTTGACTTTATCAATCATGTTCTTTGTTTTCTTGGGTGGACTACATCTTCTCTGGGGCTCAGTATTTTCATCTATGAAATGGTAAGTTTGCGCTCTTGGGGCTTTGCAGCTCTAAGATTCAATAATCTTGAATATTTTAACTTGCCTTCTTCCATCATTTCCCTATTGCAAACTCTTCTAGCCCAATTGACTTTATGACTGTATTAGCTATGCTATAACTTAAAACAGCCCATTATGGTCCTCACTGACTGCTCCTATATTCAAAGTAAATTCAATCACCAATACATATCCAACAAAAAAAATGGAAATCTCCAGGCCAAGGGGACATCAGCTCCTGGCAAGGAACAAGACCCTGGAATAAATAAATCTGCTTTGCCCAATATTTCCCCCTCTTGATTTGAAGAGAGACAGTAACCCTTTTTCTGTCATTGAATTAATTTGCTAGAAGTGGCTGTAATTTCTATATAAATCCTGAGATTGTTTCTAATTTACATGTTATATATGAATGTTTATGCATGTGGTGCCAGTCTAATGTTCTCCAGGGATACTCTTGGAAACTGTATGAATCATGTAAACAAAATTAGACTGAAATAAAAAGAATGTATGATATTTTCTTCAGTAGTACTAATTTTTTTTTTAAGTTTGGTTTTCTCCATGATGGTCCTCCTGCTGACTTTAATTATATTTATGGCACAATTATCCTGTGCTGGGCACAGCCTCATGTGCCCACAGCTCATTTGGCGTCTGTCTGGTTTGGGGGACGCCTTGCAGACAGAGGGGTGGTGTGGCTCGTTCACTGTTCTCTCTCGGTGAGGAGAGAAGAGGGGTAGAAGGTGTTAAGGTGGCATCTACGTGGCTGTTTCTCCTTTCTCCATCCCATCTCTCTTTTTTTTTGTTTTTTTTTAATGAGGATGAATTCAGGTCATGGGCGAAACTGCAACCAGGTCCAGGGAACTTCCTCTTTTTCTGGCCTCTCCAGAGCACTATTTGAAGATCATCACTGCTGTTAATTAATGATTTGCCAGCTGTCTGTACTAATGTTATAGGCTTTATGTATGCACACACATCGTACTTTAGTCTGCTTTCACTTAAAACCAAACACAACAAACGTTAAACATGAGTTGAAGTTTCTGGTCTTTGCTTTTGGCAAGAGGTCTGCTTAGCTGAGATGGTTCTTTCTTGTGTCATCACAGGGCTGGCTGTGTGCCCACTTCACAGGCTGGTAGGGATATCTCTTTCTAAAGCTTTGCTCTCCCAGAAGACCCCTTCAGGACCAGCGTTTCACAGGGAGGAGTTGCCGCTCTTGTTTAGGGTTAATAATCAGCTCAGTAGTTCCAATGGAAATGTCACAGCCCTTTTCAGAAAATTAATCTGCTCCAGAGTCCCCTTATTTTTGCCAGGAGGAGGCATTAACATCTCCAGGGGGCCTTGTTCTTATCTTAATCTCATTTCCCTACTTACTGCATATGTGATTGCTTAAATCCAACTACTGAGGCCGATCCCTGCCACAGCTCATCCTAGAGAATGGAGGCACCCGGGAAGAGGAGAAGTTTGGATTGGCCCTTCTCCAAGGTTCCTCTAACCCTGGCATTCAGGACTGTGAAGTGTTCTGCCATGAGTAGCTAACTTTCCATTACTTCTCTTTCAGGCATGGCTTCTCTTAGCCAGTCTACATCAGACCAGGCTTGTCCCTACCCAAGCATTTTGACCATTCCATTCTGAAAAACTAATGAAAAGTATCATCTGCCTATTATAAAGTATAATAATGCAGAGCAGCTCAATTTTTGCTTAACCACTCAACAGTAACAATACTGTCAGATGCAAAGAAAGACAGGAGAAACATGGTCCCCTGGGAAGAAAGGAGAAGCCAGGGCTCTTTATTAAGTACATGCTGTGGGCAGGCCTTGTGCACTGTCCCATTTCATCTTCACAACAACCCTGCATATGTGATCGTTTTGAAACGGCAAACCTGAGACTCAAAGAAGTGAGGTTATCTCTGGTTGAAATGGGCGCAGTTGAAGAGAGTGCCTCATTATTGAGTGCCAAACCAGAAAGGCCCTTCCAGAAACGCAAGAGAGATTGCAAAGAGAGCAGCATGAGCAAAAGCTTAGGTGGATGGTCAGGGGAAGCACATGGAAGATTCTGGGAACAGTTGAGAGCTGGAGCAGCAGGAGAGAACATCCTATAGAAGAATCCAAGTGAAGGAAGGCAGGGATGAATACATGTTCTTGAGGCACAGTGAGGGTGTTGGCCTTATCAATGGCCCAGGTTGGGGTGGGAGAAAGCTGCTGGGCTCCAAAGTCTACACTCCAGACAGTACTAAAATTGGAAGTTGGCCCAATTTGACCACGTCTGAGCTATTTGAAGGGTTCAGAGAAGGAAGCAGTGGTCTTTCTGCCTCTTCGGAAGGGCCCTTAATCTAGTCAGAGGACCCTTCTAGGCTTCCTGGGGCAATCCAATTTAGGACATAAATGTATATGTAAACACTATTTCCAAAAACAACTAGTGATATGACTGCCAACAGTGTGAGTTGCTAGACCCCTCTGGATGCATGAAAGGGAGCACATTGATGATGGCAACAAAAACATCAAACATAACATCATCAACTCTTGGAGGTTTTCCTTATTTCTGAGTTTCTTTAGGACACGACAACTAATTCATTAATTCAGATGTATTTATGTTTTATTCGAATACCCCACATTCACTATCCTACTTATTCATCTGTCTTTATGAACATGAAGGTTTTGGTAAAGATGGGAAAGAAATAAAGGGAATTTGGGGGAGAATATAAGGCAGAAATGCATTTTAAAAGTTTTCCTTTTCAATATTGAATCAATTCAAGAGGAATTCAATCTAGAAGGTCAAAACTAGGTCACATATTCTGACTTCCTTGCACCCACAGCTTAATAATCTAAAAATAGAAATCAATTCTTGTCTGAGAGTTGTGAAGAGCTCATAATTGCTTTAGAGTAAAGCTCGGAATGACTGTGCCTTCTTCCGCCTTCTATTTCTCAGAGATGAGAATATCATTTTTCAAGTCCAAGGCACTGTCAGTATTAGATTGCGTGGTAACCAAGTAGAAAAATCTCTGTTTAAGATGAAATAATTTTCATCATTATACTGTTCAGGCAGAAATGAGACCCCTGCTTTAATGCTGTTATGAAGAGGGCAGATAAATAATATGAACCAATTGTTAGTTAGAAATATTTTCCCTTAAAAAAAAAACAGCATTGGTTTACAGCCTTTTTTCTTCCTGCTGTCACGTTAATATTCTGAATCAAGAACTTGCTTTGATTTTTGCAGAAAACTTGTTGCCCCTTTTCCAGCTCCTGAATTTTCTTTCTCCTTAAATCTCAAGATGTAGATGTGCTTTGAGCTTCATGATATCATGCACTTTAACAATAGGCCTAGTGGGGTTGAATTTGGGGTTCAGTTGCTTTATTAAAATGTTTGCCACTAAAAGGAGCTTTGGACTTCTAGAATACTAATGAATTTTCCATCATGGCTACATACTTTTTTGCATATAAGGCTATTTATAATGAGGACAGCTTTCTATTTTTATTAGCATCTCTTTATAGAAGTATTTAGCCTTCCAGCCATCCACAGTTTTTTAAAACCAATTCCTGAAGTTTTCATGAAACTTTAAAGTACCTATCAAGAGTCTTTTAATGGTAAAGATCAGCCGTAAGATGGAAATGAAAGAGTCCATTAAAATATCATTACAGGAAGAGAAATTCTCTGCCACTTTTTCTTAATTCTACCCAACAGGAATGTAACTGCCCTCCCTTCCCTGGTTCTATCTAGTTATGGCTCCCTGTGAAAATCTGAGGCTGGCACGGGAGGTGTCAGTAGAGACATAGGCACACTGTCCCATCCTCAGGTTCGGTCATGGGTACACACATGCCATGGTGTGCTACCCCTGGCCTTTACCACCTTGACCCTGCATCAGCACTTCTCCATACACCACCTCCTAACATAGTGGGCCCCCTGCCTTTTTTGTGCTCCACTGCAGAGCATCACTGAGTGCTCTGCTGCCGATGAGTGCAGGTGAGTCCTTCTCCACAGCATAGCACACATCTTATGTCTCCCCAACTTTATTTTAAATCAACATTTAACATTTCCACAACCTGATTTCTTTCAGACCAAGCCAACTTTCTTATAAGCCCCAAGTCTGTTCTGTGAGTCCAGCTAATTAGCCTGCCTGTACCAGAAGTACTCACTTTTTATTACCTTTAGAAAACAAAGCCAGGTTTGAGGAAGTGTTGGATGTAAGCTGTCTCCAAAGCCTCAGGAAGGGGACCCCCACCTTCCAAACCCCCTCCTGCTTTCCAGTAAGATTTGTAGTCTGGTTAGAAGGACCATTTAGATGATGAAAGGAACCAGTGGACAGCCCCTGATTTATAACCAGTGTGATTTTTTTTAATATCTACCAAATTAATATTTTTATGTCTGTTCCCCCATCGAGTTGCTTCGGTTTGAATTTCAACGAGGGGAGCCTGCCAAGATCGTGTAGTAAAATACGAACTGGATCATAAATCCCAGCAGGGGTGGGAGAACGTAAGACAGATTGCTAACACCTTAAAAAAAAAAGTTTAAATAAAAAAGGCAGGAATTTTCTTTAAAGTATACCAAGCCCAGCAGGGACTGGGAGATACACAAGGCGGCTGAAGGAGGGAGCTACTTTACCTTCCCAAGATCACTTTTCCGAGAAGCCCAAACCACAGAAAACCATTCTGGCAGGTAAATCGGGCCCCATGAGCTTTTCATCAAAAGCCAAGGATGTCTCTCTGGGATGTGTGTTAGAGATAAGGCAGAAACGTTCTCGAAAGGAGCGCCTTCCAAAAAGTCGAGACTTTCTGCATCCCTCTCTCTGGAGTGACCACTCAAACAGCTCATCAAAGTCTCCTTTCATTAGTGTCAGGCCAAGAGAAATAAATGCAGCTGGCAAGACGGAGCTTGAAGCTGTAAGAAGAAAGCCATGTGTTTCCTTCCTAAGACTAAAATCATTTCCCTATGAGGAATAAAGAGCTTTTACAGACCTTCTGGATGGATATGTCTTGGAGAGGAACAAGTCGATTACTCTCACACCCTCACTGGGCTCCAGTGGGAGAAACAGAAGCCCTTATTTGCTTGGTTTTATAACAAGTTTACTATATTTGAGCATATATGGCAAAGTAAACGCCCTTATAACATAGCTTATTATTACACCGATTTGGATAAACTACAGGTCAAATCATGTCGGCTGAAACATAACTGCTACCCACAGGAGAAGCCTGATATAACTCAGTTGATAGCCTATAAAAGCCATGTTAGTCCCGTCTGTCAACACCAGCATTATAAAGGTGTTTCACTAATCCTCCTCGGTGGAAAACATCAACTCCTCCAGCAATGTTGTCTTCTCATTTCGTGACTTGGCTCTACCTGGGTCTTGGGACACACAATGTGATCACAGGAGCCAATGACCTCCTCGCGGCTATAACGAGGGGCGCCTCCAGCATCACATTCCTCCAGGAACTGAGCATCACTGAAACGCACTTGTAGACCAATCACCCTTGCTAACCACACTTTGCCAAAACACGCTTTGGACTTTTGTTTTACTCAGTCTGGATTCAGAGCCAAAACCATCACCAAGACTTTCAGAAATCTTGTGAGCAGGCAAGTAGAAAGGCACAGCTAGCAAGCAAGCAGATATTGAAGAGACTTACACCAAATTGAAATGCACGAGGAATGCAGAATCTGGTTTTATTTTTTGGTTCACAGATATAAAGGTTTTGAATTTTCCCATTATGACATTTAATCATAATTATCAAAGAAGAATTATCAAGGTGAAGATACTATAGATATAACATACACGTATTTTTAAGGTAATGTTTACTTTTTAGTTTAACAGCCTAAAACTTCAGCACACTCAACCCTCTCACGTAAGTCCCCATAAATGAGACACGAGTTTCACACAATCCCAAAGTAAGTGGAAAACAATTTTTTTTTTTTGCTAGAAAGGACATTAGTAGGACATTTACTGAAGTTCAAACAAGGTCTATAAATTAGAGAATAATACTATAGCAATGTTAATTTCTTGGATTTCATAACTGTACTGTGGTTGTGTAAATGAATTTAGGAAATGTGTACTGATGTATTTAGGGATAAAGTGGTAGAATGTGTACAGTGTACTCCCAAGCCATTCAGAAAAGAAATAAAACACACACACACACACACACACACACACACACACACACAGAGAGAGAGAGAGAGAGAAGGATAAAGCAAACACGGTAAAGTGAGGGAAGCTGAAGAAAAATTTACAGGAACTCTTGGCACTATTTTTGAAATTTCTATGTGGATTTGAATTTATTTCAAAATAAAAAGGTTTTTTTACGGTTTCCCATTAGTGCTCCTGAGCAACCGTTGCTTATTTAAAATAATAGCCTAAGAGAGTATATTTGTAAGTTCCTTTGTTTGCTTCCCCATATCAATCTAAAAGGAATTTTATGTAGGTCTTTTTTCTAGGTAGGTCCTACTTTAGATATCATTTAAACCCTTAATCTTGAAGAAAAACAGAGTAGGGGAGCCAGAGACAAGACTGGCAAGACATGAGTTGCTACCAGTTAAAAGAATGCCCAAAGAAGAAGGATTCCAGAAGCAGAAGACCTGGATTCTCCAAGGATGAAGAGTTCCAGACTCTGGGATATTGACCTCTGTGGTCCTCAGTTTTGTCATCTTTAAAATGAGGGGCATAGAGGCAAGGCAATGTTGAGGACTGATGTGGCATGTTTTGTATTGTAGAATATTTCATTCGTGGTGTCCAGTCGCAGCTCTGCCACCTCCCCCCACCTCAGGTTTACTTGTCTGGAACAATGGTCTCGTGCCCCATGGCATGTGGTAGAAGCCAAGGTCAGCCCCATGTTTTCTGAGCGTCTGAAAGCCTACTGGAAAAGGATCTACTTGGGCAGTTGGAGGGACCTTCTTCATCCCCTTAAGACAAGCCTTGCCCCTCTATATCATTCTTTGGTAATGGAAACATCCCAACCACACTCCTTCCTGCTAATCAAATCCCATTTACATTGAAGGCCTGCTGACATTCATTAGCCCAAACCTGCTTTTCAGAGATTTCCACTCACTTTGAGCTAAACATGTGGACCCCATTCCTAAGCTGAAATGAAGATTTCGCTTTCTTCTTTCTCTTTCAACCAGAAACAGCATTCTGCTGCCGTTGGAAATTGATGCATCTGAGTACAAAGTGTCTGTTCCCTGCGCCTTTCAAACAACACAGTGCCCCAGGCCCAACACCAGCATGCACGAGCACGCATGCGCTCACACTCACACACATTCTCAGCCCATAAAAGCCAACCACACTGCTGAATATCTAAAGCCCACCACTCAGCAAACACTGTCTCCTTCCTGGAACTTTCGGGGATGCGGACAACACCCTGTCATGGAGCATGTGTGGAGCTTGAGCCGGCGATAAATTGAGGCGCTAATCCTGATGCACGACATCACCTGCAGTAACAGAGAAGAACGTCTCAGCAGACGACACATATATAAATCACATTTATTTTCATAGCACATTTAAATAACGTTTTGGCCCTGGGGATTTTCCACCAAGTAATGAAGCATCACCCAATGAGAGTCTGCAACGTTGCTCCATTCTGCAGTGCCCCCTCACAGCAGAGAAATAAAACCTGTGATTTATATGGATGTCATGGGGTGGCATAGGGGGCTTCCTTTCCTTTGCATGAGACATTTCTGTGCATCCAGATTAAAGATGAGATTTATCTGCAAAATAAACAAAGAACAGCCCCCCCACCCCTTTTCTCCCTTAATCACACCAGATGAGACATCAAACACACACGGAGGCACGCACCCACTCAGCAGCACGCACCCACCCTCCACATGCACGCACACACAACACAGACAGGCTTGTTATGAGATAGGAGGGAGAACAATTTTGATAAAAGATGATCACCTGTGCCCTAACGAAGGTTTGTTTTATCAGCAGTTCCTTGTAGGAGGTGCCCAGTTCCCAGGCCTCAACCATCTTCCTATTGGGGTCTTCAGTCTACATCAGTGTGGACGCCAGCCTTGGGTGCCCGAGGCCCACCACACACGGTGGAGAGAAATCAAATCTCATCCACACATTGCAAGGTGGGAGTGCAATTCCAATTCACCTGCCATTTTCTGTCTTGGTTGTTTTGAGGGGAAAGACGACCTCATTCTAATAAGATTTTCCCTTGGATGGTCATGGATGAGTGGGTGCCCCAGCTGCCTTAGGATGAATTGCAAATTGTGCTGTTGAAATCATCATGAGTCCTTGCTGAACCTTTCATTTCTTTCTCTTTTTTTTCTTTTTCTTCCTTTCTTTTTCACCTCCCTCCCTGTACCTCCCTTCTTCCCCCACCACTCCCTCCCTCCTTTTTTTTTCCTTCCCACCATCTCGTTGTCTACCTTCTTAGCAGTCGTTTATTCTCTAGAGCTCACCAGGACTCCACACATGTCCTAACTCGAGACCACTCTCTACCTTGCTCAGTGTGGGCTGCTTCTGACAGAGAAATATGTAACCTACAACTCAGTGGAGCATCACCTTTTTAAAACACAATTCATCATCCACGGGTTGAGATATCTACAGTTCAATCTGTGATTGTCAAAATATTTCAACTCCATCCAGGAAACACTCAAACAAGAAAAATAACTCATATTGTTGTGGTGTTTTACAGTTAGCAAAGTCTATCCCGTCCTGTATATTATCACAGTGGGTCTTCACGCAAACCTGCGCCATGGTAGGGGGGAGGTGGTGGCATGCTTTTACATGCAGCCCTCGCATTTGGAGAAATCACTGCTGCTTTAAGGACCAAAGGTACAGCACTTTACTTTTTTTGCCTCAGGTTCACGTGTTTCAGGATCACCGGCAAAACCGAAAGCATAATATCTCAAGTTTTCATATGGAAAACCATTCTTTGGCTAGAGGAGATTACGGAACGGATGGATGGCAGATGGCAGCGTTGAAGGCAGGAATACTAGACAGCCAGTTTCACTTGAATCAACCTGGAGTCAAGGTCAGGTTCTCTGGATAATACCTGGATGTTCCTAAATAAGCGTTATTTCCTAGAAAAACAGTCTCATATTTACTGATGTACATTCCGTCTTCAAGCCAAAGGGTGAACTTTCCCTTTGCTCAAATCTGACTTTTGTGGAATGGAGAGAGACTCTAGTGCTACTTGTACAACATTTCCAGTGCCTTGGGTTAAAATAAGTACATTTTCATATTTTGATCCAGGTCACAAGCATAAAGAAATGCCAGCCCAGATTTCCCCTTATACTTTGCAGGTTTCACATCAAAGGAAGTCCCAAGCAATCACATATGTCTGGATGTAAATATATCTTTGCTTCTCCTTTTAATTTCTCAAATGTGTTGAGATGATTGCCCCAAATTAACGTGTTGTTTTTTTTTTTTAAAAAAAAGCCATCAGAAAAAGCAGCATTGCTTAGTAAGACTAATTCATGACTATTGAAGAGGGTCAGCCTGCCCCTAAAAATAGGGTGACCACCTGTCACAGTTTGCCTGTGGCAGCTCTGGCATATGCTATTGTCCTTGCTTAACTATTAATAGCCTGCCTTTCACTCTCATGATTGTCCCAGTTTGTGTGCTGAATTAGACACTCACCCTACCTAAGAACTGTAGGAAAATCCATTTGAAATAGGTCTTGTTCTTTTAAGGGCTGAAAAAAACCTGAAAATGAAACTACAGAGGTGAAAAAAAAAGATGAAATTTTGCGGTCAGTTCCATGGTTTAGCCCTAGAAGACTGGGTGAGATTGTATCTGTTTTGTTCATGTAATTCTAATTGTGAACCAATAATGTGGAATAGCACTAATTTTATTAGAACCACTAGTCTGTGATAAAGCAAATGCACAAAATAATATGTTGAGTCATGAGGCCCAGATACGAATTAACTCAAATGCTCATGTGGGAGGCAAGAGGAAGGCCCATTATTTCCCATCTCATCTCCTGTCACTGTGGGTGGCAGGCAGGTGGAGGGGAACGGGTCTGTGCTGCTGCATGTGACTGGTGAACTGCAAGTAGATGGGGCTGCCCCCCTAAACAGATCCTGGACAGTGTGAAGGCCAGGCCCAGGGGAGGGGCAAGCGGTGGACACAGCACTCTGCCTAGACCATGTGTAGTGCACACAGGGGGCCTTACCATCCTCCCCTTCGCATGGAGGAGCCTTGGCTTTAGGGGAAGGAATGTGTTTTTCCAGTTATTGGGGTTTGGTCTTTCTTGGGCAAGCAAGGTTGTGCATTTTCACTCCTGGTACCATCTCGTCCCCTGTTTAGGGATTTTTGTTTACCCTTATCATAAGTATCTCAGTGCAGATGTGGAACCAGCATTCCCCAATCATCAAGTCAGAGAATCCAGATTGTGCCATCTCAGCCTGGCCAGCTCCACTGTGTCCTCCATGCCTGAGCTCAGGCCCCAGGCACTGTAGAAAGCCTCCCCTGGCGGTTCCCCCACTTTGTCTTTACCCTTCACCTTGGGCTCTCCCCACAATAGGCACACAGACAGCTGAAGGTGAATCCTCATATCCTGCCTGTCACATACCTGCCGTAGCACTTGGCACCTTCCATGGCAGCTGTTTACTCCCCTATCTCCCCTTCTAGAGCCTTAGCTTCCTGAGGTCAGCAATAATGTTCTTCTCTAACTTCCCCAGCCTAGCCCAGTACTTGGTCCTTGTCTGTGGAATGTATGGGCGACATGAGAGCCCAGCAGAAAACAAAAACAAGTAGTAAAATAATAGGTGCAGTATATTTATTAAGCACTTAGTACATATATTTGTATACATGTATTGCAATCCAATTTTTATTTTCATTTTATTTATTTATTTTTGAGACAGCATCTCACTCTGTCACCCAGCCTGGAGTACAGTGGCATAACAACAGCTCGCTGCAGCCTTGACCTCCCAGGCTTCAGTGAGCCTCCTAACTCAACCTCCCAAGTAGCTGGGACCACAGGCATGCACCAGCATGCCCAGCTAATTTTTAAATTTGTTGTAGAGATGAGGTCTCACTGTGTTGCCTAGGCTGGCATTCAACTCCAGGGCTCAAGTGATTCTCCTGCCTTGGCCTCCCAAAGTGCTGGGATTTTAGGCATGAGCCACCATGCCTGGCCAATTCATTTTTTTTTAATTGTAGTAAAAAACAAATGGCATAAAATGTACTATCTTAAGCATTTTTAAGTGTACAGTTGACTAGTGCTAAGTATATTCCCACTGTTATGCATTCAATCTCTAAAACTTTTTCATCTTTCAGAACTGAATGGCATGGTAGGTTCTAAGTGTTTTGGAAGCATTATCTCATTTAAATCTCATAGTACTAGAGGTAGGGATAATTATTGTTCCCATTTTGAGACAAGAAGTTAAGCAAGGTCATGCAGCTAATGATTGGTAGAGATGGATTTGAAACTCATACATCTTCATTAAACTCTACCTAGCAGTTATACGCTAAGTAAAATTTCCACAAACTTGCAGATTTATAGAATTACAGGGTTTTATTTCACCTTCTGCCCAATTTTTATTTTAAAAGTAGTCTTTAAATTTTTTACTGAAAAATAACATGAAAAAAATCCATGCCTCTTTATGAAGTTCATGATAAGAAAAATGAGACAGATTTACTATCAGACAGCTGCTGTCGATGACTCATAAAATTTTAGCAAAGAAAGACACCAGAGAAGATTGAACCCAACCCAGTTATTTTACAGGTGTGGAAACTACGGTTCAGAGTCAGGGTGGAAGTTAAGGAACCATCAACTTCAGAACACACAACTCTTTCCACTTCCCGATGCAAGCTGGAAGATATTTTGATTTGAATGCTTATGATATTTTTCTTTCTAGTTAATATGTATGCTAATAGCATTTTAAAGTAAATGTGCTTTTGGCTGGGCACGGAGGCTCACACCTTAATCCCAGCACTTTGTGAGGCCAAGGCAGGAGTATCGCTTGAGCTCAGGAGTTTGAGACCAGCCTGGGCAACATGGTGAAACCAAAAAAAAAGTAAAAATTAGCCAAGCATCGCAATATGTGTTTATAGTCCCATCTCCTAGAGAGGCTGAGATAGGAGGATCTCCTGAGCCCAGGGGGTGAAAGTTACAAGTGAGCTGAGATCATGCCACTATATGCCAGCCTGGGTGACACCACAAGATCCTGTCTCAAAAACTAAAATAAAAATAATATATTAAATTGCTTTAGTCTATTTGTATTCAGGGTCTCTGCTTCCATTCCCAGGCAGGGGCCCTCCAACCC
This sequence comes from Homo sapiens, assembly GCF_000001405.40. Lineage (NCBI taxonomy): Eukaryota > Metazoa > Chordata > Mammalia > Primates > Hominidae > Homo > Homo sapiens. The sequence goes on from NC_000007.14 coordinate 25,889,290, forward strand.
ATTTCTCCAGCACGATACCCACCTGTTTTCCTGTCTCCGTCCCCTATATCAGCGGTCCCTATGCCTTACCCTCCAGCCCCTTCTTATAACAGATATTCTGTAAAGCGTCTTTTTTTCTTCCCAGAAATGAAATTCGGAGATAATCTACCTAAGCACATAATTTCAACAATGACAACACCATCAATACAATGCCCTATCTGTAACAGAAAGGAAAAACAAAAGTAATTTGTGATAAAAATATATACATGTATCAACAAGTAAATGTTCCAACTGACTACCAGAAGGCACACAGCCATGGTCAGCACTTGCCCCCTGTGTGGAACCCCATGGGTGCTGCAGGAGCCCCACAGTGTGGCCCCACAGAGCATCCTGTTCAGGTGATTCAGATAGCATGGATGACATTCATCCCATACAGAAGAAAAACTCTTAATGAAACCCTGAACACAATGAAATACAATCTTCTCTTGATTTGCATGGTGGAAAATTCAGAGCCAAAAACTAAACATTTACATACTTATATGAATATAAAACGAAACATATAAACACACACATACACGTGCCTTTGTGTTTAATTATAAAACAGACTCGGGAACGAGGCTTAGATAATTATAACCAGCTTCCTCACTTATCAGTGACTGTCTGGTGGGACATCTGACAGACGTGCAGGAGGCAGGACAGCCTTTGGCTGTCAGAGGACAGTGTGGAGAGGAGCATGGTGGCATTCCTCCAGGCATTACTCTTAGGCATTCTGGGATCTCCAGCAACACTGGCCTCTGCCCACGGAATATCTTCATTGCCCACTCAATTTTATGATGACAAAAACGTCAGTCCAAATTTCCAAAACACCATAGGGTTGATACCCACACCCCTCTGAGAAGCTCTGCCCGTGCCCCAAGCTCCTTCGGTGCATGGACCTCCTTGTATCTACAGTCCTGACGCAGTCCTCTGGCTGCAGGTGGTGAGCCCTCGACCCATGCTGATGAGTGGGGGAAGGAAGGAACAAACAAGCAACAGGAAGACGTTGTACAAAGAATTAAACGACACCAAACTTACTCATAAAACCCTCCAGAGACCAGGATTTTAGTCCCAGCACCCAGTACTAGGTTGGCATGGGAATGAAGTCAAACTCATTCAGTCTCTCATTGTTTCCATGTTTGTATAAAAATGAATATTTTTATATTTATGTATAAAGAGGAATGAATTAATTTACTTCCTAAAAATACATAAACACATACACACATATATATTCAAACAATGCTAAAACCTGAAAACAGCACATAGTATTAACTAATTACAGCTATATACAATTTCTGTCAATACACTGAAAAATTTTGATGTGAATTTAGAGATGCAGAGAAGTTGTTGTTTTTGAGATTTTTAAACCTTTAAAACTGAATACAGGATAATTTTTCTTTACTGCAGAGAATAAACATGGAAACCACTATTTGTCTTTCCCGTGCTACAGAACAGCGAACCAGAATCTGAAAGACATTTTTCATCCATAAAGTCAATAATCAATACCACCTAAAAACAGGAGTTGAGTTTGTGCTAAGGGTGTTAAGTAGGTTGCCTTGTTTAGTCCTCAGGACTCTGCAAACAAAGCATCTCATCCCTATTCTGCAGATGAGCAAATGCAGGCGCAGAGAAGTTGGTGATGAAACTGAAACCCTAATCCAGGTCTTTCTGACTCAGAGGCCAGTTCTGTCAACCACTACTTTGTCCTCCCACTTGGCTAGAATGAGGACACTAATGCCCCTAATTCAACTGTACGTTACAAAACAAGTTTTCAGTCCCAGAATCACAGTATTATGGGAAATATTTGGGTTCCTTTACCATTTTTTAGTTCTGTCATCACCAAAGCAAGAAGATGTTGGCAGAGCTGTCCCCAGCCATTCTCCTTGTCCTTCATTTGATGGCTATTTTCTAGCACCTTCCATGCACATGAACCATGGTGACAAGGTTCACATGGGCTGTCAGCAGGACACAGTCCTGCCTTTGTGGAGCTAGAAGAAGGAGCAGACATTAATCGTATAATCATATAAAAATATACATAACCAGATGCTATAAGATGGTTTGGAGTTGCCATGAGATTATATGCAGGGGCCTGGCTTGATCTCGAGCTTTTATGATGTGAATCATTTTCCCTTTAATAAAAGTCAAGTATCATTTACAAGGCACTTGCAATGTGCCAGCCCCTCTGCCAATCACATCCTATACACCTTCTCCAATCCTGGAAAGTAGTTTCATCATGCCCAGTTCACTGGGGAAAACACTGAGGCTTCAAGAGGTCAGGAAACCCGCCCAAAGTTGGCAGTGGGCAAGCCAGCCTTTCAGGGAGGTCTTGCCAAGTGCCGAAGCTCCAGTCTCTTCTCTGCTCTGCACTCCTGCCTGCAAGGGTCTTCATAAACGTTGGTGACTATTGTCACAAAGCGAGAAGAATTTGAGACATGCACTGTCCTTCCACTGAGAATCTGTGGTCAACCTCAGCTGGCTCCCCTCCAACCCATGTTCTCTGGGCTACTGGGCTGCACGTATCCCTCTCTGGCCTAAACCCTGCAGAGCACTCCAGGCTCTTGTTATAAAACTGTTTGGCTCAGTAGAGCATGTTGGGGACCCTCTCTAGGTTGACCTCTCCTCCCCTCCATATCCCTGCTCCAAAGAAGTGCTCTGCTGGCCCTTCCTGTGTCTGTGATGCCCTGCATCTCTTGCCCACCTGGCTGACTCCTATCTTCCAAGGTCATGTCCTCCAGGGAGGCCTCCCCTGATTCCTTCAATCTCACAGGCTCCTTCCTGCATGCTCTCTTTCCAGCGCAGCCTGCATCCCCTGGACTGCAAATGGCGGGTGTTGCCAACATGTCCCCCTCCTGGGCCTGGAGCTCCTGAGGGTCAGGGATTCCACCCAGGCCAGGCCTAAGCCCAGTCCCTGGTGCTCAGAGCCACCCATTAAATACCTACAAATTGAATTAAATTGACTTTCATCTTCACAGAAGGTGGTGAAAGAAGACCCTTCTTTTTTCATAGCACTTTACCATGTTGGCTGCAGCATTTAGAGTTAAGCCAGATTCATTAACAAATACTAACAATCTAAAACTCTCAGTGATTGCCTTACACCATTTTCACTTGCCAAATATGTATAATTTGACTAGTTTCCCCTTCCTCAAAATATGAACATCCTTATGGAATAAATTTCAACACTTTTTTAACATAAAAAATACTGTCTTTTAGAATATTTTAATTTTATTCATAATCTTTATTCTATTTCATAGACTAGCTCACATGTCTTTTATTTAACTGAATGGGTATCAAGAAAAAATAAAGAATGGTTCAGTTATTACATGTGATAATTAATTTCTGAAATTAAAAAATGTCCTCTGTCCAATTGATTTGCAAAGAATAGCTTAATGGACAAAAGAAACTGCATAATATGCCTTCTGGAAAAAAAGCCAATAATTTTTTGGAGCTAAAAGGCTTCTTTTCAAGATAATGATTCGTTTCAATTTTTAAATCTTATACCAGGGTTAATATAAAATTATTTTTACATTGTGCTGGTAACCCATTTGAAAAAAGGCCTGAAAGAAAGTAGTCCCAGCTTCCTGCGTCCCCCACTTCCCCTCCAAATCAGCCAGGGCCCCAAAGTCCCGGACTCAAATAAATCAAGATTATGCTAATAACTAGAGCTAGGTGCAATGGCAGACTTTGACAATTCCAGGCAAAAGACACCAGAGGGCACTACAGGACCACGTTTTGTAATTTCAGGCGCCATTTTACCCTTGGATTTGAACAATAATTTCTTAAAAAACTGTTAACCTTCTGAGATCCGTATGTGGATTTATTTATTGCTTTCAATATCTTATCGCCACTAAGCTTAACTAGCTAGGCTTGGAAGGTTATTTTAAAGGACAATGCCCTAAAAAGGCAGACACAATTGGGCTTCCTCTTTATTTTACCTTCCTATAGAATGTCGGCATGTGTATGAGCGTGTATGAGCGTGTGTGTGTGTGTGTGTGTGTGTGTGTGTGTGTGTGTGTGTGTTTAGCAAACATTTATGATTGAAGAAACCATTCAGGGAATCCAAAAACTAAAATGCAGGATTCCACTGCCTCCCCTCCACCCACCCCGCAAAAAAAAAAAAAAAAAAGTGACGTTTCAGGCCAAAAAATTGTTTTCGTTGTTATTACTTCTGTAACTGTCTTCAATCACCTATTAATTTAACCAGCAAATATTTATTGAAGCCCCTAATGTGCCAGTCCCTGGGCACACCATGATACCTGAGCCACATCTCACCCTGCAGGGTCTCACCCATGATGAGAAGGCAGTTCTCTTTACTCCTGTCAGCCAGATTTAGTCTTAGAGCATCAATATCCATAAGTGAAAAGTGACACTTCAGCTTAGATTATTTCTCTTTTCACTGCCCTTCAGAAAAATTTTTTTTTTTTTCAGAAGAAAATAGGATTTTAAAATCACTGCTTTCTAGATGTGACCATCTCAGCCTGAGCAAGAAGGATCAAAACTCTCTTGCTGGAACTGCCTTCTCAGTGACTGAATTTTTATGAATCAAATAAAATGGTTGCTTGTGGGTTTGGGGAATGCTTTTTTTCCTTCCAAAGTCCCATATTGATTAGAATGAACTACATCGAAATTTAACAAGTGACAGAAGAAAGTGCCACCACTCTTGGCGTCTAATGAAGCTGTTGGGCAGTGCTGCCATCCAGAGTGGGGGAAATGGGACACAGGAAGTCTGTTTCCTCCTCCCCCAACAATACTCCCAGCCCCATTGGTTTGTACAAACAAACATGTGAGACCACGTGGTAACATAGACAAGTTACATTCCTTACCTCAGGTAATACCCACAAGATAGCCCCATTTACCAGCTGAGCAAACTGAGGCTAAAGGTTACTTCTTTGCCCAAGGTCACACTGCCAATATCCAAACCCAAGTCTGTCCACCTCCAAAGATCATGTGCCTTCTGCTACCCAGTGTAAATAACCCAAAAGAACTCAAAGACTGTTTTCTTTGAAGATAGGTGAGGCAGACACTGCTGTGTGCTTGCCCCGAGCCATCCTATCTGCTTCCTGTGCACACAGCTGGACTACATTTCCCAGCTCCCCTTGGGGGAAGGTTGGCCCTGAGAGTGGCGTCTAGCTAGTGGAATGTGAGTGGCAGTGAGGCCTGCCCACCTCCTGCACAGTCCTTCATTCTCTCTCTCTACCTGTCACAGCCAGATGCAGAGTACTCAGCAGCAAACATTAAGGCCCTTAGGGATGGTGGGGCCACAGAATGAAAGGTGCCTGGGTCCCTGAATCACTGCATGGAAGCTGTCCAAGAAACGCTTTCAGTGGTCCAAGAGCAAGAAATAACTTGTTTTGTGTTAAGCCACTGTGACACGGGGTTGCTTGTTAAACAGTTAGCCTTTGATACATAATACACAAGGAAAGAAAATGGCTTCTGTGAAGGTGTCCATTTGCCCACCAGGGGACTTGCCTAGTTCTGTGGTGGTGAATTTGTTCACAATTTCCCTGGGCGTCAGGAAAAGAAGACATTGAGCTAAGTGATCTCTAAGGTCTTTCCCCGACCTGAGAAAAGCCTGTGGTTCTGTGGTTCCCCTCTCTCACCCGCCGGATCCCGTCTCCCACCACTCATATCTGCAGGGGCCAGCTAAGTTACCTGGACCAGGAGGGACTTAGCCCAAACTCCTACCCACCCAGGAGTCTTCCTTCCCACATAACACCTTCCCTGTACTCTGCTGGGCAGCTATACACAGATATGCCCCCTCGGCAGTGGCAGCAATATGTAAGATGCCCCGGCAGGAGGACGGGGGGCTTCACATGGCCTTGTGCCACCTGTCCCAACTTTCCCTGCCCCCTGTGTAGCCTGTGTGGGAAGATGAGCACCTTCCTCCAAGAAAAAGGCTGGGTATAGACCAAGACCTGGAAAACTGCTGGGTATCCGAAGAGTGAATATGAGGAATTCTGCTCTTTGAAAGCACTGCTTCTTCGACTGATGTCACTAACATCCATGAAATATCATCCTTAAGCTATTTTAAGTCTACCTCCAGTGACTCATGGGATCTCCTTTTCTGTCACTGAACGTGATGTGCTCAAAATGAAGATAATGTTAATATAGGGAAAAGCAGAACTGAGAGTTTTAATGACACAGACTCCTGGCCAGATCAGGAAAGGAGGGTGTAGTTCGCGGCATTTGTGATTCCGGCTGGGTCTCCGGTGCGGAAATGAAACTCGCCCCCTGCTGGCCCGCCCCGGCGCTTTCAGAGGGAAGGGGAGCCAGGACGCCCGCGGGGATGGCTGCCCAGCTGCGAGTCACACACGAGCGTCGCCCACGCCCGGCGCCCCCGCACTGCCCATGATAGGGACCTACTGAATTGGATACTAGTGGTGTTTCTGGAAAAATCAGGGAGGATTGAGACCTGGGTTTTCGAGTGACAAATTGGTGATGCAGATGAAAAATGCAGGACCCAGTTGCATATGGTGGCAGTCTTTGGCTGCCTGGAGAGAAAGAGAGAGAGAGACCGCGCGCTCACTATCAATATGATTAACTATTATAGTGCGCAGTGTTTGGGGCTATCCATTCCTTTTCCTCCTTCTTCTATCACAGATTCCTCCCTCTCTGATTTCAGAAGGAGGAGTTAGGGAGGGTCGGGTAAGTGCCTGACCTAGGCCACTCAGCATCCCCCTTCCTCCACCAGAGTCCTTGGCCAACTAAAAACCATTCCTGGGAATCTTCTGCGGAACCCTGCCCCTCTACCCTCCAGCCTGCCAAGCCTTTTTTCTGTCCCCTGCAAACTAAAGAATCCTGACTACCAAAGCTATTGATGGTTCCCACAATATGTATTGTTTGAATCCACTAGCACCTGACACAACCCAAATTATGAATTACCATAATTACCAAGGGTAAAACCCAAGGTTAATGATGAAACAAATTAGTGCACAGTTAAAAAATATAAAAGTGTTCTATAACTACTACAAAATGAGATAAGGTTAATTAAAGTAATTTTCAAAATATTAACAGAACCATAGTTCCAGCAAGTATAGGAACATTATCAGCGCATTTGCATCATTAAAGGATTTAAACAATTTATAGAGCCATAGATAGAACACTTACATTTGTGAAGGTCAAAAAAAGGATAAACTATTTAGCTTTATTTTTGTAAGCCTATTTCGTTTTCTACATACTGTGGCATTATTATATCTAAGAGTTAAACTGCTCTAAGTATTATTTGTAGATATCTATTTATGAAAGAGGTTATCTTGCTTATAGGAAAAATAATGGATTAAGCTTAACCATTCACAAATGGACAGTTATTTGTAGGTACTTAAACGTGAAGATCTATCAGAGCATGGTAATTTGTCATTTTTTAGTGCTTATTTGACTGTCTATAAGAGCACAGTTGAGTACAAAATGACGATGTTTCTGTAGTGCCACTGCTAGTTTGATTGATAATGAGAAGATACAGCTACCATTTTTAATTTTTAAAATGCAAGATTATTCTGGAGTAAATTAACCTAATCACACAGAGCAAGTAAATTAATGTCAGTTCCTTACTTAATTGCAAAAATAATATTAACCCAAAGAATCTAAATCCACTTCTGACACATATTCAATTTTTATAATGTTACATAGACAGTTTTTCTGGATTATATGTAATGGTTTCCAGCATTAGCTTCTCTGCTAATTGGAAACGTTGGGCATGGGAGCATACATATTCCAGTGGTGTTGAAGAAGGTTGCTTCCAGAATTGATCTAGCTATATTACAATTCGGGCACCATCAAAGAACCATTGGGTATTTTTCATGGCAAGCCTGCCATAAACTCACCCAGTGAGAACTTCTCAGGGCTTTCATTCTCCTGGCGTAAGTGGGTTTTTTCCAAAGCAGACCAACAGCTCTCACTTGAGAACTCAAGTTTTCCAGCTCTCATTTCCCCAGTCTGCCCCAAGCGAGTCAAACAGTGTCAGTACTGTCTCCCGCAGCACCTTGAGGGCTGGTGCCTGTGTTTTCCCGAAATGAGGGTAGACGTGGTTCATGCAGACTGGAGGAGAGTCCCTGAACTCACAAAATGTCTCCTCGGCCTTAATGCTTTCCAAGTTGGGAGATTTATGTTGCAACCTTGAGAAGGGCAGAGTAAATACAGAGCCTGCCAGCTATTTGTTTTCCTGTTGATGAATTCCCCAAATTCAGACTGGAAGCCCTCCAAGAACTGAAGTCTCTTCAAAAGGCAAAGTGTTAACCCTGAATCCTTCAGCTGCTTTTGCCACGTCTTTCTCCCCCACCCAGAAAGCTCCAAAGTATCTCTGAGGTTGTGTTCGCTGTATATGAAGCTCTCCGATGACTCTTCCTTTTTATCACACAAAACAAGCCAGGGCCAAAGACCACGGAGGAAGAAACCAGCTTACCACATGGTGCAGGGATCTTGCAAGAGCTTCTCCTAGTGAGGCTCCCTAGAGCCTCACTCCTACACATTCAGTATAGCTTTCTTTAGTCATGAAAGTGATTCCACTACCTAGTCAAACTTTGCTAGCTTGAAATATTTGCCACATGCTCTATTGCAATTGTGGTTTTCATCTTTAAATCATACATCCTTAATCTTCTCCTTGGAAATGTAACAAATTAGCACCATATTTTTGTTTGTTAGTTTTTCCTGAACATGAACCATACAGTTTATGAACCAATCTAGATAAAATGACCATTTTTAATCCCCAAATCACTCTTTATTTTTAGTGTTTAGTCTCACTGGCTGCTTTTATAATTTAAAAATTTTTAAATATAATCTTTTTTTCTGATTATAAAATTACATCTTATTTATAGAAAACATGGGAAATGGGTATTAAATGTAAAAAATTGTATTTGTAATCTCATTAGTCACAGTTAGGCCTTAACATTTTGGTATACATCTTGTTTCTCTGCTAGTTATTCTATCTGGATGATGACTTTTTTCATTTGATCTTATATAATAAATATTTTCACATTATTTCCATAATTTTTTTTTTTTTAAGACAGGGTCTCATTCTGTCACCCAGGCTAGAGTGCTGTGGCATGATCATGGCTCACTACACCCTTGAGGTGATCCTCTCACCTCAGCCTGCTGAGTAGCTGAGACCACAGGTGTGCACCAACATGCCAGCTAATTTTTGTATTATTTGGTAGAGACAGGGTTTTGCCATGTTGCCCAGGTTGGTCTCAAACTCCTGGGCTCAAGCAATCCACCCACCTCAGCCTCCCAAAGTGCTGGGATTACAGGCATGAGCCACTGCACCCAGAACCACAATGTTCTTAACTAACCTTTTATTGTTGGAATTATAAGTAGCATTCCAGTAAACATATTTCTATGTAAACCTTCGGCTAATATCACATTAATTTCTTAGGATAGATTCCTTTAAGTAGAATTACTGGGTCAAAGTGTAGAAACAGTATTAAGGTTCTCAATACATTTTGCCAAATTGCTTTTTCCAAAGGATGCATATCAGTTTGTGCTCCCACCACAGTGAGTGAGACTGGCTGGCTTGCTGTGCCCTCATCCACATCCAGGATAGCTGTGTTTGCCTCTGGGCCTACACAATAGACACCTCCACTGAAACAGGTGGTGTGGCCCAGGTTTGGGAAGGGCTTAGACTGGGAGTCAGGAGACCTGGCCTTGAATTTGGATTCTCCTATTATGTAGCTCTGTGACATCGCAGAAAACCCTTAGCAGCAAGAATAAAAATTGGGAACAGACTACCAAAATAAGGTAATGAACGTGAAAATGCTCTGTAAATGCAAAATATGAGGACTTATTATGGCAAGGCACCTATCTGTTGCTACTGGTACCTAAATTTCCGTGCTAAAATTAGAAACTGGGTTTATAATGTAAATTATAAACAAAAAATAAAATTTTATGGAAATATTGACTTAAGGTTTCCTTCTTAAATATAAGAGATAGGTGACTTTCTTATTAGCATACTTTCTCCCATCTCTTTCTGAGCTTACCCCCAAAAAATTCTGCAGCATCTGAATCCCAGGTGAGCCTGCCTAACTTTAATATGTGAAATAAAGTTGTATATTGTCTTGGATTATGCAAACTAAGCTGGTAATGAAAAGTGTTTTTTTTTTTTTTATTTTTATGTTTTAGAGACAGGGTCTTGCTCTGTCACTCAGGCTGGAGTGCAGCTGCATGATCATGACTCACTGCAGCCTCAACCTCCCGGGCTAACGTCATCCTTCTGCCTCAGCCTCCCGAATAGCTGGGATTACAGGCATGCACCACAAAATCTGGCTAATCTTTTATTTTTTGTAGAGACAGGATCTTATTATGTTGCCCAGGCTGGTCGACAACTCCTGGGCTCAAGCAATCCTCCCACCTTGATCTCCCAAAGTGCTGGGATAACAGGCATGAGCCACTGCACCCAGCCATTAACACGCTTACGGAGGGTGGATTTGAGTCTAATTGGCATTTAGATGGAGGCAGTATTAACTCAAGACATTTTTTCTATTTTCACTGTTGCAACTGAATACAAAGCCTTCCCTCGGATCAGGCCACTCCGTTTCTGCCGTTCCAACACAGGATACTCTATCCACATTCTTTCCTGCTTCTCCTCATCCACATGGAGCCATATTTCCTCTAAGGTTTGCCAGGACCCACCTTCTCCTGAAGTCTTTCCCAACTACTCCAGTGTGAAAGCTTTACTTTCCAAGAATGCTTACCTGTGAATCCCCTGGCTCGCTCAGGAGTACCCCTGCTCTGTAAGGTCCTTTCATCATTTCATTTCTAGAGTGTAGACATTTCTTCCCCATCTAAGCCGTAAACCATTTGAAGAGAGAGTGTCTTCCTTTGCATTTGAAGCACCGTGTATATTCTTGGCCATAAACTAACTTGCCCTTGAGGTTGACAAAGAAAGAAAGTTTTACCCAGGACCGAGAGTCATTTTCCCAGTAACTCTCACCGGGGAAACTTTCTCTAGACTTTGCACCTCTTGGCATGAGGGGGTTGGAGGGCAGGTCAGTGCCTCCAGCTACTTTTCTTCTGGGAACTATTTTTCCCTCATTAATTGTGCTGACAGGATTAAGAATAGCTCAAAAGCCAGCGGCAAAGGCTAACGTGGACAATTTTGCTATTTTCTCCTTTTTTTTTCTCACCCAACTCCTCTTGCGTCACCCTCCCACCCCTTGGCTAGATATATATCTTTTTTCTTATTAAACAGCACTGTTTTTTAAAACAAAATGAATGAAGAGGCTGCATTTTCATATCATCATGATTCCTAGAGAAACATTAAAGTTATGAGGGCAATAATGTCTTATTCACATTTTGGAGGGCTGAAACTCAGCTATATTTTAGTGACCCTTCTAGATATGTTCCCATTTCTAGAGGCTTAATTAGGGCATGTGTGATTGCAAGAAACAGAAACCTACCCAAATTATTCAAGTCAAAGAATAGAATCGAGGTTCAGGGAGGTACACCAGTCTTTCCAGCACACTAGCCTTGAAATCTTTCATGATTTCTCAAAGGGAGCCCTGGTTTTAAAAGCATTGAGAAGGACTGTGTTGGACTAAGAAATTGCCCAACAATAGAGAGGTAAGATTCCTTGCTTCCCATCAGGCAACTGGTAAGGTTCAGAGAATCTTTCTAGTTATTGGGAGCTATGGGAGGTTGATGATATCTGCTTTCAACTCTAATGGAATATAAAGATTGTAACATGTGTGTCTCCAGTTGGGGCATCAGGCCCCAGGCGACGACTCAAAACAACTTTCCTCAGAACACAGTTTCAAAAAGAGCATTTGGCAACTGTCCTGAGAAGAGGTTCTGAGAAAGAGCTCAGCAACCCAGCCAAATATAATCTCCTCCCAAAATTAGGCCAAAGTTGTCAGCAGTTGCTGAGGACTTAAAGGCTAAAGTCAGAGCCCTGACCAATTAATTTGTAAACAAATTCATCATTGGCCTCCTTCGGAAACCACTCCATGGGATTTATCTGCCCTATTGGCAATCATGTCTTCAGAACATATATTAGGGGGAAAAGTTGAAATCTAAGTTTGTGCTCACCACCACCAAAGGAAATGATCCCATGATCCAGAACTTTCAACTACCCATTTGTTTCCATGCCATTTCACATTTCACTTCCATCTTAGCTTCTTTTTAATTTTAGAATCATCTGATGGCTAATTTTAAAAAGCTAGCAGGTAAAGCCTCCAACACCAGTCTTTCAGCAGTTTTGGGAATGGTCTAGCTTTGCCCTGGACCCCAAACTCAGTCATGCCAGGCCCCTCCTACCTACCTCCTTTCAAACTAGAATATTCTCAGCTTCCAGAAACTCAATCACAATGAAGCTGAGTCTGTCACTGATGTTGTTAATTGTCAACAAAAGATGTGGTCATAGTTTACCAAGATTTAGTTCCAATGATGAAATAAATACTATTTCTGACTTCAATCTTTTGTAAAAGACCACTTCCAGGGGTTGAGCTAACAGGATATATCTTCCATAAACTTGCTTCACAGGTACCACAGCTGCTGAACTGGAGGAAACAAAAGGGAAATACAGCAGTCTCCTGGACTATCAGAATTTCTCTTTCTGCTAGTATCACATGAGATGAGTCATGTGGAAGGGTGTTGAAAATAATAAAGCACTAAGGAAATGGGAGCCCATAAAAGAAATATAAGGGATATCATGTCAACTATTTCAGGCAGAAGTTGAATAAATACTCTCGTTACCATTTTGAATTCAAAGTTCAAATCAGAGGCTGGGCATAGTGGCTCATGCCTGTAATCCAAACACTTTGGGAGGCCGAGGCGGGCAGATCACACGAGGCCAGGAGTTTGAGCCCAGCCTGGCCAATATGGTGAGACCCTGTCTCTACTAAAAAATATACACATTAGCCCGGCATGGTGGCACATGCCTGTAGTCCCAGCTACTTGGGAGGCTGAGACAGGAAAATCGCTGGAACCTGGGAGATGGAGGTTGCAGTGAGCCGAGATCATGCCACTGCACTCCAGTCTGGGTGACAGAGTGAGTCTCCATCTCAAAAAAAAAAAAAAACAACCAAGTCCAAATCAAAATCAAGCTAAAATCAGTCTGTGGAAGGGGCAAAAGTATTTTCCAACTAGGCCCTCTGCTTGGCAACATTTCCAGCCTTGGTTACAGTTGGGCTGGGGGCCATGTGACTACCTCTGGCCAAAAGACCATGAGAAAAAGGGCTGATGGACTATGTATCACTTTGGTCCAGAGTATGTAGGAACAGAAATGGGTCCCTCCACACTCGCTCACCTCTGCTTCAGTGATCCCGGAAACCACATATTGAGATGGCACGAACCTGGATTCCTGGGTCACCGGATGCAGAAGTGCCCTCCTACTTAGAATGCAAAATGCAGTATGAAGGCACAAAACAGAGATTTCAATGTTTATTGAATGCCATAGCATAATAAGGCCTATCTTTTAAAGTACATTGACTTTTTCTTTTTAATTAAATTTCTTTAGGAACTTAGTGCTCTTTGGAGATGCTCACGATGAATGGAAGTGATTGTAAATTGTGCAGCTTTTGTACCAGGTCTATACAGTCAATAATCTAAGTAGTTTTAAAAAGTCAGTTCCAAATCAGATAACACTGTACACAGTGAATAAACATCTAACCTAATGGCTCAGTGGATTAAAACAGTTGGCTTTGGCACTCAAAGTTCTCATTGTGATCCAGTCATTTATTTTCTCTGAGATCCTAAGTAATTCCATCTCTTTTCTCTGTTTTGGTTTTAAGATGTAGAGAAGGACCTGCCTCAGAGGGTTTCGGTGAGCAATAAAAATAACTATAAACCACTTTTCCGGCACAAAGTGCTGCATAAATGCTTAATGATTTCCTTTAATGATATCATGGACAGGGGCACCGTACTTTTAAGTGAAATATTTTCATTTGAGTTATAGCATGTAATACTCTAGATGTCAAGGCCTGATGGATGGTTGAAATAAGGATCTTTTGGGTTTTTTCTGGAGTCCAGATAATTTAATCATTTCTCCTTCATCTACAAAAATTACCTAATTAAACACATGCAAGACTCAGATGACTCAGATCTCAGAGTAGGCTAATGATAGTCCATATAAAGAGAGGGGAGTTTGTCGGCTGCCGTGAATGATACAGTCTTAAGGCCATCAGTTTTGTTCATGAATTCTGCTCTGAAGGAAAAACACTCAGTTGGCCTTTTTTTTCTTAACTTACTCTTATTCTAGAAAATCATAGCCTTATATTATACAGAGCCCAAATCAGTCTCAAGAGGCAGGCATTTACTTTCTAATGAAGGTGGGCATTTTGTTCTCTAGACCATGAATGACAGCATTTAGTCAACCGTATCCATGAAGAGGCCCCATTCTTCTCTGTAAAGAATAAGAAGGGAACAGGCAGGGACAATTCTTTGGAGGTAATGGTCTTTGACACTTTTTGTTTCAAAAATGCAGTTATATAACCATTTATTATTTTCTATGTGTATCCTAAAATCAATGAGTTGAGAAGTTCCACCCTACTGGTCCATTTGCAAACCTCTTGCAAATATCAATAGAGAAAACTCTATTCACATAGATGTTCCACCTCTGAATTATTCCAACTCTCAGATGTTAGATGTGGCCTCTCCCCTTCCCACTCATCTTCTCATAATAGCTCCCATTTACCTAATGCTTACCTTATGCCAGACTTTTAACATGCAATTAACGTGATCTTATGTAGTTCATACCATAGTCCTGTAGGGTAGGAATTTTTTAACCCATTTATCAGATGAGAAAATTATGCGCAGTGAAGTTCAGTAATTTATCCTAAGTCAAACAGCTGTAAGAAGCAGACCCTGAATTCAGACCCAGGCTAGGTGCCTCCCCAGTCTGAGCTATTAACCTCAACACTAATGTGGCTTTTCACCTAGCCTGAGCCCCACATGGTTGAGGAAGGAAATGGGGAAGATGGGGCAAGGAAGGGAAGGGAAGAGAAGGAAACAAAGGTTACTATGGCTTTTTTTCTTAGAAAGAATGTTTAGAGCTGAAAACAATTGCAGATTTTCCAGCTACTTCTATGGTTTTTAGAGAAAAAAAAAAAAATACAGATTCTACACAGTATGTTGGGTCCAGAATCAGTGTCCAAGATTTCCAACTCCCATATATACTCTTTCCACCATAGACCTCCCACCTACCTCCACCCCTAATTTTTAAAAATAACTTCTATGAGTGAATTTACATCTTATTAAAAAATACATAAATAATTCCAATTGTTTTAGTGGCCTAGAATAGCAGTCCGTATGAATGGTAAGACCAACCCTTAAATTTCTTCATTGTTCATTTAACTAACATTTCAGAGCATCTACCTTGGGCAGGGCTCTGTGTCAAGGGTCAGCATATAGTGTCCAAATTTTCTGATTGGTCTCTTCCTGCATTGAGGAGTTTCCAGACAAACGAATCTAATGGTTTAATGACACTGACTCTTGGCCAGGCGTGGTGGCTCATGCCTGTAATCCCAGCACTTTGAGAGGCCAAGGCAGGTGGATCACCTGAGGTCAGGAGTTCCAGACCAGCCTGACCAACATGGTGAAAACCTGTCTCTACTAAAAATACAAAAAATTAGCCGGGCATGGTGGCAGGCACCTGTAATCCCAGCTTCTCTGGAAGCTGAGGCAGGAGAATCGCTTGAAACCGGGAAGCTGAGGTTGCCATGAGCCAAGTTCACACCATTACACTCTAGCCTGGGTGACAAGAGCAAAACTCTGTCTCAAAAAAAAAAAGAAAGAAAGAAATTGACTCTTCTATCATATGCCACCCATCAAGAGGCAAAAAAAAAGTGAAGGTGATTCGAAATGATTATTTCAATAATATCCTTTCTATATTCAAATATTTTATCCATTTCTGTAATACCCAAAACCCTTTTAGTTATGCTGAAGGAAAGTGTTTTATTCATTGCAAATTCTTGTTGCACAACAACTATGTACAAGGAAGCTTCTGGGCACATGGGATGCATCCCTGAACAAAATGGACAAAAATTTCTACCCTCATGGAGATTACGTTCTTAACTGATGGAGGCAGGCAGTAAGCAATAACCATAATGAGCTAGTAAATTATATATTATGTTAAAAGGTAATGTGGGTTAGAGAAAAATGAAATAGCCAAGGGTAGTGGGATTTGGAGTTCAGAAGGGAAGAGGGACAGGTTGTCAATTTAAATAGGATGGGCAGAGCAGGCCTCACTGAGGATCTGTGAGCACTTTTTCAGATGGAAGAACCTTTCAGCAGGGTGGACAGCTGGTGCCCGGCCCTAAGGTGGGAGCAGAAAGGAGGTCACTGTTGCTGAGCTGAGTGAGCAAAAGGGAAAACAGGAGGAAACGAGTCAGAAAGAGAAGCAGGGAAGTTGGGGCAGGGTGTGCAGATTACGTAGGGCCTGGGAGTCCACTCTAAGAACTCCAGCTTTACTCAGTGTGAAATGGAGAGTGCCTGGAGGCTTGTGGGCAGAGAAGTGATATAACGAGGCTTGGATTTTAAAAGGAGCCCTCAGGTTGCTGTGTTGAGAACATACTTCAGGGGGCAAGAGTAGAGGCCAAGAGACCAACTAGGAGACATTAAAGCATCTGACTGAAGTCATCCAGGTAAGAGACCACGCTAGCCCAGACCAGTGTGGGAGCAAGCAGGTAGGGAAATGGCTGGATTCTGGATACCATGGGTTTTCCTGGCAGATTGGATGGGGGAAACATGACAAAAGAGAAAAGGTCTGGAGGATGCCAAGGTTTTTAGTCTAAGCAGCTGGAAGGCTGAAGTTGCCAGTTACTGAGACAGGGAGAATGTGGGTGCAGCTAATTTGCAGTGCTGAATTCAGGAGTTCGGGTGTGGTCAGGTTTAATTTGAGATGTCTAATTAGCCCTTGAAGTGGAGGGGTTGAGTAGGTAGAGACGTGGGCCTGGAGGCTAGGAGGGGGGCCTGAACTGCAGGTGTGAATTTGGGAGGTAGCTCCCTCTGAAAGCCATGAGGCTAAACAAAACCACAATGGGGCTTGTGATGTCTGGCAAAAGCTGGTGAAAACCAACTGCTCATTCAATTGGAGAATTTCATTTTCCCAAACAAGTGAAATGACTAAGAGCAAAAGATCGTTTGACAATTACAGTCATCCCTCAGAATCTGTAGAGGTTCCAGGATGCCCAACGATACCAAAATCCATGGATGTTCAAGTCACTGATATAAATGGTGTAGTATTTGCATTTCACCTACACACACACTCGTGTACACTTTAAATAAACTCTAGATTACTTATATTACTTAATACAAGACCTAGATTTCACTTCATTCACATAGATTAAAGGTAGTACTCGGTGTGGGCCAAATACACGTTTTGCTTTTTGGAATTCTATGGATTTTTTTTTAATATTTTCAATCCACAGATTGTGGATTTGGTTGAGTTCACAGATGCAGAACCACGGATACAGAGGGACAACCACATTTATTTTTAAAGGACCCCAGAAAGAAAAAAAATCAGGGTAGAAACTTCCATTTTTAAATTAATTTTTCTCTGTCACAGTTATAGCTTTTGACCAGAGGCCGCAGGCCTCTGCACAGAAAATTCACAAATGTTTGGGTAAAAAGCAAGAATGGAATTTCTCATGTGCATGAAAATATGCACACAGACAAAACCAGAAGGTGCAGCAGAAACCCAGAGGCCACGCTCTTTATTCCCGCCCCTGGGAGAGTAGTTCACGCCCACAGAGCTGTCCCAGCTTCCAGCAGCCCTGGACATAAGGACAGAGGGAGATACAGGGCTCCTCGGTGAAAGAGACTCCCAGGTATTCCTTATGTAAGCTCAATTGCACTGGCAGATATTTACATAAAAATGGCTATCCTTTTGGAATCTACCATCTTTACCATCAGGAATTGGGAGGCAGAGGCCCTCCTGCTACTATAATCTCAAAATTGTACAAACGTTTGATTTGTGAGGTTACCAGTGCTGTGTCTTTCATTACTTTATTCTTTCAATGAGTAGCTATGGAAAGCCATTGCAGCTCCATCCACACACAAAGTGGGCAGTGAGCCTGCCCTGCCAAGAGGCAGCTGCTGTCTGTTTTGGGGAAGGCTCCCGCATCTTTGCTCAGCAGGGAGTCACCTTCTCTCTTTTGCCTCCCACTGGCCACCTCTGCAACCTGCTCACACAACCAATTGAAACTTTCTGGCAAGACATGAAATGTGCTCTCAGGAACTCGCTCTGTTGCTGCAGTTGGGGACAGCTACTGTATGCATTTGCTTCATCCCCCCGAGTCACAGGCACTGCAGTGTGAAGGATGCTGCGCTGCACGGCCACGCAATTAGATCCCCACGGTCTTCAGCTTTGCACCCTTCCCCAGTGGGCACTTGGTTGCTTCCTTCCCTCCACAGTGCTTCAGTTGCTAAGTATCAGAATGATTTCTCCTTTTTTAGCCAAATCACACAAGCCTAGGTGTGTAAGACTCAAAAATACAGATATTGTCTGACAGTGAACCAATCTCTTCTTGCTTCCAGACTTGAAATTCCCCCATAAGTATAGATAGGAGACCCATGTGTCCTACACTTCCACAAGCCAGTCCTCTCTTTCTAAGCAGTTCTCCAAGAAAATTCTAATTCTGCCGGCATCAATGCGGCTGCTGTTATTGCTCATAAAGCTATCCATGGGACTCTGTGGCAGGCGCCTTTACTAAGCTCTGTAATTAATTCTTGGAAAGCCATAGAAGGAGCTTGTTCAGAGCACTGTTAAATCAAAAGCAGCCTTCCTGTTGGCCTGCTCAGATGGAGCTCTGGTATGTTAAAACAGATCACGAACCAGGCTGAAGAAATCGAACAATCATTCATTCCTCCAGCAGTAGAATCTATGTGCCACCCAAGATATGAATAACATGTGTGGGCCATACACAGATGCAGAGGTCACTGCTCCCCAGACACATGGAGATACCATGGAACATGAACTTTAACTATTGGCCAAGCACTGGTTTGCTGTATGTGATTTTCTTTAACTCATTTGTTGGCTTGATTGGTCATGGACTCTGAGGTTGTTCTATAAAAACATTTCAGGAAGATGTGTGGGTGTGACATGTATCATGTAGCCAGAGGCAGACAAGTCAAGCTGGTTGGTGGGCCCTGGTTTATATGCATGAGCTCTGACTGGATAATAATAATAGTAAAAGCTACAATTTATTGAGTGCCAGCTGTGTTTCAGCAGTGTTTGACCTTTTTGCATACATTCTCCCAAGAGCTCTAAAAGGACAGAGTGATTGTCTCTATTGTACAGATTGAAGCCCACTGTTATGTTTGGTTGTTAAAATGCTTACACTATATTAAAATGTTGTCATGTGCCACAAATGGCTTCATGAGAATGCAGTAGACTACAACTTTCTTTCTCTGTGCCTAAATAAAACTGCTTCCACAAAAGAATGGTGTCTTATACACATTAAAGGCTAAATAAATGTGCTTATTGACTCAGTGAAACTCACACTTATTCACTCATTTTGAAAGAAGATATGCCATTTCCCTATATAGCAGAACTGGGAGTAATTTTGCCCACCACCAGCTCCCCGCAAGACATTTGGCAATGTCTGGAGTCATTTTTCATTATCACAACTTGGGGAGTTTTTGCTACTGCCATCTAGTCAGTAAAACCAAGGATGCTGCTAAACATTCTGTAATGTCCAGGACAGCTCTCCTACCCAACCCCCAAAAAAAGTACACAGCTCAAAATGCCAGTGGTGGTGATCTTGAGAAATCCTGATCTATACAGACAAGGTCAACCAATAGATCATCATTTGTTTATTGATATTTACATCATAAAACATCAAATTAATAAAAGAAAATGGTTAATCCCATAGCAGCTGATAGTAAACTGCATACTAGAACTAGCCAAAGATGTGTTATTTACATTGCAAAATCCAGAAGAGAATTTTGCACTAAGACTAATACCACATACCTTAGGTTGAGAGATTTCTGACAAAGATTGAGATGCCAAGCCCAATCTTGTGTATGGGAATTACTTTTGAGCTACCACGTGAAAGGAGAATTTAGTCAATATGCTGGTATAAAAATTGGCTGCCCCCTAAGGCCTGGAACTTTACCACAGGGAGAGCTCCCCAGCACAGAGCACACATGGAGGTTCTACAGAGGCTAAGTCCTATGCAAGATAAGACTGCATTTTTAAAACATATGAGGTAGGCAATGCCAAGAAAGACACTCTATAGCCTCAACAAACAGGAAAATTCAAACCTAAGGAACTAAAGCTAAAAGAACAATGTCTGTAACTTTAAAAAAATTAAATAAGTATTTTAAAGCGTTTACAGAGATAAAAAGCTATATTATAAAAATAACGTGGTATTATGAAATCAGAACAGGTAGATTTGAAAAACAAAGATTCTACCACTTAAGAATAGTCATTGAAAGAATAAATTCAATAGATGAGTTAAAATAGCAGGTCAGATCGTATTAAAGATAAACTTAGTGAATTAGGAGAGAATCTGAAGAAATTACCTTGAGTATAGCCCAGAGAGATGAAGACATCAAAAATATAAAACAAAAATTAAAAGACATGAAGGATAGATTAAATAACTGTATTTGTTAACTATTAGAACACAAAGATTCTCAGATTTGATTTAAAACCAAAATTTGGCCATGTGCTATTTACAAGAAAGATACTCCTAAAATGATCCAGAAAGGCTGAAACAAAAAGAACGAAAGAAGAAATCCTAGGCAAATAATAATCAACAGAAAACTAGTGTGGAATATTAATATTAATAAAAATATAATTCAAGGTGAAAATAAATGGGAATGGAGAGACATTACTGATAGGAGCAACCCATCACAAAAAAATTCTACCAACAATTACTTTCATTTACTTAATAAATGTACTTGAAATATATAAAATGAAAATAGAGTTACCAGGAGAAATTGACAAAACTACAGTAGGACTGGGAGATTCTAATATGCTTCTCTTAAAATCTGAGTGATTAAGCAGCCAGAAGCTATGTAAAGAGTAAATGATATGGGCCAGGCACGGTGGCTCACGCCTGTAATCCCAGCACTTTGGGAGGCCGAGGTGGATGGATCACCTGAGGTCAGGAGATCCAGACCAGTCTGGCCCACATGGCGAAACCCCGTTTCTACTAGACGTACAAAAATTAGGCAGGCGTGGTGGCACATGCCTGTAATCCCAGCTACTCAGGCAGCTGAGGCAGGAGAATCGCTTGAACCTGGGAGGTGGAGGTTGCACTGAGCCAAGATCACACCACTGCACTGCAGCCTGGGTGACAAGAGCAAGACTCCATCTCAAAAACAAAAACAAAAACAAAAACAAAAAAACAACCAGAATCAATCATATGAATAACACTATTGACAGGCTTAGTCTACACACACACACGTATAAATATTTGTGGGTATACATATATTTCATATATATATGTATATACACACGCATATAATGTGTGCATACATATAAAAATGATGGTCTATAGATTTTATACATACACACACATATGTAGCTTGTTGTATAATATATAATATCATATGTATGTTTTACAGAGATAGAATCAGGTACCAAAAAATTCCACTCATGAGGAATTTACATTTATAAAATATGAACCTTTCCCAAATCAGAAGGAAATTTTAACCAGTTCCAAAGAACTGATTATCATACAGACTATGTTATCCATTCACAGTAATATAAAAATTATAATCCAACAGTACAAATGAGAGCAAAAAAATTTTTAATTTTTTGGAAATGAAAAAATACACATATAAATAATTCATGGATTAAGGAACTCATACTATTTTATTAATTGTTTTTGTCACTTAATCTATCGTAAACATTTCTCTTATATCTTTAAAAACTGTTCTACAATGTAACTTTTAGAGTAGCATGATATTCCAACATATGGATGTCATATAATTTATTTAACCAGTTCCTTATTTGGGCACATTTATATTATTCTCAACTTTTTGCTATTATCATAATGCTATAATAAAGATGAGGCCAGGTGCAGTGTCTCACACCTGTAATCCCTGCACCTTAGGAGGCCAAGGAAGGTGGATCACTTGAGGTCAGGAGTTCGAGACCAGCCTGGCCAACATAGTGAAACCGCATCTCTACTAAAAATACAAAAATTATCCAGGCATGATGGCAGGTGCCTGTAATCCCAGCTACTCAACAGGCTGAGGTGGGAGCATGGCTTGAACCCGGGAGGCAGAGGTTACAGTGAGCCGAGATCATGCAACTGCACTCCAGCCTGGGTGACAGAGACAGACTCTGTCTCACAAAAAAAGAAAGAAGTAATATTTTTACTTCATCGTACACAAATGTATTTTACACCATTAAGTTCTTTCTGTTTCTTAATTAGAATGTTCCCAATTGGAAAACAGTTGTACAATACTTCATTCTAAAGGAAGAAGAGCCATAAAAAGAGAAAAAAAAAATAAGAAGAAACCCTGCATTTTAGATCTTCCTAGAAATAGCAAGTTGCTCCAGGAAAAGACCAAACCAGGTGATAAAGGTTTGTGTCACCATTTCAAAAAGAATAAAGAAAAGGGCAGTACAGACACTGCATTATCAGACGCCACCATTATAATTTGTGGATCTCACACATCAATATGTAAATAACAGAGGCCAAGCTATTTCCTCCGCAGGTTGCCTGTAAATTGAAGTAAAAACTGTATTACTAAAGCCAGGCAAGCTAGAACAACACAGATTATAAGTCAAACAATGATATGAGTTCATTTAACACTGAGAAAACAAGCGTTTCTAGATAACTACATATCATGCAAGACAAACAATTCTAGAAACGGGAAATAAATGGGTGAGGCAAAATGAAAAGGAAGAAAATTGGATGAAATTCATCAGGACTAAAAATATTGGCAGTTTCAGGGTAGAGGTATTAGCTGAGCAATAAGGTGAGAGAAATTGCCACAAGTCTACATTGCCTGCACTCGGAGGGAGGCCACAGGGAGTGCCTGTTAAGAGCTCTGACTGGCTTCAAACTGCCTTGGCTGGATTTTGGTGGTAGCAGTGGGTGGCCTTGGCCAAATTTTCCAAGCCCTGATTTTCTTATCACTAAGGTAGACAGCTTCTACCTCATAAGGATGCTATGAGGATGAAATGCAAAAAAAACAAAGTAAATAAAGGGCCTAGCCCAGTGTCTAGTACATTTGTATGTGCTCATTAATCGTTAGCAATAGTAAGTGAACTTCAAAAGATTAAGAAAAGCCAGATGGCCAGTTGAGAAACAGGAACAGGAATTAGATATTGTTACTAATCGTCTGTGATAAACTCTGTAGTTCATGTTAACACACACACACAAAAAAACACAAAAATTTGCTTCTATGAACCATTTTTAAAAGGCTCTAGGCCAGGCGTGGTGGCTCATGCTTATAATCCCAGCACTTTGGGAGGCCGAGGCGGGGAGATGGCTTGAGCCTAGGAGTTCAAGACCAGCCTGGGCAACATGGTGAAAACCCATCTCTACAAAAAATACAAAAATTAGCCGGGCATGGTGGTGTGCACTGTGGTCCCAGCTACTTGGGAGGCTGAGGTGAGAGAATCACCTGAGCCCAGGAGGTCTAGGCTACAGCGACCTGTGATGATGCCACTGCACGCCAGCCTGGGTGACAGAGTGAGACCTTGTCTCAAAATAATAATAATAATAATAATAAATAAGATAAAGTGCTCTAAATTTTAAATGTAAAGTGTTATAAAATCGGTGTGCAAGTTTCCAGTATAGAGTCTAGTTACTGAAGCAGATATTTAATTTATCATGACAAGACATATTGCCAAACTGAGACTGTTGGCCATGGCTGTGTGTCCACTGGCAACTTTAAGGGATGTGAGATCAGGCTGCCTGGGCATCCAGTTATGCTGTCTCTGATTGGAGGTGAACTGCATTCTTTCGAGTGGTGAGCATATAGACCTACTCTCCATGATTTGGCAGAAAATAATAAAATTTGATTTATATTTGTCAAATGTATTCCCTTGATAATGGCTGGACACCAAAATATCGTTTTCTGAGTTTTCTTTTCAAGAATTTGGCTTTGGAATATGGAAATTCCCATGATTGAGAGTCCACTCAGCAAGAACTAATGAGCCCTGAATAATGATCACCCTCCGAGAGTTCCCCTCCACCATGTTCATAAAACCCCTCCAGTTGGCGATGGCTTCCACTGCCTTTTAGTCAGAATTCAGCCTGTCTTTATGGACCTTTTTTGACTTCATAATTTCTCCAGGTTGTATTTTTAAAAGTCTTATTCACCTACAAAATGAACCAACAGATAAGCATCTTTTCCTTTTCAAAAGCAAGTCTGGTCTCTTTGTTCACAAATTCCAAATATACTAGTCCTAGAAATTATGCATGGGCAAGATTTGTACTTCCAGAGAATTTTACTTTCAAACAAGGTGAACTGTCAAACTGTGAATGCAGCTTGTGGAGTGAATGTCTCCCCGAGAAGGAGGCTCCTTTCCTTGAGGGGAAGGGAAGTGGCTGGTCTGGGGCTTTCTCATTGGCCCCTGGATGCGGTTTTGCACCTCTGGTTAGAGGCTGGCTGCTTTGTCTTGTCAGAGAGACGTATCATCTGTTTTAATGCTGACCTGTAATGTTTTATTCACATTGTAAATCTTTTATCGCCTGTGACTCCTGTGAGATTTCCCCTTTTGTTATTATTTTTTTTCTTATTGGTATTGATTCTCAATTTTGCCAAAGGGTTAGGAAACCTACTGCCCTGTTGGCATGATTGCAAAGAATCTGACTGCTGTTTTCCTCCCCACAAAAGAAGTATCTGTAGCCATTTAATTACGTAGTTTATTTTTAAAGCATGAATGAAAGAACCAGGGATCATCTTTCACTTAAATTCAGCTCAGCATGTTCTCAGAACATTAAACATTCTCAATTCTTTCAGTTATTGAAACGGGTGTCCTTGTCTGAAAGCAAATGAGTGCATTTGGTTTTACCCAGTCTAATGTCACAGATTTTATTGTATGCTGTTTTCTTTTGTCAGCTAGAAATAGAGTCCATAACCTCAAACACTGTCAAAAAGAAATAAATATACTCCGTGGGAAAAATAATAACTCTTAGACATTTCAGCTGCAGAATAAATCCCTTCCGTCGGACACAGCCTGCATATAATGGGAACCCCAAACTGCCTTGAATGCCCTAACAGAAGCTCTCCTGCATTTATAGAGAATACCAAGGTGTTCCCTGGCAATTGAATGTTAGTACAATAGAAAAGTGTTATTCATAGGTAACAACAAAAAAGGGTCGGCAGGGATATGTCTAACAATTCATGTTGTCACAGGCCAAAATAAGCGTATGTATCCAGAGAGAGCTGACCATTTAGATTAGAGAGAGATGTTTCTTCAAAGGAGAAGACCTGTTCTGGGTCATTCTGAGGTCCAGAGCTCATGGTGCTCTCTGCTCCACAAACACTTTCCATTCGCCCTCCTCCCCGCCATCTGTGGACTTCCACCGCCATCAGGAGCTTCCACCTTTCTAGAAGTCTGAAGCTTTAACACTCCAGTTTTCTGCATGGTACTGCAGCCAATCTCAAAGGATTCTTCAGTGGAGGGAACTGGAGGGAGGAAACCTGCAGGAAAGAAGCTGAATCCTGCTGAAGAAGAAGAGGTTGCTTTCTGTACATGGAAAGGAAATTGTTGATCCAGTCTTTCACTGTTCAATTCCACCCCAAGAAACAGACTCAGATCTTGGGCTCTCTGGGAACGGTGGAAGTTTCACAGTGTGGCCTACGGCTCCCCACTCCTTCTGGGTCTCCTTCAAACACATACCCACCCTCCCCATTCTACAGTGCTGCAGTGGAGAAGTGGAGAGTTATTTGGCCTGTGACAGGGAGCTGACTCAGATGCCCACTCCACATCTTCAGCACTACCTGGATGGCAGAAAACACCAGGGCACCCCTACTTTGGGTCAACGCCAACTGCTCTGCCAGCCTGAAGAAGCTCTGGCCCTTCCATAAAGGGAAAAGGGTGGGTTCTTGAATTTATAGTGGAGCCACACAAATCCGGACTGCACTAGAAAAACAAGCAAGAATGTCTCTACCCACGTCTACCAGACAGATGTGGCTCCAAATGTGTCAATCAAAGCCACAGAAGTGCTGGGGTAGAGGCATTATGATGCCTTCAAGCTGCTTAGGCAGAAGTGATGCTTTCCTGGGTTTTGCAGATTTTTTGTAACTTAACTGCCCTCAAGCCTCAGCAGCTTAACTGAAGGTTAACATTAATGCTGAGCCCGGGAGACCTGTTAGGCTTCACCTGCCCACCGAAGGACCTCATATCCTCCCGTCTCCACGGTTATTTCTGGAAATCTGTTATGAGTGCCACATTTGCTAGAAACAAATCCAACTGCGTTCTCCAGGGTGTGGCCTCCTTGCAGGAGCCTGTGAGCCCCTGGAGAGAGGCGTCACGTCTTGGTCTCAGCTGCTGTGGCCCTCATAAGAACACTCTCTCTGCCATGCTATTGGGCATGACAGGCATCACCATCACTCTTCAGTCCACCAGATGCTGAGATACTAGCCCTGCTTTCCTTGCGGAAACCGAGAGATGCCCACTTCTCCCACTTAGGACTTACCCCTTGCAAGGATCCACATTGAGAAACAACCCCTTTCACGTCTTCCTGCACCCACTCTCTCTATACAAGTCTCTGAAGCCCTGGGACTTTAGTGAGGATGGGAGTGGCCTGGGAGCTCGTTAGAAAGGGAGATCCCTACATCCCACCCCTAGAGATCCTGATTCAGTAGTTTTGATGAAGGGCCAGGGAATCTGCTTTGAAACGAGTTCCTAGATGATTCTGAAGCAGGTAGTCTGGATGACACCTTGAAAAAAGTGGGAAGAGACTACATAATGAGGAGTAACACACATTCGGTTTCATAAAGAGAGGAGCCAGAGAACATTTGGGGAAACTCCATAATAAACAATGTGGCCAGTAAAAATGGCTAGTACATACAGGGCTAAGAGAATACGAAAAACATTAGAATAGCAATAGGTTGTGAGGAATCACAATCTAGGGACTGCACAGGAAATCAACCCTACACCACCCCTCTTAGCCTCTTTCCACCCAAAGATACGGGCTCCAGGAAAGAATCCCCCAGCTACCTTTTCCTATTCACCGTGTTCTTAATTGACCAAGCTGCCCAAATACGGCAAGCAGAAAAGTAGTATCTACTGGGATGCTCCATCCTATGAAGGGGGAAATAACCAGTTTAATACCAAGCAGTTCGGACCTGGCATTTCTATACGTCTTTTCACCTTGTGCTAGAACCTTAGCTATTTGTGCCGCTAGCCCTCCACGGCCACACCCTCATCCCACCCTCCACTTCCTGGCACTCTTCAATCTATCTTGTCCACTCCTAGAGTAAAGAATGGGCTTGAGAAAACAGGCCTGAGAGAAGGAAAAAAGGAGTGGGTTTGGGAGGATTTGCGTTATTCCAAATCCCAGAGTAGATTAAATGTATTGAAGTCATTTTTTATCTCTATCAGTCCCGAACGAGTACAGTGATGCACAGCTCTCCTCCACTCCTCTTGCTTTGTGATGGACATTGTAATTGACCCCCCAACATCCACTCACCCCCATGATTGGCTGAGGCCAATCAGCCCATGGGACCTGTCTGGTCACTGTCCAAACTGTGTCCAACGCCCAGCCCCAGTAGAAATATAATGCAAGCCACATATGCAATTTAAAATTTTCTAGTAGCCACATTTTTAAAAGTACAAAGAAACAGGTAAAATTAATTTTAGAAATATATTTAGGTAATTCAATACCATATACCCAAAATGTTATGTAAACACAGAATCAATAAAAAAATTATTGAGATATTTTACATTCCTTTTTTCATACTAAGTCTTCAAAATTTAGTTGTGTTGTTTATACTTACAGAACACCTCAATTTGGAATAGGCACATTTCAAGTCCTTGATAACCACATACGGCCATAACTGACAGTGTAGGACTTTAATTCTATGTTTTAGAGTGAGGAAAAGAGCATTCTTTCTTTTCCCCCTCTTTTTTTAAGCTATGAATGAGGAAGCATATTGCCCCATGGCTGCTTACAGCCATCTTATGACCATGAAGTGATCCAGACTGGATCCTGGGTCCTTGATCACATAACTAAGCTTTGCTACTCCAGAGTCTGCCTGCCTCTGAACTCCCAGTGATAAGACATGATTCATTTCTCTATAGTTTAAGCCATTTTGAGTCTGATTTTCTGTTAAACGCATCAGAAAATGTGCTAATCTACATACCCCTCCCATCCGTATTGTAGCCACAAAGAAGTATTTCCAGCCCTTGTGATGAGTTTTCTTGTTATATCAAATAAGTAGACACCAGCCAAACACGTTTCTCACCCAGGCTACAAATTGAGAGAACCAGTGAAACTCTAAGTCTCCTATTTCCTTGAACAGTTACTACTGTCTTCACCTTTGTTTGAATCCTATGGCAGTGGATCTACTCTTAATGAAGTTAAGGCAGTACTTTATATTAGATATTTTAGAAGCAAAAGAGTAGACTGATTTCCTTTAAGTACTGTGTTTCAAACAAAATGATTAGGTCTTGGATATAGACCTAATCACAATGAAACAAAATTATTTGAGTCCAAAATACAATCAGTTAGTGAAAACTTGATGTGGTTATATAAACAGGAAAAGCCTCTCCAAAATCTCAGACGTGGGAAATGCATGGAACTCTGAAACTGAAATATGAGCAGTAGGCAAGTATCTAATGAGGGTCCCTTACCTGGGGTGGAATGTTGCCAACTGCTCACTGATTCTTCCTGTAAAGTTACCAGGATAAATGCATGTAGATGGCCCTATTTAGAAAGCTCTAAAGCACTTACATTAAAAACGAGGAAAGATCTCAAATCAACAACCCAAATTTGCACCCTAAGGAACTAGATAAAGGACTAACCTCAAAGTTAGCAGAAGGAAGATAATAATAAAGATTAGAGCAGAGATAAACAAAATAAAGAATAGAAAGCCAGTATAGAAAATCAACAAAACCAAGAGTTGGTGCTTTGAAAAATTCAACAAAATTGACAAAGCTTTAGCTAGATTGACTAAGAAAAAAAGGAAGTAATATTCATAACCAAAATCAGAAATGAAAGAGGGAACATTATAACTGATTTTACAGATATCAAAAGAATTATAAGAGAGTACTACAAACAATTGTGCAGCAACAAATTGGATAACTTATACGAAACGAATAAATTCCCAGAAGTACACAACTTATTGTACTGAATCAGGAAGGAACAGAAAATCTCTGTTTCTGAATCATGAAGAAACAGAAAATCTCAATAAACCCATAACTACTAAGGCAATTGAATCAGTAATGAAAAACCTCCCAACAAAGAAAAGCCTAGGCCCAGATGGCTTCACTGAGGAATTTCTACCAAATATTTAAAAAAGAAGTAACACCGGTCATTCTAAACTCTTCCAAAAAAATTGAATAGGGGAGAAAACATCCAAACTC
Source organism: Homo sapiens (assembly GCF_000001405.40). Classification (NCBI taxonomy): domain Eukaryota; kingdom Metazoa; phylum Chordata; class Mammalia; order Primates; family Hominidae; genus Homo; species Homo sapiens. The sequence goes on from NC_000007.14 coordinate 25,918,733, forward strand.
ATTCTATGAGGCCAGTATTACCTTGATACCAAAGCTAAACAAAGACACTCCAAAAAAAAACAAAAAACAAAAACAAAAAAAACTGCAAACCATTACCCCTAATAAACATTGGTACAAACAAATCTTCAACAAAATACCAGCAAAAAGAATTCAATAGCACATAAAAGGATTATACTAACATGGCTATATGGGATTTATTCCTGCAATGCAAGGATGGCTCAATGTATAAAAGTCAATCAATATAATATATCGCATTAACAGAATAAAGTAAAAAAAAAAAAACCTCATTATCTCAATTGATGCAGTAAAAGCATTTGACACATTTCAACACTTTTTAATGATAGAAACAGTCAACCAACTACAAATAAAAAATAACTACCTCAACATAATAAAAACCACATATGAAAATCGCATAGCTAAAATTGTACTCAATGGTGAAAGACTGAAGCTCTTTCTCTAAGATCAGAAAGAAGACAAGGATGCCCACTATTGTCACTTCTATTCTATACTGGAAGTCTTAGCCAGAGAAATTAGGCAAGAAAAAATATATAAATAAAAAGCATCTAAATTAGAAAGGAAGAAGTGAAGTTATCTCTGTTTATAGATGACATAATCTGATATTTAGAAAACCCTAAAGATTCCACCAAAAGAGTCAGTTAGAAAAGTGAAGTTTTAGGATACAAAATCAATGAACAAAACTCAGCTAGATTTCTATACACTAACAATGAACAATTAGAAAAGGAAATTAAGAAAATAATTCCATTTATGATAGTATCAAAAATAATAAAATACTTAGGAATAAGCTTATCCAAGGAGGCAAAATACTTGTACACTGAAAACTACAAAACATTGCTGAAAGAAGACACCAATGAATGGAAAGGCATCCTGTGTTCACAGATCAGAAGAGTTAACACTATTAAGATATCAGTACTATTAAAAGTAATCTATAGATTCAATACAATCCCTATCAAAATCCTAATGACATTTTTTTTAGAAATAGAAAAATCCCTCCTAAAATTTATATGGAATTTCAAGGGACACCAAATAGCCAAAACAATTTTGAAAATGAAGAACAAAGTTGGAGTTCTCACACTTCCTGATTTCAAAACGTAATACACACCTATAGTAATAACAACTATATTATGAGTGAGGTATTGGTATAATGACAGACATATAGACCAATGGAATAAGATAAACGGCCCAAAAATAAACCTTCACATATATAGTTGAATGATTTTTGACAAGAGCCCCAAGATCATTCAATGGGAAAAGGGAAGTCTTTTCAACAAACAGTGTTGGTAAAACTGTATACTCACATGCAAAAGAATGAAGTTGGACTCTTACCTTATACCATGAACAAAAATTAACTAAAAATGGATCAAAGACCTAAATGTAAGAACTAAAACTATAAAACTCTTAGAATAAAACACAGGGAAGAAGCATGATGACATTGGATTTATCAATGATTTCTTGAATATGATGCAAAAAACACAGGCAAAAAAAAGAAAATAATAGAAAAATCAAACTCCATCAAATTAAAAAACTTCTGTGTATTAAATGATAGAATCAAAAGAGTGAAAAGACACCACAGGAAATGGGGAAAAAATATTTGCAAATCATGCATCTGATAAAGGGCTAATATTCTGAATACATAAAGAACTCCTACAACTCACAACTCAACAACAAGAAGCCCAACAACCTCATTTAAAAATGAGTGAAGGACTTGAATAGATATTTCTCCAAAGAAGATATAAAAATGGCCAATAAACAATGAAAAGATGCTCAACATCACTAATTGCTAGTGATGTTTGTGTCTTCCCAAAACTCATACATTAAAATTTGAATCCCCAAGGTAATTATATTAGGAGGTGGGCCTTTTGGGGGAGCCGATTAGGTCATGAAGGCAGAGCCCTAATGAATAAAATCAGTGCCCCTTATAAAATAGGCCCAAGGCAGCTCTTAAATCCCTCCCATCATGTGAGGACACAGTGAAAGGCACTGTCTATGAGAAAGTGTGCCTTCATCAGATACCAAACATGGCTGCTTGATCTTGGACTTCCAAGCCTCCAGAACTGTGAGAAACAAATTTCTCTTGGTTATAAGCTACCCAGTGTACAGTATTATGTTATAGTAGCCCAAATGGACTAAGACACAAATCATTAGGAAATATGCAAATCAAAACCAAAAGAAAATGCCACCTCACACCCATTCAAGTGGCTACTATCAAAAAACCAGAAAATAACAAGTGGCAAAAATATGGAGAAATTGGAACCCTTGTGCACTGTTGGTGGGAATGTAAAATGATGCAGCCACTAGGGAACATTATGGTAGTTCCTCAAAAAATTAAAAATAGAATTGCCATATAACCCAGCAATTCCAAATCTGGTTATACACCCAAAAGAATTGAAAGCTGGGACTTGAAGAGATATTTGTATACCCATGTTCATAGCAGCATTATTCACAATAGCCAAAGGGTGAAAGCAACCTATGTTCATTAGCAGACGAACGGATAAACAAATTGTGCTGTATATAAATAATGGAATATTATTCAGTCTTAAAAATAAGGAAATTCTGATTCATGCTACAACATGAATGAACCTTGAGGACTCTATGATGTTAAGTGAAATAAGGCAGCCAGAAAGGATACTATATGATCCCACATATATGAGGTTCTTAGAGTAGTCAAATTCACAGAGACAGAAAGTAAAATGGTGGTTGTCCAGGGCAGTCGGGTGGGAGACCAGGGAGTTGCTGTTTAATAGGTACAGAGTTTCAGTTCTGCAAGATAAAAAGAGTTCTGTAGATGGATGGTAGTGATGGTTGCACAACAATGTGAATGTAGTTAATGCCACTAAATTATACACTTTAAAATGGTTAAAATAGTAAATTTTGTGTCATGTGTATTTTACATTTTTTTAAAAGTTCAAGTCTTGCTTGTCTTACTGCCCATGAGACTCAATCATCATAATTCAAGAAGTCCATTTCAAATATAGTATTAAAACTTTGATTTTTATCTCAACATATAATCAGGGCTGCCACCCCTTTAAAATATAAAGGACCCCAAACAAGATGGTTTCACAAACTCCAGAGAGAAGCAATATAGTATTCACATCTGGATTATTTTCCCAGGAAAATTTTCACCTTCAACTCATCAATATCCCCCTCTTTATATCTATGTACTTTGTTCAAGCAACATTTATTGAGGGCCTACTGTGAGCTAGGCACTAAGAATACTAGGAAGTCCTGGGCTTGAATCTATCAGGCCTCCTTATGTTGAGAATCTACACTTGAGCTAGATCTTGCAGGATAAATAGAATTTGCCAAGTGACAAAACGTAGGGAACTGCATTCTCAGAAGCTGAAAGAGTGTGTGTGAAGGCATGTAATTGTGAAAGGGGAAGGTCCATCCTAGGAAATGGGAGACAAGAAGGCATGAGTGGAGACATGAAGCCAGGGAGAACAAGTTTCCAGCTCTCTGCCCTGCCTTCTTCTCACATAAGCTGCCTTTCCAATAATAAAGAGTTACCTCTAGGCACCTTGCATGCGTTCCAATAGTAGTAGAATTAGGTACCTATAAGTCTCTGTGGTCCTGGGGAAAGAAACGAGGATGAGTATCTTAGGCCAAGGAAGGCAAATGCCTGCATGCATGCCACCACCACTCCCTTCTCCCAATTCCACAGCAGGCATGAGTAATGAGTTATCTCCCAACTCCACAGCAGACATGACTAATAAATAATTGTGCTCTTTGTCTTCAAGGCTACACACAGTCTTGTATCCTCAGGACACAGCGTTCAGGCAGGCAGAACCAATGAATCAGGATGGCACAGGAGATAAAACCTGTTTAACATCCATATCCCAAAGAGTAGCACGCTTTGGCTGACCCATGTTGAATATACAGCAAACAAAACCTTGACCACTTGTCAGCAGTAAGGAATTTATGGTTGAAAGTTAGAATACATGGGTAGATCAAGGACGAATCTTCTCATGCTGAAGCTTACTTCCAGCTTTTGCAAACTCATATTTTTAAGTATCTTTCATGTGCCAAGGACCTAGTACATACCATATGTATTTTACTGCATGGACTATTCACAACACCCTAGCAAATGAGGCATCTTTATTCCCGTTGAAGATGAGAAAAGTGTGACACAAATATCTAAGTAATCTATCCAAGAAAATAAGTTTAGAAAGAAGCAAAGTGAAGATTTGAACACTTGTGACCAACTGTACCATTTTGCCATCATATTGTGCTAATTAATTACATTTTAGGTATTACTTGTATCATCACATTTTGCATTTAGCACGGATATTGTTGAGAAGTCAAGAAATTACTCAAAAATGAAGAATATTCACAAAGTCAAAAAATAGAGGTCAAAGGGATATTGGCTGCAAATTCTAAGAAAACTATGCATAAAACTGAACAAAGATCAGTCAGTATGAAGGTCTCACATGACACTTCATCACTGGTCTTGAAAGCTTATGATAGGTTCAGAAAAGTTACGGATTTCCATCTTGCTCTAAGAATCAGGCATTCGCCATTACCCACATTTTTTTTTCTCTGTACCCAGACAGGTAGGACATGATGCTCTTTCTAGCATTAGGCATTCAACAGCATTTCAGTTTATCCCACGGGACCTCTTGTTGTCTAAAAAGATATACCACAGAAGGCTCTTGCTACCCAAGGGTAATTGCTATTACCTATACTTGAATCAACTTGATTTGGGTTCAGTGCCTGTCCATTACTCAGGGGAGAATTCCCCTCTGGGTGGAGAACGTGAAGATAGTTCTTCCCTGAGATCTCACTCTAGGCAAAAGTTGACTATCCCGAAGTATCTATCCTAACTTGTGTCTTTGTTGGACAAAAACTGTATCTGTCTTTTTCAAGTATTTCTTTTAAAGATATGTTTTATTATGGCAGAATTATTTTATAATGCTTGCATTGTATTTTCAATTCCTAAAACACTATTTGTTATGTACTACTAAAGAGGGCACCATTAATACAATTTCTGTAAAGTTTTAAATTATTATCCAAGTATTTTTAAAATTCCCTTTCTATATAAACATTCATCACCACAAATAGATAAATGCATCCTTCAATATTTTCTCCTACTTACTCTGAATAAGTTAATGTGTATTTGGCAGGGATGCAACACAACTCATGTTACTGCCCCTTAGGGCTTCAAGTGTAAATATTTTCCAATGTCAAGATCTACAGTCACAGCTGAAATCCAGGAATTGCTAAATCCTCATGCCAAAGCTGATTAAAACACACCAATGAAGTTGTAAGGAAGAGTGGCTTTCTTGCAGAGATATGAATATTAGATGAAATTTAGGGAGTCAAAATGATAAATCTGGGGTCACTGGTACACTCTAAAACCAGCTGCAACTAGAATGGGCACTCTCAAGGTGATGTCACATGTGAAGGCCTGGGAGAAGGGGGCTTGTGTTCTAGCCCTAGCTCCACCTCTTGTAATCCATGTGGCTTTGACTCTGATCAGTAAAACGGAAATGAAAACATTTCCTTGCCTCCTACTCCATACAATTGTTATGAAGAGCAAATGCAGTAATGCATATAATATGCTCAGAAAGCCATAAACTTCTCTATCAAAGGCAAAGTTATTTAGACCCTTGCAAAGGCTGTTAGCATTTACATTACATTAAGGAATACTAGAGCTTTATATATTCAATTAATCCTTTAATCTCTTGCAATCAAGCCTCCATCTCTGTACACCATGACACTTTCTAAAGAATGTCTCAACTTAGAAGTTGAGAGAATGTGGAGGTAAAGTCACAAATGAACTAAAAAGTAAACTGCCACATTCCATGTCTATGAGCCTTATCTCCATTGACTTCATTTTTACCATGGATTCCCCCTCCCTTAAAAATGCCTATGAAGAGGATGTTTTTAAAATCAAATCATATTTCTTTTTAATTTTTTTTTTATTATACTTTAAGTTTTAGGGTACATGCGCACATTGTGCAGGTTAGTTACATATGTATACATGTGCCATGCTGGTGCACTGCACCCACTAACTCGTCATCTAGCATTAGGTATATCTCCCAATGTTATCCCTCCCCCCTACCCCCACCCCACAACAGTCCCCAGAGTGTGATATTCCCCTTCCTGTGTCCATGTGATCTCATTGTTCAATTCCCACCTATGAGTGAGAATATGCGGTGTTTAGTTTTTTGTTCTTGCGATAGTTTACTGAGAATGATGTTTTCCAATTTCATCCATGTCCCTACTAAGGACATGAACTCATCATTTTTTATGGCTGCATAGTATTCCATGGTGTATATGTGCCACATTTTCTTAATCCAGTCTATCATTGTTGGACATTTGGGTTGGTTCCAAGTCTTTGCTATTGTGAATAATGCCGCAATAAACATAAGAAAAAAAGAGAGAAGAATCTAATAGATGCAATAAAAAATGATAAAGGGGATATCACCACCGATCCCACAGAAATACAAACTACCATCAGTGAATACTACAAACACCTCTACGCAAATAAACTAGAAAATCTAGAAGAAATGGATAAATTCCTCGACACATACACTCTCCCAAGACTAAACCAGGAAGAAGTTGAATCTCTGAATAGACCAATAACAGGATCTGAAATTGTGGCAATAATCAATAGCTTACCAACCAAAAAGAGTCCAGGACCAGATGGATTCACAGCTGAATTCTACCAGAGGTACAAGGAGGAACTGGTACCATTCCTTCTGAAACTATTCCAATCAATAGAAAAAGAGGGAATCCTCCCTAACTCATTTTATGAGGCCAGCATCATTCTGATACCAAAGCCAGGCAGAGACACAACAAAAAAAGAGCATTTTAGACCAATATCCTTGATGAACATTGATGCAAAAATCCTCAATAAAATACTGGCAAAACGAATCCAGCAGCACATCAAAAAGCTTATCCACCATGATCAAGTTGGCTTCATCCCTGGGATGCAAGGCTGGTTCAATATACGCAAATCAATAAATGTAATCCAGCATATAAACAGAGCCAAAGACAAAAACCACATGATTATCTCAATAGATGCAGAAAAAGCCTTTGACAAAATTCAACAACCCTTCATGCTAAAAACTCTCAATAAATTAGGTATTGATGGGACATATTTCAAAATAATGAGCTATCTATGACAAACCCACAGCCAATATCATACTGAATGGGCAAAAACTGGAAGCATTCCCTTTGAAAACTGGCGCAAGACAGGGATGCCCTCTCTCACCACTCCTAATCAAATCATATTTTAAATATATGAGGTTAGTTCACTTTGAAAGGGCATGCAGTGGTGAATCCTTTGGAACGTGAATTATTCTCATTCTATCTGCTGTGTAAATACAGATTTTTATATCTTGGGTTTGTTTGAACTATATATACACTTGAGCTGAATGGGCCCCGGGAGTCATTTATTTCTCAACTTCAACTAACAAACTGCTGTTCTTGGTGCACGATTGCTTCAGCAGCAGCACTGGGAAACAAGAAGGAAGGCAATGGATTGGGTCTCCAGCACCGTGCGTGGGGATGACTCTTTCAGGACTCAAACACACGCTATTGTGGCATTCAGGAAGAGGATTTCTCCTCTTCTCAATGAAAGGCAGTCTTAGTCATAACCAGCTAGCATATTGTATTAACTCTCGACAATATAGTTTTCTTAACTACAAGCTCCTAGGGGCAGATATTTTATTTCTTATTAAGCATATAATTTACCTGTGTAAAAGTACCACATGCAGTTTATAAGTGCTACCTAGACATGAATTAATAAAACAAATATTCAGAGAAAAGAAACAGTAAGCACCTAGAGGATTAGGTACTTACTCTAAGGATTAAATAACATTCCTTTATTAACTAATTATGCATCAAATCTAAAACAGGAATCTCAGCAGTCCTGAGTCATCACTTTGGTAAATCAAATGCCATGAATATGAATGAATATCGCTGGGTCCTCTCCCTCTTGCATCTTTCTCTCTCCCAGAATACTTTCTCAGCATGTCTTGCTAATGAGTTGTACACTGGTCTTTCAGCCAGAAAAATTGAGGAACACACTGTTTTAAGAGTACCTGGGATTGTTTTAATCAGAGATGGTAAGATATGCAAACGTAGAAATGACTGTCATAATGAAAAAAGTCTACTTTATACTTACAGGTCCCTGGAAACCGGAGGCATGGCATGCTGTGCAGGGCCACACGGGGAAGCACCAGGGCTGTCAGGAGACAGACAGAGTGAAGGGGAAACATGGACAAGAGCCTTCATTGTGGTTTCCACAGGAAGAAATTAGCAAGGCAGGGTAAGCAGGCTTAGGCTAGTTTGAATAATTTCATCAGGCTCTGGGGCTTAAGGGCTGTCCCTAGCTGTCTGGTGTTTGGCCCTGGGATGATTAGGGAAGGTAAATAGTGGCCCATAGTGCAATAGCCCAGTAGAGGTTGTGGTTGGGAGTAGGGGCTCTGGATTGGTTGGTTCGCATATGAAAGATGTGCTTGGAGAGTTGTTTGCTCTCTCCAGGAATGAGCTGTCTCTGGAGGGGCAGTCCTTCCAGGGTTATCAAGGCCCCAAGATGTCAAAACATCCGAAATACAGAATGAAAAGACATGATTAATAGACATACCCACTGTAGTTCTCTGAAATGATACAGGAAGTCAGGGATTAGATCAAAACATGCACTTTACCACACCCCTCACTTCTGACCAGGACTTTTCTCAGGAAGACTCTGAGAATGTGGTAGCAATACAAATTTGAGTTATGGAAATAGGTTGTCTAAGACTTTTCATTGAATAACCAGAAAACCAGTTTTTCGAGCTGATAATACTGGGAAGTCCTCAACTTAGGATATGTATCAAGCCCGTAAGTAATGTCGTCAATTAGAGTTAGTTTCAGCTACATGTGACTGAAAATCAAATTTGTAACAGTGGTTAAAACCATATAAATCTTTGTCTTTTTCATGTAAATAAAGTCTGGAAGCAGGCAGTCAAGGGTAGGTATAGCGTTCTGTTCCACTAAGTCCTCAGGGATCCGGGCTCCTATGAGCTGGGGCCAAGCTACCCCTAGATTCTCTTTTGGTCCCCATGATCCAAGATGGAGGCAATTATGTTCCGGGCAACAGGATGGAGGAAGAAACAAAGGATAAGAGAGTAAAAGGCACATACCAGCTGTCTTTTATGGTTCCCGGAGTTATCACATGACATTTTAGTTTTCTCCCATTAGGCAGAACTTAGTCACATGGTCATACCTAGATGCAAAAAAACCCTGAAAAACGTATTTGTTATATAGCTCAACTAAAAATCAAAGACTTTTATGATTGACTTTGGGAGACAACTAATGGTCCCTGTCACAGCATTCTGTTTTGAGCTTCCATTCCTTCCCTTCTATATTCTCTTCTCTTTTATGCCACCCCCAGCACCTCCAAAAGTGGTCGGCTAGACACTTTTCAAACCAGAAATCTGTCGTCTTAAACTTCACTTTTTCTCTCACTCTCCACATTCAGGCCAAAACGAAGTCTGACTTTTCTACCTCCAAGTCTCTTTTAAGCAATTTCACAAGAGGGTCTTGCTGTCACCTTCTAACTGGTCCACCATCCTCCAGACTTACTGCCCCTTCACCTTGCCTGATACCCCCACACCCATTCCAGATCATGCTGTACTCTACAGCAGGAGCCACTTTCAGAATGCTCATCGATCATTCCGATTCCTATTCCTAGTCAAAATATAGGCATGTTTCTTCCTGCCTAGAGTCCTGCAGGGGTGCCTCGTGGCCTTCAGCTTAAAATTCAAATCCACTGGCATTGTATATGAGACCCTCCATGATGTGTGGTCCCCATCTGTCTCTCTCACTTCATCCTCCGACTCCTGCACATACTATAACAGCCCTACAAGATCTCAAACCCACCATGCAATTTAGAGACTCCATCCATTTGTGCATGCTGTGTTATTTGGAATGCTTTTCTCTGCTCTTTCCATCTAGGGATTTCTGGGTCTCCCCTAGGCCTAGGTTATCCATCTTTGGGAAGTATTCATTGACTCCCACTCCTGGTACCAGACAGGTACTGCTTCCTGGGTGCCAACCCCCAAGCCTAATATATACCCACTGGCCACAATATGGTGCAGTGATTTATTGACACATTTTTTTATCATATCAAGTTCTGAGTTTCTGCAAGATAAGAATTGCATCTTACTTATCTTTGTAGAACTAATACTCAACAGTATCTGTTGAGAAACAGGTCCCCAGTAAATGTTCATTAAATAAACAGACCCTTTGCTGACGGGGAGATGCTGTCTGAGCTTGGAGCTCCTACAGCACATTGGCATGTCCACAGTTGCATGTCCCTTCACTCTTGAGTAGCAGTTGGCTGGTGTCACCAGCCAGAATCTCAACTGTGAACTGTGCTGTGCACTACTTGGCCAGGGGCCATTCCAGTGACAGCTGTTTGGAGGCATGTCCATGTACCTGTGAGTGTTCGTTTGTAAAACAAGCAGGCCAAAAGCCACCATTGTATATCAAATATTTCAAAGTCAAATTATGACCCTTGTGGATGACAGAACCGGCCTTAATTTTTACAGTATACTTTGATGGTGACCCTATCCTAAAATGTACCGTTGTGAAGACATCAACCCACGAAAGTTTGCACTGTCTGTTGTTAAGATTCAGATTCTATGCAGATTCTGCAACCCATACCCCACTCATTAAAGCAACTTTGGCACTTTTTTAATCCATTCAGTGACCGTGACACTAGAGATTTTTAGCATGAGGCAGTTTGAAGTAAATTAAATGGTGAATTGAGATGCTGTGGCAGCTTCTGACGGCAAGTGAACCATGGAATGAAAGGTGGCCCAGGAGACCCTAAGGAAGGGTCCCTGCTTGTGATAACACCATCAGGTGGGGCCCCCTTCCAAGCCTGCTGCAGAACTCTGCAAAATGGTCTTTGCCGGGGTGGTTGGGCGTGGGGGAGGGATCCAGATTGGGATCCTAGCTCCACATCCTGGCTTTGCCATCTGCCAGCTTTGTAATGCTTGAAGAGTTACTCGGCTGCTTTATGCCTCCATTTCCTTGTAAATTGGAGAATTACACCAGAGTTACTTGATTGTAAAAATTAAATTAGATAATTTATGTGAAGTGGCTAGCACAAAGCCTGATCTCGATTAAGTGCTCCATAAACGTTAAAGATTAATTCCATTGTGATTAAGAAAAGAGTCAGTATTATTATGGACCCAGACTCGCTGGGATTGAATCTTGGCTCCATCATTTCCCAGCTGTGTGTCCTTGAACAAATTATTTAGTTTCTCTGTGCCCCAGTTACCTCATCTGTAAAACAAAGCTAATATTAGGTTATTCTGAGGAACCACTGAGACGAGGTATATAAAGTACTTAAAACAGTACCTGGTGCATTTAAAAAGGGAGCCTCCTGATTGGTGCACTTTCCAATGTGCCTTTGAATAAGATATACAGGATCTGGGTATATTGGCAGATACACTGGCAGCAGTAACTAGGGTTAGAGTTAATACTAATAGTACTAGTAAGCAGCAGCATTACTTTACCAATTAGTAACAGCTTCCATATTTTGCATGCATATTCTATGCCACACACAAGCATATGTGGAAGTTTCTCCTTACCTGTCTCCCTCCCCGACTCCCACAAAGCTCACCTGATTTTCCCCATGAGGTTGACACTGGACCCAGCCCAGGGCTGGCCATGTCCTTTGATTTAATAGTATATATCTACCCTTTCACACAATGCTTAGCATCAGTCTGGTCATAATCCCAAAAAACACAGTCCATAATACTGAAATCTAAAAAAGTCAAAATCCCTAACATCTAATATCCCAAAAATCACAATCTTGAAAAATTTAAATCCCAAATATTGAAATCCCAAAAGCAGAATTCTGGGGAAGGGATTAGTGCATCTTTAGTGACATGCAGGATAGTTGCATCATGTTAGTTGCATCATGTTGGGTGGAACTATTATCTTGGTATTGTCTATATGTGCATTTGGCAGAAAATTCAGATGAGTGGATGGGCCATTCAATAAGGCGTTAAGGAAAACTTCAGTTTAAAAATGTGTCATTTGCCTGCAATGGCATTACTTCCAGTCGATGAAATTCTGAGCTTTGAATAAATTAAAGCTTCATTTGTCTGAAGAAGCCAGCAATTTTTAACTGGTTTGAAAATAATTACGTGCAAAGCAGGGTAAGAAGACATGCAACAGTGTTGCCTTTGATCACCAGTATTGTTTCTGCCAAATGTGTGGTTTATATACGAGTGCGTGCAGAATGGATTTCCATGTACCCAAAACAACACAGAAGCATTGTACAGAAAATGAGAAAATGTAATAGGGAATGCTCATGTCAGTGTATATCAAATCATAGAATTTGAAGAGCAGTGTTGCATAGAAAATGAAGATGAAAATATTCTTTGAGGAGAGCCATGACCTTCAAGAAAAGAAGCAGCTATTCATTTATGACTCAAGACTTCAAAAATATAGTGAATGATCATGAAAGTTGGCCAGCTTTTATGGACTACCTCTTTGCAATTGCCCATAACCTAGCCCTGTAATATACCTTTTCATGTGTCAATTTTTTTTGACTTTTCATGATTTTTTTTCATTTTTTTCCACAATTTTAACTTGTCAGCATAATTTTTTTTTAATTTGATAAGCTATGTATTTCATCTTCACATCATTTCCAACACTGGACTTGTATAAATTGGTGAAAACTTTTAGAGAGTTCTAGTTCATTTTATGCATTTTTTGCAAATTTGACACCATGAAAGGGCATTATCACAACGTTGACTTTATGTGGAAGCATTGTGTGTGTACATAAAAATGTAAAAACTTCCTCAATAAATGACAAGATGTCTTTTTTGTACATCTGCACTTGTGAAAGATAAAATTTCTTGAGATCTTGGCTCTTTGGGTGACTATGTGGGTGTTGGTGACCCATCACGGTTTTTGCTCAATCTTGTCAAAACTTAGGTTGTCTGTCACCGTATTTTAGATGACCACAGTTATAAAAATGAGTGCATGCAATTACCAACCATAGTGTTATGTGTCAATACATTTTGCTTTTTGACCTATTTTTTTATGAATATGGTTTGTCTGCCCATAACTGTTATACCTGCCATTGGTATAGCTGAGTGTCTACTCTTGTAAAAATATGTATGTTATTATTGCCTGTTTTATTGTGGAAAGTGGCCTATGAAGTGTTCTGTCATGTTTTTACGCTTCTCAAATAAATCTCCTTTTAAAATGTAAATAAATGTCTTTTAAATGATTTAAAATATTTTTTCCAGAACTATTTTTGGGATTTTGATTTTTCAAGATTCCAACATTCAGGATGATGGCATTCGGGATTGTGTCTTTCAGAATTTTGCCCAAACCCAGCTGGCATATAGTAGTGTTCAACAAATATGACATGAAGTACAACAGGGCTGCCATGTTGCACAACTTAGGATGCGGTATATGTGGTGCTCTAGCCTGTTCCTAGAGCAAGGTTCTACCAAACTTTAGCAGTGTTCCTACAAACTCCCTATGATGAAGCTGCCACAGTTTATCTATGCTAGTGCCTGAGTGTGAATTATTTCAGGATTACAGCTGCAGAGTGGTTCATAAACCTATAACTGTATCTTAATTATGGTAGCATGACTTCCTGGCCTCTAGTGTTGACAATCCAAAATAACTGCAAATTTTCATTACCACACTAATATTTACATATTGATCATTTAAAAAGCAGTGATTAGTCAATATTTTATAAGTGATCTTCACACTTTTTTTTCTATCCCTCCAGAAAAAGCGTCAGTATGACTCTGCTGAATGTCAATTACAGCCAGGCAATATTGTCATATATTTATTGTGTTACTCCATCTATTGCCTTTCTTTCTAACATAACGTGTAGTTTGGATTTCAACTGTTTGTTTACATAGCCACTCCCTTTCCCCTGTAAGAACTTTGAAAAACTATGTGCCCCCAGCACATACTTAAGTAGATACTTAATATTTTTCATAAGTCTAAATAGTTGCAAAGGATGTTATTTCTGGTCATTGAAAACATTGAACAGAAGCTGGGCTGAAGAGAAGGGAGCTGGGAATCCTGCAGGGGGCTGCTGTGCACTTGACTCATCCCTGGCCCCCAGTGACTCCAGGGGAATGAGTGAGTTGAACAGGAAAGGACCAACTCACTCCCACCATGGGCCTCTAGAATCCCAACAGGAGGAGAACCCTCAACCACTACAGACAATTGAGTTGGCAGGAAGAGCTTCTTAGAGAAGTGGTAGGGGAAGCACACCAGTCGATGTAGAGCCCAGAGGGTTTGGTGAGGGAGTGTCTGTAGTGGAGCATGGCCAAAAAAATTAAAACCCATCCAAAGGACAGCAACTTCAAAGACTGAAGGAACACCAGGCCACAAAGATGAGGAAAGAACCAGTGCAAGAACTCTGACATCTCAAAAATCCAGAATGCCTCTTTCCTCCAAATGACCACACTACCACTCAAGCAAGGGTTCTGATCCAGGCCAAAATGGCTGAAGTGACAAAAATAGAATTCAGAATAAAGATAGGAACACAGATCATTGAGATTCAGGAGTACATTGAAACCCAATCCAAGGAAGTAAAGAATCACAATAAAATGATACAGCAGCTGACACACAAAATAGCCAGTATGCAAAAGAATATAACTGACCTGATAGAGCTGAAAAACACACTATAAGAACTTCATAATGGAATCGCAAGTATTAATAGCAGAATAGACCAGACTGAGGAAAGAATCTCAGAGCTTGAAGACTGGCTTTCTGAAATAAGAGAGTCAGACAAGAATAGAGAAAAAAAGAATGAAAAGGAATGAAGAAAATCTCTGAGAAATATGGGATTATGTAAAGAAACCAAATCTACAACCCATTGGTGTCCCTGAAAGAGATGGGGAGAGTATAACCAAGTTGGAAAACATAATTCAGGATATCATCCATGAGAAATTCCCACCCTAGCTACAGAGGTCAACATTCAGGAAATGCAGAGAACCCCAGTAAGATACTTCACAAGAAGGTCATCCCTAAGACACATCATCATCAGATTCTCCAAGGTCAAAATGAAAGAAAAAATGTTAAAGGCAGCTAGACAAAAAGGTCAGGGTCACCTACAAAGGGAAGCCCATCAGACTAATAGTGGATGTCTCAACAGAAACCTTAAAAGCCAGAAGAGATTAGGGGCCAGTATTCAATATTCTTAAAGAAAAAACTCCAACCAAGAATTTCATATCCAGCAAACTACGCTTCATATGTACACAGACCAGTGACACTATAAAGCAACCAAACAAACAAGTCTACATAATAACCAGCTAATATCATGATGACAGGGTCAAATCTACACATATCAATACTAACCCTGAATGTAAATGGGCTAAATGCCCCAATTAAAAGGCACAGAGTGGCAAGCTGGATAGAGAACCCAGACCCAATGATATGCTGTCTTTAAGAGACTCATCAAACATGCAATGACACCCCTGGGCTCAAAATAAAGGAATGGAGAAAAATCCACCAAGCAAATGGAAAACAGAAAAAAGCAGGGTTGCAATCATAGCTTCTGACAAAACAGACTTAACCAACAAAAACCAAAAAACACAAAGAAGGGCATTATGTAATGGCAAAGGGTTCAACAAGAAGACCTAACTATCCTAAATATATATGTATCCAACACAGGAGCACCCAGATTCATAAATCAAGTTCTTAGAGACCTTCAAAGAAACTTAGACTCCCACACAATAATAGTGGGAGACTTTAACATCCCACTGACAGTATTAGACAGATCACAGAGGCAGAAAATAAACAAAGATATTCAGAACATAAACTCAGCACTAGATCAAAGGAACTGGATAGACATCCACAGAACTCTCCACCCAAAAACAACATAATATTTTTGCATTGCCACAGGGCACATACTCTAAAATCAAACAAATAATCCAAAATAAAACACTCCTCACCAAATGAAAAAGAACTGAAATCATAACAACCACTCTCTCAGACTACAGCACAATAAAATCAGAAATCAAGACTGAGAAAATCACTCAAAACCATACAATTGTATAGAAATTGGATAACCTTCTCTTGAATGACTTTTAGGTAAATAATAAAATTAAGACATAATCAAGAAGTTCTTTGAAACCAACGAGAACATACCAGACAACATACCAGAATCTCTGGGACACAGCTAAGGCAGTGTCAAGGGGAAAATTTATAGCACTAAACACCCACATAAAAAATTAGAAAAAAATATCAATTTAACTACCTACCATCACAACTAAAAGAACTAGAGAGCTAAGAGCAAACCAATACCAGAGCTAGCAGAAATGAAATGAAATAACCAAAAACAGAGCTGAGGTGAAGGAGACTGAGACACAAAAAAACACCATTTAAAAGATCGATAAATCCAGGAGTTGGTTTTTTGAAAAAATAACTAAAATTGATAGACCACTAGCTAGACTAATGATGAAAGAGAGAAGATCCAAATAAGTACATTTTAGAAACAACAATGGGAATATTACCACTGACCCCAGAGAAATACAAATAACCACCAGAGAGTATTATGAACACCTTATGCACACAGACTAGAAAATCTAGAAGAAACTGACAAATTCCTGCATATATACACTCTCCCAAGACTGAACCAGGAAGAAATTTAAACCCTGAACAGACCAATAATGAGCTACAAAATTCAATCAGTAATAAATAGCCTGCCAACCAAAAAAAAATCCCAGTACCAGACGGATTCACAACCAAATTCTACCAGATGTGCAAAGAAGAGCTGGTGACATCCCTACTGAAATTATTCCAAAAAATTGAGGAGGGGGTACTCCTCCCTAACTCATTCTGTGAGGCTGGAATCATCCTATACCAAAAACTGGCAGAGACACAACAAAAAACGAAAATTTCAGGTCAATATCCTTAATGAACATTGATGCAAAAATCCTCAACAAAATATTGGCAAACTGAATCCAGTAGCAGATCAAAAAGCTAATCCACCACAATCAAGTAGGCTTCATCCCTGGGATGCAAGGCTGTTTCAATGTACACAAATCAATAAATGTGATTCATCACATAAACATAACTAAAGACAAAAACCACATGGTCATCTCAATAGATGCAGAAAAGGCTTCTGGTAAAATTCAACACCTCTTCATGTTAAAAACCCCCAATAAACTAGGTATTGAAGGAACATATCCCAAAATAATAAGAGCTATCTATGACAAACCCATAGCCAACATCATACTGAATGGGCAAAAGCTGGAAGCATTCCCCTTGAAAACTGTCACAAGACAAAGATGCCCTCTCTCACCACTCCTATTCAACATAGTATTGGAAGTCCTGGCTAGAGCAATTAGGTAAGAGAAATAAAGGGCATCCAAATAAAC
This sequence comes from Homo sapiens, assembly GCF_000001405.40. NCBI lineage: Eukaryota > Metazoa > Chordata > Mammalia > Primates > Hominidae > Homo > Homo sapiens. Next base: position 25,936,120 of record NC_000007.14, read on the forward strand.
AGAGAGAAAGCCAAATTATCCCTGTTTGCAGACAATATGATTCTATATCTAGAAAACTCTGCAGTCTTGGCCCAAAAGCTCCCTCACCTGATAAATAACTTCAGCAAAGTTTCAGGATACAAAATCAACGTACAAAAATCACTAGCATTCTTATACAACAACCACGAAGCTGAGAGCCACATCAGGAGCACAATCCCATTCATAATTGCCACAGAAAGAATAAAATACCTAGTAATATAGCTAACCAGGGAGGTGAAAGATCTCTACAATGAGAACTACAAAACGCTACTCAAATAACTCAGAGAAGACACAAACAAATGGAAAAACATCCCATGCTCATGTATGGGAATAATTGATATTGTTAAAATGGCCACACCACCCTAAGCAGTTTATAGATTTAATGTTATTCCTATCAAACTACCAGTGATATTCTTCACAGAACTAGAAAAAGAATTTCAAAATTCAGGTGGAACCAAAAAAGAGCCTGAAAGCCTATGCAATCCTAAGCAAAAAGAACAATGCTGGAGGCATCACATTATCCAACTTCAAACTATATTACAGGGTTACAGTAACCAAAACAGCATGGTACTGGTACAAGAACAGACATATAAACCAATAGAGAGCCTAGAAATAAGGCCACACACCTACAACCTCTGATCTTTCACAAAGCTGACAAAAACAAGCAATGGAAAAAGGACTCTATTCAATTAATGGTGCTGGGATAACTGGCTAACAGTATGAAGAAGATTGAAACTGGACCCCTTCCTTATACCTTATACAAAAATTAAGTCAAGACGGATCAAAGACTTAAATATAAAACCCAAAACTATAGAAAACCCTGGAAGGTAACCTAGGAATACTATTCTGGACATAGGAATGGGCAAGGATTTCATGACAAAGACTCCAAAAGCAATTGTAATGAAAGCAAAAATTAACAAATGGTATCTAATTAAACTAAAGAGCTTCTGCACAGCAAAACAAAAACAAACCTATCAACAGAGTAAACAGCCTAGAGAATGGGAGATAATATTTGGAAACTATGCATCTGACAAATGTCTAATATCCAGCATCTATAAGGATCTTAAACAAATCTACAGGAAAAAAACAAACAACCCCATTAAAAAGTAGTCAAAGAACATGAACAGTCACTTTTCAAAAGAAAACATACATGTGGCCAACAAGCATATTTTTAAAAGCTCAACATTACTGATGATTAGAGAAATGTAAATCAAAGCCTCAATGAGATACCATCTCACACCAGTCAGAATGGCTACTATTAAAAAGTGAAAAAATAACAGGTGCTGTCAAGGTTGCAGAGAAAAAGGAATGCTTATACACTGTTGGAAGGAGTAAAAATTAGTTCAACCATTGTGGAAAACAGTGAGGTCATTCCTCAAAGACCTAAAAACAGAACTGCCATTCGACCCAGCAATCCTATTACTGGGTATATACCCAAAGGAATATAAATCATCCTATCATAAAGACACATGCATGTGTATGTCTCCTGCAGCACTATTCACAATAGCAAAGACATGGAATCAACCTAAATGCCCATCAATGGTAAACTGAATAAAGAAAATGTGGTCTATATACACCATGGAAAACTATGCAACCATAAAAAAAGAACTACATCACGTCCTTTGCAGAAACATGTTTGGAGCTGGGGTCATTATCCTTAGCAAGCTAATGTAGGAACAGAAAACCAAATACTGCATGTTCTCACTTATAAGTGGGAGCTAAATGATGAGAACATATGGACACATAGAAGGGAACAACACACACTGGTGTCTACTTGAGGGTGGACAGTGGCAGAAAGGAGAGGATCATAAAAAATAACTAATGGGTAATAGGCTTAATACCTGGGTGATGAAATAATCTGTACAACAAACCCCCATGACATGACGTTAACTATATAACAAACCTGCACATGAACCCCTGAACTTAAAATAAACATTTTAAAAATTCAAATGTTAAAATAAAATAGCAACATTATTCTTTTATATATCTCCAATGAAGCTTAAACGTCATGGCAATTTGATTCCAACAATTATTCATTTTAAAATATACAAATACGCTCTTATTTAATAATCAGAATATCGATGTTTTCTTATTTCTTGAAACTATAATGCATTCTACTTTCCCTACAGAAGTATTATGACATAATTTTTTTTTTTTTGAGACGGAGTCTTGCACTGTCGCCAGGTTGCAGTGCAGTGGCGCAATCTTGGCTCACTGCAACCTCTGCCTCCCAGGTTCAAGCAATTCTCCTGCCTCAGCCTCCTGAGTAGCTGAGATTACAGGCGCATGACACCACGCCTGGCTAATTTTTGTATTTTTAGTAGAGACGGGGTTTCACCATGTTGGTCAGGCTGGTCTCAAACTACTGACCTCGTGATCCGCCTGCCTCGGCCTCCCAAAGTGCTAGGATTACAGGCATGAGCCACCGCGCCCGGCCTTATGATGTAATTTTTTATACTTAAAGCCTTTTTACTGATTATTATACTTCTCTATAATCAAAATACATATATAAATTGTGATTTAAATTTAATTTCCCATTGCCATGATTTTCCAAGTATTAATTTTGCTAGATTGAGTCTTCATTATAATTATTACTAGTATACAACTGATCAAAATAATGTAACTTTGTAAGTTTTGATAATTACTAAACATAACCAGGAAAATTTTTCGGAAATGTATTTCTTCATCAGGTTAATGGGAAAATTTTAGGGCCTTAATTGAAAGAAGCAGCATGGATAATATCTTTTTTGCTTCTTGCCCATCTCTTCCTGATAAAATGGAAGCCCCATGAGGACAGAAATGTTTTACTGTTATGTTCACTGCAGTAACTCATCATCCAGAACTGTGCCTGGTATATATTAGGTATTTAATAAATATGTATTATGAAATGAAATTGTCCCTTTGCTATCATAAAGGTTTCTACACCCAGGCAATATACTTTAGTAAGATTTGGGATGGGGGAGGGTGGTGCCTTTCCTTTGTAGAGTAGCAAAAGGATGATAGAAAGGAAGAGATGTAGGAGAGGGTAAATAACTCCCAGCCCAGAGGTTCTTATGCAAGTCTGTTTTAGGAACTCGACGATAGGAAAGTTGAGGACACATAACCCAACACTTCGATGCCCAAGTGCCCCTTACAAAGTCTTTATATACCCCCCTGGGTGGGTGTGCCCCAGTCTGAAGACCTCTGGACTTTATAACAGTAATCAAAGGTGCCATGCTATTGTTTTTAAAAAGAGAAGGTGTGTCAGCATCAGGAAGAATCAGGAGAACAGCTTCTTTCTATTGTAATCATTCCAAGCTGGAAGCTTCCCAAACCAGGATCAACCTAAAAAGAAATGATGGAAGATAAATGTAGGCTTTAATTCAATCCCACAAGAGAAAAACTTGGAAAGCAGGTATATGGAAGGACATAGTTATCTCAACTTCACATTAAACATTAGAGGAGCCAACATTAGTGAAATGAAATTGAAATTATGTTAACTCTCATAGTCAAGATACACACAGGCACACACACACAGATTAGAACCCACAAACTCATTCACTCATTCAGTGATTTACGGAATGGCCACCATATGCCATGCACAGTGCTGGGTGTTGGGCTATAGCAACAAATTATGCACAAATGGACCTGCCCTCATGGAGACTAGAATTGAAGCCAATGTGACCAATGTTCTAGGCATTGTACGACAATTTAGTTTCAACAAATTCTGTTTCAGAAACAGAAAAACAAACCTAATGATTTAGCTTGGGGAGGAAGAAAAGATATGAGCGAATCAAGGAAGAAAAGATATGAGAGAATAAGCTTCCTATTCTTTCCTGTTTTTCCTGGTGAAGTACAGTTTTTCAAGGTAAATTATCCATAATCCATTATAAAATGTCTAAAATCGTTTGAAATCCACTACTTCAAAGCTAAAAAGAAAAACTGAATTCAATTTTCCGTTTTCACGGGGTACAGATAAATCCTGATCCATCAACTGTTAACATCAAATGACTTAACAGCCCAGGCTGGTCTTGCTTAATCACTTAACCATCCTCTTCCTTTTGTCTAATCCCCAGATACATCTCAACACCCTAACAAACCAGTTCTCTGACGGCCTTTCAAAAGCTGCATTGGTTGCCTTTCCTCTTCTCTAACACACACACTCTCTCACAGCTTAGGAAGACTGAAAAATCTGAAGGCGTATTTTCTATAGCACTTCAGCTCATGGTAATAACTTCAATATAAATGTTGACTCATAGGAAAACAGTAGCCAACTGAAAGTGCAGCTTAAGAAATGAAGCACACAGCAAGACCTAATCCGCAGATACCAGTTCTGTCTCTATGCTGCAGCAGGGGGTCAGCCTCATTCATCACTGAGGAGACGGAGCATATCTTTTTGACAGCATGCAGCAGAGTTGGGAAAACAATTCTAATGGAGCCCTAATTAAGGGTGCCATTTCTACCAATGAAGATGAACCCAGGTCCAGCCCAAGACGTATCTGAAGGACACAAATCCCCTCCCAAATGTATTAAGTGAAAACAGCACCTCCATCCTCTTCTCATGAGCCTCTTTAATAATGTCTCCAGTTATCCACGCACCTCCCACCTCCAGGCAAGGCGTATGTGCAACTGAACCTTCAAGTAGAGACATAAGATGATTTTTAACTTTGATTAGAAGCTTTTCAAGATAATCTCTTCCTGTTTTGTCCTCTGGCAAGAGCTCCCCTTCCTTCATTTGGTCACAGAGTGGTTTTCTTTTAAAAGAACTATTCAGCTTTTGGAAAACCGACAAGAAGAAACTGAGAGAATTCACACACCACAGAAAACTGGGTACACAGCTGCTACTAAACTTCATTGTCCTTTTATCTCCAGCCTCTCCACCAACAGAAAGACACAGAAGGAAAGAGAAAGAGAGACAGAGAATGAATCTGAAGTCTGAAACCTTGTAGTTCGTTTGAACCAGTCAGTTCTTGTTCAGAAAGGAAGAGGAAGGGCAGGAGTGGCTATTGGCGCCAGAGGGAGGGTTAGTGACTCAGTCCTACCCTCCTAACAGATTAAACACCAAGGAACACAAGCCTTGGAACCAGACCTGGCTCTGACCCTCTGCCCCGCCCCTTGTAGTGTGACAGGGAAGCTCCAGTTCCCTTATCATACCTCAATTTTATCCATAAAGTGGCGACATGAGGAAAATGCCCAGCATTTAGTAAGTGCTCAATCAATATTGGTGGAAAGGTTCCTAATAACAATTATAATAGTACTAGGTAACTTTAATGATGATTTACCAGGTGTGAGGCACTAACAATTTTTTTTTTTTTTTTTTTTTTTTTTTGAGACAGAGTTTCACTCTTATTGCCCAGGCTGGAGTGCAATGGCACAATCTCGGCTCACCACAACCTCCGTCTCCCGGGTTCAAGTGATTCTCCTGCTCCAGGCTCTCAAGTAGCTGAGATTACAGGTGCGTCACCACACCCAGCTAATTTCGTATTTTTAGTAGAGATGGGGTTTCTCCATGTTGGTCAGGCTGATCTCGAACACCCGACCTCAAGTGATCTGCCGGCCTTGGACTCCCAAAATGCTGGGATTACAGGCGTCAGCCACCGCGCCTGGCCAGCACTAACAATTTTAATCTGTTCAACAATTCTGTGAGCTGCATACTATCATTATTCTTGTTTTAATGAGTAGAAAGCTAAGAAACAAAGGTTAAATATCTTGCCTAAAGCCACCTCGCTACCAAGAGACTAAGCCTATGCTTGGCCTCGAGCAGCCAGGCTTAGAGCAGGACAGTCCAATGGACCTTTCTGCAATGATGGAAAATGTTCTATAATCTGTGATTTCTGGCACAGCAGCCACTAGCCCTATGCAGCTGTTGAACACTTTAATGTGGCTGGTGCAACTGAGGAAATAAATTTTGAATTTTATTTAATTTTAATGAATTTCAATTTAAAAAGCCACATGTGGCTAGCTGCTACCATATCAGGCATCACAGCTCAAGAGGTCCCACTGTTAACTTCCAAAGCTCAGGTACATCCAGTGTAGGCAGGAGACTTCAAAAATGACACTAATAAAATTGGGACTAATGTGTCTATACATGTGACTGTAATGCGGGAGACAAACATATCTCATTGCTAATAATATTGCCATATTATTTCCTATTTGCCTTCTACCTATATGACAAACTTATTTTTTCAGTAAAAAAAATCTATTATTTTTAAAAAGTCAAATGATCAAAAGTGTATAACCTATTAAGCAAAACTTCCTTTCTCCAGCACCACTTCCACCGCCCCCATCCTGATCCCCTTCAGACCAGAGCACACAAATTCTGTATCTATTTGAGTCTATATGTACATGAGTGCACACAGAGGAATAAAAATGGGATCCAATCCCACTTAACTGTTCTACAACATTTTCTTTACATAAAATTACATCTCATTCACCTTCCATGTTGATTGCCTACATATCTACCTCATTCTTTCCTAGTAAATATTTTGTTGATGGCTTTATCCCAATTTATTTAATTGGTCTTCTATTAATGGAAATCTTAATTAATTCTCAATTTTGTCTTTAAAAATAATACTGCAATGAGTGTACAACCACCATGGAGTTGCAGCTTTTTAAGACCACTCCCTATACATGGTTCAGCAGACATTGTTGTTTGTCTACCCAAAAGACACCCCTCCACCTCTTCTTTGCTATCAGAATTGACCTGGTTCAGGGTCCACCCCAGTTCCTCGTGACTCAGACTTAGGTCCTGATTGGTCTAGGCCACTTAAGTGATCCCATTTTCATCAGCAGTGATTGGTTAATACCTGGGCATCCAACTCAATTCTGCCCCTCGGCAAATAGCAGAAAATGGCTGGAGGTCTTGAAAAAACAAGGTGCTCAGGGACATTCTTCTGTGAGGGCTGCAGCCATCACATTGCCACAAGAGAACCTAGTCTGAGAATAAGACAAAGAAGCCGAGGATGGCAGAGGAAAAAGATGGGAAGAAGCCAGATCTTTAATGCAGTGTTGAGCTGCTGAATTAACCAAACTGGAGCCTCCTTACCTCTGGGCTTCCTGTAAAGTAAGTTATTTTTTCCTTTCAGCCAGTTGAGTTTGGGTCTACATTAATTAGAACCAAAACTACCTAACCAATACAAATGCAATTGGTGGTTCAAAGCAGATGCACAGATTTTATTCTGATGGGTACCCTATAGTCACTTCTGTTTAACCTCTTCATAGCATGAATGCAGAAAATGTCTCAATGGCATGGATCATTCTTCATCCTCTAGAATGGCAGCATTCTGCTACATCGGTCCAAGCTTATTTGAACAGCCCTCCCATCAGCATCCCCTGCCTGATGCACACAGATGATATTGAATTAAATATACAACCACGACTGGGCACGGTGGCTCATGCCTGTAATCCCAGCACTTTGGGAGGCCGAGGTGGGCAGATTGCTTGAGTTCAGGAGTTCGAGACCAGCCTGACCAACAAAGTGAAACCCTGTCTCTACTAAAAATACAAAAATTAGCCAGGCATGGTGGCACGCCTGTAGTCCCAGCTACTCGGGAGGCTGAGACAGGAGAATCGCTTGAACCTGGGAGGCAGACGTTGCAGTGAGCCGAGATCACGCCAATGCGCTCCAGCCTGGGAGACAGAGAGAGACTCTGTCTCAAAAAAAAATATATATATATGTATATATATATATATATATATATATATATATCTCCAGAAATCTGGCCAGACTAAAGATAAAGATCTTCCGGAGCTATATTTCCTAGCCTTTTTCATATCATGTTACACATAGAAAAGGATAACATTTTAGGGCACACTGGGATAAATGGATAGTGCTATTCAAAGCCAAGGGTTTTTCACCTAAGGATTCCTGCTGCCCTAGTAGGCCCTGCCTGGCCTCCCTGGAGGAGAGAACAAATTTGAAAGCCAGTTCCACTTGAAAGCCAGTCATGGAACACTGGTTGTGAGGTTTGCTCTGGAAGGATTCATCATATGTTGATTCCAAACAACATTATTTTTTTCTACATTTTAACGTCTCTGAAATTAGGATGCATTTAATAACCAATAACATCTTAAAAGTGCTCTCAGCCAGGCGGCAGGCATGATATCACTAACATTTTCTACCTTTGTTCAAATTCAGACTAACGATCTTCTGTTGGTCCCTTCTGGTAGGGCCGAGGAGACCCCAGCATCACGGTGAGTTACTGTTTAATGAGTACAGAGTTTCAGTGTGACATGATGAAAAACTTCTGGAGGTGGATGGTGATGATGGTTGCACAGCAAACAATGGGAATGTACTTAATACCACAGGAACGCACACTTAAAAGTGGTCAAAATAGTAAATTATATGTTATGTATATTTCACCACAATTAAAAGCAGGAGGGAAAAGGCCCAGCATTAAACTTTGCAGAAAGAGCATCAGTGGCTTCGATGCAGAGACAATAGTGGAACACTCTTTTAAGAAACACTGCATCTTGGCTTGTGTTCTTGATGGCACAGAAGATGACACTATGCGAAAAAAATATATACAGACGTGAGGACCCTGAATATGAAGAAGTTTTAGGAATTCTTCAACCAACTTATTTCTCTTATAGGTTTTTTTAAATGTATTCATAGATGTGACATGCGACCAAAAAAAAAAAACAAACAAACCAAAAACTATGCTGGCAATTTCCCATTTGACCCTCCATGTCCACACCCCACCGTCTTAACCCCTGGAGGCCACCCTCCTTGGACCATATCAGGGTATTCACTCCCTTGGTTCCCCCCTTGCTGAGCTGTGAGTTGGCAATGGCATTTGGTTTCCTCCACCAAATGCCCCAGCTCCTGGCAGGCAGCCCTCTCCTACAGCCTCAGCTCCCCCCAGGAGCTGTTCTCTCCAGTCGCCCCTTGATGGCTGGGAGTGGTCACAGCTTCCCACTGCTGCCAGCACCAGAGTACTTCCCTCTTCCTGGTTGGCTTCCCTCAACCCTGCCCACACCCTGTGTAATATTCCTTTCAGCAACCTCTCTTCAGTGCCCCCTTCCCTTTGGAGCGTGCTTTGGCAATGGTTAATTTCTTAGATTTGATGAATGAGGGTGAAATTTTCAATAAGCCATAAAGAGTTAAAGAGATGTTTCCAATATTACACTTCCAGAATTAATTTGGGATTACAGCCAAGCAAGTTTAATGTTTCGAAATATCATACACAATGCAGCTGAGCGCCAATTTTATTCCCTGGGTTAGTACTAATCAGCAAAATGTACGTAAGGGCCTCAAGAACAGACTGCCCTGAACGTTCCTGTGTGTTGCTCCAGGTCAGTGGGTCTTCCTGCTCTCATCCTACGCCCACCCACACCCCTCCTGTCCATGCCACTGGCTTTCAGCATGTCTTCTCTCCATGACTCTAACAGCTTCATAACTGGCTAGTTTGCCTCCCAACAACTCACCCTGCCTTCTGCTGCCAGAATATATTTTCTACAAAAGCAGAGCTGATTAGGCCATTTTCCTGCTTACAGGCTTTTGTTGCTCCCCATGGCTTCCAGGGTGCAGTTCAAATGTTTATAGGTACCACACAAGACCCTTCCTGGTTTTCCCCTGCCAATCTCCTAGCCTCATTACCTGTTGCTCATCTGCCTGCCACACATAAAGACTTGCTAATTCCCAAACACATCATACTGTTGCATATTTCCATGAGTCTGTACTTGCTGTTCCCTTGAACTAAAATGCCCTTTCCTCCCTTCATTCAGGTACCACCTACTCATCCTCCAATATCCAGCTGGCACCTCCTCTGGGAAGACTTCCTGGATATTTCAGGTTGATTTAGCAGCATGCTATGTGTATCACACTGAAATGGCCTACATCCAGAAGCTGACACATGGTAAAGAATTAAAAGTTTCTTGAAAGAATGCATTAATGCAACTTATTTTCTGCTTCTATTGTTTTTCTTGTAGTATACCAACTAGGACACTTTTTGAAGAAACTGCAATTCTTCTCAGCATTCAATTCTGTCCAGTGGCAAAGGTGATCAGGAGATTCAAAGTAGTAAAAATAATCCCCAAAGTAGTGCTACCACTAGGCCCTGGAAACCAACCTCACATACTAAAGACAGACTGAAGATCTGCATTGAGCTAAGCCCTAATTATGTTCAGTGTTCTTAACTTTGAATCTAGACTCCCAGGCTTTGTACTATGCCGTAACCAATTGGGCAACTAAATGATGACCGGTACAGCACAGCTGCTAAGATCACAGACTAATCCAAACTGCCCGGGTCTGTACCTTGCTTCAGCCACTGTCTAGCTGTGTGTCTTGGGCAAGTTAGTTAATCCCTTTATGCCTCAGTTTGCTTATCTGTAAGATGGGAACAATATTAACAGTACTGACCTCATAGAATAAATGATTTCACATACGTGAATGGTTACAACAGTGCTTTGCACAAATTAAGTACTACTTAACCAGCTATTTTTTGTATTTCTTCTATTAACTGGCAAACACAGAGAGAGAGGAATATCTAAGAAGCAAATCAGAGGTAATTTCAGGGTGTCTCTTTGCTGTGTGGAGACACTCCTGGCTCTCCTAGTGCCCACTTAATTAATTCACAGATCAGAATTGCAAGACCTATGTCTAATATTGCCAGGGGTCTGCAGAAGAGACATTGTCCTCCTTCCAGCTGGCTCCTCCAACACAGCCAAAGCAACATGGGTTGTTCATTCCTTACACATCAACTATAGCTGTGGGAACAATGAGTTCTGCCTTTTTTTCCCTGTCCACTGCTTTCATATTTAAGGTTGCTCCTGTGTCAGTAGTGATTATCTCAGAAGATCTCCCTGTATATAAGGCCCCATGAACAAGAAAATTTTGTATCAATTAACAAGAGACAAGCTTAGGGGAAGAAGTGCTTCCTGAACATCACCTGCAGACTAGACTATAGCACTCTTGTGGGATCCCAACAAATACGTCGTCCACCCCGCTCCCAACTATTTAAAGAATATTTGAAAGCACTCGAATTCTTTGGCATAAACACTCTTTGAAATGCAAGTTATGTCGAATCCTAGAATTTTACTTCTGGAAGATGTGGTGGGAGATTATATAAAATGGGGAATCAGTGACCCAGCACCATGGCTTCCCAGCTCCTCTGCACGCCCCCCCATATTTCCCAACCCTTGCATTTGAAATTTAAAATGTTCTTTAAAAAATTAAAGGCTTTCAGTGTTGAGTGATAGTCACGCACTGCATAAGGATATTTCAGTCAACAATGGACCAAATATATGACAGTAGTCGCGTAAGATTATAATGAAGCTGAAAAATTCCTACAGCCTAATGATGTCACAGCTGTCATGTCATAGCATTTTTTTTAAATATAGTGTAGCCTAAGTTTATAATATTTATAAAGTCTACAATAGTGTAACGTCCTAGGCCTTCACATTCACTCACCACTCACTGACTCACCCAGAGCAACTTCTAGTCCCACAAGCTCCATGCATGCTAAGTGTCCCATATGGGTGTAACATTTTTTACATTTTATATTGTATTTTTACTGTACCTTTTGTACGGTTAAATAAATCCTTACCATTGTGTTACATTTGCCTACAGCACTCAGTACAGTACCATCCTGCACAGGTTTGTAGCCCAGGAGCACTAGGCTATGGCATACAGCTTAAGTGTGTGGTAGTCTCTACCACCCAGGTTTAAGAACACTCACTCTGTGATGTTTGCAAAAACAATGAAATCGCCTAACACCACGTTTCTCAGAACCTATCCTCATCATTAAGCAATGCATGACTAAAGTTTCAGCTGCACCTGTTTGGTTCATTCACATAAAGTATCTAAAATAAAGACAGGAGTGCCAAGGCCATGCAAAGTAGGTTGCTAGTGATGGTTTCCTTTGCCCAGCGATCTGGGTTAAATGAACACCACGGCCTCCCCAGCGTTCCTTGTTCTTCCTTCCCTGACGTTTATCACCCTTCTGATTATTTTATATTTGTATTGTCTACCTCTTGCATGAGAAAGACCTCCAAGAGGGCAGGGTTCGGGGCCTATTTTGTTCACTGTTGCATTCGTAACGTCTAGAGTAACACCTGATGCTCGGGAGGTGAAAATACACTGATTGCTAAACGACTGAGGTCTATGAGACCATGCCAGGTTTACAGTAAGCACCCCAAGACTGCCGATTTTCCCAGTTCCTATTCCTGGCATCCTTAGCACCAGAGTAAACCACAGCCCTCCTGCTTGGTTAGTCCTTAACTCACTTGTGGTCACAAACAGGAGAAATGCAAATCACTTAAGCATAGAAGTCAAACCAGACTGAATCATGTCAGGGACTCCAAACCTTGCCTTTCTCTGGAGGTGAGAGATCCTGACCTAATTCCTTTGTATGGATGACTACTCTCCCAGTCAACCGCTCCACTCTTTACCTCCCATTCTCTTACAAAGTTGATTTAAGTTTTCTTAAAATTCAGTATATTCAGACTATCTTGTGGAGATGTACAGACATAAGAACTAGGAAAGAGAATCCTCTTCCTCAAGTAAGCATACCTTACATCTCAAATGAACACAAGACGTACTTGAGTTTGGATCACTTTATTTAACTGCACAGAAATAATTCAGCCATTTTTGGGTAAAGGATTGAGGAACAAAAGCAAAGCAGTCACTGATGGAAAAGTGGGAGAATGGATAATGGCCACACAAAAGAGAACACATGCTGCCTTAGGATCAATACACAGCATTTCTGTGAAAAGCAACTGGTAGGTCCTGCCATTAAGCTCTAACATCAAGCAGCTGAATACTTTCTCCCTCATTGAGCCTTCCTCCATTATCATCCCTCTCCCGATGATAAACCACTGGAATATACCTAAGTAAAAAAAATGGTGGCTTTCTTTACCAAGGGCTTCCCAGAGACACAAGCAACCCCCAGGTTTCTGAAGCATCCCATAAAATACATCAGAAGGCCCTTCCCTTACCTGTCAGCACCACGGGCACAGGAACCATTTCCTTTTTTCCCTACCACCCTGCGTCCTGTGCCTGGCCAAAAGCTCATAAAACCAAAACAGGGCAATGTCCATGGAACAGGACTACAATTTGGTGCCAGTCACTGACCCACTATAGAGAGCAGGCTATTGATAGAAACTCACCAACCCAAACCTCCATTCCACTAGGGATGAGAGAGCAGTCTCTCCACCTAAAGGATCTCCACAGCCCAAAAGCATAAATGTCCCCCTCCCCCAGTGGCTTTCAAAATGCTTTCTTGGAAAAAGTTCTTCCTTTCCATTAATAAAACTTACTTTAAAAAACAAAAGTGAACTGCATCTAAATCGGAAGCAGAATTGAGACTAGATCTCCAAACTCAATCCCTGCAGGCTGTCATTTATCCAGCAGGTCGCTTGAGTAAAAGGACCATTATCTGTGGCTTTTGTACAAATACATTTCCTTCTTTAAGGGTAGAGAGTTTAAATTCCTGCAAGGCACTGCACACTAACACACCCATTAATAAATCTGCAGCTCTCCTGGCTCAGTTTAAGTGAGGCCAGTCTTTCAGTACCTGTTAAGCAACCTTGAAAAGTCCAAAGCTTTATTTTTTTCTTCTTTAAACCAAAAAATTCTACAGTCAGGAGTCCACCAGGGTAAGATGAAGAGATTTGGGGGGATTTTGTTCCCATTTACAGGGTTTAACCCACCCGCTTCAAGGGAATTGGTCAAGTTCCTCGTGCTGCACTTGGACCCCCTCTGGCCTTGCCCCTCCCCCAAGGGAAAGGCGCAGCGACGTGGCCACCAGGGCCACTCGGCCTGGCGTCTGGAGCACTGGCGGCATCGGCGACCACAGCCTCTAGAGACAAAGTTCTGTAGTGCACTGACTTCTATCATACTCAGAGTCGGAGTGTCTCAGAACTTTGCCTCAAAAGACCAAACGTGCTGTCTTCCTCCAGAAGTTTCTTCCTGCAGGTGTGTTCCCCCACCCCCCAGCTAAGACAAAGAAGAATAACTCGTTAAAAGCAATTTAGTTCAGGATGCGACCGATAATGGAACGGGTCATTAATTATGGAAAGTTACTGCCGCAGTCAGCAGGAGCAAATGCCCAACAGAAATGGTGTTTTAACAGCCCGATTCGACAAATTCTGGTCGCAATGTCACAGCAAAGGGGCTGCAAGAATCGCACACTCTCCTTCCTTCCTACCCGTCCTCAGATTAGAACCCATTCCTGGTCGAACCCTCACCTCCCTCGGTAGTTATTTAAACTTTTGCCAGCAGCTAACTCACTCTAACTTGTGGCAACTTTTTACCTTCCCATCTGGAAAGCTGGGGGCGGGGGCGCTGCACGAGGACGAATATTCGGAGCTGAAAGAGTTAAACGGTGGGGAACAAATACAGGCCCGGGAAAAGCCCCTAAGATGGGACGACCCAAGAAAGACCCGCTTTGCGGGGCCTCCCCTGAGACCCCCTTCCCCAGCCATTCCCAGTACTCTATTCCCGGTCTTCCAGCCGCCCGCGCCCAGCCCCGGGAACTCGGGTCGAAGTCGTCCCATCCCCTCCGTTCCACCCACCCACTCTTTGGGATTCTCCCTGCCCCATTAGGCAGTGCTTCCCGCGGACCCCGTTCGCGCACAACCTTGCACACAGTCCCCAAGACTGCTCTTCTCCCCCTCCCGGCACCCCCTTTTCCCTGCAGCATAAGCGACCACTCTGTCCCCCATCCTAGCAGACCCCCTCCCCCCACATACCGCACCTGAACAGCTGTTGCGCGCGTGCAACAGGTCTGGAAAGTGCTTTCCCATCTTCCCCCAAACCCCTCGCCACCGTTCCATCCCCCGCCACCCCTAAGAGACAAGGCCGGAGGGGCAGTGGGCTGCGTCCCCCGGGCCGGGGTGCACGGGCGGCTGGCGGAGTGCGGGGCGCCCAGAGGCTCCCGGGGTTGGGGGCGGTGGTCGCGCTGGGCCGGGACACCTTCGCGAGTGGCCCCTCGTGCGCCCGCCGCAGGCTCCCCAGCCTGCCCCTCCAGCGCCGGCCGCCAGGCATTCCCGGGCCGGCTCCCCCCTCGCGCTCCGCTCCGCTCCCTTCCATCTTGACTTTTGCCGACGTGGAAATTTTGGGTTTGGAGACGACCTGCGCTCTTATTGGCTGCCGGCGGGCGGGGTCGGAGGTCACGGCTGCTCTCGCTATTCCGCGCCAAGGGGAGCCGCACAGCGGCTCGTGTCAAGTCAGCAGGTTCCCTCCGCCTCCCCCGGGGTCACGTGCGCCCCGGGCGGGCCCGGGAGACGCCTCCTTATGCAAATAGAGCGGCCGCGCGGGGCTGGGGGCGGGGGCGGGGTGGGCGGTGGCGCGTGGGGGCGGGGGCGGGGGCGCGGCCGGCGCTGGGAGGGCGGGGCGCTCCAGGTGGCCACCTGGCTCGACGTCCCGCCCCGCCCTTCTGCCCACCAGCCTCTGCCAGGCTGCCTGTTCCGCTTCCCGCGACACTCGGGCCGGGCGCTGTCCCCGGCCAGCCCCGCTGGGCCCAGGGAGCCCGCGTTTTGCAAGATGCCCCTGAATGCCCGCTTTCCCCGGAGCCCCCTCCTCCAAACCCAGCCGGAGCCCTGCCTGGGCCCGGTGTCTCCTGGCTGGGGAGGAGGCGGCGGCGAAGCTGCTGCAGGGCAGAGTGCGAAATGGAAACCTCGGGAGGACAGTTTCCTCCCCTGGCAGGGAGTTGAGAACTAAATGCGAGATTCCCGGTAAGGGAATTCTAGGACAAAGCAAAATCAAGAATTCATCAAGGTTAAAAGTCGTTTCTTTTAATAAACTGCCCACCACCCATCCCCAAATAAAAAGAGGCCAAAGAGCTAACTAAAAGTAGTAAAAATGCCAGTTCTGG
The DNA here is from genome assembly GCF_000001405.40 of Homo sapiens. Classification (NCBI taxonomy): domain Eukaryota; kingdom Metazoa; phylum Chordata; class Mammalia; order Primates; family Hominidae; genus Homo; species Homo sapiens. The sequence goes on from NC_000007.14 coordinate 25,951,932, forward strand.
ATTTTTTTTTTTAACACGTCTACAAGGACTAACCGAAAGGCCGGTTTGCCTCCACCCTGACGTCTGCTGGGTACTGGGCACCCGAGACTGAACCAGGGGACACGTCCTCCTCTCCTCATCTAGATGGGGGTGTGACTCGGGGGAGCTCAGAATTCCCTGAGAAGAGGTCACGGGCACGTAGAATCAATTTTAACGTGGTTCCCCAAGCACGCCAAAGAAGATGCTGTTCTAGAAAGAAAGGGAAATTGATGAATGGCCACGTGACCAGGATGTCTTCCTTCCTTCCCTCTCCCCAAGGAAAAGAAAGTAACTGCATTGCAAAGGTAGAGCCCATGTTATAAATCGGACTCTCTGATGCCGGCCTGTAGTCACCAAGGAAAAAGAAGGGGACTGCATTTTAAAAAATATAAATATTTCTGAGAACTGGCCTAGTTATTTTTTCCCTCAGGTAACAAAGTATGTGTATCATCTTTATAATGGTTGCATCTGAAGTCTGACCTGGTGATACAGAAAAACATACATTTTTATGGGAAGATTCTTACCTGGAAAATTCTTCCCATCCACTCTTCTTAATTTACTTTCCTTCTCCCCATTTCCCCCTATGGAAAGATAAATCATTGCTCCTTCCAACTGTTTTATCCTCAAGGATCTTTCTCTCCACTCTCCTTTCTCTTCCCTCTCCACACTTGTTTGTTTATCTGACCATTCGCGGGTTTGCAGGGGCCTCTCCCCAGGCATTGTCTCCTCCAGCCCCCCACCCCCTCCTCGGTCAAGGCCCGGCGGCAGTGCTTGCTGGGGCTCGGAGTTTGTCCCCGCTCTGCTGCCTGTTCTGTTGTGTGCACTGGAATATTGATTTTTCAGTGTGTGTGCGCCGGCTCTGTAAAAATCAATATTTCAGTAGCTCGAGCACAGCGCAGGGCAGTGTAATGGAGCCAGCCTGCTGATGTAACGTGCGGGGTCCACCCTCAGCGATTGAGGTCAGTCAGAAAATGGCAGTGTTTTCCCATTTCATTGTTTGCTTCGGAGAGAAGGAAAGAGTTTGCATACCGTTGTGTACATCAGATTCCAGGATGAGGTAACCTTACTACTGTTGGGTAGCAGACGAACCAAGTTAGAAAAAAGACAACGAGGTGATGATGGAAAACCTCCGGTTATCCTTTGTAAGAACGGATCTTAATAAAATACTGGGGGAGGTGGGGAGTTATTGTCTGCCATCAATCCTACCACATTTCACAATGATAAAATGAAAACAGGCTCACTCCAGGAAAGGGCCAGAGTTTATCTTTTAATACTGGATATGTGGGTGCTTATTATTCCGCAGCCCCTAAAATATGCTTCTGATTAAAAGGACAAGAGATGTTTCGCATGACTTGAGGGGAAAAATTAATAATGGTCCCAACTTGGGGGCTAGCCTCATGACATTTGCAGCAGATGTGGAAAGATAGCTGGCCTTGGAGTCAGGAAGGTGCGTTCTCACCAAGCACCCCTGTAAGGAGAGCTTTTAGTGAGTCAGTTCACCACTCTGGGCCTCAGGGAATTTACCTGTGATTTAAAGGATTAGACTAAATCACCTCTAAATACCTTCTTGCTCTAACACCTATGAGTCTACAGAAGAAATAGTGTTATAGCTAAAACCTTCAAAAACAAAAATACGATTGAGTGTGTACCATGGATAAGAAAAATAGCTTAATACCAAAGGTGTTACAGAAAAAGAAGGCAGAGATGCTCCGACTTCCAGTTGCATGTTTTATTTTCCGTTATATTCCAATGCAGTCTTTCTTAGGGGTAACTTGACCTGGCGTTTCTAATTTTAAGAGTTTTTCCTAATGAAATAATTAATAGCACTAGAAAGATGTTTATCATTGCCAGTAGTACAATATTGAAACATTAGAAACAACGTATGTATTGAATAATAAGGGATTTATTATATAAAATATGGGGAGTGGTATATTTATTGAGTGGACTACAACTATTTAATATGGTGGTGCTGAATGACTATCAAAATATTATGGAAGGTTTGCATTCATTGAGATGTATGTACTATTTAAATCTCTATGTGTCCATGTATGTTTATGTCATAATGGTAACAGATATGGGCTCTGAAGCCAGATGGCTTGAAACCACATCCTGTCTCTGCCACTGGCCAACTCTGTGGCCCTAGCAAGTTGTAAACTAGGTGTACCAGTTTCCTATTGCTGCTGTAAGAAATTCCCACAAACTTAGTGGCTTAAAATAACATGCATTTATTATCTTACGGTTCTGGTGGTCAGTCCAAAATAGGTTTTGCTGGGCCAAAATCAAGGTGTCAACAGGGCCATACTCTTCCAGAGACTCAAGGGAAGATTCTGTTTCCTTACCTCTTTTAGAGGCCTCTTGTGTTCCTTGGCTTTTGGCCCCTTCCTCTGTCTTAAAAGCACAGCACTCCATTCCCTGCTTTTGTCATCACATCTTCTCTCTGACTCTCATCCTCCTGCCTGCTTCTTTTAAAGATCCTTATGATTACATTGGGCCCACCTAGATAATCCAAGATAATCTCCCCTTCTCAAAAGTCTTAATCACATCTGTAAACTTCCTTTTGACATGTAAGGTAACACAGTCACACATTCCAGGGATTGGAATGTGGATATTTTGGGGCCATTGTTCTGTCTACCATGTTGGGCTAAAGTCAAGGTGTCAGCAGGGGTGCATTCCTTTCTGGAGTACCAAAAGGAGAAATCCATTTTTTGGTTTTTCAGTTTCTAAAGGTTTCCCGCATTCCTTGGCTCTGGCCTCCTCCTCCACCTTCAAAGCCAGCAAAGGCTGGTTGAATCATTCTCACATCGCATCACTCTCATGCCGCCTCTTGTGTCTCCCTCTTCCTTTCTGATTGCGTTGGGCCTACCTGGGTAATCTAGGATATTCTTGCTATTTCAGGATCAGCCAATTACCAACCTTAATTTTGTCTGCTATCTTAATTCTCCTTTGCCATGTAACATAACGCATTCACAGGTTCCTGGGATTAGTATGTGGACATTTCAGGGAGGCTGTCATTCTGCCTGCCACACTGCCTATCACTGATGGTGATAATCTACATCATAGGGTTGTGCAGAAGATTAAAGCATCCACACATGAAGAGTGTTTACAAAATGCCTAGCATTTTGTAAGAAGCACTCCATAATAACTAGCACAGAGTAAGCATTTCATAATAATGATCCGTTATAGTTATTATCTAGAAAGGAAATACAAAACAGAGAATAGTTGCATCTGAAGGTGGGATTAAAACTGATTTTTATTTTCCTCATTTTGCTAATTTTTTTTCTTTTTCTACCATGAACGTGTATTATTACTTGGGTACTTTAAAAATTTTAAATATAAATGAGAAAAAACCATTAAAGGAGGTTGTCACATAGGAGAATAATTTAATTTGGGGTTAGAAGGCCCAGGTGCTCACCTCAGCAATGGTACAAACACAAATTGTGATACTGGGCGAGTTACTTTACCTCCGTGCACTTCAGTTTTCCTCCTCAGTAACATGAGAGAGATGAACTATGTATTTCAAATGGTCCTTCCAGTTCTAAATGCTCTGCACCTAACATGTTAAAAATCAACAGATTGATAAATGGATTTTAAAAACCCATGCTGCTTAGTACATAAAGAATCCCAGCTGCTTTGCCTATGGAGTAGCCATTTTTTTATTCCTTTACTTTCTTAATAAACTTGCTTTCACTTAAAAAAAAAAAAAAGAACTCCACAAAATCAGTAAGAAAAAAGACAGCGCTATAGAAAAAAAAGAGTGGAAAAGGCATAAACAAGCATTGCACAGAAAAAGAAAAGCAAATGGCAAATAAGCTTAGGTAAAGATGTTAAGCCTCATTAGAAACAAGGAAATGTAATTTAAGACTTCAGTGAGATATCATTTTATACCCACTAGGTTGGCAAAAATTCACAAGCCTGACAACATCAATAGATGGAGATGATGTAAATCAGTGGCATTTGGGGTCTTTTCACACAACGGATTATTATACAGCACTGAAAATGAATGAACTACAGCTCCTCACAAAGCTATGGATGAAGCTTGGAAACATAATGTTGAGCAAAAAAAAAAGAAGATGGAAAAAAGCAAGTCCCAGGAGACTAAGATATAACGATGCCATTTTTATAAAGCTCAAACACAGCCAAACAATATAATTTTAAGAAATTTATAAAGTGATAAAAAGCAAGAAAATGATAAATAGAAAATTCGGGTTAGTGGTTGCTGGTAGGACGTGGAGGGAAGGAGGGTGAGAAGGCAGCCCAAAGGTGGATGCAATTGGCAATGTTCCTGTTCTTAAATTGGACATAACACTTAGGCTAGTAAGTGTTCAGTATATTATGTTTTGTGATTTGCATATGTGAGAGATATATATATTTTATATGTACCAAATATTAGATTTAAATTTTTTTTTAAGAATTCTGTTTAGGGGCTTCTGTATTCTAATCTAAGATGCTTTACTTCTTGGAGTTGAGGCTAATCACTAAGTTTCCCTTCAAACTCATAAAAGCCAACTCTTTATTGGCAATTTGCTATTTGTAATCCCTCTAGTTAAACAGACTTCATAACAGCCACCCACATCTGGGCTTGTGCAAAAAATGTTTTCAGTTTATGCTCCAAATGAGCCTCATTTTCTCTGAGAACTACACTGCACTCCCAGAGTTGGGGGGTATACCAGCAGGAGCAGTACCTCCAAAAGTCTCTTGGAGCGTGCCCTCTGTGTGCCTCCGGAGCCCTTCCTTCATCTTGCCTGCAGCTAGCCATTTGGGCAGCTTCTGCAGCTAGGGCTGAGCTATACAGTTCATAAATATCCCACTTAGCCCATGTGAAATTGTCTCTACTCTGATTGATTACAGTTTTGATTTTAATGCTGAAAAATCACATTCTGTGTGCTCCTGACTTGTCTTCTGTTGTTTTATAAGGTTTGTCCATCTGGCCAAGACATCATCTAGAGTGGCTTGGTCTCACAGTCCTGCAACAATCTGGCATTAGTGTTATTTTTGACTTTGATTCCATCTTTGATTCCATAGTCTCCCAAAGAATAAGCCAGTTTTGTTTGATGTAGTTTTCTACTTCCTTGACTCTAAACGCAGCATTTGGAAGTAATTATCAGAACTCACAGGTACTTTAAATATCATTGTTTCCACTGAAAGGACTGGCTTACATAGGGTTCACCAAATGAAGCGGATGCTTAGCACATGGAGGAGGGATGAAGGTGGTCTTAGGGCAGCAGTAATATTTGGCACCCAAACATTGCCGCTTACATCCACCTTTGGATGTTGGATGCTACAGACACACATCAGTTGGGTTGAGTACCTTTTTTGGTTTTTTTTTTTTTTTGGCTTTTTTTTTTTTTTTTTTTTTTTTGAGAAAGAGTTCCACTCTCGTCCCCCAGGCTGGAGTGCAGTGGCACGATCTCGGCTCACTGCAACCCCCACCTCCCAGGATTAAGCGATTCTCCTGCCTCGGCCTCCTGAGTAGCTGGGATTACAGGTGCCTGCCACCATGCCTGGCTAATTTTTTGTATTTTTAGTAGAGACGGGGTTTCACCATGTTGGCCAGGCTGGTCTCGAACTCCTGACCTCAGGTGATCTCCCCGTTTCGGCCTCCCAAAGTACTGGGATTACAGATGTGAGCCACCGCACCTGGCCTGGAGTACCATTTTTTAAGACCTGCTACCTAAGGTGGAATGGCCCCCAGTCCTGTACACTTTGTGTGAGGTCTTCAGCTTTGGAGACATAGATTAAAAAAAAAAAAAAACTTTTTGTCATGAAAAATTGCCAAAAATATACCGAAGGATAAAGAATGCAGTATAAATATATCCCACAAAAATAGATATAAAAATTACAGGAAAAGTATAAAGAAATCTGTCACCCACCACCAGTTTCAATAATTATTAACTCAGGACCATTTGTGTTTCATTTGTACTTCCCCCATGCTCCCCAGGATTATTTTGAAGCAAATCCTCAATATCATGGGGTGTAAATGTTGTGAATGGATCTTCATGACAAGTATTCTCAAAGCTCCAGATAGGATATTAGGAATGGCAACACTGAGTAGGAGGCCTCTCTTTGCAACATTATTACATGCTATTCATTCTAATTAATTAAATAAATGAGAAGACCAAAGTTCTTTGCAGTTGAGACTCGCTTTAACTTCCCAGTAGAAGGTTTTCTTGGATAAACTTAACATATGGAAAATTACTGCAGGACTTTATAGTTGGGAAGAAGGGGAGCAATAGAACAATTTAACTTTTTAAAAGTTTATAATTCCTCAGTCTCACCATCAATGAAATATTGAGAGAGTCCATGAAATAACATCAGTCTATTACAGTAGTCTTAACTGGTCTCTATGATCCATCCTACATAAATTGCTAGCATTATTTTCCTCTAGCTCACCTTTGCCCATTGTTTTAATAAATGTGAGTGCCTATTATGTACAAAGCATCGTACTAAGCCCTGGAGATAATTAAAAGATGAATCAGATATGGAGATGTGGCTCCTATTCTGTTTTTGTTTTTGTTTTTTAAGACAGGGTCTTGCTCTGTCACCCAGGCTGGAGTGCAGTGGTACAGTCTCAGCTCACTGCAACCTCTGCCTCCCAGGTTCAAGTGATTCTCCTGCCTCAACCTCCCTAGTAGCTGGGATTACAGGCACATTCCACCACGCCAAGTTAATTATTATATTTTTAGTAGAGACAGGGTTTTGCCACGTTGGTCAGGCTGGTCTCGAACCCCTGACCTCAAGTGATCTGCCCGCCTCACCCTCCCAAAGTACTGGGATTACAGGTGTGAGCCATGGCACCCAGCCTCCTATTCTGTAATAAAGAATTTGGTCTTTGCCTGGGCTCCTGGGATCTTCTAAAGCCTTAGAATTTTCTGAGAGATAGGAGTGCCTTGGTTATTCATGGTGGGTCCCGAGCCCCACCTGAGTTATGATAAGGAGATGACCTAGGATGGGGCTAGTCATGATGGAAAAACCGACTATGTGATGAAGCTTTAAGCCAGGAGATATCCATGATATTCAAATAAGGTTTATAAACTTGAGGTAAAGCCCAGCATAGTAGATCAAATATGAAGGAAGAGAAAGAGAAACAAGAAAATTGGATAAACTTTATCCAATAGTTGACAGTAGAATAGTGTTTCATAAAGGATTATTTCTTAGTGGGAGAGAAAGGGTTATTCTTTAGCCTTCTTCTACCAAGAAGTCAGGAAATTTTAAAAATTTGGGTAGGTGTCATGTTAGAGATGATGCCATCCATCAAAGGAAGAAGACAATCTGATGTTAATGTCACTCCTAAGGCAAGAGACCTGTCCACATCTCCCCAGGCCCACATAAACCCTCTCACTGAGCTCATAGCTGGTTCCACGGAGAGTTAAGAGTCAAAGCTGAACCCCCAAGGGAGGCCATCATCTGTGCAGCTTAGCCAAAAGAAGGGAACTACTGCCCCAGACAGCCTAAGTCAAGAATGTAGCACGTTGACCAGCCACCCTCAAACTTCCAGAGAGGAGTCTACACGTGTAAGAATCACAGCTCAAGGAGACTGAGAATCTACAGTAGATTGAAGCCTAACTCAAAATCCTGCCCAGTGAGCTTGTCTTTAGTCAGTGTGTTTGTTTAGTTTAACTGAACGGGAGATTGTAAAAGACTGTTCCTGAAAGCAGCTTAGACCTATTTGTTTGTGGACTCTCCTGAAACGGACCTACTAATGGGAAAATATTTTCCTAAAGATTCTTTTCCAAATAGAGTGCTTTAAACTAAATATTCAAAAGAGATCATTGTTTCCAAGCTAGAGGAAGTAAAGGAGCTGGGTTAGAGATGTAAATCATATGGCTTTCAGTTTGCACACAAAAGGTGCTTGCTTCGAAGTCTGAAGGTAAGAATAAATTAAGTGCAAAACTTTCCACCTACATGAAAAAAATATTCATCAACTGGCATTACTTGTATCTTAATTTACAAATAACTGGGGAATTCTGTTACAAATTCCAAGCTGTTTAATTTTTCTAACATCATATTCAGAAAAACTATAGCTTCTAACCTTTAAACTTAATAATCAATATTCATTTTACCCTCTAGATGCTGATCTTATAGATGGAATCTATAGTGTAGTTTACTAATACTCTGTTAAAAATGTACAAATGGGCCAGGCATGGTGGTTCATGCCTGTAATCCCAGCACTTTGGGAGGCTGAGGCAGGCGGATCACTTGATGTCGGGAGTTCAAGACTAGCCTGGCCAACATGGTGAAACCCTGTCTGTACTAAAAATACAAAAAGTTAGCCAGGAGTGATAGCGTGTGCTTGTAATCCCAGCTATTCAGGAGGCTGAGGCAGGAGAATCACGTGAACCTCAGAGGTGGAGGCTGCAGTGAGCCAAGATCATGCTACTACACTCCAGCCTAGGTGACAGAGCGAGACTCTCAAAAAAAAAAAAAAAAAAAAATTACAAGCCCCCTTGACAGCACCTTTTGAAGATAAGTCTACCAATACCAGCCCCCTCTAGCAAACCACACAACCACATGTACCAGCATCCTTAATCTCTCTAAAAATCTCAATTTGAGGTCCTGTGGAAATAACAGTACATTCCTGAGAATTGTTCATCTTTATTCCAGGTTCTGTTCTAATCTCAGATTTTTCTTTACAAGGGAAGAGAGATTTGGAAGATCGACTCTCAAAGCTGGAATGTCTGCAGGGCCCTCCCTCTGGCTGCTGGCAATCCTACTAAACATGAGACCTCTGCCTAGCACCCCAGTTGCTTACTCTTGATCTCACTGCCTTTCCTCCTTTTCGTTCCTCCTGCCCTAACATGAGGCAGAGCCTGTGTCTCCTTCAGCCCCTCTTGCCAGGAGACATCAAAACCCTATGAACTCTTTAAGGAAGACATAGCGCCGTTCTCTGAAAGGAAAGGCCGGTTTCCAAGCTCTTAGTATGCTTATCCCTGGTTTTCAGTTCACTCTATTTCCTACTTGGTGCCTTCTTTCCTGCTCCAATCTCCATTGGGCTAAAGCGTGCAGACAAGTGCCATTTTCTTGGCCTTTATAGCTTCTCTGCCCACCCTCTTGTTTCTCTTCATTAGCAACAAAGCTTTTTCTTCATCTTTAGCAGTAAAATAATGATATAGCCACCATTTTGGGAACAGTGCCTGGAACTATATGGAATGACACACCGACCCCAGTGCTCAGAGCTCCCCAGCCCCCTCCCCTGCCTTCTTCCCATCTAACATAGTATATGCTTACCGAATGCTTTTTTCTCCCCAAGACTGTAAGCTCCCTGAGGGCAGGAACTTTGTCTTTCACCCCTGTTGTCCCCAGACAGCAGCACATACACATTGTAGGCATTCTATAAATAGTTGTTGAATGGATAAATGTGCTTAGAGTGGAAGATGTAAACAAAGGGAGTGAAGACCAGACATGCATCAAATAACTTGCCTAAGCCTTTGTCATGTAACCAATAATTGTTCTGTAAAGGGTTATGGAATTACCCAAGGGGTGTTAACACAGTCAATGACATCCTAATGCTGCCCTCTAGTAAAAAAATAAAACCTACTTTTGCTTTCAGATGTCCGTTGTAGCCTGACATTTATTGTGGGGATTTTTATTTTGTAAAGAAGCAATCTGTTAGGCACCTGTGTGAAACCTTCTTATTTAAAGCATATAAAATATTGAGTCATATCATCAAACTCAATGTTTTCCTTTCTTTATATTCCTCAGCCACCACCAACATGATCTACTTCTTAATTTGATTATCTTTTTGGAGAAAAGTCACTTTCACCAAAAATCTATATCAGAAACACATATGCCTTTTTAAGCAGTATCCTTTTAAATATAGACTACAAAATCATATGGTACTTTCAAAAATCTGAACGAGTCAGAAAGTGTGTTTCGCTAAAATAATGAAAGAAGAGGGAAAGGGAAGAGAATGGCTTATAAACTCATTTAATCTTCCAATAAGATTCGCCTTTAATAATTTTATTTCTTCATCTATCGTGAATGTCACAGTAAAGTATTTGATTTACTCAGGATCAAGGAACCTCTTGTTAAATCAAAAGCTGATGAATGCATTCTCAACGCAATTCAGTTCAAGTTTGCCAAACGATAGTAGGGATAGCTCTGCTCTGGATTCAATTTTGCCTATTAAATATGAGTTGCATTATTGAAGTTGGTGCTGATCCTCGGGTTTATTTCTGCTCACTGACAGGTTTTGATTGCAACTCTCCATGACATTGGCTCTCCAATCAGTGGAGAAAAAGCCTTTTGCATGATACAGAACCCCAGATGTTCCAGTGTTCTGCTCCTTCTGCCTGGAATTTGAACTTTCTTTTGAGTTACCAGGCAGCATTCAGTTGCTTTCCCCTTTATGCTTTCAACAAATCTCCCTCTGACACCTATCACAGAGTTTTGCAATCAATAATTTATACCCAGAACTGTTGTTGGCCCATATGGCACCTTTGTGTAAATTACAAAAAGACACCCCTTCCTATGGGTGAGTCAGAGAAAGATGGGATAACACCAACTACCTATTTTTATGACGTTTAGGGAGAAAATTAGGGAAGGGGAGTACACTCATCTTCTTCCTTCCTCCCAGTCCCAGTCCTCCATCATGAAACAAGAGAGGGATTTGCCACCCACAAATTTTTTCGCCGTTTAGTTCGATTGTGAAGATGGTTCCTGCTAACAATAATGAGAGTTGTCCTGTCAAGACCAAATCTCTTTCAGAATAAATGGAACCAGGTCAACATTTTGTGCAAGGAAGATTTTTTTAGAGACAAGTCACATGATCTTCAAATGCACGCTTTGCAGGTTGTCAGCCATTCAATGATCTCTGACATTTTTAGAGATGGTCTCAGATTCTGGGTTTTCAATGAGAACAAGAGGAAAAATGCAGTGGTGCTTTTTTCTTGTGCCTGAGATCACTGCAACAATAACCTTAATCATGTCTCCCTCTTGCATGCTTTTTTGGGTAGCAGGGAGAGAATCGAAGGGAGAGGGAAAAAAGGTGTGGGAAGGGCTGAGAGGTGGCTGCCACTGGGATCTCAGCAGTATCCGTCGGACACAATCAGGATGCAATGGAGCCTGAGGTGCTTTTCTCCCTGGCCTTGGCCACCAAGGGGATGGAGTACATACTCTCTCTCTCAAGGGTCCTTCTCAGTAGGTTAATGGTGCCTCCCCATGAGACTGGAGCTACACAGACTCCTCCGCTCCTACTTTCTCAACCATGCTCTGAGCACTTTGATGGTAGTTACTGATGCGTATGGCTAGGAGTGCTCATTTCAGGAAGTCTTGGATTTTCAGCCTGAATGGACCCTAAAGATCATCTATTTCAGTGTTTTCAAACTCTTTTATTATACCCCATAGTAGAAAAAACATTTCACATTGCAACCCTATGTACACATAAACATATAAACAGAGATTTAACGGAAATGACAACTTTTGGCAACAATAATATGTCATATGACATGTAATGCGTTCCAACATTTTCTTTTCTTTTCTTTATTTTTATTTATTATTATTACTATTATTATTTTGAGAAGAGTCTCACTCTGTCGCCCAGGCTGGAGTGCTGTGATGTGATCTTGGCTCACTGCAGCCTCAGCCTCCCGGGTTCAAGCAATTCTCCTGCCTTAGCCTCCCGAGTAGCTGGGACTACAGGTGTGCACTGCCACGCCCGGCTAATTTTTGTATTTTTAGTAGAGACGGGATTTCACTATGTTGGCCAGGATAGTCTTGATCTCCTAACCTTGTGATCCGCCCACCTCGGTCTCCCAAAGTGTTGGGATTACAGGCATAAGCCACCGCGCCCAGCCTCTTTTTTTTTTTTTTTTTTTTTTTTTTTTTTAATTTTTAATGCTGATCAAACTCACTAAATTGGTTTCATGATTCACTAGTGGATTGAGGCCTACAGTTTGAGACTTACTGATCTATTTTAATCCTCATGTGTTATAGAGCAGGAAACCAAAGCCAAGAAGGTTAAGTGATCCGGCCAAGGTCACACACACAGTTACTGCCCGGTGGCAGAGCCAAGACTAAAACTCTGGTAGCAAAATCATCTAACTTAGCTAATTATTAATAATAAACACTCTTCTTGCAAAATGCTGTGCTAGTACTGTGAACAGTGCATGCTGTTACAAAAACATAGTTTTTTTTAATGGTAGAAAGTTAAAGTCTTTCAAATTAGAATTAAATAGAATGTCATTCCCCAAATCCCCGTATACATATTTTCAGTTTCAAATTCCAGTGTCTAGAGGGCTAAGTCCATATATATGTGTATATGTATATGTGTGTATGTGTGTGGATATGTATATATGTTTGTTTTAAATTACATCTGTAATTTGGCTCTAATGTGCAGGCTCATGTAAACTTCTCTTTACTGATGTTTCCAATGCAATAGAAAAAAAACCTGAGCAACCAGTCCTTCCAAAGATCTTTAGTTAAGCCTTCATGGTCAAAGAAGGGCAGTGAGCAGCTCTGGGATTCAAAGGGGCCTCTCAGTTACACAAGAGGGGACTCCACTGAGGTATGAATAAGAAGTGGGATGCATCGGACAGAAAAAGCCAAGTAGCAATAGTGTGAGGCTAGAACGTCCTCTGCAAACCTCAACCACATCACAGCCCATCATTCTTGGATGTCTCCCCATCAAATAACTACACCCATAGCAACTACAGTTGACTACAGTTGACTCTGACCTCACCACCCCTGTAAGAGTAATAATTCCAGTAAGAGAAGTTCGTCTTTAAAAATATAGCCCTAAATCTCGGCAACCAGCATACTTTCTTTCAATAAAAGCATGGGTGCTTTCCTGTTCCACCTATTTTTATCCTGTAGAAAAAAAAAAGTCCCTTCCAGCCAATGCAAATACTCTCTCACTCTCTGCCTCACCAGCAGCAAGGCGGGTTGCAAACCTGCACAGGATATAGAACTGAGGAGGCAGTGTGCCTGATTTTGCTGTCGTGTTATTCTTTTCATTGATATGGTACCTTTCCAGCGGTTCACATGTCAGCTGATGAAAGCAGCTGTGACCTTTTACAACAATTGGCCTCTGTCTTTACATTGGCTGTCTTTGCTTTACTGGGATTCATGAAGATCACCTTGGGGGCATCTTTCAACCCATTCCTGTGAAATGGCAACCGAACAGAAAATGGCACAAAGGGAAAGAGACAACATTTGTGGATACACTGAGGGATAGATATTGGTACTTTTAGTTTGTGAATGTAAAAATGTCACAGGTCATTTCTGAGCATATTCCAGCTGGAGGCAAGAAATGCTTTGGGGTAAACATATGAACCACATGTGCAGAAGCACTGAAAATTAGGTATAAAAGTCATATATGCAAAATTGCCACAAAACTTCCTGCTGTGATCATTTGGAAATCACCTTGGAGTATAGGTTTCTGGCTCATTTTCCAAGCTATGCAATTCCTTTCCAGAAACCCCTAGGCAGCACTGCCTCCCTCCCCTAGGTCCACCCTACCTCAGCAAAGCACAGTGAATGTCCTAATTCCTGGGACAGCTCCTTTTGGGGAAATAGGAAGAATAGATCAGAGGGTTTGATTATAAGCTTTAAAAATCAATTTTAAAAATTGATATAGTTCTGTGCTTTCTGAAGACGGATATCTTAAATAGTGCCTAACTATGTTTGTTTTGGCAGATACGTGGGTGACTCTCGCATTGGCAGACATCCATATCCGTATTTATGGCAAATATGTCAGCATTTAATCCATCCCAGTGTCTGTGAAGGAATCAACAATTACAAGTTATCGTCTCTCTCTTATTATATTGTTTTACTTCTTTTCAAAGACTGACACAGAAATTGCCATGAAATGGAGAATAATCAATCCTCAGTAGAAAATAGAATACCAAATCTTACAGCTCGGTAGATGGCTGGTCTATGTAATCTTTGTTTCATTTCTCAGCTCCTCTTTGAGTGACTCAGTGTAGCACCCCACAATTCAATATTAGCAAGGAGGTGTCATTTCACAGGAATGACTGCTATCATTGGGAGGGAAGGTCCATAAACTAGATTTCCTACTGATGACATCAGCAATTCTGTGACATTTAAAGAAAAAGAATTGAGTACCATTTCCAAAAGGGATGAGTACCTTTGAAGAAATAATATTACCCTTATTTTAACTTCCATGCTTCAGTTCATCCCTAACAGATAGGTGCACTGAGGAACCTGTATCTGTAATGTGAACAATATACCTCCTTTAATATCAGTCCCAGGTGAAATTAAACCAATCAGGAAGCGCATGACAATATCTCTGATATTAAGAGTCAAATGGTGTCTCAAAAACAACAATCTTTTGTGATTGTTGTTATTCCAGCGAATTGGCAATTTACAAATAGGTTGTGTCCAAAAAAAATTCACTAATATATTTGGAATATAGAGTGTCAAGTACAAGTTCCCATGTATGCAGTATTACAAATGGTATTCCCAAACCAGCCCATAGACACCCATTTCATTTATATCTTGCTGATGGTGTTGGAGAAGACAAAGAAATATGCAGGATTCAAAAGGTAGAGTTGGCTTTGGAAAGACAATCTGTGGCACAAGATCCCAAAACAATCTCCTTATAATTTCTACCACTTCCAGAAAGAAGGAAGGAAGGAGGAAAGAAAGGAGGAAGGGAGGGAGGGAGAGAGGGGAGCAAGAAGGGAAGGAGGGAAGGAGGCAAGAGAGGGAGGAAGGGAGGAAGGAAGGAAAAAAGAAAGAAAGGGAAGGAAGGGGGAGTGAGGGAGAGAGGGAAGGAGGATAGGAAGGATGGAGGAAGGAGAGAAGAACAAAGGGAAGAGTGGGAGGGAGGGAAGAGAGGGAGGGAAGAAGGAAGGAACAGAAGGAAGAAGAAAGGGATGGAGGTAGGTTGAGAAGGAGGAAAGAAAGACAAGAAGTCTCTAAGATGACCTCCAATTATCAACACCTCCTGGTATTCATACCCTTGTGTAGTGTCTTCTTGAATATGGGCTGGCCTTATTATTAACTTCACTTGTAGCAAATAGAATACAGAAAAAGAGATCAGATGCCACTTCCAAGATTGGGCTATAAAAAGGCAGTGGTTTCTGTCTCGGGCTTTCTCTCCCCTTCTCCCTTTCTATAACCGCTTGCCTTGGTGGAAGCTAGCTGCCACATCACAAGGGTGTCCTGCAGAGAGGCCACATAGCAAGGGGCTGAGGACCACCAAGCAAGTGATCTTGGGGATGAAGCCCCCTCACAAGTCATGCTTTCAGATAAGACCAAAACCCTTACCAACAGCTTGACTGCATGAGACAACTTGAGCCAGAGGTGCCCAGCTAGGCTGTGCCCAGATTCCTTACTTACAGGACCTGTGAGCTCTTAAATGCTTATTGCCTAGGTTTTAGAGTAATTTGTTATGCAGCAATAAATAACTAATTGGAAGGAAGGAAGGAAAAAGGGAGGGAACAAGGGAAGAAGAGAGGGAAGGAAGGGAAGAAGGCAGGAATAACCATGTCTGCCATAATCTAGCCAGGGAACAGAAACCACTCTGAGTATTTTGGTTGCTCAGGAGACAACAAAGCTGAGCAGTTACTAGGAGACGGTGACATAACCCAGAGATGAGCAGGGACAGGAAGCTATACTGCCCCTAAAGTGGAGGATCAAAGGAGGAAGCAGTGTTACCAGAAGCCAGAAGAAGCCAGGTCACCCTGCAGAAGCTGGAACCACAGGGGCCTGATTGGTAGGAGCTGGAGCTGTAGATGCCATTCAAGACAGGGAAGGGCAAGGAGAAACATTGTGGCTTCTCTCTTCTTCTCACCATGCAGTTCCCATTGGTGCCTTCCATTGGCCAAACCCAGCCAGAAAGCAGCTGACACCGGATCCTAAGAAATAGCCCACAAGGGCCAGCCTCCTGCATTACACAGCACAGCTGGGAAGGAATGGCCTCACAGGCCAGGCCTGGCACACTAGCTAACTAGCTAAAGAGAAGGGAAAATATCTATTGCCAGTCCTCAGCAGATTCAGCCAGAAGGGACTGCTTATTAGCTCTGTGAACAAGGACCATTCACAATCTGCATGAAAACTCAAATTATGAGATGACAAAAATAACTACCAATCAACAGTACCCCTTGATAAACCACAAGGTAAATCATGACACTTGCCAAATGAGTCCTCCAGAGATGGGAGGGAACACGACGGCCTGGGACTGGCTGGGTTTGGGAACTGGAGAGAAGGAAGATCAGGTTGAAGTCAGGGCTCCTGGGTCCCAAGGGAAGAGGAGGTGACAGAACCCATGTCAGAGGGAGCAGAGCAAAGGAGTGAGGCTAGCCAGCGCGGGCGCCACGTGCGGAGACACACAGGTGTTCCACTGGGTCCAACACTAGGTCTTCACAGTCAAAAGAGAACTGAAACGTGAGGGTAAAGGGAGGGTAGCCGGTATGAGTGACTGGTGATCTAGGCAGGAAGCCAGGCTGCAGGGCATTTAATGAGTGGGTGCAATCACGTGGTAGAGTTTGACAGTGAATGGAAAGACAAAAACAAGCTTGCGGCATGGCAGGTTCCCGCCAAGGATCTGGTTTGAAAACAGAGGAAGAGAAGGTAGAAACTAACACCAAAGGCTAAGAACCTGCACAGTAAATTGCCTATCAGTCTTCCTCATAGCCTGCAAGCTACTTGAGGGAGGGATTTGCAGCACATGTGTCTCACTCAGTTTTCTGAGGGCCTTGGATAGTGTCTGGCCCATAGTAGGTGCTCAATGCATGGCTGTGAGATGAATGAGTGAGCCAAAGTGAAACCACAGAACGTCATGAGGGCAGGAGAACGAGGCAGAACCCACGGAAGATGCTCTCAAGTGATGTGGCGGCGTGGTGGCCTGCTGGAAAACCCCAGCGGCGGCCAGACCCGTGTGGGCAGCTGCAGTCAGAAAATGAGATGGTTCTTTCTGAGCAAATATGCAGTTATAAATAGCACAGGCTACGCAAATCGCCACAGCTGCATGGCAAAGGACTAGAGGGTGCGCTCAGCACAGAGGACGTTCCCGGCCACCAAATTCCTTCTGAACTATCCCCGCCATCAGCAGGGGCTGCTGCCCAGAGGGGAGACCCATGCCACGAGAGAGGTCAGCATTGCCTTACGTCTTTATAAGGCTGCTCCTAAGGGACTTGCCCTGAAGAGCCTTATGCTTCAAAGCCCACTCACCTGTAAAAGTGTCCCAACCACTGAGCTGGTTCCACAAAGGCATTAAGAAATTACCACTATGGGCTGGGCACGGTGGTTCATGCCTGTAATCCCAGCACTCTGGGAAGCCAAGGCGGATGGATCACCTGAGGTCAGGAGTTTGAGACCAGCCTGGCCAATATGGTGTAACCCCGTCTCTACTAAAAATACAAAAATTAGCTGGCCGTTGTGGCGCACACCTGTAATCCCAGCTACTCGGAGGCTGAGGCAGGAGAATTGGTTGGCCCCAGGAGGCAGAGGTTGCAGTGAGCCAAGATCACACCATTGCACTCCAGCCTGGGCGACAAGAGTAAAACTCAGTCTCAAAACAAAAACAAAAACAAAAACAAAACAAAACAAAACAAAAAAATACACTATGTCAAGTTATTAGGTAACCCATAACATCCTTTGTTTTAACATAGCCTTGCCAAGGGCCGGGCACAGTGGCTCACGCCTGTAATCCTAACACTTTGGGAGGCTGAGGCGGGCAGATCACTTGAGGTCAGGAGTTCGAGACCAGTCTGGCCAATATGGTGAGACCCTGTCTCTACTAAAAATAAAAAAATTAGCCAGGCGTGGTGGTGGGTGCGTGTAGTCCCATCTACTTGGGTAGCTGAGGAACGAGAATTGCTTGAACCTGGGAGGTGGAGGTTGCAGTGAGCTGAGTGAGATCATGCCACTGCACTCCAGACTCGAGATACAGTGAGACTCTGTCTCCAAAATATATATACATGTACTTCTCTAAATTAAATATTGAAATAAATTTTAAAATGCCCGGTTCATGTAGTTATAATAATAATACTAATAACAACAACTACTGCTACTACTACTACTAACATGTGTTGAACATGAACTAAGTTCCAGAAACCATGCTAAGCTACAAAACGGTGGACACACTCCCCTTGCACACCCTGTGGTAATTCAGTCCACACTCAGAAACTGCTGTTGGTTCAATGTTATTTATATTTATTTATTCTGCACCTTCTCCCAAAGACTTGAGGTGATCTGCAAGAATACATACATCAAAATAAGGTTTTTTTGTGTGTACAGGTCGAGTATCCCTAGTCTGAAAATCTGACATTTTTTGAATGCTGACACAATGCCACAAGTGGAAAATTCCACACCTAACCTCATGTGATGGGTCACAGTCAAAATGCAGTCAAATCTTTGTTTTATGCATGAAATTATTTAAAATACTATATAAAATTACCTTCAGGCTATGTGCATACGTGTATATTAAACATAAATAAATATCATGTTTAGGCTCGGGTCATATTCCTAACATATCTCATTATGTATATGCAAATATTCCAAAATTCAAAACAATAAAAAATAAAAACCCTAAAATCCGAAACACTTCTGGCCCCAAGCACTTCAAATAAGGGATGCTCAACCCACATAAGTGTCCTGGGACTGCTGTAACAAAGTGCCAGAGGCTGGGTGGCTTAACAACAGAAATGAATTATCTCCTAGCTCTGGAGGCCAAAGTCCACGATCAAGGCTATGGAAGGGCTGGTTCCTTCTGGATGAGCTAAGGAAGGATCTGTTCCCAACCTCTTTCCTTGCTTTTGGCTTGTGATAGCATAATTCCAGTCTTCACATGGCATTCTCCCTGTGCACATGTCCGTGTCCAGATTTCTTCTTTTTATAAGGATACCAATCACATTGGATTAGGGGGTCCACCCACCTCCAGTGTGGCCTTATCTTAACTGATTATATCTGCCACATCCCTCTTTCCAAATAAGGTCACATTCTGAGGCACTAGGGGGTGGGACTTCAGCATATGAATTTTGAAGGGATACAATTCAACCCACAACAAAAAGTAAAAATCTCAGCAAACTGAACACATACGTTCATCTAGTCACTCTCCTAAGACCTCACTAAGACTACAATAAAAAGTTACTACTCCACATGCAGAAAGAGGCTCCAGGGAAGACAGTAGTAAACAGGAGACGGTGGATGGGTAGCCAAGAGAGGAGCGGTAACTGACCTGGCAGAAAAGAACAAAGTTACAACCCAGGCCCAATAAAATGTAAGCCAACTGACTCCTCAGAGCCCTGGAGACCCTGCACTGGGAGACGCCAGATGCTAGGGGAGGCAGATGTCAGGCAGGAAGCCGGACACAGACATGGGTTTCACAGGCTTTATTCAGAAGCATTGGACCTCCTCCCCACCACATACAGCCAGAGGACAGGGTTTCCCAAACAGCCTCCTAAAAGACTCAGGAGATTTATTTTTGGATGGGTTGAAAGGAGAGACTCAACCTAGAAGACACCAGCCTTATAAGAGCACTGGAGTAGGGGGTAGGCATGAAGCTAAAGCCAGGAATATGAAATGAAAGCCCACAGAGCCATGAGCTGTGGGCCCCTTCTCCTATCTAGGTCTCAGAACATCAGCAACAGGGAATATCAGTACAGACAGGAGGACTGGAAGACCTGCACTGCAGACCCAAACAGTCCAGAGGTATATCCTGTGATGCGCATATTTAAGGTTCTCCCAACAAAAAGCTGGCACCCACCTGGTTATCCTCTTCCTACCAATCAACAATTCTTGCCCTTGTTTACAGAACGTCAAGTGAGCTTTTAGCATCTTATTCTTAAATATGAAAGAACAACTAGACACTTGGTGAAAGCCTGTGACCTGAAGACACAGACTGAGCAAACAAGGGGACCAGGAGGAAAGAGAAAATGAAAGGAATCAAAGAACATTTTAAAAAATATTTTTAACTAGTATTCTCAGAAAGATAAGGAAGAACAGAATTCAATAAAAAGAGAACAACTGGAGAACATGAAAGGACTCTTGACAATTACAAATATGATAAAAATTGAAACTCATTCAGAATATTAGAAGATAAAGGCAATAAAATCTTTTAGAAAGTAATACAAAATGTTTAAGAGTCAGAAAATAGGAAAGAAGAGATAAGAACATTTAAAAATCAACCTGGGAAGTCCAATATCTGAATAATAGGAGTTGCAAAATAGAGATAGGAGAAACAGAGGGAAGAAAATTATCAACTAATAATAATCAATAATAAGAGAAAATTTTCCAGAATGGAAGGAAACATGCCTCCAGATGGTAAAGGTCCACTGAGTACCTAACATGACAAATGGAAGACCTAAATGCTCCCAGAAAGATAACACAAGCCACATAGAAAGTACTGGGAAAGAGAATGACATGACAGGTAAGATAGCACAGTGGTTAAGAACATGGATTCTGGAGCCAACTACCTGGGCTTGTAACTCAAATACTAGTTGTGTGATTTTGGGTAAGTTACTGAACCTCTCTTGCTTCAGTTTCTTCATTTCTAAAACAGAAATAATAAGACTACCTCCCACTTATCTGGCATAATGGATATAAAACACATAAAATAGAGCCTGGCCCATAGCTCATGTTATAAAAATGCTGACTTTTTTCCTCAGACTTCTCAACAGTAACATTGGAAGCTAGAACCCATGGAGTAATAGCTTCACATTTATTTAGAGGAAATATTTTCAAATCTAGTATTGTATAACAACTAAGCTACAAATCAAATGTGAGGGTAGAATAAAGACATTTTCAAACATACAAGGTATTTAGAGCTTGATTTCCCTTATATTCCTTCTCAGGAAGATACTGCTGGTTTAAATAAAACCAGGCAAGTTGAAGACATAGAATGCAGACAAGAGAGGACTCAAAAAGAGACGAATTCATTAGATGATAGTAAAGGGAGGTCCCAGGATAACAACTATGCTTCAAGTATGCAGTCTCAAAAATGGAGGACCGAGGGCTCCAGAAGACAGACCTCCAGGGGAAAAAATTGGGTAGATATATGTGAATATATAAAAAATATTACTGGCCAGGTATCGTGGTTCATGATTGTAATCCCAGCACTTTGGGAGGCCAAGATGGGAAGATCGTTTGCACCCAGGAGTTTGAGATCGACCTAGGCAATATAACGAGACCCCCATCTCTACAAAAAAAAAAAAAAAAAAAAAAACTTAAAAATTAGCTGGGTGTGGTGGCATGCACCTGTAGTCCCAGATACTTAGGAGGCTAAGGTGGGAGGACTACTGGAGCCCAGGAGATGGAGGCTACTGCAAGCCATCATCATGCCACTGCACTCCAGCCTGGGTGACAGAGTGAGACCCTGTCTCAAAAAATTTGCAAAAAATATTATTGATAGGCAAGTGACAGAGATATAGAGCACTCAAGGAAAATTGTAATGACACAGCAAATTAGACTGATTAAAAAATTAAGCAGGTTTTAACTCCAGGAAAAACAAAGGGTGGACAAGAACATGGTTTATTCATTGTTTGCTCAGAAGCAAATAATATTCGTGTAGTCAAAATCATGTAAATGCTAACTTTTGAGTTGCTTGATTTAACTAAAAACTGTGATATAACTGAGTTAGGGAAATGGGGAGTGGGGAAATGGTAAAAAGGCAGTGGAGAGAGCTCAGTCCTCATTTACCAAAATGGGAAGTCAATAGTTAATATCTAAAACTGAAATTTAAAAAATAGCAAGATGGGCCAGGCGCGGTGGCTCACACCTGTAATCCCAGCACTTTGGGAGGCTGAGGCTGGTGGATCACGAGGTCAGGAGATTAAGACCGTCCTGGCTAACACAGTGAAACCCCGTCTCTACTAAAAGTACAAAAAATTAGCCGGGCGTGGTGGCGGGCACCTGTAGTCCCAGCTACTCTGGAGGCTGAGACAGGAGAATGGCATAAACCCAGGAGGTGAAGCTTGCAGTGAGCCCAGATCACGCCACTGCACTCCAGCCTGGGCAACAGTGCAAGACTCCATCTCAAAAACAACAACAACAACAAAAAAAGCAAGATAAGCATATAATTTCAAGACATGGACATGAACACCTGGGGATGCAGCCAAAGAGTTACAGTGGGACTGTTGGGGTTGGGGAAGGCTGGGGCAGGAAACTCCTAGTTTTGCATTATAAATATTTCCTTGTAGTACTATTTGACTTTTTAAACCACATAGATGTGTTATTTGGATAAAAATTAACTTTTAACTTAAAAAAGAAAGAATAGTGGGAGGTAATTCAAAATATTAGTAGTGGGTATATGTGGATAGTGTGATTACCAGTGATGTGAATTCACTCCATATTCTTTTTTTGTCTTGTCCACTGTTTAAAAAGTAATATGTGTTAACCTTACAATTCAAAAAGTACATTTTATTTTTTAAATACAATCAGGATGAAGAGAAAAAAAGAAAGGTTATATAGTTTGACACAGGTTAAAAAGTGATTTTCAAAAAAGGCAAAATTATGATTCACACAAAAATATAAAATGAACACACATCAAAGATAAATTAAGTGAGAGAATCAATGAGATATTACAGCTTATTCAAAGAAGTCAAAGAACTACAAATTTGCATACAGTAAAGAAATGTTGAAATGAATTCACAAAAACTAGTTTATCCATAAAGCAATAATTAGTTGCATTCTGCAGACAAAGTATGTATGTTTCGATGGACAACAATTACTTGCGTTGCTATCAGTTCTCTGTAACTTTTCCAGGGAGTTGTAAAATCAACAGGGTTGCACACTCCTATAGGATCAGATAATTCCCCAGAGGCTCCCTTGAAAGGATACCCAGTAAAGATTTTTGTCCATTTGAATGTCTTAAATTTCTCCTTATGTATAGTTAAGGGCTAATGAGTTAATGCAATCTTGTGTCTTAAAGTCCTGCTGGTTATTCAGTAGTGGGAAGCAAGTTTAGTTTGAATTCCTAGAAGCAAAAGCAAAAAGGGAAACTAGTTATAAATTTATTGGAGTGCCCAGTGGGGTTTAAAATACTTTGAAGCTGAAAAAGTTTCATTTCATTTTAAATTGCTTGTAATTTTTTTCTCTAGAGGTAAAAAGAGATCAATGCACCTTTATAGCCAGCTTCCTTTATTTGGGGGAAAATTACCAAAATGATCCCTCTATTTATAGAGCAATAGCCACCCGTTGCTCTTAGAAAACCCTATGAGGATGCCATTAACTCAAGTGCAGTTAGGTTAAGCGATGTGTTTAGTACAGGAAATTGGGTTTATTTTAAGTAATATCATGTTCTTGGAGAGTTGTTTTCTTTTTAATTCTTCTTAATTATTTTCTATAGGGATTTAGACTAGAACATCTCTGAAAATTAGTTTTTGGGGGGAGATATGTGTCTTTTTGAACAAGTATTTGCTCCTAAGAGAGAGAAGACTGGATTTCCCAAAAAGCCTATGAAAATCTGAGCTCTCTTATGCTAGACTGTGAAAGGGGGCTAAATTTGTCTGAACTGAATTATAGGAGCCACGTACACAGTGTTTTTAAAAATAATCCAATTTGGGGAAATATACTAGCAATTATTGAAATTCCCTTCTTCAAGCTGGCAAAGCCAGACCAAACACTACAGGTGTGGATTTCCTTGTTCCTATTGTTAATCATTCTGGTACAGTCTGTGAGCAGAAGGGACAGAAAAGATCAAATTTCGCCTTCCCAGAGCAAAACTCAGGAATTGTGTATTTTTCATATGTAAAGGAAAAATGTGAACTTGAATGTCTATTAATGAAGGATTGGGGGAAAAACAACAATTATAGCACAGTATATCCAAGCAATGAAATACCATGTAGACATTAAAAAGAATATAGAGGCCTGGCACAGTGGCTCACGCCTGTAATCCTAGCACTTTGGGAGGCCAAGGCAGGAGGATCACCTGAGGTCAGGAGTTCAAGACCAGCAGGGCCAACATGGTGAATCCCCGTCTCTATTAAAAATACAAAAATTAGCCGAGTGTGAGGCCAGGTGCCTGTAATCCCAGCTACTCGGGAGCCTGAGACAGGAGAATTGCTTGAACCCAGGAGGCAGATGTTGCAGTGAGCCTAGATCATACCACTGCACTCCAGCCTGGGCGACAGAGGGAGACTCCATCAAAAAAAAAAACAAAAAAACAAAAACAACAACAACAAAAACAAATATAAAAGGTATATATGAACTGATTTGGAAAGTCACATATGGTTAAGTGTAGGAAAATTTGTTACACAACACTAGATGAGAGTATAACCCATTTTTATGTTCATTTGTTCATTCATTCAACAAGTATTTCTTAAGCATTTCAATGGGTTAGAAATACAACAGCAAACCAACCAAAGTTCCTATTCTCATGGAGTGTACTTTGTAGTGGAGAGAAACAAACAAGAAACAAATACATATATGACGTTAGTAAAGAAAAATGGGGCAGGCCACTGAGATAGATATTTTCGAGGGTGCTGGTGTAGATCAAGTAGTCAGAGGCCTTTCTGACTACTCGATAAAATGACATTTGCCTTGAGACTACCTGAATACATATGTGCATTTATGTTATGTATATAATTATTTCTGTTAGGATTGTGTTTGGCACTATGTAACAGAGAACAACTGCAGTGGCTTAAACACCTCAGGTTATTTTTCTCACATTGAAAAAGAAGGCGGGGGAGAGCTGGTGCAGCTGCTCAAGGAACAATTACCCTCTATTTTCCCAGACTACTATCCTCCATGTCTGGTCACAAGATGGCAGCTGCCATTCCAGGATTCACACCCACACTTCAGGCAGGGCAAAAGGGGAAGGGCAAAGCACAAAAAGGCACAGACCAGCTACCCCCTGCCCCTTTTTTAATGAGGAAAATGATAGCATTTTCAGAAGGCCTTCCCCCAATAGACTTCTGCTTACCTTTCATTGGCCAACACTGTGTCACATGATGGCTCCTAGCTGCAAGAGAGCCTGCACACTTTAATTTCTCTGTTGAGCACATGCTGCCTTGAATGCAAGCTTGAGTGTGGGCAGGTATTTGGCAGTGTCTGTCTCATGAGTGCATTGAAGGCTAAAAGAAGGTACTCCAAATAGTTAACAGGGCTTGTCTCTGGGGATAGCATTTCAAGTGATCCCTAACCTTTTCCTTTATGATTGCTATCATTTGCAGCTGTATCATTCTGTCTGATAACAAATCTGGAATCTCTGGTCCCATCTCAGACCTACTGAATCAGAAACTGTGGGACTAGTAATCTGCAGATTTACTAGTTCAACAGGTGATTCTGAAGCTTGGGGAGGAGAGGGCTGAGAACCAGTGCGCAATACCATTTAAACAGAAAAAGAAGATATTTGCGTTTTGAGAGGAAAAATTATGACAAGTCAAGGATCTCATTTAAGTGAACAAGTGTTTTTCACAGTAGAACTACAAATACAGCCTAATTAATCAATGTGTCAAGCGTTTCTTCTTTCTTTTGAATCATTAGCATTTATTCAGGCCCTTAGCAGTAATGGTTTGTCAAAGCTGACATTCAGAAAAAGTATAAAAAAGAAAAAAAAATCAGCCTTGTGTTTTGATTAATTGCCATACATCTTTCTTATGTTTCATCTCCCAAATTTACAAAGATTTGATTTGGTTTATGGTAAACTTTTTTTTTTTTTTTTAGACAGAGTCTTGCTCTGTCACCCAGGCTGGAGTGCAATGGCCCTATCTCTGCTCACTGCAAGCTCTGCCTCCTGGGTTCAC
The DNA here is from genome assembly GCF_000001405.40 of Homo sapiens. Taxonomy (NCBI): domain Eukaryota; kingdom Metazoa; phylum Chordata; class Mammalia; order Primates; family Hominidae; genus Homo; species Homo sapiens. The sequence goes on from NC_000007.14 coordinate 25,977,596, forward strand.
GCCATTCTCCTGCCTCAGCCTCCCAAGTAGCTCGAACTACAGGTGCCTGCCACCGCGCCTGGCTAATTTTTTTGTATTTTTAGTAGACACGGGGTTTCACCATGCTAACCAGGATGGTCTCGATCTCCTGACCTCATGATCTGCCCGCCTCAGCCTCCCAAAGTGCTGGGATTACAGGCATGAGCCACCATGCCCGGCCTGTTTATGGTAAACTTTTTAAAGAAAAGTAAGTACTTCTCTTAACAATATGCTGCATAAAAGATTAATTATTTTTTCTTACCACAGGATGCAATTTTAGAATCCGAGAAACTATTCTACCCTTTAAATCTTCAAGAATCCAGAAAGGGGAAAAAAAGAATAGGGAGAGGAGGTGGGAGAAGAGAGAAGCCAGTGTCAGATGGGCAGGCTCGGACCACGGACTTGGACTTAAAGAACATGGCAGCTGACAACTGCAAACTATTTTCTATTTTCCTTCTCCTTGAAATGATAAGTGGGCAGGGAAAGAAAAAGGGAGGATGATACAATTTTGATTGGGTAATAAAGGCAATAGTGAGATTAATTTTTAGGCATTACCAAATGCCTAGTAATAAAACCTGTGTCTCTCAGCACCAAGAAGCAGGTTTTTCTTTTTTTTTTGCTGGTGTATAAATACCATAAGAATTTTAATTTCTTCTTTTAAAAAATATATTATGTAGCTGAGGCTTAATTAGCAGATGTATAAATGATCATGGAAAACTTGCAGCACCTGAAATGACATTTTACTAATTTGAAAATATATTGTCTCCAGTCATTATTTACAGAAAAACAAAAACTTTGTTGCTTTTGTCTTGCAAAACTTTCAGGTCTGTAAGCATATCCTGAATTAATTCATTATAACCATATATGTAAGAGACTAACAAGCCCATTACTCAAATTTTGTGAATCAGAAAATGTTACCCAGAGAAACGGTATGTATGTAATAAAAAATACTAGAATTTGACATACAATTTTAATGGTTGGCTCTTTCTCATTGAGATTTCACACCAAAAATGGATGACAAACTAGGATCTGAGTCAAAGCACAGATGTCCGGGGATGTCAGCCAGCAGGGAGGTGGCCAACTTTATGACACGGATCTTCTGAGGATCAATGAATCTTAGGTCACTAGTATGATCACTATCATACACTTCACAAATACAAAAATACTCTCAAAAAATTCTGTGGTTGCAAACATTTTTGTGGAAATTATAACTTTCGGTTCTTGCTTATTGCCATCGTTTTTATAAAATAAAATATTATTCTATATTCGCAGACATTTAAACTACTGAGCGAGACTGCTGACAGTACTCTCAAATATTGCCAAACTTGAGTAGACACAAGCAAAACAAGCCAGGAGAGTCGAAGTTGGATAAAGTAAAACTAAAGATGCTTCAATATAGAGAATCACTGGAATCTCTCCAATGCCAGATGAAAAATACCTAAGTATGAATGAGCAGCTTTTGTCTTGTAAGTTAGTTTTATACCTCTTTCTGTCATTTGAATGACTTAATCATTCATAAAGAATAGATCAATCAGCAGGAAAGTTTGAAGAAAAGAGAATCCCAGAGACAAATGCTAGGTGTGTTCATCCTAACCCTTTGAGAAACAGCTACCCAAGGGCAGCCAGCCAACCTTCATATTTCAGTATGTGGGTTTTGCCATCAAGTAATCTGCGGGGGTTGGAGATTTGAACCTCCCATCTTCAAACTGCTACCTATGGTGGGGCTTTTATTGGCCCCTCTATACCTCAATATCATCATCTGTAAAATAGGAATAATAATAGTTCCCATCACATAGGCTAGTTGTGGGGATGAAATGAGATACCATAACCTAAGTGTATTAGAATGGTGCTTGGCATGTGGTCAGCACTTAATAATATCAGCTATTATTATTACAATTCCTGTATAGTTATTTCAACATCAAATGTTGCTTTTGAAAAAATACAATCTAAGTATTGCATTTGAATGCTTCACACAGTTGAATATTAAGTTAAAATCATTAGAGTTTAATTTTTTAAATGATGCTCTCCTGTGGGGCCACTGAGTCTCTTGAGCATACAACACCACCACCACCACCCAACCCTTTCCCTGGTGGATTTCATGGAATCTGAAAGACAGAAATAGAACACAGCTGCTATATGTAAGTTGGGGAGGCCAAGGAAGCAACATACCTACTGTGGCAGACACACCCTAAGGTGACCTCCAATGAGTCACACCATGTATAAGCCCCTCCTCTTCAGGACGGGAAGAACCTGTGACTATATGTCACTGCCATCATTGGAAAGAGAGAGAGAGTAAGCAAGAAAGAGAGCAAGAGAAAGAGCGTATGAGCAACTCCATCTGGAGTCAGAGAGAGACAGACTCTCTCCTGAGCCTTGAAGAAGCAAACTTGCACATTGTGAGCCACCCATGGAGAGGGCCTGGAGGCAGGGACCTGTGGGCTCCTCCCGCTGAGAGCCAGGACGAAGCCAGGACCGTCCATCAAGCAGTACCGAGAAGCTGAATTGTTCCAACAACTTGCATGAGCTTAGAAGCCGATTCTTCCCTAGACCCTCCAGATGAGAACACATTCAAGGCCACACTTTGATTGTGGCCTTGTGAGACTGAGTAGGGGACCCTGTTAAGCCATGCCTGGACTCCTGGCCCACAGAAACTATGAGATAATCAAATTGCCTCTTAAGTTGCTAACTATGTGTGACAACTTGCTGCACAGCAGTAGAAAATGAATACACATGCCTTCACCTATGGTTCCTGTTATGGGTTGGATAGGTTCCCCAAAAGATGTTGCTGTTGTAAGCCCCAGTGCCTGTGAATTGGACCTTATTTGGAAATTGGAATCCTATCACAGATGATCAAATTAAGATAAGGTCATTAGGGTGGGCCCTAATCCAATTTGACCGATTCCCTTATAAGAAGGGGAAATTTGGACACAGAGAGATACATCAGAAGGAGAATGATGAGAAGGCCTAAGGAGAACACCGACTCCAAGACACAGGACACCTGCAGCTTCCAGAAGCTAAGAGAGGCATGGGGCAAATTCTCACGGCACTCAGAAGGCACCAACCTTTCCAACACTTTGGTTTTAGACCTAGCCTTCAGAACTGCAAGGCAATCATTTCTGTTGTTTAAGCCACCCAGTCTGTGGCACTTTGTTTTGCCAAACCCAAGCAACTAATACAGTTCCCAAAGGCAAGATGCTGGGAAGGGTTGCTTTCCAGTCATGGATGGAAAAGGACTGAGAGGAGCATAAAATTCATCCATGCATGCATCCATCCATCCATTCAATAGACACAGAGCCTTTACTTTGCCAGGTGTGGCACTACACAGTCACCAGGTGCCAGGCAGGCCCTATGTGCTATGCAGTGAGGTTACAGAGATCAAAGCACAGCCCTTGCCCTCAGAGAGCTCGCCATCGAAGGGAAAGAGGGTACAGCAGGTGTAATATGGTTTGCCACATGCTAGAGCCCAGGACACACAGAGTGTGGGGTGCTCACAGGAGAAACACTTAATCTCTTCCTGAGAGAGGTAAGGAAGGTCCCAAGAAGAGAAACATGGAAGAGGGGGTGGAAGAAGGAGAAGGGAGAGGGTGGTCTGAAGACAGGGACTCACATGGAGTCATAAAAGAGCAAGGACATTCTAAGAACTACTCGCAGTTCCACGTGGCCAGAGCCAAGCGGTCATGGGAATGAGGTGTAATGTGCTAGTGTGTGCCCTGCAGAAAGGTCTGAACTGTATCCCAAAGGCTGGGGCAGCTGCTGAGGAGCCTGATGGAAGTCAGCAACATGACTGGATTCAGGCAGGACTGGGGCAGAGGGTCCTGCATCACGGCCATGGCAGAGGAGATGCGTTCCAGAGATACTTAGGAGGCAGAATTGACAGAACTTGATGAGTGGCTGTATTGGAGAATTGAGGAAAAGAGAGGAGTCTAGAATGATTCCCATTTCTCCTGTTGACTAAGGAGGTGGTGGTAACTTTCCCCAAGCAAGGGGATATGGGAAAAGCTATAGGTTGGAAGGAAGATCAGATCACTTGTCAGCCCAGCAGCCATTGCCCCTCTTTCCCTTTGCTAAGACAGCCCCAATTTTGTTCGCTGTCCTCTAGCGGGGCGACGACATCAGGGGAGGCTGGACCCTCTCTCTGCACCCAGGCAGACAATCTCATTAGGCCTAGACCTGCACTATCCAATATGGCAGCCACTGGCCACTTGTGGCTATTGCCCACACCGTCTAGCAGCTAATTCAAACTGAGATATGCTGTGAGTGTTAAATACACACTGGATTCCAAAGTATGGTTGAGGGGGGAAGAATGTAAACATAAAATTAATAATTTCTTATTTAGTTATATGTTAAACTAACGTTTTGGATATATTGGGGTCAATAAAATACATTATTAGAACTAATATCTGTTTCTTTTTTTTTCTTAAAATATAGCTGTTAGAAAAATGTTTATTATATATCTGGCTCCTATTACATTTCTACTAGACAGCACAGGTGTAGTAAAAGTTTTCTTCCTTTTCCTTGCCTCTCTTACATGCTTTAGACATTGGCCAGAGTTCCCAGCCCCATTCCTTCACCAAGTAAAGGGTTTAGGTAAGGGTGTGAGCACGATGCCATTCTGGCCAATGAAAATGGGGGGTTGGCAACAAGTTTCTGGGAGGGCTTTTCTTTTTCTTAAAATGAAATATGAGATAGGGAGGGACATTCCTTTTTCTGCTATGGGTTTTGTTATCCCATTGCACTTCCTGGAGCAATGGCAGCTATTTTGAGGCCTTGAGAATAGCTGGCTTAAGAAAATGAACCACAGAAAAGATGGAGAAAAACTGTGTCCTTGACAACAAAATGGAATCCATGGATTTTTGTGTTAAACTTATGTTTTTGTGTTAAATAAATTAACCTATTGTTAAAACTGAGTTTGTTGGATTTCCTGTTACTTGTGACAAAAAGCATCATAACTGGCCCTTCTTGAGAAAGCAGTGTCAGAAGCCTGTTAAATGAGTGTGCGTTATTCCTCTACTTCACCGATATTCAAGTTTTTCTCTGAAAAATTAGGAGAAAATTGGAGAAATATTTGGGTAATTCTTTTGTAATTGATTCTAAAATGCCACCCTCTTTCATGCCTGTGAGGAAAAAAATCGTCAGTGGCTGCAATGGCCTTGGTAGGATAACACTTTTTCTGATTAATAATCTACTTTTTGTTCCCAATCTGTAAATAAGGATTAGGCCTGGGTCAGGAAATAGAGGATTGATTCATTCCTGTAGTAACACACATGTAGTTCTCTTGAGTTCTATAAACAGTGGGAAGGAAGCCATTTTTCTGGCCACCTGCCAGTCTCCAAACCATGCTGAACTTGGTTGTCAGTGTCTTTGAAGGCAGCTTTATGTGGCTTCATGGAGACAGGAGCTTGATGCGATAATCACAGTCTGCTCCATTTGTGGAACCCATATTAAAAATATCAATTTCATAGATCTTTTCTCTGGTGTTTGATTATATACTAATATGAAAATTTTGGTGTATATGACCTTGACCCACCAATCAACAGCTTTATTCATCTGTCCTCCCAAAGGTCTAAATATAATAAGCAGCCACCCTCAGAAGTGAGAAACACTGGGAACTCTGGCCAATATCTAAAGCATATAAGAGAGGCAAGGAAAAGGAAGAAAACTTTTAAAGCAGCATTGGCTACAGAGAAATTTGGGAGCGTGGAAGTAGAGAGAAAACAGAAAAAGTGTGGGAGCATGGTGTTGAAGGGACCTTTGAGGTCCCATGGTCCAGCCCCTTCCCTTAAACATGAGGTAATGGGGCCAGAGCGGGACTCTTGGCTCCTTCCTTCCGCATGCACTGAATGCCAGCCATGAACCATTCTCTGCCAAACACAGGACTATGAGGATAGGAAGATAACCATGCTCCTGCCCTCCTAGGGCTCTCAACACGAGCTGGTACAGAGTCAAGATCAAACCCAAGTTAGGGATTTTTTTGTTTTGTTTGTTTTTCCTGCAAAATCACTGCCCTTCTCTATCCCAGATATTAATCGGTACTGGCTCTCACACTAGTTCTGCTTTATATCTGTGCTTGTGGGGTTTGCTCACTATTAGATTAAGAAAATAAAGTGGTAAAACTTTGCTCAGATGTTTTTCTAAGGTCTTTCTCTCTCCCTCTCTCTCTCCCTCCTTCCTTCCTTGCCTCCTTTCCTTTCTTCTTCCTTCCTTCCAGCATATATTATTTCCCTGTGTAGATTTATGATTCTTCCTCACCTTGACCTTGCAACCAACGAAGACATTTCTTGGTTGGAATCACAATCCAGACAGAACTATTGCAAGCCTAGGATTCAAGAAGTAAGTGCCATGCACCACCCCGTTCTCATATTTCTCTGAAATGTTGACTTGCAATGTAGCTATCCTTTAGAGAAATAGGAAATAGGGCAAATTGGCATCCTTTGCCCCACCTGGAGCCTGGATTAATACACTGAAGTTAGAATGGCTGAAGGGGAGAAAGACCCAACACATTTAGAATGATATCCAGAGATGGCCCTGGGCACGGTGGCTCATGCCTGTAATCCCAGCACTTTGGGAGGCTGAGGCAGGTGGATTGCTTGAGCCAAGCAGTCTGAGACCAGCCTGGGCAACATGGTGAAACTCCATCTCTACTAAAAATACAAAAAAAAAAAAAACTAGCTGGGCATGGTGGTGGACACCTGTAGTCCCAGCTATTTGGGAGGCTGAGGTGGGAGGATCCCTTGAACCTGGGAGGCAGAAGTTGCAGCCTGGGTGACAGAGAGAGACCCCATCTCAAAAAAAAAAAAAAAAAAAAAGGGAGGTCAGCTGTCAGGGAGGACTCTCTCTCCCCTCTCCTCCCCTGGCCTTACATTCCACAGTCCCTTCTCCCTGAGTCCCAGCCCCAACCAGCCACAAAAAAGCAGGTCTGGGACTAAAGCACTGAAACCCTGGCCCAGGAGAGTTGGACAGGGCTGGCACATCTGAGGCAGGAGTGGCCAGTGACGAAAGGAGGATGGCAGGATCAATAGGGAAGGGGAGAAGAAGAGAAAAAGAGTGAAGGCCGGGTGCAGTGGCTTATGCCTGTAATCCCAGCACTTTGGGAGGCCGAGGCGGGTGGATCACCTGAGGTCAGGAGTTCGAGGTCGAGGCAAACATGGTGAAACCCCGTCTCTACTAAAAATACAAAAAATTAGCTGGGTATGGTTGTGGGCACCTGTAATCCCAGCTACTTGGGAGGCTGAGGCAGGAGAATCATTTGAACCCGGGAGGCAGAGGTTGCAGTGAGCCAAGATTGTGCCATTGCACTCCAGCCTGGGCAACAAGAGTGAAACTCCGTCTCAAAAAAAAGAGTGAAAAGAAATGTTTTCCCTACAGAGGCAGTGGGGGCATCAACCTGGATCTTCTGTGTGCCTCACCCACCACCACATTGTACCCACCAGCCAGATCTGTGTGCTCTTCAACAAATTCCAAACCAATCACTTCCTCCCTCCACCCTGTCCAGTGCACCCCCATCACCCATTTTAGGGCCCTTGCCTCCTAAATGGTTTCCTGACTTCCACTCTTTTCTCCAGAAAATTCACTCTTCAACAAGCAGCCAGAATGGTCTTTTAAACCATAAATCAGATCATAAGAACCCCCAGCAGCTTTTCCACAGCACCAACAATGCCTGTGTGATCTGAACTCAAAGTTCTTCCCTGACCTTAGATGTTTCCACTTGTCCCCCAGCTCACTCATACAGCCACACTGGCCTTCTTTCTGTTCTTTGCACAGCTAATCACATTCTTGCCCTAAGGCCTTCGAGCTTCCCGAGCTTCCCGTTCTCTCTGCCTGGAATGCTCTCCCTGCAGCTCCTGCCATGACTGTCTCCTTCACATCCCTCAAATTAGTTCAGCGTAAACACCTCCAGGCAGCCTTTTCTGACCACCCTGGGCCAGCCTCACTCTTCACCTTTATACCACTCACAGCTATTTGAAGTTATCTTGCCAATTCTTTTTTCTTACTTTTTTTTTAAGTCTGTTTTTCAACAAGACTGAAAGTTCTAGCACAGCGCAGAGATTGTGCCTATCTTGTTTGAGACTGTATCCACAGAGCCTAGAACAGAGCCTGGCACAAGAGTAAATGCTCCATAAATGTTTTGTTGAAAGAATGAGTGAGTAAATGAAGAGATGTGGGGTTGCCCCAGGAGTCCAGAATGAAGACCCCAGAGTGGGTTTGCCATTTTACACATAAAAACACAGTGCACCCAGTTATATTTGAATTTTGGATAAATAATGAATGCATGCAATGCTAAATAAGTATATGCCTCAAATACTGCATGCATTCATTGCTTATCTGAAATTCAAAGATAACTGGATGTCCTGTATTCTATCAAGACCTATTAAGGAGCTGGTGTGAGTTAAACAGAGCAAACACGACCCTCCAAGTTCTTTGCCTCATAGACCCTTATGGGTTGGAACAGACATGAACTGATGTAAAGAGCTGTTTTGTTCTTTCTTCTGGACTTCATGCATGTGCATGTTCAGCTATACTAAGGTGGTTTTGTTAATGGGTTTACCACCCCTCTCTCCTACCGCTAAGAGTACAGAATGGAATAGAGTGCAGTGAACACAAGAGCGAGGGAGCACACACAGCCACAGGAAGGCAGGACTTGTTTCAGAATGACACAACCACCCCAGGCAGCCCCTCTGCCAAGGAAGAGCTGTCCCTGCTCAAACCCTTTCTCATTGCACAGGAGAAAAAGGAGGCTTGATCATAAATGTTGGCAAAAATTGAATAATTAAATAAATTAAATTTTTACTTGGACTTTGCGATTGAAAGAAAGCCCACATTCTCACAAAAATATCTGCAGTTCTTTTAGTCTCAAAAATACCAAATCTAGCAACTTTATAAGTAAACAAAGTTACGTACATTCCAGTGTTATCTTGGTATGTCCATAAAATGGGTTCACATGTGTAAAGTGCATTTTAAAAGCAGTATATATTTCAATTTCCTCCAAAAGTTTAGTCAAAGGAATTTTCTTTTCTTAAGCCATGGATTCAAAATCTGATTCTAGAAATCATGCAGATGTACTGAGAAGTGGTCTGGTCCAGAAGCACAACCTCCAGGAAGTTGTGGAAAGGCCCTCAGGGGAAAGGGACTTTTGCATATCAAACAGGTCAGGTCCAGTCCCACCACACTGAAGGAAAGCAAAGTATGAGATGCTCTGTGTTGCACTCTTTAAAAGGCTGCAGTGGGTCAAGTTCATCCCTAGAGCCCTGGCACTTCCTCCAGAGAAAGCCCAGAGTCCTTATGTGTCCTGTCAAATTTCACATAAATGACAAATACCTTTGATGAATGCAAAATAGAATATTGTTAAATATATACCTCGGTTGTTTTACTTGTTTTGTTTTTGAGGCCAACAGGGCTACTAATTAGCAACAGCAATTTTTCCTTGGATTGATATAGCCATTTCCAAGGATCTCAGAGCAATTTATACATTTTATCCCATTTTATTCACAGTAACTGTCTAGGTAGGTTGGGTTTTGGTATTGACATCCTCTCCTTGAAATTTTGTGGACTGGGCAGGTGCCTAAAAAATTTAGTAATCTGCAATAAATTAGAAGCAGAAAGTCTTCTCTTACCCAAAACCAACTCAATACTTCAGCTGGCAATTAAAGGAGATACAAAGGTAATAACATTCATTGTACTTACCTACCAACTGTATCAAACATCCACCCTTTTCCCATTAGCCACATTGTTACACATTTTATATGTGTAACAATATATATATTCCCAAAGAATCTGTGATGATTGTAGAAAACACAAAGAAAAAAATATATAAATGTTCAACTAAATATATAAAATATTTACATATATAAACAGTATGCAGTGCTTTTTGTTCTTGAATCTAACAACATAGAACTTTCTAGAGCAGAGGCTTAATTTGTTTTATAGGCTTATAGGATCAACCTATAAAACAAATGAGCATGCTGATTAGTACTGAGAATAGGGACCTCAAAAACTGAGCTTACAGATTCTGGCTGAATGAAGGGATGATGCAAACAGAGATTAGACCCATCACTAAAAGCAAAGCTTACAAGTCATTGTTATTGCCATTACTTTTAATGGCAAGAACCACAATTACTTTTGCACCAACCTAATATATGCCAACGTATACTATCTTTTCACTGCATGGAAGATGTCCAGAGCTCCTGCTCGGCAACTTCACAGTGTTGAGCCTCAGCATTTGTATTGGGATTCCTGTGACAGCTCATTTTGTTACCATTAACCCATCTCAGCATTCTCATATCATCCAGCATTTTCTCCAGTAAGCCAAAATCCTATTTCTGGTTAGCTTCCAGATAAAAGGTATAAGCATACTACAGTGCTGAAGTCTATTCCTGGAAAAGAATTGTTTATCAACCAAAATTTTGTGAATTAAACCATATTTTAAATGGATAAAGTGAAATGAAAAATAAGGAGTTTGGTGGGGAGTCTACTGTTTTAAAAAGCCCAGCAATAAATTTTTTAAACCTACATGTCATATAACTTTTTATATTTTCTTTGATTTTTTAAAATCATAAGTAATAATAATGCACACTTATTTAAATAAGCCAAATAATACAGAGAGGTACCAACAAAAAGCTAATAATCAGCTGTAATCCCAGCTCACACCTGTAATCCCAGCACTTTGGGAGGCTGAGGCAGGAGGGTTACTTGAGCCCAGGAGTTAGAGACTAGCCTGAACAACATAACAAGACCTCATCTCTACAAAAAAAATATGAAAATTAGCGGGGCATAGTAGCATGTGCCTGTGGTCTCAGCTACTCAGGAAGCTAAGATGGGAGGATTGCTTGAGCCTGGGAGGTTGAGGCTGCAGTGAAGCGTCATTGCGACAATGTGCTCCAGTTCGGGTGACAGAGCAAGAAGACCCTGTCTCAAAAAAACAGCTAATAATCTTCTTACCAACTCCCTAATATTTCAGCTGCTATTTTCCCTCATGTGATTAATATTGATGGTTGGAGGCAGATTCTTCTACACTCTTCTCACAAAAATATATACAGACATACACATATACTCACTGAGTTTTTGATGGAATTGCAGCTCTTGTTTTCATTCTTATTATAACCAATTAGATTATACACATTATCCTTTATTTTTTCTGTCACTTAGCAAGGTAGAACAGATATCCCTCAGATCATTACATATGGTTCCATCTCACTGTTTAGTAACAGCCATGGTTATCAAATATTTACATAGTGTAACTATATAATGATTTGCTAACCATGCCCCTTTAGATGGATGTTCCATATTTTTCTTTTTCTTTGTTTTTCCTGCCACAAACCAAGCTGCAAGCAGCATGCTGGTACCGCCTTGCCTGTAGGACCAGTGACTCTTGTGCTTACATTCAAAGTTTAGATTTTTGCATACTAATTCTCCTTGAAAGAATTAGAAGCTAAGACTGTGTCATCAGAAGATCCAAGTTTTGTAGCCTGCATTATATAAACAGGAAAAGTCATCGCCTGTGCCTCAGTTTCCTCATCTGTAAATTAATAGAGAATAGATATCTGTTGGAGTAAACTACCATCTCTCTCTCTCTTGCTCTTTCTCTCTCTTTTTCACGCATGTTTTTACATCAATTGAGCTGAGTGCCAGTGAACCCTGAGCCAGCTTTCTGTATAACTAGAGCAGCAGCTGCTCCTTGCTGGAGGCAGGAAGTGTTTGTCCTGCAGGCCTTTGATCATCTCGTAGCCTTTCCACACTGGGAACAATTTTTTAACCATCTGCAGGCTCCGTAACCGGTTTGTGAACTTTCACTCTTCTGTAAACTTACAGAGTTGTATAAAAGTATGAACATTCAGCCTGAAAGCCATCTGAGCAACGGAGTCCTTTATAAAACTGCAACCTACTTATTCAACCCCAAAGGTGAAACTCCAGCAAATGTTTGTATATTTGATGAGTGCAAGCACGTAGGGTGTCAAGATGCCAGAAAGAGCTACAGGGCTCCAAAAATCCTTATTTTGAACCTATACCACCACAGAAAGTGATCATATTTCTCTGGCTATAATAGTAGAGTTGTAAGATTTAGGACTTAAAGAAACTAGATACCCAGTTAAATATGAATTTCAGATAAACCGCACATAATGGTTATTTTATTATTATTTATTGTACTATATATTACATAGTATTTTATGATTATAGCATTACATGGGGCGTACTTACACTAAAACATTATTCATGGCTTGTCTGAAACTCAAATCTAACGGGGCATCTTGTATTTTATCTGGCAGTCCTATGTGATAGAATAAATTTGTTCCCCCCTCTGTCCCCACCAATCCAGAGCTTTCTTTGCTTTTGTCTCTGTGTCAGAACCACGAAGTGGAAGGATTCACCTTTCCTTCCTCAGCCAAGGCTTCCCTGCAAATTTGGGCGAGCTCATGACTTGATCCCAGCTCCATCGGTATAAGGGGTCATCTAGGCCCAAAACTCTTTGCCCCACTTGTGGTTATCTTACATCTACTGCGTCAACTTTTCAGGTTGAAGGATCTCTGTATTTCAAACTTCCTCTCTCATTTTGACCATAAAAAATGGCCCACTCCCTGACTTAAGTCTGAACTTTCTAGACTGCATACTTTCTGTATTCTCTTGCCTCTTCTGCGTTTCTGGTGCCCTCAGGGCTTTACCTCCTAAAACTTCCAAATCAAGCTAAGAATGTTTCATCAGAAGATCCAAGTTTTGTAACTTGTTTCATGTAAACAGCGAAAGTCAGCACCTGAGCCTCAGTCTCCTCAATTTGTAAAATGGGTGTTGAATTCTATTAGGAGATACTCAAGATTGTTCCTAGCTCTGACATAATGTGGCTCCAGACTCTTCTCCCCTTGACTTCAATCCTCCTGGCCACAGCCTTCATCTGAGCCTCCCTTCAGGACGTAAGAGTGCCTATGTCCCAGTCTGATACTCAGTTTTTTGACAGAAACCACTTAGTATGGCTCCAAGGGTAGGATAGCCAATCCTTGCTCTTCTAAACATTTTCCTCAACTGTCTAACTTCATAAATTGTCAGCTTTTAACATTTGCAAAGTGCTTGACCAAGCAGAACACTCACCTTGTCAGAGATGGTCATTCCAAAAGTTCCTGTAGTGTAAATTATTGTCCTGTATTAAATCAAGCTATTTACATGTTAACACAATTAAGTACTACATAGCTGCAACAATCCGAAATTCTGTTGACTTTTACTACATAGAAATCTTCATAAGACAATGTTTGGCCCCAAACAGAAATACAGGTTTTTTTAAAGAATGACCAGGCAAGATGTATAAATACACATGAACAACAATCAGAAGAGAATTCAGAAGAGTAAAATGTGTTTCAAACACAGAAATTTAAAAAAATAAAATTGCGTTTATTTATGTATTTATTTATTTATAGCGTTTCTCTATAGTTTGAGAAACGCTAAAAAAATTCCTAGCTCTCTCATCTTTTAAAACTAAGAAAAATCAGCTGGGCACAGTGGCACATGCCTGTAGTCCAAATTAATTGGGAGGCTGAGGTGAGAGAATCCCTTGAGCCCAAGAGTTCCAGTCCAGCCTGGGCAACATATTGAGACCTTGTCTCTAATTTTTAAAAAAGAGAGAGAAAAATAAGAGGTCAAGGGAGTAAATGAGGGAGGGATCTGGTGGGAGGTGATTGGATCATGGGGTCGGTTTCCCCCATGCTGTTCTGGTGATAGTGAGGGAGTTCTCATAAGATCTGGTGGTTTAAAAGTGGCAGTTTTCCCTGAGCTCGCTCTCTCCTGCCACCATGTAAGGTGATTGCTTCCCTTTTGCCTTCTGCCATGATTATAAGTTTCCTGAGGCCTCCCCAGCCATGCAGAATTGTGAGTCAATTAAAATTCTGTTCTTTATGAATTACCCAGTCTCAGGTAGTATCTGTATAGCAGTGTGAAAACAGACTAATACAATTAGTTTAAGCAAAAAAGAAGAATATATCAGAACCAAGGACAGAATCTGTTGGAAACTATCAAGATTTTTTTCATTCTGTCCCTTATCTCTGCCTCTAAAAAAAAATTCATTTGTCAAAAAAAAAAAAAAAAACCCAGAAAAATAATAGAGAAAATCAGTAAAGTCAAAAGCTGCTTCTTTGAGAAGATCAATAAAACTGGCAAACCTATGGCCAGAAGTGATGAGGACCATAAAAGAGAAGACACAAGTGATCAATATCAGGAATGAAAGAGGTGGCACAACTATATATTCTATGACATTAAAAGAACAATAAAGGAATATTTAAAGCAACTTTATGCCTATAAACTCAACAATTTGGATAAAATAGAAAATTCCTTGAAAGATATATTACAAAAGCTTACTCAAGAAAAATAGATAACTTGATTCTCCCTGTATCTATTTTATCTATTTATTTATTTAGATGGAGTCTCACTCACTGTGTCATTCAGGCTGGAGTATAGTGGTGTGATCTTGGCTCACTGCAACCTCCACCTCCCAAATTCAAGTGGTTCTCCTGCCTCAGCCTCCAGAGTAGCTGGGATTACAGGTGAGCACCACCACACTCAGCTAATTTTTCTATTTTTAGTAGAGACAGGGTTTTACCATGTTGGCCAGGCTGGTCTTGAGTTCCCGACCTCAAGTGATCTGCCCACCTTGGTCTCCCAAAGTGCTGGGACTGCAGGCATGAGCCACCATGCCTGGTTGCCCTGTATCTATTTTAAAAACTGAAATTGTAGTTTACAATCTTCCCAAAAAGAAAACCCCAGGCCTAGATGGCTTCATTGGTGAATTCTACCAAACGCTTAAGGAAGAAATAATATCAATTCTACACAAACTCTACCAAAAGAATTGAACAGGAAGAAATACTTCTCAACTCATTCTCTGAGGTCAGCATTATTCTGAAATCTAATCCAACAATATGTTAAAAGGATAATACATCCTAACCAAGTGGGGTTTATCCTGAGAATGCAGGGCTGGCTTAACATTGAAAATTAATTCAATGTAATTTATGAGATTAATAAATTTAAAAATAAAAACATATGATCATCTCAGTAGATACAGGAAAAGCATTTAACAAAATCTAACATTCATTCCTGATCAAAGCTCTCAGCAAACTAGGAAGAGATGGAAACTTTCTCAGCCTGCTAAGGACATCTATTAAAAAACTATCTACTTAATTAAAACACTACACTTAATGCTGAAGAATTGAATGCATCCCCTCTAAGATTAAGAACAAGACTGTTATGTTCACTCTCCTCACTTCTGTTCAACACTGTGTGGAGGTTCTGATCAGTGCAATCAGGTGAAGAAAAAAGAAAATAAAAGAAAAATTCATCCAGATTAGAATGGAAGAAATAAAACATCAGATAATCATCTATATAGAAAACCCAATGTAATCTACAAAAAAAAACAAAACAAAACCTGCTAGAACCAGTAAGTAAATTTAGCAAGGTTGCAGGATACAAGAGCAATATATAAAAATCTACTATACATGTATATGCCAGCAACAATCAGATATGAAAATTGAAAAAAATACAATTCACAATAGCATAAAAATATAAAATATTTAAGGATACATCTGACAAAAGACATGTAAGACCCATACACTGAAAACCATAAAACATGTCTGAAAGAAATTTTTAAAAACCTAAATAAATAGCAAATGGATTAGAAGAATCAATATTGTTGACATGTCAATATTCTTCAAATTGATCTATAGATTCAGTGTAATTGCTATTAAAATCCTAGCAAGCTTTTTTTTTTTTTTTTTTTAAACAGGGTCTTACTGTGCTACCCAAGCTGGAGTACAGTGGCATGATCATGGCTCACTGCTACTTTGACTTCCCTGGGCTCAGGCAATCCTCCCACCTCAGCCTCCCAAGTAGCTGGGACCACAGGCATGCACTACCACGCCTGGCTAATTTTTGTATTTTTTGGTAGAGACAGGGTTTTTCCATGTTGCCCAGGTGAGTCTTGAGCTCCTAGGCTCAAGCAATACACCTACCTCAGCCTCCCAAAGTGCTGAGATTACAGGCGTGAGCCACTGTGTCTGGTCCAGCAATCTTTTTATGTAGGAACTGACAAGTTGACTTTAAGTTCATATGAAAATGCAAATGACTTAGCCAAAATAAGTGTGAAAAAGAACAAAAAAATTTTTTTGAATCGATATTGTTCAAGCGATCTGCCCATCTCGAACTTCCAAAGTGCTAGGATTACAGGTGTAGGCCATCCTGTCCAACCAGAAGAACAATATTAAAAGGACAACACTCACTGATTGCAAAAATTATTATGAAGCTACAGTAATCAAAATGGTGTGTTTGATGTAGAGAGAGACAGATCAATGGGAAAGAACAGAGAGTCTGGAAATAAATCCACACATATATGGACAACTGATTTGGGCAGGCACAAAAAGGTAATCCTATGGAGAAAGTATGGCCTTTTAAACAAATGATGTTGGAACAATTGGCTATCTATATGCAAAAATAAAGGTGAATTTGGATTTATATCTTGCACTGTATTAAAAAATTAACTGGAAATTTATCATAGACTTAATAGAAAGCCTAAACCTATAAAATTTCTAGAATAAAACAGGAGAAAATTTTTGTGACCTTGGATTAGGCAAAGGCTTTTTAGGACAACAAAAGCACAACCAATAAAAGAACAAATAGATTGATTGGACTTCATCAAAATTAAAGACTTTTGCTTTTCTACTAAAAGAATAAAAAGGTACTCCACCAACTGGAAGAAAATATTTGCACAGCATCTATCAGATAAAGAATTTATACCCAGAATATATAAAGAACACTCCAAACTCAACGATAAGAAAAAAGACAACCCAATAAAAGACGAACAAAAGATTTGATCAGATCCTTTACAAAGAAAATCAAGAACACTTCACAAAGGATCTGCAAATAAGCACAGGAAAAGATGCTCAACATCATTAGTCACTAAAGAAATACAAAATAAAAATCACAAGATACTACTACACATCTATTAGAATGGCTGCAATTAAAAAGACTGACCATGTCAAGTGTTGGTGAGGATATGGAGGAGGCTCTTTATGCCTCAGTTCTCTTACCTGTAAAATGGCACCTACTTTATAAGGTCGTTATGAGGATTTAATGAGTAAATACATCTCAAGTGCTTAGAGAAAGTGCCTGGCACATGGTAGGCAGGGCATGAATGTCTATTGTTTTCATTCTCCCACTAAGGAGGTGTGATAACCCACATCCGTCTCTAAGGGTAAGCAGCAATTTAACAAGAGAAGAAGAAAGGGGAAGGGAATTGGAGCAGAGCAAAGGCCACTTGGACATCTAAGTGAGACAGGGAAAAAACTGTGAAAGGGGAAACTCATTAGTTATTTACAGGCCTTTAGCCTCATTTTCAGGAGGGCAGTCCCTGGTAATCAGGAGGGCCTTTGTTTGCTGAAGGTATGGAGGAGGTGAGGCTGCCTCTGGAGAGGTGGTTTCTCCAGCACAGCTGCTGGGGCAGAGTGTGGGGTGCACTTGCTGCGAGGAGGGAATGCTAGGAGAGGTGACCTGCCTCATGGAAGTGACATTCAGAATGCTGTGCATTGAACTCTCACCACCAGCAAGAGCAATAAGCTCAGGAAAAACGTTCATTTCTCTCTGGTACCTTTTAATTTGAGGAATCAAGAAAAGTGACAAATTCCTTCTCCATGGTAGGTAGAGGCTGAGGACCCAGCCTGCCCTTGAGCCCTAGGTAACAGTGGGTTACAGAGATAGAGGACCGCAGTGGTCACTAACTGCCTTCCTGAGCACCTCCCACATGCCAGGCATTGGGCTAAGGGCTGCAGGAGCCCAATGATTAAGACACACTTTCTGCCCTTGACGACCTCACAGGTCCAGCTGGAAGACAGACCAGGAAGCAAATAATTACAATTAAACACTGTCACATTACTGTTAGAAGGGCCATACGAGAGGCTAGTGTAAAATGCCTTAAAAATGTAGATACAGAAACAGTCTCACCATGGAGCAGATTACAAGTACTAGGACTAAAGGAGCAAATATTAGAAGTAAAAAGAAAGAACATTTCCCTGCTAATTTTGGCATCCTTAAGCCACCCATAATGAAAACAGCTTCTTAATCAAATCCAGCTTTTATTTCCAGGCTGAACCACAGCCCTTTCTGTTTTCCTCCTAAGCCAATATAATGTTTTATTCCAAGCTGTTTTCTCCCATCATCTGTCAAATAGGGCCACTTTAGATCTAATACCAGCCTCTTGATGGGGAGCAGGGGCTGCATTAGTAGAAGAATGTCCTTACATCCCTGCAGAACTCTCTGGGTTCTTTGCTATTACTAGAAAAGATCAGAAGAAAAAGATAATATAAAATTAGGTGATTTAGCTAATATCCTCCTATCTGGTTCTGAGGACTATTCAGACTAGGAATGAGATCTGTTCTTTCGTTTTAATTTGAGCACTCTTGATTCCTAGTACGGAAATGCACTATAAGCTCTGACCATAATCCTTCTCTTAGTGTTTGTTTGTGTTGCAATATTTACATTTGTGATCTTCAGAATCATTAATGCTGCTCTGCAGCCATTGTCTCATCAAGTGAGCTAACAAATGATCACCCATCAATAAGAACCTGAAAACCTGGCACCTACAGAGATCGAAATAACCGTCCCCAGAAGCCCGATACACAATCATAACTCAAGCAGCAGTGGGGATCCACAATGCTCACACTCCCAGACGGTAATGGTCTAGCCTCCAACTCAGGCTGAAGAATGACCACAAGTGGGCACTAAATTCCCTGTCAGATGTCTGAAGCCCCACGGCTTAATTATTAGCACTAAGATTACAGCCTCTATATCAATGTGACTTTACTATTTGTTCAAAGAAATTCTGGCTCAGGAAGATAAGGCCATAAACCAATAAGATACCTCCAATACTCATTTATCAAAAATAGACTGCTCAACCAGCCATCTTCTCAGGACAATAGGTTATTCATACAGGTAAACAGTCCCCTTCCCAAGACAGTAGGTCACTCACCTGGGCAAATCTACTTGCCTATCAAACAGTTATTCATGAAGTCTCACCTTAAAACTCTCTTCTTTGTTGCATCCATCAACTCTAAACAATTTTATCATAAACTTTGCCTAATTCTAATCAGATTACTGATTAAAATTAAACCACTTGAACTCAGGCCCCAAAACTCAATGACTATTTTTCTTCTGACACACTACTAAGTCTCCACCAAGGTGATACTTTCCCTTATTATAGTAAATAATAAACTCAGCTTTGTTTGATCAGCTGATTATTCTGATGGTCTTTCAGGAGCGTCAGATACTCCAGATGGATTAAATGAAGGAAATGTAATGAAGCAGCTCCTTTCAGAAGTGAAGGCAAGATTACTGCGATACACGAGGAATAGTGAGGTGTCCAGGGACCAGCAAGAGTGGGAAGCCATTGCCACCCCTAGGGCTGAAGGGACAAGGGGAGGAATTAGTGTCAGTGGAACCCAGCAAGAGTGGAGACTATAGAGTCATGGCTGCCCAGCCAAAGCGGAAGTCATGAAGGCCCACACCCACCATCACAAATCAGGGGGAGCAGGGAGGGAACACTGCCTCTGCTTCTCTTGCCCTTCAGTTGCCTGCTGGTTCCTCCCATTAGACAAACCCAAATGGAAGCCAGCAAGCAAGCAGACCCCAATAATGCCGGAAGCAGTCTGCTGGGGGCCAGCGAAGGGCAGAGAAGGGAGGAGACTGGATCTGTGTGAACATGGGGAAATGGGATGATAAGTGAATAACCAGTACACAGCACAAGGAATATTGGTTGAATGAATGAATGAATGAATCCCCACTGGTCTTCAGCAAGGTTATAGTAATAGTATTTGCTAACGAATGAATAAATGAGTTATACTGAATATGCATTATCTCTACTTAGCATATTGGCTTTGCGGGGGGCAGGGGGATCATAATCAGTAAATGTCAACTTTGTTCCTTTGCTTAAAACTTTATTTCAGCCAAGATAGACAAGGCACTGATATTAGTCCATTCTCACATCACTAATAAAGACATATCCGAGCCTGGATAATTTATAAAGGAAAGAGGTTCAATTGACTCACAGTTCCGTAGAGCTGGGGAGGCCTTAGGAAACTTAAATCACAGCAGAAGGAGGAGCAAACACTTCCTTCTCCACAAGGCGGCTGCAAGAAGTGCCGAGCAAAAGGGGGAAAAGCCCCTTATAAAATCATCAGATCTCGTGAGAACTCACTCACTATCATGAGAACAGCACGGAGGTAACCACCTCCATGATTCAATTACCTCCCACCGGGACCCTCCCACCACATGTGGGAATTATGGGAACTACAGTTCAAGATGAGATTTGGGCGGGGACACAGCCAAACAATATCAGCACTCAAAGAGTAAAACAGAGAAGAAAAATTGGGCATGTTTTAGAGATTTCATAGATGTTATCTGTGGTATAATTTGGCTTAAAGCCTGGACTTAGGAGTTCTGGCACAAATATCCTTCACCTACTCCCTAAAATATCATCAAACCAAGACTTCTTATCTAGGAATTTTACCATAATTGCAAGAGCTAACCACATCACATTTTCTGGAAGGACTTGAAAAGGTTAGCAAATTTGGAAATACCACCAAATAAGAAGTTGCCAAAATAATCCTTTTTTAACAGTTCTGTTTTAAATTATGTAGTCTAGTAGAATGTGAGCTTATGAGAGTTGGTCAAAGCCAAGGAAGCAAACTAAGTTTTTGGGCTATCTGCCCTGTAACAGATAGCCCCCAGTATAATTAAGGGTTAAAAACCTCTAGTTCTGAAATCAGATAGACCTGGTTTTGAATCTTATACTATGTGACTTTGGGCAAATTACTTGCATCCCATGCCTCAGTTTCCTCATCTGTAAAATGAGAATATTATTCCGTGCTTCTTTTTTTTTTTATTGGTGGCTATTATTTTTGGCCACCACATTCACCCCCTACCCCTTTCAATACTTTTTCCTATAACCCGGGACCGGAAGTCTGGCAACTGCTACATGTCCATCTCCATTTCCTTCACGGTTCTTAAAACTGTATATAAATACATTCTGCCAATGATATGCCCCTGTGCAAGTTTCGGAAGTTCAAGCTTTAGCAGATGTGAGCTTCACAGCAACTTCTAAGTTTTCGCTTCCTAGTTATCAGCCTGGGTGCTTCAGGACGGCTATGACCAGCGGTGACCATGGGCAGCAGTTTTCTGTTGTTTTCCTCATCTCAGTGGTGGCAGCAGTTTCTCAGAGTAAGACTGTATGGGTGAACCTAAAAGCTCACGGTGCCTCCCGTGACTTTTGCTCCTTCAGCCTTTTAAACTTTTTTATTTTAATGAACTTCTAATTCCTTCCATTAAACTTCTTCCTACATAAAATATCTAAGGTCTTTTCTTTTATTTTGAGACAGGGTCTCGCTCTATGACCCAGGGTGGAGTGTAGTGGCACAATCACCGCCCACTGCAGCCTCAACCTCCCCCCACTCAAGTGATCCTCCCACCTCAGCCTCCTGAGTAGCACGGACTACAGGCGCATGCCACCATGCCCAGCTAATATTTTGTATTTTTTGTACAGACAGGGGTCCACCATATTGCCCAGGCTGGTCTCAAACTCCTGGGCTCAAGCGATCTACCCACCTCAATGTCCCAAAGTGCTAGGATTACAGGCATGAGCCACCATGCCCGGCTGGTTTAGCTTTTTCTAACTGAACCCTGAATGAGATCTACCAGAGTGTACTAAGTTTTATACCCCAAAAGTACCTTTTATAGAAATGATCCTTGAATTAATCACTACTGTGGAGGTCCTTCATCATGTGCATAACTGTTATGGATTCTTCTATAAAACTGAAGACTTCAGAATTCTCCAAGGCAATGAAGACAAGTTAACAACTATGTTAATCATCCTAATAGCACTTTGATTTAAAATCCGTTTATTTGGTTCACGTGACCATTTCAAACACCTTATTTATAGACTTATATAAAATATAGGCTGAACCAGGTAAATGAGTAATATTTTGAAAAGAATCTTTTTTTCTGAGCAGTAGGTCTTACAAGTGGGCTTTAAAAATTCAGTAAACCATGCTGTAAACAGATATGCTATCATCCAGGATTTGTTGTTCCATTTAGAGCACAAGCAGAGTATATTAATAATTCTTGGCCGGGCACGGTGGCTCAGTCTGTAATCCCAGCACTTTGGGAGGCCGAGGCAGGCGGATCACGAGGTCAGGAGATCGAGACCATCCTGGCTAACACGGTGAAACCCCATCTCTACTAAAAATACAAAAAAATTAGCCGGGCGCGGTGGCGGGCGCCTGTAGTCCCAGCTACTCGGGAGGCTGAGACAGGAGAATGGCGTGGAGCTTGCAGTGAGCCGAGATCACGCCACTGCACTCCAGCCTGGTCGAGGGAGCGAGATTCCGTCTCAAAAAATAAATAAATAAAAATAAATTTAAAAATAAATAAATAAGTAAGAATAAATTCTTAAAGCTCCTAAGATTTTCAGAATGGTAAGTGAGCACTGGCTTCAACTTAGTCACCAGCTTCATTAGACCCTAACAAGAGAGTCAGCCTGTCCTTTAAAGGTAGACATTGACTTCTCTCTAGCTATAAAAGTCCTAGATGGCATTTTCTTCCAATAGAAGGCTGTTTTACCTATATGGAAAATCTGCTGTTTGGTGTAGCCACCTTCATCAATGGTTGTAGATAGATCTTCGGGGGAACTTGCTGCAGCTTCTACACCAGCACTTGCTGTTTTGCTTTGTACTTTCATGTTATGGAGATGGCTTTTTTCCTTAAATCTCGTGAACCAGTCTCTGCTAGCTTCCAATTTTTCTTCTGCAGCTTCCTCACCTCTCTCAGCCTTTGCAGAATTGGAGAAAGTTAGGGCCTTGCACTAAATTAGGTTCTGGTTTTAAGGGAGTGTTGTAGCTGATTTAATCTTCTATCCAGACCACTCAGACTTTCTCCATATCAGCAATAAGGCTTTCCTTTTTTTTTTTTTTTTTTTTTTTTGAGACGGAGTCTCGCTCACTGCAAGCTCCGCCTCCCGGGTTCACGCTATTCTCCTGCCTCAGCCTCCCGAGTAGCTGGGACTACAGGCACCCACCACCACGCCTGACTAATTTTTTGTATTTTTAGTAGAGACGGGGTTTCACCGTGTTAGCTAGGATGGTCTAGATCTCCTGACCTCGTGACCCACCCGCCTCGGCCTCCCAAAGTGCTGGGATTACAGGTGTGACCCACTGCGCCCAGCCTGCAGTAAGGCTTTCTTATCATTCATGTGTTCACTAGAATAGCACTATAGCATTTTTAATTTTCTTCAGTAACTTTTCCTTCACATTCACAACTTGGCTAACTGGTGCAAGAGGCCTAGCTTTTGGACTATGTCAGTTTTCAACATGTTCTTCTCACTAAGCTTAATCATTTCCGGATTTTGATTTGAAGTGACATGTGCAATGCTTCTTTTCACTTGAACACTTAAAGGCCATTGTTATTAATTGGCCTAATTTCAATATTGTTGTTTCTCAAGAAATAGGGAGGCCGTAGGAAAGGGAGAGACATAGGGGAGTGGCTGATGCATGGAGCAGTCACATACACACATCGTTTATCCATTAAGTTCACTGTCTTATATGGGTGCAGTTCATGGTGCCCAAAAACAATTAAAATAACAATATCAAAGATAGCTGATCACCAACAGTATTGTAACAAATATAGTAATGATGAAAAAGTTTGAAATAATGTGAGAATTATCAAAATGTGACACAGAAACATGAGGTGAGCACATGCTGTTGAAAAATAGCATAGACAGACTTGCTGAATGCAGAGTTGCCACAAATTTGGGTTGCTTCAATTTGTAGAAAGTGCAACATCTGTGGAGTGTGTTAAAGCAATGTGCAACAAAACAAGATATGTCTGCACTCCATTTTGTATTAAAGCAGCACTCCACCCCTCCTTGATAAGGTTGTAAGCTTCTTGAAGACAGGAACCAGGCTTTACCAACTGGAGGAACTCTTGGTATGGTGTTCTGCATAGTAAAAATATCACTGAGGAAATCACAAGTTCACAGATTTGCAGAGAGAATCACCATTTGAGCCTTCCTTTAATGCCTGAGGTTTTCAAAGCCAAGTCCAGTCCTGACTTGCCTTAAACATCTAATTAATCTTATCTCTGGACTAATGAAACTGATTACATGGCACTTTGTAAATATCTAAGGTACTCCCCAAAAGATAAACAGCGGCAATGGTCAAGATCAAAGCGTTGGGTATGGAATGCAACTGTTATGGCTCGAGGGTCATGGCTGCCTGGAAGAACAATAAACGCAGCCTGGCTTTGATCATCTCACTCTGAACACAGAACCTTCAGTGGTTCCTCACTGCCTTCAAAAGCCCACACTTCTTGGCAAACTCCTCTGTGCCCCTACCACCTGGTCTCAGCCCACCCTCCCTGCCTTATCTTCCAATGCCTTTCACTACCATGAACAAGCTCACCAAACACTCCGTGAACAACTCATGACTGCACTGACTGGCTTCCTGGTCTCCAAATACTCCCTTTTCTTTCCCCTGCCCCTCCCCATCCAGTGCATTCTGCATCAGCCAGCTCAGGTCCCTCCTCTTCTCAGAACCATCATGTAATGACCCTTTCCTGCCACCTTGTACAGTTGACACTTCTTACATACTCATTAAGCACTTTTCATGTATTATCTCACTTCTCAAAATTATAAAGTAGGATTATTTCCTCCATTTTATGGATGAGGAAACTGAGGCAAACACCCTAATATTTTCAGACTGTGTAATTCAAGTCTCAGATAATATTTATAGCTCACTTATGCTCCAGAAGAAAATCTGGCTAATTTACTCCTAAGACAGCTGATGGACATCTATAAGATTTCTTAAACAAAGCAGTGAGTGCTTTCAAAATTCAGTATAATAATCTCAAAATTGCAACAGCATATATGGTATTTAAAAATACTTTACACACGTAGGCCAGGCACAGTGGCTCACACCTGTAATCCCAGCACTTTGGGAGGCTGAGGTGGGCGGATCACAAGGTCAGGAGATCGAGACCGTCCTAGCTAACACGGTGAAACTCTGTCTCTACTAAAAATGCACAAAATTAGCCGGGTGTGGTGGCGGGTGCCTGTAGTCCCAGCTACTCAGGAGGCTGAGGCAGGAGAATGGTTTGAACCTGGAGGGGCGGAGCTTGCAGTGAGCCAAGATTGCGCCACTGCACTCCAGCCTAGGCAACAGAGCAAGACTCTGTCTCAAAAAATAAATAAATAAATAAATACTTTACACATGTAAAGATGCTCAATATCATTAATCATTAGAGAAACGAAAAATCAAAGCCACAATGAGATACCCCTACACGCCCATTAGGATGGCTACGATTAAAAAAAAGAAAGAAAGAAAATAAGTATGGGTGAAAATAGGGAGAAATTGAAACCCTTGGGCATTTGCTGGTGGGAATATACAAGGTGCAGCTGCTGTGGAAAATATTTGGTAATTCCTCAAAAAATTAAACATTGAATTACCATATGATTCAGCAATTCCTCTTCTAGCGTTGAAAGCAAAGACTCAGATATTTGTACACCTGTGTTCATAGCAGCATTATTCACAATAACCAAAATATAGAAATAAACCAAATGTCAAAGATGAATGGATAAACAAAATGTGGTCTACACATTTATTGAAATATTATTCAGCTTTAAAAAGCAATGAAATTCTGGCACATGCTACGACACGGATAAACCTTGAAGACATAATGCTAAGTGAAATAAACCAGTCACCAAAGGACAGATGTTATATGATTCCACATAGATGTGCCAGCTGGAATAGTCAAACTCACAAGTAGAATAGTAGTTGCAAGGGGCCAAGGGGAAAAGGGAATTTAAAGTTCGTGTTCCACGGCACACAGCTTCACTTTGGGAAGATAAAAAGTTCTGGGCTGGGCACGGTGGCTCACGCCTGTAATCCCAGCACTTTGGGAGCCTGAGGCAGATGGATCACGAGGTCAAGAGATCGAGACCATCCTGGCCAACATGGTGAAACACTGTCTCTACTAAAAATACAAAACTTAGCTGGGTGTGGTGGTGCACGCCTGTAGTCCCAGCTACTCAGGAGGCTGAGGCAGGAGAATTGCTTGAACCAGGGAGGCGGAGGTTGCAGTGAACTGAGATCACACCACTGCACTCCAGCCTGGTGACAGTGCAAGACTCTGTCTCAAAAAAAAAAAAAAGAAAAAGTTCTGGAGCTAGATGGTGGTGATGGTTGCACAACAATGTGAATAATGCCACTGCACACCTAAAAATGGTTAAAATGGTAAAATTTTATGTGTATTTTACTACAATAAAAAATACAAAGATACTTTTATATCATGCACTTGATCCTCCCAAACACCCTGCCAGGAAGCAGAGGGGATTTACAAAGCAGAATCGGGTTCATGGTTCTGGGTAGGGCCCGAGACTCTGCATTGCTACTCTGCATTGCTACCCTGCACCTGGTGATGCTGGGGATCTACAGACCACAGCCCTGGGGCAGGACAAGTAGGTGGCAGGAATGAGATGCAAAACCTGATTCGTTATACTCACAGTCTTTTCTTTTTTCTTTCTTTCTTTTTTTTTTTTTTAATACCTTATACTCACAGTCTTTTCTTTTTTCTTTCTTTCTTTTTTTTTTTTTTAATACCTTATACTCACAGTCTTTTAGCTCTTTCAGGGAATCCCTCAGAAGCGACTCCAACCTCATGAGGAGGAAAGGGCTCACTGAGAACACAGATCCTCACCATCTTGATGGATTGATCAACTGAAATATTTCCAGGTGACCATCATGAGGCTCACCCATTGTTGTGAATGCCACAGACACCCTGAGGATATCTAAGTTACACCCGCCTTTGATCTTACACAGATTGCTTTTTTTAAAAAAAAATAAAAAAGACTACCTGTACTTCAGCTAAAATTAAACTATAATAGAAACTAATTGGATTGCAAACTAGTTGAACTACTTAAAGCTTTCCTTCACAAGATTATTTGTCAGAAGTTCTAATCCCTGATGCATATCAAAATCATCGTTTATTTTTTAAAATACCCATGCCCAGGACCCAGAGAGACTGATTCAATGGGTCTGCTGCTTAGTTTTGTTTTTCAAGTTCTCCAGGTAATAGCAGTCAGAGATGGAAATCATTGACCTAAGATTAAAACGCAACCTAAATTCAAGATATTTAATAAATTGCATTGGTTTATCTTCTTGATTGACATTACTAGATATCAGAATAAAAGTCTGGTATATTTTATTTGTTAACTCCAAATGCAAACAAAATACTTCAGCTATTTCATTGGGTCTAAATTTACTGTAGGGGCAAACTTTACACAAAATCACACAAGACTGCTAGCAGCAATTACATGCCCCTAGCAACACAAGGGTTAATTTTAGCATCATAAAACTCTCAGTTGGACCCACCAGTCTACTTAAAATTATGGTTAGGTTTATCTGCTTCATTCAAATCAATAGCTGCTTTACTTCCCCTGCTGAAACAGAGCTTGCCACCACAGCCATATTGATGTTACCCTTCTTATTGATTATCATCGTTCATATTCAGCCATAATTTGGATATTGCCAACCAACATTTCCAGCCAAGGACGCTTCAAAATAATGCATATAAATTGTGTCTTATTGATCACAGAACTTCTGCTGGCACTTAAGTATGTTGACATATAAACATGAACAGAAGTCCACAAGTTTGCATTTCTGATGTTTACAGAATTATAATTTATAGTAAAACAAACTTATGCTTTTAAAAAAATCACCTTCATAAAGTGGTATAAACACGAGGCTTAAATTGCAAAAACTATTAAAAGAATATAAAGTCCTACAGTTTTTTCAAATGATTTATGGAAAGAAAACGTCATTATTTCTCTTTTACACTTGATATCATTTAATTGCATTTTGCCACTTGCAAGATAAAAATAAATTTGCCAAATCATAATTACTGAAATCAAAAATTATAGTGTAATGAAATAATGTTTTCTTAAGAGATATATATGTGTATATCTTTTCTTATTTTAAGATTTCAAGAGTTCACAGTAAGATTAGCACAATGCTTGAGACACGTTTCCCAAAGATAGCTTGGCAGAAGCAGAGTAGAGCACTGTTATTAAATAAAACACATGGCCAAAGTCTCAACCTCTGTCATGAGGTGACTGCTGTTAACTCTTTATTAAGAGTTAACAGCTGCAGCTTTTCCCATAGAAAACAAGATAAACCAGGCAAACAGTGCACAGGTGCTGACCTGACCTGCTGCTGCTCAAAGTCTTGGAAAGGCCCACGTGACGTCATCAGGGGCACCGCCCTAACTCAGGGAAGTGAAGAAAGAGTTTCCTGGAGAAACTGAGGAATGATACATTCACAGACATATGTTGAGAAGCTGCCATCCTATCTCTCTATCACTTCCTTTGCTGTGTTCCCAGAGTGAGAGAAATGATAATTCTCACCGAAGGCACTCCACGGTCTCATGGTCTCGCCTGTGCTAGGAAGCCTGGGAGAATATATGCCACGTAGACTGTGTAACAGGAATAATATTTGGAAACTATGAGTGGTGTGTTTTTTCATCCCACGCCCTAGTCACATTCCCTGCACACATTCCATAGCTCCAGGGAAGAGGGAGAAGAAATGCCATTCTGGATGGACAAGAATACGAGCCAGGCAGGATGGGAAGTCAAAGCAAGCCTCTCGGGTCCAAGAGGAAGAAGATGGAGCCGATGAAGGATGGGCTGATGGATGGCAGCAGACAGTTGGACCCTGAATCCTGCCCCCTCATCCACCTCTGGATGGGAATCCTGGTACGGGGTGGAGCCGGGCTTCAGCTGGATTGGGGGAAGGCTGGAAGGTGAGGGATCTTGATACTCTGCTCTTCATTGGGAACTGCAGGAGGTGACTCCAGTCCTGGGCGTCACCCTGCCAGTACAGGGTAGGCACAGCGGGGTGGAAGTGGCAGCCCAGTGTAAGTCAGGTAGGGAAGAGTCCTGAGTAAGTGTCCCTCACCAACACTGGTTCCTATGGAGCAAAGGGGAGTGGAGAGTCCAGGAGATAAGGTGATAAGGGGTGAGGCAACTCTACCAGACAGGTCAGTTACAGGTCAAAGCTGAAATTCAAAAAGGTCTGCATTGCTAGGGAGAGCTAAGGTGGAGAGCCAGGTAAACGGGAGAGAAGCTGCACCAGCTCCATGGACTGCAGCAATAAGATCCCTGTCATGAGATCTACTACTCTGTGGTCACCTCAGCACTATTGACGTTTGGACCAGATAATTCTTCACTGATGGAGGCTGCCTACACATTGTAGAATGTTTAGCAGTATCCCTGCCCCCTACCCACCAGATGCCAGTAGCACTCCCCTCCCCTCTTCAGTAGTGATCATCAAAAACACCTCGGGACACCAAATGTCCCCTGAAGACAAACACTGTAGTAGGTTGAGAACTACTGCATCAGCCCTAGACACCGCTTGGAGAGGATGGCAAGGGAAGAGGCTGGAAAACTGAGCACCTATCCCAGAGACAGCTATTTCACACTGAGATCTCAAGGCCTGAAGAAAGTAAGATCCCATCAGTGGCAAGTTGAGGGACCTGACCCCTCCACCTCCACCCACCCATCCTTAGGCTACCCAGCCAAGTGGGTGCCCAAGAGCAATAGAAAATAACAACTCTGGGAAGAGCAGGCCATCACTCAATTTTACAGATGAGGAAACTGAGTTTCTAAGAGGTTAAGCTAACCATCCAAGGTCACACAACCAGTTAGTGGCTGAGCCAGCATTCAATGCCAGCGAGGCTCCCTCCAAAACCATGCTCATTCCTATACAACTCCCTTTCACACAGAGTGCCAAGTTAGAACTTCATGTGTATTGCAGTGTCATCTCAAGAAGACAGAGCTCCCGTTGGGAAGGAATGATATATGCCTCTATGCCAAGCATGTCATTTGTGCTCCATAAATATTTGCTGAATGAGTGAATGGATGAAACCCTCTCCTCTACCTCTGGGCTAAGCAGGCTGTTTCCCAAGGCCTCACTGCACCTGAAAAAACAAGAATGAAGATAAAGCAAAGGCTAACAATTGCAGGACCAGTGTTCCTTCTCAGAGATCCTTGAGCGAGGCAAAAATAATGTACAGCTGGCTTCCAATCAACAGCACTAATGCGTGAGTCAAGAGATAAGCTCAATGAGCTTGCAGAGGAGGGAGAGATGGGAGGGAGCAGTAGGAGCCAGGCAGGAGAGGAGGGACCTGGAGCAGTGACTTGGGCTCAATTTGGAAGGACCAGAAAATTAGTGGGGAAGACCACTCCAGAGTTGAGTTGGCACAAGAAGTAAGAGCAGCCAGGCGCAGTGGCTCACACCTGTAATCCCAGCACTTTGGGAGGCTGAGGTGGGCAGATCACCTGAGGTCCAGAATTTGAGACCAGCCTAGCCAACATGGCAAAACCCTGTCTATACTAAAAATACAAAAATTAGCTGGGCGTGGTGGCAGGCGCCTGTAATCCCAACACTTTGGGAGGCTGAGATGGGTGAAATGCTTCAGGCCAGGAGTTTGAGACCAGCCTGACCAACATGGTGAAACCCCATCTCTACAAAGAATACAAAAATTAGCCAGGCATTGTGGTGTGCACCTACAATCCCAGCTACTCGGGACGCTGAGGCACGAGAATCGCTTGAACCCGGAAGGCAGAGGCTGCAATGAGCCGAGATCGCGCCACTGCACTCCAGCCTGAGCAACATAGCAAAAAAAAAAAAAAAAAAAAAAAAAGGAGCTGGTACTGGGAAACAAGATGGCAAGATCGGGGCGGGGTGGGGGGCAGGCGTGGGGTGGAGGTGCCACTGATGAGGAACATGAAGGTCAGGCAAGACATTCAGGTTATGCAGTGGATTCCTGAGTAACAACAGACTTTAACATTGATTGAGGGTTTACCATAAGCAGGAGCTGTTCTAAGCGCTTTGCAGGGATTACCTCATTCGTGGAAGGCTGATTTCCCAGCTGAGGAAACCTGGGGGAGCTCAGCATCCCTGAGGCCTTAAGGAAGGTACTCAGGCCTCATGACTCCTAAGTGACGGGACAGGATGGGAAACCAGGCTACTGCATGCCCCAAGAACCATGCTGTTCGCTGCCAGCCCCTATCCCTTCCTGGCATGTGATGTGATCAAAGTGACATAAGCACAACACTAACAAGGAGATGACGGCACCAGGGTTCCTTCTTCATACCCTTAATCTGCATAATAGTCAACTCAGGGTAGGGCTTAGGCAGTGGCGGGTTGGGAGATTCAGGATATGTTGTAGCAAAAGCTAGAGCTTAAAAGCTATTTGCTAAATGACTGTCTCTGGTGTGTGTAAGATGCAGTCGCTTTACAGTTGATTATATGTTAACCCTCTTTGTTCCTTGGTTTTGTCCTTGGTAATCTGTATCACGTTAGCGTATTCATCTGTTTGTTTGTTTGTTTTTTTTTTTTGAGATGGAGTCTTGCTTGGTCACCCAGGCTAGAGTGCAGTGGCACGATCACAGCTCACTGCAGCCTCTGCCTCCCAGGTTCAAGTGATTCTCCTATCTCAGCCTCCCAAGTAGCTGTGATTACAGGCACCTGCCACCACGCTTGGCTAATTTTTTTATATTTTTAGTAGAGACAGGGTTTCACCATGTTGGCCAGGCTGGTCTCAAACTCCTGACCTCAGGTGATCCACCCGCCTCTGCCTCCCAAAGTGCTGGGATTACAGGCGTGAGCCACTGCCCCTGGCCTCATCTTACATTTAATACCACTAAGGAGATGGGGAACGCAATTGTATTATTCCCTTCCTTGATAAAAGCTCAGCTCAGCACCACCCTCAGTGAGTACCTTGACAATGGAATCCGGTGACCACTTACTGTAAAAACGTGTAGCCAGCAAAACTTCTGGTTCTTAGGAAATGCAATCCACATCCTCGCTGGTGAGGGCAACTGACTCATGTGTGGGGTATTAGGAGGGGGCTTATTTGTATGTGTGTTTCATTCATTCATTCAACAAGTACTTATTGAGCACCTACTATGCACCAGGCACTGTTCTTTTATATTTATCTTTTAATTTTTAAAATTTTTTTAGAGATGGAGTTTTGCCATGTTGCCCAGGCTGGTCTTAAACTCTTGGACTTAAGCACTCTACCTGCCTCAGCCTCCCAAAGTGCTGGGATTACAGGTGTGAGCCACCACACTTGGCTAGCCAGGCACTGTTCTAGGGGCTTGGGACACATCATGAATACAACACACAAAGGTCCCTTCCCTCGTAGAGCTGGCATTTTCAGAGCGACAAGTAAGTAATTTATATAGGGTGTTGGAGGATAATTCCTGTCTTGGAAAAAATAGAAAACAAAGGAAGGTCTAAGAGAGATCAGGATGGGAGAGGGGAGGAGTGGGGCAGTTTGTAGTATTACATGGGATAACCAGAAAAGATGACACTTGAGCCAAGACTGAAGAAGGTGAGTGAGAAAGCCATGTAGATATGGGGAGGAAGCCTGGAGCTCAAGGCACAGCAAGGAGGTCAGTGTGGCTGGAGTGGAGGAAGCTCAGGCTGAGGGCATGGTAGAACACGAGGTCAGAACATGAGAGGCTGGAGAGTCACATCACAAAGGGCTATTGGAAGGGCTTGGGCCCTTTACTGTCAGTAAGACGGGGAGCCCCTGCCAGGTCAAAGACAGGGGTGGGACAGGCATGGTGGCTCACATCTGTAATCCCAGCCCTTTGGGAGGCCGAGGCAAGTGAAT
The DNA here is from genome assembly GCF_000001405.40 of Homo sapiens. Taxonomy (NCBI): domain Eukaryota; kingdom Metazoa; phylum Chordata; class Mammalia; order Primates; family Hominidae; genus Homo; species Homo sapiens. Next base: position 26,010,350 of record NC_000007.14, read on the forward strand.
CACTGGAGTTCAAGACCAGCCTGGCCAACATGGTGAAACCCCATCTCTACTAAAAATACAAAAGTTAGCAAAGTGTGGTGGCAAGCACCTCTAGTCCCAGCTACTCAGGAGGCTGAGGCAGGAGAATCACTTAAACCCGGGAGGCAGGGGTTGCAGTGAGCCAAGACCACACCATTGCACTCCAGCCTGGGCAACATGAACAAAACTCTGTCTCAAAAAAAAAAAAAAAAATGCATAGGGCTGACATGATCTTTCTTAATCATAATAGAATAGCCTGTAACAGGCTATACATAAGAATAGCCTGTTACAGGCTATACATAAGAATAGCCTGTAACAGGCTATACATAAGAATAGCCTGTAACAGGCTATACATAAGAATAGCCTGTAACAGGCTATACATAAGAATAGCCTGTAACAGGCTATACATAAGAATAGCCTGTAACAGGCTATACATAAGAATAGCCTGTAACAGGCTATACATAAGAATAGCCTGTAACAGGCTATACATAAGAATAGCCTGTAACAGGCTATACATAAGAATAGCCTGTTACAGGCTATACATAAGAATAGCCTGTAACAGGCAAGGGTGAGCTAGTGCAATAATCCAAGAGGGAGAAGGTGGTGGCTAAAGCCAAGGTAGTCATATTTCCCCCTACTGTAGTGCCTGCCCAGTGCCGTTCCAGAGCTGAGGAGTAACTGATGGGGTCAGAGTCAACCGAAGCAGATCCTCATGAAGAGACAGCACAAGGGAGACCAATGTTGGAGAAAATGGGACACACCATTGTGTACTGTGCAAATGGCAACAAAATGAAGAATCAGACACACAGATCCACTGGTTACGAAAAAGAGTGTCCGCCACCGGGACCACATTGCAGGCGAACAAAGCATTAACACCTGCAATATTGAAACCACAGTCTCTTTGACCTGCTGCCCCCCGTGTAAGCCATCAGCTTTGTCTTTATACTGTCCGGGAATCTTTCCATAGGGATTAGGATTTTGGCCAGTCCTTCCCCAGATGATTCCTGTCCTCATGTGAAATGCCTTGGTTCCCCGTAAGATGTCTTTCTCTAGCCATTTGTAAGTACTGAAGAAATCCACTCTGTTCTAACAGGTTGCTTTAACTAGATTTCTAATGTATATTAATAGTTTCACGAAACCACATAGGAAGTATTTTACATTTGTATTGTATTTTTTGCCATAGAAGTCACCACAAGTGCTTCTTTGCATTTTCTTGTTTCCTGAAGCAATTTCCTCTGCTATTGTTTTAGTTACAAAATGTTTTATTAATTTTAAAACTGGATTCTTTTGTGAAATTTTGGTGATCTTGTGTTAAAATACTGATATGAAGGGCTTTGCCTGCTAAAGGAAACAAATATTTCTGAAGGTTTTAAAAGAAAGGTCCACTTGGTCCTTGTTTACACAGATCACTTATAACTACAAACCTGAGACTGAAGAATGTGCATGAAAACCCACTTTGTATTTCCCACTGTTTTGTGCTCAATGGATTATCATTCTTAGATTATTCAGAATTCATTCAATTCAGCCATGCCTCTAAAGTTAAAAACGCCTAACGCCTCTTCCTCTGGGCTTTGAAGAAAAAGGAAGAATAATCCCAGATTTTCAGGCCCTTTAGTGTCTCTCTCCAGTTTTTGACCCAGATTCCCGCTCAGGTGAAGTTGGCTGTTGGGTGAAAGTGCAGCTTGATAGTTCATCTTGGGACCTCATCTCTTCCTCTGCCAATATGATTCTGGCACTGCCAACTTCACGTACTTCAACTTATCAGTGAAAGTTCCAGAGAGCATCCTATGACTCCCCCAGAACACCAGCAATGACCCCTATTTCCAGAGGTGGAGTTTGGGGACTGGGGAGGTCTCACGTGGTGGAAAAGCAGTTCTGTCATTTGACAAGTATTTTTTAAGCATCTGCTACCTGCCTGCACCCTGCCTTCAAAGATCCACCATGCAGTGGCTCTAAAACGCTGCAGCAGGTTAGCCTTTCCCCTGGGGAGGACATCAAAAGGCTCTCGCAGGAGGTCTAGCTGTGGGACCATGCTGGACACATGGAGCCATCCCCTCAGTGCTGCCTGCATATCAGAAATACCCAGCATGGGCTAACCAGGGGACATCACTGGGAATTATGTGATGAGCAGGAAACTCATCCTCACACCCATGGTTCAGAACACAAGGCCTGGGGCCAGCCAGGTGGGAGTGAAATCACAGCCCTGCCAGGCACTGGCTATGTGATCTTGGACAGGTCACCTCACCTCCATGAGCCTTGGCCTCCTCATCTGTAAGGCTGGTTCAGTCAAAGTGCCAACCTCACAAGCTTATCAGGAAAGTTCGCTGAATCCTCACACATATTATAGGGCCTGGCACAAAATGCATGGCCAGGTCATGCTCACTGTTGTGTTGGTTATTGATTCTATTTCAGCACAGGGTAACGAGCAGCATCTGTGGGTGGTTGATCACTGGTATGAGCAGGACATGGAGCTAATGACATTTTCTTCTTTTTTTTTTTTTTTTTTTTTTGAGACGGAATCTCACTCTGTCACCCAGGCTGGAGTACAATGGCACAATCTTGGCTCACTGCAATTTCTGCCTCCCAGGTTCAAGCAATTCTCCTGCCTCAGCCTCCTGAGTAGCTGGGATTACAGGCATGTGCCACCACACCCAGCTAATTTTTGTATTTTTAGTAGAGATGGGGTTTCACCATGTTTGTCAGGCTGATCTCGAACTCCTGACCTTGTGATCCACCTGCCTTGGCCTCCCAAAGTGCTGGGATTACAGCCACCGTGCCCGGCCTAATGACATTTTAAGACAAAAATATGTGGCAATCCTCCAGTGACCAGATTTTCCCTGCCTACCTCCAACAGCACCAGCCTCAGTGACAGGGAAGACACAGATGTCTGAATTCAGAGCAGAGGCCACATATGGAAGGGCTGGAACAATGTTTTGTTGTCACTGCTGCTGCTGCCACAGTGGTTTCATTTGAATTGAATGTGAATGCATGTGGAGGAGGACCTACCTGTGTTCTCCAAGGAGCTCTGAGGACCTACCTGTGTTCTCTGATTGCCTCGCCCAGCAGCTGTCCTCCTGCCTTGCTCTGAAGCCTTTGGATGTCTGGCAACCCCTCGCCTCACTAAACACCCAGATGTGCCCATTCAGTGGTGGGAAACCTCTCGGTGTCAGATTGTAACACAATCAGGATTCTTTACAAGTTCTACTGCTTTGGTCAAAAATGAGGACTTGCTTGTCAGCCTTCTTCTTGGCTCTTAGCAAGGCTTTGGGTTTCTAAAGCATGGGTGACATTTGGGCTGTGGAGGTAACGCTCCAAAAAGGGCAGGGAAGGCTCTCTTACGCTTTCTGATGGGGCGTTCTCTTGGTGGTGTGCAGCGGACCTCAAATCCTGTGAGCAATTTTTCTCCAGACGTGGATAAGAGGCCATTCTTTTTGTTCATTCTCCTGTAGACTCTGGTTGATGTCTTGCCAATGTAGCAGGATGCTTCCCCACTCCAAATGGGCAGGAATCCAAGAAATGCCGTTTTCTGTTTGTCCGGGCACAGATAATTGAGGAAAATCCCTGAAGCAAATGTACAGTTTATATTTCTCCAGCGCCTGTTGCAGATAGTCTCTTATTTCTTAGCAACAGGACCAAGCCAGAGGCAAAATTCAGTTCAACACAAGAACCATGCTTTTCCAAACCTGTAGGATCCTACTGTGCATTGGGCTCTCGATCCCACTGTGCAGTGGTGTTTTCTCTTGTCCCATAAATTCCTCTCTACTGCTTGTGACATGAGTAACCCTGAGAAAGCAGAATGATTTTTAACATCATCTTATAGCAAACTTAATCTGGAGGGCAAATCTGCTGCTAACAACCACACAACGGAAAGGCCACTTGATTACTTCCAAAGTCAAACCGAGCAATCCTTTGCATTATCAGAGCACTCTTCTGGGAGAGCCCACACGCAAAAGATCGCATCTTGATGTTCATAAAATAAGGCTTTGGTGAGTCAACAGGAGTCGAGGGCTTCACTTGTGAATTCAGATTGTAGTTAGTGGTTGTTTTTTCTTTAAGCCACTAAGCTTGAATTAGATGAAGAGTGTGACTCATGAAATAGGTTTTATTTAAGGGATTTGGGGTCTTGATTTTAAATGTATGTTTATGGATATGGGAATGCTGTGGGAAAAAAAACATATAATCATGGATAAATAATCAGATTAGAAATCCAGAATGCATTCCAGCTGTAGGATTCGTATTGTTGTTGGCCGGCTTTGTTCTGGGGATGGGGGGAAGGGGTGCAGTGTATCCAAACTTGCCGCATGTAACTACACTTCCCACAGGATTTGTTTTTTTAGCATAACAACAAATGCTTATACACTTAAAAGTGAGAGTTAAACAGTGTTTCTTTATTTTGATTAGCCATCCAGTAGTTTAACCCTGACTTTTTTCCACTCTGGTTTTCTAACCTCACCAGTGGCAAGAGTTGAAGAAAAACCCTTAGTTTTCACTGGGAACCTCATAACTTTTTTTTAACTTTTATTTTAGGTTCAGGAGTCCATGTGCAGGTTTGTTCTATAGGTAAACTCATGTCACAGGGGTTTGTTGTACAGATTATTTCATCACTCAGGTATTAAGCCCAGTACCCAATAGTTATTTTTTTCTGCTCCTCTTCCTCCTCCCACCCTCCCCACTTAAGGAGGCCCCAGTGTCTATTGTCCTCTTCTTTGTGTTCATAAGTTCTCATCATTTAGCTCCCACTTATAAGTGAAAATATGCAGTATTTGGTTTTCTGTTCCTGCGTTAGTTTGCTAAGGATAATAACTTCCAGTTCCATCCGTGTTCTCACAAAAGACAAGATCTTATTCTTTTTTATGGTTGCATGGTATTCCATGGTGTATATGTACCACATTTTCTTTATCCAATCTGTCATTGATGGGCATTTAGGTTGATTCTATGTCTTTGCTATTGTGAATAGTGCTGCAATGAACATTCATGAGTGTGTATCTTTATGGTAGAATGATTTGTATTCCTCTGGGTATATACCCAGTAATGGGATTGCTGGGACAAATGGTAGTTCTGCTTTCAGCTGTTGGAGGAACTGCCATACCGCTTTTCACAATGGTTAAACTAATTTACACTCCCAACAACAATGTATAAGTGTTCTCTTTTCTCCACAGCCTCACCAGCATCTGTTATTTTTTGACTTTCTAATGATAGGCATTCTTACTGGTGTGAGATGGTATCTCATTGTGGTTTTCATTTGCATTTCTTTAATAATCAGTGATATTGAGCTTTTTCTTCATATGCTTGTTGGCTGCATGTATGTCTTCTTTTGAAAAGTGTCGTTCAAGTTCTTTGCCCACTTCTTAATGGGGTTGTTTTTCTCTTGTAAATTTCTTTAATTTCCTTATAGATGCAGGCTATTAGACCTCTCTCAGATGCATAGTTTGCAAATGTTTTCTTCTATTCTGTAGGTTGTCTGTTTACTCTGTTGATAGTTTCTTTTGCTGTGCAGAAGCTCTTTAGTTCAATTAGATCCCATTTGTCAATTTTTGCTTTTGTTGCAATTGCTTTTGGTATATTTGTCATGAAACCTTGCTCATTCCTGTCCAGTAGGGTATTATCTAGGTTTTCTTCCAGAGTTCTTTTAGTTTTGGGTTTTACACTTAAGTCTCTGATCCATCTTGAGTTGATTTTTGTATATGGTGTAAGGAAGGTGTCCAGCTTCAATCTTCTGCATATGGCTAGCCAGTTATCCCAACACCATTTATTGAATAGGTAGTCTTTTCTCCATTGCTTTTGTCAGCTTTGTCAAAGATCAGATTGTTGTAGGTGTGCGGCCTTATTTCTGGGCTGTCTATTCTGTTTCATTGGTCTATGTGTCTGTTTCAGTGCCATGCTGTTTGAGTTATTGTAGCCCTGGAGTATAGTTTGAAGTCAGAGAGTGTGATATCTCCAGCTTTGCTCTTTTTGCTCAGAATTGCCTTAGCATTTTGGGCTCTTTTTTGGTTCCACATGAATTTTAAAATAGTTTTTTCTAATTCTGTAAAGAATGTCATTGATAATTTGATACGAATAGCATTGAATCTGTAAATTGCTTTGGGCAGTATGGCCATTTTAATGATATTGATTCTTCCTATCCATGAGCATGGAATGTTTTTCTATTAGTTTGTGTCTTCACTGATTTCTTTGAACAGTGTTTTGTAGTTCTCATTGTAGAGATCTTTCACATCCTTGGTTAGCTGTATTACTAGGTGTTTTATTCTTCATGTGGCAATTGTGAATGGGATTGCCTTCCTCATTTGGCTCTTGGCTTGGCTGTTATTGGTGTATAGGAATGCAAGTGATTTTTGTACATTGATTTTGTATCCTGAAACTTTGCTAAAGTTGTTTATCAGCTTAAGAAGCTTTTGGGACAAGACTGTGGAGTTTTTTAGATGTAGAATCATGTCATCTGCAAACAGGGATACATTGACTTCCTCTCTTCCTATTGGATGCCCTTTATTTCTCTCTCTTGCCTGATTACTCTGGCTAGGACTTCCAATACTGTGTTGAATAGGAGTGGTAAGAGAGGGCATCATTGTTTTGTGCCAGTTTTCAAGGGGAATGCTTGAGCTTTTACCCATTCATTATGCTGCTGGCTGTGGGTTTGTTACATATGGCTCCTATTATTTTGAGGTATGTTCCTTCAATACCTAGCTATTGAGAGTCTTTAACATGAAGTGGTGTTGAATTGTATCAAAAGCTTTTTTCTGCATCTATTGAGATAATCATGTGGTTTTTGTCTTTAGTTCTGTTTATGTGATTAATCACATTTATTGATTTGTGTATGTTAAGCTAACCTTGCATACTCACAATGATGTCTATCTGACCATGGTGGATTAGCTTTTTGATGTGATACTGGATTTGGTTTCCAAGTATTTTGTTGAAGATTTTTGCAATGATGTTCATCAAGGATATTGGCCTGAAGTTTTCTGTTTTTGTTGGGTCTCTGCCAGGTTTTGGTATCAGGATGATGCTGGCCTCATAGAGTGAGGTGGAGAGGGCCAGGCACGGTGGCTCACGCCTGTAATCCCAGCACTTTGGGAGGCTGAGGCGGGTGGATCACGAGGTCAAGAGATCAAGACCATCCTGGCCAACATGGTGAAACCCTGTCTCTACTAAAAATATAAAAATTAGCTGGGTGTGGTGGTGTGCACCTGTAGTCCCAGCTACTTGGGAGGCTGAGGCAGGAGAATCGCTTGAACCCGGGAGGTGGAGGTTGCAGTGAGCTGAGATCGTGCCACTGCACTCCAGCCTGGTGACAGAGTAAGATTCCATCTCAAAAAAAAAAAAAAAAAGAATGAGCTGGGGAGGAGTCCCTCCTCATCAATTTTTTGGAATGGTTTCAGTAGGAATTGTACCGTCTCTTCTCTGTACATTTGGTAGAATTTGGCTGTGAATCTATCTGGTCCTGGGCTTTTTTGGTTGGTAGGGTATTTATTACTAATTCAACTAGAGAGACCATTATTGGTCTGTTCAGGGAATCAATTTCTTCCTGGTTCAGACTTGAAAAAGTGTATGTGTCCAGAAATTTATCCATTTCTTCTAGGTTTTCTAGTTTGTGTGCATAGAGAACTTCATAACTTTCATCCAGTTCAGTTACATTTGAGGGTTTCTTCTAACAAATGCATAGTACTTTCCATTCCCCTTCCCTCCCACCAGTACACATAGGTTTGTTTGGTTGTTTTTAATTGGTTAGTCTGATGTAAAAATGGAAAGATCCGTTAGGCATCGATTTGGAGTGTCAGGTTCAGATGAAGGCAAGAGGCAGGGACCATCGGTCCTTAGTATCTAAATGAACACTTCAGGATGGCCAGCCTCTGCAGACATCTTGGATCGGACACCACTCACCATGAATGTTGCCTCTCTGACGGACCACCTGTTGACCCAGGAGAAGCCAAAGCTGGAGAGCCCCAGAGTGAGGGAAGGAGTTATTCTGGAAATGTCACCTCCCATTTTCTAATTTGGGATCTTGACTCTGAATCTTCATTTGAATGCAGGTGAATTAGACCATCTCTCATGTTCTTTCCAACTCTAAAATTTCATCCAAGCTTGATTCCCTTTATGGGCCCATGAGGTCTCAGAGGTCATGCAGGAAAATTAATAATAACTGTGCCCCAGGAATTAAAGGTCAGGACCCTGGAAATAAAGTCTGGAGACTTAAGTGTACAATTGCTAGGAGAGCCCCAACATGTGATTTTTCTTCCTCTCTAAAATTATGTATAGGGAAGATGATTATCTACTAGAGGTGTTGTATTAATTAAGTGAGATAATGTGTAAAACGTACGGCACAGTACTAGGCACACAGTAGTTTCTCAGTGAAAGGCATTGAATGAATGGCTAAGTGCATAAAACCATCAAGCAAGCAACTTACCCCAAGCATCTCAATTAGCAAGGCACAGAGCCAGGATGCAAACTGAGATCCTCTGATTTTAAGTCTAGGGCTCATTCCCCTGTTATCGTACCTACTGATATGTCCCCAAAGTTGGTTGTCTGGTAGTTAATTGTGGTCATTCTGAAGCAGAAGTTCTGCCTAGACATTCATTCCAAATTATCTGGTTCAAGGTAAGGAATCTCATCTCATTGTTGGAATCTCTCAGGTGGTTGGCAAGAGCTTGTGTCCAAATTGTACACAAATCACCTGGGTCTTCCTCCTGTATTAGGTCCAGCATTCATACCTTTACTTATTTCCATTAAGCATTTATTGAGATCTTCCTTGGAGTATATGCTGTAAAGATAATAAATCTTGCGTCTGTAATCTTTCATTACAGAAATACAAGGCAGGGTCCTTAGGCATCTGGGAAGATGAAACAGGCACACACAAGAGTTGAGGAGCAGCACAAACATTATGCAAAGAGTCAAAGAGAATTCCTCAAATGAGAATGCACCGTGGAACACCGAGAAGAGGGGGCTTGATGGGGACTGGGAGATGAGCTACAACTCTATCTTGAAGGGTTTTCCTGAAGGGGAAGATTTAGACTGTTCCCTGAACTATAATGTTCTTCTCTCAGGTACCCTGCTGAGTGCAGGGAACAGTCTACATCAAAAATAGAATTCTTTACTCACCAAAATGGTGCTAATACTAGTAGTTTTCAAGCATTATCCATATCTTCTTACACAGTTGTTCTCAATGCATGGCCATGAGCATCAGGATCACCTGTGGGTTGTGGTATAACAAAAAATATATTTGGTCTTTGTCTCTGGTTCCCAGCACAAAGCTCCTAAGACTCTTGAAATACCGTGAGTGATAGGAGCATCTTTTTTATACATAAGGAGCTCCTTTCAAGCCATATGTGAGTTTATGCTAATAAGGTGACTCTTATGGTTTGGACGTATGTGTCTTTCCAAAATTCATATGTTGGAATCTAAGACTTGACATGATAGTATTAAGGGGTGGGGGCAAGCCGGGCGTGGTGGCTCACGCCTGTAATCCCAGCACTTTGGGAGGCTGAGGCAGGCAGGTCACCTAAGGTCAGGAGTTCAAGACCAGCCTGGCCAATATAGTGAAACCCTGTCTCTACTAAAAATACAAAAATTAGCCAGTCGTGGTGGCAGGCGCTTGTAATCCCAGCTACTCAGGAGGCTGAGGCAGGAGAATCACTTGAACCCGGGAGGCGGAGGTTGCAGTGAGCCGAGATTGCGCCACTACACTCCAGGCTGGGCAACAGAGCGAGACTCCATCTCAAAAAATAAATTAATTAATTAAATTAAATTAAAAAAGAGGTGGAGGGTCTAGGAGGCAATTAAATCATGTGGATTCCACCCTCGTGAATGGGATGGGCACCTGTGTGAAAGAGCTCAAGGGAACCAGCTAGGCCTTTTGCCCTTCTACCTTCTGCCATGTGAGGACACAGTGTTGGTCCCCTCTGGAGGATGCAGCTACAAGGCATTATCTGCAGAGCACAGCCCTCATCACACACTGAATCTGCCAGCACCTTGATCTTAGACTTTCCAACCTCCAGAATTATAAAAAAATTAATTTCGACCGGGCATGGTGGCTCACACCTATAATCCCAGCACTTTGGGAGGCCGAGGCAGGCGGATCACGAGGTCAGGAGATTGAGACCATCCTGGCTAACACGGTGAAACCCCGTCTCTACTAAAAATACAAAAAATTAGCCAGGTGTGATGGCAGGCACCTGTAGTCCCAGCTACTTGGGAGGCTGAGGCAGGAGAATGGCGTGAACCTGGGAGGCAGAGGTTGCAGTGAGCTGAGACTGCGCCACTGCACTCCAGCCTGTACGACAAAGCGAGACTCCATCTCAAAAAAAAAAAAAAAAAAATTTCTACTGGGAGGCCGAGGTGGGTGGATCACCTGAGGTCAGGAGTTCGAGACCAGCCTGGCCAATATGGTGAAACCCTGTGTCTACTAAAAATACAAAAATTAGCCAGGCATGGTGGCGGGTGCCTCTAATCCCAGCTACTGAGGAGGCTGAGGCAGGAGAATCGCTTGAACCCGGGAGGCAGAGGTTGCAGTGAGCTGAGATCACACCATTGCACTCCAGCTTGGGCAACAAGAGCGAAACTCTGTCTCAAAAAAAAAAAAAACTCTATTATTTATAAATTACACAGCCTGAGGTACTTGGTTATAGCAGCACAAATGGACTGAGACAGTGGGCCCATAGTTTTATGGGAAAGGCTGGCCGCAACAGAAAGACCAGGCATGTGATTAGCGGGTTAGAACTTTCAGCCCCAACTCCCAACTTCCAGGAAAGGGAGAGGGACTGGAGATCATGCCTACAAAATGAAAACTCTTAAATGATGAGGTTGGGGGAACTTCTAGTTTGGTGAACACATTGATAGGCCTTGAGAGGGATGCAACAGAGAGGGCACGGAAGCCCTGTGCCCCCACCCCTTCCTAGCCCTGCAGATCTCTTCTATTTGGCTGTTCCTAAATTATACCCTTTGTAATAAGGCAGCAATTATAAGTATAGGGTTTTCCTGAGTTCTTTGAATCATTCTAGTAAATTGTCACACCTGAGCAGGCTGGGGGGCCTGAGGAAACTTTGAATTTGTAGCCAAGTTAAGCAGAAGCCCAGGTAGCCTGGGGTGCTGAGACTTGTGGCTGGCATCTGAAGTGAGGACAGTTGTATGGGCTGGAGCCCTTCAACCTGTGGAGTCTGATGCTAACTCCAGATAGTTAGTGTCAGAATAGCACTGGTGTCAGAGAATTACTCTTCGAAAACAGCATAGGGGTATTTATTGCAATTCAGATTCCTAAGCCCACAGGACAAACTGCTGAATCAGACTGTAGGTAGGACCAGGGAAGCTGCCCAGGTGATTCTGAGGCACATCAGGTTTTGTGAACCACTATCATAGCTTCTGCTTTGGCAATTTCCATATCAAACCCAGAGTCTATCCTGCCAGAGGCACTAAGCTCAGAACCCTGGCAATGAACCAGCTTGCCAATGGTACTTCTCCTGTGGAATTGGAGAGACTGAACAATAGACACTTCTAGCATTTGCGTCCCACTATTTCAAGAAGCATCTTCATCAGTCCTTCCCACCTGGCTTCTTTCTACATGACCCCTTTGGGAAAATTCTGTGGAGCCAAAAGGGAGGGGTGTATGCCTCAGGTTAGCTCTTTCCTATTAATAAATCCTCTCCAGTTTAGGAAGCCCCTCATCAGCCTGCAAGGCTTCCATATCTCTAGAGGCTTTAAGGCTGTGTCTGCTCATGTTGGGGAGGGGGGAATACCCAAAGAAAAGTGTGGAAAGTCCATGAACACCCCCATCTCCACTCAGGCAGGAGAGGGCATTCCTCAGGCCCAGAAGCCTCTACAAGCCTGAAGAGCAGGGACACAGAGTAAAAATATTTCTGTCTTTGGTCAACAACATGCACCCAGATGGATGTTTTTTAATACAGTAGAGAATAAAAATAAAAGCAAAATACACAAAAAAATCGTCCGCAATCCTACCACACAATGACAACCACGGTTGGTCCTGTATTTGCATTTACTTCCAGTCTTTCTCTACACATTTTATTTTGTTTTATTTTATTTTATTTTATTTTAATTTTATTTTGAGACAGAGGCTCACTCTGTCGCGTAGGCTGGAGTGCAGTGATGCAATCTCAGCTCACTGCAACTTCCACCTCCCGATTCAAATGATTCTTGTGCCTCAACCTCCTGAGTAGCTGGGATTACAGGCATGTGCCACCACACCCAGCTAATGTTTTCTTTTTTTTTCTTAGTAGAGACAGGGTTTCACCATGTTGGCCAAGCTGGTGTCAAACTCCTGGCCTCAAGTGATCCACCCACCTCAGCCCCCCAAAGTGCTGAGATTACAGGCGTGAGCCACTATGCCTAGCCTCTCTACGCATTTTAAAAACAAGCCTGAGATCTGTTTTCATGTTAATGACTAGTTTCCAGGACAGTAAACAGAAAAGCACAGTTTCTTCAGGTTCCTCTCAGCAGAGCACGTGGCTTTCAGCATCCAACAGCTTTTGTTCCTTGTGCCATGGAAAACCTACTCTCTCAAGGAAGGCTTTTTTAGTTTTTACTTGCCTGTTCATTAAAAAAAAAAAATCCAAACAATATCAAAATACATAGTCTTTCTCCATCCCATGGTTACAGATTCACCTTTTCATATAAAAACATATAGGATATACATCTATACTGCTTTTTAATCTATAAAAAATTGAGTAATAATGTAGATTCTCTTTGGTGACTTATTTTTTAAACCTACCAACATACTGTGGATACCATAGATTTTTTAGGGAGAAAAAGAGAAAGCAGAAATAAAAACTGGGCTAGAAAGTGAAAACGGCTTCTTTAATCTGGATGCCAGGAAGAAAGTATGTACGAGGTTTGCTATGCTAATTGAAACCACATCCCAAGACTATTATATACTTTGTCCTAAGTATGGGATTGAGAAATGTAACTACGTGGGTTGCCATTTCTTAAAGCACCCAGAACAAATAATAAATGTATGGAAATATGGCCTAAGAAAAGGTGTAAAATAAGTCTTAATCACATGCCATATGTGATTAAGCATATGGCATAAGCCTGAAATTATACTTTCTTTTTTTAAACATAAAATAGTTAGAAAATAGTGAATGCCAAAACTAGATTTACCTTTTCCTTTGAAAAAAACCAATCAATTAGTTCTCTTTTTTTTAGAATTTTATATTATATTTTATTTTTTTGACCTTGAGAAAGTTACTTTTTTTCCATAAGTTATTGGGGTACAGGTGGTATTTGGTTACATGAGTAAGTTCATTAGTGGCGATTTGTGAGATTTTGGTGCACCCATCACCTAAGCAGTATATACTGCACCATATTTGTAGTCTTTTATCCCTCGCCCCCCTCCCACACTTGCCCCCAAGTCCCCAAAGTCCATTGTATCATTCTTATGCCTTTGTGTCCTAGTAGCTTAGCTCCCACATATCAGTGAGAACATACGATGTTTGGTTTTCCATTCCGGAGTTACTTCACTTAGAATAATAGTCTCCAATCTCAACCAGGTCACTGCAAATGCTGTTACTTCATTCCTTTTTATGGCTGCATAGTGTTCCATGGTATATATATACCATGGTTTATCCACTCATTGATTGATGGGCATTTGGATTGGTACCAAGATTTTGCAATTGTGAATTGTGCTGCTATAAACATGCATGTGCAAGTGTCTTTTTCAAATAATGACTTCTTTTCCTCTGGGTAGATACTCAGTAGTGGGATTGCTGGATCAAATGGTAGTTCTACTCTTAGTTCTTTAAGGAATCTCCACACTGTTTTCCATGGTGGTTGTACTAGTTTACATTCCCACCAGCAGTGCAGAAGTGTTCCCTGTTCACCACATCCATGCCAACTTTCATACATGTCCGTGTGAAGAGACCACCAAACAGGCTTTGTGTGAGCAACATGGCTGTTTATTTCACCTGGGTGCAGGTGGGCTGAGTCCGAAAAGAGAGTCAGCGAAGGGAGATATGGGTGGGGCCGTTTTATAGGATTTGGGAAGGTAATGGAAAATTACAGTCAAAGGGGGTTGTTCTCTGGTGGGCAGGGGTGGATCTCACAAAGTACATTCTCAAGGGTGGGGAGAATTACAAAGAACCTTCTTAAGGGTGGGGGAGATTACAAAGTACATTGATCAGTTAGGGTGGGGCAGGAACAAATCACACGGTGGAATGTCATCAGTTAAGGCTGTTTTTACTTCTTTTGTGGATCTTCAGTTACTTTAGGCCATCTGGATGTATACGTGCAAGTCACAGGGGATGCGATGGCCTGGCCTGGGCTCAGAGGCCTGACATTCCTGCCTTCTTATATTAATAAGACAAAACAAAATAGTGTTGAAGTGTTGGGGCGGCGAAAATTTTTGTGGGGGTGGTATGGAGAGAGAATGGGCAATGTTTCTTAGGGCTGCTTCAAGCAGGATTAGGGGCGGCGTGGGAACCTAGAGTGGGAGAGATTAAGCTGAAGGGAGGTCTTGTGGTAAAGGGTGATATTGTGGGGATGTAAGAAGAAACATTTGTTGTATAGAATGATTGGTGATGGCCTGGATACGGTTTTGGATGAATTGAGAAACTAAATGGAATAAGAGAAGGAGAAAAACAGGTATAAAAGGTCTAAGAATTGGGAGGACCTAGGACATCTGATTAGAGAGTGCCTAAGGAGATTCAGCATAGTCCTGCCAGCAAAGATTATTTATTTACTTCAAGAGTTTAGAGTGGCAGTTTGGGGATAGCACCAGGAGATATCAGCTGTGATGGCTTGGAGAAACAGTGTAAACCGGCAGTGTAAACAAGAGCAGGGCATGTATGAGTAGTTGAGAACGGTGAATAGGAGTATGACTGGACAAAAGATAGTAGGGATGACAAGTTTTTTTGGGGCACAGTCTAAGTTGGTCTGGTGTCAAATGAGACTGGGGCCTAATAAAAAGGAGCGTCTATACAGGAGCTTAAATGGGCTGTACCTTGTAGCATTGAGGACAGGCCTGAATTCTGAGAAGCAAAAGTGGTAAAAGTATTGTCAGTCCTTTTAAGTTGGTGGCTGAGCTTGGTGAGCTGTGTTTTTAAAAGATCTTTAGTCCGTTCTACTTTTCTTGAAGACGGAGGACCGTAAGGGATATAAAGTTTTCACTGAAACCTACTAAGAGCCTGAAAAACTGCTTGGCTGATTTGACTAATAAAGGCTGGTCCGTTATCAGACTGTATAGAGGTGGGAAGGCTAAACTGAGGAATTATGTCTGACAGAAGGAAAGAAATGACTGCGGTGGCCTTCTCAGACCCTGTAGGAAAGACCTTTACTTATTCAGTGAAAGTGTCTATTTGGACTAAGAGGTATTTTAGTTTCCTGACTCAGGCACGTTGAGTAAAGCTAATTTGCCAGTCCTGGGTAGGGGCAAATCCTCGAACTTGATGTGTAGGGAAGGGAGGGGGCCTGAATAATCCCTGAGGAGTAGTAGAATAGCAGATGGAACACTGAGAAGTTATTTCCTTGAGGACAGGTTTCCACGATGGAAAGGAAATGAGAGGTTCTGAGAGGTGGGCTAGTGGCTTGTACTATAGCATAACCTGCCTTTGCTGGTATGCGGCGATTAGGCCTGGTGGAACTGCCATCAATAAATCAAGCGTGATCAGGGTGAGGAACAGGAAAGAGGGAAATATGGGGAAATGGGGTGAATATCAGGTGGATCAGAGAGATACAGTCATGGGTGTCAGGTGTGGTATCAGGAATAATGTGGGAGGCCGGATTGAAGTCCGGGCCAGAAACAATGGTAATTGTGGGACTTAAAGAGTGAGTACAGCTGAAGGAGCCGGGAAGCAGAAAGTATATGCATCAGGTATGAGGAAGAAAATAGATTTTGGAAGTTATGAGAAATGTAGAGAGTGAGTTGAGCATAGTTTGTGATTTTGAGGGCCTCTAAAAGTATTAAAGCAGCGGCAGCCGCTGCACGCAGACATGAGGGCTAGGCTAAAACAGTAAGGTCAAGTTGTTTGGACAGAAAGGCTACAGGGTGCGGTCCTGGCTCTTGTGTAAGAATTCTGACCGCACTAACCATGCCTAGGAAGGAAAGGAGTTGTTGTTTTGAAAGGGATTGAGGTTTGGGAGATTAATCAGACACGATCAGCAGGGAAAGCACGTGTGTTTTTATGAGAATTTGGCCGAGATAGGTAACAGATGAGGGTGAAATTTGGGCTTGACTGAAGTAATGGGGGCTGTCTGTGAAGCCTTGCGGCAGTACAGCCAAGGTAATTTGCTGAGCTTGATGGGTGTCAGGGTCAGTCTAAGTGAAAGCAAAGAGAGGCTGGGATGAAGCGTGCAAAGGAATAGTAAAGAAAGCATGTTTGAGATCTAGAACAGAATAATGGGTAGTAGAGAGAGGTATTGAGGATAGGAGAGTATATGGATTTGGCACCACGAGTTGGATAGGCAAAACAATTTGGTTGATAAGGCGCAGATTCTGAACTAACTTGTAAGCCTTGTCTGGTTTTAGGACAGGTAAAACAGGGGAATGGTAAGGAGAGTTTATAGGCTTTAAAAGGTCATGCTGTAGCAGGCGAGTGATAACAGGCTTTAATCCTTTTAAAGCGTGCTGTGGGATGGGATCTTGACATTGAGCGGGGTAAGGGTGATTAGGTTTTAATGAGATGGTAAGGGGTGCATGATCGGTCGCCAAGGAGGGAGTAGAGGTATCTTATACTTGTGGGTTAAGGTAGGGGGATATAAGAGGAGGACACAAAGGAGGCTTTGGATTGGGAAGAAGGGCGGCAATGAGATGTAGCTGTAGTCCAGGAATAGTCAGGGAAGCAGATAATTTAGTTAAAGTGTCTCAGCCTAATAAGGGAACTGGGCAGGTGGGGATAACTAAAAAGGAGTGCTTAAAAGAGTATTGTCTAAGTTGGCACCAGAGTTGGGGAGTTTTAAGAGGTTTAGAAGCCTGGCCGTCAATACCCACAACAGTTATGGAGGCAACGGAAACGGGCCCTTGAAAAGAAGGTAATGTGGAGTGGGTAGCCTCCATATTGATTAAGAAGGGGACGGACTTACCTTCCACTGTGAGAGTTACCCAAAGCTCGGTGTCCGTGATGGTCTACGGGGCTTCCGAGGCGATCGGGCAGCATCAGTCTTCAGCCGCTAAGCCGAGAAGGAGTCAGTCAGAGAGCCTTGGGCCAGAGTTCCAGGGGCTCTGGGAGTGGCTGCCAGGTGAGTTGAACAGTCCAGTTTCCAGTGGGGTCCCGCACAGATGGGACATGGCTTAGGAGGAATCCTGGGCTGCAGGCATTCCTTGGCCTGGTGGTCAGATTTCTGGCACTTGTAGCAAGCTCCTGGGGGAGGAGGTTCTGGAGGAAGCCTGGCTGCTGTGGTTCAGGCGTTTGGAAGTTCTTGTGTGCTGGAGATGTGGCTGGGGTTTGTCTCACAGTGGAGGCAAGGAATTGCAACTTTTTTCTATTATTGTACACCTTGAAGGCGAGGTTAATTAAATCCTGTTGTGGGGTTTGAGGGCCAGAATTTAATTTTTGGAGTTTTATTTAATGTCGGGAGCAGATTGGGTAATACAATGTATATTGAGAATAAGATGGCCTTTTGACCTTTCAGGGTCTAGGGCTGTAAAGAGTCTCAGGGTTGCTGCCGAACGAGCCATGAACTGGGCAGGGTTTTTATATTTGATGAAAAAGCCTAAACGCTATCTGATTTGGGATAAATAAAAAGGAGCATTAACCTTGACTATGCCTTTAGCTCCAGCCACCTTTTTAAGAATAAATTGCTGGGCAGGTGGGGGAGGGCTAGTCACGGAATGAAACTGTAAGCCCGACCAGGTGTGAGGAGGGGAAGCGATAAAAAGATTATAGGGTGGAGGAGTGGAGGCTGAGGAAGAATTGGGACCTAGCTTGGCCTGGCTAGGAGGGGAGAGGTCAGATGGGTCTGTAGAAAAGGAAGATTAGAAAGACTCAGCGATGCTTGGCGTTGGGACTGAGGGGACAGGCGGGAGATTTGGGACGAGTTGCATTGGGCACAGAGACTAGGAATGGACTGATGTGTAAAAGAATGCCTGGACGTCAGGCACCTCAGACAATTTGCCCATTTTACGACAGGAATTATTTAGATCTTGTAGGACAGAAAAATTGAAAGTGCTGTTTTCTGGCTATTTGGAACTACTGTCGAGTTTGTATTGGGGTCAAGCGGCATTGCAGAAGAAAATAAGATGCTTAGATTTTAGGTCAGGTGAGAGTTGAAGAGGTTTTAAGTTCTTAAGAACACAGGCTAAGGGAGAAGAAGGAGGAATGGAAGGTGGAAGCTTGCCCATAGTGAAGGAGGCAAGCCCAGAGAACAGAGAGCGTAGAGACACGGAGGGAAGTGGTTTGGGGGTTCTTGCCCCCTAGAAAAGCAGGACTTGCCGCTAAGGGTGAAGGAGAAGGGGTTGAGGGGTACTTGCCCCTGCCCCAGGAAAGCGGGACTTGCCGCTAAGGGTGAAGGAGAAGGGGTTGAGGGGTACTTGCCCCTGCCCCAGGAAAGCAGAGAAGGGGTAGAGACAAGGAGAGAAGGGGTTGGGCTACTTGCCCCTTCCCCAGAAAAGCAGGACTTGCCGCTAAGGGTGAAGGACCAAGGCAGGTGTCCCTGCGTGGTCTGACACCCTTGAAACGTGGGTGTATAATCAGAGAGGCGTCCCTGCATTGATTAAACACCAAGGGAAGGCTGCCTTCCCAGTCCGTGACCGGCGCCGGAGTTTTGGGTCCACGGATAAAACGTCTCTTTTGTGTCTACCAGAAAATGAAAGGAATTGAAATTAAGAGAAGGGAGAGATTGAAGCGTAGCGCCAAGATTGAAAGGAGAAAGAGGTTGAGGGATAGTGAGGGAAGTTGGAGAAGAGAGTAAAAAGAGGCCGCTTACCGGATTTGAAATTGGTGCGATGTTTCTTGGGCTGGTCGGTCTGAGGACCTGAGGTCATAGGTGGATCTTTCTCACGGAGCAAAGAGCAGCAGGACAGGGGATTGATCTCCCAAGGGAGGTCCCCCGATCCGAGTCACGGCACCAAATTTCATGCGCGTCTGTGTGAAGAGACCACCAAACAGGCTTTGTGTGAGCAACATGGCTGTTTATTTCACCTGGGTGCAGGTGGGCTGAGTCCAATAAGAGAGTCAGCGAAGGGAGATACGGGTGGGGCCGTTTTATAGGATTTGGGAAGGTAATGGAAAATTACAGTCAAAGGGGGTTGTCCTCTGGTGGGCAGGGGTGGATCTCACAAAGTATATTCTCAAGGGTGGGGAGAATTACAAAGAACCTTCTTAAGGGTGGGGGAGATTACAAAGTACATTGATCAGTTAGGGTGGGGCAGGAACAAATCACAATGGTGGAATGTCATCAGTTAAGGCTGTTTTTACTTCTTTTGTGGATCTTCAGTTACTTTAGGCCATCTGGATGTATACATGCAAGTCACAGGGGATGCGATGGCCTGGCCTGGGCTCAGAGGCCTGACACCAACATCTACTGTTTTTTGATTTTTTGATTATGGCCATTCTTGCAGGAGTAAGGTGGTATCGCATTGTAGTTTTGATTTGCATTTCCCTGATCATTAGAGATGCTGAGCATTTCTTCTTATGATTATTGGTCATTTGTATAGCTTCTTTTGAGAATTATCTATTCATGTCCTTAGGCCACTTTTTGATGGGCTTGTTTGTTTGAAAAAAACAATCAATTAGTTCTATGAAGTACTGAGTGTCTCTGTGCCAGGTACTGCAGTAGGAGATGGGACATATCAGTGAACAATAGCCAAAGGTCTACGCTATTCCTGAAGGTCAGGTATTGCGACAGACAGTTGACTACAAGCATGTCAATAAAAAGAGTTAAACTCTGTAAAATATACGAAGAGATTTATTCTGAGCCAAATATAAGTGACCAAGGCCTATGAGGTCTCATGTCCTGAGGGGGTCTCAGGACCCCTCAGGAGGTCCTGAGAACATGTGCCCAAAGTGGTCAGGATACAGCTTGGTTTGATACATTTTAGGGAGACATGAGACTTCAACCAAATACATTTAAGAAATACATTGGTTTGGTTCAGAAAGGTGGGTCAACTTGAAGGGGTAGGGGGTGGCTTCTAGGTTACAAGTAGGTTTAAAATTTTCCTGGTTGACAATTGGTTGAGTTCATCTAAAGTCCTGGGATCAATAGACAGGAAATGTCTGGGTTAAGGTAAAGGATCGTGGAGATCAAAGTTCTTATTTTGCAGAGAAAGCCTTCAGGTAGCAGGCTCCTGAGAGAATAGATTGTAAATGCTTCTTATCAGACTTAAGGTCTGTGTAGACATTAATGCTGGAGAGGCATAATGAGGCATGTCCGACCCCCATTTCCCATCGTGGCCTGAACCAGTCTTTCAGGTTACATTTTAAGAGTGCCCTGGCCTAGGAGGAAGTCCGCTGAGATGACTGGGTGGGGGGCCTTAGAATTTATTTTTGGTTGACAGGCAAAATAAATAGGTTTTGCCTATGTTCAAATAATATGTACTTTTCAAAAAGAAAAAAAAGGAGCAGCTTTAAGGGGTGTAGGAGTTGGTGCGGAGGAGTGGGGCAGATTGTAGTATTAAGATGGGGGAATTTGGAATAGGCTTCATTGAGAACATAAACTTAGCAGAAGGCACATTTAAGCAAAGTCCTGAAGAAGGTGAGGGAGCGGGCCAAGTAGATACCTGGGGCAGAGGACACTGCCTCGGTGTTGGCTATGAGTTGAGTTGTGCCATCCCTCAAAAAAGATATGTTGAAGTCCTAACCTCCAGCACCTGTGAATGCAACCTTATTTGGAAACAAGGACTTTGCAGATGTAGTCAAGAGGAGGTCACGAGCGTGGGCCCTCATCCAATGGCTGGCGTCCTTCTGAGAAGAGGGAAATCTGGACACAGATACCCAGGGAGAAGGCCGTGTGGAGATGCAAAGACACACAGAGGGAAGAGGCCATGGGAAGATGGATACAGAGACTGGAGTGATGCTGCCTCAGCCAAGGAACGCCTGGGCTTCCAGAAGCTGGGAGAAGCAGGGCAGGGTCCTCCCACAGAGGCTTCAGAGGGCACGTGGCCTGCCAACACCTTGACTTCCAACTTCTGGCTTCCAGAACTGTGAGAAAATCCATTTCTGTCATGTTCAGGCACCTAGTTTGGGGACTTTGTTATGACGGTCTTAGAGACTAATCCGGTGTTCAGGACACAGAAGGAGTCCATGTGGCCTGGAGGAGAGTGGCAGGGGTGAAGTGAGGAGTGGAGCAGGAAGCCTTTGGGAGGAAGTTGAGGGCCCACGAGGGATCCAGCTGGCCAAGGTAAGGACTTGAATCTTTTTCTAGTGAAATGGGTTTGTGAGCAAGGGAGTGGTAAGATCTGACTGGTGTTCCAAAACGTCTCTCACTGCCACTGCACTGAGGATAAATTAGACAGTTGCAAGGAGGCCAGGTAGGAGGCGTTTGCAGTAATCCTAGTCAGAGGTGACCATGGCCATGGTAACAGGGACAAGAGATGGTTGGATTCCCCATGGATTTCAAAGGTAGGATTTGCTGATGGGTTGAATGTGGAGTGTGAGGAGAGAAAAAGGGTCAAGAATGACTGACATGCGTGGAGGGTAACATAACCAGAGAGCAGCTCAGCTTAGGGGACTTGGCACTTGGATCATTCAAGCAGCATGAAACAAACCAACAACACATTACAGACACTGAATAAGTAAACCACCATTGTTTACACCGCCCAAGTGAAGCACTAAGCAACCCTAGGCCCTCTGATTGGGCATTAGGATGCTATTTTTAAAATAATTTCGATTTATTGAGAAATCATTTAAAACCCTATCTTTTTTGTACTTATCCTTTTCTCTGGAAAACAAAAATGTAAACACATGGTTTCCTAGTTTTTTATACCTTAATAAGGAAAAATCACCTCAGATATACAGGATGACATCTCTGGATTTAATAGAGAATAGTAAAATATTTTCTGTCAGTTTCATGATGATGCCATGAGGGCATACATGCAGACACTGATGATTCAATGAGCGATAGGGCCCCTAAATGCAGGAAACACTTATGAGAACCTGCTCCTTGTGCTGGGAAAGGCTTGGAGGGACAAAGGTGAACAGTGTATGCTCCCATTCGAGGAGAAGAAGGCAAAGATGGAAACATAAACACACAAAAACAGGGGGTGTAAAGTAGAAATACAAGTTGTGGCAGCTACAATGAAATAAATCATTAAATCTTGAATTATCAGGGGATATTACAAATTAGAGATAATATTTAAATTAGGTATGAAAATATGAAAAAGATTGATGAGCAAAGAATGTAGGAAGAATATGCAAGGCTGTGGGAACACCTTGGGCACAAGCAGAGGCATGAGAATAAACTGAGTGTTTTCTTGAGTGGGATGACCAAGGTCCAAACATAAAATAGTTGAAAGCAGGTGTTGGGAAAGAGACATAAGAAGCAGCAGACACGTTGCACATGCCCTGTCTACCTGCCCATACCCATTCTCTGAAGCTCTGCTGGGTCCCATTGCCTCTGCCAAGGACAGAACAGGCAACATGAAGGGTGGGTACCTTCCTCAGAGCCAACTATTTAATTAGCTGACCATCAGCCAATCAGGTGCTTCACCTCAGGTCTCACATAAAAGACACAGAGACTAGATACATCTTAAAGATGCTGGTGGTGACCTCTGAATTGAAATGCAATGTGGAGTAATCACGTTCAAGTCAAAGTAGGGAGAGGGATTTTGAAAGAAAGAAAAGCAGAAGCAATCATGAGAAAGGCCAGGGTAACCCAGATGGAGAAAGAGTAAGAGACAGAGGGAGCCATTCTCTATATTTTAGCACCTGGGAGGTCCAGGTGTACTTTCTACAACCAGGTTTTATGCAATTGTCCTATATTTTATAATGAATCCTCTTTTCACCTGAGATGGTTTGAATGGGCTTCTGCTTCTTGCCACTCTAGACAGGGATCACAGAGGTGGTGAAGTGAAGAGAAGGGCATTGAATGCTGCACTTTGGAGTAAAGATTTTATTTCTATATTGTTCTCTTCATATCTCTTCATGTTAGAAATCAGGGAGCCACCTTTTGCCCACCCTCTTCCCCAAGTCCTCCCCATGTTTGTTCCTTGCTGTGTCTCTCAATAAATGCTCTGGTTTCAGAAACTGTGTCTGTAAGACTTATCTATTGGTCCTTGGAACCAATCAGACAAGTTTTCTTTCAACATGAAAGTAGCATGATTGGCCCTGTTTTTGGCTTTTCTGGTCAGTGACAATTTCCATGTATCCACATTGGCCGTAATCCTACACATCACTTCCCCTCTTTGATAATGTGTGCCCTCACCTTAAATGTCCCCACATCATATCCCTTCCCAGCTGTTTCTCCTTCTCTGTAAATTAAAGCCTCTAACTTCACATGGTTTGTCCTATCACTGAAAGTCTCCATCTTAGATTTATACTTGTGAACTTCACATCCACAAGCTAATGGAATAAAAATTATTTGTAAGCAATAATGTATAAGAAATGGAAGATTAATGCTGCATTTTTAGCTCAACCCATTTGCTCATACTTGTATTCTAATTTTAGCTTAAACTTTTCTGTGATTATTTTTTGCTACATATCCATTGAAACAAATCAATCAATACAAAAGTGGTTTGTAGAAAAATAGACTTTTCTTCCCAGCTCTGTTTCTACCATAACCACAAAAGAAAACCAAGTTAACAGCCTGGAATGTATTCTTTAAATTTCTCTAGGTTTATACAAACATATATAAGATAATACATATATATATAATCCCATATATACATATGTGGGATTTGTCTCTTTAAAATGATTGGATTATGACATACAAGGTACTCTACAAAAAAATTTTTTTCTTGTAACAGTATGTCTTAAACATCTTCCCAGTTAATATGTATAGATTGAACTCTCTTTCTTGACAGTTGCATAATATTCCAATGTGTGAGTAAATCATAATTTGTTCAACTGTCCTCCATCAATAAGCGTTAATATTTTATTTTCAATTTTTTGCTATTTCCCATACATCTAGCCTTATTGGCTGGGGCATTTTATTTCTGTAGAATAGATTACATAATAATATGCTCTTTAAACAAAAATATATTGACATTAAAGATGAATTACCTTTGCTTCTCATCTAGAAATAACTCCATTACATCTCTAAGTCCTATTCTATATTGTAGAAATGGGTAGCTAGAAAAAAAACCACTTTTGAAAAGAGGAAAATGACTCATGTTTTTGTCTTTCCCGCTGAGTGTTCACCACTGCTCTGGGCTGTTGTGGGCAGAAGTAGCGTCACAGTTATAGGCATTTTAATAGAAGAAGTAGGTGTCCTTCCTTCTGAAAATCCACTCTGTTGTGGAATAAAGCTGGTCTCCTTTAAAGCACCACGAATTTAAAGAAGAGCAAAGGAGGCACCAAGCAGCAATTTCCCTCACATCACTCAACCTATTAAGCCTCTTCTCCCAAACGTGGGCCAACTGCAAAAGAGTGTTCTTTAGAAATGTTCCCATTTCTGCCAAGGCTAACCAGGGATAGTTTCTTGTAATGGTTAGCATAACTCCTGGCATGTTGCTAAGGTCAAGTCTCAACCTTTAGCCAAGGGAATGGGCCAATTTAGAAGAAAACAAAGTTCAACTCCATTGGGTGGAGCCCAGCCTGGTGTCAGACCCTTTGAGGCCCAGTCTGGGATGAGGTTCCCAACTGGTTAGACTTATCTTCACATACCGAAGCGGTCTGGCTAAAACTAAATGGGAACTGCAGAATTTTTGTAAACCACGTTGCACTTTGTAAAAAAATTTTAACTCTCCCCTAGCCCCAAACCTAGCTAGGTAACAGCCGAAGTTGATTTCAGAATGTTAACTGCAGTTCTCCATGCACACAGTTGCATTCTCTGCAGCCATATGGTCATCTTTTCTAGGTGGATCTATAAGAAGATCAGGAAATTTTATTATTGCTAAATTTTTGGTGAAACACATATTAAGATGATGAGAGATGAAAATGACAAAGTGGTGGTAATGAAAACTTCCTCCCTTCTCATCTGCCAGTGATTCTCTGTCCAGGAACAAGGGTAATATATTTGACATTTGGTTCATTGAATGTGCTTCAGAGTGAAATTGTCAGAATTGCACATGGATTGCTACTGATATTACATATGTTGCAAGACTCTGCAGGGTGTGTCTCCCAGAGACCTTTCCCTAATGGTAGGAACTAGACTGTGAGCTTTTTCTCAAATATACTTTGGATGATCATCTGTTTCCCTGCAAGTGCAGAAGGAAGTTCACAAAGCACCATGGAAAAAAACCTAAGAGGAGTCCAAGGCTGAAATGAGGTAACATGATACTAAAGATACAATCAAGAAGATACTAAAGATACAACCCCTTCCCTGACTAACTTACATTCCAGGATCTGCTGGAGATACTCTCTCTAGGCAGCACTTCCTCTTATCCCTAGACTAGATGAGGGCCCTCCAGGATGTACCCACAGCACTTGCTACACTGTATGGAAACTGTCTTCTCACTGGCTGTTTACTCCAGGACAAGAATGGTGCTCTTTCTTGCTCCCTGCTGTATCCATGGCACCAGGAAACAGTGCCTGGCATGGAGGAGGCACACAGTGAGGCTAGGTACAAGAGAGAAAAAGGAAGGGCTGAAGGGGGTGATGTCAATGGGTACAAGAAGGTGCAAGGAAGTTCCCAAATCTAGAAATGCAGAGCTGATTGCCCACTTGTTCATAAATCTTAGGGGTTTTTTAATTGTTTGGGGGTGGTTTTTGTTTTTGTTTTGTTTTGTTTGTTTGTTTTTTGGTTTTGTTGTTGTTGTTGTTTTTGTTTTGTTTTGTTTTGTTTTGTTTTGAGACAGGGCCTCATTCTGTTGCCCAGGCTGGAGAGCAGTGACATGATCACAGCTCCCTGCAGGCTTTACCTCCAGGCTCAAGTGATCCTCCCACCTCAGCCTCCCAAGTGGCTAGGGCAACAGGTGTGCACCACCACACCTGGCTAAATTTTTTTATTTTTTTATTTTTTGTAGAGAGGGGGTCTCGTTATGTTGCCCAGGCAGGTCTCAAACTCCTGGGCTCAAGGGATCCACCTGCTTTGGCCTCCCAAAGTATTTGGATTACAGACATGAACCACAATGCCCAGCCTATAAATCTTAGTTTTATATATGTATCTATAGATAAAGAGAAGCAATAATGTAAGATATGCTTCTTAGAATAAGGTTTCAGGAAACATGTAAAAGAGAGCTCTCTGGGCTGAGTGTGGTGGCTCACACCTGTAATCCCAATAGTTTGGGAGGCCAAGGTGGGTAGATCACCTAAGGTCAGGAGTTCAAGACCAGACTGGGCAACATGGTGAAACCCCATCTCTACTAAAAATACAAAAATTGGCCAGGCGCAGTGGCTCACGCCTGTAATCCCAGCACTTTGGGAGGCCAAGGTAGGCGGATCACGAGGTCAGGAGATCAAGACCATCCTGGCTAACATGGTGAAACCCCGTCTCTACTAAAAATACAAAAAAATTAGTGGGGCGTGGTGGCAGGCGCCTGTAGTCCCAGCTACTCGGGAGGCTGAGGCAGGAGAATAGCGTGAACCTAGGAGGCGGAGCTTGCAGTGAGCAAAGATCGTGCCACTGCACTCCAGCCTGGGCGACAGAGAGAGATTGCATCTCAAAAAAAACAAAACAAAAAAATTAGCCAGGTATGGTGGCACCACACCTATAATCCCAGCTGCTTGGGAGGCTGAGGCAGGAGAATCACTTGAACCCGGGAGGCAGAGGTTTCAGTGAGCCGAGATTGCACCACTGCACTCCAGCCTGGGCGACAGAGCAAGACAATGTCTCAAAATAAATAAATAAATAATAAAGCATAGCTATGTACTATATGAAGACCTAAAATTCAAATTACATTTTATTTCTTTTAAAATATGCTGAAATAGTTACAAACAAAAAGTTACAATGTCTGGAATTCAAAATTACTGGGGGATTAGGTAGGTAGGGGTACAGCTGAAACAAAATCATTATTTATTAAAAATTGGTGAAACTGGCTGACAAATACGTCAGGTTCTTTCTACTATTCTTTTTACTTTTATTTATGTTTGAAACTTTCCATAGTCTTTTAAAATTACACAACAATTAGATGGGTTGCAAGTATAAAGTGTCTTGTTACAAACCACACTGATGCCACCTAAATTTTTTTTATATACTTTAAGTTCTGGGATACAAGTGCAGAACGTGCAGATTTGTTCCATAGGTATACACATGCCATGGTGGTTTGCTGCACCCATCAACCCGTCA
This sequence comes from Homo sapiens, assembly GCF_000001405.40. Classification (NCBI taxonomy): domain Eukaryota; kingdom Metazoa; phylum Chordata; class Mammalia; order Primates; family Hominidae; genus Homo; species Homo sapiens. The sequence goes on from NC_000007.14 coordinate 26,037,620, forward strand.
TCTACATTAGGCATTTCTCCTAATGCTATCCGTCCCCTAGGCCCCCACCCCACAACAGGCCCTGGTGTGTGATGTTCCCCTCCGTGTCCATGTGTTCTCATTGTTCAACTCCCACTTATGAGTGAGAACATGCGGCGTTTGGTTTTCTGTTCTTGTGTTAGTTTGCTGAGAATGATGGTTTCCAGCTTCATCCATGTCCCTGCAAAGGACATGAACTCATCCTTTTTATGGCTGCATAGTATTCTATGGTGTATATGTGCCACATTTTCTTTATCCAGTCTATCACTGATGGGCATTTGGGTTGGTTCCAAATCTTTGCTATTGCAAATAGAGCTGCAATAAACATACGTGTGCATGTGTCTTTATAGTAGAATGATTTGTAATCCTTTGGGTATATACCCAGAAATGGGATTGCTGGGTCAAATGGTATTTCTGGTTCTAGATCCTTGAGGAATCGCTACACTGTCTTCCACAATGGTTGAACTAATTTACACTCCCACCAACAGGATGCCACCTAAATTTTTAACTTAAACACGCTATTGCTGTAGCTCCACCCACCCTTGTCTCAGCCCTCAGCGACTCACCCCTTCTGTGCTGACTTGCTTTTATATTTTATTTATTGTTCTCTGCAGCCATTTCCATTCATAGGGCTTGAGACACTTTTCAGCCGACAGATTGTAACTCGCTAAGGAGCCCTGACTCCTCCTATCCTGCTTCCCACTTACAAGCAAAAAGCCCTTTTGATTAATTTCTGACAGCTCCTGCTTAGATTCACTCAGAACTAATTACGTTGGTACAACCTACTCAGACAAAAGCAGCTCTAAAAGTTCTGCACCAGCCCTAGATTTCAAGAGTAGGCAACATCCTGTTTAGGAAAAGAAAGAGGTAGCCCCAGACCCAACGAATTCTGTCTTCTTCAATTTAGACAAAAACCTGATTCATCTCTGTGTCCCCTGACATCCAACCCGGCACAAAGCCTTCCACAGACTGGGAGCTCGAGAAGTTCTTGTGGAGGGCATGTGTCCGGTTCCCTCAACACTCCACTTTTTCAAAGATACTCCAGAGCAGAAGCGAGTTAACAGGGGCTTGCTTCTCACTGTAACCACACTTGTCAGCTCACACTCATCTAGAGTTTTCAGCTGCCACCAGGCACAGAGTCCTACTGAAGTCCACACCCCCATGCATATGAAGCCACCCACTTTCCTGTATCCCACACAGCCAAAATGTCACTCAGAGACACTCCCAGGTTGGTGCCACATTGTCTCCAGCTTTCAACTCCACAAAAGGGCTTCTCCCCTTTCACAGATCATTATTTTAACATCTTACTATTTTAGAAGCCTTCTATTTTAAAAATAGCAACTATCGCCAGCTCCTTCTACTGAAGCACCGTTGTCTAAAATGTGTTCACCCTCCAGCGAGGTGCCGGAAAGGGAGGAGGCTCAAAAGTTCCCTATACCTCTGACAAGGTCCTCTTCTCTGCACTTTGGGTGCATTTTCATGTCTAGAAATACATCTGGAATCAGTCCAGTGTATTAAAGAGTTAGTCCTTATTTGTAACTTTGCTTTTTCTTCCTGATATCCTATAAAAACTTGAGCCAACTTGCTTCAGTCCATTGAATTTTATAAATGAACAGAAATAAATATTTTGCTTCTGAGTTTTACCGAGAATGAGAAAGGATTCAATTTACTCTTAATATATCCTTAAGAAAAAAATTATTTAACTTAGTAAAAAATGTGATTTTCTGGGAATTCAGGAGGCTTGCATTTTTCTTTTTAGCTTATCTGTATTTCCAATTTTTTCGATAAGGAGCATGTATTATTTTGTCATTTTAAAATGTAGTTGTCATTTTTTCTTCCTTTTAAACTAAGGTTTCTCAACCTGAGCACTATTGACATTCTGGACTTGATGATGCTTTGTTGGGGCTGGGCGGCAGGGGGCGGGTGTTCGGGGGGCCCTGCTGACACCTTGATTTCTATATTAAAAGACTGAAATGGGCAAAACATGCACCTGTCTGGTGCACTGCAAGATGTTTCGCAGCATCACTGGCCCCTACCCATGGCCAGAGCCCAGAGGTGTTCCTACAGAAGTCTGAAAAAACATCCGAATTGGTGGAACCGGACTCCCATGCTTACCAACTGGACTCCATTGCTCCTCAGATGAAAGAGAAGCAGAGCAGAGAGAAGGGGAGGTAGTTTAATGTGAGGGGAGCAATTTAAGCAGCAATATCATAAAACCGTCATCATCAGAATGTGCAGGGAAGAGGGTCCTCTGCTCCCGACTCAAAGGGTACTGGAAACTCCTGTTCCTTTCCACATCAACCTTCCTTGAATTCATCAGTCTGTTCCCCACTCTCCAAGTGCATGCTGCTGTTGACTCTTCCAATGGCAAAAGCCATCCCACAATTGCACTGTGCAGGTGCCCTGAATATATGTAGCAGAGTTGCATGAGGAGGAGAAACTCAGAGGAGAAAGACAGAGAGTTTCCACAGGCACCTTGGGAGATTGGAAGGGAGTGGTGAGGAATGCTCAGAGCTTTGGAAGGGCGGAGCAGGCAGTAGATGCCCCTGAGGCTGAGACGGGAGCGAAATTTGGCCATTTAGAGAAGACCAAACACTTGCTTTACCCACACAGCACCCTGGGCTGGGGCAGCACCTCAGAAACATGTGCCTGGTTACCTGGCAAGTTTGAGTCAGCACCTGAATTTAACACAGGGGCCTTGAGCCTTGGCCAAATCTCCATGCCCAGGTAGCCCAGAGCAGTAAACCTTCTTGCCTTTTCGCAAGCATATCAATGGGGACCAGTGTGGACTAAAGATCGCCAGATTTGGGGGCAACCCTAGGAAGAATGTCAGGAAAAATGTTAAAAGACTGAAATGGGAAAAAAAAATGGTACTGGGTATCTTGTCTATCACATCTTTCCTGACCTTTGAGCTATTTTACTATTAATATTTTGTAGTTGTAGAAAATAGGTACTGTTGGCCGGGTGTGGTGGCTCACACCTATAATCCCAGCACTTTGGGAGGTCAAGGCTGGCAGATTGCCTGAGCTCAGGAGTTTGCGACCAGCCTGGGCAACACGGTGAAACCCCATCTCTACTAAAATACAAAAAATTAGCTGTGCATGATGGTGTGCGCCTGTAGTCCCAGCTACTTGGGAGGCTGAGGCAGGAGAATCGCTTAAACCCGGGAGGCGGAGATTGCAGTGAGCTGAGATTGTGCCACTGCACTCCAGCCTGGGCAACAGAGCAAGACTCTGTCTCAAAAAAAAGAAAAAAAGAAAAAGAAAAAGAAAATAGGTAGTGTTGTGAGTTGAATTGTGTCCCCAAAAGATATGTCCAAGTCCTAACACCCAGTACTTCAGAAAGTGACCTTATTTGAAAATAGGGTCATTGCAGGTATAATTAGTTAAGAGGAGGGCATACTGGAGTACAGTGGACCCTTAATTCAACATGACTGGTGTCCTTATAAGAAGAGAAGAAGGCCGGGTGTGGTGGCTCATGCCTGTAATCACAGCACTTTGGGAGGCCAAGGCGGGCAGATCACCTGAGGTCAGGAGTTCAAGATTAGCCTGGTCAACAAGGTGAAACCCCGTCTCTACCAAAAATACAAAAATTAGCCAGGCATGGTGGCAGGTACCTGTAATCCCAGCTACTTAGGAAGCTGAGAGAGGAGAATTGCTTGAACTCAGGAGGTGGAGGTTTCAGTGAGCCGAGATCGTGCCACTGCACTCCAGCCTGGGTTACAGAGGGAGACTCCGTCTCAAAAAAAAAAAAAAAGAAGAAGAAGAGATACAGAGACATGACAGGAGAGCACCATGTGACAATGGAGGCAGGGGCGAAAGTGCCACAGCTGCACACCAAGGAACACCAGGGTTTACAGGCAACCACCAGAAGCCAGAAGAGACAAGGAAGGATCCTCCCCAGATCGCACAGGGAGCATGGCCCTGGTAACACCTTGATTTCGAACTTCCAGCATCCAGAACCAGGAGACAATTCTTTTCTGTTGTTTAAGCCCCCCAGTTTGTGGTACTTGGTTACAGCAGCCCTAGGAAACTGATACAGGTAGTAACGTGGATGATTCTTGCCCACTGAAATGCAAACGAATTTTGTCTGGTGGAACACAGTTGATTATTGACCTGTGGATATTGACCAGATTTGCGCCTATTTGTAAGTTCATTTCAGCATTCCTGATGGCCGATATAGTGTATGGTTTGAATTCTCCTTTGAGCCAGTAGTGACATCTTCCTGTTTCCTCATTAACGAGTTAAGTAAAATCTTTCACATTGTTCATTTTTGAATTTATTTGATAGTCATGATTTTACATTTATTTTTAAATTGTCCTTAAACAAATCAAAGGGCTCCTCAAAACATCATCAAGATTAAACTTCCTTCTCTTTACGTCCTTATCACAGAAACACAGAGTTGGATTTCATTCTACTTAGAAAATCAAAGCAATGTAACCATGATTGCACCCAACGTAGAGAAGGAAAACTCACTTCCACCACAGGGAGAAGTGAGCCCAATGGGTAGAATTACCCAAAAGCCTAACGTGGAAGCCTCTGGTTTGTTTTATTTTATTTTTCTGTTTGTTTGTTTGTTTGTTTGTTTGTTTGTTTTTGAGATAGTCTTGCTCTGTCACCCAGGCTGGAATGCAGTGGTGCAATCATAGCTCACTGCAGCCTCAATCTACTGGGTTCAAGCAATCCTCCTGCCTCAACCTCCAGAGTGTCTGGGACTGCAGGCACGCGCCACCACGCCTGGCTAATTTTTTTTTATTTTTAGTAGAGACAAGGTCTCACTATGCTGTCCAGGCTGATCTTGAAATCTTCAGCTCAAGTGATCCTCCCACCTCGGCCTCCCAGTGTGTTGGAATTATAGGCTGTTTTATTTCGTTTTGATTCAAAAGAACAAAACTACAAAGAACAGTTTTATTCATTGTTATTGGCCTTAATTTAAATATATTTTTTTCATTCAAAACTTCATTGAGTCTCCACAAGGCCAGCCCGGACAGACTTTGAGATCCAAGTCAGTTGCTATTCCCAAGGAACTCAGAAATGAGTGCTGAATGCAACATCTGTCACAGAGTGAGTATTCGGTGTTTATCAAAGATTATTTTCTCAAAAATGGGATATACCGCCAGCTCACAGAAGACTAGTTCGTCAGGTTTTAACTGTAGTATTATACAAAAATGTCCCCAAGTAGCAAAACATTTTATGAATCTGTCTGTAGGTAGAAATTCTATACATTATAAACACATCATAATACAACTTATGCAATAGAACGCCTTACTAGAATAAAGAAAATGAACTGGAAATGTTCTGCAAAATTAGTCATTTGTTGTTGTTTTCAGCCTTTGTTTTTTAAAAAACAAGGCAGGCAGTAATTATACATTTGAAAAATGTATAATTTCAATGTATACATTTGAAAAATATATAATTCCTGGAAATGAAGGAATTACAGTAGCCTTAGGCAAAGTTACACTTGCCGCAGTTTTTTCTTGACTCCCCTTTATCATCCTTCCTCTCCTTCCTGGGATACTCATAAGGCTCAGCTTGTCTCTCAAAGGAGCCCAGTGCTGCTAAAGTCTTTCTGTTACCCCTCCTTAAACATCAGCTTTCAAATAGCTGTCATAAAATAAACACGTAAATTCATACTAATTGAGATGACTAAAGACATGCAATGAGTTATCACTTTGGGAGCATATTTACGTTTTAATGAGAACAACTCAATCCATTAAGCACTTAGGAAGTATCTCCATGTCCAGGCCTTGTGTTCCTGCTGCGGACTTTATGTCAGAGGGAAGAGCTAAGGCTCAAGGCTGCTGTTCAGATTATTTTGTCCCACAGAGTATTCCCTTGGTGTAGTACTCTCCCCCTTTTCCTAAGGATGTGGCTTCCTGGGAGCTGTAGTGATTGCTAGCTCTCTTCTGGAACTAGCCACCCAGCAGGTCTACCAGGCTCCAGGGGCTGGCACTGGGAGTTGTGTGCACAGAGTACTGTGATGTGAACTGTCTGCAGGTCTCTCAGCCGTGGATATCAGCACAGTATTTGGGGTGTCTCCCAGGTCCTGCAGGAGTAATCCACTTCCTTCAGAGAGTTTGTGGGTCCTCTCAGCCTTCCTGGTTTATTCCTGCAGTAGTTCTGGAGCAAAAAACCACGATGCGAGTCTCCACACACTGCTCTGTCCATCCATGTGGGAGCTGCAATCTAGTCCCGCTTCCCATCCGCCATGATCCCTCTTCTCTCTTGCTGCAGACTCTAAATAGAGTCCTACTCCCAGTATGGGGGAATGTAAAGTGAGGCATCCACAGAGCTTCTCTTCTCAGCTGCAGGCTCTTCCAGCCTGATGCCTGCTTGAGACTTCCGACCTAAACAAAGCTCTCACCCTCCCCACACACAAACAACCAGTTCCTCCTCCCATGTTCCCCATTTCAGTAAGTAAAATCCACTATCCATTCAGCCTCAAACCAAAAGCCAAAGTGATGGTTACGATTCTTCCCTCGACTTCCCCTCCATGTCTAATCCATCAGTAAGACTGTCTGCTCTACCTCCAAAATATCTCCCAAACCCAGACGCCTCGCTCCATCTCCTAGTCTAAGCCACCATCATCTCACATTAGGAATGGAAATATCCTCCCAACTGGGCTCTGATTTCCAGCTTGTCCTTTTATAATCTATTCTCTACACAGCAGCCAGAGAAGCCTCTCAAAAACATAAATTAAATCATGGCACTCTCCTCTAATGACTTTGCATTGCATGGTGGACGTAAAATCTGAACTTCTCGTCTTGACCCCAAGGCGGCTACATAGTCTGGCCCCCCGACCTCCCTGCTCTCATTTCTTGTCTTTCCTGCCCTTGCTGACTCTGCTCCAGCCACGCTATTTTCCTTTCAGCTCTCTGAATCAACCAAACTTGTCCTGACTCAGGACATTTGCACTTGCTGTTTCCTTTGCCTGGGCTTGCCAAAAGTTCTGGCTTCTTTGTATCATTTAAATGTCAGCCAAAGATCACCTCCTCAGAGAGGCTTTTCCTCCCCATCATGCCCTGCCACAGCTCCCTTTTCATTGACTTCATCACACTTGGCACCCTTTAGACCTCCTTGCTTGCTTATCCATCTCCCCGCATTCCCCACCCTCCAATAAACATCCTCGGGAATGGAGGCTCCATGCAAGCGAGGATCTGGTCTGTCTTGTTCATTATTACATCTCAGTTTATATTAAGCACACAGAACATGCTTAATTAATATTTATCGAATGAATGAAAACCCAAGATAGAAGGTTTGGGGGAGAAATCCTTCTCAGCCCCTTTCAAATTATACCTATCACTGCAGCCAGTTCCCTCAATGGGCAAGGCCAGCCAGTCCTATGTAAAAGAAAGATATAAATGATAGCTTCCAATTACAGATAGCTTTAGAAACTACAAAGAAAGAAAATACCCTAGACACAGTTCCAAGTAACAGACAGGAAAGCCTGCAGGAAGTTCAGTATGAAAGGAACATTGGAGTCACCATTCAGGATAGAAAAAGAAAGGGAAAAAAACCACCAGGCCCTCACTCCATTTGAGAGAAATATCAAGAATATCCAAGTACTTCTTTAGATACTCCAAAAGAAGGAGTTTGAAAAAGAATCGTCAGAAAATTTTGAGCTTATATTAACATTACTTATTAAAAGATCTGAAAAGAGAGTTGTGCAGATCATCAGACCCAAACTCCTGAATGCAAAGACCAGTCATGACTCATTTGACTAAAGAGTTATATTAGGCTGCTAAGACCAGGGAGCAGACAGCTTAACAATTGAAATTCATCCCAAGGAAGCAAGGGGAAGTGTGCTCCTTCAAGGGCAAAGGAGAATTGAAGAAGATGCAAACTAATCCTTTAAATGCATCAAAGACATCTAACAGCTGAGATATGCATCGATGCCATTTGATCATCACAATGTAAAAAAATTGCCCAGGGTAACATAAAGGAGAGTGGATTCTGAATTTTCTGCTTTGATCTTAAGAAGAAAGTGGAACAGTCCTATATCCAAATAGGCGGATGTAAACAACTCCAACAATGATCACCATGACAAAGGACAAAGGTCATTTGTCCAGAGAAGACTGGAGCAGCCACACTACCATTCCCTTCTGCATGGTGCTGTACATGAAAACAGTTGAGACCCTTGAATGCTTATGAAAGAGCCCACTGGGGGCAGGCGCGGTGGCTCACGCCTGTAATCCCAGCACTCTGGGAGGCCGAGGCAAGGGGATCGTGACTAGCCTGGCCAACGTGGGGAAACTCCGTCTCTACTAAAAATACATTAGAAAGGGATGGTGCCGCACACCTGTAGTCCAAGCTACTCAGGAGGCTGACGCAGGAGAATTGCTTGAACCCGGGAGGCAGAGGTTGCAGTGAGCCGAGATTACGCCACTGCACTCCAGCCTGGGCTACAGAGCAAGACTCCATCTCAAAAAAAAAAGAAAAGAAAAAGAAAGGGCCCATTGGGCCAATCACACTAAGGCTTCTGTGATTCTCTGGAATAAATAGATTTGTTAACAACCCCAAGCCAGCTATGAAGGTCATTTCAACTTTAAAGGATATGAAACAAGATTCTCCACCAAAGGCTATTAAAAGTTATAGACACAGAAGTGGTTCTGAGTCAGGATACAGAGTATGGATATGGCTAAGAACATCTCTGGGCTCAGAGTTCGTAGGCACCATGGAACAAGTAGGGACTTTGAGGCCAGTTCTGGGCCAAATTCCAGTTCTGCCACTTATTAACTGCGTGGCTTTGGCAAGTTCCTTAAGATCATTATACCTCCAATTACTCCTCTCTAAAATGGTGATAGTCATACTGACATCGTGGGGTAGAGTGAGGATTCAAGGAAGTCATGTATATATATATTTTTGTAAGTGTGATAAAGTCTAGTACCTGGCAGGGGTTCAGTAAAAAGTAGTTTGCTTCTCCCTTCATGGGGATCAGAGCTGGACTCATCTTTAAAGGGCCTGAAAGAGGCCAATGACAGAAGGTTTTCTGGCTCCCCGCATGCCAAGCTCACATATAAACTGTAAAATGATTTCAGAGGGTCATGGAAGAGGAAGAAACGAATCAGATCATGTCTAAAGAAGACAGGTGACTTGGGGGGCTGAAGCATGAGAATCTTTTGAACCCTAGAGGCAGAGGTTGCAGTGAGCTGAGATCACGCCACTGCACTCCAGCTTGGGCAACAGAGCAAGACTCTGTCTCAAAAAAATTAAATAAATAAAACAAAATAAATAATAATAAAGAAGGTAGGTGGAGAGTTCATGCCAGGAGGACTCCCCAGGGTGCCTGGCTACCTGCTGAGTTCAGCCCTGCTCTGGGAGGCAATGAACAGCCCATGTCAGGGTTACAGTTCTGGCCCAAAGTAATCCTAATAACATCTCTCATTATATAGTGCTTTCTCTATGCTGCTCAGGATTCTTAGCACTTACCATATATTATCTCATTTAATCCTCACAACAATCCTACCAGATGCAAACTATTTTTATCTCTACTTTACAGATAAAGAAACTGAGTCACAGATAGGATAAGTGACTTGTGCCTGCATCTACTCTGTTCCCAGTCTCTGTTGTGAGTCTCATTCTCTCACCTGTACTCACTGCTTGCTTTCTGGAATCCAGTTGAATAATTAGTATTTCCGGAGAGCCCCCATGGCTTTAAAACACTTGTCCAAGTTAGCAATATCCTTCAAAATTTAAATTGCACATACATTTGACCCAGCAATTTCTTTCCTAGGAATATATAGAAATAATCACTCAAGTATATAAAAATATTGTAGCACAACACTGTTTGTTGCAGCCTTGTTTCCAGTGCTAAAAAATTGGAGACAAGAGGGAGCCATTGTGGCTCCGGCTGGTTGCGCTGGCACTCAGGGTAGGCGAGGCTACGAGTTCGAGGCCAACCTGGTCCACATTGGTTGAAAAAAAAAAATTAAAAAAAAAAAATTGGAGACAAACTCAAATAGCTACCACCATGAAATTGGTTAAATAATTTATGGGGCACCATGCAAATTAGGGTCCTATGGAGGCATGGAAATAATGTGTAGCTCTCTATGCACTGACCTGGAAAGACGTCACAATGTATGAAATGAAAGAAGAAAAAGATTGAATGACCTTGTTTTTGTAAGAAATAAATAATAATCATATTACATGTTATTAGTCTGAGAGAAAAAAGTCTGTGTATAACCAAGCTAGTCCTAGTCATTATTATTTCTTTTCTTTTTTTGAGATAGAGTCTTACTTTGTCACCCAGGCTGGAGTGCAATGGTGTGATCTCGGCTCACTGCAACCTCCACCTCCCAGGTTTAGGCAATTCTCGTTCCTCAGCCACATGAGTAGCTGGGACTACAGGCACAAGCTACCACCCCAGCTAATTTTTGTATTTTTAGTAGAGATGCGGTTTCACCATGTTGTGCAGGCTGGTCTCGAGCTCCTGGGCTCAAGTGATCCACCTACCTTGGCCTCCCAATGTGCTGGGATTATAGTTGTGAGCCACTGTACCCGGCCCCCTACTCATTATCTTTAGAAATTTTTCTTTCATTTCATATTCCTTTTATACTTTGTTTTTTTACAAGCACATATTAATTTAAGAAAAATTGAGACAGGCTCTCATTCTGTTGTCCAAGCTAGAGTGCAGCGAGGCGATCATGACTCACTGCAGCCTCAACCTCCCAGGCTCAAGTGATCCCCCCACCTCGGCCTCCAAAGTAGCTAAGACTACAGGCATGTGTCACCATGCCTGGCTAGTTTTTTAAATTTTTTTTGTAGAGAGAATCTCCCTGTGTTCCCCAGGCTAGTCTCTAACTCCCGGGCTCAAGTGATCCTTCTGCCTTGGCCTCCCAAAGCGCTGGAATTATAGGCGTGAACCACGACACCTGGCACACATATTAATTTTAAATCAGAAAAAAATAAAGATATGTATCTTTACTCTGGTCTATACTTTGTCTCATTTGGTCCTGTGATTACCCTGGGAGGTATGTAAAACAGGAGAAGAAACTGAGGCTCAAAGGAGGTCAAATGACTTGCCCAAGGTCACCCTGCTGTCAAAGACCACGTCGGTAACAGAGTCCAATCCATCTGACCCGCAGTTAGTGCTGCAGAACACTAAGTCCCTGAATTAAACTTTTAACAGTAGCATTAGCCCACCCTTATTCAAAGTCATGATGCATCTTTACCTGACAAACTGTATGAGTTCTGTGGTTAGACCTCAAGAAAGATGCAAAAGGCATGGAAAAGATTCAGGGAGAAGAAACCGCAACAGTCTAAACAGGTGGTGCGATTTCTATACATGGGACAGAGAGAGAGGGCTTGGATTTTAAAGTTGAGAGTATTTAAGACTAAAGTTTACTCTTTAATCTCAAAACCATAGAAGAAACAGATGCATGGAACAGAGATCTGTTCTTTAAGTTCCAGGACTCTAAAATGAGAAGACATTATTTAAAGTTTGAAAATACTAGCTTTGGGTACATATAAGATATTATCAGTAGAAAGTATTAGACCAAAGCTGACACAAGGTGAAAATATAAATAATTGACATTTATATCACTTCATAAATAATAAGTCGATAACTGTGTAATCTGGGAGCCCAGGGCCAGGCTTGACCTGACACAAAACACCCCTCAGAGTCACTGCAGGGACAGAATTTCAGGCTGTGGGCCACCAGCATGACTCAGTGCCACATTTATGATTAACTTTATCTTCCTTTTCCATTCCTTGAGAGCAGTAAGATTTCTAATATTTTAAATCATGTGCTTTGGGTTTAGCTTTCTTTTTTCAAAGTAGATCATTTTCAGCTATTTGAATTTGCTTTTGTATTGTTGCTGAAGACAACACCTTATTGAACCCATTATTATTGTACATTATTGTACCCAGACCCTCTCCTATTTGGTATTCAGCAAATCTTGTGACCTTCAGTTATTCTTCTCTTGGATATTTTTGTTTATTATATGTATTGTATTTTCAAAAATTACTCTCAATATTGAATGTATTAGAGTTAACAATATCATTATCCTAAAGATTCAGGCTACTCTCCATTTTATACCCAGCTCTTGTTTATTTAAACATAATCTAGTCTTTGTCAAATCTATGTATCCCCAAATCTATGTCTGAAATTTTCATCTACTAAATCATTATATCATTTACTAATAAGTTATATACTAGAATATAATTATATTAGTGTAATATAATAGGTGATATTAGTAAACTACCTTGAGATACAGAGATATAATTGGTGAGGTCATGAAGAAGGCACAAGCATGTCACTAATCTCTCTCCCCACGACCCTTCAGAATGTTCTTTCTGTCTTCCTCAGCATATACAAATGAAGCAAAAGACTGTGCACTTTAAGATTTATTTTCTTTTTCACTCTGATTCTTTCCAAATTCTCCACATGCAATTTTGACAAATGCACAAACTACTTGTACAGAGCGGTTTTGCTGCCCTACACATGCCCGGTGCTCCACCCATTCATCCCTCTCCCCCCACCCCTAGCAACCACTGATCTTTTACTGTTCTATAGTTGTGCCTTTTCCTGATGCCATACAGTTGGACTCATACAGTACATAGCCTCTTCAGATTGGCTTCTTTCACTTAGCAATATCCATTTAAGGCTTTTCCATGTATTTTTATGGTTTGATAGCTCATTCTCTTTTTTTCTGTTCTTTTTTTATTAACTTTTTTCCTTTTATTTTTAGTTGACACATGTATTTGTATGTATTTATGGGATACAAAGTGATACTCCAATACATGTATACAATGTGTAATGATCAAATCCAGGTAATTCACATATACATCACCTCAAATATGTATCATTTATTTGTGTTGGGAACATTCAAAACCTTCTCTGCCAGTGTTTTGAAAATATACAATAAATTACTGTTAGCTATATTCATCCTACAGGGCTATAGAATGCTAGAACTTATTTCTCCTATCTAGCTGTAATTTTGTATTCATTAACCAACCTCTCCCTATCCTCCCCTCCCCACTACCTGTTCCAACCTCTAATAATCACAATTCTACTCTACTTCCATGAGCTCAACTTTTTTAGCTCCCATATATAAGTGAGAACATGCATTATTTATATTTCTGTGCCTGACTTATTTCACTTAACATAATGTCCTCCAGGTTTATCCATGTTGCCTCAAATGACAGGATTTTATTCATGTTTATGGCTAAATAGTATTCCATTGTGTATATATACCACATTCTCCCTACTTATTCATCTGCTGATAGACATTTAGGTCGATTCCGTATCTTGGCTATTACGAATAGTTGTACTATAAACATGGGGTGTAGATATCTCTTTGGTGTACTGATTTCCTTTCCTTTGGATAAATTCCCAGCAATGGGATTACTGAATCATATGGTAGTTCTATTTTCAATTTTTTGAGAAATCTCCATACTGTTTTCCATAATAGCTGTACTAATTTACATTCCCACCAACAGTGTATAAAAGTTCCCTTTTCTCTGCATCCTCACCAGCATTTGTTATTTTTGTCTTTTTCATAGTAGCCATTCTAACTGGGGTGAAATGACATCTCATTGTGGTTTTGGTTTGCATTTCCCTAATGATTAGTGATGTTGAGCAAGTTTTTCACACACTAGTTGGCCATTTGTAAGTCTTTTGCAAAATGTCTGTTCAGATCCTTTGCCCACTTTTTAAAGTGAATTATTTGGTTTTTTTTTCCTGTTGAGTTGTTTCATTTCCTTATATATTCTGGATATTAGTGCCTTGTGAGCTTAATAGTTTGCAAATATTTTCTCCCACTCTACAGGTTTGTTTCTTCTTTCTATCAATTGTTTCCTATGCTGTAAGGAAGCTTTTTAGCTTGACATAATCCCATTTGTCTATATTCGTTTTTGTTGCCTGTGCTTATGAAGTGTCACCCATAAAATCTTTGCTTAGATCAATGTCCTGAAACATTTCCCCCATGTTTTCTTCTAGTCATTTTATAGTTTTAGGTCTTACATTTACGTCTTTAATCCATTTTGAATTGATTTTTGTACATGGTGACAGATAGGGGTCTCGTTTCATTCTTCTGCATATAGATATATAGTTTTCCCAGCACCATTTATTGAAGAGGATTTTCTTTCCCCCAGTGTATGCTCTTGACTCCTTTGTCAAAAATCTGTGATCTGTAAATAGATGCATTTATTTCTAGATTCTCTATTCTGTTCTACTGCTCTATCTGCCTGCTTTTATGCCAATACCATGCTATTTTGGTTACTATAGCTTTGTAGTATATTTTTGAAGACAAGCAGTGTGATGCTTCCAGCTTTCTTTTTGCTCAGATTGCTTTGGCTATTTGGGATCTTTTGTGGTTCCATATAAATTTTAGAATTTTTTTTTCCATTTCTATGAAAAAATGTCATTGGTATTGGTATTTTGATAGGGATTACATTAAATCTGTATATTGCTTTGAGTAGTAGGGCCATTTTAACAATATTATTTATTTTAATCCACAAGCATGAGATATCTTTTCATTTTTGGTGCCCTCTTTGATTTCTTTCATCAGTGCTTTTTAGTTTTCATCATAGAGAAGATCTTTTACCTCCTTAGTAGCTCATTTCTTTTTAGCACTGACTAATATTCCATTGTCTGAATGTACTCAATGGGATAGGGAAAGAGATGAATAGGTGAAGCACAGAGGATTTTTAGGGTATGAAACTATTCTGTAGGATACAAGAATTATGCTTTTGTAAAAACCTGTAGAATTGTTCAACACAAAGAGCAAAACTTTATGTAAACTATGGATTTTAATTAATAATAATGTGTTAATAGTTAATATTGGTTCATCAATTTTAACAAATGTACCACACTAATGTGAGATGTTAATAACAGGGGAAACTAGTGGATAGTGGGGCTTCATGGGATCTGTCTGTACTATCTGCTCAATTTTTTCTTGAATCTAAATCTGTCCTAAAAAATAAAGTCTATTAATTTAAAAAAAAAAAACAAAAAACTTTCTAAGTGTTTTTCCAGCATGAAGATGCTGCTGCCAATGCTCTAAGCCCCTCCTCCAAGAGTGATGGTGAAGAATTAATGTTTCTTCTTCTAACTCTCAATGGCCTGTCCTGTGAGCAGGGAAATAGGAGTATCTCTTTTCAGGGGTAATAAGCAACTACCTTACCTCTGGAGAGACTAGTCCTTCCCCCATCCCATGTGGTCTTGGTAGGATGGCCAGTCACATTGTCTCTTCTCATCCAAAGGATGAGCATGTAACCCAGAGAGGCCAACCACTCACCCTCCCAGAAACAAGGAAACACAGGGGCAAAAATAATAGGAATGAGTCACTCTAATGAAAGAGCCACAAAGAGAATGTTCTGTCATTCCTGCTGCCTGCTTCTACCCAAGACCTGATGATTCAACTCTATCTGCACAGGTTTTCAACATGTTTGCAAAAATTCCTTTTTTCTTGAATTAGCCAGAGACATTTGGGTATCTGACAACCAGAACTCCACTGAGACATGCAGGGAAAAAAAAATACCAAAAGCCCAGTCTTATTGCTATGGTTTGAATATCCCTTCAAAAACTCATGTTGAAATTTAATTGTTAAATTTAATTTAAATTGTCATTGTAGTAGTATTGGGAGGTGGAACCATCAAGAGGTGATTAGGCCATGAGGGATCTGCTCTCAGGAGTGGATTGATGTCATTATGGTGAGAGTGGGTTCAGTCATCATGAGAGTGGCTTTGCTATAAAAGCAAGTTTGGCCCCCTCTTGAGCTCTCTTGCCCTTCTGCCTTCCACTATGGAATGTCACAGCAATAAGAGCCTCAGCAGATGCCAAGCAGATTATGGCACCATGTCCTTGGACTTCCCAGCCTCCAGAGCTGTGAGCCAAATACATTTCTTTTCTTTATAAATTATCTACCTTGTAGTATTCTGTTATAGCAACACAACTGGACTAAGACAGTCATTTATAATAATTTCTACCTAAGTAAAATGGTTAAAATTATCTAAAAGAGAAAACAAGGGATGAGGAAACAGCATATTGCTAATGTTTAAGGAATGCTTTCTACATGCCAGACTCTGAGCTGGGCACAGGAGTGCAGAGATTAGTAAAATATAGGTTGTATTTCAGAGACACAGAATGATCAAATGTATAGAATGTGGGCTTGGGACAGACCTGGGTTCAACCTCTCTAGTCTGCTCTTACTTCCTGTGGGCCCTTGTTCAAATCACTTAACCCTCATGCAGCTTAGTTTCATCATCTCAAAGGAATTTAAAAAGTCTATAGCCATACCACCCTGAATGCACCTGATCTCATCAGAGAAATAAAAAGAGCCTAGCTTTCATGAATATTGCTGAAATTAAAAATAATTATGTACAGCACCACTATGGCGCCTTGTACAATGAAGACATAAAATAAACTGACTTAAGAAATGGAAAGTTACCATGACCTTTGAAGCCTTGGGTTGCCCATTCCTAATTGCCTCTCCCCCAAATTTCTCTCCCACAAAGAGGTAATCTTTTTCGTGTCTTATTATGTTCTTTTTCTTGTATCCTAAAGAAAATATTGCTTGGGCCAGGCATGGTGGCTCATGCCTGTAATCCCAGCACTCTGGGAGGCCAAGGCAGGTGGATAGCTTGAGCCCAGGAGTTCTAGATCAGCCTGGTGATCATAGTGAAACCCCATTTTGTATGAAACCCCATTTTGTATGAAAAATACAAAAAATTAGCTGGGTGTGGTGGTGGGCGCCTGTGGTCCTAGCTACTCAGGAAGCTGAGGTGGGAGGATGGTTTGAGCCCAGGAGGCAGAGGTTGCAGTGAGCTGAGATCATGTCACTACACTCCAACCAGGGCAACAGAACGAGACCCTGTCTCAGTTTAAAAAAAAAAAAAAAAAAAGGAAGAAAATATTGCTTGGGTTTGCCTGCTTTCAATCTTTAGATAAAAGGACTCATGCTTGCTTTTTCTGCCTCATGCTGTGACTTTCCTTTGTTCACTCAAAGCACTTTTGAGATTCATCCATATTGACTGTGCAGCTGTAGTTCATTCATTTCGTTTCACTGGTGAATGGCATTGTATGGCATAAATATACCACAACTTAATTATTAATTCATTCTCATGTTGATGGTCATATCAATTGTTTCCAAATCTTTGCTGTGAACATTATTCTGCAGGTCTCCTGGTGTTTCGATGCAAGAGTTTCTCAGGATCTCTGACCGGAATTACTGTATGTGCATACATTCAACTTTGCCTAAGTAATGACAACTTGTTTTCTGATGTGGTTGTTCTAATTTGTACTCCAAATCCCATATATGAGAGTCTGCATTGTGCCCAACACTAAATATCAGACTACATTTTTTGCCAATTCGATGGGTATAAATAGTATCTCACTGTGATTTTAACTTCCATCTCCCTGATTACTAATAAGGTTGAAAATCATCTTATATGTCTATTGGCCATTCATGCTTTTGGAGAATTCCTATTTGTGTCCCGTAACTAATTTTCTATTGGGTCATTTGTCTTTTTCGGCTCTATTCTAAGGCATACTCTGTGTATTCTGGAAACTAACCTTTTGTCAGCTATACATGTGCAAGTACCTTTTCCCAATTTGGGGCCCGTCTTTTCAATCTCTTTATGGAATCTTTTGATGAACATAAGTTCTTAAAGTCAGTGGAGTAAAATATATTCATCTTTTCCTTTATGACATAATTTTTTAAAGAAAATATTTTTCAATTCACTTCTGATGCATCTCTCTTAATTGTTAAGCAATTTTTTTCCTGAAGCCTGCATATCATCAAGGCTAAGCCATGAGGCTTAGTGTCCCAGGGAAGAAAGGGCAAGTCCCGTCTAGGGTAGGGAAAGAAAGCAGAAGGAAATGACGTAAGGGTGAGTTCCCACCAGGGAGAATGAGGAATCTGAAGCCCTTCCAGGAGAAGTGGTGGTAATAGAGAGAGATTTGCAGAGAAGGAGGCAAAGAGAAGACGCTACCTGAGTCTCTCAGAGACTAAGCACTGCCTCCACCTTGGGCCTTACACTGGCCAGAAGAACATAATCCAAAATAAGAGAGAAGCTGAAAGTGAATGGGGCTTGTGCCACTTCTCTGAAACTGTGGAACAAGACCATCTCACAGGGTATTCCTTTGTCAAGATGTGACACAAAGTGTTCCACGTCTCTCCCAGTTCCTTTGTAGAATGAAGGGGATTCAGATGGTCCAGTGGGCTCTCCCACTGAGTGACACAGAAGCTAGTTGACCACTGAGGGCCAAGAGAACTGCCATATGGCTGGCAAGGCTAGTGTGAAAGTGATCCGTAGCAGAGACCACAGAATGGACATTCCAGGCCAGAATTGGATGGAGAATATGGAAGAGGATTAGAGCATCTGCACAGCCAGCAAGGGTCAATGTGGAGCTCAATCAGCGAAAAGAAGCCTACCAGCTCCTGATCAGGCCAAAGGATAGGCCATGAGTTATGTCAGCTGCAGCCTTCAACAGCAGATGCCAGCAGGATGCCTGGAAATGAGATGATTAATTCACAATTCTGAGGAGGTCAGCATGAACACAGACAACAGCACAAGGACCATCACCTGAACCAGCCATCCTCCCCTACTGCCATGAGGATGGGTAAACCTTCCCTATGCCTCTAGAGAAAGGATAAGAGAAAGGCTTTCAAAGAAGAGAAACAGCTCCTCCCCACACACACAGCCCTCATGAAAATGGGGCCTTGAGACTAAGATGAGAGTAGTTAGAGAAAATAAAAGCAAACTACCTTTTTCTTTTTGCATATTTGAGAGATTCTATGTACCTCTCTACTCCGCTTCAATAGTTATTATTATGGTCCTCATTGTATATGGGAAGTCTGAACATGCAAAAAAAGATTATAGTACAATCTAAATACAGTAACTGAGCTATACACAATATACATAGAGCCCATAGAAAAGGCAGAAATTAGCTACATATATTAGTTTTATATTGCTGTATAACAATATTACCACAAACTTAGCAGGTTAAACCAATACAGTTTTACTTATCCACAGTTTTACTTTCCATGGTTTCAGTTACTCATAGTCAACTGTGGTTCAAAAATATTAAATGGAATATTTCAGAAATAATTCATAAGTTTTAAATTATGCATCATGCTGAATAGCATAATGAAATCTTGCACCATGCCGCTGCCTCCTGCCCAGGACATGCATCATTCCTTTTTCCAGTGTATCCACACCATATATACTTCCCATCTGCTAGGCACTTAGTAGCTGTCTCGGTTATCAGGTCAAAAAAGCATAGTATATGCGGGGTACAGTACTATCCACAGTTGCAGGTACCCACGGGGAGTAGGTATCCACGGGGGGTAGGTATCCATGTAGCTGGGTCCTCTGTAAGGCTTCAATCAAGGTATTGGCCAGGGCTGGGTCCTTATCTGAAGGCTTAACTGTGGAAGAATCTGCTTCTAAGCTTACAAGGTTGTTGGATGCATTTAATTCCTTGTTGGTGGTGGACTGAGAGCCTCAGTTTCTTCTTGCTGGTGTCAAGTTCCCTGCCACGTGGGCCTCCCCAACATGACTGCTTGCTCATCAAAGCCAGCAAGGGAGTTCCTCAGCAAGATAGATATTAGAGTCTTATGTAATGTAACCATGGAAGTGATATCTCCTTTGCCATGTTTTATTAATGTGAAGCAAGTCACACATGCTGCTTACACTTAAGGGGAGGAGATGAAGGGTGAATGCCAGGAGACAGGGTCATGGGAGTGCCTTAGAGACTGTCCACTATACTAGGCAAGGTGGGTGGCTGGGGAAGACATGCCAGATGTGACTTCTCAGAGGAGACACAATCTGAGCTGGCTTTTGAAGAAGGTTAAGAGCCCCAGAATTGCTTGGCAGCCCCAGAACCTAGTCAATGTTTAGCGTTATAGGAGGAAAGAACAAATGTTTGTGAATGACAGTATTGACATCGGGAGAAAAGTCTGGTCACCCTTATAGGAAAGAAGATTGTATTTTACATGAGGCAAAAACAAGAAAAATAATTGTCAAATCTCATCTCAATAGCAATAAGTAACATTAAAGCCCTTCTAGCAATATTAAAATGGGAGAGGTCACTGCATTAATGTCTCAGCAAGCCTCACCAGGAAAGCGTAATGAACATCAAGGGCACTGAAACGACAGGAGATGATCTAATGCAGGAAGCTCCCCAAATACTATATTTATACAAATGATAAATAGGTTTCAAGAAAGGAGAAACCAACTAATGTTGATGACTAGGGAAATAAATAATATTAGAACTTTACACTGCAGTAGCATCTTTCATCTGGGATCCTAAAAAGCTTTAAGAGTAATTAAATTTGGGTGCTGCATCAAAGTAGACCCATTTTTAAAACAAAAATATGGATTTTATGCCCTTCAGCAGATGTAGCACTGAATAGTCTCACAGATAATGAAACAAAACCTGGAGATTATTTTCTCTTGAAGAATGTTTTATCATTGTTTCCAAGGTTCTAAATTTGTAACTAGCTGAGTCTTACGGAAATGCAGGGTGGAGCCACATTTCTTTCTATATATTGGAAAAGAGGCAGCAGTTTCAGCCCAGGTGGAGTGTGTGGGGATTGGGGGTTAGAAGCAGTCCCCATGGAAAACCCACCTAGGGAACAGGAAGCAAACATTGGGTCGCCCTTGACATATGAAAAAATGACATGACATTTGGAAAGCATCCATCTGTGTCAAACTCTGTTCTGGTTTTCAAGTATCATTGTTGGAGTGCCTCTGAGTCTCAAAAGCCTTCTGTGTTTCACATTGTTTCCGTGTCAGAGACAAGTCCATGTTTAGTTACTTGGGAGCAAGCCTCCATTCCTGGTTGGTGGTCTCAGTATGCTACCAGATCTTGCCATCTTACCATTTGAAGCTCCTGTGACCATGTTGAACCCACTCGCAACCTGGGTGTGTCTGTGGGAAGCCTGCATCTCACAGGGACATTAACACCCCTGCTGGGAGACTTAGCGATTCAGACAGGAAGTTTCATCCTCAAAATCAAGTCTCATATGCACCCTTCCATGTTCCACTGTGCCTTCAAGATGTGTGAATCAGCTTGCTGCTTCGGCAGCAGAACGTGGAGACAGCTTTCCACCCCCGGTTTTCCACGGGGCAATACACGGACCATCGTGTGAGCTGGCGGTGCAGAAGCATAAAGCTCCTTGGCCATCATTCCGTTCACAATCATTCCGTTCACAACAGGGCCATGCTGCATCTGGGGAAAGGCCGGTGATCATGTGAGCATGAGTGGTCATGGTCTATAAGGAGGATACAAAAGAATCTCGGAAATAGACACCATTTATTCACCAGTTCCTACTAGAAGAAATAAGTTTTGAGCCCTTCAACTAAAATAATGTGAAGAAATATTCCTGAAGTTAGATAGGCAGAGGATTAGGAATGTGGGAAGATGCTTGACTGAAGGTTCAACCGATCTCCTGTGTTTAATTTATTAATATGGAGTTCTAGCTGGGCATCTGATACTCAAAGACAAGGGAACAAAGCTTCACAGCCTGTTACAGCTTTGGACTTGGCCCAGGCTCATGCCCATCTCCAAAGCGGTCAAGTCCTATTTGTCCTATAAGAAGCACCTGCTGGCCAGGAGCAGTGGCTCACACTTGTAATCCCAGCACTTTGAGGGGCCAAGGCAGACAGATCACGAGGTCAGGAGTTCGAGACCAGCCTGGCCAACACAGTGAAACCCTGTCTCTACTAAAAATATGAAAATTAGCTGGGCGTGGTGGCGGGAGCCTGTAATCCCAGCTACTTGGGAGGCTGAGGCAGGAGAATCGCTTGAACCCGAGAGGCAGAGGTTGCAGTAAGCTGAGATCGTACCGCTGCACTCCAGCCTGGGTGACAGAGCGAGACTCCACCTCAAAAAAAAAAGATGCACCCGCCGTTGACAACCTCCCCAGGCTTCTCATCTATGAGTCATCCACCCTCCCCAAACTCCTCACCATTTATACATGCCTCCCTCGAGACCCTCATCCCTGTGTCCATTCAATTTTAGCAGTTTATGTACACGTCATATCCTCTTTTCAATCAGAAGTAACTCGAGGGCCCTCGCATTTTGGCTCGTATATACTAAGTACTCAGTAAACACCTTGGAAAATGAGTGAATGGCTGTTTAATACCTATTAAAATACAGAGACCAAACGTACACTCGCCCCTCCGGATCTCACTTGGGGAGCAGTGCCTTTGTGCTCAGGAGGGCTGCCATGTTCCTAAATACTTCGGAATACACAGAATTCTGGTATGCTTTCTAGAGACCAGATATACCCAAGCTTCAGCCCAATTTCAGTTTTTAAAAACAGGATCAAGAGGGCCAGATGTGGTGGCGCATGCCTGTGATCCCAGCATTTTGAGAGGCCTTGGAGGGCAGATCACCTGAGGTCAGGAGTTCGAAACCAGCCTGTCCAAAATGGTGAAACCCCATCTCTACTAAAAATACAAAAATTAGCTGGGTGTGGTGGTGCACACCTGTAATCACAGCTACTCAAGAGGCTGAGGCACAAGAGTGGCTTCAACCTGGGAGGCAGAGGTTGCATTGAGCTGAGATTTTACCACTGAACTCCAGCCTGGGTGACAGAGTGAGACTCTGTTTCAAAAAAAAAAAAAAAAACAAAACAAAACAAAAAACAGGATCAAGATTTACGCCTTCCTGAAGAAGTTGAGTCTGGGGTCACAGTCATTAGTATCATGCTTCATAATGACCTTAAGCCTCTTTCAAGTGTGTGATATTCTATTAGGTTGATGCAAAAGTAATTGCGGTTTTTGCCATTCTTTTTTTTTTAAAAAAAAGGCAAAAACCGCAATTACTTTTGCATCAACCTAATATATGCACAGTTTCATAAGCTCTCTGAGGGCAGGACTTCTGTCTATTCTGTTGATGTTATTGTTACCCACACACACTACCTTGTAAGGAAGTCTGCCCACACTGGGCAAACATTAACTATTGACTAAGCGTATCATTTTATTTTAACACAATTAGGAAGCCCTGCATTCCAAGGAACCCCTTTAGCCAAAAGCTGCTGAGTTAGGTCACCAGACTCAGCACACACCTTTTCTAATCTGCTTCTTCAGTCCCTATGAGCCATACAATGCATTCTCTCCTGCCTAGAGTTGGCAATTTCAATTATTTCTTTTCCAGAAAGAAATAAAAGTGTCTGGACTGAAATAGATTTCCCTGTTTGGAAACTAATGCAGTGAGGGGTCTATTTGTTACAAACACTGATAGGCAGCCTTCTCCACAGAGGTGAGCCGTCCTTTCCCATGGGCTCCTCTTTGCTCCTTCCTCTACAGGAATCCATCTACTCTGGTTCATGTACAGAAGGTTACTGTGGTTTTTCCAGGAAACTGCTGCCTGATGAGGGAGGCAAATTTTCTGTGTACAAATTTGAGGACCATTTGTGCAGAAACAGACATAAGTAACAGAATATAAGCCATATTAATGTTTTTATGACTATACTTGGGCCTTCTCAACAATGGTTAAGTGTTGCCAAACTAGCTTTACTTAGTGTTGGCAGGACAGGAGCTGTAATATATAGTTCTTTTTGTCTTGGCAATAAGTCTGGCACTCCTGCCAGAATCTACTCTAAAGGAAATGAACCAGAGACAATAAGTCCATTCAAATGCACTAGCGATTTCTTCCAGCAGGGATTTTTCAATTTCTAAGTTGATACAAATTTTAAAACCACCTATTTTAAGTAGGGAGTGGGAGTTTTATTTTCCAAAAGAAGATGTTATATTTACCAATGTATTTCTGACATCTGTCCGCAACAAGAAATATTATAGTGCCAGGTAATTGAGAAGGTGTCAGAACAAAACAAACATAAAACAAACAAAAACAGAGAGAGATGTATTCCTTTCAAAAGGATGTAAACACAAAATATAATTGATGGGCTTCATTCAGTCAGCCGTTTAATTTGCGGTGTTTAAGTACTTACATAAAATGACATTACTGCTGTGCTATTGTCTCGCTGGTTCCATGCATTTTATTTATGACCATGTGTCTTTGTGAGTGAATAAAAAAATGTGGAGTTGCTAGCAGCAAACCTTACACATTTCAAAACCCAAAACCAAGAAATCCTTGAAGGACCACCTATAAAAAAAAACTTTGTTAACACAAGGTTCAATATTTGCCTGGGTTGGCACAATCCTACTTGGAGGGGAAAAAGGAGGCGGATTTTTCTGGCTTTAGGAGGCGGGATTTCAGGTAAACCACTGTGAAGGTGCCTGTCTACGCCTCTGAATTCTAGAGCCTAGAGCCCCCTGCTGGCTGAAGGAGGAAGAGACCTGAATGGACCCGATGGCCATCATTTCAAACTCCTCATTTTCCCCCCAGGTCATTCATTCATGCAGCAAATATTCGTTGAGGCTTGCTCTGTGCCAGGCACTGTTCTAGGCTCTGGGGATAATCTGTTCAACAAAACATACAGGTCTTTGCCTTACTGGAGTTTACACTGCAAAAAAAGAATTCAAATGGCCGGACGCGGTGGCTCACACCTGTAATCCCAACACTTTGGGAGGCCGAGGCGGACGGATCACCTGGGGTCAGGAGCTCGAGACCAGACTGGCTAGCATTGCAAAACCCCATCTCTACTAAAAATACAAAAAATTAGCCGGGCGTGATGGTGCACACCTTTAGTCCCAGCTACACGGGAGGCTGAGGCAGGAGAGTCACTTGAACCCCAGGAGGCAGAGGTTGCAGTAAGCCAAGATCACGCCATTGCACCCTGGGCGACACAGCAAGACTTCATCTCAAAAAAAAAAAGGAAAAGAAAACCAAATAACCATAAACTATAATGTCACATAGAAATTGATACTAACAGATAAACTATGAATCACAGCACAGCAGGGAGAGGAAGTAAAGAGTGATGGGAGGATGATGTATTTTTAGACAGAAGAACTGAATAAATAAAATGAAGAAGAGGGAGAAATTGGTAGGAGGGGCTTCCAGGAAAGGGGCGGAGCGAGTGTGAGAGCTGGGCGGGGGTCAGGGAGTGCACGGAGCAGTTAGCAGTGCAGAAGGCCCCGGTAGCTGAGCGATGAACCGAAACTTAAAAATGAGCTGAGCCCAATGATGCGGAGCCTTACATGGTAAGAATTTTGGATTTTACAGTAATCCACGGAGAGGCTTGAACAGAGAATTAACTAAATTTGCTTTCCATTCTAAATAGACCATTCTGTGTGCAACAAGAACTAACTGCGAGTGTGAAATCTGAGAGGCCCATTTTGGAGGCTACTGCCATCATATTTCAAACAATTCAATCAATGAATTTCACCAAACTGAAATTCCTGCTGTTTACAACAAGGTTCAGAGAAGAATAAAATATCTTGGTCTCTGCCCTCAGAGAGCTTTCAATCAACTTGGGAAAATAAGATAGGCACACTTCAAATTAAACTTACGAGAGACAGTGAAGGATTGTTCTGGCTTGTACACAAGAGCAATAATAATGAAGATGAAAAAGGTGGTGTCACCAGCAGCCAAGCACCAGCTTGAGGCAGTTTAGCTTCATGGTTAAGAGCACAAGCGCTAGAGCCAGGCTGCTGGGGTTCAGAATTCTGGTGTCATTTACTAGCTGTGTGACCTCTGGCATGTGCCTTGGTTTTCTCTGTGCCTCAGTTTTATGACCTGTAGAATGGATCTAATAATAGGACCTTCCTTATAGGGTTGGTATGAGGAATAAATGTGTGTCAATGTTGTGTAGAAGGTGTTTACATCAGTGTTAGGTAATTTACCAAAACTACTCAAAAGGAAGAAATGTCTCCGAAATCATTATTACTGCAGTAGGTCAGATGTGGTGTGATAGTGACTTACATATCAGTTGTGGAAACAAAATAAAAGGGGCAGTATTTCTGGAAGGTTAACTTAGAAGGTTTGATGACAACAAGATGGTAAATGAAGCATACAAAGGGGTTCAAGATGAACATGAGATCTCAAGCGTAATGATTAGGAAAACAGTAGAAAGGAGAGAAAAAGAGAATTCAGGATGGGAAATTGGTTTGAGAGGCAGGGCAGGTTGGATTTCAGGCATACTGAGTTTGAAGTGGACAAGTGATTAGAAATGTCAGACTAGGGCTCAGAAGAGAGATCAAGGGTATCCTTATGGATTGGAACCTCTTCCTTTGGGGGCTATCTTTGAAGCCATGGAGATGACAGATAACTAAGACAGAAGTGGCTGAAAAAAAAGAGCTCTAAGAATGAAATTTAGGAGACATGACCATAGTTATGGATTAGAAAAGAGGCTGAAGAGGCCGGGCATGGTGGCTCATGCCTGTAATCCCAGCACTTTGGGAGGCCTAGGCAGGCGGGTCACCTAAGGTGAAGAGTTCAAGATCAGTGTGGCCAACATGGTGAAACTCCATCTCTACTAAAAAAAAAAAAAAAAAAAAAAAAAAAAATACAAAAATTAGCCGGGTACAGTGGCAGGTGCCTGTAATCCCAGCTACTAGGGAGGCAGAGGCAGGAGAATTGCTTGAACCTGGGAAGCGGACATTGCGGTGAGCCGAGATCACGCCACTGCACTCCAGCCTGGGCAACAGAGTGAGATTCTATCTCAAAAAAAAAAAAAAAGAAAAAGGAAAAGAGGCCAAAGAGAGGAAAGCATCAGAAAATCAGGAAGAGACATGTTATTTTAGCAAAAATATTGAGAAAGATGGAAAAGCCACTGTCAAACACTACTAAGAGATAAAGGATAACTAAGTATGCCTTTGGAGGAGATCATTAAGAAGTCATTGATGGGCCAGGCAGGTGGCTCATGCCTGTAATCCATCCCAGCACTTTGCGAGGCCGAGGCGGGTGGATCACCTGAGGTCAAGAGTTCGAGACCAGCCTGGCCAATATGGTGAAATGCTGTCTCTACTAAAACTATAAAAATTAGCAGAGTGTGATGGTGCCCGCCTATAATGCCAACTACTTGGGAGGCTGAGGCAGGAGAATCTCTTGAACCCGGGAGGCGGAGGTTGCAGTGAGCTGAGGTCAAGTTACTGCACTCCAGCCTGGGTGACAGAGCCAGACTCTGTCTCAAGGAAAAAAAAAAAAAAGTCATTGATGGCATCAAGAAAGAGTTTCTCAAGTGCAGCTTATCCTAAGGGTCTCTGCTAAATGTTTGTCATGAATGCTGTGCTGTGCCACCCAGATTTCTCCATCAGGACCCAAGGTGCTGTCTCCCCGGGGAGGGTTGTAAGCTGACAGCTCCCAGCGGCTCGGCTGAGGAAAGCCATCTTGCCCAAGGTCGTGCCCGCATCCTGGGGCAGCCTGCAGCAATGGCTGGTTGACTTCGGGGTATAAAAGCCCAGTTTCTTCCCAAAAAGGGACAACTCAAAAGGGCCATTCCAGGTTTCGAGCCATGGAGTCAGCTAGGGCTGAGTCACAACACACTGTGACTGCACTGCCGCCAGCCTCCCCTTCCCCACACAGCGTTGACGCCAGTGAGAAGAAAAGACCCCCAGGACACTTTAAGCAGCAATGCCAATCTCTGAGTCGGGATCTGCTTCCCCAGGAACCCAGAGGCCACAATGTATTAGAAAATTCAATAAAAATAAAAATGATAACATCAGGGAAGAGTTTTGGCACAAAGAGATCAATATAGCATTTAACAGGCCAGGTGCAGTGGTTCATGCTTGTCATCCTAGCAATTTGGGAGGCTGAGGCACGTGGATCACTTGAGTTCAGAAGTTCAAGACCAGCCTGGCCAACATGGTGAAACCCCCATCTCTACTAAATTACAAAAATTAGCCAGGAGTGGTGGTGCATGCCTGTAATCCTAGCTACTTGGGAGACTGAGGCACAAGGATCACTTGAACCCAGGAGGCAAAGGTTACGGTGAGCTGAGATCGCCCACTGCACTCCAGCCTGGGCAACAGAGCAACACTGTGGAAAAAAAAAAGAAAGAAAGAAAGAGAGAAAGAGAGAGAGGGAGAGAGGGAGGGAGGGAGGGAGGAAGGGAGGAAGGAGGGAAGGGAGAAAGAAAACACAAAGAAATAGTATTTAACAGATAAATAAAAATAGTTCCTTAGAAATAGAAATTCTGAAATTGAAAGGGTCAAATTGAGGGAAGTGAATAGG
Source organism: Homo sapiens (assembly GCF_000001405.40). Classification (NCBI taxonomy): domain Eukaryota; kingdom Metazoa; phylum Chordata; class Mammalia; order Primates; family Hominidae; genus Homo; species Homo sapiens. Next base: position 26,065,667 of record NC_000007.14, read on the forward strand.
AATGGGCTTTTCTCCAGGACCCCAAACCTATCAGACTTGCAAAAAATGAGATGGTGCCATTTACCTTTGGTGAAAATAGAGTGCTGGGTTTCCTAACCCGATTGATGGTGCTGTCACCGTATAACCTCACAATCTCTTTTAATCTCTGCACTCTTGTCACTTTGCTGCCATCTGGAGAGAGGATTAATTTGATTTGTCCCCCAAGGAGATTAATGTATCTGATTGGATTCCAGCACACGGAGGGATACCATTCTCTAACCCATCAGCACTGTCCATGGCCAGGGTGCAAAAGCCCATCCCACTTCTCCCAAGAAAGAAGCAGCTCTGAGGATCCCGAGACACTGTGGAGATGATGCTTGCAAAGTTCACTTTCACATTGCGCTGTCTTTCTAGCCTTCCCAGTGTTGAAATATCTCTCCATACGCCCAGTGGACCTTCCCATAGCCTATGGGGGTGGGGCAGGGGAAATTCACTGCTTAAGAAAAAGAATGTTCTTTCATGCAACCAAATGTACTATCCAACCCCTCAGATGCTTGGAAAGGCAGGGATCATGCCTGTTTGTTTACCTCTGTACCCCAAGAAACCAGCAAAGTGCCTGAACACACAGAAAGTGCTTGATTGTTGAATAAATGATCTAAAAACTGGTGCTAGGTGGATCACGAATGAAGTAAAAGAAACAATCAGTAAATATAAATGATAAAGATGGCTAGAGACAGTTTGGCTCTGTGTAAATTATGACTAAGTTGGAGTCCTCTTCCGGTCACCTCAGTGAATGTCTCAGTGATCCAGTTGCCCATGGTAGATACTTAAGAAAAGCTCTTTGGACTGAATTAAACTACAATAAAACCTCATTGGTGGAAGCCCAAATAAAAAAGCATATTCATTGGTGCAAATACTTCAGAAGAAGGGACATTATTCATTATTCAGCACAAGGATATGAGAGTGACGAGGAAGAGAAAGACAGGGACAATTTTTAACAATGAGAAGAAAGGAATCCAAAGGTGGGGAGTCTAAGGAAAATGATCGATTATCCACATTAATGGAACTATTCGGTTTAAAGCTTCAAGAATTGGCCTGAGGGACCACCATGAAATTTGCTATCTCAATTAATCCTTGCAAAGTGAAAATAATACATGTTAGCTGTTCTCACCATTCTAAGGACTTTACATGTATCCTCATTTGATCCTCTCAAGAACTCTGTGTGTTAAGTTTGCCAGTACTGCCATCCCCATTTTACAGATGAGGAAACTGAGGTCTAGAGAACTTAAGTGACTTGCCCAAGGTGGCACAGCTGGTAAGTGCAGCCATGGGTCTTCGAACCTGGACAGTCTGACTCCAAGGCCATGCTCTTAACCTGTTCACTGTATCACCTCCTGCAAGGACAAACATTCCACCTTCTTTTCCCCTCTTCAACCCACAGGTAAGTTCTGTATTTCCTGGTTTTTAAACTCTAGAAAGAATGCTCTTGAAGAACAACCATATGACACTTTTTAAAGTGCAATTGATATTTAAGACTCTATCTCTACATTGAGATTCCTAAGAAATAGCATTTTTAATAATATAGATGTTTAAAACAAAACAATACAGAAAGTGGGCTGCATCTGAGGGTAATTTTTTTTTTTGTCTATTTTGTTCACAGCTAAATCCGTGGGCCTAGAATAGTGCCTAGCACATGGCAAGCTTTCAAAAATATTTGTCAAACTTGTGGTTGAACCAAAACAAGATATACAGAATCCCCTATATGGGTACTCCCACATAAACTTTATGGCACAATTGAGACTCCACCTCCAGGGCATGGTTTCTTGGGAGAACCCAAGTGGCTAAGTCTTGCCTTGTATTTGCCTTGTATTTTATATTAGAATCATCCTGTGAGGTAATTAACGCAGTTTTATGATGCTTAATCAAAGACACACAACTTGGCCGGGTACGGTGGCTCACACCTGTAATCCCAGCACTTTGGGAGGCCGAGGTGGGTGGATCACTTGAGGTCAGGAGTTCAAAACCAACTTGGCCAACATGGTGAAACCCTGTCTCTAGTAAAAATGCAAAAAAAAAAAAAAAAAAAAAAAAAATTAGCCAGGCATGGTAGCACACTCCTGTAATCCCACCTACTCAGGAGGCTGAGGCAGGAGAATCACTTGAACCCATGAGACAGAGGTTGCAGGTGAGCTGAGATCGTGCTACTGCACTCCAGCCTGGGCAACAGAGGGAGACTCTGTCTCAAAAAAGAAAGAAAGAAAAGAAAGAGAGAGAGATGGGGGGTGGGAAATTAAGGAAAGAAGGAAGGAAGGGAGGGAGGGAGGGAAGGACACATACACAGCTTGCTAAAACATGTCTTCTAGCAAAGATGCAAGTATAGTAAAAGTTTTCTTAGCACAATGTGTCCAAGTCTGATGTGTCCAAATTTGAGTTGCTTCATTAATTACTTGACAACTTGACAACTTTTTTTTGTTTTTTGGGGTTGTTTTGGTTTGTTTGTGTGTTTGTTTTTTGAGACAGTCTTCCTCTGTTGCCCAGGCTGCAGTGCAGTGGCACAATCTCTGCTCACTGCACCCTCCACCTCGCAGTCTCAAGTGATCCTCCAACCTCAGCATCCTGAGTAGCTGAGACTACAGGTGCGCAAAACCACGCCCAGCTAATTTTTGTATTTTTCGCAGAGAGAGGGTTTCACCATGTCTCTACAAAAAATTGGTTAGGCTGGTCTCGAACTCCTGGGCTCAAGCACTCCTCCCACCTCGGCCTCCCAAAGTGCTGGGATTACAGGTGTGAGCCACCGCACCAAGCCTTTATTTGTATTTTGAGGCAAGATTGCTTCATGGTTAAGAGGCATGGGCTGAATGACCAGGCCTGTGTATGTTTGTTAACCTCTCTGAGCCTTAGTTTTCTCATATGTAGAATTTAGGTAATTTATTAACATCTATATCAGTTAGGTTCTAACCAGGAAAAAAGAAACCACTCTAGGCATTTCAAAGAGGGCATTTAATATGTGGAACTGGTTCCCTAGGTGAGGGAAGAGTGGGGAAGCTAAATGGGATGGTGAGATGACCTGGATACGAGCTGCAGCAGGAAGCCACCACCATCCGTAGGGCTGCAGGGACAACCAGACAGAGCAGGTGGTGACAGCAGAGCCCAAAAGCCAGGGCTACTGGGCACTGGGTCCATAGGGGAGACACAGCTGCTCCTGGAGTCAGCACTGGCATCAGCACAGGAAAGGGATAAATGCCCTCACATCTTCCCTCTTCCTGCCCTCCAGCCTCTGCCAGCGCCTCTTATTGGCTGAACCTAATGAGAAGCCAGGGAGCCTGGGAAATGTGATGGCTGTGGTACAGAGCAGAGCAGGAAAAGGGCAGAGATGGACCTGAGAGCAAATGAGCAATTCACCAGCTCAAGACCTCACTGGGCTGTCATGAGATTTAAATGGGTTACACATGTGCTGAGCACTCCCCGCCGGCACGTCATGGTGCTTAATGAAAGTTATTATTGTTATTATATGTAACAGGCCCTGGGCTGGACATGGGTAACAGAAAAGACGTAGACTCTACTACCAAGTAGCAACCAGTCAAATCACTGTAGCCCATTTGTTTTTTAGCAATGACCCATTCCGTGGGCCTCTAGTGTGAACCTTCTAGCAGTCTTTATCCCCCCATATTGATACAGGTGACCAACTTCGGAGTATGCATATCAACCATCAGCATCAATGGTGACCAAGAAAAACAGGCTAACATTGACCTATAAGTGTTTACTCTTCCAGAATAAAAGGGGTCCTTAAAAATGCAAAATATTTTATGTAAGATACAAAATGATCTGTCAATAAAACAGGCACTGACTCCATCATCTTACCTGATAAAGGATTGATTTAGTGAGTGTGTCATTTATGCAGCTGATTGCGTGTCTAGCTTTAAGGTATTTGATGATTTCCTAAAAAGACAATGGCTTTACAACTAGAAGCCCATTTTAAGAAAGATTTTCTCAAATCAGAGAGGTTCCTCACACGGATGACATGAAACCTTGGATGAAGCGTTCATGAGTCTGGTCACGAGCAGAGTCAACGGGTGCTGCCAATTAGAGGCCAGGAAATCTTGTCTCTCCATCTCTTCATTTTTATCCCTGGCCTTGGAGTCGCCAAATATTAGTTCTGGAATCCAAAAAACACATTCGCGTGCCTAACATGTAGAAATTACTCCAAACCACCAATGCCAATTACTGCTAATATTCATAGCTAATAGAAAGATAAAGTGGAAATTGAGATAGTGACTTCACCCTGGCAGTTGGGCCCAGCTACACCAGGAAAGCACTGGCTATTCCTTGGCTTCTCATCCTGTCTCTATCTACTCAAGGAGATACAGAAAATTGGCTGTGAGGAAAAATTATACTCTTTACTGTTGGAGTAATAATGCTATCTTAAATATCAAGCATCCTGGAGCATTTTAATTAGGTGGGAAGATACCAGAAGGCATCATCTGTATCTTCTGTAGGACGACTAAATGAAATAGCTGGGAGCTTTAAGTTCATCTTTAAAGAACATGAATGAAAATAATATTTTATATGGAGAAATAAAGGGGAAAGATGGAGTGAGATCCCAAAAATTACACATAAAATTGAGCTGGATTAATGGTCTCTTTCCTATACAAAGTGAATTGGTTTGACAGCTCAATGAGTCAGAAGTCACCATAGGTTTAAGACAATGGAATGACTTTGCCATTCTCAATGCTGATCAAAAACCTTTCAAAAAGCATATTTCCTGGACACAACAAATTTCATTCTAATTTTGTTTCCTGGTTCTGTCTTTCTGATCCTCGGTATAAATGATGTCACCATTCCCATTAGTTAGGCATGAGGTACTGCCAACCCATAATTACAAATGCCTCCCCCCGGCATTCTGTTACATTGAGCTGTCAGTGAGTTTCATCTCCAAATTGTAATGGCACTATTTGCTTTATTTGGTCTTAGGTGATGTAGGATGGATGCCCTTCTAAACAGCATGTGCATTTAAGATGGCAGAGCAAGAATGATTTATATGGGGAATAACTCCTTAGTCTGTCAAAGACCTGGCAGAATCTTTCTGGGAAACTAATTGCAGCCAGTTCCTTCCCCAGCTCGGAGGTGAACTATTGGCATCTCTGCCAGCCATCATAAGATACAATCTACCAGCCATAAGAAGAGAGGAAACCAGATCTCTCATTCTCAACACTGGTACATGCCTGATAATGCTGTTTCTCAAAAGCCAATTATTGAGATTTAAATGTCCCCTATACAAACATTCACCATTTTCTTTTGATCCTACAAAAATCACATCACCTTTCTGAACTACTTATGGTGCATACAAAAATCATTTTTACTCTACAGTCATGCTGTGAGCTGCTGTGAATGTCAGGTCTGTGATGCCCCTGTATTCTCATAAAGGGCATAGAGCGGGCTGAGAATTCAATGGGAAAGGGTAAGGAAATTATCTGTCCTCAACATCAGAGACGCTTTGCCCTGAGTTCAGAGTTGTCCTGTCCACTGAATGTTCTCCCTACTCTCCTTATCATGGTTCCTTCTCCTTTGCTTCTTCTCCTGGACCACTGTTTGAATGAGATACACACTGAACTCCTTGTTTGTCCTCTAACGCCACAAAACCAAGGCTAAAGAAAGGGGCACAGTGCAGAACATGTCTCCCTGGAAGACCCAGAGATGTCCCAACATCCCTGGGAGAGGCCCAAATCCAATCTTGTCTCATTATCCAGACCAGTAGTTATCAGTGGGGGTGACTGTCCTTCAGGAAACATTTGCAATGTCTGAAGACATTTTTAGCTGCTACAACTGGGGGTAAAGGGCATTACTGGCATCTAGCGGATGGAAACCAGGGATTCTGCTAAACATCCTACTATGCACAGAACAGGCCCCATAGCAAAGAACTGTCTGACCCCAAATGTGAATAGTGCTGGGGCGCCTATAGTCCCAGCTACTTGGGAGGCTGAAGTAAGAGGATCACTTTAGCCCAGAGAGTTTGGGGCTGCCCTGGGTAACAAAGCAAGACTCCATCTCTTTTTAAAAAGTCAGTAATGCCAAAGTTGAGAAACCCTGATCTAGATTTTAATCAAGGAGAGGGTTTAGGCAAGTAGCTCTCTCTTCCAGTTGGCACCAATCCCGCATGGAAGCCACACCCCAGGCAGAAGCTCTGTTTAGGCCCCACATTTGCCTGATTCAGCACATCACACTTTAATCATGTAATTCAATTTTTCCTAATTTTTTTAATGTTATTTAGGCCCTTTAATATAATTTGGCAAGCTATTATAGTTGTTACAGCTGCTAGTTCTGCCCTCAATACTGATTTCACTTATGACCTCAGCTGGAATAAGATTTAAAGTTTGAGATGATGTAAGTGAATAAGGATTATTAGATTTATTCGTATGGCAATTTAAATAAGAAACTGCCTGGCTTAGAATAAGTGGTAAATGAAAAATGCTAGTGATTTATAGACCTGTCCATTTTAAAGATTTATATGATGTGTGGGATGATTAAGTAAGAGACAGGCCTGATTATATGAAATATGTAATTTTTGTAAATGCGATATTGGAAGCAAGCTGCTAAACAGTGCTGCATAGCAACTCTCGGCTAAGCCATTTTTATTACACAATTATTATAAACTGGTATGCAGAGTCATGTGTGAATTACACACAGAGTCCTTGCTCTAATTCTTTTTAGCTGGATGGGAGCATGTTCATAGGAAATGCATCTAAAACTTCAGCCTTGAAACATCAGTCCCATTGGTACCCCAAAAGGCAGGGCAGACTGGGGATTTCAGACCTGCATCAGTGACTGTCAGGCTTTGAGCAATGCTCTCCTTCATAAAGGGCATGGCCACCATGCCCAGGTCTCAGCACTTCAACTTATGAAATGGAGATGCTCCATCTGTCATATTTTAGTGATACACTTTAGGGAAAAACGACAGCAGTCAGAAAAAGAAACGTAAGACATCGTGACATAGTTTCCTTCCCTCAGTTCAAATACTCCCCTCATCAAGGTAGCACATAGTACCTGAAAACTCAGAGAGCCCAGGGTGATTCACCCAACTCAGGTCAGGTTGCTGCCCCCTTTCCAGAGCCTCAGAATCCTGTGGAGAGAGTTGAGACCAGGCGCCTCCCTGAGGTTTTGGATATAGTCCCAAAGTCAGCCCTAGGATTGCCATAGAGGAATGAGCGATGGTTCAGTTCTTATCTATCTCTCAGGAGTGGAGAATATGTAAGCAATGTTAATATTTAAGTTATTTTGACAACTGCTTGGTACAAACAAAAAACAGAACAAAGCACCTGTCTTAGGAGAGTAGAGAGACCTGGTAGTAGTCAGATTTCTTCCAGAAACTGAGTGTAGGACTTGGTAAGGTAAATTGCCTGCCTCTTTAAACTCAGAGTTGTTAGAACTCCTTTAGCCACATCTCAGGGCTGGTAGGAGGGGTTAAGGGGATAAATGAAAGGAGAGCCCTTTCGAAAGCATAGGGCAAAGCTTCAGAAGACAAAATGGAGGTCAAAGCAGAAGCAGGAAACACCGTCATTCAACAGACATTTATGGCGGCCCTGGAACCCTGCTAGGGCCTAGGGTTGCCAAGAGGGGCAAGCCACCAAGCTCTGGGACGCCCAGGGCTGAGTGTGAGGATGATCTAAACTCTAAATCTGCAGTGTTTACACAACAGATTAAGTGCTGAGGGTGAGCTTAATTCAGCTGGGGGGTGGGGGCTGTGGTAACAAAGTAGAAAACTTCACAGAAGAAATAACATTTAAACCAGCTCTTACAGAATGTGGAAGAATTAGAGAAACAGAAAGAAGCTTCTAGTCCACCCAGATGTAGAACCAAACTGCCCCTGAGCCCACCGTGAGAAGGAGAGGAAAATTACCAGCATGCATTCGGTTTGATATCAGGAACCGGAAACACACATTCAAGCTTGTGGAGGAGAGTGACAGAATGTTCTGCGGGTCTCGAAACTTCCAAGGCCGGTAGGGATCAGAAACTCTTAAATTCTTGAAATTTAGTATCCATCATAAAATATGTGGAATTGTTAATGAATTATAACAATTATACTTCTTTCTCTGATAGAATGTGTAATTTACTAATCAAATATAATATTAACTTTTAGCATGCCCATGAGTTTTAATAAATAATCCCCAATATAGTGATTTTATTTTTATTTACTTATCTATTTTATAAAAACAGGGTCTCCTTCTGTCACCCAGGCTGGAGTGCTGTGGTGCAATCATAGCCTTGAACTGCTGGGCTCAAGTGACCTTCCCACCTCTGCCTCCCAAGTAGCTAGTATAGGCATGTGCCACCACACTTGGCTAATGTTTAAAAATTGTTTCTAGACATGGGGTCTCACTGTGTGCCCAGGATGGTCTCAAATTCCTGGCCTCAAGCGATCCTCCCTCCTCAGCCTCCAAAAACACTGGGTTTACAGGAGTGAGCCACCGTGCCCAGCCAACATAGTGATTTTAATAAGATAAGTATTTTATTTGACTTAAACAGTAAATGTTTTGGTCCAGAGTCCTGATAAACTGATTAGTATTTCTGAAAGATGCATGCTGCCCATCTTCATTAAATGTGATAGCATGAAGACAGAATTTTATTTAAGCCAAATGAATTGCTGTTTTGTTTTGTTTTGTGTTGTTTTTGAGACATAGTCTCATTCCATCACCCAGGACTACAACCTCCACCTCTTGGGTTCAAGTGACTCTGATGCCTCAGCCTCCCCAATAACTGGGCTTACAAGCGCACACCACTATGCCCGGATAATTTTTGTATTTTTAGTAGAGATGAGACTTTACCATGTTGGCCAGGCTGGTCTTGAACTCCTGGGCTCATGTGATCTGCCCGCCTCAGCCTCCCAAAGTGCTGAGATTAGAGGCATGAGCCACTGCACCTGGCCATTTGAATTGATTTTTTTAAATTCAAAAATATCTAATCTGTTAGCTCAAAATTTATTTTAATAACCCCAAAATCTATGTCCAGTTTCTCCAAGATGAAGGCAATAACAAAAGGAACCCACACTGTCAAATTATGGCTATCTGCACTCAGAAAAGAGAAATATTTTTAGTTGCCAACTGAAGACATTGCATGGAGCAAAAATTATAGGTCAAAAGAGAGAAGAGCAAATTAAATAATAAGATGCATTTGTTTGAACTTCATCCTCATTCCTTTTTTAAAACCTACTTATCAGAGAAAGGTAGGGTTTAGATTTATTTCCTAACTACTACATTAATAGATACCCTAACACTTTCCTGATCAGTTTTATGAATTGATTAATAAGGCAATCATGGTTTGGGAAAGCTTTTATATGCCACCTGATATTGATGCCATCTATAAAAAGACAACCAACCGAGCACCTGATATCCAGTAAAGGCAGGTTCAAAAATTGCAGTCTTAGAAAGATAATGGAGTGACCATGACCTCAAGTACTTTGAGCCAAATAGCAACTGTCAACTCCTGATAGCAGTATTTGACCTCAGAGGCACGTGACAGCAACCAACCTGAAACAGCCATTTTCTCAAATTCTGTTAAGGATAATAAACCATGATAGGGGAAATCACCTGCCCTAGTAAGGAAACCTCTTGTAATCAATGACCTAGAAACGGGCACCATGATTTGAGCAGAAAGCAGGTGGAGGAACTGCGGGAATGTGCTGCTTTATATTGAGGGTCCACTAGATTTTGGCACGGTTGTTTTTGTTGTAGTTATTTTGCTTTGTTTTGATCATTTTTAGTTCATCTCCTGAAAAATCTCAACATACATAAAAGTAGACAGAACAGCATGATAAGCCACCATCTACCGACCAGGCAGCTCCAACAATTACCAAGGCAGTGGTGCCACTCTCGTTCCCTCTATACTCAGACATCATATCATCTCATCCGTAAATTTGAAATAAATATTTAAGTGCATATTTCTAAAATATTTACATACACATTTCTAAAAATAAAGACCTTTTAAAAACCAATCCAAAACCATTATCACTACTAAAAAAAATTGACCAGGTGTGGTGGCTCATGCCTGTAATCCCCGCACTTTGGGAGGCCATGGCAAGCAGATTGCCTGAGAAAAGACCATCCTGGGCAACAGAGTGAGGTCCTGTCTCAAAAAGAAAAAAAAAAACAAAAAAGACGACTAAAAATTAACCATAAGTCTTTAATTGTATCAAGTGTCCAGTCAATGTTTACTTTTCCCAGTTGTCTCCTAAATGGACCTGTCCACATGTGGCAGTTGGCTGCCATCCCATTGACATTATTTTAATCTGAGGTTCCCTCCCCACACACTTTTTCTGGCTATTCCCTTACTGAAGACATTGAGTCATTTGTTCTAGGGGTTCCCACGTTCTGGGCTGTGCCGCCTGTGCCCTATTGTTTTCTGAGAAGTGGTAGTTACACGGAGGCTTGAATAGATATGGGCTTGATGTTTTGACAGGACAGCTTTACTGGAGGGGTCATGTTCCTCCACCAGAAGTGCCATGTCTCCTTTCATGATGTTATTGGCCATTATGATCAATGGGCTCTGATAATATAATATAAGCTGTTAGAAGAAAACCATTGAACCAAAACATTCAGAAGGTTTTGTTTAAAAAAAAAACACACTAAAATCCTTTTTCTCTGTGGTAGGCACTGTGTTTTCCTGCACATAGCACCTCATTTAATCATTCTAACACCCTCATGAGGTGCTGATGGGAGCAGATTTGAACCCAGCCAGTGAGCCTCCAAAGCTCATTCTCTTAGCTACCACAGAAGCAGATCGCCTTGAGAGTCTTATCTTATGGGCCGGCTGCAAAGGAGAAGCCCCTTTTGACTTAGGTAGCATGAATAACTGAAAGAGGTAGAAGTGAAGCAGTAACCAAAAAAATGGTTGAATCTTAAAACACAAGGTATACATTCCTATAAGACTGATCAAAACACCAAGTGGGCCAGACACGGTGGCTCATGCTTGTAATCCCAGCACTTTGGGAGGCCGAGGCAGGTGGATCACCTGTGGTCAGGAGTTGGAGACCAGCTTGGCCAACACAGCTTAACCCCGTCTCCACTAAAAATACAAAAATTAGCTGGGTGTGGTGGCAGGTGCCTGTAGTCCCAGCTACTTAGGAGGCTGAGGCAGAAGAATTGCTTGAACCTGGAAGGCAAAGGTTGCAGTGAGCCAAGATAATACCACTCCAGCCTGGGCAACAGAGAGAGATTCCGTTTCAAAAAGTGACTGTTTATTAACTGGCGAACGCAATCATCTGAAGGGCGTGTCATCTGACAGAGGAGGCAAGTTGGACTGCAGTCACAGTGTCATCTTGGTACAGGCATGGAAACAGAGGCTGAGGAGGTCCCAGACAACCTTCATCAAATAGGGCTGAAATAGCACTCCGAATGTCACCAAAGTGAGTAGAAGCCATGATGCTCTGTTTAAAGTTTGCTCTGCCCTTTGCTCAAATCAACTTAGAGTTATGTTACCCACTCTTGGTGGGAAGGGTTGCCAAAATTAGAGTCATTTCATTAATCTCCCAGGCCAGGGAGAGGTGGTTATATATCACTCCAGGTTACGTTGGCAGCAGGATAATCATTGCATTTCCGTAGTGCATAAAGCAGTATTTCTTTCCATTCATTTGCTATCAGAGTCTCTATAAAAACACCTTAGAACTAAAATATGTTTCTCGGTCCTTTAGATTTTAACAAGACTTCCTTCAAGACGAATATTTTTGAAAAATTCCAAAGTATGAAAAGTATGGAAGCTTCATTTCAAAGGACATCTCTAAACAAATTTTTTAAATTAATATTTTTACAAAATGATTGTCTCATTCCTAACAGGGGAAGGCACCTTGTGATTAAAAGGAAGAAGAAGAGAGGGAAAGGGAGAAGGAAAGATGGAACACAGGAAGAAGAAAGGAAGGAAGGGAAGGAAGGAGGAAGGGAGGGAAGGAGGGAGAGAGGGAAAAAATGGCTTAAAATATTTAGAATGTATTTAGAATATTTTTATTACAGTATTTAGGGAATTTAAATGTGTCAAAAACAAAATAAAACTGAGAGAAACCAAAATTAAGTATGTAGGTAGAAAGTGATGTTTTGTCACTAAATGTATTTTTGAAAATAAAATCGGGGGCCGGGCACGATGGCTCAGTGCTGTAATCCCAGCCCTTTGAGAGGCCGAGGCAGGCAGATCACTGGAGCCCAAGAGTTTGAGACCAGCCTGGACAACAGGGTAAAACCTCGTCTCTACAAAAAATACAAAGAAAATTAGCCGGGCGTAGTGGTGCATGCCTGTAATCCCAGCTACTTGGGAGGCTGTGGCATGAGGATTGCTTGAGCCTGGGAGGCAGAGGTTGCAGTGAACTGAGATAGCACCACTGCATTCCAGCCTGGGTGACAGAGTGAGACTCTGTCTCAGAAAAGGAAAGAAAAGAGCCAAGCAAATTTAAAATTTCTTCTTCCTAGATCTTTCTCTCTCAGTTCACTGTAAATCACTGTGTATTTGTTTAGGATTCTAAATAGACCATAGGTAATTTATAAGTTCTCATGGAATCTTCTGAACTTTTTTAATGGTGTTTACCAACAAGAAACTGTGTCATATAGTAGAGATTTCTGTAAGCTGTCCTCTGAAACAGTATTCCTTCCCAATTACTTTTTAAAACAATGTGAAATCCATTATGTTTGATACAAAAAAAAAATTCTAAAAAATTGAGTGAGGTATTAAAAAAAAAAAAAAGATCTATGGCCAGGAGCAGTGGCTCACACCTATAGTTCTAACACCAGGAGGCTGAGGTGGGAGGATCCATCGTGATCAGGAGTTCAAGACCAGCCTGGGCAACATAGGCAGACCCTCCCCACCTCCCCCACATCTCAACTAAAAAAAAAAGTAGCCGGGCATGGTGGCACACACACCTGCAGTCCTAGTTACTTGGGAGGCTATGGTGGGAGGCTTGCTGGAGCCAGGGAGTTCCAGGCTGCAGTGATCTGTGATCTCACCATTGCACTCCAGCCAGGGCAACAGAGCAAGATCCTGTCTCAAAAAAAAAATTAAAATTTTCTTAAAAACTAGCAACAAGATCTAGAAGTGAATGTACTGTAAAATAAAAATCAGAGTAAGGGAATAAAGTCAAGAGACTTGCGCTATCATCATTTTACAGCTGTTACTGGCAGGAATAAATTGTTTACATTGCCCAGTTCCACATCTTTGATTCTTCCAGCTCACATAACTCATTATTTTACAAGGTGTTTCTGTAACAACTCACTAAACAGTAGTCCTTGCAAACAGTTCTGCTGCTCTGTAATCCAAGATTTTGGATAACATAATTTTAACATAAACATAATTTCAATAAAACTAAAGAGCTCTTTACTGTGCACTGAACAAACTACTCAGGCAGTAGAGGTCTCGCCAACAATGCAACAGACAAAGCAAAGCCGGGATGGCTCAGGCAGGGGGCGCGCGGATCACTCACTGCAGACAAAGGGAGAAGGACCCGACGCGCCCACACCGCCCGCGCATGCCCTGTGCCCGCGGGATCAGGTGTAGCGGGGTAACAGTTGAAAGCGCACAGACAGCTGGAGTTAGCTGGAGTAGCCCTGCTACTCAAGCTGTGTGGTTTGGGGCAAGTTGAGTAATCCTTCTTAGCCTCGGTTTTCCCATCTGCCGCATGAAGAAAATGCCACCTTGCAGAGTTACTGTGAGGACTAAAGAGATAACCCACATACATCTTCTTAGTTCTGCTGTCGATGCTCAATAATAAATGGTATCTGTTATTACCATATGCCATCCCAGCTCCCATCATCATCCCCAATAGGCAAGGGACATCACCACAGTGACACAGCTGTGCTTAGACCAAGGATGCAGAGAATTAAATGGAAATAAATTGAAATAATACCCATCCCTCTTTAGATGCTCTTCTAGAATTTGGGCTGTCTGGAAGTGGGCTACTGTAAGTGGGTTATCCACTCATGTGCCTAATCCTGCCTGTGTATTCAAGGCTCCCTTCCTCTGTTCAGGCAAGAATAGAAATTGGAATCTGTGAGTAGTAAGTGAAGACGAGTCTAGAAAAAGCAGCATGGGGTGAATGGAGCCACCACACTGTTCAGTGGCAGAAAGTCTGAATAGACAGCTCCAAGCTCAGAACCATCCACAATTTCATTATTAGGCTTAACATTCTGTGTTAATCAATCCATCCTAAAACCCCCACCTCTGAGGCAGACACAGAGGCCAAATATAACACAACCCACATACCATCCAATTCAGGATGTTGTTCAAATATTGATGAGTTTCAAACCCTCTAACAATATAAAGTATTATAAGCCACATCTAAAAACCAAACTTGACCTTGGAGGGAGAAAACAGCCAAAGACAGATATGTATTATATAAATTTCCTTTCTGAAGCTACAGGGAAATGTCAAATCATCACAGTTTATTTATTTTACTTTTTTTCTTCCCCAAAAAAGGAAAAGGAAAATTCTGGAATTTAAAAAATCAAAGAGAATAAAAATACAACAGTACATTCTATTGTTCTCCAGGTCCAAAAGTACATGCATATACTTAGCTGGCGAAAGAAAGAAAGGAAGGAAGGAAGGAAAGGAGGGAAAGAAAAGAAAAGAAAAGAAAAGAGACTTTGACAAAGAAAGGCATTTCCCTGGGAATATTCTACCTCTGGGAGGACAGTGGTCAGGCATTTCTTCTATCTTGCTATTCCTTGAGCACAGTCCTGCCAAATATCCTCCTTTCACCATTTGCAGTTACCATGAGAAAACCACAGAGAAAGCTCTGGACAGCCATGGAGTCTTAGCTGGATCTACAATAAAAGGAGTCAGGTACCCTCCCACCTTCCCAGAAAGACTGTGCTGGGGCTCAGAAAACAACACCCCAAAATGAAGCCCTCAGCAGCAGCCTCAGAAGCAAATGATTTTCTCTGACCTTCTCTTGCCCTCCTGTCTCTCAGTCCCATTCTCCTCGGAGGCTAGCCATAGAAACCAGAAGCCTTTTCCAAAGCCAGCCATAAAACCTAAAAATATTAGTTTAACTTTCCCTCCACCCTATCTGTATAAAAACTGGCCATATGGGCTGGGCACGGTGGCTCATGCCTGTGATCCCAGCACTTTGGGAGGCCAAGGCGGGAGGATCACTTGAGGTCAGGAGTTCAAGACCAGCCTGGCCAACATGGTGAAACCCCATCTCTACTAAAAATACAAAAATTAGCCAGGCGTTGTGCCTCACGCCTGTAGTCCCAGCTACTGAAGAGGTTGAGGCAGAAGAATTGCTTCAACCCGGGAGGCGGAGGTTGCAGTGAGCTGAGATCGTACCACTGCACTCCAGGCCGGGCAATAGAGCAAGGCTCTGTTTCAAATAAATAAATAATAAAAATTAAAACTGGCCATAAATAAATAATCTGACCTACCCTGTTTGATAGTAGGTCATAAGACCCCCATTCCAGAGAGGGTCCTGCCCCACACCCAGAAGGAAGAAATGTGCGCTCAGAGAGGCCAGGGAGAATCTAGACAGGCAGCTCTTGCTGGGCTTCCCCACTCATTCTATTAGACTTAGATCTATGCTTTTCCTCCAATCATATTCCCATATGGCTGTCCATATTTTGTTGAACCTAAGCATAAAAATGGACAATTTCCCCTGTATCTTTGAGTCTTCATGCTGAAGGCTCCTGTGAATGCACGTTAAATAAGCGTATATGCCTTTTCTCCAATTAATCAACCTGCCTCATCTCAGTGATTTTCAGCAAACCTTTACAGGACCAAGAGCCTTGGCCCCCACAACTATGACATGGGATAAAAGTAAACTTCTACATGCAGATGAATTTGGTAGGCTCAGAAACATATACATAATTAACACAAGATTAAGTGTCCGTAATGGATATTTGGGGAGGGGGCAGAGGGAAAACAATCATAAGACACAGGAAAGCTCAGGGATATAAAACAGCTCAGGGAACACGTGCCCCTTTGAGAAGGCAACTTTCTGCTTCTCTGCTGTGTCCGGGAGTTCAGAGTCTCAACCACATACAGTTCTTAAGGACCACCTGATACAACTGAAAAGACCTTGGAGCTGATGCAACCTCTTCCCACGGGGTGCCTGCCACAGAGATGAGTGCCTGGAGTGGCTGTCACCTCCAGGGAACTCTGAGTGGGCCAAGGAAGGAAGTCATCCCCTCCTCCATTCAACTCATTAATCACAGCTGTTAGGTAAAGAGCCCCTAGGGGTTCCCACAGTATAGCAATAGCCTTTCCCTACCTACAGCCAAGCCTAGTCCAAAGGTCTTGGAGGCCCTGGGGCTCTTGGTCAGGGCCAGCCTCCCAGGCTCTGTTCAGTATGACTGTAAGAGTGATAAGAATCTCTCTGCGCAAAAGTTCCTTCTTCCACACCCCCCAAATGCACAACACCCATCTTCCCAGGCTAAATGCTCCAGAGTTCTATCTTTGAATTGCCCTGTCCAGAAACCTCCTTTAAAATGCAAATACACATAATAGAGATTTTGAAAAAGCACTTTAGCTTATACCAGTTCTCTAAGGAGATAGGAGGCTGGGGGAAGAGGCAGGAAGGAAAACTGCCTAGGAAGGGGCAGTCTAAGTAGGGGTCCAGGAGAGGCGCTGAGCAACCCAGGAGAGCAGGCTGACTCTGAGGTTGAAGGGGGGATTCAGTGGAAAGTGATTTCTTTAAAAAGGAACATCCAGCGTGAGACTTAGACCCTGGCTAACGTCCAGAAGGATCTAGAATAGGATGGGGAGTCCTCTTACAGTGATCATTTCATTCTCGCATAATTTGTCCTATTTTCAATGATCTAGATCAGGGCTTGGCAATCTATGGCCTGCAGCCAAGTCTGGTCCAGCATCTGTTTTGTACCTATAAGCTAAAAATGGTTTTTACCTTTTTAAATGATGGGAAATCAAAAGAAAAATAATATTTCATGACAAAAAAATTATGTGAAATTCACATCTTACTGCCCATAAGCAAAGTTTTATTGGAACAGAGTCATGCCCATTCTTTTACATGTTGTCTATAGTTGCCTTCTGCTGTAAGATATTTCCACAAAGCCTAAAATATTTACTGCCTGGCCCTTTACAGAAAAAGCATCTGAATCCATGATCTAGATATTGGTTAAGAAGATGTGCTTTGTGGCCAGTGTTCTGGGTGGAAGCTGTGCCACTTAACTCCTCAGGCAAGTCCCTTAATTTCTTCATCTGTAAAATGAGGACAAGTCCTTGTAGAATTAGGGTAAGAACTAAATAAGTGTTTGAATAAATAAATGTTCGGCACAGGGTCTGGTGCATAGTAAGTGTTCAATAAATATTAGCTGTTATTATGTTTTAATGTGATTAGACACTGACGCATAATCTTATTCTTCCACACTTCCCTGTCCCCCATTACAAGTTAGAATAATACATCTTGTTCCTGAATAAGACTGGAAAGTAATCCACTTTGGTATGGCCATGACTACCAAAAGATTTCAGAAAAATATTAAATAGCAAGAGTTGACAATCATTTTGCATCAAGCTCTAACCTCTAGAAGGTCTATTTCCCATGATTTAAGTAAAAGCAAGTACATTATCTTAAAACCACTTTAGCAGAAAAAGTTAATTAGGCAGAGAGTTGATGTGACTCACAATAATTCTGATAAAGTTACATAGGCTCAGGCAACAGGAGCTGAAATGAATCACGGCTTGTAGAGCTCCCTCACTGTGGTGAAAGCAACCAACTGGAAGTTAAGTACCTTGGGTAGAATCTTGTGCTTTGATTCAAGAATTTCCAGTTTTTTAAGCTGCTCATTAGTGTCATCTGAGGCGTCTTTGAGGGATCAAGTTACAGAATAATCACTGGAAGGAACAAAGATTAGAGTGCCTTAAGGGTAAAAAGAGAAAGGGAGGATGATGGAGGGGAAGAAATGAAGGGAAGGGTCAGCTCCTAGCACAGGCGGCGTGGTTATACTGCCCTCAACCAGATGCTGACCTGGCGCAGATCACCAAATGCTACAACATGTGAGAAACACAAGGTAATGATCCTTGTTTTCCAAGCTTCTAGGCTTTGGGTTAAAATAAGAAGGCAAGAAACAGAATTCTAAGTACCTGGGTCAGCCAACAAAATAATAATAGCTACCATCTCATGAATTCATACAATAAATGAGCCAGGCAGTCTGCTAAATAATTTGTGTGCATTACCCAATCCAGTTACATAGGGTTTCTTAGCTCCATTTTACAGATGGGAAATTGAGGATTAGGAAAATCAAATAACTTTCTACAACTTACACAGCTAGTGAGCATAAAAGCTGTAATTTTTTATTTATTTATTTTATTATTATTATTTTTGAGATGGAGTCTTGCTCTGTCGCCTAGCCTGGAGTGAAGTGGGGTGATCTCGGCTCACTGCAACATCTGCCTCCCGGGTTCCAGCGATTATCCTGCTTCAGCCTCCCGAGTAGCTGGGATTACAGGCCCCCGCCACCGCACCCGTCTAATTTTTATATTTTTAGCAAAGATGGGGTTTTGCCATGTTAGCCAAGCTGGTCTAGAACTCCTGACCTCAGGTGATCCGCCCACCTCGGCCTCCCAAAATGCTGGGCTGACAGGCATGAGCCACCACGCCCGGCTGCCAAAAGCTGGAATTTTTAAAATGTAAAGTTTTAAACTAGACAATACATGCACACATTACTAAACTCAAAAGGTCTCTAGTGAAAAATAAGCAAATCTCCTTTTCTCTCTCCATGGAGGAAGTCGCTACTACTAGTTTCTCTTGGATTCATCCAAAGAAATTCCATGCATTAACAAACATGTGTGTACATGTTCTTTCACTCACAAATGGTAGCAAAATACACTGTCCTGTAACTTGTTTCTCCCCCTCAAACTTTAGTAAGATTTTTAAGAGACCTTTCCGCGTCTGCATATGTAAAGCTGAAACTTGATTCCGACTACCCAGCACCAAAACTGTGCTGATAACCATTTTGCTATATCACCTCTGGGCACCCCCAACCTTTTTGCTACATCACCTCTGGACGCCTGTGGGGAGGTTAACAGAAGGCACTGGTGCTAAACTCAGGGTATGAGCTTCAAGGGGGAGTTCTCATTGAGCTGCTGCTCTTCTTAGGGCATGGAGGTAAACCCAAAGAGGGACGAGACCTAGTCCTTCCCCTCCATTCATTTGGAGTTAAGACGCGTAGGCCTAATTTCAGTCATGAAAGCAGAGAGTTGCACAGTACAGTGTCCATGGGGTTCAGGGAAAGAAATCTTGGAAGGTGAGAACTGTTCAGAAAGGAAGTTGGGAAGCCCGGGTGGAAAAGGAATGGCATGAGGAAAGGAAAGCCAGTAGCTGGGGGATGTGTTTGGAGGACCCATGAGGAAGATGTAGCCAGGTCAAGTGGAACCAGCTTTGCAGGCGTCCCTCAAAGACGCTTCAGATGACACTGGGTAGTCTGATTCAAGTTTCAGCTCTACATATGCGGATGCAGAAAGGTCTCTAAAAAATCTTATTAAGGGCCGGGCGTGGTGGCTCATGCTTGTAATCCCAGCACTTTGGGAGGCCGAGATGGGCAAACCACCTGAGGTCAGGAGTTCGAGACCAGCCTGGCCAACATGGTGAAACCCCCATCTCTACTTAAAATAAAATAAAATAAAATAAATCAGCTGGGTGTGGTGGTATGCACCTGTAATCCCAGGTACTCAGGAGGCTGAGGCAGGAGAATTGCTTGAACCCGGGAGGCAGAGGTTGCAGTGAGCCGAGACTGTGCCATTGCACTCCAGACTAGGGGACAAGAACGAGACTTCGTCTCAAAAAAAAAAAAAAAAAATCTTATTAAGGGTTGAAGGAGCCATGGTGTGACCACACACTGTTGGTTGTGGAATATATTACAAGTACTTTGCTACAAATAGCAGAAAGATTCTCAGGTTTTTGTCCACTTTTAAAATGTTAAGGGTGGCTCTGCTGCTATTAGGGAAGTAGGTCACAGCTACAGGTATTTTCAGAGGGTTTGTGTCTCGCCCACCCCCCAGGGCCAGTGGGGAGGTTAGAAAATCCACTTGAAACGCTTTCAACTACTCTTCCAGGGGCTGAGAACCCCCACCCTGTCCCAGGCATTCTGAAAGTGTATGAGACGGGAAGCAGCATATTTTGAAAATAATTCCACATCTACTTCTAAAAAGTCTACCCTAATGTCACCCTTCTTCACTAGCAGAGAGGTGTGCTTTCCAGAGTGGACAAGAAAGTATATTATCAGCTGGATTCTATAGATGGATTAGGAAGATGCTGTATGGTAAACGCACCTGAGAGCAATAACTTCAGCATACCCTGAGGATGGCCCTGTATTGCAGACGCACCTGAATGTGTGCTCTGAACTAGGGAATCCGGGCGTGGCCAAGCCAGAGATTCATTCCTTGTCTTTGAGGAACATCTGAGCCTTCAGCCTCTCCCATGGAACACTGGCTGTGCAGGGACTGAAGCCCTGAGTTTGGGGTTAGATGAAGGTTGCCAGGTGGAGGTCCTCGGGGGTAGGGTGTTGAGTGAAATGGTATATACGCTACAAGCTGTTTGCAAGCGGCAGTGGTTTTCCTGCACAGCCCGCTGCCACTGGACTCTCTCCCCTGTATGTAATCCCTTAATAAAACCCCGTGTCTCATTTGCTGGCTCTGGGTCTCTTCTTTGGCCTCTTGAGCCTGGTGCCTTCCCTACTGAGGTTAATAGGGGTTTGGCACAACAATGGAAGACCCTGAAGTCATTTGAAAATGATGAGGGGTAGACCTACAGCTTCCATCACATTCTCTACAGAGACTCTAGATTTGGATTTTGCACCTAAAGACTGTCTTCTTGATGAAATAGAAAATGTCAAAGCACAAACATATGATGGATATATTTGTTCACTGGGCATATATATTTATTTATTGAGGCGGAGTCTCGCTGTCACCCAGGCTGGAGTGCAGTGGTGTGATTTCAGCTCACTGCAACCTCTGCCTTGGGTTCAAGCAATTCTCCTACCTCAGCCTCCTGAGTAGTTGGGATTACAGGCATGTGCCACCATACCCAGCTAATTTTTTTGTATTTTTAGTAGAGATGGGGTTTCATCATGTTGGCCAAACTGGTCTCAAACTCCTGACCTCAAGTGATCCGCCTGCCTCGGCCTCCCAAAGTGCTGGGATTACAAGCGTGAGCCACCGTGCCTGGCCACTGGGCATATTTATGTGTGTGTGTGTGTGTGTGTGTGTGTGTGTGTGTGTGTGTGTGTGTGTATCTGTATATAGCTCAAGTCTCAGAGTAAAATGGAATTCTTAAACTAAGTCATGGTCCAGAAAGTTTTAAATCTGCTGCTCTAGAATATGTTACTCCCCAGAATATAGCAATCTAGTCCTGAAAAATCCAAGCGACTAGATCATGCCCAGGTTTGCAAATCACATATTCAAGGGAAACTGAACTTCATTCAGGAAGCCACACATGACGAAGGCTGACAATTGAAGGGAAAGGAGCCATTGGCGACTGAGGCCACTGAGGGAGTGCATGGGAACACCAGGCTTCAGGACTGAGCAACTGGGAGCAGGCACTGGCAACCCAGGCTAGACAAGCCAGAGCTAAATGGCATCTGCTGCCTCTTTCTGTGAAGCTGCTGTTCTGAGCCAACAGTCAATGGGGCCTCATCTAGCTCACGGGCAGCTGTAGTTGATTTGAGTTTGACACAGGTGGGCCAGCCTCTCCGGGCCTCCGACTTCAGTATGCTGGATACTTCACCTGGATACTTGTCAAACATCTGGGTTCCTGGTCCTGGCTCCAGAAATTCTGACTCAGTTGGGAAGGGGAGAGAAGGAGATGGTAGAGTTCACAACCAACCCACACTTGGAAATCACTGGAAAAAAACAAAGCATTCCATTTCCCTGATGGCAACTAGGGCAGTTTCCATCTCTCAGCAAGTATGTATTAGGCAAGCATATGGGACTAGGAGTGTGCTAGGCGCTGCCAGGAATGTTTTGGATTTTTTAAAAATATATCTTAGGGCCTTCTGTTAAGGAGCATATAAGTGAGCTGTGTGATATGCTTGCATGTGTGTAATTTAATTACGAAAGGGCAGGAAAATAGGGAAATAAAAGGGGGAGATGACAAATAGATAAAGGTACACACGTCCCTTTTTCTCTCATAACGTTTGGGGAGCAAAATCATGTTCTCTTCTATTCATCTAAAATAACAAAAAGGGTAGTGATGTGAATGAGGCCAGGGAGTTCCTCAGAGGCCCTTCCTTAAACAGAAGGTGATTAACTAATAGTCACAGAACAAGCATGTGGAGTGCAGGTCCAGACAAGCAGATCCCATATCCAGGCCTGCTGGGAACAAGAACAGAGAGAGGACCCATCTCTGCCTGGCTAATGTGTGACTTAAAGCATCGTTAGTTCTTTTGACAAATATTAAGATGGAGAACTGAACTTCAGCGCTCATTATGCAGCAGAGATTAAAGCCCAGATGTGGTCAATTATGTGCTCAAGGCCACACAGATGGAGCCAAGACTTGAACTTAAAGCCCCTTTGATGACCATATTTGACCTACACTGTTTTTTCAAGATATGAATAGCTAGCTGGCCACATATACAAAAATAAACAAAGCTAAGACCAGCACCTACAGTACAGTATTACCTGGAACATGGTAGGCACTCAATAAATATTTGTCAGATGAATTAATGTGCCATTTAAAAGATACACAATATTGGGTCAGACGGCTGTGAAAGCCTTCGTCCAGCACCTGATGGCTTCCCCACAAACATGCCTAATAATCAAACAAGCTGCACTGATCCCTTTTTTATGTTCCCAGAACAATAATAATAGCTAACACTGTTAAACACTTACTAGGGGCCAGACACTTGCTTTACACATGTTGACTTAATCTTTATAACAATCCTATGAAACAGGAACTATGATCATCACCATTTCACAGAAGAGGAAACTGAGGCACAGAGAGGTTAAAGCAGCACAGAGCCTTACTTCACAATGCTTATAAGAAAAATTCTAGGACAATTAAATTCTAACTGATGGGTGCAGCATGGGATTTATTATCCAAATAGGAATTTGGTTGTATTAAAGCAATAGGAATTAGCCTGTGGGAAAAATCATCCTAGGCTGTAGAATTAGAGAAAAGGTCACAGTGGAGGTGGGATTTAAGCTACTTCTGAAGATAGAGGCCAGACTGAAGGATAAGGGAAACGGCATAAACAAAGGCCTGGGGCCAAAATATAGAAGGTGTGCCCAGAGACCTTCTGCCTGGAATGGAAACTGTGCCTCAGGGATTAGCAAGACGTAAATTTGGATACTGTGGGGTAGAGTCGGAGTACAGAGGACTTAGACACAGGCTAGGGAGCTTGGTTGGTTGTTTAAGAAGCCTGTCTGGTTTCTTGACTAGGAAATAGCCCAACAAGAAGTGAACTTAAGGGGCATTAGCTTGGCCAACAGCCTGTAAGAACAGTGGGAGAGGGCAGCGGCTTGAAGGCCTGGAGACCAATATGGCAGAGGCTGCATTAATCCAGGCCTGGAGACAACAGAAATGGAGAAAAGACACAGCTGTGAGAATATGTTATTAAAAATTCAGTAGCCATGCTGAGTACCTCCTCTGGGCCAGGCCAGTTGGGGCTATGAGCTCACTAGTTGGGGCTATGAGGTAAGTGTACCTACAAGGTAACCTCGAGACCAAGCCTGTGAGCTTACCTCGCTGCATCCTCACCGCAAACCTGGGAGAAGGGGTGTTATTGTCCCCATCCTAAAGAAAAGAAAACCAAGGCCCCAACTTCACCCACCTATGCTTCCAATGACATAAACAGGCTCTGGCAATGCATTGGATGCCTCAATTTCTTATCAAGAATAGCTCCTTTTTGCTTCTTCAAAGCCATTTGAGGTCAGGGAGGTAGTTGGAGGTTGATATGGTTTGGCTGTGTCCCCACCCAAATCTCAACTTGAATTGTTTCTCCCAGAATTCCCACGTGTTGTGGGAGGGACCCAGGGGGAAGTAACTGAATCATGGGGGCTGGTCTTTCCTGTGCTGTTCTTGTGATAGTGAGTAAGTCTCATGAGATCTGATGGGTTTATCAGGGTTTCCGCTTTGGCTTCTTCCTCATTTTTCTCTTGCTGCCACCACGTAAAAAGTGACTTTCACCTCCACCACGATTCTGAGGCCTCCCCAGCCATGTGGAACTATAAGCACAATTAAACCTCTTTTTATTCCCAGTTTCAGGTGTGCCTTTATCAGCAGCGCAAAAACGAACTGATATAGAGGTGATGAATTCTGTTTGGTGTTTATTGTGTCTGAGCTAACAGAAGGACACGCTGGTTCAGGGAGTTGAGAATCCTAGCCAGCATTCTCACAGCATCATCTCTGAGATTAGAGGAGCCTGCCCAACTGAGAGATAGTGACTGTGGCTAGGAAGGCTCTGTGAGAAGGGAAGAAACTGGCCCTTATCGACCATCCTTGACCTTTGCATCTCAAATCTCATTTAATCCATATAAAATGGGTATTGCTTAGGCCCTTTGAAAGCTAACATGCTGGGCCGGGCACGGTGGCTCACGCCTGTAATCCCAGCACTTTGGGAGGCCGAGGCAGATCAGTTACCTGAGGTCAGGAGTTTGAGACCAGCCTGACCAACATGGCAAAACCCTGTCTCTACTGAAAATACAAAAATTAGCTGGGTGTTCCCCGTCTCTACTAAAAATACAAAAATTAGCCGGGCGTGGTGGCGCGCGCCTGTAGTCCCAGCTACACGGGAGGCTGAGGCAGGAGAATGGCGTGAACCCGAGAGGCGGAGCTTGCAGTGAGTCGAGATCGCACCACTGCACTCCAGCCTGGGCGACAGAGCGAAACTCCATCTCAAAAAAAAAAAAAAAAAAAATTAGCTGGGTGTTGTGGTGGGTGCCTGTAATCCCAGCTACTCGAGAGGCTGAGGCAGGAGAATCAGTTGAACCCGGGAGGCAGAGGTTGCAGTGAGCCGAGATTGTACCATTGCACTGCAGCCTGGGTGACAAAGCGAGACTCCATCTCAAGAAAAAAAAAAAATAACATGCTGAGCATTAAGTAGCTAGCCCACAGAGAAACTGGGCTAGACCCCAGCCAGACACTTCCTACCCGAGAAGCCATACACAGCAGGGTGCGGTTTGGCTCGTCTAGGAATAAGTGAGCCCTTCTCACGGAACTGCTCTTGAGTTGAGGGCCCTTTTGCCACAAGCTGTGGGTTGAAAGGTGTAGGCAAAAGTTCACCTTTTAATCCACAGCTTGGTGATCCTTTTCTGAAAGAATTCTGGCTCTTCAATGCAGGTATAGTCAAGAAAAGAAAGTAGTCAAGAAAAGTCTTACCAAAGCAACATAGCTTAGTAAATTGCATATGTACATTTTCTTCTCTTTTATGAACATTCTTATTCCATGATTAGACAACAGCTCTTTAAAAATCGAGACAGCAAAAACGGTGACAGATTTGTCCCTGTCTTGCAAATACGACCCTTTCAGGGGTCTTTGTAAGTTGTGGAAAAGTAAGTCTGCCAATCCACCAGCAGATGTCTCTGTTTTGCCTAAATGAATAGGGCTCCCTCTGTTCTCAGCCACTCCATTTCAGATCCAATTAAACAAAACCCTTTCTCCGATTGTCCCCAGAGATCCCAACATGCTTAAAAGCAAAGAATTTTCTTCCTCCTTAATTTTTAAAATGGAGAAATGTAATGGAATAGTTTCTCATTCTCCTAAAAATCAGCATTCAAGTCTCATATACCCATTTCTTGTAAATCTTATAAAACCAAGCTTATACTGGTAGTTGCCAGGGGCTGGAGGAAGAAAGGAATGGAGAGTTATTATTTAATGGATACGGAGTTTCCGTTTTATAAGATGAAAAGAGTAGAGATTGATGGTGGTGACAGTTGCACAATATTATAAATGTATTTACTACCACTAACCGTACACTAGAAATGGATAAGATGGTAAATTTTACGTTTGTGTATTTTATCACAATAAAAAAAAATTGAGGGAGAAAAAAGCCAACCTTATACCAAAGAATATATTACCCTCAACTTTAGTCCTTACTGTAAATTCCACTCATGAATTGGCAAAATTAGCTTAAGGAAAGTAGATTTCGATAAAAGTTTAAATTCTGTGCTCTCAAAGTAAAAGTTTATTAGTGGACCACCTTTTGTGAATAAATAAGTCCATCTTGAGTGGAGATGGAACATCTCCTTTTGGAAGATTTTGTGATAGAAGAGATGCTGAAAAAGAATTTAACCTCGTGATGGAAGTCATTTTTCATTTAAAGTATCTCTACCGTGTATGATCCAGAGGCTCTGTTACTTTCTTCCTGTTATGCCTTTTCCCCTCAATAACTCTAAATTTAAAAATTAAGTAGAAAATACTAATTAATATTTGCTGAGTTTTTTTCTCCCTAAGCAAATTAGAGCCCCGTTTTCAGTCAATCCATGTGACCCTTGAGAAATGCCTCCCCTGTGTCAAAGCATGCCTGGTCCTGTAGGAACCCTTTTCAGCCAGCAGGACCCTCAGGAGACAGGGAAACCTTCTTGTCTAGAACCTCCAAACAGGAAGTGCCAAAAACTAAAACCTTGCCCGAGGCAAAGTGTTCTTGTCAAGATTCAGGTTTCTATGGCCACACCTTTTTACATCCTGACCACTAAGCCAAACTCATCGATTTCTATTTCACACTCAAAAACACACGTACACATGAAAAGGAGCACTTTAGGAATAGACTGACCCTAAGAGAAATAAAACCTCAAGAACTTCCAGTAAATTTATTCAGAAGATCTCAATATTGCACTTAAAATTCTATTTCAGTTCAACGAATCAACTTACATTGAAAAATGCATTTTCAAATGGAGGGCACATTAGGGATCTCAGCCCAAACATAGCTTGGGTGTTTTTCCAGCTGAATGTTGGCCTGACTCTCATACTAACCTCTCCTGTGTATGAGAGAGAGCATCAGCCTTGATGCAGCATTGATCCAATTCTCCTGTGCTAAGCATGTCTCGATTTCACGTAATCACTGTATATCACTTTCCTTTGTATTCAGGGTAGAAGCTGCCATCGGTGTTATTTCCTTGCATAACCCCCTGTTCTAGCTCGAACTGTACTAATGAGTGACCAGAATTTACTGCCACGTTGGACAACAGGGCCAGCTATGCTTTAAATGTTTCTTTTCACCGAAATAACCAGAACGTGTCAATCAGCTAATATTATGCCACCAGTGGCATCTCATTAAAACCTCTTTTTTATTTTTAGCTAGATTCTGTCAGGTGAACACCATCCAACTATTCAAATGTTGCTCCCCTTACAGAAGCTTTCAGAGGAATTTGGAGCTGAAGTTGCCAGCAACAGAGAGGGCCACAGCTAACGCGATAGAGCTGCTCACAGTGTTAGACCAGGCCTATGAAAACTTTGCACCGCAGATCCTCCCCAGGTGTAATCTAGGTGGGAGAAAGGCCTTCTAGCTCTGTAGTTGTCCTATCAAAAAACAAAAGTTTCTCCATGGAAAGCTCCACTTGTGGCCAAAGAGAAGAGGAATTGGAGACCTGGCAGGGAGGAGCTGTCAGAGCCCAGGGGGAGAGTGTGAAGCCATGGTCCTGGTGGCCAGACAGGCCTGCTTAGAGCCTGGCTCTGTCACCTGTTACTATGTGGCCTTCAACAAGTCACTTAAACTCTTAGATCTCAGTTTCTTCATTTATCAAATGGCAAAAACAAAATCCATCATGCTGGTATAATGGGGATACTTTTCTACAAATAGTAAATGCATGCATTTTTTACTAAATATCTTGTATATATATGTGTATACAAATTATAAACTAACTATAGATTTTCACAGCAAACATACCCAGATTAAGAAACAATGTAACCAGCACCTCATTCCCTCCTAAGAGTAACACATCCTGACACTTAACAAGATAGACTAGTTTTGCCTCATTTTGAACTTGATCTAAATGGAATCTTACAGTATGTACTCCTTGTGTCTGGCTTTTTTTATCCAGCATGATATTTTCTCTAAGAAATATCCGTGTTGTTGTGAGAAGCAATAGATTATTCCTACTCATTGTTATACAATATTCCATTGTATGTCTTTTAAAAAATATATACCATTGTATATGTATATATATATACATTCCATTGTATGTTTTTTTAAAAATATATACCATGGTATATGTATATATATTCCATTGTATGTTTTTTTAAAAGTCTATTTAAACAATATTCCCTTCAGTCTACTTCCTCCAAGGCCAAGTACTGTGTTTTTTTGTTTTGTTGTGTGTATGTGTGGGTGTGTTGTTTGTTTGTTTGTTTTTGGAGTCTTGCTCTGTCGCCCAGGCTGGAGTGCAGTGGCACGATCTCGGGTCACTGCCACCTCTGCTTCCCAGGTTCAAGCCACTGCATTCCAGCCTGGGAGACAGAGTGACACTCCATCTCAAAAAAAAAAAAGGTAGATATTACTATGAGAGTTATTACCTTACCATCATCATTGTTACGACTACAATAACTCAGATAACCCAAAGCAGCTCTGTTCTCTTGGGCATATTAGGAGAGCACCTCCCAACATATTCTTAGGAGGATCTGTAGTTGCTTCCCCTAAAGGAGCAATTAAAGATGGCTGTGCTGATCCTACAGTTCTCCCCAGACCCCCTCTTCACCATTCCCCTGTCCTTCTCTGCCTTTCCTCCTCCACCTTTCTTTACCCATTCCCCCCAACTCCTCGCCTCAAAGCATCTTGGCTGTTTTCTTCTGGGAAATGTGGTAGTCTACAGCGAGACCACCTCAATTAAAGAAGAAACCAGAGGGCCTCCAAGAAAGGGGAGCCAAATGAAACGCTCTTTCCAAAAGCATGTATGTCTGTATGATCACAGCGGCTTCCAAAACACCCAAAACTGAAGAAAAAGTGATGCTTAAATTATGTTTGAGCGTTGATGATACCTGAAACTCAGAAAATCTTTAATCTTCCACAGCAAAAAATGAGCTTACTATGTATACTTGCTTAAAGTCCTCGCATATGTAGACTGATTATCCAACCTCCCTCTCGTTTCCATCATTGAGTATCATGAATTTGTATTTGAATTCCTTCTCTTTGTCTAAACTTTGAAGGTCACCATGTTTCTATTCCCCGTCCCATATCACCACCAACTTTTGCTGGATGCAGTATTGTTCACATCAGTAGATCTAAAATATTATCTATTATTATAACCCTCTTAAAGACACCTATACTCCTGTGCCCAGGGTTGCTGAGTATTCAGGATTCTCCATTACAATCTTAATCTTGACTTTCTCTTTCATCGTTCCTATAAATTAACTTATAATTTTTCACACTAGGTGTCCCAATTTGGGGTTCTGAAAATATGGTCTATGTGTCTTTCTATTCTCATTTCAAAAGAGGCCAGAGCAATTTTTCAATATCTTACATACAAAGAGAAAAGGAATGTTTAGGGAAAGATTTCCAGGACCTCATAACAGTTCCCCACTGTTCTCTAAGATGGTTGTTAAAAAGCTCACTTTGTGAACCCAGGTGGCCAGAAAATCAAATCAAGAAACTAGAGTATTGTATTCGCCAAGCTGTTACACTAGAGCAGACTGAGCAACTTGGCTCAGCAGGCCATGGGCATCATTCCTCCTTGGTGGCTCCTCTGGAAGTCGTGGACTCTTGCTCCACCTCGCTTTTCTTCTCCATCAAATGGGACTAACGAGGACATTGTGAAACATAATTGCTGTTTATGGAGAGCCTCGGCATCTGAGATGAAAGGCATTTGAACCAGGTAAAGCTTGTTCAAGATGAGTTAATGCTTTGATTAGTGGAGTTCAAGGAAGAAAAGTATACCCCATGTCATCTGAGAATGATCCTGCTGGCTGGGAGAAGCAAGGTTTCACTTTACAGAGGACTTGTGGGGATTTTTTTGTTCTCTTTTAAATGGTGTTCACAATGCTGGAATTTCTTTCCATGCTTGACGTTAGAGGAAATCCTCGAACATGAAGGAAAATCTAACTCATTAGAACCTGGCGACATTCAAATCATTTTTTCCATATAGCCAAGCACATAGTAAGTGCTCAGTAAAGATTTATTCCATGGCCCAATAAATTATTTGCTCAAATCTGGCCCAATGTCCAGAAACAGGTCCAAAGATTGACATAGCTGGGCGCGCTGGCCACACCTGTAATCCCAGCATTTTGGGAAGCCCAGGCGGGCAGATCATGAGGTCAAGAGATCGAGACAATCCTGGCCAACATGGTGAAACCCCGTCTCTACCAAAAATACAAAAATTAGCTGGGCCTGATGGTGTGCGCCTGTAGTCCCAGCTACTCGGGAGGCTGAGGCAGGAGAATTGCTTGAACCCAGGAGGCAGAGGTTCTAGTGAGCCGAAATCACATCGCTGCACTCCAGCCTGGGTGACAGAGCAAGACTGCATCTCAAAAAAAAAAAAAAAAGAAAGAAAAAGATTGACATAACACTTTCATATCAAAAAAAGATGAAGAATCCAATGAAACACATGACATGATGATTTTGAGTTATGAAAAATATTCATGCTCCATTAAGAATCATATAGAAAGCCACTCACATATTTCCACAGGCTATGCATGCAAACAACAGCAAACTGACACACAGTTCAAGTTATTTGCAGTATTGCGTCCATAGAGAGAGAAACTCTAAAGTTCTGTGACAGATTTTTAAACAAAACATCAGAACTTACACATCCTCATTAGTACAAACCTCAGGAGGCTACATCTTTATTCCAACAATGATATCATTGTTCAACGCATTTTAAAATTCCTCTTTAGAAACACTACACAGAGCCAGCGGCCTGTTCTTTTTAATATCTGCTGTAGTGGCAAATCTTCATATTTGGAGGGTAAATTTGATTCTTGTAGATAACAAAAGGGCATTAGGAATTGGTTGGTGATTGAGAATCCTAGATTATAAACCAAAAGGGAAATGTGATTGCCATGTAATAAGAATTTATTTTCTTACATGGCTTTTTACACTGGCTCTAAAAGCAAATCCAGAGAAATAGTTCCAGAAATGATTTTTGAGGGTTGATTTAGTAAATCTATCCACTCCACAGAAGGGACAAAACAAGCAAGAAGAACGCATCATAAGCATCATTACATCTAACATCTGTACATTAGGGTCTGCATTTACAATGTATCTAGCATAATAGTGCCTCATTTACGTTCGCATCTGCCCCCACCTTGGCCTGACCCATGGTTCAAATAACCTCAAAGGTATCTACAAAATACAATACTGAGGGCCGGGCATGGTGGCTCACACCTGTAATCCCAGCATTTTGGGAAACCAGCCTGGCCAACATGGTGAAACTCCCTCTCTACTAAAAATACAAAAATTAGCCAGGCATGGTGGTGCACACCTGTAATCCCAGCCATTCAGGAGGCTGAGGCAGAGAAAATGCTTGAACCTACAAGGCAGAGTTTGCAATGAGCCAAGATTGTGCCACTGCACTCCAACATGGACAACAGAGCAAGACTTTGTCTCAAAAAAAAAAAATACAGTTTTTTTGTAGCCCTCTATAATTGATATATTTTTAAATAGTCAATAATAAAAATGTATCAATACTCCTCTATTGTATCAGGAACAGAGAAGTCATCTTTCAACTAGGTGACATTGTAGTGAGTGAAACCTCCTCATCATATACAAAGGCTAAACCAGCAGAGCAAAGGAGGAAAACAGGAAGTGAAAAGGCCACGAGAAATGTGAGATCTTAAATCCAAATCAAATATCTTTGTTCTTTGTTGTTACCCTTAGAGTCATTTCTTTTTTTTTTTTTTTTTTTTTTGAGACAGAGTCTTGCTCTGTCACCCAGGCTGGAGTGCAATGGTGCGATCTCAGCTCACTGCAACCTCTGCCTCCCAGGTTCAGGCAATTCTCCTGCCTCAGCCTCCCGAGTAGCTGGGATTACAGGCACCTGCCACCACACCCAGCTAATTGTTGTATTTTTTAGTGGAGATGGGGTTTCATCATGTTGGCCAGGCTGGTCTCCAACTCCTGACCTCGTGATCCACCCACCTCAGCCTCCTAAAGTGCTGGGATTACAGACGTGAGCCACCGTGCCTGGCTGAGTCATCATTTCTTAACATTTCTTACAACCAGTCCTTTTCACTAGACTCATTCATTGCATCAGAATATCTACAACCTTGGGCAAGTTACTGAACCTGGGTAGGGGAAGAGGGAGAATATCTACAACCTTGGGGTTGAGAGGAGGAGGGAGAATATCTACAACCTATTAAGACAACCAGAAGCAACCACAAGGATTCCTAGGCCAATACTTCTAAGCCAATTCTGGAAAATATCGTAGAGAAGGGTCGAAGTGGGGTTTTCTGGTAGCACAGGGAATAGTGGTACACACAGGAAAGAGTCTATGTCACTGGGTTTGTATTGTCTTGCAGAGATAATTCATTCCCCAGTGGTTGTCAAAATAACATACCAAGGATCAAAATCATAGCTGTTTGTGCCTGTGGCTGTTTGCACATGGAGGTCAAATGGTGTTCCCTCATTTACCATGGGTAGTAGGGCATAAATGTCCTCTAACTGTCCCAGTTTGCATGGAACTGTCACGGTTTCAGCACTGGCAGCCCCACGTCCCAGGAAACTGCTCAGTTCAAGGCAAACCAGAACAAACCATTGGTCAGAGGAAAAGGAAGCCCACATGAGGCCATAAGATATATTTCAGCTGCCCATCGAGAATGGAAGCCAGCAATCCTGACATCAGCCATTAGGTCATTTTGTTCTACCTGGCTGGTGTTCACCTCCAAGAACTTTCCCAAGCTTGTGACCCAACATGGTAAGAGAAGAAAATGACAGTAAGCTCTGGGCCCCCACTGTGGTGTGAAGCTTGAGCTATGCCACACTGCCTTCCTGGGCCTCAGAGATATAATGCGTAGGTGAGGAGCTGCACCAAATCAGTGTTTTCAAACTCCAGACAACAGTTTGATTTTCATGGGCCAGGAAATCAATGTAGTGGCTTGCAAACAGCATTTTAAAATAATAGAATAAAATGGAATATGTGAGAGGGCATTGCACGTGGCAAGGAAATATTGTTTGTAAAATATGTTTCAGCTACATATCTATGTCCATGTGTACTGGGTCTCAGTGTAAAATCTAGTGCTTAGTGTGGGTTGCAAAGTCCATACATGGAACAATCTCCAAACTTTCTACCAGCTCCAGAATTTTGTATCCTACAGAAGTCATCCTAATAATTTCTTCTCTTATACGTGTCATGAGATTTGGTAACTAGAGTGCGTGGGACTTCCTTCACTGGGCATTGGGTTATATTATTTTTATAAATTGTTTTTCTCTTTTATTATTGTAAGGAAAAGTTGTCCTTCACCTATTTATAGCACCCAGCACGGAGTCTTACAGTTAGGTCACTGTCAATAAATGGTTCTTATCTCTTTTTTTTTTTTTTTTTTTGAGACAGTCTCACTTGTCACTCAGGCTGGAGTGCTGTGGAACAATTACAGCTCTCTGCAGCCTCGACCTCCCAGGCTAAATCAATGTGCCTGCCTCAGCCTCCCAAGTAGCTGGGACTACAGGTGTGTGCCACCATGCCCAGCTAATAATTTTTATTTTTTGTAGAGACAGGGTCTCCCTATGTTGCCCAGGCTGGTCTCAAACTCCTGGCCTCAAGCGATCCTCCTGCCTCAGCCTTCCAAAGTGCTAGGATTACAGGCATGAGCCAAATGCCCAGCCAAGAAATGTGTCTTATATTCCAACATACCAACAAGAACACACTCAAACATCATCATTGGTGCCATCTTCCAGCTCCAGCAAAAGCAGAAGTCCCAGGGCTGGATGGTTGTCTCAGACAGCAAGAGCATGGGCTCTTGAACAATTTTGCCTTTCAACTGGAGAGAACTCGGCCCAGTAAAGGCCACAGTGATGCAACAGCAGCCACTGCAGACGCAAGTCTGACCCTGAGGTAAGATGCTGTTTCAGCCAGGTGCGATGGCTCAGGCCTGTAATCCCAGCACTTCGGGAGGCTGAGGTGGGCGGATCACAAGGTCAGGAGTTCGAGACCAGCCTGACTAATATGGTGAAACCCCATCTCTACTAAAAAATACAAAAAAAATTAGCTGGGCATGATGGTGCGTGCCTGTAGTCCCAGCTACTCAGGAGGCTGAGGTAGGAGAATCGCTTGAACCCGGGAGGCAGAGGTTGCAGTGAGCTGAGGTCGCACCACTGCACTCCAGCCTGGGCTACAGAGTGAGACTCTGTCTCAAAAAAAAAAAGAAAAAAGAAAAAGAAAAAAAAAGACTCTTTTCAAGAACAACCTGGTTCAACTGCTGAAGAGATGAACACACAAGGGAAAAGCAAAGGAGAAAAAAGAAGGAAAAGATAGATCTAGAATGAAAAACAGGTACGCACTAATCACACACCAATGATGACTTCCTGTTTTTGTTTTTGTTTTTGAGACTGAGTCTCACTCTGTCACCCAGGCTGGAGTGCAGTGGCACAATCTCAGCTCACTTCAACCTCTGCCTCCCGGGTTCAAGTGATTCTCCTGCCTCAGCCTCCTGAGTAGCTGGAACTACAGGCACGTACCACCATGCCTGGCTAATTTTTGTATTTTTAGTAGAAACAGGGTTTCACCATATTGGCCAGACTGGTCTTGAACTCCTGACCTCGTGATCCACCTGCCTTGGCCTCCCAAAGTGCTGGGATTACAGGCATGAGCCACTGCACCCGGCTAATGACTTCTAGGAGGGTGAAATATGACAGGCACTGCCTGTGCATTGACAGGAAGTATGATTTTATGGATTGTCACTCTATAATGGCAGGGTATAGAAAGAATAAAGGTTAGCAATTTTTACATAACAAATCTATTAGGGAACCCTTTTGTTTTCTACTCTGCCCCGCCACCAAAAGTTATGCAGGAATTTCCATATAATCAGGACTTCAACTAAAAATTTCTGCATCCTGAAAAGGAAAAATGTCATTTCCTCTTAAATCACACTTATTTCCATGGGTAATTCTGAAGTTTGTTAAAAGGACAGAAATGGAGAAGGTTCATATTTATGGTTCCCAGTCTTTTAAAAAATTAGGAAGTGAAATTGCTTCTCCAAAATATAAGAACAGATCAGAAATTAAAACTTAAGAGGCCCACTGCAGTGGTTCACGCCTGTAATCCCCGCACTTTGGGAGGTGGAGGCGGGAGGATCACTTGAGTCCAGGAGTTCAACACCAGCCTGGGCAATATAGTGAGACCCCCCTCCCCCCACCCGCAATCTCTTCAAAATGACATTTAAAATGTATTTTTAAAATTAAGACATTAAAACTTAACTTTTTACAAGCATAAAATTAGGCCACATCACGAGCATGGCTGGCCATGGGATGGGCTCATGCCCAAATGAGGGTGCCCAAGCCCCTGGGGCCACATCCCACACAGGGGAGGAAACTCCATCCCAGTAAGAGAAATGACGTGATATGGACTTTGCTGGCAGGGGCGAGGGGTCGTCCAGGCGGGTGCGGAGGGACACAGTGTGTGGAGACAGGCAGTTGAGCTGTTCTAGCCAGGACCTGCCGCCTTTGAAAAACAAGACCTAAGGAAACGACCACAGGCTCAGAATCCCAGGCTAAGCTAAACAGCTCGATCTCAGGAAAGAGGAACTGATGCAGTTGAGAACCGGCCGTTCTCTTTTCTGCTGTCTGTACTTTTTATTATGTTCCTTTAAACTACTTGTTACGGGAACTTAATTTTTAACAACTATGTAATAAATCCAACAAAACTATGAAACTAACACCTAAGTTCCTCATGCTTTTTCAGTACCCATCGCTGGACTCCAAATTTCCAAATTCCCAATGAAGGAACCAGCTCCTGTCTCCCAGCAACACACGCCGCTAGCCTGACCAGGGCGGAATGTTTTGGGGTCAAACTTATCCAATCAGCCGAGGGTAGGGAGAGAAATGGTGCCCCAGGGACCCAGCGTGGCTGCTTAGACAGCGGGGCCGAGGGTAGGCAGGGGCCACCAGTCTGCGTGACCCCTGCAGTTTCAGGAAGTACGATAGCAGGAAACGGGCAGAGCTCAGATGAGACCCAAGTCCAGGGTGCAGCCTGGAAGTCTGATTCCAGAGGAACAAAGAGACAAATACCAACGTGGATTCTGGCAGAGGGGAACAATGCAGGTGCCCAGTGAGTAAAACTGGGGCACAAGAGGAAGGTTTAATTACCGGAAAAAGATAGCAGGTACTGAATGTGGGGCAGAAAGTGAGGGAGGATGGGAAACAATTGCCTCTCTTGCTAAGACCCAGCACAGAGTCCTGCACGTGGGAGGAAATCAATAAAGATTGGCTGTTTCGTTAATTAACTCAGCAGCTTATTTAGCTCAGCCAGGTCTGTTGAGTCTTTAAAGAAACTGGATCAGTGTTAAGGCAGGGCTGCAGCCCTCCTGCATCAGAATCACCCGGTGGGGGTGGGGGATTGGGGCTTGTTGAAAATACAGATACCAGGGCTCTGAAAGAGACTTAATCCTAACCTCCTGGGCCTGGGGCCCAGGAATCTGTATACCACTGGGCTACATGGCTGTACCTGTGGGTCGCCTTGTTCTGTTGGAGAAACTTGTTATTGTATTGGGTACTGTTTGCCTTAAATTTCAGGTTAAAATTAATTTTTCCCCCAATTGAGCAAAATAGAGGCAGTGACAGTATTCATATGAATGTATCTGGTGTGATTCGTCCCATTTTTCAGGTGGAGTTTATCTCATTCCCTGTCTCCACACTGGACCGGTTTGCCCAGATCTGTTTTTACCTACAGGGCCAGCTGCAGGGCTGGGCAGTCCCAGTTTCTGGTGCAATCCCAATGGCAGGAATCTCGGCCCTACCCTCTACCCACTGTGCTGATAATTAGGTCATCCTTTCCAGACTTGACATCCCAGGCCCAACCATCCCTGCTCCTAATTGTTCCCTGAAGGTGCCCCAGAGCTGGAGTACCACGGTGAGCCCTGGGGGTCCACAATACCTCTAGATCCCAGCATCTCACCTGCCCCCACCATACTGACCTAACACACAGGAGTGGGTGACTGCCTTCACTTCCCTCATTCGAGTCTTTCCCTAATTCAGAAACAAACATGTACTGAGCACCCACTGTATATGTGCCAGGCACTGGGTTACCAAAGTGAGAGAGGATTTGAATTCCTGGGGGTCTCCATTTCTCCACAAGAGTATTGGTTTGGTTTGGTTTGGTTTTTCCATTTTGATGGTAATCTTTTTTTTTTTTTTTGAGATGGAGTCTCGCTCTGTTGCCCAGGCTGGAGTGCAGTGGCGCGATCTTGGCTCACTGCAAGCTCCGCCTCCCGGGTTCACACCGTTCTCCTGCCTCAGCCTCCCGAGTAGCTGGGACTGCATGCACCCACCACCACACCTGGCTAATTTTTTGTATTTTTAGTAGAGACGGGGTTTCACCATGTTAGCCAGGATGATCTCGATCTCCTGACCTCGTGATCCACCTGCCTCGCCCTCCCTGAGTGCTGGGATTACAGGCATGAGCCACCGCGCCCAGCCTGATGGTAATCTTTTTTAAAAAAAAAATTGATATTCTGCCATATAATTTTTTTTTAATTTTTGAGATGGAGTCTCACTCTGTTGCCCAGGCTGGAGTGCAGTGGCACAATCTTGGCTCACTGCAACCTCTGCCTCCCAGGTTCAAATAATTCTCCCTGCCTCAGCCTCCCGAGTAGCTGGGATTACACGTGCCCACCACCACACCTGGCTAATTTTTTATATTTTTAGTAGAGATGGGATTTCACCATGTTGGCCAAGCCTGTCTCAAACTCCTGACCTCAGGTGATCTGCCTGCCTCGGCCTCCCAAAGTGCTAGGATTACAGGCATTAACCACCACACCCAGCCTCTGCCATATAATTTACAGTCTGTATTTATATTCATAAACATTCTCTTCAAGTGAAGGCCAAATGATATCATGTGGTGATGAACCATGAATAATCCAAAATGATTTAAATAAAGTGCCCAACATTTTGTTATCCAAGCTCAAAGGAAACTTGTAGCAATCAAAGCAACATTCTCGTGTTCATGGACCCCATTTTGTACCTACCATCTTCTAAAAGTTTGTTATGAATATGGCAGTGAATGAACAATGAAAAATCTTTCTGTTCCTCATTCTAGCAATTATGCAATTAGACACTTCTTAAAGGCAGATTTCCAGCATGTGGCAATGCTAACTTTACTTTTGAGTGAACAAGACAGTTCCTCAGAGTGAGCAAGTGGCCTTTCATTAAAATCGGCATTTCAGGAATGCTCAGGGGCAGAGTTTTAATTAACTATGAGGTCGGATTATTCTGAGCTAGCATACAAGGCAAAGCTAACAGGTATTCTCTGCATTAGCACTGAACCCAAAGGCCAAAGACAATAACTATACCATTAGTTTCAGGACAAGAGCATCATCTGTCATATTAAACTAATGTTGTTTTACTTATAAAATACTGGTTTTGCAGTGGTGTTTGGGCTTCATTCATACATCAGCTTTGTTTTTATAATAATAGCTAGTACTAATTAGTGCTTGCCACATGCCAGGCACTGTGCTAAACCTTTTTCATGGATTGACTCTTTAATCCTCAAAACAATCCTATGAGATAGATACTATTTCCTGCGTCTTACCAGTCAGTAAACTGAGGCACAGAGAAATTAACTTACCTGAGGTTACACACCATGTAAGTGACAGGTCTAGGATTTAAACCCAAGTGGGTCTTGCTCCAGAAATTGTGTTCTTAATGCAACACTATACTGTTTATCATTATATCATTTTATATATATATGATTATATATCACTTTATATATTAAATGATTTCATGATTTCATTTTATATTTTTTACATATTTTTTTACATATTTGAATAGTTATAAAAACTGCTTAATCCAATATTTAGCTTGTAAAAATTTCTTTTCTGATTTAAGAAAAAGAAAGGTCTATGTACTATTCAAGTGAAAGAAATGCTGTTTTAGTAGAATTTCTGCTCAGAGTAACTGGGACCTGTTCTTTGTTTTGATGTTGTTGTTTTGTTTTGTTTTGTTTTGTTTTGTTTTGTTTTTGTTTGTTTGTTTTTGAGACAGGGTCTCGCTCTTGTTGCCCAGGCTGGAATGCAGTGGTGCAATCACCGCTCACTGCAGCTTTGATCTCAAGCAGTCCTTCCCACCTCAGCCTCCCGAGTAGCTGGGACTACAGGTGCGCACCACCAAGCCCTGCTAATTTTTGTATTTTTTGTAGAAATGGGGTTTCGCCATGGTGGCCAGGCTGGTCTCAAACTCCTGGTCTCAAGCAATCCACCCACCTTGGCATCCCAAATTGCTGGGATTTCAGGCATAAACCACCATGCCCGGCTGGGACCCATTCTAAATCCCAGTGGTGACATGAAGTAGGAAGTGGCTCCAATGCCTGGCTTAGCTCTGTAAGCCTTTCTGATCCTCTCCTCACAGCCCAGCATGCCCTCCTCACTAGGGAAGGCCTACTGGGTAAGAACTGAGACTCCTGAACTCATCTCCACTTGTCAAGCCCCTGAGCATTCCCAATGCCTAGTTTTCCTGTGAAGTGTTCTGCTGTTAGGTCAGCTCTCCTGCTAGGAATGCAAGCTGGAGTTGCAGCTGACATTGCCATCTTTGAACCCAAAGTATTCCTCATCCTACCCCACTCCGACCTCCAGCCTTCTGCAGGGCAGGTGAGTTTCCCAACTCTCTGTCACAGCTGACACCTGACTGTGAGGTCCCAATCAGCACCAGCTTCCTCATCCTCCTTCTTTCCCTTCTCCCTGCCAGACTCATGTTCAGATGCTTCTCCTTTGGCTCAGTGACAGCCTCAACAGCATATGTGATCACAGTGACAACTGCCTGGTGCCAACTCCAGTTCACCAGGCCAGTATGACAAAAGTGAATCACACTGTTATAACTGCATCAAAATGAGGCAGTAACTCCTTGAAAGAGTGTCAGTAAGATGCAGGTAATAAATGCTTCTAGTCTGCTGGAAGGCCCATGAATTGCAATCCTCCCTCTTTATAATCACAAAAGATATGATGCATAATTACAAGTTAATGGAACTGACTTTTGCATGTGACTTGGGAATTATAAAATTATAAAGCTGAGAGGGTCCTCAGAGTTAGATCACTCCCTGCAAGTTGCATCACTTGTTTACAAATGCTTTTTTGTAGCACAATGGTAAAAAGCACTTTTACCATTGTTTCAGCACTAACAAATGAGCCCCCATAATCTTCATGCTTTTGGGAAGAGTACTGTCCACTGTCCAGTCTCCAACTTCTTTTTTTTTTTTTTTTTTTGAGACAGAGTTTCGCTCTTGTTGCCCAGGCTGGAGCACAATGGCGCAATCTCAGCTCACCTCAACTTCCACCCCCTGGGTTCAACCAGTTCTCCTGCCTCAACCTCGTAAGTAGCTGGGATTACAGGCATGTACCACCATGCCTGGCTAATTTTGTATTTTTAATACAGATGGGATTTCTCCATGTCGGTCAGGCTAGTCTTAAGCTCCCGACCTCACGTGATCCCGCCTCGGCCTCCCAAAGTGCTGGGATCACAGGGGTGAGCCACTGCGCCCGGCCCAGTCTCCAACTTCTTGAGTGATGAGAGGTGGTTAAGTAGCAGCCAAGTGGCTTCCTGGTCCCTGGATCACAGCTGTGGCATTGCATTCTTGAAGTCAATCGTCCTGTGATGGTCTACATACAATCTTCCTTCCCGATGATGGCAAAGGAGGCAGCTCCCAGCAGGCCAGTTGGGAAGCGTGCTCCAGAACCCATTCCTGCAGCCTGGGACCCACTTCTCTAGCCTTCCATTGGTTTTTATGTTCCTAGTTCCATGCATCAATTTGGTTCTGCTTAAAATACTCTGAATGGATCCTATTTAAGAGCCCTGGCTAATACACCTGCACTAATCATGTCACAAGAACCCTATGAAGGAAGGACTAGTATTCCCTTTTACAGTCTGAGGAAAGTGGCACAGGAGGTTAATAAGGTTGCCCCAGGGCTTACTTAGTAAGTGGCGGTTTCTTTAGTAAGTGGGTCTCTGGCTCAATCCATCCCAGTCCAGCTCCACAGGCCACACTCCAAAGGCTTCACTGCCTCTGTCTTAGCTGGGGCTGCTCTAACAAAGTACCATAGGCGAGGTGGCTTAGAAACAACAGAAATTTATTTCTTATAGCTCCAGACGCTGGAAGTCCAAGATGAGGGTGCCAGCATGATCAGGTTCTGGCAAAGACCCTCTTCTGGGTTGAGAATCCAGGTTAATTCTCGAGTCTTCACATGGCAGAAAAGAGCAAGAGAGATCTCTGGGGTCCCTTTGGAACAGCACTAATCCCATTCAAGACGGCTCCATCTATCACCTGAGTATAGGAGTTCGAGACCCGCCTGGATAACATGGCGAAACCCCGTCTCTACTAAAAATATAAAAATTAGCCAGATGTGGTGGTGCACGCCTGTAATCCCAGCTACTGGGGAGGCTGAGGCAGGAAAATCACTTAAACCTGGGAGGTGGAGGTTGCAGTGAGCCGAGATCACGCCACTGCACTCCAGCCTGCGTGACAGGAACGAGACTCCGTCTCAAAAAAACAAACAAAAAAAGAGGTCTCCACCTTAACAACTTAATAACCTCCCAAAGCCCCCACCCTAACACCATCACACTGTGGGTTAGTCTTTCAACATACAAATTTGAGAAGGACGCATTCAGTTCATTGCAGTCTCATCACTGTGCTACTTGACGTAACAGGAATTAATGATGCTTTGTTGGACCTGAATTATTTTTCCAATCTGATGTCATTCCACTCATGATCAAATTCCCTGAAGAGTCTGACTGGCTTGCCATGGGTCTCAGATCTCACCTACCCAAGGCTCCTTGATTGACAGTTCCCTCAAGACTGCAGGCAGTGGAGTCAGGGTAGTTCCCCGAAAGGAAAAGCTGGCTGCTGTTTTCCAATGGCAGGGAAAGGGATGTTGGTCAGACCAAAACAGATGTCCACCACAATTACCAAAACTCGTCTGAGTCTGGCCATTGCTCAAAAGCATCATGGGACAAATAGACAAATGAAAAATGCCCAGATGTTAAGTGGAAACTTGCCTCTCTTCAGTCACGAAATTGTCTTATATGGACCTTGAAGACGGCTCATGAAATGTGAAGACTTTTGTAAAATGTGGGCATAGCCTCAAAGCTGCCATGGGGGAAGCCAGGCACTCTGGAAGGGAAGGTAGGAAAGAGAAGACACTGAGGAGCATGACTGGGTGCTGCGCTCAGCCAGCCTCTCACCCCCACCCACTCCGTGAGGACCACTTGGAGCACTGGTTGAAACCCCGGCAGAGCTTGGTGACGGCATTTCTGCCACATACTGACACCATAACTAACTAAAGAATGTCCTTGGGCTAGAATTGAGAAGGCCTTAGAGATGCCCGGAAACAGCCTGCTGCTTGGACAAATGAGAAACCTGATGGTCAAAACCCCAAATCACAATTTATCCCTGGGCACCTGGTGGATTCTTCCATTTCCTGGAGACCGGTAAATTGATTTCAGGGGTATAATTCATGTGCACTTGAGTGGTTTCAACTCCTTATCTAATGATTTTAAGTTTTTGTTTAAATATTTTTTTCCAGAATGAAATAAAAAATACCTCTTCTCTCTCTAACACACACACACACACACACACACACACACAAAGGGTCTTCAAAAAGTTCATAGAGGCCAGGCACGGTGGTGCACGTCCGTAATCCCAGCAGTTTGGGAGGTCAAGGCAGGAGGATCGCTTGAGCCCAGAAGTTTGAGACTAGTCTGGGCAACATAGGGAGGGCCTGTCTCTACAAAAACATAAAACTTAGCCTGGCATGGTGGTATGTTCCTGTAGTCTCAGCTACTTGGGAAGCTGAGGCCGGGGGATCCCTTGAACCAAGGAGCTTGAGGCTACAGTGAACTATGATCATGCCACTGCACTGTAGCCTGGATGACAGAGCAAGATCCTGTCTACCCCCCGCAAAAAGTTCATGGAAAATACATATTATGAAAAAACTATGCATAGATTTCAAAAGTAAACTGGACTAACGTTATGTGTCTGAGCAGGATCTAGTTTAAGGCACTAAAATGATAAGACATAAGTTTGAAAAGAGCCTCTGTCAGAGCAACATGAATTCTGCTAAAACTGAAGCAAGGACAAATATCAAATTTATGGTGAAGCTTGGGTGGAAAAATGGTGAGATCAATGATGCTTTACAAAAAGTTTATGGAAATAATGCCTCCAAAGAAATCAGCAGTTTGCAAATAGATAACTTAGTTTTTTTGTTTGTCTGTTTGTTTTTCAATTTGTAGAGAGGGGGGTCTCGCTATGTTGGCCAGGCTGGTCTCCAACCCCTGGGCTCAAGCAATCCTCCTGCCTCAGCCTCCCAAAGTGCTGAGATTACAAACACAAGCCACCACACCCAGCCTTGTTTTAAGAAGGGATGAGATGATGTTGAAGATGTAGCCCGCAGCAGCAGACCATCCATCTCAATTTGGAAAAAAAAAAAAAATTCATCTTGCTTGTGCCTATTTAAAGAGGACTGACAATTAACTGCAGAAACAATAATCAACACTATAGACATCTCAACTGGTTCTCAACTAGAAAATTCTAAACGAAAACTTAAAGTTGAGCAAACTTTCCATTCAATGGATGCCAAAACCATTGCACCCAGATCAGCTGCAGACAAGAGCAGAGCTTTCAACAGAAATTTAAACAAGTGGGACCAAGATCCTGAAGAATTTCTTTGAAGAATTGTAATAGGAGATGAAACATGGCTTTACCAGTATGATCTTGAAGACAAAGTACGATCAAAGCAATGACTACCAAGAGATAAAAGTCCAGTCTAAGCAAAAGCAGACCATTCAAGAGCAGAGGTCATGGCAACAGTTTTTTGGGATGCTCAAGGCATTTTGCTTGTTGACTTTCTGGAGGGCCAAAGAATGATAACATCTGCTTATTATGAGAGTATTTTGAGAAAGTTAGCCAAAGCTTCCACAGAAAAACACCCAGAAAAGTGTCATCAGAGAGTCCTTCTCCACCAAAACAGTGCTCCTG
Source organism: Homo sapiens (assembly GCF_000001405.40). Taxonomy (NCBI): domain Eukaryota; kingdom Metazoa; phylum Chordata; class Mammalia; order Primates; family Hominidae; genus Homo; species Homo sapiens. The sequence continues at coordinate 26,109,659 of NC_000007.14, forward strand.
CTTATTCCTCCCATCAAACAAGGGCAATTTTTCTAGAGTTTCAATGGGAAATCATTAGGCATCCATCTTACAGTCCTGATTTGGCTCCTTCTGACCTTCTTAATTTTCTAATCTTAAGAAAAAATTTAGGCCAGGTGTGGTGGCTCATGCTGTAATCCCAGCACTTTGGGAGACCAAGGCAGGTGGATTGCTTGAGTCCAGGAGTTCGAGACTAGCTTGGGCAATGTGGTGAAACCCCAACTCTACAAAAAATACCAAAAACATTAGCTGGGTGTGGTGTTGGGAGCCTATAGTCCCAGCTATTCAGGAGACTGAAGTGGGAGGATCACCTGAGCCCGGGGGGCAGAGGTTGCAGTGAGCAGAGATCATGCCACAGCACTCCAGCCTGGGTGACAGAGTGAGACCCTGTCTCAAAAAATAATAAATAAATAAAAATTTAAAGGGCATCCATTTTTCTTCAGTTGATAATGTAAAAAAAAAAAACAAACAAAAAAAACAGCATTGAAATGGTTAAATTCCCAGGACCCTCAGTTCTTTAGAAATGGACTAAATGGCTGGTGTCATCACTTACAAAGATGTCTTGAATTTGATGGAGTTTACGTTGAGAAATAAAGTTTATAAAGTTTATATTTTTCATCTTTTAATACCACTTTTCTACGAACTTTTTTTTTTTTTTTTTGGAGACAGAGTCAGCTCTGTCTCCCAGGCTGGAGTGCAGTGGTACAATCTTGGGTCACTGCAACCTCCATCTCCTGGGTTCAAGCCATTCTCGTGCCTCAGCCTCCCAAATAGCTGGGACTATACAGGCACATACCACCATGCCTGGCTAATTTTTGTATTTTTAGTGTAGACAGGGTTTCTCTATGTTGGTCAGGCTGGTCTCGAACTCCTGACCTCATGTGATCTGCCCACCTCGGCCTCCCAAAGTGCTGGGATTACAGGCATGAGCCACCGAGCCCCTGCCTAACTGGTTTAATTTTATAATCCCTTTCTCCCGAGGGAAAAAAAAAAAGAAAATTCAGATTTTTCAAATTTCAGACAAGTGCTCTTTACTGCTTTTACTGAGATTTTTCCTTGCCAATCATTTCCTGGAATTTCTCCATTGATGCCTTTCATTGCTAGTCTCAGCTTTTTGCTGAAGGTTGATTATGTGACTAAAAGTTGGTTGCAAAAAATGTCCCTACATATCACATTTTCCCAAAGTTCTGCTCTTTTTCCAATTCAACCTTCATGGTTTTACTTTTCCCTGCAATATAAGTAATCTCTCAGCTGCTAATTCACAAAACCTCAGAGTTGGTGACTTCTCTCCCCATCTAGTCATTCTCTGAACTGACCAAAGTAGGAAGGTTTCAAGTGTCATCTTATGAAGACCCACTTTTCCCAAAGGACACTGTACAGGTGAGACAAGAGGATGTATTCTAGTCGAGGCAAGGCTTCTGCAGCAGTCAGCAAAGCAGCAGAGTGGTTTAGCACTAGCCAAACGGATGATAGTGCTATATCTACCTACGTAGACAAAGTCACACCTGGAAAGAGGCAGAAATAGAATAACCCCTGGGCATTATTTATTTTAGAATAGGAAGAAAGAAATTGAGGAAGACTGGGCCTTACCTGATATGCCTGGCAATTAATGAGCAGAGAGCAGTGCTGGTTACCATATTAGCTGAGAGATAAAATGTGTAAGGGAATGAAAGGAGGCAAATCTACTCCCAACAATGGTCACCAATCAGATTTCCCAGAGTCCAAGCTCTCTGGACATTCAAGGAGAATTTTCTAAAGCTTTCCCTAAGTTGCTAAACCATTGTCCCCCAATAACAAATAATTTATATCAACCTAGAGAATAATTGGGCCTTGTATCAAGACACGGTGAGGCAGAGCACTTGTAAATGATGAATGAGCAGCAGGGCCAGTCACGCTGATATAAACTCAAACCATGGTGGCCACCGTCCATTAGGAAGTTCCAAGTGGAATCCATCCATAATGGGATTTTATACTCATAGTTGTGCCCAACCTTGCCACGGCAGAATCCCCATTTGTGTGCCCAGAAGTGCAATCAAAGAGTCATTTCTGCACTATGATTCTGTCTTGATTTTCTTAGCTATGCGTGACCTTGAGCCTGGGCACTTCCCTTCTTCATATCAGGACATTAAAGGGAAACAAGAAAACATATTTTCTTTTTTCATATTAGGATCTCACAATTTTTACTGCTTCCTTTTTAACTTTTTAATACAATACATTCATGTAATGCCAAAATTAAGATAATGTTTGGGAAAAACCCAAATACCCAATTTACCAAATCACTCTAAAAGCTGGCTGATCAATATGTCCCCCTTTTGTTTCTGCAAAATTAGATTCATGATGTATATGTGATCTGTTCATCTGCTGCTTTCATTTATGATTATGGCAGGTATTTTCTCCTATAAGTTTCATAATCACAATTTTTTACAAAGGGTATATCAGCGTATTGTTGGCCCTAATTTAGTAAATCATTTCCCTATTGTTCATCCAGGCTGAAAGAGTCTTTATCAGCACAAGACCAAAGAAGCTTCCATTTGCTATTAAGTTTTGAGTTGGGAACTCTATTCGGAGAACAATTGCTCTGAAAGCTCTACGTGACTCCTTCGGATGCAAGAGTGAGGCCAGCTCAGCTGGGATAAGCTCCTACTACAGAAAAGTAGGGGGAAAATTTCAGAATCTGGTGGTTCATCATAGAGCCAGCACTAGCATGAAAGGATGAGGCTGCCACCTCAGGGACAAAATGAAAAACAAAACAAGAAAGCCACATCAAAGAACGAAAATTTTACCCATAATTAGTTGTGTTGAATATTGCTTGTTTTTCCCCTTTTGGTTACTGGTGTACAAACTTTTAACATGAACAACAACAAAAAAAAACTTTAATCATTACTTTTTTTTTTTTTTTTTTGAGGCAGGGTCTCATTCAGTCACCAAATCTGATCGCAGCTCACTGCGGCCTCAACCTCCCAGACTCATGTGATCTTCCTACCTCAGCCTCCTGAGTAGCTGGTATTACAGGCTCACACCACCATGCCCAGCTAATCTTTGTATTTTGGGTGGAGATCAGGTTTTGCCATGTTGCCCGGGCTAGTCTCGAACTCCTGGGCTCAAGCAATCTTCTTGCCTCGGCCTCCCAAAGTGCTGGGATTATGGGTGTGAGCCACCGCACCCACATAATGATTATGTTACTTTTTTTGCTGTTCTTTTTTTCATTGGCAAAAGGAATAAATGCACAAGATTTTTTTAAATCCAGACACAGTATATTGTCTCAGATCTTGACCTCTATCCTTCTGGAATTTTTCTTTGTATATATATGTATATTTACATGTGATGTCCCTTTTTGTTTACACAAATAAGAACACACACTGTATTGCACTTGCCATTTTTATTTGACCTCAGGTCTCAGATTGATTCATCTTGGCATAGATAATCTACTTCATTATTTTTTGTAAGAGCTGCATAGTTTTTCACTACATGAAAGTGCTATAACCATTTCCCTAGTGTGAGATATTTTCATAGTTTCTAGGGTTTTTCATATTAAAAATAATGTTGTAACCATAACATTTTTTGACAGATTCAAGGCAATCGAAAGTCCTAGATTTCCTGAACAGTCTTAAATTAATGTCATAAATGATTTTTAATAGAATAATTTATATAGATTCCAAAAAGGCATTTGATAACATTTTATTCCTGATTTTTTAAAAAGAAATTTCAGTTAAGAAAAAATTCTTTTTTTAATTTTTATGCTTAATGGGGAAATAATGGAAGCTTTTCCATTAGAGGCAGGAAAAAGACAAAGATACCCATTCTCACCATTATTGGTTAAATTGCTCTAGAATTACTAATGCAAAAGAAAGAAACAGAGGTATTAAAATGGAAAATAAGGAGGTAAAATTATCTTGATCTGCAGATGACTATTATATATCATGAAAAACACGCAAAATCAACAGAAAAGCTTTTAGAGGGCCAGGTGTGGTGGCTCATGCCTGTAATCCCAGCACTTCGGGAAGCTAAAATGGGAGGATCATTTGAGCCCAGGAGTTCCAGACAGGAGTTGGAGACCAGCCTGGGCAACATAGTGAGACCCCTATCTCTAAAAATAATTTAGAAATTAGCTGGGTGTGGTGGCATGCACATGTAGTCCCAGCTACCTGGGAGGCTGAGGTAGGAGGATTGCTTGAGCCCAGAAGTTCAAGGCTACAGTGGGCCTTGATCACACAATTGCACTCCATCCTGGGTGTCAGAGCGAGACCCTGACTCAAAAAAAAAAGGGGGGGTCTGGCGCAGTGGCTCATGCCTGTAATCCCAGCACTTTGGGAGGCCAAGGCGGGAGGATCACCTGCGGTCAGGAGTTTGAGACCAGCCTGGCCAACACGGTGAAACCCCTTCTCCACCAAAAATACAAAAATTAGCCAGGCGTGGTAGCACACACCTGTAATCCCAGCTACTTGGGAGGCTGAGGCAGGAGAACCACTTGAACCTGGGAGGGGGAGGTTGCAGTGGGCCAAGATCACAGCACTGCACTCCAGCTGGGCAACAGTGCAAAACTCCATCTCAAAAAACAAAATGCTTTTAGAAACAATAAGAACATACAGCAAAATGACTTTCACACCATTGATGAGTGGTAAAGTGGCACAAGCCCTTGGGGGCAATTTGGACTATCTATCAAAACTCATTGAGCCTGTAATCTTACTTCCCAAAATTTCTCCTTCAGATATACTGCCCCATGGTTCAGAGACACAGATACAGGTATGTATATGTATACATGTTCATTAGAGCATTTTTTATAACAGCAAAAAGGCTGGAAACAACTGGTTTTATAAGGGGATGCCTATATATGTATGAGCTAGTATTTGATATGAGTACAAAACATTTTTCAAAGAATAGCCAAGAAAGTGGTATCAGTGAGTGTCTCTAAGGAATAAAACCTAGAAAGGATGAGAAGGAGCTTGTTTTTTACCATATGCCTTTTGTGTGGTTGGAACTAGCCATGTGCTCCCAAAACGCATGCCTTAAAATGTTTTCGTAGCGCAGGTAAGACTTTTCTAACAGACAAATTTATTTTCATAAAATCCTAGATTAAACCAGAAGATTAACTTTTAGTTCAAGATAGATGGATCTAGGCTGGGAGTGGTGACTCACGCCTGTAACCCCGGGCACTTTGGGAGGCGGAGGCGGGTGGATCACCTGAGGTCAGGAGTTCAAGACCAGCCTGGCCAACATGGCAAAACCCTGTCTCTACTAAAAATACAAAAATTAACCAGGCTTAGTGGTGGGCACCTGTAATCCCAGCTACTCGGGAGGCTGAGGCACGAGAATCGCTTGAACCCGGGAGGCAGAGGCTGCAGTGAGCCGAGATCGTGTCACTGCACTCCAGCCTGAGCGACAGAGCAAGACTCCATCTCATAAATAAATAAATAAATAAATAAATAAATAAATAAATAAAATAGATGGATGTCCTTCGTGCAATACAGGAAAGCCTCTCATTGGCATTAAGAAGACAGAAACAACACCTAAGGATTTTTTAAGAGTTTTTGTTGTGGTTGTTTTAGACTTGATGGCTTTGAAATGGTGTAACTATGTCTACTCATCAATCAACTTTACTGGTCAGTGTTTTTCAAGCCCTGTGCCCAGATAACAATTCACGTCACTGAGCAAGGTGAATTCAGGTTGGGATGTAACCCAGGACCAACCTCACTTTTTTGAGGGCTTACAGTGACCCAGTCAAATAGGGCAACACTGACTCAAAAAGTTTGGGACAGGCTAGGCCAGCAGGAAGGAGAGTGAGAACCTTATCTGGGGTCTGTTCTGCTTGCTCCTGCTGGCTCCTCTGGTCACAGTGACCACCATCAGTGACAACACGGTTCCACTCCAAACCTTTCTCATCTCACTTGTTCTCCTCCTCTTATTTCTACTTCTAATATAGAGAGAGAAGCTTGGGCAATTCTGGTGAGTGGCAGGAGGAAAAGCGACAAGGGCATGTGGTGTTAGCAACAGAAAATTCTACAGCTAATAGCAATAACATTTTACCCTAAAATCACACGAAACTAAACTATATTGATCAGTTCCCAAACCCTCGTCCACTAACTAGGCTGCTACACCTAAATCGCTAGGGAGCATCTTTAAATGCAAGAATTCTCGGGTTGTACTCTGCTTCACTGGATCTGGGGAAGGACGTGGAAATCTATATTTTTAAGACATTCCCCAGGTAACTCTGATGGGCAGCCAGGCTTGGCAAACATGGACATAAATTATTCAGTTACACCCAAATAATTGTGGCCCATATAACAGTCTAATAAATTTGGATGTGACCCCTTGGGGGAAAAATATCCCAGGAAAAATTGCTATCATAAAGGAATTAAATTAATCCTCAAGGGTGTGTAAATTAATCCCAGTAAACACATTATAGTCACTGCATTAAGTAAAAAATTTTGTCTGCCTACTCAATAATGAAATAAGCAGAGAGAGGACATTTTAAAGCCTGCAGGAGATATTATAATTCAAACACTAACCTAGAGCTGATAAATATTTTATAGACAATTTTATTTCATTCTACTTGAGAATGAATAAGGGCGTACGTTTCTATTTGGCAACATCAGGGTTTTTGAATTGAATTGGAAGCTTATAGTGTTGGTGAAACTCGTGAATTTCTCCCTCAAGATGAGTATTGGCAACTTCATAACTAAAAGACACCAGGTCATTTTTTCTCCTCACTGTAAGCCACTTCACGTGACTTGGTCTTTTGACTCTGCTCTGAAGTACAGTGCTGCGAACTGTCTTTTGTAGAGTCCTGTAAAATGTACTTGTTCTCTAGAAACGGACAGATCTATAGATGTCTGGTCCTGGTCCTCCTTAATTTCCTCCTGCTGAGAACCTTGCAAAACCTCACTACAAAGTAAGCCAAAGAAAGTTGGAAAAGTAAGTTCTTTTCATTCGTCAACTTACAGGACCACAACAAAAAGTCTCTGCAGGCAGTAGGGGAGTTTATGGTAAACACCCATGGGCAGTGAAAGTTTGTCATGGGTTTGTTTTCTCATCCTAAATTGAGTAAGATGTTTTGTAAAGGATAAAATCATACAAGCCAAGAAAGCCTTCAGGGTTTGACAAACATACGGAGAGATTCTTTTAATACAAATAGGGAATCTGGACTGTGAAAATTAGGTGTTCTCTGTTCTCAAAAGTGGGAGGACAAGTCTGCCCAACTTCATGTGAAAATGTACTAGAGAAACGGGAGTTGACCAGAGAAACTGGTTGTCAGAGTTTAAACTGAGATTTTTCTTCTAAGAGAAATGGTAACTTTTTAAAAAGATTCTTTCACCCATTTGCAGACCCACTTCATGGCAGGATGCTTACCTTGGATGCTTACATTTGGTGTCAAGATGAAGGGGGGGCCTTTCCTGGATGTCACTGGGATGCCACAGCAGGCCTGTAGAAGTCACATTGCAGGAAAGACGTTGGGCTTCCCAGGAGGAAAAGGGAAAGGGCTGGGGATGAAAGATCAAGCTCCCAGACCATGAGGTTGAGACCTCTGAAAGCCGCCCTTTTGGAAACAATGTCCCCAGAAGACAGAAAACTAAGGTAGAGGAAATTCAAAAGTTGCATGCTTTATTTCAAGACCGAAAGTGAAGACTGCCACACAGGGATGTGTCACGCAAATGCCCCCAGCCCAGCCTCCCAGGAACTGCCAACCTGCTTCTGAGCAGCTGTGATAATATTCAGTGCAGACTGTCAACTGCTGGCTGAGGGCATTTTGCTTGAAGAGGGTGTCCTTTTTGGGGATGGGAAGAGAACAGTGTCTAAGCAAAACATTTGAAGAGCAGTGATGCAGAGCCTCTGCCTCAGAGTACAGCCACAGTGGGGCAGTGATAGGGACAGCCACCAGAAGCCTCCAGACCCATTCACAACCAACCAGGAAGGGGTTGGGACTGAGGATGACAACCCCCCGCATCAGCATGTGTGCACATAAGAGGAGAGGACACCGGCCCCCAGTGGAAACTGCGGAGATTAGCATCCTAGTACCAACAGCTTTTTTATGATAATCTTGGCTTCCAATTGTCCCTCCTTTGGAGTGTGCGTGTGTTGAGGAGAAAGGGGTAGATATAGTTTGCTAATGAATTTCACATATTTCTGTATATGTGAAATGTGAAATCGAATATAAAGAATGCATGATTCTTTGAAAATTATTTAAGAATTCATATATGAGAATTATGAAAATTCAGAGCCTTCACTCTTCACTAGGCAAGAAAAATTACATCAGCTGGGCATGGTGGCTCGAGACTGTACTCTCAGATACTCAGGAGGCTGAGGCAGAAGAATCGCTTGAGCCCAAGAATTCAAGACCAGCCTGGGCAACATAGTGAGACCCTGTCTCTAAAAAAATAATAATAACAAATAAAAATAAAATTAGCCAGGCATGGTAGGTAGCGCACAACTGTAGTCTCAGCTACTCAGAAGGCTGAGGTGGGAGGTTTGCGTGAGTCCAGGAGATCACAGCTGCAGTGAAGTATAATCATGACGCTGCACTCCAACCTGGGCAACAGAGCAAGACCCCATCTCGAAAGAAAAAGAGAGTACCTCAAGCTAGTCAATGCAAACTCCTTTTGTTGTTGTTGTTGTTGTTGAGACAGGTCTCACTCTGTCATCCAGGCTGGAGTGCAATGGCTCGATCACAGCTCATTGTAGCCTCAACTTCCTGGGCTCAGCTTCCTGAAGTAGCTGGCACTACGGGCACCTACCACCATGTCTGATTTACTTTTTGTAGTTTTTGTAGAGTTTCACCACGCTACCCAGGCTGGTCTCAAACTCTAGGGCTCAAGAAATCTGTCCACCTTGGCCTCCCAAAGTGCTGGGATTACAGGCGTGAGCCACCACACCCAGCTTGGCAATGCAAACTTCTACCTCCTTTTCATGTATACAGGTTTTTCCTGCAGTTACTAGAAGCAAAATATTGACCCTGACCTCCAAGAGTTTTATTTTAGATGAGATGACAAAATGCCCATGTAATGATTAAAAATCAGTATAAAGCAGAATGTAACCAGAACCTAAATGGGGCAGGTGTGGATTAAAGCCATAACAGTAATCTAGAGAAAGAAAACATCTCTGGAAGCTAAAGCTACTGCTGCAGTGAAAGATTTCATAGAAATGGGACTTCAGTTGAGCTCTGAAAATAATTTAGTTAAATGTATATGGGAACTATGGCTGGGTACAGTAGTTTATGCCTGTAATCCCAGGAATGTGGGAGGCAGAGGCTGAGGTGGGAGGATTGCTTGAGCCTGGGAGGTCAAGGCTGCAGTGAGCTGTGATCACACCACTGCACTCCAGCTTGGGTGACAGAGTGAGACCCTGTCTCAAATAAATAAATAAATAAATAAAATGAATATGAGAATGAGATGGAAGTTTATCCGAGAAGAAGTAACAGCAAAAGTTCAGCAGTCAGAACAAGAGGGACTGTGTGCAGGACCAGATGTCTGCCTGGTGCTGTCCACCTTCCATGCGATGGGTAGGAGCGTGCTGTCCACCTTCCATGCGATGGGTAGGAGCGTGCCCCATGTTGCCTGCTCACTATATGCCAGCGCCTGTGCCAGACACACTCACTTATTACCCTGTTACATCCTCACAGAAGCCTTTCCACACCAGAAGGGAAGGAAGGGCTCAGAAGGGTTCAGTAATTTGTCCAAGGTTGCATGTTAGTAAGTGGCAGAGCTGGGACTCTAACTGAAGTCACCCAAGTCCAGAGCCTATGCTGTTAACTCCAACACTTTTATATGAATCCATGGTTGGGTGGCCAGTTGGCAGCAGTGAGCAGCATAAAGCTTAAAGATAGGTGTTTTTGGCCAGAACAATGTGTAGAAAAGCAGATTGACTTGGCTGGGATAGGCTGGCTGCCCGATCAGCTTAATTCCTGTTTCCCACCCTCCCAGTTTCACATGCTCATGCTACCTGTCCAAGAAATCCTGCCTAAGGTGCCCAGCTGACACTGAGGGAGGTGAGGAGAAATGGAAAAGAAAGAGCCCATTCTTTTTTTTTGAGACAGAGTCTCATTCTGTTGCCCAGGCTGGAATGCAGTGGCACGACCTTGGCTCACTGCAACCTCCGCCTCCCAGGTTCAAGCAATTATCCTGCCTCAGTCTCCCAAGTAGCTGCAATTACAGGTGGCCGCCACCACACCTGGCTAATTTTTATAATTTTTTAGTAGAGATGGGTTTTCACTATGTTGGTCAGGCTGGTCTCAAACTCCTGACCTCAGGTAATCCACCGGCCTCGGCCTCCCAAAGTGCTGGGATTACAGGCATAAGCCACCATACCCTGCCAGAGCCCAATCTTGAGATCCTTCTAAAAAAGGAATTTGAAAGCAAAGACAAAGAAAGGAAAGAGTTAAAGACTTAAGTCTATAAGGTTTTTCACAGTGAATTCTCCAGCATCAGAAATCCCTTGGGCAGGTTGGGGGTAGGGTGGCACGGAGCACTGGTTAAAAATGCAGAGCCCTGGGCCCAGGGCACTCCCACCGAGTCTAGGGGATGGCCAAGGAGCCTAAATTTGCTAGCAGGCTCCACTAAAATTTGAGAGCTATTGGATTGTACTTGTTCCAGAACAAAATCCCTCATACTCACCTAGTTTTCCCTTCTTGCAAATATAACTCTTAATCACATTTACTCTAAATGAGAAATAGTGTTCACTGTCAGCCTGTCAAAATACTTCACGTATGTCTTAGGAAAACCTTTAATCACAACTTTCTTTTCTCTGAGTGCTTTTTTTCTAATCTTTGAGCTTTGGAGCACCGAATTAAAGTCAGTCCTAAATCCTTTTCTAATCAACACTTACATCAAAAAGACTTCATTGCAATTCAATTTGAGCCATTTTCGCCATTCATGTTCAGCCTATTATTACCAAGGAGCTGGCCAATGGCACTGAGAATTTTTCACACTGACCAAAAACTGGGGTTCACTGAGTGCCAAGACATGTTTTGGGAGCCACAGGCAGTCACTCGGCTTCCTTTTCTTGCCTGTCTCCTGGGAAAGGTGGGTAAGAAAAATCCCCCTGAAGCCTCTGGGCAGTGAGGAGTACTTTGCCCTTGCCCCTGACTTTGGGAAGAGCTTTCCCCATTCCAGGCCTTTTCCTCTGAAGTTCAGAATGCCTGAATGACCTTCCCCTCCTGCCACTCCCCCAGAAACTCCTAATCATCCTTCAAGTTTTGGCTCAGAAGTAGTGAAAATAATAATCATAAATCACATTTCCCTATTCAACTCTGTCTTAGCTTACTATATAATTTCCCTTTGTAGTTCTCATCAAAGTCTTTCATGATCTAATTGTGTCATTATTTGATGAGCACCTATCTATCCCACTGAAAACTACATGAGTGCTGAGACCATTTGCTTTGCTCAGACTTGTATTTATGCCTATTACCATGTCTGGCACACAGAAGGTACTCAGTATTATTGGATGAATTCAGAGGTTTATGTTTACTGAGCACTTAACAATACGTCAGGTACTGCTATGTGCTCCTGACACATGATGTATTTTAATTTTCCCAACAACCTTCTGAGGTAGGCACTATTATTACCCCTGTGGGATAGGTAAGGATGTCAAGGCTCATCGAGGTCTCAGGGATTTGTCAGGGTCACACAGCTAATGAGTGTGGGTGCTTGGATTCAAATATGAGTTTGTCTACCTCTAGATCTCAGCTCTCACCCATGATGTTATACACCTACTGTTTGACATAGTCAGCTTCCATAACTGTTACCTTCTTGGACACCCTCTTCCTAGAATTAATTGTTTCCTTCACTGTTTTTTTCTCATAACATTTCAAATATTCTTCCATTGCCACACTATTACATTGCATCAGGATTTAAATATGTGTCTGGGAGCTCCATGAGTGCATGGACCATGTTTTATTAAGCCAGCGGGCCAATTCTAACCACACAGTCCATATGCAGGTGCGATTACAGTACGGGATAAGTGCTTGATTAACCCAGCATCAGTCCCTCTTGATCCATCACTATAGAGGGAGATGCCATTAACCTAAGTGGACAAATTGACTAAGGGAACAGATGGACAGCTCAGAGGCAGACCCACCAGATACAGAAACCTGGCATGTAAGAGGTACACTGGGAAAAGGATGGAGCCAGCACACTCAGTGGTCCGTGTAACAAAGGAATGAAAGTAGACCCCGTATCATACACGATACATAAAAAATAATTCTAAATGGGCTGGGCGCTGCGGTTTATGCCTGTGACCCCAGCACTCTGGGAGGCCGAGGCGGGCAGATCACTTGAGGTCAGGAATTCGAGACCTACATGGTGAAACCCGTCTCTACTAAAAATACAAAATTAGCAGGGTGTGGTGGCTGGCGCCTGTAATCCCAGCTACTCGGAAGGCTGAGGCAGGAGAATCACTTGAACCCAGGAGAAGGAGGTTGCAGTGAGTCCAGATTGCACCATTGCACTCCAGCCTAGGCTACAAGAGGGAAACTCCATCTCAAAAATAATAATTCTAAATGGACCAAAGACTTCCATGTGAAAAATAAAACTTTCAAACGTATAAAATGAGGAGTAATCACAATGATAATCAAGGAAATTAAAATCAAGGCTATCATAAGATATTCATTTTAAAGCCACTGAATTGGCAAAAATAAAGAAATCTGATAATACTCAGTATTGGCAAAAATATGGATCACTAGGAATTCTTAATCCACTGTTGATGGTTATATATATATTAGCAAACCACTTTAGAAAAAAGTTTGGCAATATCTAAAGATTATATTTATACTATAAAATATATGTAGCAGAAAATGAATTAACAGGTACAGCTGCTGTAGAAAATAGTATGATTCTTCAAAATTTTAAACATAGAATTACCATACAATTCCACGTCTGGGTATATACCCAAAAGAAGTGAAAGCAGGGATAAGAACGTATATTTGTACACTTATGTCACAGCATTATTCACAATAGCCATAAGGTGGGAGCAAACCAAGTGTCCATCAATGGATGAATGGATAAACGAAATGTGTTGTGATGTTTGTGTGTGTGTGTGTGTGTGTGTGTGTGTATAATGGAATATTATTCAGCCTTAAGTTAAATGGATGGACCTGAGGACATTATGCTAAGTAAGATAAGTCAGTCACAAAAGGACAAGTATTTTCTATGAGGTACCTAGAATAGGCAAATTCATAGAGACAGAAAGTAGAACAGACGTTGCCAGGGGCTGGGGGAAGAGGAGAATGGAGAATTTTCTTCTGCAGATAACTACTCTCCTTTTGAGTGACAGCTCTTGGCCTGTTACTGGGCCTTGGTGGAAACTGAACATTGGCTATGGGTCATCAAGTCACCATGTAAACCTGAACTGCCTGTCATGAACTGGGTGCTTTCTGACCCATCTAGCCATAAAGTGGGTGGTGCACAGCAGCATTCCATCAACAAATGGAAGTGGTATATACGTAATCGGGCTCGAGCAGGTCCTGAAGGCACAAGTAAGTTACATAAGGAAGTGGCTCAAATGCTCATGGTCTCCACTCCTGCCACCCTGCCTTCTCTCCCTCAGCGTGCACCAATGGCCTCATGGGGAATTCCCTATGATCAGTTGACAGAGGAAGAGAAGACTAGGGCCTGGTTCACAGATGGTTCTGCATGATATGCAAGCACCACCTGAAAGGGGACAGCTGCAGCACTACAACCCCTTTCTAGGACATCCCTGAAGGACAGCGGTGAAGGGAAATCTTCCCAGTGGGCAGAATTTTGAGCAGTGCACCTGACTGTGCACTTTGCATGGAAGGAGAAATGACCAGATGTGTGATTTATATACTGATTCATGGGCTGTAGCCAATGGTTTGGCTGGATGGTCATGGACTTGGAAGAAACATGATTGGAAAGTTGGTGACAAAGAAATTTGCGGAAGAGGTGTGGATGGACTTATCAAGTGGTCAAAAACTGTGAAGATATTTGTATCCCATGTAAGTGCCCACCAACGGGTGACCTCAGCAGAGGAGGATTTTAATAATCAAGTGAATTGATGACTGTTCTGTGAACACCATTCAGCCGCTTTCCCCAGCCACCCCTGTCATCGCCCAATGGGCCCATGAACAAAGTGGCCATGGTGGCAGGGATGGAGGTTAAGCATGGGCTCAGCAACATGGACTTCCACTTACCAAGACTGATCTGGCTACGCCCACTGCTGACTGCCCAATTTGCCAGCAGCAGAGACCAACACTGAGCCCTCAATATGGCACCATTCCTCGGGGTAATCAGCCAGCTACCTGGTGGCAGGTTAATTGTATTGGACCTCTTCCATCATGGAAAGGGCAGAGGTTTGTCTTCACTGGAATAGACACTTACCCCAGATGTGGGTTTGCCTATTCTGCACGCAATGCTTCTGCCAAGACTACCTTCCATGGACTCACAGAATGCCTTATCCACCATCATGGTGTTCCACACAGCATTGCCTCTGACCAAGGCACTCACTTTATGGCTAAAGAAGTACAGCAACGTGCTCATGCTCGTGGAATTTACCGGTCTTACCATGTTCCCCGACATCCTGAAGCAGCTGGAATGATAGAACGATGGAATGGCCTTTTGAAGTCACAATTACAATGCCAACTACATGACAATACTTTGCAGGGCTGGGGCAAAGTTCTTCAGAAGGTCGTGTATGCCCTGAATCAACGTCCAGTATACTGTACTGCTTCTCCCATAGCCAGGATTCATGGATCCAGGAATCAAGGGGTGGAAGTGGAAGTGGCACCACTCACCATTACCTCAAGTGATCCACTAGCAAAATTTGTGCCTCCTGTTCCCACAACATGACATTCTGCTGGCCTAGAGGTCTTAGTTCCAGAGGGAGGAACGCTGCCACCAGGAGATACAACAACGATTCCATTAAACTGGAAAGTTACAAGTGCCACCTGGACACTTTGGGATCCTCCTGTCTTTAAGTCAACAGGCTAAGGGAGTTAGTGTTGGCTGGGGTGATTGACCCCGATTATCAAGATGAAATCAGTCTACTACTCCACAGCAAAGGCAAGGAAGAGTATGCATGGAATACAGGAGATCCATTAGGATGTCTCTTAGTATTACCACGCCCTGTGATTAAGGTCAATGGGAAACTACAACAGCCCAAGCCAGGTAGGGCTACAAATGGCCTAGACCCTTCAGGAATGAAGGTTTGGTTCACTCCACCAGGAAAAAAAAAAAAAAACACGACCTGCCGAGATGCTTGCTGAAGGCAAAGGGAATACAGAATGAGTAGTAGAAGAAGGTAGTCATCAATACCAGCTATGACCACGTGATCAGCTGCAGGAACAAGGACTGTAATTGTCATGAGTATTTCCTCCTTCTTTTGTTAAAAACATGTTTGTGCATGTATACACTTATACTAATTTTATTTCACTTTATTTCCTATTTTCTTTACCATGTGACGTAAGATTTGTTGACCTCATATCAGCATTTAAGTATTGTTAATTTTATGTAATAATATTTGGGTTGATGATTGGTGTGTTTCTGGTTGTATGAAGGATAGTTGTATTATGTTAGGCATAACTATGACCTTATTATTGTCTTTATTTGAAGACTATGTATGATCTCAGGAGATGTGTGTGGGTTCAAGTTGACAAGGGGTGGACTTGTGATGGTTAATACTGAGTGTCAACTTGATTGGATTGAAAGGATACAAAGTATTGATCCTGGGTGTGTCTGTGAGGGTGTTGCCAAGGAGATTAACATTCGAGTCAGTGGGCTGGGAAAGGCAGACCCACCCTTAATCTGGGTGGGCACCATCTAATCAGCTGCCAGCACGGCTAGAATATAAAGTAGGCAGAAAAATATGAAAAGACTAGACTAGCCTAGCCTCCCGGACTACATCTTTCTCCCATGCTGGATGCTTCCTCCCCTCAAACATTGGACTTCAAGTTCTTCAGTTTTCGTACTCAGACTGGCTCTCCTTGCTCCTCAGCTTGCAGATGGCCTATTGTGGGACCTTGTGGTCATGTGAGTTAATACTTAATAACTCATATATATATATGAAGGGGATTTATTACTTCAGACAGGCAACAAGAGACAACAGAAAGAAGCCCAGGATTCATGGTGAGCTGGTTCCCCAGGGCTCAGGAAAGCTGCCCAGGTGGATGGAGTCTTCCACAAGTGCTTCACTTGCACAGCAGCTGAAGGTCACCCAAAAAGTGACCTACCTGGGTTTTATACCCCAGGGAACATGAGTTGCTGGGATAAAGCATTGAAGGACATCCTGTTTCTAGGGGGGAGCTGGAGAGAATTCAGGCTGTTCCAGTCAGTCCCTCCCTATCTTGGGATGTTGCACTCCCAGCACATTCTACAGTTATTCTTGAGAACTGCAAGCAAGAAAGAGGGAGAGAACTGGGCCAGTCCAAGGCCACCCAGAGAACTGTCCCGCAGGATGGTGAAAGGTCTGGAAACTCTGCCAGGGAGGAAGGGGTGCTGGTCTGGAAAAGTGCATGTGGGCCTTTTGGAGAGCCTGGTTCAGAAGCATGGCTACTGGTATTGCTTGGCTGAAGCACTGCTCTATGGGAAGTTCACCCTCTTTGAATAAGTGAGCCACTTCAGAAGCACCCCAATCTACAGAACTAGCCTGGAAAAGGAAAAGGGAGAGTATGGGAAACATAAGACCTAACTTCAAATCTTAGAAAGCCTGTTTTATAGAAGTGAGATTCACTGTGAGAAGTTCCAGAGATCAGGCCTCATGGTTAGAAGCTACAGGAAGACTTTACAAACTTTGAGCAGGGCAAGCGCCCAAGAGCTAGGCTGCCTGTGAGGTCCTGGACATGTTCAACCATCTAGATTGTCAAAGAATCAATTGCAGGACTGGAAGCAGGGGAAGCTGGAGGAGATGCCAGCTAGGTCCTCGCCTGCTCTGTGACAATGATTCAAATGCATCCAGGTGGTAGACACCCCACCTGCCAGGAACAGCTGTCAGTCTTGGAACCACTCAGTCAACACTTATTTTGAGTTGGATTTTCTGATTATTCTAGAACTCATTTGGATCTTGCCATGAACCAAATCAGCCCTTTTCACATTAGCTGCAGTCCCTGGAGTATTAAAAATGCTGCCAAGCCTTAGGTTTTACCACTTACGGAGTAAGCCTTGAGTTCTAATAAAACGATGCTTAAAGCAGATACATACATCTTTTTTTCTATATTCTAAACTGTTCATAGTTTGCCACCTCTCCTATAAATGGATCTACCATCTTTTCAAGATTTTCTCCCATAAGCACTTGAGAGCACTTCTGTAAGCCCCCAGGATACTGAATTGAAAGATTTATATTAACACCTGCAGGCAAATCTCTTTTGAACTTGTCCAAGGCAGAATCATGAGGAAGGGACCACAAAATAAGTCAGCTAATTACATGTCACTTTAAAACCACTGGATGTAGACTAAAGGCTGCTGAAAGGTTTTGATCAATACTGACTCTGCCTTGGACACCATGAGTAATGTGATGCACGCTGCTCATGTCTTTTCCTGGGCACCTCAATCTGGCAACTTCTTTTCTAAGCAGTAATTAAATCAGTGAAAATTGTATATAGTCATGTGAGTGGCAAAAATTTTTAGCAGCAATCATGAAACCAACCCCCGCCCCACGCCCCACCGCTCAATACACTTTGAAAATCTACAATTGGCAAATTTGAAATGTCAGGTCCATGCTAATTTGTTTTGCAAGCTACTCCAAGGAAGCCAGATATCAGCCCGTCCCCGGCTGTTAGATGAAAGGCTCCAGAAAGTCTTGCATAGCTGACGGCAGGACGCAGTGGGCTCTCTCCTCCCTTCCCTGGCACCATTTGGGTGGCATCATTGTGAAATGCTCTTTCTGCCGCTGGTACTGGCATCCTGTTAAATCTCAATTTGACACTCGGGTGTGCGCTGAGTCACAGCAGGTGCAAGACTTAGGTGACTGCTTTGTGCCCACATTTGAATAACTCAGCTCATGAGCAAGTTGGCTCAGGTGTGCTTCCTCCTCTCATTAGCCATGGTTTTCTCAACCCAAGAGCAGTTGACTACCCAGCGTGACCTGAACTGGCTGCTTCATCAAATATTGACAGCATGTTTGAAGTTCTCCTTTTATTCTTACAAGGCAGTTTCCTTCTGTGATACTTTCCTTCAGAAAGTACTGTTTCAAGCAGTGCCCAGACCTGGCCCTGAAACCATGTCTGCAGACTGTCATGGAAGGGAGGCAGACCTTGTATTTGGCCTTAGTAGCACCTCGCCACCTTGCTCCTCACCCAGACTGCCAAGCACAGAGAAGCACATACCTCCTCTGTGAAGAGGGAAAATAACCAGCTGACTCAGATTCACAGAGAACTTAGCAACAAATAATGAGAGCTTTAGCATCTCATGCTTGCTAAATGGGCAGGACCAAGTAGATACTATACCACTTTTTTTGTTTTTACAGACAGGGGTCTTGCTATGTTGCCCAGGCTGGAGTGGAGTGGTGCAGTCATAGCTCACTGCAGCCTCGAATTCCTGGGCTCAAGCAATTCTTCTGCCTCAGCCTCTCAAGTAGCTGGGTCCACAGACATGTGCCACCACTTTGTCTGACTTGTACCTACTTTTTAAGGTTAACAATGATTATGAATTGGGAGGTAGCTCTCAGACTGACACAGGGACTGAGGCTGCTAATTAGAGAATGCCAAAGCAGTCTGTTAGAAACAATCAAGGCTTACTAGACACCCATGAGGTTTGCCTTTAACACACCAAGCTGCTGTGTGACTTCACAATGGAATCAAGGATGAATCAAGGGCTCAGCTTCACTCTACACCTGGCTGGACTGGCCCAGAGGTGCTGCTGAGAGAAGACAGAGGGACATAGAAGTGAGAGGTGGGAAGAACTAGAAGCCCAATAACCATGATGATTTTGTGCAGAAGCATAGAGCTGGGGAATGACCCAGAGGATGTGAGACCCTGTCTCTAAAAATAAAAATAAAATAAGGAGTGCAGAGGCACAATCATAGCTCACTGCAGCCTTGAACTCCTGGCCTCAAGCCATTCTCCCGCCTCAGCCTCATAAGTAGCTGGGACCACAGGTGCACACCACCGTGTCCAACTGATTTTTTTTTTAATTTTTTGAGAGATGAGGTCTCAAACTCCTGGGCTCAAGTGATCCTCCCAGCTTGGCCTCCCAAACTGCTGGGATTACAGGCGTGAGCTACAACGCTCAGCTAAAAAAAAATTTTTAAAACAAAAATCATCAGTATATTTCTAGAGCCACAAGTGTAAGGGGCCAGATTTTTCCAAGACAAAAATGAAAATGAATGGTGTCAGGAGGGGGGCAATAGTAGTTGCTTGGCCCGGCATTTAGAGCCCCAGATCACCATGGGAGGGGAGGAAAGTGGGGCTGGAGACACTGCGCTAGGCAGCTGGCATGGGGCTGGCAGAGAAGGCCGGATTCCTGCCCTGAAAAGCTGGGGGAGTGACTGCACAGAGCCCCTGGTGCGACAGGCCAGGCAGCTGGCTGCCACAGAAGCTTCTGAACCCCTGCAACTTTGAGGCACTTGGCACTCTCCCCACCCCACTTTCATCGAACTATTATCAAGAGGAAGGAAAAATGTATTTCAGAATCCCAAGAAAACTCCAGAATGAGCCAAATCTTCTTTGCTTGTGTAAAAAAGAAAAAGCAAAAGCAAGCTGAGTGATCAGAAAATGAAAAATTATAACCTGACATTAAGTTTGAAACTTTTGTGAGTGACCTGAAGAGAACAGGTTGGGAGATACGTGAGGGCCTCTAGAAAGGAGGCCACCAGGGGAAATCAAGTAACCTAGGGACACAGATATGAGCCTGGCCATCACCCCCTTCTTACCCGGGAGAGAGCAGCAAACCATGACCTGGGCCCATGAGCCTGGGAAGGGGGCCTATGATCCTCCTTATCCTCGAAATAGCTGTGTCTGTGGGGACAAGGACCACAGCTTTCCCTCACTGTCTCACTGTCTGCTCCCTCCCTGCCTCGGCTCCTGTCCACCTGCCCTGGAGCACCCCCTCCTTACCACAGCTTATCCAGCTTGCACTCAGCTCTGACACCTTATTGAAGTTACGGTCCTTTCCTCAGAGTGCACCAGGCTAAAATCACTGATCTGTCCTCTACGGCCACAATTTAATAATAACAGGTGACACTCTGCATTTGACCTTGTGCCAGGCACTGTTCTAAGTGCTTTTACATATCTCAGCTCCTTTAATCCTCATAACAACACTATGAGGGAAGTATTTGCCTTCACTTTATAGATGGGGAGCCTGGGATACAGGGAGGTGGAGTGACTTGCCTGAGGTCACACAACTGGGCTAGGATTTGAACCCTGGAAGGCTGGCATCAGCGTCTATAGTTTTAATCACTCCACTATCCTGACTCTCAATTCCAACCTGTCCTATAGTGTTAGATATTAGGATGTGACAGTTAATGTTTAGGCCCTGCTATTTTTTCTTTTTTTTTTTTTTTAAGACAGCGTCTCACTCTGTCACCCAGGCTGGAATGCAGTGGCGTGATCTTGGGTCACTGCAACTTCTGTCTCCCAGGTTCAAACGATTTTCCTGCCTCAGCCTCCCAAGTAGCTGGGATTATAGGCGCCCGCCATCACGTTAATTTTTGTATTTTTAGTAAAGACGGGGTTTCGCCATCTTGGCCACGCTGGTCTCGAACTCCTGACCTCATGTGATCCACCCATCTGGGCCTCCCAAAGTGCTGGGATTACAGGTGTGAGCCACCACGCCAGGCTGGGTCCTACTATTTTAGCCAGAGAAGCCTCCCACAAGCATACTCAACCCTGCCTAACTTCTGAGCCCATCAGAGCTAAGGCAGTTCATGGTTGGGATCCTGGTACCCTACCCAGCTCTTACCAGGTCCCTTCCCCAGGGGCTTGGCCATAACTCTGTATCTCCAGCTCCTGGCTGGGATCCTATCAAAGCAAACCTCTTACCTGGGACCACAGTGCTGCTCCTGGGCTGACTTTGAGCCCCATCTCTATGTGGAATCCTGGTTACTTCACAGCAGTCACAGGACTGGACCCTCTTAATGGTAAGTTGGCCCAGGATCCCCACTTTCCCTCACACTGGACTGCTCTCAACTCATCTTCTCCCCAGCTTCCTCCCACTCCCCACGAGCCCCTGCTTCCCTACAGAACCCACCTGAATTATGACAAGCTCAGATATCCTATGAGGTCAGGGCTCTCATCCAAGAGGTCAGCACTCTGCACAGCTAGTGGACTGGTCCTGGCTCTTTAAAAGCAAGCTGGTAAATAAAACACAATGAGAGTGGACGCTTCTTACTAAAGGCCACATGAAAGGAGCACTATGAAATCCCTGCCTTCAGAAAGTCAGTCAAGGGCCAGACGCGGTGACTCACGCCTGTAATCCCAGCACTTTGGGAGGCTGAGGCAGGCAGATCACGAGGTCAGGAATTCGAGACCAGCCTGGCCAACATGGTGAAACCCCATCTCTACTAAAAATACAATTTTGTAAAAATACAAAAATTAGTTGGGTGTGGTGGCGCGCATATAATCCCAGCTACTCACGAGGCTGAGGCTGGAGAATCGTTTGAACGTGGAAGGCGGAGGTTTCAATGAGCAGAGATTGTGCAATTGCATCCCAGCTTGGGGCACAGGGCGAGACTCCTTCTAAAAAATAAATAAATAAATAAGTAAAAGTCAGTCAAGGCCTCTGCTATATCACCTCTCCAATATCTCATTTGCTATCAGCTAACCACACTGTGCAAGCGGTGACAGAGTTGACAGCAGTGTTACTGAGGGAAACAGAAGGGGAATGGTCCACTAGGTGTGGTTTGGAGATTGTGTGGAGGAAAGCAATGAAGACAGAGAGTAACTATATCTAGTACTAGCGTCCCTGGGTGCACCCCAATGTGGCATTTCTTGAAAGTTTATCACAAGGGCTACCGGCAAGCACTGTAAGATTGAGCTGATACGTGAAATTGATATTTTCTTCTTTGCCTCGGGCATTCATTCCCAGGGATACAATGTCAATTCAGAGTTTCCAGGTGAAGCTTTGCCAGAAATATTGCCAATGCTGCCATCCTGGGCTTTTATAAGAACGCATTCAGCTTATGGCCACTAGTGAACACAGCCTTCAGAAGACTGTCAGATTGGTTCCAGACAGCTAAGGAACACATGCATATATTAATAAGTGGCATTATTTTAAGTAACCTGGACACTAAAATAGTATTCTCCAAAGCTTACTCCAATGGGTAGTAAAAAGTATGATAAAGAATGTTGCAGGTAGCGACTAGCTGGGGCTGGTGGCACATGGGTAAAGGAATTTACCAAGACAATTGTAAGTGAAAAAAAAAGGCAGAATTATAGGAGAAAGTATGAAAATACGTTGCAAGGGTGCAATGGGCAGATCAGCAACAGAGGAGCTGACTGCAAGGAGACAAAAGTTTGCTGGGGATTTTATAAGATGGTGCTTGTGCTAGAGAGGGCTATGTGCTGTACTGATAACACCAAGATTGCAGTGAGCTAACTTGCATTTTTCTATCAGCCGAGGATCTGGTGATAAGTCAGTGCAGGAAGATTGTGAGTTATTCGTGCAGGAGGGCTACGTGTCCTGGACCATGAAGAAAGGCAGCCTTAAAGCTTATCTTCTTTTTCTTTTTACTTTCCCCTGCTCCCACCAGCCTAACTCCCCTTCCCTTATTAGGACTCCACATAGAATAAAATGTTCGTAGTCAAGTGAACTTGGAAAATACAGAATCAAACAAAGCTAAATGGGCTTCTTTCCTGCAGAACTTCCCAGGGGAAGTGTCATTGGAGTCTGTGGCAAGAGGAGGCCATCAGAAGCAGCTTTTTCCTCACTTTTTGGTCACCAATCCCTCCTTCACTTCCATCCCCATTTTTTTCCCCTCAGAGAGTCCCATGAACTTGGTTGCCCAAAACAGAGCGGCTTTAACGTTAACTAAAAGCAAAATGGTCAGAGCACCTCACCTCTATGAAAAGCACACTATAGGAACCCTACTGCAGTAGGCAGTGACTGTCAATGGCAGCTAAAGCTGTTAGATGAAAAGTCTCACAGGGAACTTAATCATAAATGAATCAGGCTGATGCCAACTGAACCCACCCATCAGTCCTAACATCACAAAAAGAGAGGCAGCGAGGCAGGATGCCTCCTGATGGGATGCAATGGGAAGTTCCTAGCACCTCCTATGAGGTTTTCTTGCCAAAAAATCCCACCTGATTATGCCTCTAGAGCTCACTACTATCTCTAAGAAATACAGAGGGAAGTGAAATATATTCACCAATGTCATGGGAATGCATTCAACAAAATCCAAAATCAGGGACATCTAAGGAACAAATGGCCAAGTTTCTTCAACAAATAAATGACAAGAAAGAAAGAAAAAAAAAAAAAAGGCAGCCTGGCCAACATGGTGAAACCCTTTCTCTACCAAAAAATACAAAAATTAGCTGGGTGTGGTGGTGTGTGCCTGTAGTCCCAGCTACTCGGGAGGCTGAGACACAAGAATCACTTGAACCCAGGAGACGGAGGTTGCAGTGAGCCAAGATCGTGCCATTGCACTCCAGCCTAGGTGACAGTGAGATCTTGCCTCAAAACAAACAAACAAAAAGGACGGTAGGGTAAATAATCAGATTTAGTCTTTTTAGATTTATAAGGCCTATCAACCAAATGCAGTATTTGAATCTTGATTTAAACAAATCAACTATTTTTAAAAACACATTAATGAAACAACCAGGGAAATGTCATAACTGGCTGGATTTTTGATTGTATTAAGAAATTATAGTTAAACTTTTAGGTGTGATTATAGTATTGTGGCAATGCAAAAAGAAAAGATTTTATTTTTAGAGATACATACTGAAGCATTCATGGATGAAAAGATATGCCTGGGATTTGCCTCAAAATAATTCAGTGTAAGGAAGGGAAAGAAAATGGATGGCAGAATAGAAGAAACAAGAATAGCCTTGAATTCATAATTGCTTGGAGATGGCTGTTCTATCTAATTTTGTATTGAATTTGAAATTTTCCATAAGAAGAAGTTTTTTAAAAAAAATACATTGCTAAGCAGCAAAATGTAGAGAAGGACCTAAAGCCTTGGACATGGGGTCTTAATTTTCTAATAATCCAACCTTTTGTAGATGTAGGATGTGGAAATTTCACCTAGAGATTATAAGACCAGGATTTTTATATTTGCTTTCCATCTTTTCTGTCAATTTTAGAAAAGGCAATACCATTAGAAAACAACAATACCATTTTCATAAAGCAGAATAGAGAGCTCCTTTAGAGTCAAGGAAAAATAAAAATTAAAGATAGGCTTTTTTCAGTACTCACTATGTGTGACATATTGTGTTTTGTATGTATTAATTTCCTGTTCAAAATCCTCTAATAGGCTGGGGACAGAGGCTCACGCCTATAATCCCAGCATTTTGGGAGGCCCAGGCAGGAGGATCATTTGAGGTCAGGAATTTGAGACCAGCCTGGCCAACATGGTGAAACCCTGTCTCTACTAAAAATAAAAAATTAAATTAGCCAGTTGTGGTGGTACACATCTGTAGTCCCAGATACTCAAGAGACTGAGGCAGGAGAATCGCTTGAACCCAGAAGGTGCAGTTTGCAGTAAGCTGAGATCACGCCACTGCACTCCAGCCTGGGTGGCAGAGCAAGACTGCATCTCAATAAAAATAAATAAATAAAATCAAAACCCTCTAATAGCTTCCTGCCCTTCTCAGAGTGAAATACAAATTCTTCACCATAGCCTGTGATGTTCAATATGACTTGGTACATAATACAGCTTTTCCTTCCTCCTACATTGGCCTCTTTCCATTCCTCAAACATGGTTAGTACTCTTCTGCCTCAGGATCTTTGTACTTGCTATTCACACTGCTTGAAATACTCTTTCCCAACCACCAATGACTGTGTGGCTTTCTCCCTCTTTCAGGTCAGACTTTCCCTGCCCACCTCCTTATGTAACACAGGTAGATGATCCCATCTACATACCATCACTCTCCTCCCCTTCATTCTTTTGCTCCTGTTTTATTTTTCTTCTTAGCACTTAGTATCCACTGAAAAAAAAATCTGTTGTCTGTCTCTCCCAAGTGGATTGCAAGCTCCATTAGATCTGGGGCTTTGTTTTATTCATGGAACAATGTTCTCAGATCAATGCCTTAAATATAGCAGCTGCTCATGAGATATTTATTGAATTAATTAATTAACTTAGCACATACAAAAACCTATTTGGTAAACATGCCCATGTATCTTTGGAGGCTGGAATTATGTGTTTCTATGGTGGCCAAGATCCTCTAGATTAGCTGTGTCTAGTTAAACTGCGCTAAGATGTCTGCAGAGCAGCTGAATGCCTTGCAGTGGAAGAAGACCACACTCCTGGCCTATACCAACCTAAGGGAGGGACAACTGGCCTAGGGCCCTGGCTGAGGCTGGGATGACTGTTCTTTTCTTGGGAAAAGTGAGATTCATGAAGGTCTAAATAAAGGGTGGCAGTACCTGTAGAAAATAAATTGGGAAGGAATGGCATAGCTGGATGGAGTGTTTGGGGGCTGCAAGAATGCTGTGGAGTCAGACTCTACAGATGGTTTGAGGTTTCCAAATTAATTCATTTTCAGGGAGAGTTAGAAGAGACACAGATGGATAGAAATTCTGAGTGGCAAACATCCCACTGAGCAATCCACTGTAGGAGAAATGGGCCCTGAAAACTGTCTAATGCATTTTGAAGAATTTCACTCTGTTGAACTCAAATGAAATATACAGACAAATCTCTGAAATTAAAATGTTTTATCTGGGAAGGAAGAATTGCAATTTGGGCCATACACACAGACCAGGTGGTCTTCACTGTGTCTGAAGAACAAAGAGAAGGTCAGAAGTTTTCTTTAAACGGAGAAATATTACATATTGCTCTTTGAGAAAGTTCATTGGCACTAGTAAGGTTTTAGGAAGCTGGCAAGTTTTGCTTGGTAAGTGATGGCAATGGGTAAAATAATTCTTCAAGTCACAGGAGGTAGTTTCGGTAGCTAGTAGATAAAACTGGCTTTAGGCTACAGCAGGCAGTTTCAGCAGCAGGGCTTGCAGAGAATTACATTCTTGGAGCAATGTTATGTGCCCTGAGAGCCTTCTCCCAGTGGCCTCTCAACTGTTTTAGTTGGGTAGAACAAAGATGACCCAATTTATTGATCAACTTTCACAACTCCTACCTGAGATGACCTTTTGAATTACTCTTCAGGTTACTATTTGAAGGAATCTTGAGTTTTCTCCAAAGGAATTCAGATAGCTAAGACACTCCTTTGGAACTCAAGTCAGATAACTGACCATACTCAAAAGCATGTTGAACACGCTTGCCTCGTAAAAAGAAAGGCTATTGATGATGGGGGTGAGGTGCCAGCATAGATCTGGGAACTGCAATACTCTGAGGTGCTAGACTTTGTGTGTTATGCTTCAGCCTGAAAACTGCAACAAAACTGTGTTTCCATCTGTAATAGGAGAAAGTAGTGAGTTTATTTGCTTCAGAGACAGCATAGTTGAAACAATAAAACCATGAGAAGGGCCTTGTGTTTTACCTATCAATTGCTTACTTTCTAAAATGTTGTACAACAAATAACTTGTTAGTGAATTGAATGTTTAAATCAATTAGGTATCCTGCTGTTTAAAAGCTTCCTATGGGAAATACTTTGGTAAACAATCACTAATTTATACTTTCAAAAATGAAACACATTACTATACTTTCAGTTTTCACATAACAAAGCAACTCTTTATTTATTTATTTATTTTAGATGGAGTCTCGCTCCGTCACCCAGGCTGGAGTGCTGTGTTGTAATCTTGGCTCATTGCAACCTCCACCTCCCAAGTTCAAGCGATTCTTCTGCCTCAGACTTCCGAGTAGCTGGGATTACAGGCATCCGCCACCACGCCTGGCTAATTATTTGTATCTTTTGTAGAGACGGGGTTTCACCATGTTGCCCACACTGGTCTCGAACTCCTGACCTCAGGTGATCCACCCACCTCAGCCTCCCAAAGTGCTGGGATTACAGACGTGAGCCACTGCACCCGGCCTATATAAGCCAGTTTCTGATCTGTAAACCATCTTGCTGAATGTGTGTCAGTTATGCCAAATAATCGTCTCTTGGCTGGGAAAAGATTTTTCGGCAGGTCCTCAAAGACAAGGACAGATGGCATTCTATTGGGGGTACTCTTTGTTTTAACAAATATTGACACTTTTGTAGGAAACTGATCCAGATCCTGTTTCTTCCTAACTCATCTTGGCAATCTTGAAGGTTTGAAGAGGTGTAGTTCAATAGAATTGTGAAAATGCACTTACCATTGAATTATAAAAAGACATACATCTTGAAGAATAATGTTCTTGGTTAATTGCTGCTTGTAAAAGTCACAAAGTAATAAATAATACTGGGACACTGTGATCACAAAGCACTTTCAAGCGGAAATGAGACAGGAAAGAAAGGGAGAGAGGAGAGGACAGAAGAAAAATGCTTCCTAAAAATTCAAATTGCTATATGAAACTTTTTAAAATTTTATTTTTATTGTTTTTGCGACAAGATCGGCTCTGTCACCCAGGCGGGAGTGCAGTGGTGCAATCTCAGCTCACTGCAACCTCTGCCTCCAGGGCTTAAGTGATCCTGCCACCTCAGCCTTCTGAGTAGCTGGAACTACAGGTGCGCACCACCACACCCAGCTAATTTTTGTATTTTTTGTAGAGATGGGGTTTTGCCATATTTGCCCAGACTGGTCTTGAACTCCTGGACTCAAATGATCTGCCCACCTCAACCTCCCAAAGTGCTGGGATTACAAGCGTGCGCCACTACCCCCAGCCTGAAACTTTTTTTAAAAAAACCCTTTTCAACCTAGATGTTAGTAATAGCAAGGTTACGGTAGTGTGCCTAGAAAATCAGGGAATATTTACTGTAATTCAAAATTCGCATGTACTGTTTTTCTTGTTTGTTTGTTTTTGAGATGGAGTCTTGCCTTGTCGCCTAGGCTGGAGTGCAGTGATGCAATCTCGGCTCACTGCAATGTCCGCTTCCTGGGTTCAAGTGATTCTCCTGACTCAGCCTCCTGAGTAGCTGGGATTACAGGCGTGTGCCACCACCCCAGCTAATGTTTGTAGTTTTAGTAGAGATGGGGTTTCACCATGTTGGTCAGGCTGGTCTCGAACTCCTGACCTCAAGTGATCCGCCTGCCTCAACCTCCTAGAGTGCTGAGATTACAGGCACGACCCACCATGCCTGACCCAATAACTTCTGTTATAAAAGCCTTAGGTTTGTGTTTTGCTGCAGCCTTGTTGGGGGTGGGAGGAGAAGGATAAAATGAAGATGGCACAGATCAACCTTGAAGGTGAGACAGGGACAGAAGAAAGGATTCAAGTGGTTTTCTCAGACAAGAACCCACTGTCAGTGCCAAACCATCTCCTGTGTTCATGCTCCATCATGCTGGACAAGTGCTGGCCCAGAGTGGCAGTATCTCAATGCCCTGCTTCAGCAGTACTCCCTCCTGTACCTTTGCTCCAAGGCTACCTTGAACTCAGCGGCACCCAGAGTCCCCCAGTTTTTACTCAGGGAAAGAGTTCATTTTTTTCCCAGCTTTATTGAGGTGTAATTGACAAATTAAAATTCTATATATTGAAGGTATACAATATGATGTCTTGATATATGATATACATTGTGAGATGATTACCACATCAAATGAATAAACACATCCATCACCTAACTAACGCAATTAGTTACCATTTACGTGTGTGAGTGTAGTGAAGACACTTCAAATCTATTCTCAATGCAAATTTCAAGTAAACAATACAGTATTATTAACTATTATCATCATGCTGTACATTAGATTCTCAGAACTTACTCATCCTATAACAACGTTTGTACCCTTTAACCAACCTCCTAGCCCCTGGAAACCACCAATCCATTCTCTGCTTCTATGAGTTTGACTTTTTTTTTTTTAACGATTCAACACATTTAGCTGGGTGTGGTGGTTTATGCCTGTAGTCCTAGCTACTCAGGAAGCTGAGGCAGGAGGATCGTTTTGGGCCCAGGCATTTGAGGCTGCAGTAAGCTATGACTGCACCACTGTACTCCAGCCTGGGCAACAGAGTAAGACCCTGTCACTCAAAAAAATTTTTTTAATTAAAAAAATTTTAAAGATTCTACACATAAGTGAAATCATACAGTATCTGTCTTTCTGTGTTTGGCTTATTTCATTTGGCATAATGTCCTCCAGATTCATCCATGTTGTGCCAAATAACGGGAGTTCCTTCTTCTTTATGGCTGAAGAATATTCCAAGACTGGACATGGTGGCTCATGCCTGTAATCCTAGCACTTTGGGAAGCTGAGGCAGGAGGATCGCTTGAGCCCAGGATTGGAGACCAGCCTGGGCAATATGGCAAAACTTTGTCTCTACCAAAAATACAAAAATTAGCCAGGCATAGTGGTGTGCACCTATAGTCCCAGCTACTTGGGAGGCTGAGGTGGGCCCAGGAGGCAGAGGTTACTGTGAACAATGGAGATTGCTCCATTGCACTCCAGCCTGGGCGACAGAGCCAGAACCTGTCTCGAAAGAAAAAATATATGTATGTATAGATACACACACACACACACACACACACACACACACACATACATATATTCCATAGAAATAGTTCTTATGTAGGCTGGGCACAGTGGCTCACGCCTGTAATCCCAGCACTTTGGGAGGCCGAGGTGGGCGAACCACGAGGTCAGAAGTTTGAGACCAGCCTAGCTAACATGGTGAAACCCCATCTCTACCAAAAATACAAAAAAATTAGCCGGGCATGGTGGCACGCGCCTATAATCCCAGCTACTCGGGAGGCTGAGGCTGGAGAATCGCTTGAACCTGGGAGGCAGAGGTTGCAGTGAGCTGAGATAGCACCACTGCACTCCAGCCTGGGTGACAGAACAAGACTCCGTCTCAAAAAAAAAAAAAAAAAAAAAAAAAGGAAATAGTTCTTATGTAATAACAAGAACAAAATAAAAAGGGAAGGAAAATAAAAAACATATCTGTATTAGTTTCCCTGGAATGCCATAACAAATGACCACAAACTTGGTTGCTTAAGATAACAGAAATGGGCCGTGTGTGGTGGCCCACGCCTGTAATCCAAGCACTGTGGGACGCCAAGGCGGGTGGATCACCTGAGGTCAGGAGTTCCAGGCCAGCCTGGCCAACATGGTGAAATCCTGTCTCTATTAAAAATACAAAAATTAGCTGGGCATGGTGGCATGCACCTGTAATCCCAGCTACTTGGAAGGCTGAGACAGGAGAATTGCTTGAACCAGAGAAGTAGAGGTTGCAGTGGGCTGAGATAGTGCCACTGCACTCCAGCCTGGGCAACAGAGCAAGACTCTGTCTCAGAAAAAAAAAAAAAAAAAGACAACATAAATGTATTCTCTCATAGTTCCAGGGCCCAGAAGTCTGAAATTAAGGTGCCAGCAGGGCTGAAGTCTCTAAGGAAGGATCCTTGCTTGCCTCTTACAGTGTCTGGTGGCTCCTGGCATTCCTTGGCTTGGGACAGCATCACTCCAATCTCTGCCTCTGTCTTCATATCACCTGCTTCTTTGTGTCTTTGTGTGAGTTTTTCTGTCTCTTATAAGGCACTCTCATTAGATTTGTGACCCATACTAATCCAGTATGATTTTATCTCCATCCTTACCTTAGGGTTATGTCTGCAAAGACTCTATTTCCAAATAAGGTCATATTTTGAGGTTGAGGTGAATGTGAATTTGAGGATGGGAGGTATATTCAACCCACTACAATAGCATAGACACATTTGTTCAGCAAACTAAAATTATAACTAGCATTTATCTTTTTAGAAAGCAGATAGAAGGCAGGCAGAGGTTGAGGGGGCTCAGAAGTGGGCCTAGATGGCTGGGGAGTCTCACCTTCTGTTCTGTTCCTGCCTTCTGACAATCAGAAGGCTGCTGCCTGGTTAAGATCAGATAGAGATTCCACAGAGCTGATCATAAAACTAGGAATTAGATAAAGCCAGCAAGGACAAAGAAACAGTTGAAAAGGAATTGTTTAATGATGTGAATTACTAAAGAGAGTATTATAGCTGCTACCAAAAATATAAATGCGCTTAAGGGAGATGATTAAACAATTGAGAGAATTCAGGTGCTAAATTAATGGTCAATTCAAATATAAAAACCCATCAACTTTATTAAATACTGATCAGGGTCACTGGCCTCAAAACTTAGGTTTTTTTCTAGCAAAGGAGCAATAATTAGGCCCTCTGCCAACTGTGCTTCTGTTAATTTTCAGTTATGGGTGCTTGGTTTTCTACCTTGTAAATAATCAGCGACTTTGCCCACAGTCCAACTTACTTACGTGCAGCTTTCCTACTATCAAGTAGTGTGCAATTAGGGAAAGAAGATCAATATGAGTGTCACACGTTCACAACGTCATCCGGCAGATACATGTACTGACAAAAAGAGTAAGATGCATCCCAAAGCCAGAGAGAGGCCTTTCAAATTCTTCCTCCATCTGGAGATTTAATCAAGAGTAGAGCAAAATATCTTCTGCTTTCTTTTCCAAATCTATGTGGTGGTGCTTTTAGGGCTGAAAGCCACAGAGTTAAGCAAGAACACCAGAGTTTGGTCATTATCTAGCGTAATTCCTCACTTGTTGCCAGGGCTTTCAGAGACACTCAAGGTGCAAAGGGAACTTAGAAATCTGTCCAGTTCAAGTCCTCACTGTGAAGGTGAGCGGCTCTGAGGTCCAGAGATGTAGTAGGTGTTCCTTCTAAAATGACTTGCTTGTGCCAAACTATGAGACCTAAACCCCAAGCTCTTTCCACAATATACCCCACTTTGACCATTCTCACCAGGCAGCATTTCCTAAACACCTAGACTGTCAGGGCAAAGTGCTGCTCTACCATGAACAAGTCATTGAGGTTTGTGTTAGTGTATTAATTCACTATGAGTGGCTAAAAGAATATGTTTAGTCAAAAAAAAAAAAAGCAAGATACCCAGTAGGTGTTGAATAAGTGGTTTTCAAATGAATGGAATACAGAATAAAACCCAAGGACAGTAACTTATCACATGTGGCAAAGATAGCCATCTATGCTCTCTTCTTGGTCTTGGGCAGAGTTAGGGCTTCCTTGCAGCCTCCCTTTGTTACTAGCAGTGAATCCATATGGGTCTGCAGCAACCTCAATTCTTGCCTCCTCAGAAGAAAGAATGCAAACAAGGGGGAATAAGACAGAGTGAGAGACTGAGGCAAGTTTTAGAGAAGGAATGAAAGTTTATTAAAAAGTTTTGGGAAAGGAATGCAAGGACATAAAGTATACTTGGAAGAGGGCCAAGCAGACAACTTGAGAGATCAAGTGCATGGTTTGACCTTTGACTTCAAGTTTTCTGTGTTGGCATACTTCTGAGGTCTTGCTGGTACTTCTCCCCTGATTATTCCCTTGAGGTGGGCTGTCAGCATGTGCAGTTCTGCCAGCACTTGGGAGGGGCTGCGGGAGCAGTGTGTTTACTGAAGTTGTATGCATGCTCACTTGAGGCCTTCCTAGAGGAAGATCATATAGCAGTTAAATGCTGCCATTTTGCCTCTTAGGGCACATGCGTGAGCCCACTCACTCAACTCCTGAGATCGTATTGGGAAGCTGCTGATCACCGGTTTCAGGTTTTCCTATCTGTTGGGAGACGGCCTTTCCCTGGTGTCGGCTGTGACCAATTATTATTTTAGAGAGACAGTTAACCATCACCTGACATTCCTGGTGGGGAAAGGGAAGCCCTCTCCTGCCCTGTTCATGTCTGACTAGCTACCTACTGTAACACCTCGCCACTTAGGTGTGGCCCTGTGGCCTGGTTCTGGCCAATGAAGTATGAAGTGGAAGTCATGAACACCACTTCCCAGCCTGGCCCATACAAACCTCCCGTGCTTGATTTTCACTCGCTCCATCCACTGGCTGAATGGACAGGACTCTGAGGATCCAGAGGAGCCCAGAGCCACAATAAAAAAAGAGGCTCTGTCCTCAAACGACTTTAAAGGACACGGTCTCCCTTTATCTTACACCCTTTTTCTGAAGTATAAAATAAGCAAGAGGCCAGGTGCAGTGGCTCACGTGAGCTTGTAAACCCAGCACTTTTGGGAGGCCAAGGCTGGAGGATCACTTGAGCCCAGGAGTTCAAGACCAGCCAGGGCAACACAGCAAGACCTTGTCTCTATTGAAAAATACAAAAATTAGCTGGGTGCGGTGGTGTGTGCCTATAGTCCCAGCTACTCGGGAGGCTAAGGTTGGGGGGCATGGCTTGAGCCTGCAAGGCAGAGGTTAGAATGAGCCAAGATCGTGCCACTGCTTTCCAGCCTGGGTGACAAAGCCAGACCCTGTTGGGTTAAAGCACTGAGATTTGGGGATTGTTATAGTGGCTATCCCATCCTGATTAGTGCACTACGCTTGTGTGGGTTGTTAAACAGAACCAGATCCAGCACTTTGGATCTGATGGACAGGACAAAAGTTGCCAATGGTAGTTCCCCTTTGCTTCCAAATGATGTATGCTGTAACCCCCACTGATCAGCCTGACTCCGAGGTCCCCTAGACCCCTTTTCTTTATTCCTTTTCCATCCTCTGCACACACACACACACACACACAAACACACACACACACACACAGAGTGCAATCGCAAACCCTGGAACCTTAACCTGAGTGTAAGAATTCCAGTTCACACCAAAGAGACTAGGTGGGAGTCAGCAAGCCTACTTAGCTTGTGATTTCCCTGGGACAAGCCTGGTCCTAAATATGTTTCTCATATGAGGAGTCCCAGACTCCTCAATCAGTGGCATGCATTTCACCCTCTACACATCCTGCTTCCCTAATAAGACCACAAGCTCTTGCCTTGACAGTCTTTGTATCCCAGGGACTGTCACCAATGGATGCTTAAAATATGTCTTTGAAAGTAAACAAGGCTGGCATGAATCAATAGGAATCAAAAGCATGCAGGAATCACCAAAGAGCCAAGCAACAAGATAAAGTGCTTTAAATACAGTTAGTTGTTTTTGTGTAAAAGATCAAGAAAGGCATCGTATGAAGGGGCAAAATCCAATACTTCATTTCTTCTGACACTTTGCAGAGAAGAGATTTTGGCAGATTTTACACTTTCCAAAGCTGTGGAAAGAATGCTTGGTTGAAGAAGGGCATTCCCTCTTGCAAAAGGAGGAGGCTGAGTCATGAACAAACAAGCAAAACAGTGCAGAGGAGTGGCGGACGGCAGCAGAAAGTTGACAGATTGTGAATTTCAATTCTGACTCTGCCGTTTATTGAGGGCATTTCCTTAGGCAGAGGGTGGCGTGTCCCTGAGCCTCAGTGTCCTCATCTAGACTATATGAAATGGAGATAATTTTAGGAACTCTGGCCAGAGCTCCTAAAACCCTTGTAACTTCCTAAGTGATAAGAGTGATAAAAGCGGCCAGGCGCGGTGGTTCATGCCTGTAATCCCAGCACTTTGGGAGGCTGAGGTGGGTGGATCATGAGGTCAGGAGTTTGAGACCAGCCTGGTCAATATGGTGAAACCCTGTCTCTACTAAAAATACAAAAATTAGCCAGGCATGGTGGCAGGCGCCTGTAGTCTCAGCTACTCAGGAGGCTGACGCAGAAGAATCGCTTGAACCCAGGAGGCAGAGGTTGCAGTGAGCTGAGATCGTGCCAGTGCACTCCAGCCTGGGCGACAGAGCAAAACTCTGTCTTAAAATAAATAAATAAATAAATAAATAAATAAATAAATAAATAAATAAAAGCATCTTTTGTTATGATATTTGGTTTTTATCCCTGGCTACCCTACTTCACAAAGGTGCTGTAAGGAATAAATGCACAAAAAGGGGCCAGCGCAGAGCAGGGTTCAGTACGTCGTAGCTACTATTGTGAATACTATGTGCAAGCACTTAGTGATCATCGTCATCATAATGTCCAAAGCAACTTTAAAGTCAAACTTTCGGAAGATTATAAACTAACCAGAAAAAAGCATAAACTCATCCTCTGCATTAAGTATCAGTTGATTCTTCATCACCAAGATCGGTATTACACAGCAAATCAGTTCATTCATAAAGCTATTCTCTTGCGAAAGCCTTTGGCAAAATGTCCCAAGAATTTTAATTCTAGTGACTACGCCTGTTTTAAAATTAGCTATACTTAATTCTCCCTCCTAGATGATACAATGTATATCTTAATTTATGTCTTGGACTTTAACAGGCTATTTTGCTTAATCATGGAATTTCTACCACAAATTTAAATTTCCTGTGGCTAATATTAACAGACACTTTCTAAAAGAAGGATGTCAAGGTTTTGACCTGTTTTCTTTCTTGCTGATTTGGATAGATGCTGTGATCTTGTGATATAATGAGAAATATATCTTTGGCTGGGTGCCATGGCTCAAGCCCATAATCCCTGCACTTTGGGAGGCTGAGGTGGGTGGATCACTTGAGTCTACGAGTTCAAGACCAATCTTGGCAACACAGAGAGACCCCATCTCTACAAAAACTACAAAAATTAGCCTCATGTGGTCCCAGCTACTCAGGAGACTGAGGTGGGAGGATCTCTTTGGGAGGGTCTCTTCAGCCTGGGAAGCAGGGGGTGCAGTGAGTCAAGACTGCACCACTGCACTCCAGCCTGAGTGACAGAGAGAGACTCTGTCTCAGAAAAAAAAAAAAAAAAAAAAAAAAAAAAGAAAGAAAAGAAAAGAAAAAAAAAAAAAAAACTCCAAACCCACCATATATACATAGGTCTTTGGTCTTTGTCTCTGGCTCCCGGCCAGAGCGCCTAAAACCCTTAAAACTTACAATGTGATAAGAGTGGGAGAGGAAAGGGGCTAGAGATTGAGTTCAGTCCCCAAAGACTAATGAATTAATCAGTCATGCCTGCAAGACTGGTGTGTGGTGGCTCATGCCTCTAATCCCAGCACTTCTGGAGGCCAAGACAAGCAAATCACTTGAGGCCAGGAGTTCGAGACCAGCCTTGCCAATGTGGCGGAACCCTATCTCTACTAAAAATACAAAAAAAAAAAAAAAAAAAAATTAGCCTGGCATGGTGGTACATGCCTGTAGTTCCAGCTACTAGGGGAGGCTGAGGCACGAGAGAATCACTTGAACCCAGGAGGTG
Organism: Homo sapiens; assembly: GCF_000001405.40. Classification (NCBI taxonomy): domain Eukaryota; kingdom Metazoa; phylum Chordata; class Mammalia; order Primates; family Hominidae; genus Homo; species Homo sapiens. The sequence goes on from NC_000007.14 coordinate 26,145,766, forward strand.
GAGGTTATAGTGAGCCAAGATTGCGCCACTGCACTCCAGCCTGGGCAATAGAGCAAGACTCTGTTTAAAAAAAAAAAAAAATCATGCCTACACAATGAAGACTTCATAAAAAATAAATAAACAGATAAATAAAAGGACAGGGTTTGGAGACCATCTGGGTTGACGCACTCATAGAGATGCTGGGAGGGTGGTGCACCTGGAGAAGTTATGGAAGCTCCGTGCCCCTTCCCCATACCTTGCCCTATGTGTCTCTTCCATTTATTGTATCTTTTATAACAAACCTGTAAACATGAGTAAATGTTTCCAAGTGTTGTGAGCCATTCTAGCAAATTATTGAACCTGAGAAGGGGGTTGTGGGAACCCCCAGTGTATAGCCCATCAGTCAGAAGTTCAGAAGGCACAGATGAGATTGGCATCTGAAGTGAGGTCTCATGCTAACCCCAGGCAGATAGTGTCAGAATTGAATTGAGTTGGAGGACACCATGTTGATGACCCCAGATAACTGGAATCAAAGAATTGCTTGGTATCGAAAACCCACACATTGGTTGTCAGAAGTGTTGTGTGAGAGTATAGAAAGGAGGAAAAAAGATTTTTCTATTTAGAGGTCTACAAGAAATTGCCATGTTTTGTTCATCTCATACCAGGTAGGGGTGGCCATGTTTTAGTGGTTACTATCTTTCATGGCAAGTTATAATTTCACGTTTAAAGGGTTAAGCCCTTTAAATATATCTAGGGACTAGAATGTACTACTGTAAAGTTACTTCCTAGTTATAAATTATTCATTGACTATATCATTAACTGTATGGCACAACTGCAGTTACATTTTCAGCTTTTCCTTCTACTTGACTGATGTCTACCTCTTTTTCTTTTTTAAATAGAAACAGGATCTCACTATGTTGCCCAGGCTGGTCTTGAACTCCTGGACTCAAGACTGGAGGTCCACCTCTTTTTTTTTTTTGCAGACAGAGTCTCGCTCTGTCACCCAGGCTGGAGTGCAGTGGTGCAATCTTGGCTTACTGCAACCTCTACCTCCCGGGTTCAAGCAATTCTCCTGCCTCAGCCTCCAGAGTAGCTGGGACTACAGGCACATGCCACCACACCCAGCTAATTTTTTGTATTTTAGTAGAAACAGGGTTTCACCGTGTTGCCCAGGCTAGTCTCGAACTCCTGAGCTCAGGCAATCCACCCGCCTCAGCCTCCCAAAGTGCTAGGATTACAGGCGTGAGCCACTGTGCCCGGCGAGGTCCACCTCTTACACAAGGTATACAAGTTATCTATGACTATGTAGCAAATTACTCAAAAATGTAGTGACTTCAAACAACATTTATTATCTTAAGTTTATTTCTGGGTCAGGAATCCATGTGCAGTGTAGTCCTCTTGCTCAGGGCCTTTCACAAAGCTGCAATCAAAGAGTTGGCATGGGCTAGAAGCCAACTTAGTCACTTCAAGCCTCAACTGGAGAAGGATCAGCTTCTAAGCCTACTCAAGTGGCTGCTGGCAGGCCTCAGCTTCTCTCTCACTGGATATTGGCCTTGCCACATGAGCCTCTACATAGGACTCCTTAAAACATGGTAACTTCCCTGCTGGGCATGGTGGCTCATGCCTGCAATCCCAGGACTTTGGGAGGCCAAGGTGGGTGGATCACCTGAGGTCAAGAGTTCGAGACCAGCTTGGCCAGGGAGAGCTTGGCCTCTGCCTCTGCCTCTGCCTCTCCCTCTCCCTCTCCCTCTCCCCACAGTCTCCCTCTCCCTCTCTTTCCACGGTCTCCCTCTGATGCTGAGCAGAAGCTGGACTGTACTGCTGCCATCTCGGCTCACTGCAACCTCCCTGCCTGATTCTCCCGCCTCAGCCTGTCGAGTGCCTGCGATTGCAGGCGCGCACTGCCACACCTGACTGGTTTTCGTATTTTTTTGGTGGAGACGGGGTTTCACTGTGTTGGCCGGGCTGGTCTCCAGCTCCTAAACGCGAGTGATCCACCAGCCTCGGCCTCCCGAGGTGCCAGGATTGCAGACGGAGTCTCGTTCACTCAGTGCTCAACGGTGCCCAGGCTGGAGTGCAGTGGCGTGACCTCGGCTCGCTACAACCTCCACCTCCCAGCCGTCTGCCTTGGCCTCCCAAAGTGCCAAGATTGCAGCCTCTGCCCAGCCGCCACCCCTTCTGGGAAGTGAGGAGCGTCTCTGCCTGGCCACCCATCATCTGGGATGTGAGGAGCCCCTCTGCCTGGCTGCCCAGTCTGGAAAGTGAGGAGCGCCTCTTCCCGGCCGCCATCCCGTCTAGGAAGTGAGGAGTGTCTGCCCGGCCGCCCATTGTCTGAGGTGTGGGGAGCGCCTCTGCCCCGCCGCCCCGCCCCGTCTGGGAGGTGAGGAGCGTCTCTGCCCGGCCGCCCCGTCTGGGAAGTGAGGAGCCCCTCCGCCCGGCAGCCGCCCCGTCTGAGAAGTGAGGAGCCCCTCCACCCGGCAGCCGCCCCGTCCGGGAGGGAGGTGGGGGGGTCAGCCCCCGCCCGGCCAGCCGCCCCCTCCGGGAGGGAGCTGGGGGGTCAGCCCCCGCCCGGCCAGCCGCCCCCTCCGGGAGGGAGCTGGGGGGTCAGCCCCCGCCCGGCCAGCCGCCCCCTCCGGGAGGGAGCTGGGGGGTCAGCCCCCGCCCGGCCAGCCGCCCCGTCCGGGAGGGAGGTGAGGGGCGCCTCCGCCCCGCCAGCCGCCCCGTCCGGGACGAGGGGGGGGTGCCTCTGCCCGGCCGCCCCTTCTGAGAAGTGAGCAGCCCCTCTGCCCGGCCACCACCCCGTCTGGGAGGTGTACCCAACAGCTCATTGAGAACGGGCCATGATGACAATGGCGGTTTTGCGGAATAGAAAAGGGGGAAAGGTGGGGAAAAGATTGAGAAATCGGATGGTTGCTGTGTCTGTGTTGAAAGAAGTAGACGTGGGAGACTTTTCATTTTGTTCTGTACTAAGAAAAATTCTTCTGCCTTGGGATCCTGTTGATCTGTGACCTTACCCCCAACCCTGTGCTCTCTGAAACATGTGCTGTGTCAACTCAGGGTTAAATGGATTAAGGGCGGTGCAAGATGTGCTTTGTTAAACAGATGCTTGAAGGCAGCATGCTCGTTAAGAGTCATCACCACTCCCTAATCTCAAGTACCCAGGGACACAAACACTGCGGAAGGCCGCAGCGTCCTCTGCCTAGGAAAACCAGAGACCTTTGTTCACTTGTTTATCTGCTGACCTTCCCTCCACTATTGTCTTATGACCCTGCCAAATCCCCCTCTGCGAGAAACACCCAAGAATGATCAATTTAAAAAAATAATAATAAAATTAAAAAAAATACAAAACAGCTGGGCTGGGCGTGTTGGTGGGCGCCTGTAATCCCATCTACTCAGGAGGCTGAGGCAGGAGAATTGCTTGAACCTGGGAGGCAGAGGCTGCAGTGAGCCAAGATCGCGCCATTGCACTCCAGCCTGGGCAACAAGAGCAAAACCTCATCTCAAAAAAAAAAAAGAAAAAACAAAAAAAAAACAACAACCATGGTAGCTTCCTTCCCCCAGAGTGAGGGCTCCAAGAGGGAGAAAGTGGGAGAGAGGGTAAGCAAGATAAAAGCCACTCCATCTTTTTGTAATCTAAACTCAGAAATGAAAGCCCACCATTTTTGCCATATTTTGTTTATTAGAAGCACATCACCAGGTCTAGCCCACACTAGGGAATATAGGGAAGGGAATAATCACTGGACATTATCTTGGGAGTTGCCTACCCTACCAGGATGCCATTTAAGGTGGTGCTTCTCAAACTAACCCTTTGAAGAATCAACTTTAAAAAAATTTTTTCAATTTGTTGCAAGTCAGCACTTTTGTCAAATAAAATAGAAATTCATTTCTAGAAAAATGAAATTACAAAGGCATTTAAAAAACCCAAAACCTCAGCTCATCTGTTGATGTTGTAATGATGTCAAATTGCTATAAAAATTTCTTTAGGCCAGGCATGGTGGCTCACACCTGTAATTGCAGCAGTTAGGGAGGCTGAGGCAGGAGGATCGCTTGAGCCCAGGAGTTCAAGACAGGCCTGGGCAACACAGCAAGACTCCATCTCTACAAAAAAAAATTTTTTTTTCTTTAAATTCTCAATTCTATTACTTATCTCATTTGGATCAGAAGCAAATAGTTTACACATGAGCATCAGTTTCAGGTCAACCTTTGAGTAGCACTGATTTCAGGATTTTATGAATGCAGATGACTTTTCAAGGCTTTTACAAGACAATGGTTTGGACTTTTCACTTGGCTATTCCTAGATGGAGGATTCTAGAAATAAACCTAAAGAGAAGTTTTTCCTTCTAATTTCATTCCATTCTCCCCATGCTCCTAAAAGTGGGACTTTTTATTGTGAGTAAAGTCAAGGGTATGTAGGATTGTCTCCTGGTTAACACTTTCCTGCAAGGTCTTTTAGGTACCCTTGTTCTTCCCACCAGTCAAGAGCCAGAGTTAAGCCATGCTTTTGAAGTGTATAGTCTGAAAGATATTTAACACTATGATTACCAATTCACATTGTAAAATGGTGAGGGGTTAGCCCACTTCCCAACAAATGTTAGAAGTTTGTATGTGCTTCCTGTTCCCAGTCTATTCAGATTTCTCAAAATACATCTCAAGTGTAACCTCCTCAATTCAACTAATATTTTTTTTGAGCATCAACTGTGTGTAAGATTCTGGAGGGCACCGCCTTGAAGAAGGCACCGCCTCTACTCTCAATAGTTTTAGAGCTCCCTATATAAACCTTGAAGTAATTTACATCTAAGTATTTTGGCAATTGAGTACATTATTTCTCTTGTTTCTTAGTGTCTCACAAATTTTTATCTCATCTCCCTAGTAAAACCATAAGCTTACGGAAGGAAAGAACTCCGTTTCATATCCTTCATGCCTCCAGCACAGCCTCAGGCAGTTAGTAGGTTCTCAGTAAAAAGCTGAAGGCAGCATTTACTAAGCTGAGACTCTAAATCCGCTGTTCAAAGACTAAATGCTGTGAACGGGGTCTTGATAACCTGGCAATCACCTTTCTTCATCCTCTTTGCCACCCCAACCCATCTTCCAAGGCTTAACACAGAGGAAGCAACTTTCCTCTGCTCCCCTGTTTCTGCTCCCCTGGTCCCCATTCTTTTCTCTTCTTACTACACTAGCCCAGGAGAGAGATGAGAAAGCCAGGTGGAGGGAGGGGCCTTTTAAAACAAGTCTTGCTCAACTTTTTACACAACTGCCCATTCTCAGTTGGGCATCCCCTCCTGTCCCCTTTTCTTCCAAGGAAGGGAGCTAAGGTTAGTAAAACCTACCCTTGCAAGGCCCAGTGCTGGGTACTGTGCATGGACAAAGGTGAACCAAACAGGTTCCTTGTCCTCAAGAATTTACAATGGGCAAATCAGACCGATTCTCATCTACAACACAGAGTTGAATGGGCCAACTGTTACAATGTTGGCAAACGGAGAAATCACGGTGCAACAGATGGGGGAGAGATTAATGCCAACTGGTGAAAATTCAGAGGATGTAGCTTTGGAGCTAAGCCTTGAGGGTGAGTAACACAAACAATGGGTAGCAGGGAGCACTTCCTACCCATGCAGTGCTGTGGTCGGTGGTTTACATGCATTATCTCATTTGGGGCTCACAAAAGGTCTGCTGGGGAGGTGCTATTATTAGTCTCATTTTACAGTGAGAAAACTGAGGCACAGAGAAAAGGAGAGATTTGTCCAAGGTCGCCCCTCAAGTGGAGGGGGGACTTGAACTCACTCAGGGTAACTGTAGAGCTGGTGCTGTCAACCCTCAAGGAAACAACGGATAAGGAGCAAAGGATACCGAGAGGAGGTCTAGCACTATGCAGAGCACGCCCAGAGAAGAGAGAGGGGTCTGTGAGGCTGGGACTGGGGTGTGCGGAGTGGTGGGATGACTGATCCCAATGGCAACGGTGGAATTTATATGTGAAACTCCGAACTTTACACGAAATATTTCATCTGACCTCAACACATCCCTGTTTGACAGGCTCTATGATCCCCATTTTACAGATAGCGGAACTGAGACAGAGAGGTTACTCTTGCCCACTCTGCCCGCCAAGTGTCCTCACGTTGGGGTGGAAGCCCGTTGCAAGCTGCCAGGCCCCTCGTAGCTGCCCAGTCACTCTCCGCCCAGTCTACACATCCTGTCCCTTCCCACCCAGCTACCCACCACCTAGCCCTCCACCCCAACTCCCGCCCTTGGCTTTCAGCAAGGATGGCCCAGCTCACGGCCACAGGGTGGCAAGGGGCCACTTGGTGCCCAGAACAACTTCTGCTCCCAGAAAGCCTTGCGTTCCCCGGACATAAAGAGGCTTTGAGCTCGGGGAGCCCCGCCCCGTGCGGCCCCTCCCACGGGCGCGGGCCCCGGGCGGCAGGGGGCGTGTTCCTGTCGGCTGCGCCCGCGGCCGGGGGCGGAGCTTGGCCACCGCGCCGGGCTGCGGGCGGCTGGGCGAACGGGCTCGGCGCTCAGGTGGCTCCTTCTTCGCTTCTCCCGATCCCCGGCGGTGCCAGGCACGGTGCCGGCTGCCGAGGGAACGCCTTTGTGCCCGGTGCTGGGAACCCGCGACGGCCGCCACGCGCCCCGGTCCATTGTTTCGCTTATCTGGGTTCCAGGCAGGTGCGGGCGGCGCGCGGGGTCCGCACGTGTCACCCCGGCGGCTGGGGCGCCGGGACCCGCGGGCGCCGGCAGGGGCGTTCCCGGGCGCGCGGCGGCGATGAAGCACCTGAAGCGGTGGTGGTCGGCCGGCGGCGGCCTCCTGCACCTCACCCTCCTGCTGAGCTTGGCGGGGCTCCGCGTAGACCTAGATCTTTACCTGCTGCTGCCGCCGCCCACCCTGCTGCAGGACGAGCTGCTGTTCCTGGGCGGCCCGGCCAGCTCCGCCTACGCGCTCAGCCCCTTCTCGGCCTCGGGAGGGTGGGGGCGCGCGGGCCACTTGCACCCCAAGGGCCGGGAGCTGGACCCTGCCGCGCCGCCCGAGGGCCAGCTGCTCCGGGAGGTGCGCGCGCTCGGGGTCCCCTTCGTCCCTCGCACCAGCGTGGATGCATGGCTGGTGCACAGCGTGGCTGCCGGGAGCGCGGACGAGGCCCACGGGCTGCTCGGCGCCGCCGCCGCCTCGTCCACCGGAGGAGCCGGCGCCAGCGTGGACGGCGGCAGCCAGGCTGTGCAGGGGGGCGGCGGGGACCCCCGAGCGGCTCGGAGTGGCCCCTTGGACGCCGGGGAAGAGGAGAAGGCACCCGCGGAACCGACGGCTCAGGTGCCGGACGCTGGCGGATGTGCGAGCGAGGTAGGTGCAGAGCGGGAAGCGAGCGAAGTGCGGCGTCTACGCCGCCGGGAGCCCCCGAGGCTTGTGTCGGATCTGAGCAGGGGCCACTCTCGCTGTGTCCTGGCACCCTTAGCCCCTGGTCTTTGCAGGTTCGCAGATGCTGCTGCTCTGATTCCGAATGAAGGGCTACTAGTGCTGTCGCTGTGGTTTTTAGGTGTTTAAGGAAGAAGTGGACGAAATCATCCGTTTGGTTATAGAGAATACCTTTCCTTGTGTGTGATGGCTGGCAAGAGTAGTTCGGGGATGGGGAGGGGAGAAGCAATGCCCACTGTCTTCGCTCAGTACCTCATGTACACTGGGGTGTCGTTCTCTGGGACCCGTGCCCGACCTGGACGATGTGAAGGAGGCCGTGACCTCTGGGAGGATGCATGTTTTTAAGAACGACTCTCCCGGCCTAACGCAAGGACCTTCGCCCTGTTTTCAGCCCAATTGCTGTTCGTTTTTGCTGCTTCCCTGGATTAAGGAGCCATGGTCAGGGTCTATTCAGAGGCCAGCCGGCAGGCGGTCCCCCTGTGACCTAACCATCCCCTGCACCTAGCAATCCTCCTTCCTGGAATTTGTGTAACCTCTTATTAGCATAACGAAAACAGGTACCTTGGCAGTCACTTAGTGACTAACAAGTTCCCTTTGGTTTATGGGTCCAAACCCTTCTCTGGCTTAACTTCTTTCTGAAACCAAGTTTACCAAGATCTGTTGCTTGAAACATCTGGTGCTCCCCATGGAACGTTTGAGTTCAGTCTAATGACACTTTAACACCAGTTTCCACAAAACCACTTTACCCAAAGTTCCTTCCAGGGGACTTTTAAAATTCTGTCTTGGCTCAAACTTTAGTGTTTGCAACTGGTAACGATCAACCAGTGGTGATCAACTAATGTTCTTCGGGTGTTGTTTTTGTGGGGCGCATTCTTATGCAAAATGGGAATTGGGGCTAAACTGGTTTGTTTGTTGCTCTTCAGAATTGCCGTTTGTGTAGGCTGTTGCCAGACAAGCTTCTCCACCCTCCTGGAGGGGTCATTGTGTGGAAGTGCTCGGTGATTCACTGTTATGCTGATCTGAGCCCTTCCTCTTCCTGGGGACCGGAACCAATGGGGTGGGGGCCAGTGAGAGTCTTGGAGGGATCCTTCTGTGTTCAGGATATACTGTGGGAGGTTCTTCCCCACTCACTCATCCAATCTGGACCCCATGGGGTCTGTCTCACCTAAATGCTCTGCCCTCTAATAAGTGAGTACTTGTGCACTACCACCATTCCTGGTTCTGTAACACAGAGTTGAAACCTAGTGCTGGATGCTGTACCAGATGGCACTCTGCCACCCACACCCGAATGCCAACCTGTGTGCAAAGTGCACAGGGACCTGGAGGGAGAAGAGAGGAAGCTGTTCAGTCCTCGGAAACTTCCCTCCCGGCATCACCTGGGAGACAAAGTGGCCTTCCCTTGGCTGTTTTTTTGTTTGTTTTGTTTTAAAGACAGGGTCTTGCTCTGTTGCCCAGGCTGGAGTGCAAAGGTGCAATGACGACTCACTGCAGCCTCAACCTCCCCGGCTCCAGCAATCCTTCCACTTCAGTCTCCCAGGTAGCTAGGAGAACTGGCGTGCACCACCATACTGGCTGATTTTTTGTAGAGACAGGTCTCGCTATGTTGCCTAGGCTGGTCTCGAACTCCTTGGCTCAAGTACCCATCCCATCTCAGCCTCCCAAAGTGCTGGGTTTACAGGCATGAGCCACCATGGGTGGCCTAGACTGGCAGGCCTGCCTTGGAGGCATTTTTTGAGCCTAGGCCAGCCAAACCACTGTGGAGGCTCTGAATCCAGCTTTCCTAGGGGAGAGAGTGAAGTTCCCCGAGAACCATTCTCCTGGCAGTGCCTTCCTGGCTGGGCTGGCATGTGTGCACCATGTTCACTGCTGGGATGACCTGGTTACATTCAATCTGGCAAAAATCAGCTGTCCAGCTCCTTACAGTTGTCACGGCCAGTTCACTTTTGTTGCCTTTTACATCAACCTTGTGTGGTGCACTGGCCAGGCACCCTTATATACAATTTGTACTTAAGAAAAATAGGGCTGAGTGCGGTGGCTCACACCTGTTATCCCAGCACTTTGGGAGGCTGAGGCAGGCAGATCACTTGAGGTCAGGAGTTCGAGACCAGACTGGGCAACATGGTGAACCCCATCTTTACTAAAAATACAAAAATTACTTGGGCGTGATTACACATGCCCGTAGTCCCAGCTACTCGGGAGGCTGAGGCACGAGAATCACTTGAATCTGGGCGGCGGAGGTTGCAGTGAGCCGAGATTGTGCCACTGAACTCCAGCCTGGGTGACAGAGTGAGACTCTGTCTCAAAAAGAAAAAAAATGAAGAAGAAGAAGAAAACTAGAAGCCTAGGTTAGGGATTTGGCTAAAGCCACATGTCAGTGCCAAAAGAGAGACCAGAGCCTGAGTCTCTTGACTCTCAGACTGGCACATTAATTAAGTACCTACACGGTACTCAAGCTCTTGGGACATCTAGGACGTCTCAGTGCATCTGGGATGGGGTGACTCAGCCTTCCACTGCCCAGGCTAATCACTCTCCAGTGCTAGATTGTGCCATTCATAATGAAGAGGTTGCAATTTGGAACCATGACTTTGGGGAGAAAATGGGCTGGAAAAACAACACTGGTCTTTGCGGTCAGCTAGACCTGGGTTTGGGAGTATCACCTGCTAGTATGCCCTCCCATAAGCTGCTTGAATCACTCCAAGCTTCAGTGTCTCATGTCAAGTGGGAGAGGAATGTGTACTCCAGGGGGAGGTGTGCTGATTAAGTGGGAAAAGCCCATGGGAAGAGCAGCATGGTGCCTGGATTGTAGCTGCGCTCTTCTGCCCTCCGTCCTTAACCCACCCTCCTTCACCTGTCCCCACTCACTGGATTCCTTTTGGCTTGTCTGCATATCTAGTTTGGTTGGTTATTGAAGAAGTGGGGTATGCTAGACCCAGACTGCCTGGTTTTGAATCCCAGCTCTACCACGTCTGTGACCTTGGACAAGTTGCTTATCCTTTCTGTGCTTCATTCTGTGTGCATTCCCATGCACAATGGGAATCAGAAGGGGCTTACCTCAGAGGGTTGATGTGAGAATTAAAAAGTTCATTCCATGTAAAGGGCTTAGAACTTGCCTGTCACTTAAGTGCTTAGTTAGTAAATGTTAGCTACTGTTAACTTCAAAGAGACGAAGTGCTTTGTCCCATAGGAACATAATTTTTAATTTTAAAAAATAGATAATTCCGGTGGCTTACATTTGAGTTGCAGGAGTTTTATAGTATAATTTTCCATAATTTATGTACATATGCAAAAATATTTTGGAGTAGGGGATTTTCCAAGTATCAAAAGGAGTACTGTTTTGGTTTCACTTCTTACTGGGGCTTATCATGATCTGAAAACTGACTCTGGAATTCCCCAGGGCTGACACGCTTCCCTTCATAACCACAGTCATTCACAACGGATGAAGCATGCATTCTTCCAAGTAACACACAGGTTAAACAAAGAAATGAACAGTTTTTGTAGAATTGAATGTGTAAACGTATGGAACAGCTGCCTACAGCCAGCTTCAGTATTTCAGAGAGCTGTTGCCACTTTGAAACTGAGAGGGCTTGTAGTCATTTTGATGTGGTTTCCTATCCTGGTACAGAGACCCTCTGCTGGGTGAGGGGTCTGGTAAGACCTCTTGATTAACTGCCTGAAGAAACTGTTGGGCTGGGCCGGGTGTGGTGGCTCACACCTGTAATCCCAACACTTTGGGAGGCCGAGGCAGGAGGATTACGAGATCAAGACATCGAGACCATCCTAGCCAACACGGTGAAACCCCGTCTCTACTAAAAATACTAAAAATTAGCCGGGCACGGTGGCACGTGCCTGTAGTCCCAGCTACTCGGGAGCCTGAGGCAAGAGACTCGCTTGAACCTGGGAGGCGGAGGGTGCAGTGAGCCGAGATCGCTCTACTGCACTCCAGCCTGGGTGACAAAGCGAGACTCCATCTCAAAAGAAAAAAAAAGAAAAGAAACTGTTGGGCTGGTTTCTTCAGGGCACAGAGAGAATCTGATCCAGTCAATATTTAATTTTTTTTGGGACAGGGTCACTTTGCCTCCCAGGCTGGAGTATAGTAGTACCATCACAGCTCACTGCTACCTCAACCTCCTGGACTCAAACAATTCTCCCACCTCAGCCTCCCAAGTAGCTGGGACTACAGACGCGCACCACTGCTTCTGGCTGATTTTTTTTTTTTTTAATAGAAATAAGGTCTCTCTGTGTTGCCCAGGCTGGTCTCAAACTCCTGGGCTCAAGTACAGGCATGAGCTACTGCACCTGGCCTCAATATTTAATTCTAAGAGTAAAGGAAAGAGAAAGAAGGTCCTTGATTGTTAAAGTAAAAATTGTTTTTCATTTCAGAATAAAAAATAGTCCCTAACTCCTGGGCAATTGGACAAGAGATGAAATTTCAGACATTTGCCTGTTTTTAACTCACAGCTATGTTACGGAAATAGTCTTATAATTACATACATTGCGTTTATGACAAGCGTTCACAGTGGGATTTTCATTTTGTTTACTAAAGGAAGTTGTAAAGGTGCACTATTGTCTTTGTATGGGAAAGGATGTCATAAGTTACTGTATGAATTTGCTAGGGCTGCCATAACAAATACCACAGACTGGGTGGCTTAAACAGAAATTTATTCTCTAACAGTTCTGGAGGCAAGAAGTCCAAGATCAAGGTGTCAGCAGATTGGCCCTTCTGCGGGCTGTGAGGGAGAAAGTGTTCTACAGCTCTCTCCTGCCTTTTGGTGGTTTGCTGGCAATCTTTGGCATTCCTTGGTTTCTTCTCCATCACCTGAGCTCTGCCTTCATCTTCACATGGCATTCTCCCTATGTGCATGTCTGTATCCAAATTTCCCTTTTTTGTTGTTGGGGTTTTTTTGTTTTGTTTTGTTTTTTATTTTTGAGATGGAATCTTGCTCTGTCTCCCAGGCTGGAATTCAATGGCGCAATCTCGGCTCACTGCAACCTCTGCCTCCCAGGATCGAGCGATTCTCCTGCCTCAGCCTCCCAAGTAGCTGAGATTACAGGCGCCTGCCACCACGCCCAGCTAATTTTTTAATTTTTGTAGAGACGAGGGTTTTGCCATGTTACCCAGGCTGGCCAGATTTCCCTTTTTATAAGGACATCATTGGATAAGGGTCTACCTTCCTTCCTATCTTAACTTACCTAGTTACATCTGCAATGGACCCAGTTTCCAAAGTATGGGGGTTAGGAGTTCAACATGAATTTTGGGGACACAGTTCAATCTATAACAATCACCATCTTCCTTCCATCAATTCTTGGGGTGTTCAGCTTGCTTATGATTAAAAGCTAACTGAGCTGTTTCTGAAAGCAGCTGGTCTATATGGAGGATCATTTGCATAGGACTTGGTGTGTGCTCCTGAGAAAATCTGGGGTTTTGCTGGCTTGATGTGCAACCCTGAGGAAGCTTGGCTCAAACCATCTTTTTCCAGTCAGTATTTCCCCTCCATTAGTAGGTTACAGAGAAATCATCTTTGCCAAGTCTCTTGTATCATTCTCCTTCTTTCCATGACCCCTACTTCTCAACCCACACAGTGGGAAATGAGCATGCAGGGCCCAAGCCCTGACTTGAGGCAGGCTGGTCTAGGGGTCTTGTGTGCTGGCCCTGGAGTCAGACCAGCTGGGGAAGATCCCAGTGCCACACTGGCTGTGTGATCTGGGGCACACTTCTTAAGTGCTCTGAGCCTTGGTTCCCTTATCCGTAAAATGGAATAGTAAGAGCACCTTAGGGAAGTGGTGGTGAGGATTGAATGAGATAGTGCAAGTTGAGCAGGGTTGATACACTATTAATAATTCAGGTGGGGCTTGTACCGCTTCTTCCCCAATTTACTCCCGTCCATTGTGTTGTCAGGTGCAGGTTTCCAAAGCACACCTTGGTTCGTCTCTCTGCGTTTTGTGGGATGCCTCCTCTAGCTCGCCATTGCCTACTTATTCAGTATTTTGTCATTCAGGGCTGCCCTTGTGGCTTATGTGACCCAGCCCCCAGCTGCTCTTGCTGGGCCTCTCCATGTAGCCTTCTTTCCAGGAGAAAACTTTCTTCATCCCTTTGCCCAACAACCCTATGATCTCCTGCCCTTTAGTCTGTTCTTACCTTTGCCCGGAATGCCTTCCTTTCATTCCTCTCAAGTCTTTTATGGTTAAATTCTCAAACTCAGCTCAACCATCACCTCATCCATAAAACATTTCCTGTTCTTCCCTTTGAGCCCTATTGCACTCTGTAACATTTCTTCTATAGGACTTGGCATCCTCTCCTTTGAACTGCAGTGGCTGGAATGTGGAGACTGGGTCTTGGCTTTCACCTGAAATAGCACCCAGGGACAGGGTTAGGAGCAGAGGTCAGTTCAGCCAGTGTCTGTCTGTTGAGCACTTATCATTCATGACATTGTGTTTGCAGAACTTCAAAGATACCATGGGTGTGAAGGTGTCTTGGGTCCTTCAAGGCCCGAGTCTCAACTAGAAAGTAGGTCAGATCTGAAATCCTGATGGGCCATCTGACTATTTAATGCCAACTGTCTGAGTGGATGAGGGCAGTGGAAAGCAGACTTTCAGGCTAGCATTATAATTAATCAAGTGGTGAAACTTGGGATTGCCTAAAGTTATATAGCAAGTTAGTGACCTTGCTAGGAATAGAACAGGTCACTGTTCTTAAGCACTGAGTAAACCATACCTTCTGCTCACTATAAAACTTCAAAGGTAAAAACAAAAGTCTGTCTCGTTCATGGCAGCCTTGTGATAGGAAGAGTTTATTCTTAAAATCTTGTTGCTTTTTTTTTTTTTTTTTTTTGAGAGATAGGGTCTTGCTGTGTCACCCAGGCTGGAGTGCAGTGGTGCAGTCATATCTTACTGCAGCCTCAACCTTCTGGGCACAAGCCATCCTCCTGCCTTAGTCTCCCAAGTGGCTGGGATCACAAGCATGCACCACTGCACCTGGCTAATTTTTTAAAAATTTGTTTGCAGAGACAAGGTCTTGCCATGCTGCTTAGGCTGCTCTCAAACTCCTGGGCTCAAGCTATCCTCCTGCCTCTCCTCCTAAAGTGCTGGGATTACAGGTGTGAGCCACCGCACCCGGCTGGATCTATGTTAATATTCAAATACAATTCCAGGCAGCTGAAGCCTGCCTAGGCTGAGGTACATCCCTGAGTTGTTTTTGGTGGAGTTGCAGGTGGTGGTTGGCAGAATGTGGGCAAGTCACAGAGGCAAGACGTGATCTTTTGAAATTGGGGAGAACTGGGTTCCTGTCTTTATCTGTCAGAGTTCTCCAGAAAAACAGAATGAGTAGAATATGAATAAATAAATACACATATACACACAGATTTATTTCAAGGAATTGGATGATATAATTGGGAAGGCTGGCAAATTCAAACTCTCTAGGGCACCCAGAAACTCTGGAAGCTCCGCAGGAGCTGCAATGCTACAGGCTTCAGGGAGAATTTCTTCTTTATCAAGGAAACCTCAGTTTTGCTCTTAAAGCTCTCCAATTAATTGGATGAGACCCACCCAGATTATTGAAGATAATCTCCTTTACTTAAAGTCAGCTGGTTGATTGTAGATGCTAACCACATGTACAGAATACCTTCAGAGCAACACACAGGTTAGCACTTAATAGAATGACTTAAGAACAATAGCCTAGCTCCTTGACATTTAAAACTGACCATCACGCCATCCAGCTCCACCTCTTCCTGGGAAACCATGATTTCCAAATTGGTAAATGGAGAAAATTAACATCTTTCTTGAAGAGTTCTTGTGAGGATTAAATGACACTGTATGTTTAAGGGCTGGTACAGTTCCTGGCATAGTAATAGATCGTCAACAGATGATTCGCTTTTATTGCTTCTGAGCTCCAGGTCAAACCTCCAGGACACCCCTTGTCTTCTAGAGGAAATTACCAAAGACTGGAATCCACTTTAGCATGAAAGGAACCCTTCCCTCCCCAAGGGGGAGGTCATACTGGAAATGGTTGAATGAATTGGGGCAGTTCCATGTTGAGAAGATCAGACTGAGGAAGGATCATGATCACCAACTTCAAATATTTGAAGAGCTGTTATGTGAAAGAGGCCTTGGACTTGTTGAGGAGGCAGAACTCTAAATGCCAACTGAAGTTCTGCTAAAGCTCAACCGCAGGAAGAACTTAATTTCTTAGCTTCTCTCTCTTTTTTTTTTTTTTTTTTTTTTTTTTTTTGGGTCTTACCTTTCTTTAGAGTTTCTCCAAGGGTCTAAGGGAAATCCAGTGACAAAATGAGAGCCTCCTGGGGCACTAGTTAAAATGCAGATTGCCAGGCCCACCCATCTACCACCAGGCTGAATGAATACCTCTGGAGTTTTCCAGACCCCCAGGTGGTTCTTGTGCCATCCCAAGCTTAAGGTCCTCTGCCTTGACGCTCCTCCCCCAGGGCTCCTCAGTGTCCGGCAATACCTGAATGGAAGGAGTGTCTGGCTGAAAGCCCTTCTATGAATTTAAGGCTCAGAGCAGTTAAAAAACTGGGCCAAAGTGACTTACCAGGTACTTAAAAGTCAAAGCCCAATTTCCCTAGCTCCTTTTATTATTTTCTAATATATTCTAAAGAACATCTCTCTGGATGGGGGTGGAGGTAGGTTGGGGAATGGGGATCTAGCATGCAAAAACAATGAATGCAGAATTAGCTTGCACATAAGTGCAGTTTAAAATTCATGCTTAATGCCAGGCGCAGTGGCTCTTGCCTGTAATCCCAGCACTTTGGGAGGCCAAGACAGGAAGATCACTTGAGGTCAGGAGTTTGAGACCAGCCTGGCCAACATGGCAAAACCCCGTCTCTACTAAAAATACAAAAATTAGCTGGGCATGTTGGCACACACATGTAATCCCAGCTACTTGGGAGGCTGAGGCACGAGAATCGCTTGAACCCGGGAGGTGGAGGTTGCAGTGAGCTGAGATCACGCCACTGCACTCCAGCCTGGGTGACAGAGCTGGACTCCATCTCAAAAAAAAAAAAAAAAATTCATTCTTCAGTTCTAGAACAGGCAAAGCTGAGCTAAAAATATTAGCGAGGAGAACTTTCTGAAAAGTTCTATATCGTGGTTGGGGTGTCAGTTTACATGGGTGCCTCCATTTGTCAAAGTGTGCACCTAAGGTTTCTGCATTTCTGCGTGTATAAATCCTGCCTAAAAACTATTAAAGAAGAATTGAGTGGGGAGGGGTGAAGGTATTGATGATAAGAGTGCTGATCATTGTTGAAACTGGGTAATAGTTACATGGAAAGTGCACTGTATAATCATACAGTGATTCTGTATTCTGTTTACGTATGTTTGAAATTTTCCATAATAAGGAAAAATACAAAAAACATCATGTATTTTGAGGACCAGTTGGCCTATTCTGCCTGCTGGGATAATTTAACACTAAATAAATGAATCATAAATGATACTCTTTACTGCCGCCCCCATGGAACATGGGCCTCTTATGTCCTAGCTTCACCTACCTAGTGGATATCTGCCAAGTTTTTCAGCTGTTTCTCTGCCTTCTCCAGGGGACTTTAGAAGTAAGTTTAGACTATTTCTTTTTTTTTTTTTCTGAGACAGGGTCTAACTCTGTTGCCCAGGCTGGAGTGCAGTGGCATAATCAGGGCTCACTGCAGCCTTGACCTCCCAGGCTCAGGTGATCCTCCCACCTCAGCCTACTGAGTACCTGGGATTACAGGTGCGCACCACCACGCCTGGCTGATTTCTGGTATTTTTGTAGTGATGGGTTTCACCATGTTGCCCAGGGTGGTCTCAAACTCCTGGGCTCAAATGATCCACCTGCCTTGGCCTCCCAAAGTGCTGGGATTATAGGTCCATATCACATTTTATTATGGAAAATATCAAGCATTTATTACTAGTGGAGAAAATGGAGGTGGATAATGCCCCCCTCCCCATCATGTAGCTTCAACAGTTACCAATTCATGGCCGGTCATGTTTCATCTTTAACTCTTGCCCTCTCTGTCCGCCCCTCTATTCTTTTGAAACAAATCCCAGACATTTCTTAGCAAGGAGAAGAGAAAAACCAAGCATTGTTCCTTTCTTACTCTTCCACTACTTCCATTAACTCAAAACCGTCTGTAAATATTTTAGTATATATCCCCAAATCATAAGGACTCTTCTAAACATAACCACAATGCCGTTAGCACACCTAAAAGAAATTCCCAAGGATTCTTTTTTGTTTTTTTGAAACGGAGATTTGCTCTTGTTGCCCAGGCTGGGGTGCAATGGCGCGATCTCAGCTCACTGCAACCTCCACCTCCCGGGTTCAAGCAATTCTCCTGCCTCAGCCTCCCAAGTAGCTAAGATTACAAGCGTGCGCTGCCAAGCCCAGCTAATTTTTGTATTTTTAGTAGAGACGGGATTTCACCACGTTGACCAGGCTGGTCTTGAACTCCTGACCTCAGGTGATCCGCCCACCTCAGCCTCCCAAAGTGCTGGGATTACAGGCGTGAGCTACCACACGTGGCCAGGATTCTTTATTTATTTATTTTATTATACTTTAAGTTTTAGGGTACATGTGCACAACTTGCAGGTTTGTTACATATGTATACATGTGCCATGTTGGTGTGCTGTACCCATTAACTCGTCATTTACATTAGGTATATCTCCTAATGCTATCCCTCCCTCCTCCCCCGACCCCACAACAGGCCCCAGTGTGTGATGTTCCCCTTCCTGTGTCCATGTGTTCTCATTGTTCAACTCCCACTTATGAGTAAGAACATGCAGTGTGTGGTTTTCTGTTCTTGTGCTAGTTTGCTGAGAATGATGGTTTGCAGCTTCATCCATGTCCCTGCAAAGGACACAAACTCATCCTTTTTTATGGCTGCATAGTATTCCATGTTGTATATTTGCCACATTTTCTTAATCCAGTCTATCATTGTTGGACATTTGGGTTGGTTCCAAGTCTTTGCTATTGTGAATAGTGCCACAATAAACATATGTGTGCATGTGTCTTTATAGCAGCATGATGTATAATCCTTTGGGTATATACCCAGTAATGGGATGGCTAGGTCAAATGGCATTTCTAGTTCTAGATCCCTGAGGAATCGCCACACTGACTTCCACAATGGTTGAACTAGTTTACAGTCCCATCAACAGTGTAAAAGTGTTCCTATTTCTCCACATCCTCTCCAGCACCTGTTGTTTCCTGACTTTTTAATGATCGCCATTCTAACTGGTGTGAGATGGTATCTCATTGTGGTTTTGATCTGTATTTCTCTGATGGCCAGTGATATTGAGCATTTTTTCATGTGTCTTTTGGCTGCATAAATGTCTTCTTTTAAGAAGTGTCTGTTCATATCCTTTGCCCGCTTGTTGATGGGGTTGTTTGTTTTTTTCTTGTAAATTTGTTTGAGTTCTTTGTAGATTCTGGATATTAGCCCTTTGTCAGATGAGTAGATTGCAAAAATTTTCCCCCATTCTGTAGGTTGCCTGTTCACTCTGATGGTAGTTTCTTTTGCTGTGCAGAAGCTCTTTAGTTCAATTAGATCCCATTTGTCAATTCTGGCTTTTGAGCCATTGCTTTTGGTGTTTTAGACATGAAGTCCTTGCCCATGCTATATGTCCTGAATGGCATTGCCTAGGTTTTCTTCTAGGGTTTTTATGGTTTTAGGTCTAACATTTAAGTCTTTAATCCATCTTGAATTAATTTTTGTATAAGGTGTAAGGAAAGGATACAATTTCAGCTTTCTACATATGGCTAGCCAGTTTTCCCAGCACCATTTATTAAATAGGGAATCCTTTCCCCATTTCTTGTTTTTGTCAAAGATCAGATAGTTGTAGATATGTGGCATTATTTCTGAGGGCTCTGTTCTGTTCCATTGGTCTATATCTCTGTTTTGGTACCAGTACCATGCTGTTTTGGTTACTGTAGCCTTGTAGTATAGTTTGAAGTCAGGTAGCGTGATGCCTCCAGCTTTGTTCCTTTGGCTTAGGATTGACTTGGTAATGCGGGCTCTTTTTTGGTTCCATATGAACTTTAAAGTAGTTTTTTCCAATTCTGTGAAGACAGTCATTGGTAGCTTGATGGGGATGGCATTGAATCTATACATTACCTTGGGCAGTATGGCCATTTTCACGATATTGATTCTTCCTACCCATGAGCATGGAATGTTCTTCCATTTGTTTGTGTCCTCTTTTATTTCGTTGAGCAGTGGTTTGTAGTTCTCCTTGAAGAGGTCCTTCACATCCCTTGTAAGTTGGATTCCTATGTATTTTATTCTCTTTGAAGCAATTGTGAATGGGAGTTCACTCATGATTTGGCTCTGTTTGTCTGTTATTGGTATATAAGAATGCTTGTGATTTTTGCACATTGATTTTGTATCCCGAGGCTTTGCTCAAGTTGCTTATCAGCTTAAGGAGATCTTGGGCTGAGACGATGGGATTTTCTAGATATACAATCATGTCATCTGCAAACAGGGACAATTTGACTTCCTCTTTTCCTAATTGAATACCCTTTATTTCCTTCTCCTGCCTGATTGCCCTGGCCAGAACTTCCAACACTATGTTGAATAGGAGTGGTGAGAGAGGGCATCCCTGTCTTGTGCCAGTTTTCAAAGGGAATGCTTCCAGTTTTTGCCCATTCAGTATGATATTGGCTGTGGGTTTGTCATAGATAGCTTTTATTAGTTTGAGATACGTCCCATCAATACCTAATTTATTGAGAGTTTTTAGCATGAAGGGTTGTTGAATTTTGTCAAAGCTGGCCAGGATTCTTTAATAATCATCACATATCTAGTCACTGTTCAAATTTCCTGTTATCTCATGAATAATTTTTCATAGTTGGTTTGTTTGAATCACAATCCGACAAGATCCATACCTTGCATTGTATCCAGCTGTTTTTGCATGATAAAGTAGTATTCAAGCAGACAGGTGCTTTACTGGATTTGTATGCAGTCAGCTTCTGCCAGCACTGCTGTTGTAATCTGTGTGATGCAGTGTGAAGCGAGCGGGTGGGGCGGGGGGGAAAGAATTCACCCTGGATGGCTCAATGGAAGAGACTTAAATGAATGACTTCTTACAGCCATGTGGTCAGGGGCAGACAGGGACGTTGGAGTGCCCAGAGGCTCCCGGTGAGAAGGGATGGAAGGAATTGCTGGAGCCCAAGATGAGGGGCTGTCATCGTGGATCATGGAGGAAATGCTCTGACCTCCCCCTTGGCTATACCTGTGTTCTGCTCTAGCCTTCCCCTGGTGAACCCAGCTGGAAGCCAGCCAGCACAGGAGCCCTAGAGTTTCTCAGGGACACACATGGACCTGGAGGGGCAAAGAAGAACCAGTACTGTGGCCAAGAGCTGGCTGTGAAATAAAAATGCCTGCCGCCAAATCCTGGTTCTGTCATTTACTAGCTGTGTGACTTAAGGCAAGCTGTTTAACCTCTCTGTGTCTCAGTTTCCTCCTCTGTAATAACAATACCTACCTTACAGGGATGCCGAGCAGCTTCAATGAGATAATGTACATAGGGCCTGGCCTACAGCCAGTGCTCAATCAACACAAGCTGGAATTATTACAAACCACTATTAAAAACCACCCAGGCCAAACAGGACACAGTCTCTCTTTATCTGGCTCCATGTTTCTCTCTAGCCCTGATGACTCTAGCTTGCCTTCAGCCTAGAGACAGGCCTCAGAGTGCTTTGGCCTTACCATTCTCCCTCTGACGTCATCCTTCTCATAGGCACCACACTGTTCTTTGTCTTTGAAGGTTCTTCCAACCCTAGAGGTAAAAGCAGGTCTCCATCCCTCCTCCTCCAGATGAATAAATGAAAGGCCTAGCTAAAGCAGTCGAGGCTGTTCACAAAGGGTATTTTCAGGGGCAAACCCTCTACCACATGACTCAGATCCCAGTACAGCATAAGCGGCACACTTGCCAGTTGACAGGGGCTTCAGAGACTTTGCAAGGAGAAAAGAAAAGGCCAGCTTTGCTCCTTTCTTCCCCTTTCCACTACATTACTGATTCAGAAAACCTTTGCGCAAGACTCTTCTGCTCTGCTTCTTACCCGGGTGGCAAAGGTGAATGGCTGGAGGGCAGGTATCATGTTTACAGCCAGTAGGAAAGAAAAGACCCATATAATTTGTGATTTTAGATAGAACAGGATAAGTGCCATAAGAGAAAACCTAGAAGACATGGGATTTTAGAGACAGGAGCACCCAGTTTTGGTTAAAGGGCCCAAACTGAGAACATTCTGGATCCTCACAGAGCACAGATGGGTCAGTTACCAGCCAGAGGGATGTGGTAGGGCAGGCCTTTCCAGCAGGTGCCAGTTCTGTACAAGTCAGTAGGTGTTTAGTTGTGACTAAGGGCCCCAGCTCACAAGTTTACGATAGCTTCCTGTGTGGCAGGTGTGAAAATGTACTTTTTTTTTTTAATTGTCCCAGCCCCACAAGGGTAAAAGTCACCTGCTCACAAATAAAAAGTAACTTAATGATGGGTTTAACTTGTCTATTCTTTAAATAAAGAGCATGAACTATAAACCTCAAGACTACGCAACAGAACTAGTAAAACATACTCTGTATCTCAGCTCCATGTCATTGAGTTGAGAAGAAAAACAGAAAAAGAAAGCAGAGATAATAATTACTGGCTACTAGGGCTAGCTGGTTTTGCTTTCTCTTGAAATCCGGATTGAGTTATTGGCAGTTAATCATTAATTGCAAATCTTCAGAATCAAAAAGCAGTAGCAAGGAGTAATTCATGTTTATATAGCAGCTTACACATATGAAGGGGCTATTTTTAAAATGAATATCTGATTTTTTAATTTTTTAATTATTTTTAATTTTTTATTTCCAAACAGGTGGTGTGTGGTTACATGAGTGAGTTCTTTAGTGGCGATTTGTGAGATTTTGGTGCACTCATCACCCAAGTAGTATACACTGAACCCAATTTGTAGTCTTTTATCCCTCACCCCCCTCTCTCCCTTCCTGCCTCCCCCCAAGTCCTTGAAATCCATTGTGTCATTCTTGTCTTTTTTTTTCTTTTTTTTTGAGACAGAGTCATACTCTGTCACCCAGACTGGAGTGCAATGGTGTGATCTCGGCTCACTGCAACCTCCACCTCCTGGGTTCAAGTGATTTTCCTGCCTCAGCCTCCCAAGTAGCTGGGACTACAGGCACACGCCACCACACCTGGCTAATTTTTGTATTTTAAGTAGAGACAGGGTTTCACCATGTTGCCCAGACTGGTCTCAAACTCCTGACCTCAGGTGATCCACCTGCCTCGCCTCCCAAAATGGTGAGATTATAGGCGTGAGCCACTGTAGTCTCCATTTCCATCCAGGTTGCTGTGAATGCCATTAATTCGTTCTTTTTTATGGCTGAGTAGTATTCCATCATATATATATTATATGATTATATGCATATAATATATATATAATATAGAGATTATATATAATATATATAGAGAGAGATTATAGATATATTTCTATCTCACAATTTCTTTATCCACTCATTGATTGATGGGCATTTGTGCTGATACCACATTTTTGGAATTGCGAATTGTGCTGCTATAAACATGCGTATGCAAGTATCTTTTTTGTATAATGACTTCATTTCCTCTGGGTAGATACCCAGTAGTGGGATTGCTGGATCAAATGGTAGTTCTACTCTTAGTTCTTTAAGGAATCTCCGTACTGTTTTCCATAGTGGTTTACATTCCCACCAGCAGGGGAGAAGTGTTCCTGAAGGGGCCGTTTTCAACTAATTCCTTAAAATATGAATTAGATATTATCTTCTCATTTCACACATCGGGAAACTGAGGGTCAAAGAGGTTTAGCAACTGGCCCAATGTTACCCAGCTACTGGGTAGGATAGGTCTTTTTACTCAGCTGTTTTGAACTTGGGACCTCCTAGCCACTAGGCTGTTTTGGGCTTTGCAGACTGCACATTATATTACACTTGATTCTAGCCAAAAGGCCAAGAAGCAATTGCAAATTATATTACAAATTCCGTAGGCCTTTTTTACTTTGTAAATATTACAGTAGTAAATCCTCCACTCCTCCCTGCCTTGAGATTCTCCCTCTCTCTCCCTCAAGGTAGAATAATTGCTAACTGTTACAAGTTGGGTTCTCTGGGAAGCAGACTCTGAGACTGCCTTTAGTGTGAAGGAGGTTTATTAGGGGGAGCCATTGGGATCAATAACTGGAGACAGGCAGGATTAGACAGAAGCAGAAGTCGAACTGTGATGCAGGCTGGCAGAACCCAGCACCTGGGCTGACATGGATGCATCAGACTTGTCCCACATTGGGCCAAGATGGCCTTGTCTCTTTACCCTCGCCTGACAGGTCATGGGATGTGGGCACACTGGGATGGGTGTGACCTTAGGGGAGGCGACTCTTGGCTGCTGGAGGCTGGCTGCCCACAGGTATGTGGGAATAGCCACAAGTCCTCCTTTGAAGGGGACCTGGGCTGCACATCTCCCCATGCATCCCACTAGCCCTGGAGGAAATGCTTCCTCTCATTTATCACTTACAATGCTTGTTGTGTTTATTATATTTGCTTCACAATAGGCTCTCAAGAAAGAAAAGTTGAATGAATACAGGAAGGACCATCTAAGAAGATACTTATTCAATACCTAAGTCTGTGCAGGTTGAAGTATTTTTCTTCCCTCAGTCTGTGGAATTCAGTCTGCCATCCAGATTCTTGAGAGTGGCCGGGCGCGGTGGCTCACGCCTGTAATCCCGGCCCTTTGGGAGGCTGAGGTGGGAGGATTGCTTGAGCCCAGAAGTTCAAGACCAGCCTGGGCAACATGGCGAGACCCCGTCTCTACCAAAAAAAAAAATGCTTCTTAAGAGCTATGCAGTCTCTTCTTCCCCTTCTTAAGAGCTATGCAGTCTCTTCCCCTGTGGCCTCAGGTGGGTCACCATATGGGATAGTCCTGGTTTATGCTTGTTGCCCAGCCTAATGGTTAATAGTACCCTCTTACCCTCTCAAAAGTGGATGGGTTTGGTGATAAATTATACGGTCACTTATTCATAGACCTTTGGAGTGTCAGAGCTGGAAGGGGCCCTCTAAGGAAACCAGGTTTTCAAGACTGATGTGACATGGTCCCCAGGTCTTGGTGTCTTCCTCTCCCTACCCGGCTAAAGAAGAAATATCCACTGTAGCCACTACCTTCCTTCCCTTGGCTCTTTCAGTTGCTCATCTTTAAGAGCAGGCAGGCACTCTAACATTTCGAATCTGTCCCCACCTCAGTCCAGAGTTGTGCCCCTACTATCTTCATATTCACCCCCTCGTTTCCTATGTACGCTGATACCTGCAAGACTGTCCTGCTAATGAGCTGTGTTTCTCACCTTTTAATTAGCAAATATTAAGAAACAAACCCAAGGTAGGTGGGGTGTGAGGAAATGGGTTTGCTCACATACCAGATGGCAGTGTAGGTTGGAACAGCCTTTTTGGATGTCTGTTGGTATATCCCATGAAATAAGTTTAAAAAGTTGTCAGAACAGTTTCTTCAGAAAAACAAAAAACTCCTGGCACAGACAGAATTCAAGGGGATTTCTTTCAAATATTCCAAGTATCAGGAATTCCAATGTTAAATAAAGCTTCCCAATTCTTTTTTCAAAACCAGGATAACAGTGATACCAAGGCCTAAAAAAGCACATCAGAGAAGACCCTGACTCGCTCTTGGCCTGCATGACTCAGTCCTTTTGGAAGGCTGAGTGGAGAGGATCACTTGAGCCTAGAAGTTTTGAAACCAGCCTGGGCAAAACAGCAAGACCCTTATCTCTACAAAAAGTAAACATTAGCCAGGCATGGTGGCATGTTTCTGTAGTCCCAGCTACTGGGGAAGCTGAGAGGTGAGAGGATCACTTGAGCCCAAGAGTTTGAGGCTGCAGTAAGCCATGATCACCAGTTTTCATCTATCAGATTGGCACTTTTATCCATTGTTGGTAGGAATTATAATTGGCACAAACTTTTTTGAAGGGCTTTTCAGTAGAATCCATCAAATAAAAAACACACATATCCATTGACCCAGCATAAATTCCAGGAATGTATCCTACTTGCACACGTGTGCAAAGAAGTATGGATGAGGAGATTTTAATATCTGTTACAAGAAAAGATTAGAAACAACTATGCACCATTAAGAAGCCAGTTAGGCTGGGCGTGGTGGTTCATGCCTGTAATCCCAGTACTTTGGGAGGCTGGCAGGTGGATCACCTGAAGTCAGGAGTTCGAGACCAACTTGTTCAACATGGTGAAACCTCGTTTCTACTAAAAATACAAAAATTATCTGGGTGTGGTGGCAGGCACCTGTAATCCCAGCTACTCGGGAGGCTGAGGCAGGAGAATCGCTGGAACCCTGCAGGTGGAGGTTGCGGTGAGCTGAGATCGCGCCATTGCACTCCAGCCTGGGCAACAAGATCAAAACTCCTTCTGAAAAGAAAAAAAAAAAAAAGAAGCCAGTTAAATAAACTATGGTAAGAGGCAAATGAGTATACCATTCGGATATTATCTATGCCTTGAATTCCTTTGTCTCCTTTTTTCACATAGCTAGCTAGCTCTTTCACTTACCATAACTTGCAGTTATTTCATTAGTTCACTTGTATTTTTGGTTCCCTCTCTCTTTAGAATGTGAGATCTGGCCAGGAGTGATGACCCACACCTATAATCCCAGTGTTTTGGGAGGCCAAGGAGGAAGAATTGTTTGACTAGCCTGGGCAACATAGCAAGACCCCATCTCTACAAAAAAAACAAAAATAGAATGTAAGATGTGAAGGGGGCAGGGTCTGATTGTATTTTTTACTGTCGTATTCCCAGCACTAGTGTTGTATTTGATACTCAATTTAAAATGACTGACTGTATCTCAAATACAAGTCATCCTTATTGGTGAAGCATTCTCATTAAATTCATCAGCAAGAATATCAGGTATCACCATTATTATTTAGCATTATTTGGGAAGCATAGCTAAAGCAATTAGATAAGAAAATGAAATAAGAAATTTAAATGTTAGAAGAGTTGAAAATATTAAAGTTTATATGTCTATGCCCTTGGGGGCAAAACACAAATAAACAGAAAATTTAATGGGAGAAATTCTGGGCTAACCCTTTGCTGTTGCCTTAGCCAAAGTGATTTTGCTATGTAGGCATTTTTAGGTGAACCTTTTAGCTAAATATAATTTCAAACTTTTAAAAATGGCATATATATACCCTTTACCCAGATTTACCTATTTATGTCTTGCCTCATTTAGCTATATTAATAACGATGTCTCTCTGTATACATATGTGAATTGAAACCATTGCATCCCTCATCACCCAGATACTTATTAGTGTATATTTCCTAAGAACAGTGATTTTCTTTTCTATACCCAGTTATCAAATCAGGACATTTAATCTGAATGTAAGGCTACTATCTAATCTACAGTCCATTTTCAGAATCTGTCAGTATGTATTTGCCGAGTCTCTTTAGTCACCTGTAATGTGGAAACACTCCTCTCTCAGTGTTTCTTCACCTTTAGATTGTTGAAGGGCATCAATCAGTTAGTTTGTAAAAATGACCCCCAATGTTGATTTATCTGATGTTTCCTCAATGATTAGATTGAGATTATGAATTTTTGGTGAGAAAATCACAGAAATGGTATTGTGTCCTCCATATCAGGAGACCACGATGTTGGTTTAACTTCGTATTTTGATGATAGAGTTGACCATTTGATTTAGATGGTGTCTGCCAGATTTCTCCTGTAGTGTTATTATTTTTCTTTTTGTAATTAACAAGTAATCTGCAGAGTGATACTTTGAGACTCTTTAAGTATCTTATTTCTCATAAAATTTTCACTCCTTAAATTAAGCATCCATTGATGGTTTTCTAATTCATCATTCTCCTTTTATATTTATTATTTGTATTCTACTATAAGAAAGATTTCCTTTTTCCTTCATTTATTTGTTTATATTTGAGTGCACTCATTGATTCTTTTATTCAACTCATTTTATTCAATGAGTTATGATCCATTATTATATTATACCTAATTTTGGCTTCCTGTAGTGTGAATTTTGATCATACAGAATTTCTCTGCCTCCAGTCCTTCTCTTCCTGAGTTTTCAGACAAGACATCTTACATACCTTTGTTACCAATTCATTACACTCAAAAAGTTTCCCCCCACAAAAAAAGCCTTCCCAGACTAAAGTTTGCTTGATCAATTTCTCTATGGGCTTGATCTGTATCAACCACTTGTTTCCCTGTTATTATTTGTGTAATATAGGTGACATTCTTGTGTTTGCATGTTTGTGTGTGTCCATGTGTGTTGTATTAATGCACATATTACAGATTTAGGGGACTTTGCTTCATGGTTCTAAAATAGATCATTTGATTTCGAGATTAGAAGTTTCTCTCTCTACCACTAGCAAGTTTTTAAACAAAGTTAGCTGCCTCGGGTATCCAAAGTTTTTAATTTAATTATATTCAGATTTAACAACCACAAAAAACCTTACCTTGGCAAAAGATGAGAGGTAAAAAGTGATCAGTCACCTTTTCTTCCTTCCCCAGATTTATATAGGAATCAGTATTGTTGCAGGAAAGAACAATCTATCAGAAGTAAGATCTCTATCAAAGTCTTAGGATATTGTGTCTAAGAGTTCAGCTATTCAACAAATATGTAGCAAGGGTCTGTTATGTGCCAGAATCTGGGTTACGAAGTGGCCAACAGCAGGAACCAAGCAGACAGAGCCCTTGCCTTCAAAAAACTAGCATTCTAGTAGGACAAACAGCAAACAAATAAACATGGTAATATATCAGCTGGTGCTAAATGCTATGGAGAAAAAATAAAGCAAGATAAGGGAAAAAGATTTTGATGTAGTTTTTTATATAGAGAGATTAAGAAAGAAAACTGAGATGGTAAATATTTGAAGAGACCTGGGGTCAGGAGGATAAGAGGGTTGAGAGAGCTTACAGGCAGAAAGGGCTGCAAATACAAGGGCTGTGAAGTGGGAGAGTGCTTGGTGGACCTGAGAACTGAGCCTTGGGACATTGCTATGTTTGGATATCAAGGGGATGAAGAATCAGCAAAGCAGAAGTTCTTGATGAGGTAGGAGAATAGAGAGGTACTTGGATGCCAGGTGAAGAAGCTGTTTCCAGGAGGAGATGGTAACTAAGTCAAATTTTGCTGATGGGTGAAGAGAAAATACACTGAGTACAGATACTCTTTGGAGGTTTTTGCTGTCAAGGGGAGCAAAAAATGGGATGGAATCTGAAGACTAGTGTGGGACCAAGGGAGGGGTTTTTAAAGGTGGGGGTATTTGTGTATGATAGTAGGCTGATGCGAATTGTCCAGTAGATGAGAAAGAACTGTTGATGCAGAAGAGAGGGGAGAGTAGCAGGAGCAATATCTTGAGCACATGAGCAGGGTTGTAACGGAAATGTGCAAAGGGAGAGACTGATTGAGCTAGGACTAAACATCATCTACAGTGTCTAGAGGGAAGGCACAGTGTCAGAGTTAGGCACAATCAGACAGAGAAGCCAGTAAACCAAGTGGACCAGCAGAACATCAGCCTCCTTTTTTCTTATCTTGCCTTGATTTTTATCCTTTCTTCTGGCATCTGTAAATTGCCATTTCTTCAACCTTCACTTAAAAATGTTTTTCTGTGGTTTGGTGGGAAAAGGATGTGCCAGTGTGTCCTGTTCCTGGAAGAAACAGAAAGAGTGAAAAAGTTTGACAAGCTTTAATGTTATAGGGAAAAAATACATCCAGAGAGCTTTTAACATGATAGTTGAAACTATCTGAATATGCAGTACACTCTAAATGGTAACCATATTTGAATGTTTAGAAGAATTCTCTAGCCTTTTAATTATTTAGGTCTCCTTATTTATAAAGTAAATTAAGGTAGAAGGACTTATCTGGGTAAATAAGTATAGATCTGTGGAGATGTTTTACATTTATCATTTTCCTGATTATAAAAGGAATATGGCGGGGCGTGGTGGCTCATGCCTGTAATCCCAGCACTTTGGGAGGCTGAGGCGGACGGATCATGAGGTCAGGAGATTGAGACCATCCTGGCTAACATGGTGAAACCCCGTCTCTACTAAAAAATACCAAAAAAAAAAAAAAAAAAATAGCTGGGCGTGGTGGCAGGCACCTGTAGTCCCAGCTACTTGGGAGGCTGAGGCAGGAGAATGGTGTGAACCTGGGAGGCGGAGCCTGCCGTGAGCCGAGATCTCGCCACTGCGCTCCACCCTGGGCGACAGAGTGAGACTCAAAAAAATAAATAAATAAAGCAATATGTGTTTGTTGTAAAATATTCACAGTTATAGACACGTATAAAGTGAAGTAAACTCTTTCCCACCCTGTTGCCAACCTTCAGAGAGAACCAGAATTAATAGTTTATAATAATAGTTTCCGCCGGGTGCGGTGGCTCACGCCTGTAATCCCAGCACTTTGGGAGGCCGAGGCGGGCGGATCACGAGGTCAGGAGATCGAGACCATCCTGGCTAACATGGTGAAACCCTGTGTCTACTAAAAATACAACAAAAATTAGCCGGGTGTGGTGCCGGGCACCTGTAGTCCCAGTTACTGGGGAGGCTGAGGCAGGAGAATGGCGTGAACCCGGGAGGCCGAGCTTGTAGTGAGCCAAGATCGTGCCACTGCACTCCAGCCTGGGCGACAGAGCAAGACTCTGTCTCAAAAAAAAAAAAAAAATAGTTTCCATATTTGATCAGTGTTTGCTTCCAATTAGCTGTTTGATCAATTTTCTTTTCTTTTTTTTTTTTTTTTTTTAGTATTTATTGATCATTCTTGGGTGTTTCTTGGAGAGGGGGATGTGGCAGGGTCATAGGATAATAGTGGAGAGAAGGTCAGCAGATAAACACGTGAACAAAGGTCTCTGGTTTTCCTAGGCAGAGGTCCCTGTGGCCTTCCGCAGTGTTTGTGTCCCTGGGTACTTGAGATTAGGGAGTGGTGATGACTCTTAATGAGCATGCTGCCTTCAAGCATCTGTTTAACAAAGCACATCTTGCACCGCCCTTAATCCATTTAACCCTGAGTTGACACAGCACATGTTTCAGAGAGCAGGGGGTTGGGAGTAAGGTTATAGATTAACAGCATCCCAAGGCAGAAGAATTTTTCTTAGTACAGAACAAAATGGAGTCTCCTGTGTCTACTTCTTTCTACACAGACACAGTAACAATCTGATCTCTCGTTCTTTTCCCCACATTTCCCCCTTTTCTTTTTGACAAAACCGCCATCGTCATCATGGCCCATTCTCGATGGTCACTGTCTCTTCGGAGCTGTTGGGTACACCTGCAGAAAGGCTGTCACTTCACACTTGGAAGATTGCACAGCAGCCAGGCAGAGGCGCTCCTCACTTCCCAGACGGGGCGGCCGGGCAGAGGCGCTCCTCACATCCCAGACGATGGGCAGCCGGGCAGAGGCGCTCCTCACATCCCAGACGGGGTGGCCAGGCAGAGGCGCTCCTCACTTCCCAGACGGGGTGGCCAGGCAGAGGCGCTCCTCACATCCCAGACGATGGGCAGCCGGGCAGAGGCGCTCCTCACATCCCAGACGGGGTGGCCAGGCAGAGGCGCTCCTCACTTCCCAGACGGGGTGGCCAGGCAGAGGCGCTCCTCACATCCCAGACGATGGGCAGCCGGGCAGAGGCGCTCCTCACTTCCCAGACGGGGTGGCCAGGCAGAGGCGCTCCTCACTTCCCAGACGGGGTGGCCAGGCAGAGGCGCTCCTCACTTCCCAGACGATGGGTGGCCGGGCAGAGGCACTCCTCACCTCCCAGACGGGGCGGCCGGGCAGAGGCGCTCCTCACATCCCAGACGATGGGCGGCCAGGCAGAGATGCTCCTCACTTCCTAGACGGGGTGGCAGCCGGGCAGAGGCGCTCCTCACATCCCAGACGGGGTGGCCGGGCAGAGGCGCTCCTCACATCCCAGACGATGGGCGGCCAGGCAGAGATGCTCCTCACTTCCTAGACGGGGTGGCAGCCGGGCAGAGGCGCTCCTCACATCCCAGACGGGGTGGCCGGGCAGAGGCGCTCCTTACATCCCAGACGATGGGTGGCCAGGCAGAGACGCTCCTCACTTCCTAGACAGGGTGGCGGCTGGGCAGAAGCTGTAATTTTAGCACTTTGGGAGGCCAAGGCAGGCAGCTGGGAGGTGGAGGTTGTAGCGAGCCGAGATCATGCCACTGCACTCCAGCCTGGGCAACATTGAGCATTGAGTGAGCGAGACTCCCTCTGCAATCCCAGCACCTCGGGAGGCCGAGGCGGGCAGATCACTCGAGGTCAGGAGCTGGAGACCAGCCTGGCCAACACGGCGAAACCCCATCTCCACCAAAAATACAAAAACCAGTCAGGCATGGCGGCGCGTCCCTGCAATCCCAGGCACTGGGCGGGCCGAGGCAGGACAATCACGGGAGCCCGAGGCAGGGAGGTTGCAGCGAGCCAAGATCACGGCAGTAGAGTCCAGGCTCAGCAATGGAGGGAGACCGTCGAAAGGAGGGAAGGAGGGAGGAAGGGAGGAAGGAAGGAATCAATTTTCAACAGAAAACTAAAACTGCCTGCTGGCAACATTAATTTCCAAATCTAATCTAACTCATGAGTATTTTAAATTCAGGGGCTTTATAAGTGCATGTTAATTTAAATTGCACAGATTAGAACAGCCTGTCTCAGGACAGGATGTAAAACTGACCTTTGTTTCTGAATTAAATGTTTCTTTGATACTGAAATATTGAAATGCCGGTCTTAGCTTTTGACTTGTGGGTTTTCATGGTCCCTGAACAATAAGCACAATGCAGTTTTAAAGACTGTTTGCTTATTTGATGAAATTTCGTACTTTTATAGGAGAATGGGGTACTAAGAGAAAAGCACGAAGCTGTGGATCATAGTTCCCAGCATGAGGAAAATGAAGAAAGGGTGTCAGCCCAGAAGGAGAACTCACTTCAGCAGAATGATGATGATGAAAACAAAATAGCAGAGAAACCTGACTGGGAGGCAGAAAAGACCACTGAATCTAGAAATGAGGTAAGCCTGTCAGAATATTCAAGCCTTGCCGTTTTGGTTTTAATGTAGATTTTGTGGCATTGACAGTTTGTGTCAAGAATGAGCATGTAAAACAGTATGCTCTACTATTAACAAATATGATATATGAAAATACCTATGTCTTTAAGTTATGGGAGTAGTAATTTGATTTATAAATGAATTAGCCCATACAATTGTTTTCTCTGGTTAAACTCAAGATTTTGTGTGTATGTGCACACACCCCCTTCCAGGACCTTGCTAGCAGGTTTTGCTAGTTATGTTTGCCAAGGCAAGTGATGAAGAAATGGGGAACCTAGGAGTCCTCAACCAGCCACATGCACAGGTAGCCAGGCTGGCCTAGTCCAGGAGAGCAAGCCGAGGACCAACCCTACAGCCAATCACCCATGATGTCAGCTAAGGCTTGGGCTGAAATCTTTGTTCAGTCTCCTGGCAGGCCTGGCTGAACCGTTGGGCATCCATGGTCCAGTGGGACCACCTCCTTAACTCCTCATTGCCTAACCTTACTCTTTGGCTGTGAGAAGAGGTGTACAAAGATGAACTCCCGGAGCCAGGCTGAAGGGATGGATGCTTTCTGCGATCTGTGCTTCCTCCTCCTTTCATTTGGGCTGTACTCTGATTTCTCTTCAGCCCTGCTGAGGTCCTGCCCACAAGCATGGCAAACAGGCACTCGAGATATTTAATAACCACGTGGCACTTCCACCTGGAAGGCATACCCTCAGGGGTCTTGCCCTGACGGTTTTCTTAGGCATCACCTGCTTTAGCATGTCCCCTTCCCAGAATGTGGAGTTTAGGGCTGTGTTTTGAATACCTTGGAGGATGGAGAGTACCATGCCCTGACCCTTCTCAGACAGCTGTCATCATGGTAGCCCTGGCCATGTAATATTACATGGAACATTACTTATTTTGCATGAAATCAGAAAACAGGTTTGTTCTCTTTGCCTGCCTACCACTCCCTTGCCCCTCCAGCTTCCACCTAGAGCCCCTTGGTGAAATCTAGGGCAGGTCCCATAAATTCTAGATACTAATGAAAATCGCTCTGGCCATCCCAGTGCAGCAATTGATAAGAATAACCCAGTGTGTCCATGTACAGTTGCTCACACCTATAATCCCAGCACTTTGGGAAGCCAAAGCATGCAGATCGCTTGAGCCCAGGAGTTGGAGATCAGCCTGGGCAACATGGCAAAACCCCATCTCCACAAAAATTACAAAAATTAGTTGGTGTGGTGATGTGTTCCTGTACTCCTAGCTATCCAGGAGGCTGAGGTGGGAGGATCACCTGAGCCTGGGAGGTCGAGGCTGCAGTGAGCTGTGATCACACCAGTGCACTCCAACCTGGGCAACAGAGTGAGACCCTGTCTCAAAAAAAAAAAAAAAAAGTATAACCCAATGTAATTTCCAAGAACGCTGAACCAAAAGTTAGCTGGGCGTAGTGGTGTGTGCCTGTGGTCCCAGCTGTTTGGCAGGCTGAGGTGGGAGGATCACTTGAGCCTGGGAAGTTGAGGCTGCAGTGATCCGTCATCATGCCACTGCACTTCAGACGGGGTGACAGAGCAGGACCCTGTCTCAAAAAAGAAAAATCCAAAACAAAACACACTGGGCTAAAATTCAGCATCTTTCCTCAGTTTTGTGTGGCCTGCCCTGCTGATTTCTCTGGGGTTGAGGGTGTGGGGTGCTAAGAACATAGGAAATTGTTTCTCTTGACCACGCGATACATTTAAATATTATACAACTCTTTGTCACGTGGGCACCTTTTCGTGTATAGGTTCTTTGGAGACCCCTGGCCCCACAGCTGGGAGTCTTCCTCTTGACAGGGGCAAATGCATCTCCACTGCAGCTGGTCCTTTAGGACTCTTCCCTGAATGTTCCGTGGTATACATGCATCTCACCTCTTCAGGTGGCCCTCTCAACCATTTGCTGGCCGCCTAGCACCTGGAAACATGCCCTTAGACCCTTTTCCAGTTCCCTAACTATGGCTCTTGCATGGTTTCTCATCGTTTATATTTCCCAGGCAAAAACAGGACACTAAGCTTCTGTGTCCCCAAACTGCGGAAAACACACACTGAGTTCTAAGTGGTCTCCTTGAGGCCCTTTTTGACATTCTTCAGATGAAGGGGAGGGGGTAGAGAGCACACCCCAAGGAACCCTCCCATTTTCACTCTGACCAGTGGAGCTTTAACCCTTTTGTAACCCTCAATTGCAACCTGGCATTTGGCAACTGCCTGTTCTTTTTTCCCAGCTGGTATTCTCCCCAGCTCCTCTGACTTATCTATTTCCTAATTAATGGATGCATTGTATGGTTTTACCACTCTCCCCACAGCATACATACTGTATTGTCAAATCATTACCCATGGACTTTTATATTAAAATACTGACAGAACCATATATATGTTGAAGAGGACAACATTTCTGCCCACTTCCCTGAGTATTCACAGCTCTGTTTGAGGGAAAAGATGTTTTCACTAGTCTTTCACTTATTTAACACTGAATTGTATATTGCCTTTCTCCCAGGTATGTCTTCGTCTTTACTCCCTCACTGGGCTTCCCAGAAAAGCAAGAACTGTAACAAACTAATTCACTGCTAGGCACAGACTAGGCACTTACTAAATATTAATGAGGAGACAAATGAAGTAGGGAGCTTCCTTGGAGAGAATTTAAAATGTAATTTGACATAGGACAAACATCAATTTGGACAAAACTTTTCAGAAACATATTAATCATTCAAAGCCAGGCATTTGTGCCTAATTCTTATCAGGCTTGGTTCCTCATTGTGTTATCTCCATGTTCCTAGCCTGAGCATTTACGTCACATCTTCGTGTACTTAACACTTTTTTTTTTTTTGAGGAAGGCGGCGGGGGAGACAGGATCTCACTCTGTCACCCAGGCTAAAGTGCAGTGGCGCTGTCATGGCTCAC
Source organism: Homo sapiens (assembly GCF_000001405.40). Classification (NCBI taxonomy): domain Eukaryota; kingdom Metazoa; phylum Chordata; class Mammalia; order Primates; family Hominidae; genus Homo; species Homo sapiens. The sequence continues at coordinate 26,181,053 of NC_000007.14, forward strand.
TGCAGCCTAAACCTCCTGGGCTCAGGTGATCTCCCACTTCAGCCTCCCAAGTAACTGGGGCTATAGGTGCACACCACCATGCCCAGCTAATTTTTTGTATTTTCAGTAGAAGTGGGGTTTCACCATGTTGCTCAGGCTGGTCTCAAATTCCTGGGCTCAAGCAATCTGCCCACTTTGGCCTCCCAAAGTGCTGGGATTACAGGTGTGAGCCACTGCACCCAGCCACATTTCTTATAGTAGCTCTGACAAGATATTTCTGTTCTTTTATTGGGCTATTACTTAGTAGGTGCTTTTAAAGCTTGTTGAAATAAAACAGAAATGAGTTAGACCAGTGAATCACTGGCATTTCCATTCTTCCAGATGACAACTCTGGAAGAATATCTAGGAAATGGGGACTGGTACAATTCTAGCTACCCTTTAGAAATCAGAACCCCAGTGGGGGCCCCAAAGCTAGATATAAGATCTGAATGCACACTACCATCACCATCAAGAATCCTCGGCCAAGAGAAAGTACAGTCTGGAAAATGATATAAACACTGGTTCTTGAAAAGAAAAATGCAAAACTGCTCCCCAAAATGCTCACCTTTTAAGAATTAAAAATGACATAAATAGCCATGAGTCAGCATATGCAAAAGTCAGGATTCCTAGTCCTCTGAAAAAGACTCTAAATCAGTGTTTAAATTGTTCATAGGAACAGAATCTATAAGGCAAGAACAGACTATCATGAAAAAAGAAAAAGATCTAGAAAAGAGCCCAAATGAAATTCTAGATATGAAAAAAGTCATTTTCATTGAAAATTCAGTGGAAGTGATGTGAACAGCTAAGGAAAAGGGTAAGTTGGAAGAAAGATCTAAGAAAATTATCTAGAATATACCAGAGAAGATGCAAAATATGAAAGCAAAATTGAGACAATGATAGAAGAGAAAAATCTAAGTTACTTCTAATAGGAGTCCCAGAAGAAACTATAAAATATGAAAGATAAGCAATATTTAAAATGAGTTTATGGCAAAATATTTCCAGAAAAGTCCTCAGATTAAAGGACTACACAGAGCTCCTAACGAAAACAAATTAAGTCCTAGACATACCAGATTGAAACAGAACGTCAAGAACTAAGAAGAAACATTTTTTAAATTACCTGAGATAGAAAAGTTTCATTATAAATAACACTGAGAGCAAACTTACCAGTAGTAATAAATGCCATAAGACAGAGTACTGAGGGAAAACATTAAACCTTATATTTTTACCAGTTAACTCATCATTTAAGCATGAAGGCAAAATAATTCCATGTAGGCCGGGCATGGTGTCTCATGCCTGTAATCCCAACTCTTTGTGAGGCCAAGGCAGGTGGATCACCTGTGGTCAGTAGTTCAAGACAAGCCTGGCCAACATGGCAAAACGCCAGCTCTACTAAAAATATAAAAATTGGCCAGGCGCAGTGACACATGCCTGTAGTCCCAGCTATTCGGGAGGCTGACACACAAGAATCAATCACTTGAACCCAGGAGGCGGAGATTGCAGTGAGCTGAGATCTCACCAGTGCTCTCCAGCCTGGGCGACAGGACAAGACTGTCTCAAAATAATTCCATGTAACAAAAACTGGGTTTACTGCTCAGGTCCTCTCTAAAAAGAACTCTGAAGAGTTCTTTCAACTAGAAAGAGGCTAAAGCATAAAGGCCAGGAGTGAGATGAAGCATCGATAAATTGGTTTTAAAAAAACAAATTGGAGTAAATGTAAATAAGTATTGACTGTAAAAATATTTTTTGAGACGAGATCTCATTCTGTTAGGCTGGAGTGTGGCAGCGCTGTCACGACTCACTGCAGCCTCAACCTCCTGGACTCAGGCAGTCCTCCTGCCTCACCATCCCGGAGTAGCTGGGACCACAGGTGCACACCACCACACCCAGCTAATTTAATTTGTAGAAACGGTCTTGTTGTGTTGCCCAAGCTGGTCTCCAACTCCTGGGCTCAGGCGATCTGCCTGCTTTGGCCTCCCAAAGTGCTGGGATTACAAGCGTGAGCCACCACACCTGGCCAAAATTATATAATTGTGTAACCAACTGGGAGGGCTGGCTATGGAGGGGCAAAATAAGCTGAAACTAACAATTAGCCAAAAATTACATGGAAGTTGTTTATGGTAGGAATAGAAATACTGATTAGCTTTGGACTTTTAAGTATGCATGTTGAAATACTGAGTACCATAATCAGAGAAATAGGTCAGCTGCAGTGGCTCACGTCTGTAATCCCAGCACTTTGGGAGGCCTAGGTGGGTGGATCACTTGCGGTCAAAAGTTCGAGACCAACTTGGCCAACATGGTGAAACCCTGTCTCTACTAAAAATACAAAAATTAGCCAGACGTGGTGGTGCACAGCTGTAATCCCAGCTACTCCGGAGGCTAAGGCAGGAGAATCCTTTGAACCTGGGAGGCAGAGGGTGTAGTGAGCCGAGATTGCACCACTGCACTCCATTCTGGGCCAGAGTGAGATCCGTCTCAAAATATAATAAAAAGTAGAACTTCCAACCAAGGAACATAATAGCATAAAAATCCAGTGTGGAAATAATACCTGGTGATCCTTTAAAGATAAAGCCTAAAGCCCCAACCAGTTCAGTCTTTTATGTGAAAGATGCACTTTTTGTGTTTCTCTACAGAGACATCTGAATGGGACAGATACTTCTTTCTCTCTGGAAGACTTATTCCAGTTGCTTTCATCACAGCCTGAAAATTCACTGGAGGTAATTGGAACTTTGGCTTTTATCCTCGCAGGAACATATCTGCACTGACCTTTTGGTGAACAAATACAACTCCTTTACTTGGATGACACAGCAGTTTAAAGTAATGCTTATTTTTACAGAAGCACTTCAGCTTAGAATTAACCAAATATGTATAGCATTCCTCTTTCCAAATAATCCCAAAGGTATAATCAAATTTAGACTAGTCATGGAAAACAGCGTGGAGATTTCTCAAAAAACTAAAAGAATTATCAGGTATTTATCCAAAGGAAAGGAAATCAGTGTATCAAAGGGACACCTGCACCCCCATGTTTATTGCAGCAATATTCACAATAGCCTTGTAGTTTTAGCGCTTAGAGGCATTTAAACAGCCTCTCTCCTCCAGACTACTTCACTGTAGTTTATTATCCCTGACCCTCCACAATGTGATTACCAACCGCTAGGATGAGTTGCATCTTATTATAAAGTAGCAAATTACAAGATTGTAACATTAGACTTTTTAAGAAAATCCAGTCAGCTTTTATACTAATCCATCTTAATTTCTAGGTTACTCAGAATTCCAGGTATTCTGATTTGGACTCACATCTCGTATTGTATTGCCTGTATTTAACTAGGAAGTTACTGCCAACAGCATCTATCTCTATTAAATGTAGAGGAATTGACAAAAGAGGGGAAAGAAAGTTGTTAGGTAATAGAACTGCTTCAGAAATAGGGCTATTCATGTTTGAAGTGTTTCTCCTTCGTTTTTCAGGGCATCTCATTGGGAGATATTCCTCTTCCAGGCAGTATCAGTGATGGCATGAATTCTTCAGCACATTATCATGTAAACTTCAGCCAGGCTATAAGTCAGGATGTGAATCTTCATGAGGCCATCTTGCTTTGTCCCAACAATACATTTAGAAGAGATCCAACAGCAAGGACTTCACAGTCACAAGAACCATTTCTGCAGTTAAATTCTCATACCACCAATCCTGAGCAAACCCTTCCTGGAACTAATTTGACAGGATTTCTTTCACCGGTTGACAATCATATGAGGAATCTAACAAGCCAAGACCTACTGTATGACCTTGACATAAATATATTTGATGAGATAAACTTAATGTCATTGGCCACAGAAGACAACTTTGATCCAATCGATGTTTCTCAGCTTTTTGATGAACCAGATTCTGATTCTGGCCTTTCTTTAGATTCAAGTCACAATAATACCTCTGTCATCAAGTCTAATTCCTCTCACTCTGTGTGTGATGAAGGTGCTATAGGTTATTGCACTGACCATGAATCTAGTTCCCATCATGACTTAGAAGGTGCTGTAGGTGGCTACTACCCAGAACCCAGTAAGCTTTGTCACTTGGATCAAAGTGATTCTGATTTCCATGGAGATCTTACATTTCAACACGTATTTCATAACCACACTTACCACTTACAGCCAACTGCACCAGAATCTACTTCTGAACCTTTTCCGTGGCCTGGGAAGTCACAGAAGATAAGGAGTAGATACCTTGAAGACACAGATAGAAACTTGAGCCGTGATGAACAGCGTGCTAAAGCTTTGCATATCCCTTTTTCTGTAGATGAAATTGTCGGCATGCCTGTTGATTCTTTCAATAGCATGTTAAGTAGATATTATCTGACAGACCTACAAGTCTCACTTATCCGTGACATCAGACGAAGAGGGAAAAATAAAGTTGCTGCGCAGAACTGTCGTAAACGCAAATTGGACATAATTTTGAATTTAGAAGATGATGTATGTAACTTGCAAGCAAAGAAGGAAACTCTTAAGAGAGAGCAAGCACAATGTAACAAAGCTATTAACATAATGAAACAGAAACTGCATGACCTTTATCATGATATTTTTAGTAGATTAAGAGATGACCAAGGTAGGCCAGTCAATCCCAACCACTATGCTCTCCAGTGTACCCATGATGGAAGTATCTTGATAGTACCCAAAGAACTGGTGGCCTCAGGCCACAAAAAGGAAACCCAAAAGGGAAAGAGAAAGTGAGAAGAAACTGAAGATGGACTCTATTATGTGAAGTAGTAATGTTCAGAAACTGATTATTTGGATCAGAAACCATTGAAACTGCTTCAAGAATTGTATCTTTAAGTACTGCTACTTGAATAACTCAGTTAACGCTGTTTTGAAGCTTACATGGACAAATGTTTAGGACTTCAAGATCACACTTGTGGGCAATCTGGGGGAGCCACAACTTTTCATGAAGTGCATTGTATACAAAATTCATAGTTATGTCCAAAGAATAGGTTAACATGAAAACCCAGTAAGACTTTCCATCTTGGCAGCCATCCTTTTTAAGAGTAAGTTGGTTACTTCAAAAAGAGCAAACACTGGGGATCAAATTATTTTAAGAGGTATTTCAGTTTTAAATGCAAAATAGCCTTATTTTCATTTAGTTTGTTAGCACTATAGTGAGCTTTTCAAACACTATTTTAATCTTTATATTTAACTTATAAATTTTGCTTTCTATGGAAATAAATTTTGTATTTGTATTAAAAATTAACTTTTCCCTTTTATACAGAATCTGAACCAAATTTACCTTACTTTCCTTCCAAAATATCCACATTCAGGAATATAGGTGAATAACAAATAAGGCAGCATAGCAAACTGCTCAGACTCAAGCCAAATTGAGGTCAACATAGTATGCCAAATCCATAGTAAGGCAAATCCACCCCCCTACCCCAATACTTAACACACAGAATACTATGTGATATAGAATGCACTGAAGACCTACGGTCACTGGTAGTTTGAGCCACAGGCCTTCCTCATGTAACCAGAGACAGAATGGGCTACTTGCAAAAACGTAACTCCTTGTGTGTATATTAAATCCATAAAATCTCTGGCAGTAAAGCCAGCCTGAAGGGATGGCCTCACCATCTTAGAATACTGAGATCTCACCAGAACACTGTAAGCCATATAAACAGTAGGGAAAGAGTCAGCAACAGTGAAACCATCTGTTTAAAATGGGCAAAAGCGATTAAGGGAAAAAAAACAGGTGAATTTGAAAATAAACCAGGGTAAGGTAAATTCTAGAAATAATAGCATTTGAAATGAAAACCTCACTTAAGTTCACTAGAACAGTAAACAGGAGATTGCTGAATTTTTTGAAGACAGCAATGACCTCACCTAGATGACTCAAGTTTGGGGAACATCAAGATTTTGACGGGTACTATAATGCTTAATATGTCCAAATTTTCAAAATGAAGTTTCTCAGATATTATTTCTGCCATAGGAGCTACAGTGTAGAGTATCACATAAGTATCTTGGGCTAGAGAAATGCAGTTTATATATACCGTTGGATTTTTATAATAAAGTTTCCCAAGACCTGTTATTTTGCCAGAAATGCTTCTAGTATGCTTCTAGATAAAATTGCCCCTTCAGTGACTCATGGTGTTCAAATGATCATTTTAGTCTGTTGCTTTTTACAAGGGAGTATTTCAAATGTCTTAAGCTTTTGATAATTATAATTTAAGAACACACATAAAACATTTCAGTAGGAAATCCTACTAAGTACACTCAAAAGAGTGCCTGCTTATCAGATAGCATTCTTTTCAAACCTCTAAAATAAAAGACAGTGGAGAGCAGAATCGGTAATCATGGTGACTCTTGTTACCCATGCTGAAGTGCAGTGGCCCCAATAAAAGATCCAGCCTCAAACTCCTGGACTGCCTCAGCCTCCCGAGCTGCTCAGATTATGGACCGCCATGCCTGGCCTGAAGTTTAAACTCTAAAAACCCTTAAATATAGCACACACAGATCTAGTAACTGCAAACTGAATATATTTAAAGATGGTAGTGTCTGTACTGAACTTTATTCCCCATACATAATGCAGCATACCATTTACCTAGCTTCTACCTTGGATTAAATATTGGGTAACCTAGACAACTCAAGTGTATGAGATGTGCTTAGACCACGTGCAAATACACGTTTCATACAAGGGGGCTAGAGCATCCACATTTTGGTATTGTGGAGGTTCCTGAAACTGATGGGCCCCTCTCCCATCAAGGGACTTTTAATCGGCGCATTAAGCAGCCAGCGTCACAAGCTCTAATTGGCTATGGGCTGGCTTCCTGACATAACCCTGCCTCCATCTTAACATGCTGGATTCAAGGTATATAAACTGCAACTGCTTTTCTGACAGTCCAGTTTTAGAGGCAGAAGGGAATTCCACATTCGGCTTCCAGTGCAAACCAACTAGATTACAAAGCCAATGCCCGAAAGCTGACCATTGCCTAGGACCCTCCACATTACCTACCTAGTTGAGCAGTCTTGATTGCATCATCTAACGTCTTAATCAGAATGAGGAAGACAAGAACAAAGACAACCCAAGTGGGTTGGACATCTCCTTTTCCAATTAAAACTATCACTTGAGCATCTTCACAAGTGTGATCAGATTTTAGGCCAATTGTACGGCAACTCCAAGCAAAAAAAGACCTAGATTTCTAGTGGTCCCCTGGTCTCAAGGTAGGCTTCGGTTCAGCAGAGCTTCAGAACCAGTATACAGGGTTTTGTGTGGTAATATTAACGTCTTTTAAACGCACTCAAGTAGCTAAATCATTCCCCATCTCAGTCTCTGAACGATTTGTTCTCTGTTAAGTCCATGCAACTCAACTGATTTGTTACCAATTCCCCTCCACTACCCCAAAACAAGCCAGTGTTAGTGCATTACTAAATAGTGGAAATGTCAAAAATTATGTAGGGCCTGTCAACATCTCAGTATATTAGTTCCAAACCTTAAAGAGAGCGAATTTATGTAACATGCAGTCCAGGTGTCCTGACAGATGTTTTCCACTTTTCAACCATCAGTGACAAACTGAGACTTGTTGCCTTACATTGTTAGCTCCCAATGCCTAACTAGTATTTATTAGGTCAAGCAATTTGGCATCTACCAAATTGGGCTACATGGAAAAGCTTACACATACAGAAATCTGGTTTCACACTAGTGAATAAACTGAGTAAGGGCACCCCCTTGAGTGTGACAGCTGGCATCTGAGAGTTCCCAATGCTCCCTGCCTGCTTGGTAATTGTACCAGGGAAAAGAACCCTCCCACCACATTCTGTGACCATAAAGGATGCAAGATAGCACGACTACTTCGTAGAGCGTGTTCATTTTACAGCTTTTCTTGCTCAAATCACTCACCGAGGGAAGATGACAACCAGGATTAACTTTAAAGCTGTTAGTATGCCACTCTGGATATTAAAAAAATTCTCCAATCCTAGTTTTCTGTGATTGGAACCTTGAGCTTTACCCAGAATCAGTTAAGTTGCTCCCAATTGCTGACCCATAGATGCTGGTTTGTTTCTCTGAACTGCTCTTAAGTATTGAGGTAAGTTGTTACACAGCAACAATATAAAGCCTTGGCCAAAAAGCAGCCTTTCTTCATTTAGGGCACTGTCTCAAAGCTACACAAGAACTACCTTAAACTTCAATTTCTACAAGAGAAACAGCTCAACACAACATATACACACAGGAAATAAGCCTATGTTGAATATCCAACATTACCCCCATGCTTCAGTAAACCCTCCTTCAATCAGTTCATTTCAGTCTATTGTGCAATTACCTAATTCTCCCCTATTTGTGTGATATTCCCTTGACCTTGGCTGGATAGGAGTTGGTATTTTGAGGTTATGCATATCAACCTGATGTATTTCAAAGTTCAACGTCTTTGTACATCCACACATTTTTAAACCTTCAAAATTTTCTTAAAGTTGGGATATTTGTACGTCTTTAATTGACGAACTCAGCTATTTCAAACAGAAAGCTGCTTTCTATGTGTTACCTGCTGTTAAATTTGACTTACCTGTTAGATACCTCACATTATCAAAACCAAAACAAATTATCATAGAAACAAATTAACCTGGTCTTTTTGGTTTTCTTAATTCAGATAAATGTCCAAATAAACACATTTAAAAAGCAACACTGATATTCATTTACTCAGTGTAAACCACAATAAAACTAATTGACATTTGACAATCTAGCACATATTGTAAACCTCAGTGCTTCTGCAAAGCCACTTAATCTGGACCACTCCAGCCGGTTAACCTTTAAAATCCATGATTTTCAAAATGCCACCAGTATTGCTAAACGTAAAAGTAAAGCCAGAAACTTTAGGAGTACTCAAACGCTGAATATACAGTGCATAATGAACAGCATTTTATTGGGGACAGCCAATAATGTCCACAATGCTCTTCTCATTTACCTGTTAATATTAAAATATGCATAGCTTTGTGAAACTGCTTTTAAAAATTTAGGGGATGGTGATCTTTTAGACAACCAAATATTTATAGAACAAGATTCACACATTTTATGTGTAAACATTACACCAAGTATTTGGATACAAAAAGTATTTATTTTATAAACTTTATATTTAAAATAGAATTGTAATCTGTCTACTCACAAAACCTAATTTAAAACATGATACATTTATCTCTCTAGCCAATTTGATGTTACTGTTTTACAAACAACACTCATTTTGTAATTGTTTTATATCAAGAACCTCAACTAAATGTTTGTTTTATCAGAAAACATTTCCCTTTTATTTTAAAGAGTGCTTTTTAAATGAAGGCACCAACAAGAACTACTTTCAGATGGTACAGAATTTCTTATTTCTTGAAGACTCTGTGGTTGACCACTTCTTCATTAGTTACCTGCAGCAAGACACCTTCCTGCCAAAGGAAAAAAAAAGTATCTGAAGAAGTTTATCATGTTTGTCCAAAAGAACCTAAACAACTTCAGTGGTGGTCTTAGGATCAAAGAAGACTCATTGGTGTATAGAGTAAGCCCTGAGTATCACATTCCTGTAAAGGCAATAAAGCCGGGCAATCAAACTGATCATATCTAAGGAATGAATTTCAACAGCCAACCTACAACTTTCTCTTCAGGGTAAGACACTGAACTAGAATTACCACATTTAACCCACCTATTTAGTACTGGATACATACCAGGCTTCATAATGCAGACAAGACACTTCACTCAAGTATGAACTACTATCTGAAAATAGATTCAACCATTTTTGCCCTACCTTCTTTCAGTCTCATCCTGATAAGCATGTACAGTTACAACCATAAATACAACAAATGTCTTTAATAAAAACCCCTAGTTCACTCAAAATGTTTGATCCAAGAAATGTGAATACACAAGGGTGTAACGATGGGAAATCTCATGATTTATTGAACTTGCAGCCTAACTTTTACCTACCATTTTACTACCAACACCACTGAAGGAACCAAGAAAAGCTTTATTAATGATCACTTGGCTTGCCTCAGCTGTTGAAATGAAGCACTTTACAGTCTTTGTGGCAGCAGAATATACTTGTCCATGGTTCATATCAATGCTAAAATTCCGGCAGGGAAAAAAATGATATGTTAAGCACCCAAATCTTCACATGGAGGGGGAGGGGGTGGGAAAAGAAGGAAAAAAAGGGAAAAACAACCAAAATAATTTAAGTAAATGACAGATTGGAAAACAGGGTTTATAAAAATTATTCTCTTGAGTTTATAAATTGTTAAACTCAATTTATAGCTATGTTAAACTACGTAAGAACCACTATACTGAAAGACCATTTAAGAGTATTAGTTTATCTTTTAGGGAGGAAAATTAAGAAAGGAAAAGTAAATAAGATCTTACCTAAAGAAGTTTAACTGAAGCTTAGAACTATTTTGCTCTACACCCTCAGCTTTCGTTGGCATCCTTATAAACTACTGTAGTTAAAGTTTTGTAGAAACAGCACAGTTTTTTAAGACTGGCTGAACTTAGTAGCCGTCAAGAGTTCTCTTGTACTAGACCTGTGTCCCTGAAGAGTACCTCGCTGGGGTTATTTCCTTTCCTTGCATTGAAGAAGCAGCATCTAAAAGATCTAAAAAGGTGTTTCTCCTTGCAGAGATATCCCTTAAGTTATCTACATAATTTAATCCTGATGAATTGCAGACAACACACTTACATCTGACCAGCATTTATCTTATACAAATATAACAACAGCTTTGCAACGGACCTTAATTATACTACCCACTCCTTAACTTATTTAAAATAAAAAGTCTATAATTACACAATTTCCTTTAGAATTATTTTATTAAATCATAAATGTACAACAGCTTCTTAACTCTACACACGCACTTAAATTTTTTTAAAGGAAAAACGTTATGTCTTATTACACCATGATCCTGGCTAATAGCTTTTCAAAACTTTGAGAAAAATCTTAAAAAAGGTTTCACATGTCACCTGAAACTTACAAATTTAACATTATCAAAGAAGGAATGCTTCTACACTCTTACAAAGACCACTAGAAAGAAACAACAATTAAAAAGCTAAGAAACTGTCTCAAAGGCATTTTTTTTTACAATCCTTCCTCCACAGTAAGGTAATGTTATTAAATAATCCAATCCATTCACAAAATGGCTCTCTGCATCTGCTCTGGTGTCTTCTGCCATATCACTGCATATTTATGCATGACTGAGATAAGAGTTTCCTTAACATTGTTATTTCGATAACCTGAAGCTGTTCTGTTACCTCTGGGCTCTCATCCTCTCCTATTTATACAGTGAAGCCTGTTTCAACAGAAGTAAAGAGTAAAAAAAAAATAGGTTATGAAATTATCCATCTAACCAGATTTTAAGGAAAGATAACATGATCCTAAAAAGCTTTTACTCCTGCAGCTATGTCTCCCAAGATAATAATAATTGTAAAACTCAAAAGCTACTTACCCATGGCAAATAGGAAGAAGCTCAGTATCGGCTCCTCCCACCATAACCCCCACTTCCTCCACTGCCTCCTGGACCATAGTTTCCTATAATTGTTGGAACAGCAAGAGAAAACAAACTTACTTTGATTTCCCATGATCAGCCTAACACTACAGTTGATTCTATTTTATATCCATCCAGTCTTTTAAACAAGCAGATCCTAATCCTTTGCAGCCAGTTAGCAGAATTACTCAGGAGATAAATTACTCGGGTTCATAGACATTTTTATTTCGTGGCTGACCCTATTCTTTTAAATAAAGGGTCCTTTCACCCTCTCATCCTCATTTGGACTGAGTAAGGGATTTTTTTAAAAGTACATCAAGCCCAAGACAAAGCTAGTTTACTCCTAGCTAAAAACCTCAAAAATAAGCTAAGCAATGGTTTGAATCATGGTTTAAGGATTTAACTTCAAAGACCCTCATTCCAATGTATACCACTTGCAATGTGGGTTGCAACTGTATTTAGCTGTTTATGAGTCCCCACCAGAAATTAAACTACTGAACACCCCCACCTCCAACATCCCTAATCCCAATTTGATGTCATAACTGCTTGCTGAGTACTTCTGTGGAGATTTATGCAAAATTTCTTTATTTTCACTAAGACCGTACATGGAGCACTGCCCACAGTACAAACTACTTAGTATGTTATCTTCCCTTTAAGTCACAAAAGGCTAATCCTTTAATCACAAAAATCTGAATAACCTCAATTTTTATAAATTACCTCCACCATATGGTCCCCCCATGTTCCTGCTACCACCAAAGTTTCCACTCTTCATTGGACCGTAGTTAGAAGGTTGCTGGTTATAATTTCCAAAATCATTGTAATTTCCACTTCCATAATTTCCTATTAAAAAATTGGAATACTCAGAACAATACAAACATTAAACCAAGGACTTAGGACAAAGCTCCCATAAAAACAAATAAAAGCAAACACTTATCCACAAATTTTATGGGCATCTAGTGACAAACATGGAAACAAAAGATCAAGTGTTACAAAGACATTAATTCCAAATTCCCACATAAAGGTTGCAGGTGAATTTATTACCTCCTCCATAGTTGTCATAACCACCTCCGTAGCCCCCACCCTGGTTGCCATATCCAGGTCCTCCACCACCATATCCTCCTCTTCCTCCTCCATAACCGGGGCTACCTCCAAAATTGCCACCTATTATAAAATAAGCCTTTAAGTAATCACTTAATATTTTCAATACCATTTTGAACTGTCTCCTCACATCCATTTCCAGCTTTCCAAGTTTCCATGTGAAATATTTAATGAAATTCCTCTAAAATAGCTTCAAGGACTGAATAACTATCCTTGGTAAACATTTGGTGGCTGGGGTTACTCAGCCAAATGGATAACACCATGTGCACACAGTTAAATACCTGTAATTCCACAGCTTTCCCTCAAAACTAAAAATCTTAAGTATCTTGAAATACTTCATGTATATTGTGGGTAAGGACTGTGAGGCTAGACTAGTAGTGTGGGCTAGAGGGAAAGTAAAAGAGCACTTCCTCCTACTGGCCCAAAAGATAAAGTTTCTATTATGTCTCTCTACGAATTACATATCTTAAAACAATGTTCTCGGTTGGGCACAGTGGCTCATGCCTGTAATCCCAGCACTTTGGGAAGGCCGAGGCGGACGGATCACGAGGTCAAGAGATTGAGACCACCCTGGCTAACACGGTGAAACCCCATCTCTACTAAAAATACAAAACATTAGCCGGACATGGTGGCAGCAACCTGTAGTACTAGCTACTCTGGAGGCTGAGGCAGGAGAATGGCGTGAACCCGGGAGGCAGAGGTTGCAGTGAGCTGAGATCACACCACTGCACTCCAGCCTGGGCGACAGAGAGAGACTCCCTCTCAAAAAACGAAACAATGTTCTTGGCTGGGCGCAGCAGCTCACACCTGTAATCCCAGCAGTACGGGAAGTTGAGGCGGGTGGATTGCTTGAGCCCAGGAATTCAAGACCAGCCAGGGCAACACAGCAAAACCCCCACACCTCTACAAAAAAACACAAAATTAGCCGGTCATGGTGGCACACCCCGTAGTTCCAGCTACCCAGGAGGCTGAGGTGGGAGGATGGCTTGAGACTAAGATTGCAGTAAGCCAAGATCACACCACTGCACTCCAGTCTGAGCAACAAAGCCAGACCCCATTTCAAAGAAAAAAAACAGACCCAACACTCCACACAGTATGTTCTTTACTGTAAATAGAAGTGCGGACATAAACAAAAATTTACACTTTCACATACTGCAAAACAAAAATAAAAAAAAAAAAAAGGCTGGGCATGGTTGCTCACGCCTGTAACCCCAGCGTTTTTGGGAGGCCAAGGTGGGCAGTTCACGAGGTCAGGAGTTCAAGACCAGCCTGACCAACATGGGGAAACCCCGTCTCTACTAAAAATACTAAAATTAGCTGGGCGTGGTGGTGCACGCCGGTAATCCCAGCTACTCAGGAGGCTGAGGCAGGAGAATCACTTGGACCGGGAAGGCAGAGATTGCAGTGAGCAGAGACGCGCCACTACACTCCAGCCTGGGTGACAGAGCAAGGCTCCGTCTCAAAAAAAAAAAAAAAAAAGAAACCATATTAAAAAAAAAAAAAAAGCTTGTGGGCTGAGTCTCTAACTTGTAGTTAAATACAAGAACTCAGCTTCCTCTAAAATTTTAATTATAAAAAGTAGAACAGTGAGATACACTATTTAGTCATGCCTATTGAGTGGCAACACCAGAAATCAAGTCTATTACCAGCTCAGTTTTAAATGTCCCTTGTTACAAAATCTGTCAGTGTGTATCAGCCTTTTCTGTACGCCAATGATATATCACACTTCATGTTTAATGGTAGTTCACAACCTTATCTGCAGCCAGGAGCACACTAAACATTTTGGAACATTTCCGTAGGTTACGCTTTTTGAAAGTTATCCTGGGATGCTTCCCATCTAGTTACGGGTTTAGACATATTTCATATTTTTTCCTACATATACCACCCCCTTAGGTTTTACTCTGTTAAATCCAGTATTCTGTACTTTTCCAGAGAAGCACGTACAAAGATATATCTAGATCCAATCATTTTGCTTGAGAAAAGATGAGATACTCTGATGGTTATCTTTACATTTTCATTTAAAATGGCACTCTATTCCTTAGGCTATAACAGCTAAGATGGCAAAACTACTTAGAAATAACTGGACCACTATCACCCAAGCCATTTATAGACACTAATATAAAATGTTTAAAAACTCAAAATATAAATGAAGTAAATATACGATATAGTTAAGTATTAGTCACATAAACAAACCAAAACGTAGAGGAAAACTGACCTCCAGGTCCTCCTCCATACCCATTATAGCCATCCCCAAATCCACGTCCACTGCCATATCCATCTGTTAGGGGCCAAAAAAAGATTACGTTTACTATAAACTGTTCAGCATTATTGCTAATATTCATTTTCAGTTCTCTTACTACCTCAGCACAATAATTAAGAACCGCAGAAAAGGACACACCAGTGCTACCAGTTTACCCACAAAACATGAAAGCATATAATTAAATCTACCGCCTAAATTTTGGACTCTTAACAAGTCTCAATCTTAGAGATTCCATCCTATTTATACGTAAGAATGACACTTGATGGGGGTCAAAGCTTTTCGGATGACACTTCATGTTACATTATTAATCCAGATAAATACAACTGTTATTAATACAACTCTATTAACTTCTTGTCTGGCCAAATCACAAGAGCTTGCCAGGATACAATCTATTTGAAGTCTTAGGAAAATTGACTTAGGTTGGATTTCTTGATTCTACTAATGAAAACCTAATCATATTTAAAATAAAAGCACACTCATCCTTTAAACACGTAGAACTTGAAACTCACCAGATCCTCCTCTAAAGTTACTTCCTGGTCCTGGTCCGAAATTTCCACCGCCACCACGTGAATCCCCAAAGCCAAAGTTGCCTACAATAAATGCCCCAGTTAGAAGCAAGCCCTTATATATGAACAAAAATAAAGAAGAAACAGAATTAAAATTACCTCCTCTTCCACTCCTAGAACTCTGAACTTCCTGCATTTCTTGTCTAGACAAAGCCTTTCTTACTTCTGCATTATGACCATTGATGGTATGGTATTTCTGCACTGGAATGAAAAATTCAGACTCCTTTTAAATTAAATCAACAATATTAAGCAGCTTCAAAAGTTTACCTTTCAATAAAGTTACAGATGTTAACATACACAAAATTGAATACACTGGAAAAAAACAGTACATTTGTGGTTAGACACTTACATACGATTTTATCCACAGGATCATGGTCATCAAAAGTAACAAAGCCAAAGCCTCTTTTCTTTCCAGACTGCCTATCAGTAATTATCTCAATGGTATCAATTTTTCCATATTCCTCAAAGTAATCTCTAAGGTGATGTTCCTCAGTATCTTCTTTAATTCCGCCAACAAACAGCTTCTTCACAGTTACATGAGCCCCTGGTTTTCCAGATTCCTAAAATAGTGGTGGGGTAAAAGTCATCCAAACAGAAAAAAACACAAGCATAATTCAAAGCACCCAACCGTAGTACCATACTTCGCTTGTATCCACCTTAAAACTACCAGATATAAAATAGCTTTTAGGGACCTAGCTTTTGAAAAATAAGCTAGCTTAAGAAAATGGTCCAGAAACCCAACACACCTTTAATAAGAGAAAAAATCTTGAGTTAAAACTAAATTCAGAAATAGTTTCTGATTTTCAGCAGGGCAGCGTTCTTCATGTTAATGCACAAGACAGTCATTGTTTGCTTACCTCTCTTGCTACAGCACGTTTTGGCTCAACTACTCTCCCATCAATTGAATGAGGTCTTGCAGCCATGGCAGCATCAACCTCAGCCATGGATGAAAAAGTTACAAAACCAAATCCTCTTGATCTTTTGCTTGCAGGATCCCTCATTACCTTTCAAACCAAAGGGTAAACTTTAGCATTTAATCTCATTATAGCTTATAAGTGAAGTCATAATAGAATTTTTTACTATGCTGATAGTTATTTCCTCCATGATTCACTTAACATACAGCTAAAAGACTAATATCCAGTAACAATTCAGTAATTTACATACCACACAGTCTGTAAGCTTTCCCCATTGTTCGTAGTAGTTCCTCAAACTTTCTTCTGTGGTTTCAAAGCTTAAGCCACCAATAAAGAGCTTACGGAACTGTTCCTTTTCTCTCTGCAAAGGAAAATACCATTTCAATTTTTATTTACATTTTCCTCTTTGTATGCAGGAAATTAAATTCTTAAATATGAGGTGACCTGCTGGCAGAGTACCTTTTTCCTCTCCAAAGGAACAGTTTCTAAAGTTTTCTGGGGGGAAAAAAAAAACTTACATCAAATTTAAACCATATGTTAAACTGCATATTAGTTGTGTTACACCAAAAAATTGCCTCAGCTGATCTACACAAGTTTCAAAGTCATTAATGCTTGATATAAATTTACTCAACATTAAATTATCTTAAATTATTAATTAAAAAAAAAACTTTCTAAGGAAAAATAAACAAATGTAGACCGTGATTATCAAAGGATTATTAAAGAATCTTTACCAAAAATTTCAACCCTACAACCTAAAAACGCAAATTTCTATTTTTAAACATCAGAAAATAACTCTTGGTTCATTACTTATGACCCAAAGTTTTTATTTCACTATTCAATATCTGAAAAGTATCATTTATTTTCCCTTAACTGCCCCCTCTGGTGGTGATTCTAAGTATCTCAGCCAAAAAAACACAACTTTTTACAACAAACACTAAGTTTCTCCATATGACTCTCAGTTACGAAAATATTTAAAGATATGCATTAGAAATAACCTTAAAAATTACTCTTATAACCAGGACAAATTAATTTTTATGACCAGCAGCACTCGAAGCTTAAAAAGTTTAATTTTTGGTGGACATGTCTATATTTGATATATGACAATACAGAATATGAATTACTCAGCTTAACCATATGTACAATAAAATACATTCACGTGGCATAATCTCTAAGATAACAATTACTGAAAGCTGAAGCTTACTTGATTGGCCATGTGGCAAGCGACAGGCACAAAACAATTTTCCAAGTCAATAGGAAAAACCTCAGAGCTGAAATCTTTATATGCTGTACTACACAGCTGTATTCTGGGCACTTATGAATGTTAAGGAAACCTGTCTTAAAAGTTAACTAGGTTAAAAAACCTCAAACGAGAGAAAGTGATATCCAGGACCAACTGCTACAAACGCATAATGCAAACTAAAAAGTCACACGTAATTTTCAATCAATTATTTTTTGTTCCTAGCAAGCAGCATTAATTGCTGCTCTCATCCCAGTTCTACGGAGCTCTCCCTCCATTCGCATGCTCCCAACTCCTAAAAAGTAGTGGTAAAACCCAGTTCAGATTTTTTTCCTGTAGTTTTCATGACTCGTAAAAATTAAAGAAAAAATTAACTGAAATGATCAAACTAGCTCCTATGAGACACAAAGCAGTCTTTTGAAATGGTTACTTGTCACGATAGTTATTTTCATTTTTTCAGCTAGTTTTTATTCTTAATTGTCGTCAGCACATAGGTTATCTCTAAACTGAAATTACGGATAATGTACATTTATAACAAGTTTTACAAATCACTAACAAAAAGCAAAAACTCATTACTTACCTCACAATTTATCCAAACTTACCCGATGTCCACTATCGATTTTAAACAATGTTATTTTATAAACGTGCTTAGGGTCAAAGAAAATAACCAGGTAGACCCCCTTCGCTTGAGACCTTATGCTTATCAATGTAATGTTCAACCAAGATTGCAAACAAAATGAGAAAAGTAACAAAGTTCAAATACAGAGCGGCCCAGGCCCAAAACAGTTTTGCACATCAATCCATACGCATTACAGGAAGGAGCCTCTGAAGCCATGTTTTAATCGAAGTATAACTAAGGACAAAATCGTTATTTCACTTTCCTCGTAATCATCTATAAAGGTCCATGGATCTGTCCCGTAAGGGTTAAACTTCTCAGTAACAACATTACTTAAAATGAGTCAGCTCTACAACTTAAACGGAATCCTTAAGAACAGTAAAGGATTCTGACGCGAATATCCCTCCCCCGCCCAGAAAACCACCTTCGTCCCTGCCCCTCGTGGCCGATGGCTTCCAATTTATGTTTATTTTGCCGCGGTTCATCTGTCGTTTTACTGACTGCAGACCCAGATAAAACCGTTACTCAAAGGAAAAAAAAGACAGGAAAAACATAAAATGGTTTCTTTGTCCTACGGCTCGCATTGAACCCGGCCCGACGCCCTGGGTGGTGATATCTTCTCTGAAACCGGGCCCGCAAACCCGGAGCACCCCCCCTCCCCGCTCTTCGGTGTGGCTTCCGAACGCAATGGCGCCATTTCATCGAGGGGAAGGCTGAGCGCCTTTAATGAGGTGCGCAGGACTCTAAAGATCCAAGCTCACAAAACACTCCAAATCCACCTCGAAACGATATGAAAACAGCCCGAGAAGAAAAAAAAATAGTTAACCACTTCTACTTCTTGATAGAGAAAGCACACTAAGAAAATAAAAGAGTTATAAGGAAAACGCTGAGAGGAAGGCGAGCCATGAAAATGGCGGCCGCCAAATCCGGTTCCCGGGAGAGAGGGGGAGGGGAAGCTCCGCAGCCTCGCTCACGAGGACCTGCTGCCCGCCGAAACGCTCGCCGAGGAGACGCCGTGGCCCCCGAAGCAGCGTGCTTTAGAAAGGGAATAAGAATTCCCGCCTCCGCGCCCCACTTTCACCCCAGCGGGGCAGCGTCCGCCATGTGAAAGCTCCCCATCCCCCACCCCCAGTGAAGGGAAATGGCGCCGGGAGGCTGAGGGTGGGGAAGCTGTTTGTACGCTCAGGCCTCCGCTCAAGACCCCGTTCATAAACCTTAAGCCCCACTGCTACTGAATTGGTCCGATTTCCTGCCTCTCTCCCACGGAGGCGGCTGGCCGACTTCCACTGAGGCGCCAACGGCCTCGCCATGCCCTTTTCAATAACTCATTGATTTCAAACCCGTTACCTCCATCGCGGACTCAGTCGCTTCAGCCCGATTTCCCGCAGCCGAGCGAGATGAGAGAGATCTCCGCGGACGAACACGAACCGGACTCGTCCTGGCGCTGTAGTGAGAACTGCCGCTGCTCGAGAAACAACTCTGCGAGGAGCACCTCCGCACGGGACCCGGCGCTGCTGCTACTGCCGCTAGAGCCGCTGCCGCCGCTTTTCTAGAACCTTCCCCCCCACTAACGCGTCTTCCGCTACGTCAGGCCGTCGCGTAAACGCCCTATCCGCCGCCAATGGCGGGAAGGCTCTACGCCCCACCTTACGCCAAATGCGTACTCCTCCCACCCTTGCGGCCAGAGACAGTACCCGACGTTACTTCCGTAAATGCGCTCAATGAATTGCGGAAGGCTAGAGTCCTGCTAGTTACTACCTCTTGGAATAGGGTCCCGCCCCCTGCCTTGGCGCAAGGCAGGTGAGAAACGGTCGCGCAGTTTGAAATTAACGCCGACGGGAGGGGCTTAATCCGCAGCCTGGAGATCCAGCCCCCTCAACCCGGGAGGTGGTCCCTGCAGTTACGCCAATGATAACCCCCGCCAGAAAAATCTTAGTAGCCTTCCCTTTTTGTTTTCCGTGCCCCAACTCGGCGGATTGACTCGGCCCCTTCCGGAAACACCCGAATCAACTTCTAGTCAAATTATTGTTCACGCCGCAATGACCCACCCCTGGCCCGCGTCTGTGGAACTGACCCCTGGTGTACAGGAGAGTTCGCTGCTGAAAGTGGTCCCAAAGGGGTACTAGTTTTTAAGCTCCCAACTCCCCCTCCCCCAGCGTCTGGAGGATTCCACACCCTCGCACCGCAGGGGCGAGGAAGTGGGCGGAGTCCGGTTTTGGCGCCAGCCGCTGAGGCTGCCAAGCAGAAAAGCCACCGCTGAGGAGACTCCGGTCACTGTCCTCGCCCCGCCTCCCCCTTCCCTCCCCTTGGGGACCACCGGGCGCCACGCCGCGAACGGTAAGTGCCGCGGTCGTCGGCGCCTCCGCCCTCCCCCTAGGGCCCCAATTCCCAGCGGGCGCGGCGCGCGGCCCCTCCCCCCGCCGGGCGCGCGCCCGCTGCCCCGCCCTTCGTGGCCGCCCGGCGTGGGCGGTGCCACCCCTCCCCCCGGCGGCCCCGCGCGCAGCTCCCGGCTCCCTCCCCCTTCGGATGTGGCTTGAGCTGTAGGCGCGGAGGGCCGGAGACGCTGCAGACCCGCGACCCGGAGCAGCTCGGAGGCGGTGAAGTCGGTGGCTTTCCTTCTCTCTAGCTCTCGCTCGCTGGTGGTGCTTCAGATGCCACACGCGTCCCGGGGGCCCGGTTCTCCGCTCCCCTCCCCTCCCCTTCTCGCCGGACCCCGCGCCGGGAGCTGCGGGAAGGAGTGGAGGGTCGGGCGGTGGCCTCGCGGCTGGCCTGGCGCGCGGCCAGCGCCGGTAGTTAGTGGGGGGACTGCTCTGCCCTCGAGGGGGTAGGGAGCTGTGGCGACGGTTGCCCCATTTCGAGACAAAGCGCATTTCCCCCTCCCCTCCCCCACCCGCGTTCCGGCGGAGGCGCCCCCTCCCCCAGCCGCCACGCGGGGCTGGGTCGAGACTTGGGCCTCCCGGAGGGCGGCGCGTGGTCCCGCGTCCGCGAGGCCTGGCGGCGCGCGGCCGGCTGTCCCGAGGCTGCGGCGACCGCCCAGTTAACGTGGCCGCCGCGGGGGTAGGCGCGTGCGGTGTGGCGCAGTGCCCTTGAGCCCCCGTGCCGCGGCCTTTGTTTCTCCCCGCGGATGCGCTGACCACGAGGCCCGCGCTCCCGGGTGGGGGCGGGCACCCGCGCTTAGGCCTCTGGACGCCGGGCTTCAGCGGCGGGGGTCGGGAGCGGGTGTTTGCAAGAGGTGATTCTTTTTTCAAAGTGTCACGAAACGGGGTTGAAGCATCTTAAGTTTTTTCCTTTTGTTATTTAATTACCGATTGGAAAGAGGGAGGGTTTCTGAGCAGAAACCAAGTTGGGATTGCAGAACAGAGAAGATTCACAGTGCTTTACCGTTGTGAGTTGTTTGGGTAATCGTGCCTGGTTTTAAACCGAAAGGATTGTCCTTTAAAAATGGAACATGGACTTTATTATAAATGGGACTTAGATTGGAAAAGACATTGGTCCCCTATTTTAAGCCATGTGAAGCTGTTTTAGGTACCAGGATCCCCAGTAAAGTCTTTCTAGACTCACATGGTTAGGACACGTACTTAAGTACATCATAAGCAATGTAGGTAGGAGCGCAGATCTACTCTGGATTTGTATTCACGTTTGAAATGTGCGCTCTCTACTTGGGGGTTGGAATCCAAACAGAATTTGTATTTAGTTACCTTTTTTGTGTCATGCAAACTTACCTTAACTGTCATGCATTTTTCTAGTAATAGCTCTTCAAGTCTGCAATAAAAAATGGCCTCCAACAAAACTACATTGGTAAGTTAATGAAAACCTAAAATATGTAAGGATTTAACTCAAGTTTTTTTTCCCCACAGTATAACTTTGCATCTCTGTGGCTGAGAAATTTACATCCACATATTTCCCAGCTCTCCCAGTGTAAATTACAGGGGAAAATTAAGAGAAAAACGAATTCATTACAGGGAGATACTGGCTTGGCTTAATAGTGTCTTAACTAGTTCAAAGAAGGCTAATCTTTGAAGGACAGTGCAATGTGGATTTTGCTGAGGATTTTTATCTTCAAATAGAAATACACACATTTTTGCAGCGTTGAAAAATGTTACATAAAATGGTAAAGCCCTTGTTGGTTGGCATAATTTTTCTTAAATCCCCAGAATTCTGGAGAAGTATTTTCATTAAAGCCCAATTTAAAGAACAAGGTACCTTGTGCACCTAGGTTGGAGCAAAAGTCATTGAATCTTTCAAATTACTTTGGTCACTTTATCTTGTTTTAACTTACTCTAAAACATAGAAGAATATTAAGTTTAATTCATTGCAGTGTTTTGTTTTTTAAACAAAATGATCGAAATCGCAAATATGAGCCAGAAGGGAGAAAAGGCTAGATTTTTTTTTTATCTTATTCAGCCATGTCATGTTACAAGTTTTTTTAAACCCTGGAATATTCACATAAAAATCATGAAATTCAAAGTTACAGTTTTCACAATATTTAACATTGCATTAATCTTAAACACGTAAAGGTGAATGTTAATGTCTCCTAGGTAAAATAAAGCATTTGTTTTTGGCTTGTATGTGCTCTCTCTGGGTTTCACACTAAAAAGGGCACGTTAGTGATTTTTAATTTGTGCCATCATTAGATTCTGCATTAAGTCTGTTTACCCTGCATTAGATTCTGCATTAGATTCTGTTTACCCTGGAAAACAGAAGTTGTTTTTGCACGCAATTGATAGCCTTTGGGGTCTGTTATTGTATTTAGTTTATTTTGTGAAGGATCACAGGTTGGCCACTTTAAAAGTTCTTAACTTTCCATTTTAAAAATTCATTAGTGTTGTGAGATATGTGTGCTGTTAATTTCACTTAAATAATGGGAAATTTATTTTGACTCATCCACTTTTGGAAAAAAGTGCTGGGTTAAGGCAAATATATACTATAAAAGAAAATAGTGAGCATTTGAAACTAGCTTATGAATGCCATAGTAGTGAATGAATACTGTATGGCATTTTGTCTGCCTTTTTTTTTTTGTAAACCTTAGTGTGTATCCTTTTCATTTTCTGTATTTATTGTTGACTTTATTTTGTTAGCCTTCTCCCTTTGTGGCAGTAGCTGTTTTGTTTTTCATGTAGTATAGGTATCTGATACACTTCTGTCTATTACAGTTTGTCTTTGCTCCTCCCACCATTATTCCTACCTTCTTGTACTGTACAGTGGCAGAAAGCTGTTTGGGCCCAGTACTCAAGTATCTTGACTAATGAGAATCATAACACCTGACTTAGAAATGGTATCCAAAAACGTCAGGTGTTTGCTGCATGTTTTTGTATTTCAGGGGATTTTTATTTTGTGTGTGTGTATGTGTTACCTATATGCTTGCATAGCTTGAAATGCCCTTTTGCAGTCTTGAGGCCTTTCTTACATATCTGTCTGCACACTTCATATGCCTGCATAGCTTGAAATGTCCTTCTGTAGCCTTGAGGTGTTCTTAACTTTTTTCTGCTTGCTGCTTTACTTGTGGGATGGCTTTAATGATTGAGCAATTAAGGTTTATCTTTTTTAAATAGTATTTGGGTTTTTTGTTTTTGTGTTTTTTTGAGACAGAGTTTTTCTCTTGTTGTCCAGGCTAGAGTGCAATGGCGTGATCTTGGCTCACCGCAACTTAAGCCTCCTGGGTTCAAGCAGTTCTCCTGCCTCAGCCTCCCAAGTAGCTGGGATTACAGGCATGCACCACTATGCCTGGCTAATTTTGTATTTTTAGTAGAAACGGGGTTTCTCCATGTTGGTCAGGCTGGTCTCAAACTCCTGACCTCAGATGATCTGCCCACCTCGGCCTCCCAAAGTGCTGGGATTACAGGCATGAGCCACTGCCCCCGGCAATAGCATTTGCTTTAAGATGAAATGTTAAGATGGATTCCTTCTCAGCCCATAGGATCTTCTGATTAACCATTTCAGGGTTTTTTTTCCCCCATTTTTAATCCTCTCATAAAAATTTTCCCCATTTTTAGTCCTCTCATAGGAAATCTTGAGCCATTGGAAAGAGCTGGTTCACGTTGGTTTCCTGCTTCTCTTAAATAGTGTCATACCAAAGAAAATGCCTGTTTAAAGTGAATTTGGTTACCAGTATAGACTTTCTCTTGAGAAACCAGGAAGGAAGGATTTTTTTCACCTTAGGGAATTAAAATAAATTTGTAATGTTGGTCTCTTGAAGTGATAGCTTTATAGTTTTGTTCTAAGTGGTAGGAAATATTATCTACAGAGATTATGGAAAAATAATCTTGTCCTTTAATTGAACCTCCTAGTGGTCTCTATAGTTGACCCTGCAGTTGGTATCAGGATTTTGAACCATGTTTTCATTCTGCATTTATCTTTTCTCTGTATCATTGATGCTTTTGACATTAATATTTGAATTGAGAAGGGGGCTGGGGCTTTTACCATCTGGGGGTGGATACAAGGTCTGTCATAGGTTCACCTAAGACCTGTCACTACTACTTGCTTCTCTGTATCACCCTTTAGGTACTTCCTGCATAGTTGTTTGTTGCAGTGTTGTTAAAATGAGTGAAAATTAGTAAACTTGGTCTTTTAAGACTACAGGGCCGGGCGCAGTGGCTCACGCCTGTAATGCCAGCACTTTGGGAGGCCCAGGCTGGTGAATCACTTCAGGTCAGGAGTTTGAGACCAGCCTGGTCAACATGGTGAAACCCTGTTTCTAATAAAAACACAAAAAAAATTAGCCCGGCATGGTGGCATCCGCCTATAATCCCAGCTACTCTGGAGGCTGAGGCATGAGAACTGCTTGAACCTGGGGAGGCGGAGGTTGCAGTGAGCTGAGATCACGCCACTGCACTCCAGCCTGGGCGACAAGAGTGTGAGACCCTGTCTCAAAAAAAAAGACTGGAAAAAAATAACTGTTTCCAGATAGTGTTTTTTTATTGTATTATTTTGGTGGTGGGTTGTAAGTTTGAACTAAATGAACAAGATAAAGCATTCTTTTATTTTATTGTCTGTTGACTTTTAATCTTTCCAGAAGGTGTCTGCCCTGGGATATAGAAGTAAAAATTTATGTCGAATGTGATAATAATATAAGCAATTGAGCCTTGAAAATGTGCTCAAAATTCAAGAGGAATATTTCTTAATTTCTCTTTTGTTTTATTTTAGCAAAAAATGGGAAAAAAACAGAATGGAAAGAGTAAAAAAGTTGAAGAGGCAGAGCCTGAAGAATTTGTCGTGGAAAAAGTACTAGATCGACGTGTAGTGAATGGGAAAGTGGAATATTTCCTGAAGTGGAAGGGATTTACAGAGTAAGAAACTTTAGTGCATCTTTACTATATGTTTAACTGCAGCTAAGTGGTTTTAGAATTTGTTTTTAACCTGGCTCTTTTACCTGCTTTCCTGTAGGTGTCTTTAAATGTAAAGACACTTTGAATTTTAGGTGTCTCATTTGAGGTCTATTTCAAAAGAACCAAGACTTTATTGTACAGTTGAAGGTGAGCAGACTAGAGACTAGTTTATTACCCTGGGGAGTCAAATTTATAAAATTATGGAGTGTAGTTTACTATGTAATATATTTTAATGTGGTTAGATATTACACTAATTAGAATAATCTGCATTATTTTCCTCCACACAGAGGGTGCTAAAAACATTGAAGCTTTACAATATAGACTAGTGGGTCTCATACAGGATTACATATAATCTAGGCTTTATACTAGGTTTATTATATCCTTATACCTAAGAAGTAGAACCTGGGCATGTTTTAAGCTCTCTGGTTCCTTGTGTTCTTTGATATGGATTGCTCTCATTATTCTTGATAATGTTATTCACAAAATGTGAATAACTTGAACATGCAACAATTACATACTTTAACGCTTGGGGTTTGTTGTGCTTATCTGCTTTGATTCTTCCCCCTTACACCACAAAGCTCCATAGGCAGTGACAATTAAAAATGGATAGGTGGAGATCAATTTCCTGAGCACGCTGGAGATGGAGCATATGATAGTCGAATGATTGGGCTTCACCTATCTGTTATCTCCTACTTCCCCTGCTCTTCACATTTAATTCATAGCAGTTTGGGAATTATGAATTGAATGGGAGATTTACGTTTGCCTGTTTTATCCTTCAGTATTCTTAGTTTAAATTAAGTATGTGTCGTAAGTCCCTTCTTTATTAAGCCCATGAAACATGAAAAATTATTTTTACCCATCAAAACATTAGGAAATGAATGGGCTCCTCCCTCTTCTCCCAAAACTTAAGGCCACTAGCATGATTATAGCGTACTTCCCATGTGCAGTGTAACAGGTAATGTAAAAGACTTTTTTTTGTTTTGTTTTGAGATGGAGTCTCACCCTGTTGCCCAGGCTGGAGTGCAGTGGCGTGATCTCAGCTCACTGCAACCTCTGCCTTCCGAGTTGAGGCGATTTTCCTGCCTCAGCCTCCTGAGTAGCTGGGACTACAGGCGCCTGCCACTATGCCCGGCTAATTTTTGTATTTTAGCAGAGACCGGGTTTCACCATGTTGGTCAGGCTGATCCCAAACTCCTGACCTCAAGTGATCCACCTGCCTTGGCCTCCCAAAGTGCTGGGATTACAGGTGTGAGCCACCGTGCCAGGCCAAAGAAGACTTTAATGAAAATAATACTACAGAGCAGAGACTTTTATTGTCCTCTACCCAGTAATTTGGGTTTACTAATTTGGAGTCTCAGGGTAGCAAATTAGAATATAGGGCCTGGGTGCAGTGGCTCACACCTGTAATTCCAGCACTTTGGGGGTCCAAGGCTGGAGGATCACTTGACACCAGGAATTCAAGACCAGCCTGGCCAACAAAATGAGACCCCTTCTCTATTAAAAAAAAAAAAAAAGTGTGTGTTTTAAGTTAGCTGGGCATGGTGGTGCATGCCTGTAGTCCCAGCTACTTGGGCTGAGGTGGAGGATCGCTTGAGTCGGGAGTTGGAATCTTCAGTGAGCTATGATTCCACTACTGCACTCTCGTCTGGGCAACAAAGCAAGACCCTGTCTCTGGCGGAGGCAGGCTGGGGGGTGGGGTAATGTAGGGAAGGAGGAAATGATTAGTATCTGCAGTACAGAGGACTTTTTATTCCCCCGGGTGTCTATTAAAATAGATCTGGATAATGGTGATGAATCATATTTAATTCAATCACCTTTTTTTTTTTTAATAAACTAAACACAGTGCTGACAATACTTGGGAACCTGAAGAAAATTTAGATTGTCCAGAATTGATTGAAGCGTTTCTTAACTCTCAGAAAGCTGGCAAAGAAAAAGATGGTACAAAAAGAAAATCTTTATCTGACAGTGAATCTGATGACAGCAAATCAAAGAAGAAAAGAGATGCTGTAAGTATAAAATATTGCCCACCAGCTTGTCCTTTTGTAAAAGGTTGATGGCTTGATTTCTTTTTTGTTTGTTTGTTTTTTTGAGATGGAGTCTTGCTCTTGTCGCCCAGGCTGGAGTGCAATGGCATGATCTTGGTCACTGCAACTGCCGCCTCCTGGGTTCAAGCGATTCTCCTGCCTGAGCCTCCCAAGTAGCTGGGATTATAGGTGCCCACCACCACGCCCAGCTAATTTTGGTACTTTTAGTAGAGATGGGGTTTTGCCATGTTGGCCAGGCTGGTCTTGAACTCCTGACCTCATGATCCTCCCGCCTCGGCCTCCCAAAGTGTTGGGATTGTAGGCATGAGCCACCACGCCTGGCCTTTTTTTTTTTTTTTTTTTTTTTTTTTTTTTTTTCCTGGGAGACAGAGTCTCCCTCTGTCACCCAGGCTGGAGTGTAGTGGTGCAGTTTCGGCTCACTGCAACCTCCGCCTCCAGAGTAGCTGGGATTACAAGCGTGTACCACCACACCCAGCTGGTTTTTGTATATTTAGTAGAGACGGGGTTTCACCATGTTGGCCAGACTGATCTCAAACTCCTGACATCAGGTGATCCACCCGCCTCGGCCTCCCAGAGTGCTGGGATTACAGGCGTGAACCACCACACCAAGCCCACCTTTGACGACTTGCTTTTTTAAAATTCAGATACTTTTATAAAAGGCCTCTTAATCGTATTTTAAATATTTTAATACTTAGGACAATAAGGATGGGCGTGGTTTAGCCTACTTTGTGTAAATGTGCAGTAAGTGCTCATGCCACTTAGGTTGTGCTAGTGCAATTTTTCTTAGTTTCATGGATTTGATCCCTGATCAGACCAATTACCTGTGATCCAAGGCTAGCAATCTTAAATACAAACAATACTAAGATTGGATTATCGAAAGCCTTTGCACTACAGTAAGAACAACGCAAATAGAACTTTCTGATTATAGTCCATCAATGGCATTGACCACCGAAAAGTACTTGCATGTCATCTTTGTATTGCCAAACAATACCTTGATTTTGAAGTCTGTAATCTTTGATAATAGTTAAACACTTTTCTTGGCATGAATTGAGACATTCAGTTCATTCACTATACATGTGTTTTGGTCCAGTCTTTGCTTTACTTATGTCTCTGTGGCGTCAGGCAAATCAGGTAACTTCTTACTTACACCCTTGATTGTAAAACAGATTATACTTGTCTTGCCTACTGACCTAGTGTGGCAATTTGGGGAAACATCTTGGTGCTGAATTAGGTTCTAGGCTCAGGCACTAAACATGATTTAAAACTTGATCATTTGAACTAGAAGCCAAGTACAACCTTCAAGACAACTCTGTATAAGGTCATAGGTATAATCACTATTTTACAGATGAGGAAACGAGATTGACTACAAATTTGGTTTTGAAAATAAATCACATGCTCAACAGAAGCAGTTTTGGCCAGGCACGGTGGCTCGCACCTATAATCCCAGCACCTTGGGAAACCAAAGCAGGAACATCGCTTGAGCCCAGGAGTTGGAGGCCAGTTTGGGCAACATAGTGAGACCCCATCTCTACAAAGAAAAAAAAAAGAATCAGCAAGACGTGGTGGACACCTCCTGTAGTCTCAGCTACTTGGGAGGCTGAGGCAGAAGGATTGCTTGAGCCTGGGAGTTCAAGGTGCAGTGAGCTGTGATCATGCCAGTGCACTTTGGCCTAGGCAACGGAGCAAGACCTTGTCTCAAAAAATTATTAAATAATAAATCAGGCACAACTTTAACAACACTTATTGAGTCCTTAGCATGTGCTATACTGTGTGCCAAATTATTTGCTTTTAATGTGCTGTGAAATATCTGTGCAGTAGATACTAAAATTCTGTTTTATTAACCTAAACCACAAAGAGGTTAATTAACTTGCCCAAAGCCACACAGCTCGTAAGTGGGGTAGGTCCATCATTCTCACCCAGGCAGTGTGACTCCAGAGCTTGTGACATTGATGTAAAACTCTGACAGGAATAAAGGATTTATTGATATCATTGGTTCTCAAACTTTTTTTGGTCTCAGGGCCTCTTTATACTCTAAAAAAATTATTGAGGATCCCCAGAGAGCTTTTGTTTATATGGGTTATAATTATCAATACTAACAGTAGAAATTAAAACAAATTTCTAAAATGACTTTTCTAAAAAAGCTGAGAAGAGTAGCATTTTACATTTTTACAGATATTCAACATGTGTCTTAAGGCAATTTTACTTAAACACATTTGATTGCTGTGGCGGATCATTTTGGTGGAGGTATATGAAGACAATCCAAAGTCACAAATAGATGAAAAAAGGGGGCCTTACACAACCCCCTCCCAAAAAGGACTCTGGAATCCCCAGTGAATCCGTAGACCACATTTTGAGAGCCACTGGTTTATATTAAGTACTTTCTAGCGCAGGGGGTCCAATCTTTTGGCAGCCCTGGGCCACATTAGGAGAATTGTCGAGGGCTACACATAAAATAGACTTAATACCAACCATAGCTGATGAGCTAAAAAAAAAAAAAAAAAAAATCGCAAGAAAGTTTCAATGTTTTAAGAAAGTTTACAAATTTGTGTTGGGCCTCCAAAGCCATCCTGGGCCACAGGTTACACAAGTTTGTTCTAACATTTACTATCATTTAGAATGATTACAGATAGTTGGTATGAGTTTTAACATTTTTAATATTTCTTACCGTTTGTGTTTTGTTTATGCTTTTAAAATGTGTCAGTAATTCAGACTAATTCCTGGAAGTCATTTGAAATATATTAACTTTCAAGACTTTATTATTACCAGAAATAAAGAGGTTAGTTTTTCTGTATGCCCACACAACTCTGACTTTGGT
This sequence comes from Homo sapiens, assembly GCF_000001405.40. Lineage (NCBI taxonomy): Eukaryota > Metazoa > Chordata > Mammalia > Primates > Hominidae > Homo > Homo sapiens. The sequence continues at coordinate 26,211,410 of NC_000007.14, forward strand.
GTCATTGAACGCAGTAATTTTCTTGACTTTTTATTCTGAATGTTTTCAGAAATTTTAAGTATTCTACGTTGAGTATCAAACTCAGGTTTTTCTGCTTGTAAAGTTAATGGAAATCAGATGTTTTTAATTACCAAATATGGGTTCTTGCTCTAGTCATTTCCATCTCACTATTGGAATGTTTTTATTTAAAATACGCCATGAAAACAATTTAATACTCTGAGTTTGCTGTATGAAAAAATGTCTTCTAAACAGGCTGACAAACCAAGAGGATTTGCCAGAGGTCTTGATCCTGAAAGAATAATTGGTGCCACAGACAGCAGTGGAGAATTGATGTTTCTCATGAAATGGTGAGTATGCAGAGATTGTTACATTTGAAAGTAAGAGTAGCTTTTTTTTTTTAATTTGTGAAATGGTTTTTCATCATTAGGTAGGGAAAAACTATCTGCTGAGAGGATGATTCTGGTTACTTTTACTAGTAGTGTTTTAAAGCAAGGGTCAGCAAACTGTGGCCTGTTTTGAAAATGAAGTTTATTAGAACATAGCAACAAGTAACATAACTCTCCTGGAGCACTTCAATACCTTTTGTTTGGACTATTATTTCTTAAATGAATGGCTGTCGGTTGACATGAACAACTTCGACTTGTAACTGAATTTTTCTTTTTCTTAAAACAGGAAAGATTCAGATGAGGCAGACTTGGTGCTGGCGAAAGAGGCAAATATGAAGTGTCCTCAAATTGTAATTGCTTTTTATGAAGAGAGACTAACTTGGCATTCTTGTCCAGAAGATGAAGCTCAATAATTGTTCACATTGTTCTTTTATATATATTTATATATATATATAAAAATTGGGTCTTAGATTTTGATTTACTAGTGTGACAAAATAACTACATCCTAATGAAAATCAAGTTTGATATGTTTGTTTTGAAAGTAGCGTTGGAAGAGTTGTTGGGGGTTTTTTGCATCCATAGCACTGGTTACTTTGAACAAATAAATAAAAGCTTTCTGTAGTTGCTTCCTTTATCAGAAAAGAACATTTGATACCATGGTATATCATTTCCTCTTCATTAAAGAACAGCTTTTCTAAATGTTGGGGGAAATGTCCATAGTCATTACTCAGTCAAAACTTGTGTTCTCATGAGCCTAAGGACCATTCTAGATTTATTACGTGTTTTTTGTGTGTGTGTGTGTGTGTGTGTGTGTGTGTATCCATAAAATGCATATGTAAATTTTTTTTTGTTTTTAAGCATTCACCCAAACAAAAAAATCACAGGTAAACCCATGTTTCTGAGATGCCATTATTCCAAGCAAAATAAGAGATAATCCCTTCAAGTTAAATTGAAAATTTTCCTGAAACCATACATTTCAAGTGAAATAAGTAATTCTAGATAGGACAATTTAAATTGGATAATTTTAAAGTGTCTATAATTGCAGTGGTTTATTTGCAAAATTCCTAAAAGGAAAAATTTTATCACTGCCATCACAGCAGGTTTCCTCATCCAGATGAGGAAACTAGACAAATGCTAGTGTGTTTTAACTAGCTAAACAAAACTAAGTTAAATGAACATTTAAAAGTTTCCCTAGCGGGCCATTCCTTAGCAAAATGTTGGAATCCCTGTTGCTACATTGACTAAAAGGTCATGATGAATGGAATATGTAAGACTTGGCTCATAGAAACCTAATCAGATGGTTAGAGGTGTTGGCAGTTTAGGACCTGCTGTCATAAATGTGTGAACAACCTTTTGTAACCTAACCTATTGACCTGCATGTTTTTTCTTTACCCCAATTCATTACATGGAGGCTCAATCTTGAGTTTGCTTTACTGGTTCAGCAAAAGCCAGGAAGAACAACTTTGTAGTAATCAAAATGTTATCCAACTGTATATTGTTTACTTTATTGTAAATACTGGTGAACAGTGGTTAATAAATAGTTTTATATTCCTTTATGCAATTATTAGACTTTTTTCTTTATTTGATATGCCTTTACAGTAGAAATAGAAATGCCCACACTCATTGGATTATCTTTGTTTATAAGTTAGATGATACCAGTAAGGCATTACAGTACATATCCTAGATCTTTTGAGCTTACGAGTTTTAAACTTGAATATGTATTTCCACAGGAATGTTTCCACAGTTGGGAAATAAAAGTTTCATGTGATGCCTAGGGTCAATTGTCTCATTAAAATGAGGTTTTAAATTCTGGTTTGTTGTAACTGTCTTCTAAAGAATGTAAAGTATTCTGATAGGGCTCAGTGTGATGATAGACACATTTTAATTGATTTCCAAAATCCATACAGAAAAAGGTAAATAACTGATGTTTATTAAGTACCTCCTTATATATATATATATATACCCACCACTGCTCTCAGCGGTGGGTTCACAGATGATAGAGAACCTTCTATTCATATTAGTAGTTGGTGGCCCTACATTCAATTTTACTAAGGGCATTTCTGAAAACAATATATTGTCCTTTGGCCATGCATGGTGGCACACACCTGTAATCCCAAAATTTGGGGAGGCCAACGCAGGAAGATTACTTGAATCCCAGAAGTTTGAGATCAGCCCGGGCAACAGTGAGACCCCCACCTCTACAAGAAATTTTAAAATTAGCTGGGTGTGGTGGCTTGCACCTGTAGTCCTTGCTACTTGGGAAGGTCCCTTAAGCCTAGGAGTTTAAGGTTACAGTGAGCTCTATGTCAATACCACTGTGCTCCAGCCTGGATGACAGACTGTTTCTCAAAAAATTTGAAAAATATTGTTTTTTTATATTCTCTAGTGTTTGTATTAGTTTCTTATTGGTGCTTTAACAAATTACCACAAATTTAACCCATTTATGGCTGAAAATAGTTCTGTAGGTCAGAAGTCCAAAATTAAGCAAGCTGAAGTCAGGTTATCAGGGGAATTCCTTCTGGAGGCTTTGATGGCAGAATCTTTCCTTCTCTCTTCCATTTCAAAAGGCCACGTATATTCTTTGGTTCCTGGCCCTTTCCATCTTCAGAATCAGCAAGCAGTGGAGCATCTTGCATCATCTTTCTCGCCCTTCCTCTCTTCCTCTTTCCATCTCTCCTGTCTACCACGGTGTATTATGGAAGGATTGAGCCAAACCATTCATTCAAATTCTTGAATTCCTGGAGCTTAGATCTTTAGCTGAAGAGAAAACCCTTTTTCTATCATTTCTACCCTCTGATGTTTATGTAATAGGCTTCTTGTAACAACTCAGATGCTACAGAAGTAAGGCCACCTCATCAATTTCCTTGCTTCAAACCCGAAGTTCAATTGATACCCATATCTCTGGATTTCAAGACCAGCCTGGCCAACATAACAAAACCCCCTCTCTACTAAAAATACAAAAATTAGCCAGGCATGGGGGTGTGTTCCTGTAATCTCAGCTGCTGTGGAGGCTGAGGCAGGAGAATTGCTTGAACCCAGGGAGCGGGGGTTGCAGTGAGACAAGATTGCACCATTGCACTCCATCCTGGGCGACGAGTGAAACTCAAAAAAAATAGTTTTTAACAAAAAATATATTTGCAATTTATATTTCACCCAGTTGTTATCTTGGGTCATCTTACTTAATAAATACACTAAAATATACTCTATTCTAGCATAGCTGCTAGCCACTCCAGAGAGGTTACCTGGGTTGGAATCTGCTATTTGATTCTGAACAAATTAATGTACTTCACCTCTCTGTGTCTGAGTTTCCTCATCTGTTATTCATGGGCTCCTATAAGGGTGAAATGTATGCATGTGAGACAGAACAGTGTCTTGTGTTTGTTTAGTAATCAAGATATTTTATATCTTTTTAAATAGGGACATAGTAGGGTATCATATGGCAGCTCCCCAACTTAACCAATTGCTGGGTATGAGTACTCAGGTGGTTGGTAGTTTCCTACTATTAGACTAATGTAGTGAGGCCGGGCGAGGTGTCTCACGCCTGTAATCCCAGCTCTTTGGAAGGCCAAGGCGGGCAGATCAGGAGGTTAGGAGTTGGAGACCAGCCTGGCCAACATGGAGAAACCGTGTCTCTACTAAAAATACAAAAATGAGCAGGGCATGGTGGCGTGCACCTGTAGTCCCAGCTACTCAGGAGGCTGAGGCAAGAGAATCACTTTGGAACACTGGAGGCAGAGGTTGCAGTGAGCTGAGATCATGTCACTGCACTCCAGCCTGGTGACAGAGTGACAGAGCGAGACTCTGTCTCGAAAAAAGGATTAATGTAGTGCACATTCTTACATATAGTGACACTTAGCAGATAGATGGATTCTCAGAAGTCATCAGAGAAGTCAAGATTGCAGTGATTTCTATCAATAACCATTACCCCATTTCCTCACTAGGACTACAAATTAACAACATTGATCTTACTAATTTTTAATCTTTTTTAGGGATGGGGCCTCACTATGTTGCCCAGGCCAGTTTCAAACTCCGGGGCTCAAGTGATCCTTCCACCTCAGCCACCCAAAGTGCTGGGATTACAGGCATGATCCACTTGCCAGGCCGATTTTACTAATTTTTAGTCAATCTGATGGCATCTTGGTTTAATTTTGCATGTTTGATTTTGTTGAGCATTCTTTTCATATTTAACTTTGCATTTCCTCATATGTAGATTAGTCATGTTCTGCATAACAAGGCTTTGATCAATGATGGACAGCATATACGATAGTGGATCCCATAAGATTATAATATCAGTATTTTTACACTACCTTTTTTATGTTTAGATCCATGAATGCTTACTGTTGTGTTACAGTTGCCTACAGTGTTCAATATAGTAACATGCTGTATGGGTTTGTAGCCTAGGAGCAATATCTGGCCTAGGTGTGGAGTAGGCTGTACCATCTAGATTTGCCTAAGTACATTGTGTGATGTTCACACAGTAATGAAATTGCCTAATGATGCATTTCTCAGAACATCCCTGTCATTAAGCAATGCATGACAGGAAATCATGCATTTGAGTTTGATTATTACTAGATCTTCCTTTTCTATTTCTGTCACACAAAAAACAGCCCAGTTTATTTTGTCTTAACCACACGACCCTCAGGCTCCTAGCTGGACTCATATGTATGGCTCTATTCCCCCAGAAGACTAATGAAGACAAATGTGTTTTAATGGGAAAAACTCATAGGCTGTCTTACATTTGATCCTTACAGTAGGCTTTTTTCTCCCCTCCAGAGATGGGGGTCCTCGTCTGTCATCTGCACTGGAGAGCGGTGGGACAATCAACTCACTGCAGCCTCAAACTCCTGAGGGCAAGTGATCCTCCCACCTCAGCCTCCTGAGTAGCTGGGACTACAGGCACATGCCACCATGCCTGGCTACTTTTTAGAGCCAGGTCTTACTATGTTGCCTACGCTGATCTCAAACTCCTGATCTCAAGTGATCCTTCTGTCTCAGATTACAGGTGTGAACCACCATACCTGGCCCTTTTCGTTTTATTAAGCCAATATGGACATTGAATATCAAGAAAAAAAGAGACCGGGTGCGGTGGCTCATAGCTGTAATCCCAGCACTTTGGGAGGCTAAGGTGGGAGGATCCGTTGAGCCCAGAAGTTTGATGCTGCAGTGAGCTATGATTGTGCCACTGTACTCCAGCCTGGGCAACAGAGCGAGGCCTCATCTCAAAACAACAACAATAAAACAATCTCTAATATGAAGTGAAATGTGAATATTTTGTGTCTGTATTTGTATGTTACCTATACAATAGAGACCCTTTTATCCTTTGTTGAATCAAGTGAATTTATGCCTTGAATATTCACTGAATAAGAGGAGCAATTTTAACAACTTAAGAACTCCAATAGTCGATCTGCCTGTAATCCCAGCTACTTGGGAGGCTGAGGCAGGAGATTGCTGGAACCCGGGAGGCAGAGTTTGCTAAGATTGCGCTACTGCACTCCAGCCTGAGCTACAGAGTGAGACTCTTTCTCAAAAAAAAAAAAAAAAAAAAAAAAAAAAAAAAAAAAAAGATAAAGGAAATTCCTGGCCTAGAGACAATAACAAAGTAGTTCAGAGCACTGGCTCTGGAGCTTGACCTCTTCAGTTTAAATCCGAACTTGCTGTTCGGATTTATTGTATATTTAGGCAAGTTACTTAACTTTCCTATGCCTCAATATTTTCATCCGTAAAACAGGCAGGATAATGATGGTACTTATCTCGTGAGGTTTTCAGGATTAAATGTGAAATGTGAAAAACACCTAGAGCTGAATATCTGGTATATAATAAGAAGAACCAGATCAGTGTTATTGCCAGCCTCCACTGTGTGCCTCAGATGTCTGGAACCTTGACCCAGCACAACCCCAAGACTCGCCATCCCTGGTGTCTGCTGCTTTCCTTACGTTAGCTCTCTTCTTTGGGACTGATTTCCACAAACCGAAAACAGAGCTGCTAGCAACTCCCATATCCCCAGGTTTGTTCTAAGGAGACTGAGACTCACTCTAGTGTCCAGTTTAAAAATCTTCTGGCCGGGCACGGTGGCTCACGCCTGTAATCCCAATACTTTGGGAGGCCGAGGCGGGTGGATCACGAGGTCAGGAGATCGAGACCATCCTGGCTAACACGGTGAAACCCCGTCTCTACTAAAAATACAAAAACTTAGCCGGGCGGTGGTGATGGTGCCTGTAGTCCCAGCTGCTCGGGAGGCTGAGGCAGGAGAATGGCATGAACCTGAGAGGCGGAGCTTGAAGTGAGCAGAGATCGCACCACTGCACTCCAGCCTGGGCAACAGAGTGAAACTCTGTCTAAAAATAAATAAATAAATAAAATCTTCTAGATGGATGCCTTGGCTCACGCCTGTAATCCCAGCACTTTGGGAGGCCCAGGCGGGTGGATCACCTGAGGTCAGGAGTTCGAGTCCAGCCTGGCCAACACGATGAAACCCTGTCTCTACTAAAAATACAAAAAATTAACTGGGTGTGGTGGCGGGTGCCTTCAATCCCAGCTACTCCAGAGGCTGAGGCAGGAGAATTGCCTGAACCTGGGAGGCAGAGGTTGCAGTGAGCCGAGATCAGGCCACTGTACTCTAGCCTGGGCAATGAGAGCGAAACTCGGTCTCAAAAAAAAAAAAAGTCCTCTAAGGCCGGGCATGGTGGCTTACACCTGTAATCCCAGCACTTTGGGAGGCCGAGGCAGGCAGATCATGAGGTCAGGAGTTCGAGAACAGCCTGGCCAATAGGGTGAAACCCCATCTCTACTAAAAATATAAAAATTAGCCGGGCGTGGTGGCGTGTGCCTGTAATGCCAGCTACTCGGGAGGCTGAGGCAGGAGAATCACTTGAACCCCGAAGGCAGAGGCTGCAGTGAGCCAAGATTGCACCACTGCACTCTAGCCTGGGCAATAGGGCGAGACTCCATCTCAAAAAAAAAAAAAAATTCCTCTAAAAGATCTCTGTTTGTCCTGGCTTGCATCAGATGTCCTCCCTGGAACTATCAAGCATAAGGAGATGTGTGGAGTACTATGATTACATCAATCAGCAGAAGAGTGCTTTCCAGGAAAAGGTGGATATTTGCCCTATATAAACAAAATGTATAACTAACGTATGGAATTTCAGCCAATTTGCAAATGCCTTCTTATTTATCTATTTATTTATTTTTTGAGATGGAGTCTCGCTCTGTCACCCAGGCTGGAGTGCAGTGGCGTGATCTCGGCTCACTGCAACCTCCACCTCCCGGGTTCAAGCAATTCTCCTGCCTCAGCCTCCCATGTAGCTGGGACTACAGGCGCCTGCCACCACGCCCGGCTAATTTTTTGTATTTTTAGTAGAGACAGGGTTTCACCATGTTAGCCGGGATGGTCTCGATCTCTTGACCTTGGGTGTTCCACCTGAGTGCTGGGATTATAGGCGTTAGCCACTACGCCTGGCTGAAAATGCCTTCTTAAAATACCTTTTGTTCTTGCTTTTTAGATTTTTTTTTTTTTTTTAATTTTGAGATGGTCTTGCTCTGTCACCAGAGTGGAGTGCAGTGGCATGATCACAGCTCACTGCAGCCTCAACTTCCCAGGCTCAAGCAATCCTCCCATCTCAGCCTCCCAAGTAGCTGGGACTACAGGCACGCACCACCACATTTGGCTAATTTTGTTTATTTTGTAGAACGAGGTCTCACTATGTTGCCTAGCCTAGTCTCAAACTCCTGGGCTTAAGCAATCCTCCCGCCTTGGCACTCCCAGAGTAGAGTGCTGGGATTATAGGGGTGAGCCACTGCACCCGGCCACTTTTTAGAAAACTTAAGACCATAGACTCCCTTTTTTTATTATTATTTTATTTTTTATGTTTTTGAGACAGAGTCTCGCTCTGTCGCCCAGGCTGGAGTGCAGCGGTGCGATCTCTGCTCACTGCAAGCTCCGCCTCCTGAGTTCACGCCATTCTCCTGCCTCAGCCTTGCGAGTAGCTGGGACTACAGGCGCCTGCCACCACGCCCGGCTAATTTTTTGTATTTTTAGTAGAAAAGGGGTTTCACCGTGTTAGCCAGGATGGACTTGATCTCCTGACCTCGTGATCCGCCTGCCTCCCAAAGTGCTGGGATTACAGGCGTGAACCACCGCGCCCTGCCCATAGACTCCCTTTTATCCTTATTCTAGAAGTTTTGCATTTTAGCTCCTTAAAGGAGAAAATAATATGACACTAAAACTAATATTAAATAATCTTTCATGCCAACCTTTTTCCTTATATGTCAATTTCTTTTTTTTTTTTTTTCTTTTTTTGAGACGGAGTTTCACTCTTGTCGCCCAGGCTGGAGTGCAGTGGCGCGATCCCGGCTCACTGCAACCTCCACCTCCCGGGTTCAAATGATTCTCCTGTCTCAGCCTCCCAGGTAGCTGGGATTACAGGCATGTGCCACTATGCCCCAGCTAATTTTTGTATTTTTAGTAGAGACAGGGTTTTCATCATGTTGGCCCAGGCTGGTCTCAAACTTCTGACCTTGTGACCTGCCTGCCTCAGCCTCCCGAAGTGCTGGGATTACAGGCATGAGCCACCGCACCTGGCCATATTTCAACTTCTACTATAAGGATCAGTCAAGCTCAATGGTATCCAACAATTACCTATTTCCCTGATGCATTTTATTAGACACTAACAACACCCTAATTTAATATCCTGAATTGGTCATTCTTATATATTAAGCTAATATTTTTAGTGCTCTAAAGTCACTTTTAGTGTCTGTATGTTCTTATTCATTTTGATGAAAGTAGGAGAGAATCGAGTGAAATGAATCAAGAAAAATGAGGGGCAGACATCAAGGTGAAAAGTGTAGGTGAGAATGGGCATTGGGAAGTTTAAGAATGAAATTAAGAAACCAAAGAAGATATATATTCAATATCCATGCCATCACTTAACAAGGCCTTTTTGGTATTTCAGTAACTGAACACTTTTGGATAGACCCCAAGATGGACACATTTTAAAGGGAAATTAAAACAGTGTTGCAGTGGGTTTCCTTCCTCTTAATTCTCTAGTCTCTTTGTTTAGCTTTCATGAATATCTGATTTCTTTGCCCCAAGAAAACTTTCTAAGTAATATTATAGAAAGCTATCTCTGACCTGATGAAAACGATAAAAATTGGGACATTTTGCAGAGAGAATGCTGTAGCTTTCTTGCAGTTTGTTACATAGAGTGGCAATACAATGAAAAACTCAGATTTACTCTGAAATCCCAGTTGTTCACCACAGAAAGCCATAGTCAACCATTTTCTAGCACCAAAACATGACATCTAGTAGGACAGAATTCTTAAAGCAAATTATACTGCTCCTTTGTAGTATCATGAAGAAATAAGATACTGATCTTTCCACAGGTGGTTGTTAGGCAAACCAGGGCAGAGGAGGACTGAATCTTTTGCTTTCCCCTCTTCTAGAACATGGGAACAAGTACTTGTCTTTTTCACTGCTGTATGCCTAGCACCTGGAAGAGAGGACCTAGCATCTATTTGGGGAAAGGAGTGTTGGAGGAAGGGCCCGAGATTTAAATTTGGGCTTGAAGTATAGTGGTTCTACCTTTTTTTTTTTTTGAGACGGAGTCTTGCTCTATTACCCACGTTGGAGTGCAGTGGCATAATCTCGGCTCACTGCAACCCTCCACCTCCCAGGTTCAAGCAATTCTCCTGCCTCAGCCTCCTGAGTAGCTGGGATTACAGGTGCCTGCCACCGTGCCTGGCTAATTTTTGTATTTTTAGCAGAGATGGGGTTTCACCATGTTGGCCAGGCTGGTCTCAAACTCCTGACCTCAAGTGATCCTCCCGCCTCAGCCTCCCAAAGTGCTGGGATTACAGGCGTGAGCCACTGCACTCGGCCAGTTCTACCATTTAAAAATGCAATACAGCAAGCTCGACATATGGATTACATATTAAGGCTAGACAGCACAAAAAATTATATATATATATATATATATATATATATATATATATATATATTTTTTTTTTTTTTTTTTTTTAACTTAAAAGTGCTGCCGGGTGCCATGGCTCATGCCTGTAATCCCAGAAGTTTGGGAGGCCGAGGCGGGCGGATCACGAGGCCAGGAGTTCGAGACCATCCTGGCCAACATGGTGAAACCTCGTCTCTACCAAAATACAAAAATCAGCTGGGCATGATGGCGGGTGCCTGTAATCCCAGCTACTTGGGAGGCCGAGGCGGGAGAATCGCTTGAACGTGGGAGGCAGAGGTTACAGTGAGCTGAGATTGCACCATTGCACTTTAGCCTGAGTGATAGAGCGAGACTCCGTCTCAAAAAAGAAAAAGTGCTATAGTTTGGGTGAGTCAAGTGCCTGAATGCCTGAATTAATAAGATAGTCCTAGGAATGAACACTATTTTTTTTTCCCTCTCTAAATCACGAAGCCTGCTTTAATTGACCCCACATAATCTACAATGGCCTTCCTTGTGTTTATCATTGTCTTTTTTTTTTTTTTTTGAGACAGAGTCTTGTTCTGTCACCCAGGCTGGAGTGCAGTGGCGCGATGTTGGCTCACTGCAACCTCTGCCTCTCGGGTTCCAGCGATTCTCCCACCTCAGTCTCCCGAGTAGCTGGGATTACAGGCGCAAGCCACCACACCCTGCTAATTTTTGTATTTTTAGTAGAGATGGGGTTTCACCTTTTTGGCCATGCTGGATCATTGTCTTCTATACTGTTAATAATTTATCCTTCTATTCTCATTTATCTAACTAAAAGCATAAGTATTTTTCTTCGGTAGCAGAACAGTGGACTAATATGGTCCCATACCCTATCATTTTGCTATGAGAAAAGAGGGAAGAACAAGGGGAAGTGAGAAGAGTTCAGGGATTTTGAGTACATGGTCATTTTCAAGGATGAATTAAATCCATGATGAAAATTACTATTCTTCAAACAAGCAGCTTAAATTTAAAATGGTACTATTATTATAAAACAAGTTTTAACCATTCGCTCTATACTGAGCTGGTACTGTACTTGGTTTGGACCCAGGTCTATTCTACACAGCCATATTTCTTTTCCTGGTGGCATTTACATTTTAACATGGATGCTGGTGAGAACACTCAATCAAACTGGATTGAAATACAGGAGTGAGTAAAGCAGACATATGCAATTGGGACACCTTGTTCAGCCAGCCAAAAGAAAGAACATGCCACATATGAATCATGCCTCTGGTTGAACAAGCTTTATACTAAGATATTTAATTGTACATTATAAATGTGTAAATAGTATGTTATGTGAATTATATTTCAATAATTCAATGCTTAAAGAAAAAGCTGGCTGGGCATGGTGGCTCACGCCTATAATCCCAGCACTTTGGGAGACCGAGGCGGGTGGAACACCTAAGGTCAGAAGTTCGAGACCAGCCTGGCCAACATGGCGAAACCCCATCTCTATTAAAAATACAAAAAAATTAGCCTGGCATAGTGGTCTGTGCCTGTAATCCCAGCTACTCGGGAGGCTGAGGCAAGAGAATCGCTTGAACCTGGGAGGCGGAGGTTGCAGTGAGCCGAGATCGCACCACTGTACTCCAGCCTGGGCGACAGAGCAAGGCTCCATCTCAAAAACAAAAAAAAAAGAAAAAGCTGCAGTATGAGAAAGCAGTTAGCTGAAAAAATACTTTTAAAAATCATTTTTTAGGCCAGGTGCGGTGGCTCACGCCTGTAATCCTAGCACTTTGGGAGGCTGAGGCAGGTGGATAACTAGGTCAGGAGATCGAGACCATCCTGGCTAACACCATGAAACCCCGTCTCTACTAAAAATACAAAAAATTAGCCGGGCATGGTGGCAGACGCCTGTAGTCCCAGCCACTCGGGAGGCTGAGGCAGGAGAATGGTGTGAACCCGGAAGGCGGAGCTTGCAGTGAGCCAAGATCGTGCCACTGCACTCCAGCCTGGATAATAGAGCGAGACTCCGTCTTAAAAAAAAAAAAAAAATCATTTTTTAATCTGGTTATTATTTTTCTTGCTATTGAGTTGTTTTGAGTTTCTTCGGTATTTTGGATATTAACCCCTTATCAGATGTATGGTTTGCAAATATTTTCTCCCATATCAAAGAGACAAGAGTTATATAATAAAATGCTTAACATAATTAATCATCAGGGAAATGCAAATTAAAGCCACAATCAGCTATCACTGCATACTTGTTAACAATGGCTATTAGCACAAAAACAAAAGATACTAGTGTTGGCAAGGATGTGGAGAAAAAGAAAGCCTTGCACACTGTTAGCGGGAATGTAAATTAGTACAGCTATTATGGAAAACAGAATGGTGGTTCCTCAGAAAACTAAAAATAAAATCACCATATGATCCAGCAATCCTATTTCTGGATATATATATATATATGTAAAGGAAATGAAGTCAGTGTGTTGAAGAGATATCTGCACTCCCATGTTTATCGCAGGATTATTCACAATAGCCAAGATATGAAATCAACCTAAGTGTCTGTCAGATGAATGGGCAAAGAAAATATATACGTACACACACACACAGTGGAATACTCTTCAGCCTTTAAACAGAAGGAAATGCCATCATTTGTGACAACATGGAGGACATTATGCTAAGTGAAAAAAGTGAAAAAAACCAGGCACAGAAAGATAAATGCTGCATGTCTCACTCATACGTGGAATCTGCAAAGGTTGACCTTGCAGAGAGTAGAGCTGGGTGCGATGGCATGTGCCTGTAATCCCAGTTACTCGAGAGGCTGAGGCAAGGGCGTCACTTGAGCCCAGGATTTTGGGGCTATAAGTGCCCTGTGGCCACTGCACTCCAGCCTGGGCAACATAGCAAGACTCTGTCTCTAAAGACAAAAAAAAGTAAAAGCAGAGAGTAGAATGGGGGTAAGGTGGTTATATCAAAACATTACATTGAAGCCTCACGCCTATGATCCCAGCAATCTGGGAGGCCCAGGGGAGTGGATAGCCTGAGCCCAGGAGTTCAAGACCAGCCTGGGCAACATGGTAAGACCCTGTCTCTACAAAAAATACAAAAACATTAGCCAGGAATGGTGGTGCATGCCTGCAGTCTCAGCTACTTGGGAGACTGAGGTGGGAAAATGTATTGAGTCTGGGGGGTCAAGGCTGCAGTGAACTATGATCCCACCACTGCACTCTAGCCTGGGTAACAGAGTGAGACCCTGTCTCAAAAAAAAAAAAATCACATTGAACATTGTAAATACATACACTTTTTGTCACTTATGCCTTATAAAGCTGGGGGAATTAAAAAATAAAATTAAACTAAATTTTTAAAATGTCATTCTTATTAATTTTCTCCTTCATAGACTCTTTGATTTGATCATGCCATCATTTTCTGTCACCTTGAAACTTTCTCTCCTACTTTTACCTTCATGTCTTCCTTTGCTCACACTTCTATGGTGTGACATCAATTTTAAAAAGTCATATTATGCATCTTACAGTGTTAACAGGGAAATTACAAAAGTGTTGGTATATAGTGGCCTGAATTGGGTAAATGCCTAAATCCTGGAATGCCCTGTACACCCACAAAGCTGGGCTGGGGCTTCTTACAGGTAGATTTCCCAGTCAACTAGTAGGGAAATTAGCCGAGCATGGTGGTGTGTGCCTGTAATCCCAGCTATTGAGAGGCTGATGCCGGAGGATCCCTTGAGCCCAGGAGTTGTAGACCAGCCTGGGCAACATAGTGACAACCTATATTAGTACATTCTCACGCTGCTAATACAAACATACCTGAGACTGGGTAATTTATAAAGAAAAAGAGGTTTAATGGACTTACAGTTCCACATGGCTGGGGAGGTCTCTCTGTCATAGCAGAAGGTGAAGGAGGAATAAAGTCATATCTTACATGGCAACAGGCAAGACAGCATGTGCAGAGGAACTATCCTTTATAAACCATCAGATCTCATGAGACTTATTCACTATCACCAGAACAGCATGGAAAAACCCACCCTCATGATTCAATTACCTCCCGTTGGGTCCCTCCCATGACACGTGGGGATTATGGGAGCAACAATTCAATGTGAGATTTGGGTGGGGACACAGCCAAACCATATCACACCCATCTCAAAAACAAAAGAAAAGAAAAGGAAAAACTATTGGGGAAATGTATTTTGCGCTGTGTGGTGGCTTATACCACAGAGAACCCAGATGCAATGTATAAGTACTGGCCAGCAGACTCTGAATTTTGTTTCATAATCTGCCACATCCTCAGCTATTGCCCCTGGAATTCATTACTATGACTTCCATGTTAAGTCTTTTGGGGGTCCCGCATACATTGTTCTGACCCTACGGGGGTTGCAGTGATTCTCCTCCAGACTAGGAACCCAAGTGTCAGTCAAGAGAAACTAATCAGGATGAAATGTACCTTCCAAACAATTCCTGAACTTTGGCTGACTCTCCAACTTTTTGACAGAAAGCAGTTATAACTGTTTTGTTTTTGTTTTTACTATTTGCTTACTGGTTGATTCTTATTGGTTTGTCCCTGCCCCCAAGAAAATAAAGAATACTTGCTAAATTCCAAAATAAAAATGAAAAGAAATCTGTAAGGTAACTCAAGTGAAAACTTCTAAAACAAATTACTAAAGAACTGGTGGGTTTTTAGAATAATTTCTCTTACCATGTCAATTTAACTATTATTGCCAACTTGTTTTTATTCAGCAAAAAGCCAGCATTTTAATTCTCAAACACAGGAAACAAATATCTTTAAGATAAAGACTCTTATTAGAAGATTGTAAATCAGTGGTTCCTGCCTGTAATTCCAGCACATTGGGAGGCCAAGATGGGAGGATCACTTGAACCCAGAGGTCAAGGCTGCAGTGAGCTGAGATCACACCAGTGTACTCTAGCCTGAGTGGCACAGCAAGACCCTGTATCAGAAAAAAAAAAAAAAAGACTCTTTAGAATTGGATAGAAGTTTTCCTGAGAAGCCTCACATTTCATGCTCATAGAAAGGACTCTTGGACTATAGTGGTCAACTAAATATTAGAAGAAAAACAAAACCTTATATAATCATCACAGTGCTTTCATTTGTAGCATAAAAGATACAAAGATGCTTAAATAAATAACTACCCTGGTTGTATAGCAGAATGGCTATACGTCCCCACCAGTGAACAGACAATTACACTAAGGGTGTAAAAGATAGGATGCGAAAAATATAATAAAATTATATCTCGATTTTCACATCATTTGTCCCCTGTACTTTAAATAAGGTATCACCCTAGATTAATAATTTATGTGCAGACTTATTACATACTTTAAGTTGTCTTAGCTTTAGTGATATGCTTCCTAAGAATATTTCTTGCTTGCTTGCTTTCTTGCTTGCTTTCTCTCTCTCTCTTTCTTCTTTTTTAAACTAGGGTCTTTCTGTGCCACTTAGGCTAGAGTGCAGTGGTGACATCGTAGCTCACTGTAACCTTGAATTCCTGGGCTCAAGTGGTCCTCCCACCTCAGCCTCCTGAGTAGCTGGGATTACAGGAGCATGCAACCATGCCCAGCTTTGATGGTTAATACTGAGTGTCAAATTGATTGGATTGAAGGATACAAAGTATTGATCCTGGGTGTGTCTGTGAGGGTGTTGCCAAAGGACATTAACATTTGAGTCAGTGGGCTGGGAAAGGCCGACCCACCCTTAATCTGGGTGGCACAATCTAATCAGCTGCCAGCACAGTTAGAATATAAAGCAGGCAGAAAAATGTGAAAAGAGAGACAGGCCTAGCCCCCAGCCTACATCTTTCTCCCATGCTGGATGCTTCCTGCCCTCGAACATCAGACTCCAAGTTCTTCAGCTTTGGGATTCAGACTGGCTCTCCTTGCTCCTCAGCCTGCAGATGGCCTATTGTGGGACCTTGTGATCGTGTGAGTTAATACTCATTAAACTCCCATATATATATATAATGGAATATATATATATATATATATATTCCATTATTTTAGTAAGTTATTTATATATATACAGATATATATTCATTCCATTAGTTCTGTCCCTCTAGAGAACCCTAATACACCAGCTAATTTTTTTTTATTTTTCAATTTTTGTAGAGAAGAGGTCTTGCTATGTTGCTCAGGCTGGCTTCCTAAGGATTAATATATACGTCATACTGTAGGTGAGATCTTTTTAAAAATTTTTCTCTCCTCTAAGTGATGTATAAGAAATGAACTGATCTGTTCTTATGAAAATAGTTATTCTTTGATATTAGCCCCAAATAACCAACACTATCACTTAGGTCTTTTGATGCCTACTAGCTCTATCCTAACACAGAGGTTGGCAAACTTTGAAGGACCACATGGTGATATTTTAGGTTTTCATGGGCATTATGGCTTCTGTTGTAACTACCAACTCTGCCACTAGCACAAAAGCACCACAGATGAATGAGCGTGGCTGTGTTCTAATAAAACTTTACTGACACTGAAATTGAAATTTCATACAATTTTCATATGTCATGGAATATTATTCTGTTGTTTACATTTTTCAGCCACTTAAAAATTTAAAGATCCTTCTTAGTTTTTGGATCACAATAAAACAGGGAGCTGGTCATATAGAAATAGGCAGAGGGCTGATTCGGCCTGAAAACTAAAGTTTGACATTATTCCACAGCAGGGGACCCCCCCACCAAACCCAGGGCCTCAGTCTGTGGCCTGTTATGAACTGAGCTGCACAGCAGGAGGTGAGCAGCAGGGGAACGAGCATTACTGCCTGAGCTCTGCCTCCTGTCAGATCAGCAGCAGCATTAGATTCTCATGGGATCAAGAACCCTATTGGGAACTGAACATGCAAGGGATCTAGGTGTGAGCTCCTTATGAGAATCTAATGCCTGATGATCTGATGAACTGATGAACAGTTTCATCCCAAAACCTTTCTCCCCATCCCCCAATTCCATGTCCATGGAAAAATTATCTTCCACGAAAGCAGTCCCTGGTGCCAAAAAGGTTGGGGACCACTGTTCTACAGGATTAAGGTGTGTTGGTAAACCTTTCCTCTAAAAGAATCTCTACCTGGCTGGGTGTGGTGGTTCATACCTGTAATCTTAGCATTTTGTGGGGAGGAGGTGGGCAGCTCACTTGTGTCTAGGAGTTCGAGACCAGCCTGGGCAACATGGTGAGACCCCCCGTCTCTACAACATGGCATATCTACTTTTTTGGTTTTGTTTTGTTCTTTTTTTTTCCCTTCAACTTTTAAGTTCAGGGGTACATGTGCAGGATGTGCAGGTTTGTTACATAGAGAAATGTGTGCCATGGTGGTTTGCTGCACAGATCATCCCATCACCTACATATTAAGCCCAGCAATCATTAGCTATTCTTCCTGATGCTCTCCCTTCGACAGGCCCCAGTTTTATGTTGTTCCCCCAACGTGTCCATGTGTTCTCATCATTCAGCTCCCCCTTATAAGTGAGTGTTTGGTTTTCTGTTCCCGAATTAGTCTGCTGAGTTAGTCTGGCTTCCAACTCCATCCATGTCCCTGCAAAGGACATGATTTTATTCCTTTTTATGGCTGCATAGTATCCCATGGTGTATATGTACCACGTTTTCTTTATCCAGTCTATCACTGATGGGCATTTAGGTTGATTCCATGTCTTTGTGTATGTTCATTGCAGCAATATTCACAATGGCATACCTACTTTTTATCATAGTATGCACCATTACCTTCCAGGGCCGATCATTGAAAAAATTGTGAAATTTCTTTTTTAGTTCCTCCTCTCTTCCAGAGATTTCCTTTCCCCTCTCTGGTTTCCCTACAGCTGTCTAGGGTCTCCTCACATGGCATTCCACTGGAGATTGTCCACACCTATACTTCAAAACAGGAGTTCTTAACCTGATGCAAGAGGCTGCATGAATTTAATGCAATACTTCAGGGGAGAAATTTCAAGCCAAATGGTCCAAAATTGCAACATATTCTCAAATAATTAATTCATCACAAAAAAAATTGACTTAAAACTAAAGACCTACTTTAGGTCTTTTCCGCAGTTTTTATTTTTTATTTATTTATTTTTTTTGGAGATGGAGTCTCACTTTGTCACCAGGCTGGAGTGCAGTGTGGCAATCTTGGCTCACTGCAACCTCTACCTCCTGGGTTCAAGTGATTCTAGTGCCTCAGCCTCCCAAGTAGCTGGGATTACAGGCACCTGCCACCATGCCTGGCTAATTTTTGTATTTTTTGTAGAGACAGGGTTTCACCATGTTGGCCAGGCTGGTCTCAAACTCCTGACCTTGTGATCCACCCGCCTCAGCCTCCCAAAGTGCTGGGATTACAGGCGTGAGCCACCGCGCCCGGCCTTCTGTAGTGTTCTTTAAACCCATCTGTCCTGTTTCCCACCCCTCACAACCATGGATTCTGCTTTCCAAGGTAAAATCAGTAAGCTAAGAAATTACTTTGCCCTCCTTCCTTCCCCATCCTTTTAATATATGTGCACTCTAACAGTGTCCTAAAAATGATGCTCAAACACAAAGTTCCACTGTTGGAATTACAGGCATTCTGGTAGGCTGAAGTTTTCCTGGTGCCCCTCAGAATGCTCATGTACAGTCCTTCAACATGCCCCGCCATTCTATGATCTCTTCTTTTACCTACCCCTTCCAACCTCCTACCCACCTCCTACTGCTTTCAATTACCCTCTACTTGCTAATTTACATTTTTACCCCAAAAGAAGTTTATGAGTTAGGCCTCCTCCCAGGAGCTTCTGTCTCTACCCCACCACCTCTTCCCTTGTGGTATTGTGATTGCTAGCTAATTGGCCTGACTTCCCTGACAAGCTCCTAGGAGCAGGCACTATGTTTTGTTCACTGTTTTAGCCTCTGTGCCTAGCATACATGCAGCTAGTTTAGATTAACTAATCTATGAAGATATGTATAAAATCTCAACCAGTTGGCCAGGCGCACTGGTTAACACCTGTAATCCCAGCACTTTGGGAGGCTGAGGTGGCTGAATCACCTGAGATCAGGAGTTCAAGACCAGCCTGGCCAACATGGAGAAAGCCCGTCTCTCCTAAAAATACAGAAATGAGCCAGGCTTGATGGCAGGTGCCTGTAATCCCAGCTACTCAGGAGGCTGAGGTGGGAGAATCGCTTGAACTCAGGAAGCGGAGGTTGCAGTGAGCCGAGATCGCACCATTGCACTCCAGTCTGGGTGACAGGGCAAGACTCCATCTCAAAAAAAAAAATCTCAACCAGTCACGTATCTAAGTACCCCACACATCCATGTGCTCCCAGACCCTAAGGGCCATTTTCACCTAAGCTTACAGGTTCACCTAAGCTCACATTTTCACCTAAGCTCACAGGTTCATTCTTTGCAATGTCCTTACCTGCCATTCACCAAAAATTCAACTAACTTCACAAACCAGACACTTCCAGTCCTAGACAGATGCAGTTAACATGTGTATATGACATCTCATGAAAGTAGAAGTATCTCTAATGAATGGTTTATCTGTATCATACAGTATTACTGTACCACAGCAACAAAGAAGCACTAGTCTGATTATTTATTGACTTTATATCAATAATTCATAAACCTCTTGCTCCTACATACAGAATCCATTGTTCAAGTAGAGTCATCATCTATAAAAACGAGATGGACTCCAAAAAAGCTTTTTTTAAAAAATCCACTCTTCAATAAAATAAATTGGAAGGCAGGGAAAATTGTTTAAATGTATAATATTTTTAACAAAATGGCTAAAAGCCCCATGACATTCTTATTTCTTCATGGCATTTCTGGAGCACATTAATAGTATTTTTAAAGCTCAAGTAGTTTCGGGACTACATTATCCGATATCCCAATTGTTCTCAGCCCCTGTCTTTTCTTAATTTTTCCTTTCTTTAAATTCTGTGCTTGCTGAGGTTGATTACTGCACTGATTCTGGAGGGAGATATGAATTGGAGTCATCAGAAACCAAGATGCAGGCCAGACACAGTGGCTCATGTCTGTAATCCCAGCACTTTGGGAGGCCGAGGTGGGTGGATCACTTAAGGCTAGGAGTTTGAGACCAGCCTGACCAACATGGTGAAGCCCCATCTCTACTAAAAACATAAAAATTAGCCAGGCGTGGTGGCAGGTACCTGTAATCCCAGCTACTTGGAAAGCTGAGGCAGGAGAATCACTGGAACCCGGGAGGCAGAGGTTGCAGTGCTGAGATCATGCCACTGAACTCCAGCCTGGGTGACAGAGGAAGACTGTCTCAAAAAAAAAAAAAAGAAAGAAAGAAAGAGAGAAACCAAGATGCAGCCTGTGAATGGGATGACTGTTTGGATGTCAGGGGAGGAGGTGTCTATGCAGATCACAGCTCTGAAAGTGACTGCAGTCTTTATTAGGTGGATACTTTCTTCTCTCCCTCTATCTACCTGACTGTTGCCTGCTAGCCCCCACCAGAATGTAAACTCCAATAGAGTTTCACTGTTTTGTTCTCCACTGTATCTTTGCTGCCTAGAATAGACCCAAGTAGAGCAGATGCTTAGTAAATATAATTACTGGGGAGATGACGTCTCCAGTATATAATTAACCCAGTTTCACCTTTTCCTTCCTATCTCCCATGAGTTGGATCAAGTTGGATTCAAGGTACAAAAAATCATCTATCTTCAGGGATGGAGTAAGGGTTTCTTAGTGCATAGAACATGTTTATCAAACATTTTGATGGCAAATATTAAGAAGAAATAAATTCTGCTGGCCAGTCACAGCGGCTCACACCTGTAATCCCAGCACTTTGGGAGGTCGAGGCAGGTGGATCGCTTGAGCCCAGGAGTTCAAGACCAGCCTGGGCAAGAAGGCAAAACCCTGTCTCTACTAAAACACAAAAATTAGCTGGGCGTGGTGGCGTGCGCCTGTAATCTCAGCTACTCGGCAGGCTGAAGTGGGAGGATCACTTGAACCCAGGAGGCAGAGGTTGCAAGATGGCACCACTGCACTCCAGCCTGGACCACAGAGTGAGACCCACTCTCAAATAAAATAAATAAATTTAGTTTACATTAACATAGAGCATATACTCTACCACACGTATATCTGAAACTAAAGTTTTACCAAACAATATTTCTATATGTTTTCTAGTCTTTCTTATCTTGTATTATTACAATTGCTGTGGCTGTTGCTATTTTTGCTGGTCACAGACCACCACTAATTTCACGCATAACCCACGAATAAATCAGAAGCTACAGTTTGATTTATACAACACAGTCATGCAGCAGCCTCAGTCCTACCCTAGCTGCTCCTGATTGGCAGTCAGTAGATGCTTCCACCAAGATGGAGGTGGTGGAAAAAAGAGCAGACTCTCTAGGCAGAGTCTTGAATGCAAATACTAGTTCTACCCAGGGAGCTAGGGAAAATAGTCTCAGTTTTCTGGAAAAGGAAACTGAGGAAAGCAACAGCCTCTTTATCTGGGAAAGGAGGTTATCAGATCCTTGTGGGGCTTTTATAAAGACTAAATAACACCGATCGCGGTGGCTCATGCCTGTAATCCCAGCACATTGGGAGGCCGAGGCAGGCAGATTGCTTGAGGTCAGGAGTTTGAGACCAGCCTGGCCAACATGGTGAAACCCCATCTCTACTAAAAATACAAAAAATTAAACAGGAGTGGTGGTGCATGCCTGTGGTCCCAACTACTCAGGAGGCTGGCAGGAGGATGGCTTGAACTGGGGAGGCAGAGGTTGCAGTGAGCCGAGATCGTACCACTGCAACTCCAGCCTGGGCGACAGAGCGAGACTCCATCTCAAAAAAAAAAAAAAAAAGAAGAAGAAGAAGAAGAAGGCTGGATACAGTGGCTCATGCCTATAATCCCAGCACTTTGAGAGGCCGAGGCTGGTGGATCACGAGGTCAGGAGTTTGAGACCAGCCTCACCAACATGATGAAACCCTGTCTGTACTAAAAATACAAAAATTAACCAGGCGTGGTGGCACTTGCCTGTAATCCCAGCTACTAGGGAGGCTGAGGCAGGAGAATTGCTTGAACCCTGTAGGCAGAGGTTGCAGGGTTGCAGTGAGCCAAGACTGAGCCACTGCACTCCAGCCTGCGTGACAGAGCAAGACTCCGTCTCCTAAAAATAAAAAACTAAATGAGCATATAATCAGGGTTTCTCAACTTCGGAACTATTGACATTTTGAGTTGGAGAATGTTTTGTTGTGGAGACTGTCCTGTGGATTGCAGAATGTTAAACAGTATTCCTGGACTCTACCCACTAGATGCCAGTAGCGCCCCCTCCAGTTGTGACAATGAAAACCATCTCCTGACATTGCCAAATCTCCCCTGGTAGACAAAAATCACCCCAGATTAAGAGTCACTGGTATCTGTAAAGCATCTGCCACAGTCCTTGGCCACTGTTATTACCCTAATGCTTCTTACTTTGAAGAAACTAGAATTCAGTCTATGGGAGAGGACATACAAGAAGCATAGTGCCAAGCTGTGTGTCCACCATCATAAGTGAGGACATGAACACTGTAATGGCTGAATGACAGGCATACACTTTGTCAGCAGTGGCCATCTTTAGGGGCCAGATAAGTCTGGAGCTGGAGGAACATGACGCAGCAAGAACACTGTATGCAGGAAGGTGCATTATAATGGGGGCTGTGGGAAGAGGAAATGAAGAGCTGGCTTAGACTCTGATTGTTGGAGATAGGAATGGGTAAGCAGAAGCAGGGCCTGCTGATGACTGCACGTAGAAGGTGAAAGAGACTAGAGCAAAAGTCCAGCAAGCGTCCCTACTTGGACGACTTGGTGGCACAGAGGGGCAAGGACACAATGTGAATGGGGACAGTAGAAATGAGGTAGCAGAAGAAAGGCTAAAAGTTGATAAGTGTGCCAGGTGCAGAAAGTGACACACTCCTGGCTAGAAGGCAGAACTCCAGACCTAGGACACAGCTCATGGTTTCAAAGGATATCAGAAGTCATTTCTCCATCTGCATAAAGGCAGAGAAAAGAATCTCTTGAGTCCTGCAACAGTGGGTGTATTTCCTTAAAGAGTATGCAGTAGTACTCAAATTGTGCAAAAATATTGGTGAGGAAAAGATAAGCAAACTAAACCATAAATCAAAAATTATTTTTATATATAGTTCTTTTTTACTTTATTATTTATTTTTTGAGATGGAGTTTTGCTCTTGTTGCCCAGGTTGGAGTGCAATGGCACGATCTCAGCTCACCGCAACATCTGCCTCCCGGGTTCAAGTGATTCTCCTGCCTCAGCCTCTTGAGTAGCTGGGATTACAGGTGCCCGCCACCACGCCTGGCTAATTTTTTGTATTTTGAGCAGAGACAGGTTTTCACCATGTTGGCCAGGCTTGTCTTGAACTCCTGACGTCAGATGATCCACATGCCTCAGCCTCTCAAAGTGCTGGGATTACAGGCATGAGCCACCACACCTGGCCTTGTATAGTTCTTTTTTAATTGGAAAGAGCAATTACCCAAGATTGCATTATTAACATCACAGATAATATCCTTCATTGGGCATTCATATCCTTTATTGAGAAACAGAATGCCTGGGACCATATGCTACAATGTGGAAACAGTAGTGTTATTTTTTTCTGGATTTTATATCACTTTTTGTAGAATATTGGTTGTAAATGATTCTTATCCAGATTTTTAATTTACATTGTGAGTTAGCTAATAGCAGCTTTTATTTAGGCATAAGCGAATTTAAGAATTATATATATATATATATATATATATATATATATATATATATATATATATATGGCTGCATTCTTTTTTTATTTTTTACTTATTTACTAATTTTGAGACAGAATCTTGCTGTGTCACCCAGGCTGGAGTGCAGTGACACGATCATGGCTCAATGCAACCTCCATCTTCTGGGCTCAAGCAATCTCCCACCTCAGCCTCCTGAGCAGCTGGGACTGCAGATGCATGCCACCACACACGGCTAATTTTTGTATTTTTCTGTAGAGACAGAATTTCACCATGTTGCCCAAGCTGGTCTCAAACCCCTGGGCTCAAAGGATCCTCCTGCCTTGGTCTCCCAAAGTACTGGGATTATAGGCATGAGCCACTGTGGCTGGCCTGTATTCTAATATTCACTGAAATGCCCACAATAGTTTGCTGATACAGTTTGGATCTGTGTCCCCACCAAATCTCATGTCGAATTGTAATCCCCCGTATTAGAGGTGGGGCCTGGTGGGAGGTGACTGGATCATGTGGGCATAGTTCTGATGAATGGTTTGGCACCATCCCCCCAGTGCTGTTCTCATGATAGTGAGTGAGTTATTGTGAGATCTGGTTGTTTAAAGGTGTGTGACACTTGAGAATCTGAAATAAGTATAAGAAAAAATAATAAGTAGGCCGGATGTGGTGGCTCATGCATGTAATCCCAGCACTTTGGGAGGCCAAGGTGGGCAGATCACAAGGTCAGGAGTTTGAGACCAGCCTGACCAATATGGTGAAACCCCATCTCCACTAAAAATACAAAAATTAGCCGGGCGTGGTGGTGGGCGCCTGTAGTCCCAGCTACTCAAGAGGATGAGACAGGAGAATCGCTTGAACCCGGGAAGCAGAGGTTTCAGTGAGCTGAGATTGCGCCACTACATTTCAGCGTGGGTGACAGAGCAAGACTCCATCTCAGAAAATAATAATAATAATAAATAAAAATAATTTTTTAAAAAAGTGCATGGCACATCTCCCTAGCCTCTTGTTCCTTCTTTGGCCATGTGAAGTGCTGCCCCACCTTTGCCTTCCGCCATGATTGTCAGTTTCCTGAGGCTTCCCTAGCAGCAGAAACTGCTACGCTTCTTGTTCAGCCTGCAGAATCATGAGCCAATTAAATCTTTTTTTTTTTTTTTTTTGAGACGGAATCTCACTCTGTCACCCAGACTAGAGTGCAGTGGTGCAATATTGGCTCACTGCAACCTCCACTTCCTAGCCTCAGAGTAGCTGGGACCACAGGCTCATGCCCCCACGCCTGGCTAATTTTTGTATTTTTAGTAGAAGTGGGGTTTTGCCATGTTGGCCAGGCTGGTCTCAAACTCTTGGCCTCAAGGAATCTGCCTGCCTTGGCCTCCCAAAGTGCTAGGATTACAGACATGAACCACCGTGCCTGGCCTAAACCTTTTTTCCTTATAAATTACCCAGTCCCAGGTATTTCTTATAGCATTATGAGAATGGATTAATACATATGTGTATGTCTTTTCTCATACATGCTGAAGTATGTGAATTTAAGCCCAAACTAACACAAAGACTCTATGAAAAGAGTCTTTTTCATAATTAAGTTGGCAACCCTCAGGGAAAAAAGCATTTAATGTAAAAAGCCCAGTAATTTTATAAATAGCTGGTGGAATTTTATATAAAGTTAGTTACTTCAGTGGGGAAATGAAGACCTATTATGAAGACCAGACAAACATAACAGAAAATGTGGCAAAATGCTAATTAAATATCATTGAGAGAGCAAAGAAGTTTCCACTCCCTCCAACATATGCCTCTACAAACCACACAGGACTTGGCAAACCATGGGTAAGTTTCCAGTTTCCAGAGTGACTAAGCGGGACGCTCATTGTTAAAGCGTGAAATTGTGTTTCCCTGTTTCTACCCATCCTCAGGAGGTAAGAGTGGTTTGTAGAGGCAATAGGGCTTGGCTGGATGCTGTGATAGCCAGCTTCCAAGATCTCCCTCAATGATTCCTCCTCTAGGTATTCACAGCCGTGGGTAGTCCTTTCTCACATTGTACCAGCCTTGGTCTGTGTGACCAAAAACGTGCAGCAGAAAAGATGGTATGTCACTTCTGCAAGAGTAGGTTATAAAAGATTGCAGCTTCTGTCTTGCGTGCTCTCCCTGCTTCCACTCCCAATCTCAGATCACTTGCTCTCAGGGAGGCAAGCTGCCATGTGCTAAGCAGTCTTATGGAGAGAACTACCTGTTGAAGAACTGAAGGCTCCAGCCAACAGGCAGTGAACAAACCATGCCTGCCAGCAACTGTGTGTGTGAGCCTAGAAGCTGATTCCCCAGCCCCAGTCAAGCCTTGAGATGATGGCAGCTCCAGCCAATAGCTTGACTATAGCCTCATGAAAGACACTCAGAACCACTCAGCTAAGCCACCCCTGGATTCTTGACACTCTCAGAAACTGTGTGAAATAACAGAAGTTTGTTGTTTTAATCTGCTAAATTTGGGGGTAATTTATTATGTAGCAATAGGTAACTAATACATATACCTTCTGCAATGCAGTGAATGTTTCTGTCCCCACTCCCAAAATTCCTATGTTGAAATTCTAACCTTCAAGGTGATGATATTAGGATGTGGGTCTTTGAGAGATGATTATAATGTTCACGGTGGGGCAGAGCCCTTATGAAGGGATTAATGCCCTTATACAAGAGGCCCCAGATAGCTCATTAGCTGCTTCCCCCACGTGAGGTTACAGCCACAAGATGGCCATCCATGAACCAGGAAGCCAGCCCTTACCAGACACCAAATCTGCCTTGAATTCCCACCTCCGCAACTGTGAGAAATAAATTTCTGTTGTTTATAAATCACCCAGTTTATGGTATTTTGTTATAGCAGACTGAATGGACTAAGACAATTTCCTTGTCTTTCAGAGAGAAAATGCTTTAAAAAAAACTGGATGCAGCTAGTTTTGTTAATCTAACGGACCATCAGCATGGGGGTGGGAGAAACAGGAGAGAAAAGCAAGCAAATGAATAATTCTCCAAGGAGAGCTGGTACCTCATTAGATGGCTCCTATAGTGCTTATCCCTTTACTAATGAAGAATTAACATCCATGTCAGTCTTCAAAAGATTCTAATTATACCCCTGAAACTCTGAGAGGTTTAGGGTGTCTGCTGAGACAGAGAAGAGAGAAAACCCTTAAGCAACTCCTCTCAACTGTCTTTGGGGGTTGATGTCTTGGTCAATAACTGTCTATTGAACTCCTACTTCTCCAAAACTATAAATGATGTATAAAAATAAAGTCCAAATGGCACACACCCAGCAAAATACTCAACACCAGGAAAATGGTAAACTATGGCACAGCTATAGTACAAACTGTTTTTTGTTTGTTTGTTTGGTTTTTTTTTTCTTTTCTTTTTTTTTTTTTTTGGAAACAAGGTCTGGCTCTGTCGCCTAGGCTGGAGTGCAGTGGCGCGATCTCCACTCACTCACTGCAAACTCCACCTCCCAAGCTCAAGTGATCCTCCCACCTCCACCTACCAAGTATCTGGGACTATAGAGGCACGCCACCATGCCCAGATAATTTTTGTATTTTTTGTAAAGATGGAGTTTCACCATGTTGCCCAGGTTGGTCTCAAACTCCTGATCTCAAGCAATCCTCCCACCTTGGCCTCCCAAAGTGCTGGGATTACAGGTGTGAGCCACCACACACGGCCAGTATGAACTCTTAATGCAGCCATTTGAAAGAATTTTGATGAAGAACATAGAAATTGGAAAAGATAGTGTTACAAGTTGATAAACTATACTGTTCCAGATGTAGACATTGCTGATGAGAGACACTTCACAAACATTTGTCCCTTATATATTTTTCCTGTGACAGTAAGTGTTTCAGGGGCTGGAAAATTCAGGTTTTGGATCTCTTGTCTCACAATCTAGTCAAACATTGGCCAACTTTTAATCTATCTCTTTCTCAGTTTCATCATCTGTAAATGACATAACCTTGCTATTTTCAGAATATATAATACTCCGGCCACGCTGGTGGCTCATGCCTGTAATCCCAGGACTTTGGGAGGCCGAGGAGAGTTGATCACCTGATGTTAGGAGTTCAAGACCAGCCTGGCCAACATGGCGAAACCCCATCTCTACTAAAAATACAAAAATTAGCCAGGCATGGTGGTGCGTGTTTGTAATCCCAGCTACTTAGGAGGCTAAGGCAGGAGAATCGCTTGAACCCAGGAGGCAGAGGGAGCCAAGATCACACCATTGCACTCCAGCCTGGGTGACAGAGCGAGACTCCATCTCAAAAAGAAAAATAAAGAAAAAATAAAAATAAAAAACAAAATATATAATACTCTGAGGACATAAGAGCCTGCATGCAAAAAGATTTTAAAAGAGCTATTAAATAGCATTCTCCGGATCTAGGGCACTATGCTGAACGGTAGGAGACTTGGCTAAGTCATTGTTTTTAAAGCTTTTGGAAAGAGGGACTTAGAGGCCTCAGACATACCTAATTAGTGATAGAGCTAAGATCAGAATTTAGGGTATGGCTTTGTATCACCTCCAGGTTTGACCTTCACACACCAGACTTCTCTCTTAGCCATATAATTAAATAAAGAAAAATAAAAGCCTAAAATAATCTACAGAAGCCATTGTCAAATTTTCTTTCATTGGCCCAATTTTTTTTTTTTAAGAAAAGGACTACTTCATATCAGAGACTAAATAATCATATTTTCTCGTCATTGAATACTTTTCACCAACTTAGTGTCATCTATATCCATGACAACAGGCTCCAGTGCCTACTCTTGACTTCACCTTAGGAATATGGAAAAACACAAGCATAACTGAGAGAAAAAAATCCAGAAAGCTGGATTTAATACAAAGTAAAAAAGGTAAGCTTCGCACAGTCATTAGCTGTTATTATAAACACCTTCATAGTCAGCTGCAGAGTGGAGACTGAGTATTTACAGTATATTATTAAAAGCAAAGCAGGAAATGTTGTACTCAGAAATATTACTAACAACTTTTTTTCAGCCAGGTGCAGTGGCTGTTGCCTGTAATCCCAGCGCTTTGGGAGGCTGAGGTCAGAGAATCACTTGAGCCAAGGAGTTCAAGACCAGCCTGACCAACATAGGGAGACCCTGTCTCTACAAACAATTTAAAAATTAGCCAAGTGTAGTGGCATATACCTTCTACTCTAGAGGCAGAGGTAGGAGAGTTGCTTGAGCTCAGGAGGTCAAGGCTGCAGTGAGCTGAGATCACGCCACTGCATTCTAGCCTTGGTGACAGAGCAAGACCCTGTCTCACACATAAAAAAAGAAAAAGTATTTTTTATGGCCGGGCATGGTTGCTCATGCCTATAATCCCAGCACTTTGGGAGGCTGAGAGGGGAGGATCACTTGAGGTCAGGAATTCAAGACCAGCCTGGCCAACATGGCAAAGCCCTGCTCTTGGCCGGGCACAGTGGCTTATGCCTATAATCCTAGCACTTTGGGAGGCAAAGGTGGGTGGATTGCTTAAGCCCAGTAATTTGAGACCAGCTTGGGCAGTGTGGCGAAACCTCATCCCTACAAAAAATACAAAAACTTAGCTGGGTATGGTGGTGTGTGCCTGTAATCCCAGCTACTTGGGAGGCTGAGGTGGGAGGATCACATGAACCTGGGAGGCAGAGGCTACAGTGAGCTGATTGGGCCACTGCACTCCAGCCTGGACAACAGAGTGAGACCATGCCTCAAAAACAAAACAAAACCCTTCTATTAGGCAGCTTTTGTGTGTGTGTGTCTCGCTGTGTTGCCCAAGCTGGGGTGCAACTGTGCAACTTTGGCCCACTGCAGCCTACATCTCCTGGTTCAAGCAATTCTCGTGCCTCAGCGTCCTGAGTAGCTGGGATTACAGGCGTGAGCCACCATGCTTGGACTTTTTTTTTTTTGAAACAGGATCTCACTTTTTTGCTCAGGCTGGAGTGCAATGGCATGATCAAGGCTCACTGCACCCTCAACCTCCCTGGGCTCAATCAGTCCTTCTACCTCAGCCTCCCTAGTAGCTGAGACTACAGGCATGCATATCTTTTTGTAGAGGTGGGGCTTCACCATATTGCCCAGGCTATTATTAGGCATCTTGATGGGCATTTTTATTTGCTTCTTTAGTATAAATTCCTTCAAGTAAAATTGCTACCATCATGTAGTATGCACATTTTTAAGGATTTTGGAACATAATGCCAAATTATGTTTGTACATATTGTTGGAATTTACACTTCCATCATCAATGTAAACTCCTATTTATAAGCTCCAAACAATATATTTTTGTTATTTCAAAATAGAAATAAGAAATCATAAAATTGATATATGTATGTTAATTGTTAAAAAAAAAAAAAAGAAAGAAAAGTAATCAAGCTGTACCAAAGTGAAAACCAGTAGACAGTAAAAGCCCTGCTTCTCCCAACCCTACTCCCTAATTTTTTGTCAATATCTTTCTAGGACTTTTTCAGATAATAACGTAGAGATAGATAGATGATAGATGGATTAAAAAAAAAAGAGCACACACTTGCAAGAAAGTGCAGTAGACACAAAGATACATATATTGGTTTTTTAGAACAAAAATAAAAACATATATGTTATTTCATAACTGCTTTTTACTTTTATTATTTTATTTTTTGAGACAGAGTCTGGCTTTGTTGCTTAGGCTGGAGTGCACTGGCGTTATCTGGGCTCACTGCAACCTCCACCTCCTGGGCTCAAGTGAGCCTCCTGAGTAGCTGGGACCACAAGCGGATGCCACCACACCTAGTTAATTTTTGTATTTTTAGTAGAAACTGGGTTTTGCCATGTTGGCCAGGCTGGTCTCAAATTCCTGGGCTTAGGAGATCCGCCCACCAACGTATTTGCCAAAATAGGCACTTTTTGTCTTTTTAATTGTTGCCAAACAGATAGGTCAAACTAACAAACAAAAGTCCCAGTTCCTCATTTTATTTTGTTTTTTAATTACTACTTTATTCTATATGCATTTGAGAGAGCCAATAAAACTTTGCTGACCAGCATGAGGGCTGGAGTTGAGGGAGGAGACTGAGAGACAGAAAGACCAGGAGAGGGAACCTGGCCCTGATGCTCATGAATGAATGAATGATCTGCCAAGTATACCCTGGGATGGAGTGGGATAGTTCATTCACATCTACCATGACCTGGCTTTTTTTTTTTTTTTTATTCTGTAGAATAATTCCTTTTCCCCTAAAGAAAATCATGTACATGGTTTAAAAAAAAAATCAAACATTACTCATGTTTACATAGTAAAAATCAAGTGTCCTTGTCTTAAGACTGCCAGGACCAGGGGCAGTGGCTCATGCCTATAATCCCAGCACTTTGGGAGGCCGAGGCAGGCGGATCACCTGAGGTCAGGAGTTTGAGACCAGCCTGGCCAACATGGCAAAACCCTGTCTCTGTTAAAATACAAAAATTAGCCAAGCGTGGTGGCACACGCCTGTAATCCCAGCTACTCAGGAGGCTGAGGCAGGAGACTCGCTTGAACCCAGGAGGTGGAGGTTGCAGTGAGCCAAGATCATGCCACTGTACTCTAGCCTGGGCGACAGAGCAAGACCCTGCCTCCAAAAAAAAAAAAAAAAAGATTGCCAGACTTAGACCCTGTCTTCCCTCCCTCTCTCTAGGTCTAATATTACTACTACTACTAATAATAACTCACATTTTTTGAGTTACTATGTGCCAGAAACAAAATTTCCTAGACTTAGTAATTCATTCAAATTCCCTACAACTTTCTGAATATGAATATGTACTGTTTATGATCCTAATTTTTTCAGATAAGAATATTGTATCACAAAGAAGTTAAATAACTTGCCCGAAGTTGCACAACTTATAAGCAATGGAGCTGGAATTCAAACCCAGATGGTCTGGTTCCCCAGCCTGTTTGCTTAATTTAATCCACATTACCCTAAATTATTTTCATTGTAGTGGGGTGGGAATTTCTGGATACAAAGAGACAGGAGTCAAAAGGTTTTGCATGATTCCCTATCATAGGTGATACTAAGCAGATCTTATCTACCTGGTCCCTGAGCTGGTGTGATTCCCAAGTGGTTTGCCCACAGCTGCCAACTATCATCATTTCTCCTATGTCTTTCCTGGGTTGTGTAAGCACAGGGATAGTCTCTCTATATAATTATAAACCAAGTAGTCAAAATTCACCTTGAAAGTCATTTCTTTTCAGTTTGTAACTAACTCATTTTTTATTAGCTAATATTCTATTTATTTATTTAACCAATCCTCTGGTGATGGACATTTATATTGTTTCCAAACAACGCTATAGTGAATCTCTTTGGATATAAATCTTCTGCATAAAGGATTTATGCATAAGTAAAATCTACACCATATTCCTAACAGTGAAATTGTTACATGAAAAGTTATATGCATTTTAAAATTTAACAGACTGTACTTTTTTTTTTTGATACGAGGATCTCACTCTGTCACCCAGGCTGGAGTGCAGTGGTGTGAGGCTCACCACAGCCTCGACCTCCCCAGGCTCAGGTGATCCTCCCACCTAAGCCCCCTGAGTAGCTGGGACTACAGGCATGTGCCACTACACCCGGCTAATTTTTTTGTATTTTAATAGATATGGGGTTTTGCCGTGTTGCTCAGGTTGGAACTCCTGGGCTCAAACGACCCGCCTGCCTTAGCCTCCCAAAATGCTGGGATTATAGGCAGCCGGACAAAGGAAGCTCCTCAGCCTCCAGTCGCCTCTCTGTGCATGCACCTCGGTCACTGGTCTCGACTAATGGTTTCTCCGGGAGCCCAGTTAACAGGGAAAAATTCGCATGGCCTCTCGGTTTCTTCGGTCCGAAAATCCAACGTTGGTCCAAGAAGGCTCTGGTGTGTGCCAGGCACTCACTGATCATCTGGTCTTACGGAGACGCCTCTAAGCCATTTGATCCCGTTCCGGGAACGAAAATGGCAGCGGTGACGGTTGCTCCTTTTATGGTCTCCCTCCGGCTGTCCAGGACGGTCTCCTTTTTCCCTGTTCTCCTGAGCCTACCCTCTGTTATAGGAAACTCCTGGTCTTCCATTCCAAAAAACAGTACTCTAGGCTGCCTCATAAAAAACCTGCAAACCTTAGGCCTCAGGCAAAATATCCACCCTAAGCGCGTTTTTTTTTTTTTTTTTTTTGCAATACAGCCTGGCAGCAGTACAAATTAAATAACAGGTCCAAATCGCCCGTAAATAGAACATTCAACCTTACAATTTTAACTGATTTAAGTACTTATTGCCGACGACTGGAGAAATGGGAAGAAATTCCTTATGTCCAGGCCTTTTTGCACTCAGATCACAACCCGACCTCTGCGGTTCTTGCTCAACTGTTCAAATCCTCCTCCTTCATTCCCATGGCCCAGATCGCCTTTCTCCTCCCAAGCCTACCTCTTTTTCCTCGTTTAATCCAGCTGACTGCTGTCCACCCCTCCCAGCCCCTACCTTTTCCTCTCAACTGCCTTCTTTAACCCCGAAAGCCTCCTCATTGTCTTCTCAGTTGCCATCTTCCCAGCCGCCATCTTCCCAGTCAGCTGTATCCACTTCTTTTCCTACACCATCCCCCCTCAGGACAATTCTAGTATTGCTTGCACGTATTCTCGTCCACAACTGCCCTCTCCTGAGGCTTGTAAACCCATCCCGCCACCTTACGCCCCTATCTATCCTCCACTGCCTGTTAACACAACCCCCCTTCTCCCTTCAAACCCTCAGCAGGAAACACTAGCTTAAACCTTCGGTTCATCTCCCAATCCACCCCGATATTCGGCGCAAGCTTCAGAAGCTTGATGACGGCCCTCAAACCCCACAAAGAGACCTTCTTAATTTAGCCATCAAAGTCTTTAACAATCGTGATGAGAAAAGTAAAAGGCAAAAACCGGCAGAGTTTCAAATGCTTGCCTCCGCCATCAGGAGCCCTGCAGGCCCACGGGGCGGCAGCTCCGCACGGAAGCCTCCTAACACTCCACCTCCACCTGGTGCCTGTTTCAAGTGCGGCAATGAAGGCCACTGGTCCAGACAATGCCCAAAGCCAGGTAAGCCCACCAGGCCATGCCCCCTCTGCGGAGGACCCCACTGGAAGTCGGACTGTGAGCAGCCCCTGCGAGGACCGCCCCCATCCCTTCCTGAGCTGGCCTACTTGGATCTCATTGGCCTTGCTGCTGAAGACTGACGGTGCCCTGGAACGGATGCCCCAGCAACTACCATCGCTTCATCCAAGCCAAGGGTAACCCTGATGGTGGCAGGTAGGCCAGTATTTCTTTTTTAATTAATCCTGGGCAACCTACTCTGCTTTACCTAATTTTTCAGGACCCACCCAATCCTCCCACGTCTCTGTTGTGGAAATTGACCGACAAGTCTCCAAACCCCGAGCCACCCCTCCACTTTTCTGCTCCCTGCACACTTTTTCCTTCACTCACTCTTTCTTAGTCCTGCCCTCATGCCCAACTCCGCTCCTAGGCAGAAATATCCTTTCAAAACTCCACACTACTCTCCACTTCCACATTCCCCACAGTACCCAATCCATCCACCCAGACCCCTCCAGTACTTCTAGCTTTCTTCTACCCTTTCAACCTCCCACCCTAAAACGTGCAGCCTTTCCTTGTCCTCCATCCATAGTTAACCCTGCTGTTTGGGATACTTCCACACCCTCAGTCGCAGAACACCATACCCCCATCCGCATTACCCTTAAAGAGCCCACCCAGTTCCTATCACAGAAGCAGTATCCCATCCCCCAAGCAGCTCTCGTAGGCCTACAGCCTATCATTTCTCACCTCCTCGCCAGTCACCTACTCCGCCCAACAGACTCTCCTTTTAACACACCAATTCTACCTGTTAAAAAGCCAAATGGAACTTATCGTTTAGTCCAGGACCTCAGGCTCATTAACCAAGCTGTACTCCCAGTATGTCGAACCCATATACTTTACTTTCCACAATTCCCTCCAATACTACCCATTTTTCTGTTCTAAACCTAAAGGATGCTTTTTTTTCACAATTCCTTTACACCCTAATTCCCAAAACCTCTTTGCCTTTGTGTGGGAAAACCCTGGCACCCACCTTTCACGTCAGCTCACCTGGTGCGTACTACCTCAAGGTTTCAGAGACAGCCCCCAACTTTTTGGACAGGCCCTTGCTCGCAACCTCTGTACCTTATTTCTAAACAGTCCACTCTCCTTCAATATGTTAATAATCTACTCCTGTGTAGCCCCTCTCAAAGAGACTGCAACGCCCATACCATCTCTTTTAAACTTCTTGGCAGAACGGGGGTATCAGGTCTCCCCTTAAAAAGCACAAATATACACCCCCTCAAGTCACCTATCTAGGCCTAGCTCTTACCCCGCGAACCTGAGGGCTCACAACCGACCGCGTATCCCTCCTCCAGTCCCTCCCGCCTCCACACACTAAGCAAGAAATTCTCTCTTTTCTAGGACTAATGGGATACTTTAGGCTCTAGGTTCCCTCCTTCGCTCTACTTGCCAAATCGTTATACCAAACTGCTAAAGGCCCTATCCGTGAGCCTTTAAAACCTACACAGCCTATTACCCAACCTTTCTGTCTACTCCAAAAAGCTCTCATCTCAGTCCCCGTCCTCACTCTCTACACCTCACCAAACCTCTCTCCCTCTATACTGACAAACGGCGTAGAGTTGCCCTAGGTGTTCTAACCCAGTCTAAGGGATCCACCCTCCAGGTTGTTGCCTACCTCTCTAAACAGCTTGAAGCCACAGTTCTAGGATGGCCTGCCTGCCTCCAAGCATTGGCGGCAGCTGCTGTCCTCACCCTTGAAAGCCTAAAACTATCTCTCCATGCCAACGTAACAGTTTATTCAACCCATAACATCAAAGATATGCTAGCTCACCGCAGTGTACTAAGTCTCATCTCTGCCCCACGGCTCCTCCAACTGTATGCTCTGTTCATAGAAACCCCCCAAATCCCATGCGAACCAGCTCCCGTCTGAACCCGGCCATGCTCTTACCTAAAGCTACGACCGCCCAAGACCCTACACATATCTGTGTGAACACTGTTCAAACCTTTCTTATACCTTTTCCAAACCTAACCAACCCCTTCCAGATGCCTCCTTTACTTGGTTTGTAGATGGTAGCTTCTTCCTACATCAAGGACGCTGGCATGCTGGCTATGCTATAGTGTCACCTCTCCACACTACTGAAGCCAATCTGCTCTCCCTAGGCACCACCTCCCAAAAAGCTGAACTCATCGCCCTCACTCGAGCTCTCACTGTAGCAGCCAGACAACAGATCAACATATATGCAAATCTTGGCCGGGCGCTGTGGCTCACACCTGTAATCCCAGCACTTTGGGAGGCTGAGGCGGGCAGATCACAAGGTCAGGAGATGAAGACCACCCTGGCTAACATGGTGAAACCCTGTCTCCACTAAAAATACAAAAATTAGCTGGGCGTGGTAGCACGCGCCTGTAGTCCCAGCTACTTGGCATGCTGAGGCAGTAGAA
The DNA here is from genome assembly GCF_000001405.40 of Homo sapiens. NCBI lineage: Eukaryota > Metazoa > Chordata > Mammalia > Primates > Hominidae > Homo > Homo sapiens. The sequence goes on from NC_000007.14 coordinate 26,247,846, forward strand.
TCGCTTGAACCCAGGAGGCGGAGGTTGCAGTGAGCCGAGATCGCACCATTGCACCCCAGCCTGGGCGACAGAGCAAGACTCCATCTCAAAAAAAAAAAAAAAAAAATATATATGCAAATCCTCGTTATGCGTTCCACATAGTGCACTCACACTTGTCCATCTAGAAAGAATGGGGTTTCCTAACTGCAAAAAAACACTCCTGTCATAAATGGCTCTCTCACCAGCAAACTCCTTCAAGCTGCCATGCTCCTGCAGAAAGTTGCCATCATTCATTGCAGAGGCCACCAAACCCCAGACAATCCTATAATAGCTGGAAATGCGCTGGCAGATCAGGTAGCCAAAGAAGTAGCTCTACAACCCGTGCAAGACCAGTTTCTGTCCCTGTCGCTGTTCTCTCCTCTTTACTCCTCAGAAGAAAAGGAGGACTTCTGAGCCCCCAACCTTCAAAAGCAAGGACCATGGTATGTCAAGGAAAGGTGCTTCATTCTTCCTCACTCTCAAACAATCTTTATCCAAAGCCTCCACAACTCCTTCCATGTTGGTTACAAACCTCTCTTGCAACTTCTCCGTCCTATTCTCACTTTCCTCATCTTTCCAGCTGGTTCAAGAAATTACTCAGTCCTGCTCTATCTGCCACTCAACGTCACCCCAGGGCTCCCTCCGGCCACTGCCTTTTCCTACCCACCAAGCCCAGGGCCAGTTGCCCGGGCAAGATTGGCAAGTAGACTTCACTCACATGCCGCCTAATAAACGGCTCTGCTATATTCTAGTCTTTGTACTTTCTCCGGGTGGGTAAAAGTGTTCCCAAGAACTTCAGAAGGTGCAAATATCCTCACACAAACTCTCATCATGCATAAAATTCCCCGTTTTGGACTCCCAACATCCATCCAGTCCAATAACAGGCCTGCCTTCATCAGCCAAATTACCCAAGGCATTTCTATATCCTTAGGAATAAAGTGGGTTCTCCACACACCCTACAGGCCTCAATCTTCAGGCAAAGTTAAAAAAAATTAACTCTGTCCTTAAAGCCCAACTCATCAAGCTGGCTCTAGAAACCTGCCAGCTGTGGACAAAAAATCTCCCTTTTGCCCTGATAGGACTCCACACACCACTAAAGTCATCCTCTTTTTATAGCCCCTTTGAAATCATGTATGGCCAAACTTTTGTCTTGGGGCCTCCACCCTTACCAGACTCTGAGCCACTCAGGAATTACCTCCCCTCCTTAGTCCAGACACGGTCTTTCATTCGTGAAGCAGCAAATGAGGCCATGCCTCTCCCTGTTGGCACTACCTTGTCCTCTCAACATAACTGTCTTGCAGGCACAGATGTGTTTATCTGTCAATCCGACCCTCATCAAAAGCTACAGCCGAAGAGGAGAGGCCCCTACACTGTGATACTCAGCACGCCAACTGCAGTGAGAGTCCAAGGACTCCCCCACTGGGTCCATCGCACCAGGGTCAAGCTCACCCCACAAGGGTACTCCTTCCTCCAAAACATTAACAGCAGGCAACACCCTCAGAGTCCTTGTATATAATAACCTAAACAAAGAAAAACAATCCTTAAAGGTAGGAGGAAGCCAAAAATGACAAGGGAACAAATGGCCTCCGCAACAGATCATCGAATATTATAGTCCTGCCACTTGGGCTGAGAAGGGTTCATGGGGTTATCACACTCCTATATATGCTAAATAGAATAATTAGACTACAGGCTGTTCTAGAAATACCAAACCGCCTCAGCCCCGGAAATGCTCGCGCAACAACAAAACCAAATGTGCACGGCAATTTATTAAAACGGGCTAGCACTAAACTACTTATTAGCAGATCACAAGGTCAGGAGATCAAGACCACCCTGGCCAACATGGTGGAACCCCATCTCCACTAAAAATACAAAAACTCCAGAGAGTGGAGTCTGTGGTAAATTTAATATCTCTAACTGCTGTCTTAACATAGGCGATAATAGAAAAGCGGTTCTAGAAATCGCTTCAAACATCAGAAAAGTAGCCCATGTACCAGTCCAAACCTGGAAGGGATGAGACCCAACAAACCTTCTAGGAGGGTGGTTCTCTCATTTAGGAGGATTTAAAGCACTGGTAGGGACAGTAATCTTCATCATTGGGCTCCTTCTGTTTCTCCCCTGTGTTATCCCACTGATAATAAAAGCTAAAAGCCATTAAAACTCTTGTTGAAAGTACAGTTAACCGCCAGACAATCCAGACGATGCTCCTGCTACAACGACACGATGGATAACCCGTCTCTCAAGAATACCCCAAAAATTAGGTTTTTCTTTTTCCAAGGTGCCCACTCCACCCCTATGTCACACCTGAAGTAGTTATTGAGAAAGTCGTCCCTTTTCCCTTTTCTATAACCAAATAGGAATGTAAGATTCTCTCTGGGGCCTGCAAGCTAAAGGAGATGAATGACTCCTCCCTTCTCAGGCCCAGTCCCAAGGTGCAAGGCTACTTGTGCCAGCAGCGTGCGCCAGCAAGGTAGCAGAAGCAGGAAGAAAGCCGGCAGGAAGACACGTACCCCTGAAGATCCAGAAAGAGGCCATCTGTGTACAACGTAGCAGTAACGTCAGACTAGGACACTTCCTGTTTACAAGAGACTATAAAACCTCACCTCAGGATGACGCCATTTTAGGCCTCAGCCTGCCTGCACCCAGGCGCTCATTAAAACAGCATGTTGCTCCACACCGCCTCGTGTTGTCTATTGGCATACTTTCAGGGTTCGAACCAATACAAGAACCTTATGGTCAGGAGTTCGAGACCAGCCTACCCAATATGGTGAAACCCCATCTCTACCAAAAATATAAAAAATTATACAGTAGCCTGTATTCCCAGCTACTGGGGAGGCTGAGGTGGGAGAATTGCTTGAACCTGGGAGGCGGAGGTTGCAGTGACCCGAGATCGCACCACTGCATTCCAGCCTGGGCAACAGTGAGGTCCTGTTCTCAAAAAAAAAAAAAAAAAAAAGAAACAAAAAAAGGAAAGGAAAGGAAATAAAGAGAGAGAAAGAAAGAGAAAGAAAAAAGAAAGGTCCTCAATCTGGCAATATTGGCAGTATTTAGAGGTGGGGCCTTTAAGAGATGATTGGATCATGAGAGCTCTGCCCTCGTGAATGGATTAGTTCATTCACAGATTAATGGATTATCATGGGAAGGGACCTAGTGGCTTTATAAGAAGAGATCATGGCAATGGTGCACGACTGTTCTCCCAGCTACTTGGGAGGCTGAGGTGGGAGCATTGCTTGAGCCCAGAGATTGGAGGCCGCAGTGAGCTATAATCACACCACTGCACTTCGGCCTGTGCAAGAGAGTGAGACCCTGTCTCTAGAAAAAGAAAAGAATAGAAAAAAAATCACCAATTGGCAACCACCATAATAATAATAAATGATTCAGACAGGAATCACCAATAAATCCTGAAATTTGTGGATATAAATTGGATGAGGAACAGGACATTTATGTAGTCTAAAGTATCACAAAAATAATCATTTATTATTAATAGTACAAAATACTGTTTCACTTACAGTGATGAAAAAAGAGAGACATTATCTAAACCAATGGATAAAAGTTAATGTCACAGCTGGGCGCGGTGGCTCATGCCTGTAATCCCAGCACTTTGGGAGGCTGAGGTGGGGAGATCACCTGAGGTCAGGAGTTCGAGACCAGCCTGGCCAACATGGTGAAACCCCGTCTCTACTAAAAATACAAAAATTAGCCAGGCTTGGCGGCAGGTGCCTGTAATCCCAGCTACTCATGCCGCTGAGGCAGGAGAATCACTTGAACCCCGGAGGCGGAGGTTGCAGTGAGCCAAGATCATGCCATTGCACTCCAGCCTGGGCAATAAGAGTGAGACTCAGTCTCAAAAAAAAAAAAACAACAAAAACAGTAATGGGACAAATCACTATGTGCTTTCTGATGTGTGGCAGGAAAACCTATCACTGTGTGTTTTTCGCCAAAAATGCATAGATTGAATCTAATCATAAGAAATTATCAGGTAAGCCTAAATTTCAGAACAATCTACAATATAACTAAACTGTTCTTTTTAAAAATGTCAAGGTCATGAAAGACATGAAAGCCTGAGGAACTGTGCCAAATTGGAAAGACTAAAGAGGCAGAATAAGTACGTGCAATTCAACCTTGGATTGGACCCCAGACCTATAAATGACATCATTAGGATGACTGGTGAAATTTGAATGAGTTCTGTGGATAAATGAAAATGTAATATCTGGCCGGGCGCAGTGGCTCACGCCTGTAATCCTAGCACTTTGGGAGGCCGAGGCGGGCAGATCACGAGGTCAGGAAATGGAGACCATCCTGGCTAACACGGTGAAACCCCGTCTCTACTAAAAATACAAAAATTAGCCGGGCGAGGTGGCGGGCGCCTGTAGTCCCAGCTACTCCGGAGGCTGAGTCAAGAGAATGGCGTGAACCCCAGGGGGTGGAGCCTGCAGTGAGCCGAGATCGCGCCACTGCACTCCAGCCTGGGCGACAGCGAGACTCCGTCTCAAAAAAAAAAAACAAAAAACAAACAAACAAAATATATATATATGTATATATATATGTGTATATATATGTTTATTTCTTTATTTTGTGAGTATTACGTGGTTAATTAGGAGAGTGGTTTTCATTTTAGGAAATATGCACTGAAAGTATTACGGGGTAATGGAACTTCATATCCTCAATTTATTCTAAAAGTGTTCAGAAAAATAGAGTCTGGGCTCAGTGGCTCATGCCTGTAATCCTAGTACTTTGAGAGGCCAAGGTGGGAGGATAGCTTGAGCCCAGAAGTTCAAGACCATCCTGGGTAACACAGTGAGACCCCATCTCTATTTAAAAAAAGAGAGAGAGAAAAAAAAAAAAAACTGTGTGGCCAGGCGCAGTGGCTCATGCCTGTAATCCCAGCACTTTGGGAGGCCGAGATGGGCGGATCACCTGAGGTCGGGAGTTCAAGACCAGCCTGACCAACATGGAGAAACCTGGTTTCTACTAAAAATACAAAATTAGCCGGGCATGGTGGCACATGCCTGTAATCCCAGCTACTTGGGAGGCTGAGGCAGGAGATTCACTTGAACCCGGGAAGCGGAGGTTGTGGTGAGCCAAGAGCACGCCATTGCACTCCAGCCTGGGCAACAAGAGCGAAACTCCATCTCAAAAAAAAAAAAAAAAAAAAAAAAAAGCATTTGTGTGTGTATGTGTCTTGAGAGAGAGATAGAATAATAAGACAAATGTGATAGAACGTCAATAATTGGGTCATCTGAATGAAAATTTTATGGGAGTTCTTTGTAGTGTACTTGTAAGTTTTCTATAAGCTGAAATTATTTAAAAATAAAAAATTAAGATAATGTTTAAAAATAAATCACCATGCCTACAAGAAAATTTTTCTAACCTTTCAAGGAACAGATAATTCCAATTTAATACAAGGCTTCCAAAGGATATAAAAAGAAGAAACAGTCCTCAATTTAGTCTATGAGGCTAGTGTGATCTTGATACCTAAACTAGATATGGATAATATAAAAAATGAAAATTACAGACTAATCCCACTCGTAAACATAGGTGTGAAACTAAACAAAATATTAGTTTTTGTTTAGTTTCAAAACTGAATGCAACAAAACATAGAAAAGATACTACAACTTAAGTTCACTTTATCCCTGAAATATATTTCATCTAACACTAAAAATTTTTGTAAATGTAATTTATTACATTAATAGATTAAAGAAAAAAACACATTCTCAATAGTTGTAGGAAAAGCGTTTATGGAAAAACCCTTAGCAAACCAAGACTAGAGAGCAATTCTTGTTAGCCAAATAAAGACTATCTACAAAAACCTATAGTAAACATCATTCTTAGTAAAACTTTAGAAACTTTCTCTTTAAAAACCAGGATCAAGAAGAGGATGCTCACTGTTCTCATTTCTAGAGCTTGTAACCAATGCAGTAAGACAAGAAAGGGAGGGAGGAAGGAAAGGAGAGGAGAAGGAGAAAAGGGAGGTGGGCAGGTATTAGGAGTGAAAAGGAAGAAACAAAACTGGTTTTATTCAGAGATGATATAAATGTTTACATAGAAAACTCAAAATCCTTTAGACAAATTATTATAGTTAATAAGCTTAGTAAGATAGCTGGATATAAAGTCAATACACAAAATTCAATTACATTTTAGATTCATCAGCCTCAAAGAAAATATAATATCCCAAATGATATCAGTAACAAGAGCAAAATAGAGAACCTACTAATAAATTTAATAAAAGATGTGCAAGAAATTAAAGGAGACCTAAATAAATGCAGAGTAAGTCATGAGCCAGGTTCCTGGATAGGGAGATATAATCTCTAAAAATATGGTTTAAGAGCATAAACTTGATGGTTGACAAGTTATTTATCTGACTTATCTGCAAAATGGAGGTAATAATAGCACTTACCTCACAGGGCTGTTATGAGTATTACAAGATAATGCATACAAGAGGGATTAGAACGATGCCTGCCATGTAGGAAAGTTGTCTTGCACCATGCAGTGATCTTGAAATCAGAAGCCACACACAGCAGAGCAAAAAAATAAAATCCTGGTTCCCTGAACAACACTGCAGTGACCACCTCTCAGTTTTTATGTGAGAGTGAAATACACTTTTTTTTTTTCAAGACAGGGTCTTTCTCTGTTGCCCAGACTAGAGCGCAGTGGTATGATCACGGCAGTCTGAAACTCCTTGGCTCAAGGGATCCTCCCACCTAAGCCTCCCAAGTAGCTGGGACTACACGCATGCACCATGCTCCCTGGCTAAATTTTGTATTTTCTCGTAGCGACGGAGTCTCCTTATGTTGCCTGGTCTTGAGCTCCTGGGCTCCAGTGATCTTCTCGCCTTGGCCTCCCAAAATGCTGGGATTATAGGCATAAGCCACCACGCCCAGCCCGGCCCAAATGCTTTTTTTTTTTTTCTTTGGAGATGGAGTCATGCTTTGTTGCCCAGGCTGGAGTGCAGTGGCACAATCTTGGACAGAGATTGCAACCTCCACCCCCGGGTTCAAGCAATTCTCCCACCTCAGCCTCCCCAGTAGCTGGGATTACAGGCACCCGCCACTATGCCTGGCTAATTTTTGTATTTTTAATAGAGACAGTGTTTCAACATGTTGGCCAGGCTGGTCTCGAACTCCTGACCTCAAGTGATCCGCCTGCCTTGGCCTGCTAAAGTGCTGGGATTACAGGCGTGAGCCACCACACCTGGCCTCCAAATGCATTCTTTTTTTTTTTTTTTGAGACGGACTCTCATTCTGTCACCCAGGCTGGAGTGCAATGGCGTAGTGCCAGCTCACTGCAACCTCTGCCTCCTGGGTTCAAGCTATTCTCCTCCCTCAGCCTCCCGAGTAGCTGGGACCACAGGCGTGTGCCACCCCACCCAGCTCATTTTTGTATTTTTAGTAGAGATGGGGTTTCACTATGTTGGCCAGGCCGGTCTCAAACTCCTGACCTTGTGATCCTCACACCTTGGCCTCCCAAAGTGCTGGGATTACAGGCATGAGCCACCGTGCCTGGCCCCAAATGCATTCTTAAGGGTCATACTTCCTCTTAATGTTTCACACCTAGCTTAATCTCAATGGAGGGTTTTGGAAGCCAAAGCTAGGAGATGCAATATTTCTGATTTTTGCTTGAATGGGAGAAAAAGGAAGGGGAGAAAAAGACAAAGGGGAAGGAAAAAAGAATATGAATTGATCCTTTAAAAAATTACCCTGTCACAGTAGTTCATTCCGCCTCGAACTTAGAGTGGGGAGGCAAGTTCCTGCCTCTAAATGAATTCACCAGCCCCAGCTCTCACTTTGGTGGGTGGTCCTTCTCGACGAAAAGAGTCAAACTCTGTAAAATATTTTAAGAGATTTATTCTGAGTCAAATATGAATGGCACGGCCCGTGACACAGTCCTTAAGAGGTCCTGAGAACATGTTCCCAACGTGGTCGGGCACAGCTTGGTTTTATACATTTCAAGGAGGCATGAGACATCAATCAAATACTCAAGAAATACATTGGTTTTGTTCACAAAGGCGGGACAATTCAAAGCAGGGGGCTTCCAGGCTATAGCTAAATTTAAACATTTTTCTGGTTGACAATTGCTTGAGTTTGTCTAAAGACCTGGGATTGATAGAAAGGAATGTTCAGGTTAAGATATTGTGGAGACCAAGTTTTATTGTGCAGAGGAAGCTCTCAGATAGCAGACTTCAGAGAGAGAGCAGGTTGTAAATTGTTTCTTTTTTTTTTCTGAGACGGAGTCTCGCTCTGTCACCCAGGCTGGAGTGCAGTGGTGCCATCTTGGCTCACTGAAACCTCCGCCTCCCGGGTTCAAGCAATTCTCCTGTCTCAGCCTCCCGAGTAGCTGGGATTACAGGTGCACACTGCCATGCCCGGCTAAATTAGTGTCTGATTTGGCAATCTGGCAGGGACCCACAGTGCTACAAAGGCTTGTTCCTAGAGTTCTCTGATTTGATGGTAATAGTTTTAAATATTAGTGATTTGGATCATGGTGGGAGGATATGGCCTAACCCGATGTAATAGCCAATTGTTTAAGGGGTGAGATGGAGTCAGGCTTAGGGTTTAGTCTAAAAAAATTCTGGATCAGATCTATTTTCTAAGCGATCATGATTCAGGTCTTTAAATTTGCCTTTTCCTTCCGCTGTATCTGCCATAACATTTACAAGAAATGTCTAATGTTAATACAGTAACAAATATCATAAAGATAGTGAAGGTTTGGACATTCAAGGTTATAGGTAGAATCAGAGGGCAGTAAACAATCCAGTCAGCCAGAAGAAAACCCCTGTGCATCATCATATTCTTTGATCAGACTCACAATGTGTTTATTGTCCTTATCAAGGATTATTTGGACCTTGTGATAAATCTTACTTGAAAATCGTGGGACCAAAATTAAATTATAATTTAATAAGTTTAATCTCTCTTCCGGCCAATTTATCTCCATAGGTATAGCATCCTGAGGAGGGTATAAATTAAATGCAAAAAATGCCTGGTCCTTAGTGTCTAAATTGTTACAGACTTGTTAACAGTAGACAAATCTCTTTTTCCCACCACTTTTGTATTGCACCATATACTGGTATTTGGGAGAGAAAAGGTTTTGTCATAGGAGAAGTCACATAATTCCACAGTGTCAGTTTTTCCTCTGCAGGATTCCCTATGGCCGAGGGCTTTAAGAGTCAAAAGACTTAAAAAAAAAAAAAAAAAAAAAGAGTCAGAAGTCTTACAGCCAATTAATTGTTCCAGGCCAGATAGGAATGAATGTGGACAGGCATTCATTACTTCCTAATATTATTTTAAGTTAAAAAATCACAGTACTTTGGGAGGCCGAGGTGGGTGGATCACGAGGTCAGGAGTTTGAGACCAGCCTGGCCAAGATGGTGAAACCCCGACTCTATTAAAAATACAAAAATTAGGCCGGGTGCAGTGGCTCATGCCTATAATCCCAGCATTTTGGGAGGCCAAGGCGGGCGGATCACAAGGTCAGGAGATCGAGACCATTCTGGCTAACACGGTGAAACCCTGTCTCTACTAAAAGTACAAAAAATTAGCTGGGCATGGTGGCAGGCGCCTGTAGTCCCAGCTACTTGGGAGGCTGAGGCAGGAGAATGGCGTGAACCCAGGTGAGCTTGCAGTGAGTCGAAATCGTGCCACTGCACTCCAGCCTGGGTGACAGAGCGAGACTCCATCTCAAAAAAAAAAAAAAAAAAAAAATTTGGCAGGTGCGGTAGCAGGTGCCTGTAATCCCAGCTACTCGGGAGGCCGAGGCAGGAGAATCACTTGAACCCAGGAGGTGGAGGTTGCAGTGAGCTGAGATTGCGCCATTGCACTCCAGCCTGGGTGACAGAACGAGACCCCATCCCCCTCCCAAAAAGAAAGAAAAAGCCATCAATAAAACCAAAATGCAAAGTTAGAAGACTAACTTATTTTTAATTTCTATGTGTTGAGCTACTGTAAGCTTGGTTTCTGTTACAGACTTACAGCAACTAGCAATACAAAACATAAGCATTGTTCTGAAAAATTATTAAAAATGTGTATATATGTATAGATATATTTATCTTCACAACTTATAATTGGGAGTATTATGACCAGGAGGCTTTGTTAAAAGGTATTTTACCCCATTAATAAATATATTTTTAAAATTTTATAGTAAGCAGAAAATTTTTGTGTGGTAGGGGTGTATGCAAAAGTGACACATAACAGTTTAGAAGGCAACTAAACTTGTTTTACCAGCTGTTTAGGCATTTTTTGTACCCCCTTCTTAATTTGGAAGTTTGATCTTCTCCTAATTTTATCCCTCAAAACTGGCTCTTAAATCTTATGTGCCCACGTCTTCCGCGATAGTCCTGGGCCTAGAGGGAGGCAGCTTGTATAGTTTTAGCAGTGGAGAATTGGGAGCGAAACAGATCGGGGTCCAGTGGGATGCCAAATGGGGGAGACTCATATCTCTGGTCTTCAGAATACCATGATTTTGGTTTCCTTGGAAGTAAAACAAGGAGAGATAAATAACATTTATAGTTTTGACAGTTATGAGAGTAATTCGCATGTTAAAACAGAAAAAGGAACCTATTCCATTAGGGAACCAACTAAAAATCTGAAGAAAAAATTATAATTTGGTACTTTCTAAAGATTTATTGTATCCAAGAAATAATGATTTAACCTACACTTAAAAAGTTAGGGCTGAAATCTAGTATTAAGTATTACACTTTTCCCTTAAAACAATTAACTATTATTGAACTCATGCAGACAACTATACTGTTATAAAATTACAATCTGAATTTTGGAGAACTCAGAAAGGTAAATTTGCTTACCTAAACATACTTTACCCAAATAACTTAAAAGGAAAAGATGTTCCTGACCCTCCTTTAACTAGAGCATCAGCTTTTAAAACAAGATGTTTGTTTACCTTGGAAATGCCATTTTCAAACAAACACAGGAGCTATTTGGCACTATAGAATTTATCAGCTTCTCACAATTAGTCCTTAGGACAAAGGCTCTTGGCTTATTAGGTAGCAAAATTTCACGTAAACCATTTTTATTTATCATGGAACTTGTTGGGAAACATTACTTCTATTAGTACAGGGGCAGCTTCAGTTAATACTCCATAGCAAGGCAGCAAATGCCCCATCAAGTAGAACTTCTCTAGCTCAGTTGTTGTTATTGAAAAGTACTCACAGTTTTTGCCATGAGTCCTAATAAATGCTCCACACAAAAGGTTATGCAGTGGAGAATTTACACAAGCAGATTTACATGTCTTCAGTTTTGTTTGTTTGTTTGTTTTTTGAGACAGAGTCTCGCTCTGTCGCCCAGGCTAGAGTGCAGTGGTGCAATCTCGGCTCACTGCAACTTCCACCTCCCAGGTTCAAACGATTCTCCTGCCTCAGCCTCTCAGTAGCTGGGATTAACAGGTGCATGCCGCCATGCCTGGCTAATTTTTTGTATTTTTAGTAGAGACAGGGTTTCGCCGTGTTTACCAAGATGGTATCTATCTCCTGACCTTGTGATCCGCCCGCCTCAGCCTCCCAAAGCGCTGGGATTACAGGCGTGAGCCACCGCGCCTGGCTGTCTTCAGTTTTATAATACTAGAAAGGAGAACATCCCTCAGTTATGTATAGCACCCACTTTCATAAGACATTTAGGTAAAAGAGGTTACAACTACCTTACATAAAGCTTGTTTAAACATCTTACATCTTACATTTTATAATTCCATTAACCTGTATGTGTTTATGTTCTGGTCCCAGGAAGCCTTTTTTAATCCCCAGACCATCTTACCTTTTCTGGTGAAAAGGGTTTGGTTTCCCAGCAGGGAGTTGCATCTGTAAGACCTATGAGGGCAGCAGATTTGATAAGGCAAACAGACCTATAATTCTGTGGGAGGGGCACCATGAAAAAGGGCTCCTTAACCTCCAAATTTACCATGACCTGGGTGATAGACATATTAGGTGGGAGGATATCAGAGCTATCATAAAGCTAGTCCAACAAAGCTTGCATAAGAAACATATTAGCTGCTTCATCTGGGGTACTTCGCTTGGTATTTTATTAGGGAGAGTTAGGCAGTCCCCTTCTCAGGGCAAAACAGACCTTATCATGGCATAATCTCACCCACTAGGCTGATTGCTTTTTCAGGAATAACTCCCTGTGCATTTGGATCACAAATACTCAGTGATTGTTCAGTAATGAGCTGTGGGTTCTGCATTAATCCAAACAAGCTCTTAAATTCTGCAGCATTTAAAATTAAGAATTTTGTGGCCTGGCGGGGTGGCTCACACCTGTAATCCCAGCACTTTGGGAGGCCGAGGCAGGCAGACCATGAGGTCAGGAGTTCCAGACCAGCCTAGCCGACATGGTGAAACCCCATCTCTACTAAAAATACAAAAATTAGCCGGGGATGGTGGTGCATGCCTGTAATCCCAGCTACTCCGGAGCCTGAGGCAGTAGACTCGCTTGAACCTGGGAGGCGGAGGTTGCAGTGAGCCAAGATTGTGCCATTGCATTCCAGCCTGGGCGACAAGAGCAAGACTCCGTCTCAGAATAAACAAATAAATAAATAACATAACATAAAAGTAAGAATTTTGTCCCTAAAGTCTTTTAATTTTTTTTTTAAGACAGAGTCTTGCTCTGTTGTCCAGGCTGGAGTGCAGTGGCATGATCTCGGCTCACTGCAAGCTCTGCCTCCCGGGTTCACGCCATTCTCCTGCCCCAGCCTCCCGAGTAGCTGGGACTACAGGTGCCTGCCACCACGCCCGGCTAATTTTTTTTTTGGTATTTTTAGTAGAGATGGGGTTTCACCGTGTTAGCCAGGATGGTCTTGATCTCCTGACCTCATGATACACCCGCCTCGGCCTCCCAAAGTGCTGGGATTACAGCCGTGAGCCACCGTGCCCGGCCTTATTTATTTTTTTTTTAAATGGAGTCTCACTCTTTTACTGTGTCTATAGAGTAGCCATTCTTTTACTTCTTTACTTTCTTTTTTTTTTTTGAAATGGAGTCTCACTCTGTCACCCCAGGCTGGAGTGCAGTGGTACGATCTCAGCTCACTGCAACCTCCGTCTCCCGGGTTCAAGCGATTCTCATGTTTCAGCCCCCTGAGTAGCCGGGACTACAAGCATGCGACACTACACCTGGCTAATTTTTGTATTTTTTAGTAAAGATGTAGTTTCACCATGTTGGCCAGGCTGGTCTGGAACTCCTGACCTCAAGTGATCCACCAGCCTCAGCCTCCCAAAGTGCCGGACTTACAGGTGTGAACCACCACGCTCAGCTAAAAGCTAGTTTGTTGACTTTTTTTTAAGTCAAGATATTTCTTGCACATCTGAGTTTAGAGAGTGACATTAACATGGGTTACTTATAAATAAAGATCAGAGAAGTTAAATAACAAGTCCAGCTCCCTCTCCCTCTCCCTCTCCCTCTCCCCCTCCCCTTTCCACGGTCTCCCCTCTCCCTCTTTCCACGGTCTCCCTCTGATGCCGAGCCGAAGCTGGACTGTACTGCTGCCATCTCGGCTCACTGCAGCCTCCCTGCCTGATTATCCTGCCTCAGCCTGCCCAGTGCCTGCGATTGCAGGCGCGCACTGCTACGCCTGACTGGTTTTCGTATTTTTTTGGTGGAGACGGGGTTTCGCTGTGTTGGCCGGGCCGGTCTCCAGCTCCTAACCGCGAGTGATCCGCCAGCCTCGGCCTCCCGAGGTGCCGGGATTGCAGACGGAGTCTTGTTCACTCAGTGCTCAATGGTGCCCAGGCTGGAGTGCAGTGGCGTGATCTCCACTCGCTACAAACTCCACCTCCCAGCCGCCTGCCTTGGCCTCCCAAAGTGCCGAGATTGCAGCCTCTGCCCGGCCGCCACCCCGTCTGGGAAGTGAGGAGCGTCTCTGCCTGGCCACCCATCGTCTGGGATGTGAGGAGCCCCTCTGCCTGGCTGCCCAGTCTGGAAAGTGAGGAGCATCTCTGCCCGGCCGCCATCCCATCTAGGAAGTGAGGAGCGCCTCTTCCCGGCCGCCATCACATCTAGGAAGTGAGGAGCGTCTCTGCCCGGCCGCCCATCTTCTGAGATGTGGGGAGCGCCTCTGCCCCGCCGCCCCGTCTGGGATGTGAGGAGCACCTCTGCCCGGCTGCGACCCCGTCTGGGAGGGGAAGAGCGTCTCTACCCGGCCGCCCCATCTGAGAAGTGAGGAGACCCTCTGACTGGCAACTGACCCGTCTGAGAAGTGAGGAGCCCCTCCGCCCACAGCCGCCCCGTCTGAGAAGTGAGGAGCCTCCCCGCCCGGCAGCCGCCCCTACTGGGAAGTGAGGAGCCCCTCTGCCCGGCCAGCCGCCCCGTCCGGGAGGGAGGTGGGGGGGTCAGCCCCCTGCCGGGCCAGCCGCCCCGTCCGGGAGGTGAGGGGCGCCTCTGCCTGGCCGTCCCTACTGGGAAGTGAGGAGCCCCTCTGCCCGGCCAGCCGCCCCGTCTGGGAGGGAGGTGGGGGGGTCAGCCCCCCACCCGGCCAGCCGCCCCGTCCGGGAGGGAGGTGGGGGGGTCAGCCCCTGCCCGGCCAGCCGCCCCGTCCGGAGGGAGGTGGGGGGGTCAGCCCCTGCCCGGCCAGCCGCCCCGTCCGGGAGGTGAGGGGCGCCTCTGCCCGGCCGCCCCTACTGGGAAGTGAGGATCCCCTCTGCCCGGCCACCACCCCGTCTGGGAGGTGTACCCAACAGCTCATTGAGAACGGGCCAGGATGACAATGGCGGTTTTGTGGAATAGAAAGGGGGGAAAGGTGGGGAAAAGATTGAGAAATCGGATGGTTGCCGTGTCTGTGTAGAAAGAAGTAGACATGGGAGACTTTTCATTTTGTTCTGTACTAAGAAAAATTCTTCTGCCTTGGGATCCTGTTGATCTGTGACCTTACCCCCAACCCTGTGCTCTCTGAAACATGTGCTGTGTCCACTCAGGGTTAAATGGATTAAGGGCGGTGCAAGATGTGCTTTGTTAAACAGATGCCTGAAGGCAGCATGCTCGTTAAGAGTCATCACCACTCCCTAATCTCAAGTACCCAGGGACACAAACACAGCGGAAGGCCGCAGGGTCCTCTGCCTAGGAAAACCAGAGACCTTTGTTCACTTGTTGATCTGCTGACCTTCCCTCCACTATTGTCCTATGACCGTGCCAAATCCCCCTCTGCGAGAAACACCCAAGAATGATCAATAAAAAATAAAAAAAATAAAAAAATAAAAAAAAAAAACAAGTCCAAGCTACACAGCTAACGGGGAGCAGAGATGAAAATTGAATATACTTTTGCTTCTACCACCCAGGCTTTTCCCATTCTAACTTGCTACCTCTTAAGCATTATGAGAATAATCTCCTTCTTCTCTGAAATTACTGCCAATTCACTATGAGCACCTGACAGAGGAAATAAATAAATAAATAAAATTACTGTCAAACCACTTACAGTTAACCACAACCATCAATTTTGCCTTCTAAATACTTGTTAAAACTTTCAGTGTTCTTCATACTCAATGCCAACACCCTAGGCCAGTTATCCTCATCTCTCACTCAAATATTTGTTATCGCTCTCTAGTCTCCTTGTATTCATTCTTCTAAATCTTATTCAAAGCTGAGTGCAGTGGCTCAGTGTAATCCCAGCACTTTGGGAGGTTGAGGCAGGAGGATTGGTTGAGCCCAGGAGTCAGGACTAGTCTGGGCAATATAGGGAGACCCTGTAACAACTACTCTTCTGAGTGATCTTCTCAAAATGGAAATCTGATCACATTCCTGTTCTATCTAAAACTCCTTACTGGCTTCATGATGTTCTAGGATTTAGTCCAAAATCCCTAACCTGGCTATAACTCCTTGTGAACATTTTTGCAGCTTCATTTCTTATAACTACCTTTGCAATTTTATCTCCAGTGGTCCTCCCGGGCACTGTGCTTCAGCCACAGGGCCTCTGAACATGTGATTCCAAATGCCAGAAACATCAGATGTCACGCCAAATCTCTTTTCTCAGTGAAACCTTCCCTGATTCCTCTAGACAAGGTCAGTTCTGTCAGTTTTTACTTTTATAACACTTAGTACTTTTTCTTCATAGCACTTAAAGCAGATTATACTTAATTATTTTTGTGGTTACTGGATTAAAATTCATCTTTCCTAATAGATTGTTAGCTTCATGAGGACAGGGATAATGTCTATTGAAAAAGCTGGCTTGTGGGCTGACACAAAACAGATGCTCAGTAAGTACCTGTTGAATGAATGAACAAACCTTAAGAAGATAAACATAAATGAAAGCAGGGGCTAAGGAGAGATTATGATGGTCTATGGTTCTGGATTTACTTTTGTGAACCTCAGAAAATCTGAGATAGGTCTCAGTTAATTTAGAAAGTTTATTTTGCCAAGGTTGAGGATGCGCCTGTGACACAGCCTCAGGAGGTCCTGACGACATGTGCCCAGGGTGGTTGGCGTGCAGCTTGTTTTATACATTTTTGGGAGACATGAGTCATCAATCAAGTACATTTAAGAAATACATTGGTTTGGTCCAGAAAGGCAGGACAACTCAAAGTAGGGTGGGGGGGCTTCCAGGCTATAGGTGAATTTCAACATTTTCTGGTTGACAATTAGTTGAGTTTGTGTAAAGACCCGGGATCAATGGACAATAGACCTGGGATCAACAGAAATAAATGTTTGGGTTACGATAAGAAGTTGTGGAGACGGAAGTTTTATCATGCAGATGAAGCTTTTAGGTAGCAGGCTTCAGAGAGAACAGGCTGTAAAATGCTTCTTGTCAGACTGAAAGTCTGTGTTGATGTTAATGGTGGAGAGGTATAATAAGGCATGTCCAACCCCCACTTCCCTTCATGGCCTGAACCAGTCCTTCATGTTACACTTTAACAGCCCTGGCTGAGGAGCAAGTTCGTTTAGATGGTTGGGGGGCATTAGAATTTTATTTTGGGGGCCAGGCGCGGTGGCTCACGCCTGTAATCCCAGCACTTTGGGAGGCCGAGGCGGGCGGATCACGAGGTCAGGAGATCCAGACCATCCTGGCTAGCACGGTGAAACCCCGTCTCTACTAAAAAAATACAAAATATTAGCCGGGCGTGGTGGCGGGCACCTGTAGTCCCAGCTACTGAGGAGGCTGAGGCAGGAGAATGGCATGAACCCGGGAGGCGGAGCTTGCAGTGAGCCAAGATCGTGCCACTGCACTCCAGCCTGGGTGACAGAGCAAGACTCTGTCTCAAAAAAAAAAAAAGAATTTTATTTTTGGTTTACGCTTTGATGGCTTTTCTTACACAGAAATAATTGTGGAGAAAAAATAACAAGCCATTTCAATATTGATTTAAAAACAAGTAGGTATGAATGCTTTAAAAACAAGTAGGTTTTGTTACACAGCTGAAGTACATTAATTTCTGTACAGGAAACATACTCCAGGGCAGCTCATGACTGGCTTCGTTTGATTCACACTAACTTCCAAGAAAAGTGAATCACAGACGGTGAGACTGTCCAGATGAGCCACGGGAACAGGACAGACTGTAATTCACTTTGTCTTATTGTTGCCTCACACAATTAAATGCTACTTGGTATTGATTACAAAGGAATGGAATGTTTCGTTTTTGTTGTTATTATTGCTGTTTTTGTTTTTGAGACAGGGTCTCCCTTTATCACGCAGATTGGAATGCAGTGGTGTGAACATGGCTCACTGCAGCCTTGAGCCCCCTCGTTGGCCCAAGTGATACTCCCACCCCTCCCACCTCAGTCTCCTGAGTAGTTGGGATTACAAGCACACGACACCACACCCAACTAATTTTTGTATTTTTTGTAGAGATAGGGTTTCGCCATGTAGCCCAGACAGGTCTCTGTGAGGGTTAAAGAAAGAGGAAAGAAATGTGAAAAGCAGCTCAACAGTCAAAGACAGGTTTATTTTGGAGGATAAACCTGAGAGGGGTTTCTGGCTGATTTCAGTCCAGAGCACTCTCTCTTACAGACTAAGAGTATTTAAGGGTTTTAGGGCGAGAGAGCTTATTACAGGCTTGGAATGTTTCTGTGTGGAGGAGTTTATTGTGGGATTGGAATGTCTCTGGTCGGAGGGGAGGTTATCTCAGGGCTGGCATGTCTCTGGTTGGGGAGGGGTTTATCTTTGGTTGGAATGTTTCTGGTCAGAGATGTCATTTGTGGTTTATGCTCATGCTGGCATTAGCTATTAGGCTGATACCATTTGGATTTAGGCAGTTTTTGATCAAGGGGAACTTTAAAATGGCAGTGCTTATCCAAAATGGCAATGCTCCTGCTCAGTCACTCTCAAACTCCTGGGCTCAAGTGATCCATCTGCCTCAGCCTCCCAGAGTGCTGGGATTGCAGGTGTAAGCCACCACACCTAGCCTAGGAATGGAATGTTTCTATTGTTAATTTCATTGTCAACTGGAAACTGAAACAGTCTCTCTTGATAGTAATATTTAAAAACATTTCAGAAGCAAGGTATAATCTCTTTAGGGCTTCACCAAGGTGTACCTGGGGAAGAAAAGAAGAGATACCTCTATCTGAATATTTGAAGCAAAGATACGGGCTGTTTTCTTCTCCTAATATTTGTCTTTTTCTTTGCAAGTTTCCTTTTGCTTTATGAAATAGATATTACAGGGGAGATCTACATATCCTCTTTCTCTTCTCCACACAATTTTGTTATTTTGTTAGGGATTTATTTCTACAGAAAAAAAGTTGGAGCCAGGTGTGGTGGCTCACACTTGTAATCCCAACACTTTGGGAGGCTGAGGCAGGCAGATCACTTGAGCCCAGGAGTTGGAAATCAGCCTGGGCAACATGGTGAAACTCTGTCTCTACAAAAAATATGAAAATTAGCTGGATGTGGTGGCATGTGCCTGTAGTCCCAGCTACTAGTGAGGCTGAGGTGGGAGAATTGATTGAGCCCAGGAGGTCAAGGCTTCAGTGAGCTGTGATTGGGCCACTGCACTCCAGCCTGGGCAACAGGGCAAGACCCTGTCTTAAAAAAAAAGAAAGAACAAGAAAAAAAGTTGCCCTTAGGATTAGCCAATAGGGGCATTTTTAGCAAGGTTTTTTTTTTTTTGTTTTTTGAGATGGAGTCTCACTCTGTTGCCCAGGCTGGAGTGCAGTCGGCTCACTGCAAGCTCCGCCTCCCCGGTTCAGGCCATTCTCCTGCCTCAGCCTCCCGAGTAGCTGGGACTGCAGGCGCCCACCACCACACCCGCTAAGTTTTTGTATTTTTAGTAGAGACAGGGTTTCACTGTGTTAGCCAGGATGGTCTCGATCTCCTGACCTCGTGATCTGCCCGCCTTGGCCTCCCAAAGTGCTGGGATTACAGGCGTGAGCCACCACACTGGCCCAGTTTTTTTCAAGAATGTTCTTTTCAGTTTGCTTTCTGCTTGCTTTCCTTCCCCTCTCATCCTTATGACTTTATTGAGGACCTAGAGCCTGTGTTCGGGTCCATATCTGGAACTTCTGGAGTCTACAGGCAGCACAGTTCCTGCCTTCAGGAAGCCCATAGTCTGATGAGGAAGATGGATATCAGCTTTGCAGTGGTGTTGGGATTTAGGGGATCTTTTCAGACTTACTTTTCAAAAAGTTTTTCTCTTTCCTTTCTGATATCATGATGCCTACCCTGAACATTTCTTGTCCTCTTCTGTTTTATGGGCTACCAGAGAGTCCAGAATTGCAGTAAATAAGAGGAAAAGAGGTCTAACTATGAGTTTTAAGGGTTTTCCTACATGTGAAGTGTTGGGTTTTAGTAATGGGTTTTAGTGTGGGGTCTTATAATAATCATGACTATGAACTTTGTCGCAGACAGTCATACTGGCCGGAATCCTCTAGGTGAGCAGGAGCGTAATTCTTTTTTTTTTTTAATCTTATCTAAAAATGTGTAACATTTTATTCTCCAATGATGTCAAACAAATGGGTTATTGCAGGGTAAAGTAACATATAACAAGGAATGCCTATATTTTCCTCTATTAAATATTTTGTACTTTGGCCACTTGCATGGCAGGGGTATTGAAGGATTAAGTAAGATGATAACAAGAATGTCTGGGACATGGGGCACCAATTTATGGCAGCTATTATCAGAACTGATGCATTTTCTCAGCAACACCTGCTCTCACTGTGGGCCAGACCAGTGGCTACCTGAAGAATCCTCTGAAGCTGGGCGCGGTGGCTGACGCCTGTAATCCCAACACTCTGGGAGGCTGAGGTGGGAGGATTGCTTGAGCCTAGGTTTTTGAGGTCAGTTTGGGCAACGTAGTGAGACCCCGTCTCTACCAAAAAAAAAAAAGATACAAATTTAGCTGGGCGTAGTGGCACACACCTGTGGTCCCAGCTACTTGGGAGGCTGAGGTAGGAGGATTGCGTGAGCCCAGGAATTTGAGGCTGCAGTGAGCTATGATTGTACCACTGCCCTCCAACCTGGGCAAAAAAGCGAGACCCTGTCTCTAAATAATTAAATAAATAAATGGAATCCTTTGAGAGGAACTTGTTGCTTCCAGTTTTCAGATTTTTATGGTTCCTGCTTTACCAGATTTCTGGGTTCATTTGTTTTTCTGTTTGTTTGCAGAGACTGGGTCTGGCTCTGTCCCCAGGCTGGAGTGCAGTGGCCATCAGAGCTTACTTCAGCCTCAAACTCCTGGGCTCAAACGATCCTTCTGTCTCAGCCTCCTGAGTAGCTGGGACTACAGGCACGCAACACCACACTTGGCTAATTTTTAAAATATTTTGTAGGGACAGAGTCTCACTATGGTGCCCATGCTGGCAGATTTCTGGTTTTTATCCTTTGAATATACATGCTACACAAATTCAACTAATGTCATTGTGAAAAACATGGGAAGAAAAGCTTTGCACCTGATAATATCTCTATGCATTTGCCTTTTCTAGACATTTTATATAGATGGAATCATATAATATGTGGTCTTTGTGACTGACTTCTTTCATTTAGCATAATGTTTTAAAGGTTTGTTCATGTTTTAACACATTTAGTACTTAAGTCTCCTGTATTGTTGAATAATATTCCATTGTATAGATATACCACATATTGTTTATTTGTTCATCAGCTGATGGACATTTGGGTTGTTTTTACTTTTTGGCTATTACAAATAATACTGCTGTGAACAAGTTTTTATGTAGACATATGTTTTTATTTCTCTTTGGTGTATACCCAAGGGGTCATATGGTAACTCTAAGTTTACCCTTTTGAGGAACTGCCAGACTACGCCATTTTACATTCCCGCCAGCAGTGTAGGAAACTTCCAGTTTCTTCACCTAACCAATATTTGTTATTATGTGTCATTTTAATTTCAGCCACGCTATTGGGTGTGAAGTGGCTCTTTGTGGCTTTTTGCATTTCCCTAATAACTACTTTTGCATATCTTTTCATACGTTTATTGGCCATTTTTATACAGGCATACATTGGAGATATTGGAGGTTTGGTTTTAGACCACTGCAATAAAGCTAATATCACTATAAGTGAGTCACACAATTTTTTTGGTTTCCCAGTACAGATAGAAGTTATGTTTATATAATACTGCAGTCTATTAAGTGTGCAAATGGCATTATGTCTAAGAAAACAATGTGTATACCTTAATTTTAAAATGCTTTATTGGCTGGACATGGTGGCTCATGCCTGTAATCCCAGCACTTTGGGAGGCTGAGGCAGGCATATCACTTGAGGTCAGGAGTTCGAGACCAGCCTGGCCAACATGGTGAAATCCCATCTCTACTAAAAATACAAAAAATTAGCTGGGTGTGGTGGCACGTGCCTGTAGTCCCAGCTACTCGGGAGGCTGAGGCAGGAGAATCGCTTGAACCCAGGAGGCGGAGGTTGCAGTGAGCCACGATCATGCCACTGTACTCCAGCCTGGGCAACAGAGCGAGACTCCATCTCAAAAATAAATAAATAAATAGATAATAAAAATTAGCCAGGCGTGGTGGCATGCACCTGTAGTCCTAGCTACTTTGGAGGCTGAGGCAAGAAAATTGCTTGAACCCGGGAGGCAGAGGTTCCAGTGAGCTGAGATCACACCACGGCACTCCAGCCTGGGCGACAGAGCAAGACTCCATCTCAAATAAATAAATAAATAAATAAGTAAATATATACATAAAATGCTTTATGGCCTAAAATGCTAATAATGATCACCTGAGACTTCAGTGAGTCTTAATTTTATTGCTGGTGGAGGGTCTTGCCTTGATGTTGAAGGCTGCTGACTGATCAGGGTGATGGTTGCTAAAGGCTGGGTGGCTGTGGAAATTTCTTAAAATAAGACAACAGTGAAGTTCACCACATTGACTCTTTTATGAAAGATTTATCTGTAGCATGCAATGCTGTGTGTTAGCATATTACCACAATAGAATTTTTTCTTTTTTACTATATTTTAATAACTTTTTGTTCATATTTTTCTTTTAATTTTTTTTCATACCAGTTAGAAATCCTCAAGAAGGAAGAATTTTTTTTTCTTAATAGGAGTCAGTTCTTTCAAACCTTGCCACTGCTTTATCATGTTGATGGAATATTCTAAATCCTTTGTTGTCATTTCAGCAATATTCACAGCACCTTCACCAGGAGTACATTCCTGGTTTCTCAAAACACCACTTTCTTTGCTCATCCATAAGAAGGAACTGCACATCCATTCAAGTTTGATCATGAGATTGCAGCAATTCAATCACATCTCCAGACTCCATTTCTAATTCTAGTTCTCTTGCTATTTCCACCACATCTGCAGTGACTTCCTCACTGGTCTTGAGCCCTTCCAAGTCATCCATGAGCATTGGAATCAACTTATTCCAAACTCCTGTGAATGTTGTCATTTTTACTTCCTCCCACAAATGTTCTTAATGGCATCCAGAATGGTGAATCCTTTCCAGAAGGTTTTCAATGTATTTTGCCCAGATCCATCAGAGGAACCATCTACAACAGCTACAGCTTTACAAAGTGTATTTCTCTTTCTTTTCTTTTTTTTTTGAGACAGAGTGTTGCTCTGTTGCCCAGGCTAGAGTGCAGTGGCACGATCTAGGCTAACTGCAACCTCCGCCTCCCAGGTTCAAGCAATTCTCTTGCCTCAGCCTCCCAAGTAGCTGGGATTACAGGTGCGCACCACCATGCCAGGCTAATTTTTTTTTGTATTTCTAGTAGAGATGGGGTTGCACCTTGTTGGCCAGGCTGGTTTCAAGCTCCTGACCTCAAGAGATCTGCCCTCCTCGGCCTCCCAAAGTGCTAGGATTACAGGCGTGAGCCACTGTGCCTGGCCAGTATTTCTTTCTCTTTTTCTTTTTTTTGAGACAGTTTCACTCTTGTCACCCAGGCCGGGGTGCAATGGCACAATCTTGGCTCACTGCAACCTCCACCTCCTGGGTTCAAGCGATTCTCCTGCCTCAGCCTTCTGAGTAGCTGGTATTAGAAGCGCCCACCACCATGCCTGGCTAATTTTTGTATTTTTAGTAGAGACAGGGTTTCACCATGTTGGCCAGGCTGGTCTCGATCTCCTGACCTCAGGTAATCTACCCTCCTCGGCCTCCTAAAGTGCTGGAATTACAGGTGTGAGCCACCATGCCCGGCCAGTATTTCTTAAATAATAAGACTTGAAATTCAGAATGACTCGTTGATCCATGGGCTGCAGAATGGATGTTGGGTTCATAAACATAAGACATTAATCTCCTTGTACAGTTCCTGTCAGGCCTCTGAGCCCAAGCTAAGCCATCATATCCCCTGTGACCTGCACATATATATCCAGATCACCGGAAGCAACTGAAGATCCACAAAAGAAGTGAAAGTAGCCTTAACTGATGACATTCCACCATTGTAATTTGTTTCTGCCCCACCCTAACTGATCAATGTACTTTGTAATCTCCTCCACCCTTAAGAAGGTTCTTTGTAATTCTCCCCACCCTTGAGAATGTACTTTGTGAGATCCACCCCCTGCCCGCAAAACATTGCTCCTAACTCCACCGCCTATCCCAAAACCTATAAGAACTAACGATAGGCTGGGCGCGGTGGCTCACGCCTGTAATCCCAGCACTTTGGGAGGCCGAGGCGGGCGGATCACGAGCTCAGGAGATCGAGACCATCCTGGCTAACATGATGAAACCCTGTCTCTACTAAAAATACAAAAAATTAGCTGGGGGAGGTGGCGGGCACCTGTAGTCCCAGCTACTCGGGAGGCTGAGGCAGGAGAATGGCCTGAAGCCGGGAGGCAGAGCTTGCAGTGAGCGGAGACCGAGCCACGCACTCCTGCCTGGGCGACAGAGCGAGACTCTGTCTCAAAAAAAAAAAAAAAAGAATACAAAAATTAGCTGGACGTGGTGGCAGGCACCTGTAATCCCAGCTACTTGGGAGGCTGAGGCAGGAGAATCGCTTGAACCCGGGAAGTGGAGGTTGCAGTGAGCTGAGATCCCGCCACTGCACTCCAGCCTAGGCAAGAGAGTGAGACTCTGTTTCCAAAAAAAAAAAAAAACGTGAGTGGGATGTTGAGGCTGAAAATGCCACACACACCCTACAAGGGCATGAAAAGGTTTATTATTTATATAATGAGACTTTCTGTGGAGAGTAGGGTGGCTCCCAAGCAGGTCCAAAAATAGCTTGAGAGAGGAGTAAAAAGAGACTGGCCTGGGAGTATTAGGATATTTGGAGGTAGGGCCAGGTGAGGGTTCCATGTGTGTTTGGACTTCCTGATGGTGCCAAAGGGTGGATAACTAGCTTTTATCAGCTTGCCCAGGTGTGAGACAGAGGGGAAGAGGAAGGTGTGAGACTTAAAAGCTATCAGCAGCCAAACATGAAGAAAAGACTATACGTGACCTGTTATTACAGTATGTCACCCAAAGATGACAATTTTTTTGATCCCAGCTAGTTGCAGCTGATATTGAGGTTTCAACGTGGCATATTTTTATACAGACAAAATATCAAACGATTACATTTGAATTTCCTTTTTTTAAAAAGGACTGAGTCATATACACAAAAGACATTCTCACTATATCCCACCCAATTCCCAAGTCTTGTTCCATCCTACGTTATTTTCCTTTTGACCAGTTTCAAAAAGGTGCTCCCACTGCTGCCCCTAGTAATAATAAATGAATAATAATGATGATGACTCCATAACCCACAGTAGGGTATCATCAATTGCATCTCTGGATCAGAGGCCAGGGTGGCTTGGCAGCAAGCAGCTCAAGAAACTGCATACGAGATGGTGTTCAATGAGAAAAATGCACTGCGCAGTAATTAATGTAACAGTCGCATCTAGTTGGGATGGCAGAAAATTTGCTCATGAAGGCCATTTGTTCCACTTTGACAGAGTCAGTCAAATAAAATCATGTATTGTTGGCTCAAGCATGCTTTACAGGGCTGTAAAGTCAGTTCATTCTGGCCCAGGGAAAAGTCCACCTGCGGTGAATGAAGATCCTCATGGAAGTCATATTGCTCAAATTTTTGCTGTAGTTCATGCTGATGTAAATGTTGAGCAGGGAAATCCTTGAAGCTCCATGTGTATTTTCCAGTGATACTTGAGAGGCAGTGAAAAGAAATTTGCCAAACAGTGAAGCAATGAAAGCGTAATCTCACACGGGGAGGCCAAGACCATCGTCAGGTCCAGCAGAACCACAGACTGAACCTCAGTGGTGATTCTAGGGCGTTCTGCCTGTTTTGTATTTTATATACTCTTTGGTGTTTGGCTTCTTTCACTAAACATCATGCTTATGAGTCATCCATATTGTTGTGTACAGCAGTTGGTATAAGTTCACTCCTAGTGTTGTGTGAATATTCCACAGTTTACTTATCTCTCCTGATGTTGATGGTCATTTGCATCATTGATAGTTTGGGGATATTATGCATATTTTTGCTAGGAACATTCTTATATATGTTATTTAGAAATATATGAGTGCAGGTGCATTTCTCCTGGTTATACATCCAGAATTGCATTCACTGGCCCATAGGGGATGTGTATGTTCAACTGTAGTAAATAATACCAAATGATTTTCCAAAGTGAATTATGAGGCCGGGCACGGTGGCTCATGCCTGTAATCCCAGCACTTTGGGAGACCGAGGCAGGTGGATCACCTGAGGTCAGGAGTTCAAGACTAGCCTAGCCAACATAATGAAACCCCATTTCTACTAAAAATACAAAAAATTAGCCAGGCGTGGCGGCGGGCAGCTGTAATCCCAGCTACTCAGGAGGCTGAGACAGGAGAATTGCTTGAACCTGGGAGATGGAGGTTGCAGTGAGCCGAGATCACGCCACTGCACTCCAGCCTGGGCAGAAAGAGTGAAACTCTGTCTCAAAAACAAAACAAAACAAATAAACAAACAAAAAACCCAAAAGTGAATTATGACAGTTCTAGTTGCTCCACATCCTCAGCAAAATTTAGTATTATTAGTCTTATTTTGGTCAGTGTTTTTTGTTTGTTTTTTTTTTGTTTCTTGAGACAATTTCTTTGTCACCATGGCTGGAGTGCAGTGGTGCGAATACAGCTCACTGCTGCCTTGGCCCCCTGGGCTCAAGCAATCCTCCCACGTCAGCTTCTTGAGTAGCTGGGATCATAGGTGTGCACCACCATGCCCAGCTAATTTTTTAACTTTTTTGTAGAGAGGGGGTCTCTTCATGTTGGCCAGGCTGGTCTCAAAATCCTGGGCTTAAGTAATCTCGCTTCAGCCTCCCAAAGTGCTGAGATTATAGGTGTGAGCCACAGTGCCCGGCTGTGTTAGTGGTTTTCATGTATATTTCACTGATAACTAACAAGATTGAACATTGTTTTATATGTTTATATCTTTCTTGTTCATTTGGATATCTTATGGGAAATTCAAGACTTGGCCCATTTTTCTATTGAGTTTTCTGGCTTTTTAAAAAAATTGATTTTAAGGAGTTGTTTATATGTTCTAGATACAGGTAGTTTGTCAGATGTATATATTGAAAATATTTCTCCTACTCTTAATTTTTTCACTCTCTTATTGTGTCCTGATGAACAGAACTACTTACTTTTAATGCAGTCCAATTTATCAAATTTTCCTGATGTTTAATGCTTTGTATGCAGTTTTAAAAACTTTTTGCCTATATTCAGCAAACAGCATTCTAATTTCTCAACTAAAAGTTTTACCTTTCATATTTAGATCTATGATGTATATTGAAATGATATTTATCATGTGATATTAAAAAATGCATACGTATATATTCATAAATGTGCCCCTAACATTTATACGTCCTGGGCCAAATGTAAAATGGAGAGATGCATTTCTTTTTCTTTTCTTTTCTTTTTTTTTTTTTTGAGATGGAGTCTCAATCTGTCACCCAGGCTGGAGTGCAGTGGCACCATCTTGGCTTGCTGCAACCTCCACCTCCCGGGTTCAAGCAATTCTCCTGCCTCAGTCTCCTGAGTAGCTGGGCCTACAGTCACATGCCACCACACTGGGCTAATTTTTTGATTTTTCATAGAGACGGGGTTTTGCCATGTTTGTGAGGCTAATCTCGAACTCCTGGCCTCAAGTGACCCACCTACCTCGGCCTCCCCAAGTGCTGGGGTTATAGGCATGAGCCACTACACCTGGCATGAGAGTTGTATTTCAAATGACTAAATATTTACAAGATATAAATCAAACTGACAAACTGTGAAGTGAAATATATTCTATTCCCCTACTTTGACAGATCTACCTTCACAATGTCAAAATTGAAAAATACATTCATAGTCATGTTTTTCTGTGATTGACATTTGGAAAAATATCAAAGATTACAGAATTTCTTTATTATTGGGCATGTCTGGGTGTTCTGTTGATGGACTGGTGTTTTCACATGAGTGGTAAATTCAAAATTATTATATATTTATTCCATAAAGTTATTTTTCTTTATTTTATTTTATCTAAATCATTAATTTTGTTATCATCAAGATTTTGACATAATTTGTCTTCTATCAACAGTAAGTATCTAAAGAAAAATAAGATGTAGCTATAGTCAAATGAACAAAATTTGAATATATTTTAATCAAAAGTTCCATATGTGTTATCCAAGTTATTCATCTTCTAACACATTCAATATCACCTATCAAAATTTAAAAGCTAGGTTGAGCACGGAGTCTCACACCTGTAATCCCAGTGCTTCGGGAGGTCGAAGTGGGATGATTGCATGAGCCCAGGAGTTTGAGACCAGCCTGGCAACATGGTGATACCTTCATCTCTACAAAAAAAAAAAAAAAAAAAAAAAAAAAAAAAAATTAAATTAGTCTGGTGTGGTGGTGCATGTCTGTGGTCCCAGCTACTCAAGAGGCTGAGGTGGAAGGATTGCTTGAGCCCAGGAGGTGAAGGCTGCAGTGAACTGTGTTCGAGCTACTGCACTCCAGCCTGGGCGACAAAGCAAGACCCTGTTTCTAAAAAAAAGAAGTCAATTGCTTTTTTCCTTCTTTCTGGCATTCAAGATGTCGAAGCAAGGATGTGGTGAGTCCTCTGGTGCAAAATTCTGGATTTCCTTGGGTCTTCTGGTAGGATCCCTGATCAACAATGCTGACAATACAGGAGCCAAAAATCTGTATATCATCTCCGTGAAGAGGATCAGGGACGGCTGAACAGACTTCCCTGCCAGTGTGGGTGACATGGGGATGGCCACAGTCAAGAAAGACAAACCAGAGCTCAGAAAAAAGGTACATCCAGCAGTGGTCACTTGACAACAAAAGTCATATGGAGAAAAGACGGTGTGTTTCTTTATTTTGAAGGTAATGCAGGGGTCATAATAAAAAACAAAGACGAGATGAAGGGTTCTGCCATTACAGGACCAGTAGCAAAGGAGTGTGCAGACTTGTGGCCCCGGATTGCGTTCAATACTGGCAGCATTGCATGATTGTCTGGTATATTTGTAAAAAAAAATCCTAAAACCCATTAAAAAGTATTTGTCCTCTGCCCCCTCAAAAATAAATAAATAAATAAATAAATTTAATTAAAACATTAAGCAGAGGTGTGTTTCTTGACAAAAAATTAAAAAGCAAAAATAAATCTTATTTAATAGACTTTTTTCCTTTCTTTTTTTTTCTTTTTTTTTTTGTGAGACGGAGTCTTGCTCTGTTGCCTCGGCTGGAGTGCAGTGGTGTGATCTCGGCTCGCTGCAACATCTGCCTCCTGGATTCAAGCGATTCTCCTGCCTCAGCCTCCCGAGTAGCTGGGATTAGAGGCACCCGCCATCATGCCTGGCTAATTTTTGTAGAGACGGGGTTTCATCATGTTGGCCAGGCTGGTCTTGAACTCCTTACCTCAGGTGATCCACCAGCCTCAGCCTCCCAAAGTGCTGGGATTACAGGAGTGACCCACCACGCCCAGCCAGATTTCTTTTTTCTTTTCTTTTTTCTTTTTTTTTTTTTGAGACCAAGTTTTGCTCTTGCAGCCCAGGCTGGAGTGCAGTGGTGAGATCCCGGCTCATTGCAACCTCTGCCTCCCAGGTTCAAGCGATTCTCCTGTCTCAGCCTCCCGAGTAGCTGGAACTACAAGCGCACACCACCAACCCGGCTAATTTTTTTGTATTTTTAGTAGAGATGGGGTTTCATCATGTTGACCAGGCCAGTCTCAAACTACTGGCTTCAGGTGATCTGCGCACCTCGGCCTCCCAAAGTGCTGGGATTACAGGCAAGAGCCACCGAGCCCAGCCTAAACATCAAATATTGAAAATAAATTATTTAGGGCCGGGCACAGTGGCTCACGCCTTTAACTACTGATACACTGTTGTGTGTTCAAACTGTGTTCACATAAGGCAAACGCCAAGCTGTAACCAATTCAGCTGTTTCTTTTTCTTTTTTTTTTGAGGCAGGGTCTCACTGTCGCCCAGGCTGGAGTGCAGTGGCGCAATCTCGGCTCATTGCAAGCTCCGCCTCCCAGGTTCACGCCATTCTCCTGCCTCAGCCTCCCGAGCCGCTGGGACTATCAGGCGCCCGCCACCACGCCCAGCTAATTTTTTTTGTATGTTTAGTGGAGACGGGGTTTCACCGTGTTAGCCAGGATGGTCTCGATCTGCTGACCTCGTGATCTGCCCGCCTTGGCCTCCCAAAGTGCTGGGATTACAGGCGTGAGCCACCACGCCCGGCCAATTCAGCTGTTTCTGTACAATTGCTTGAACCTGGGAGGTGGAGGTTGCAGTGAGCTGGGATCGCACCACTGCACTCCAGCCTGGGTGAGAAGGGCAAAACTCTTGAGTCACTGCTCCAGCTACTCCTACCCTGTCTCAAAAAATTTTTTTGTGTCTCAAAAAAAAAAAAAAAAAGAAGTACAGAGTCCTCAGGCCATGTTTAGTTTGCTTTAACAATATAGAAATCAGGCCAGGCGCGGTGACTCACACCTGTAATCCCAGCACTTTGGGAGGCCGAGACGGGCGGATCACGAGGTCAGGAGACCGAGACCATCCTGGCTAACACGGTGAAACCCCATCTCTACTAAAAAATACAAAAAATTAGCCGGGCGCGGTGGCGGGTGCCTGTAGTCCCAGCTACTCGGGGGGAGGGGGGGAGGCGGGGCGCTGAGGCAGGAGAATGGTGCGAACCCGGGAGGCAGAGCTTGCAGTGAGCCGAGATCGCGCTACTGCAGTCCGGACTGGGTGAAAGAGCGAGACTCCGTCTCAAAAAAACAAAAACAAAAACCAAACAATATAAAAATCAGTATTACATTTCACTGGCGTTATGTCTAAAGTCACACACGTAGAAATTTAATGGTAATTTGAATTGCTTAATATTGCAAAAGTACTGTAAATTGCTGCAACTACTTTACGAATTCTTCCTGCCTCCAAAACATGATTTGAAACAGGAAGGGAAGAAAATGGAAACCTGGTACTGAGAAATACTTTATTATGCAAGAATATACTGCATTCCTCCTATTCGAAAGGAAGGACCTGAGAGGTAACTTTTCTTGTTTAGTACCCAGTTGCTGCTGCTCAAATCCTCCCTGCACTTGGAAGCAGTGAGTCTCTGATTTTGTCAGTGACATAACCCACAATTTAACCCACGAACCTCACCTCTCCAAAACGTAGGTGCTTTTGTACATGGAAATGTTACAAAATAAATTTTAACACATTGAAAGCTAGTGTTTATCCATGTGGTCAAATTGACTTATTTTGTATAGACCTCAGAATAAAACTTGATCTCAGTCTCAAGGAATGTCCTCTAAGGCCACAGACTGTGTGCAAGTTGTGCCATCAGCAACCCTAGGGGTCACTATTCACAGGGTAGTATATTTGATATTTTTAAATGATAATTTTCCAGCAGATGGCAGTAAATTGTCTGGAAGAAAGGTAACCTTTAAAAAATTCTCACAAAGGTATTATATAGGCTAGCTGCTATGTTGGATCATTCCTCTCCCCAGAGGTAATCTCTTATAAAAGTTTGAATTTGTCCTTCTAGACCATATATTCACATACATAAATATATGTACATAGAAAAATAGAAATTTTATTATTTTAAAACTTTTTGAGAGGCTTTGGCAGGAAGATCACGAGGCCAGGAGGTCGAGACCAGCCAGGGCAATGTAGTGAGATGCCACTGTCTCTACCAAAAAAAAAAAAAATTAAAAACAAAAAACAATAAGTAAATAAATAACTGAAAAAAAACTTTTAAAATATAAACAGTAGTGAGGCAGAATAGGGTCTGGAGGCAGGGAACCTAAGGCCGATTCATACTGACTTCCTAGAACTAAATCAAAAGGAAAACCCCAACTTTCAACACCTAAGTATCAAAATGACCAAACGCTACTCCCTTTGCAAACCACCCCTGTCCCCCACTTTCTGCTTGGCAGATGGAAAACTGAAAGTACCTCTGATTGGTTGCTTTGAGCAACCAATCAGATGTTTGCATAGGAGTGTAACTTTGTAATTTCACTTTAGCCTCTGATTGGTTGCTTTCTGCAACCAATCAGCCCGATCGTGGGCCACTACTTTATTTGCATGAGGTATCCACCAAATGGCCAATGGAAAACCTCTAGAGGATGTTTGGACCCCAGAAGATCCTGCAATCAGGGCCCTTGAGTCACTGCTCCAGGTACTCCTACCCTGTGGAGTGTACTTTCATTTCCAATAAATCTCTGCTTTCCTTGCTTAATTCTTTCCTTGCTTTGCTTTGCATTTTGTCTAATTCTCTGTTCAAAACGCCAAGAACCTGACAATTTGCAGTCAAGACCCTGCACCTTTAACAAGTAGCGCACTATATTTTCTATCTTGCCTTTCTCAGTATGCCTTAAAGATCTTTCAATGTAACCATATGTAACCCTGGAACTAGACCAATCTGGTTCAACTTTGTCAGCAACAAAATGTAACAAAATGATGAGTTGTTTCTCAGCTCCTAAGGACACCCAGGTTGCAAGTCACCTAACCTGAGTATGGCCAGAAGAATCAAGCAGGCCCAGGTCCTGACCTCAGAGCCAGCTGGAATGAAAAAACCAACCACAGGCAGAATCTAAGTGCTTTGGATCAAGCAACAGAGACCACATTAAAAAGCAAGGGTTGCCCTGTTTTGTTGGAGTATGGACTTTTCTAAAAGTTGAGGACCCAACATGACCCCATTGCATGATCTCATCAGATCACTGCTTCTTTGCATGAACCTAATCAGGTCACACCTTTATCTCATCTTCCTATATCCTCCATTGTTCCCCTTTGCCCATAAAACCTGCCCCAGACCCCTGCTTGAGAGACAGATTTGAGAATTGCCTCCTGTCTCCTTGCCAGTCAAGTTGCAATGAAGCTTTTTCTTTTCTCAAAAGTCAATGCCATATCGGCTTCTATGTGTGTTGAGCAGCTAGCCCTTGCTAATTTTAAAATCTGATGTATGATATTCCACACTATGAATATACTATGGATTATTTAAACATTTCTGTATTGGTGAACATTTAACTTGCTTCCAGTTTTTTGCTGTTACCAACCATGCTGCAGTGTCTACCCTTGTACATATCTTCTCAGGCACATGCGTGAGGGCTTCTGTAGGAGAGATACTAAGAGGTAGTATTGCCGGGCCATAAGGCACATATGAGTTTAGTTTTGATAGTGAGGTAGGAGGTGGGACTCAACTCTGGAGGAAGGGCTTGGACACCAGACCAAATTGAGGACTAGCTTAAACAGGGCCAGGGTGGAAGCAGCTTTCCATAAGACATACCCACCGGTGTGCCATTGCAGTTTACCGTTGCTATGGCAACATTCAGAAGTTACCTTCCCTTTCCATAGCAATGACTCGATGACCTGGAAGTTACCATGCTTTTCCTAGAAATTTCTGCATCAACTCCCCCTTAATTTGCATGTAATTAAAAGTGGGTATAACTATGCCTGCTGAACTACCTCTGAGCTGCTATTCTGTACACACAGCCTATGGGGTAGCCCTGCTCCACAGTTGCGGTTGTACACTGCTGCTTCAATAAAAGTTGCTGTTTAACACTACCAGCTCACCCTTGAATTCTTTCCTGGGTGAAGCTAAGAACCCTCCCACGCTAAGCCGCGATTTTGGGGCTTGCCTGTCCTTTCAATAGGACATTGCTAAATTGCTCTCTAGAATTGCTTTTCCAGGTTGGGCGCAGTGGCTCACATCTGAAATCCCAGCACTTTGGGAGGCTGAGGCAGGCAGATCACCTGAGGTCAGGTGTTCAAGACCAGCCTGGCCTACATGGCAAATCCCTGTCTTTACTAAAAATACAAAAATTAGCTGGGCATGGTGGCCTATGCCTGTAATCCCAGCTACTTGGGTGGCTGAGGCAGGAGAATCGCTTGAACCTGGAAGGTGGAGCTTGCAGTGAGCCGAGATCGCGCCACTGCACTCCAGCCTGGGTGCAGAGCGAGACTTTGTCTCAAAAATAAAATAATAATAAATAAATTTTAAAAATTGCTTTTCCAATTTATACTCTCACGAGCAAAGCATGAAACTACCTGTTGTCAATATATGATATTCTCAATGCAAAAATTTTTTGACTTGGCTGGGTGTGGTGGATCATGCCTGTAATGCCAGTGCTTTGGGAGGCTGAAGTGGGAGGATTGCTTGAAGCCAGGGGTTCGAGACCAGCCTGGGCAATATAGTGAGACCCTATCTCTATAAAAAAAAAACAATAAAAATTAAAAAAATTTTTTGGGCTGGAGTCAGTGGCTCACACTGTAATATTGGCATTTTGGAAGGCTGAAGTGAGTAGATTGCTTGAGCCCAGGAGTTTGAGATCAGCCTGTGCAACATGGTAAAACCCCATCTCTATGAAAAATCCAAAAAATTAGCCAAGTGTAGTGGTGTGCACCTGTAGTTCCAGCTACCCAGGAGACACATGGAAGAGTCACCTGAACCTGGGAGGTTGAGGTTGCAGTGAGCCATCATCACACCACTGCACTACAGCCTGGGCAACAGAGACAGAGTGAGACCCTGTCTCAAATATTTTTTTTACTAAACTGTTGGGAAATGGATTCTCCTTTTATGTTTATTAGTTATTGGTACTTCCTCTTTTGTGAGCTGTCTGTTTCTATTGAATGGGTTAAGAATATGACACCCCTGGCTGGGCGTGGTGGCTCATGCAAATCCAAGCACTTTGGGAGGCCGAGGCCGGAGGATCATTTGAACTCAGGAGTTCAAGACCAGCCTGGGCAACATGGCAAGACCCTATCTCTACAAAAAAAAAAGGCTGGGCATGATGGCACACGCCTTCAATCCCAGCACTTTGGGAGGCCAAGGCAGGATGATCACCTGAGGTCAGGAGTTCAAGACCAGCCTGGCCAACCTGGTGAAACCCCATCTCTACTAAAAATACAAAAATTAGCCAGGTGTGGTGGTGGGCACCTGTAATCCCAGCTACTCCGGAGGCTGAGCCAGGAGAATTGCTTGAACCTGGGAGGGGGAGGTTGCAGTGAACTGAGATTGCACCATTGCACTCCAGCCTTGGCAACAGATCAAGACTCTGTCTCAAAACAAAACAAACAAACAAAAATTATCCGGGCATGGTGGTTTGTGCCTGTAGTCCCAGCAACTTGGGAGGCTAAGGTGGGAGGATCACTTGAGCCTGGGAGGTCAAGGTTGCAGTGAGCCATAATTGTGCCACTGCACTCTAGTCTGAGTGACAGAGAAAGACCCTGTCTCAAAGAAAAAAAAAAAAGAATACGACCTTCATTCAGTTTCTTAAAAGCAGGAGATGAAATTCTCATGTGAAAGATGCAGCATTTTTTTGGGAGGCTGAGGTGAGAGGATTGTTTGAGTCCAGCCTGGGGAACATAGCAAGATCTTGTCTCTAAACAAACAAACAAACAAACAAACGAAACCCCCCAAAACCCCCACAGCATTCTTTTTTTTTTTTTTTTTGAGACAGAGTCTCCCTCTGTCACCCAGGCTGGAGGGCAGTGGCGCGATCTCGGCTCACTGCAAGCTCCGCCTCCCAGGTTCACGCCATTCTCCTGCCTCAGCCTCCCAAGTAGCTGGGACTACAGGTGTGCACCACCACACCTGGCTAATTTTTCTTTGTATTTTTTAGTAGAGACGAGGTTTCACCGTGTTAGCCAGGATGGTCTTGATCTCCTGACCTCATGATCCTCCTGCCTCGGCTGGGACCTCCCAAAGTGCTGGGACCACAGGCATGAGCCACTGCACCTGGCCACCCCCGCAGCATTCTTATCAAGGATAGAAAGTTGAGACTGAGAAACTTCTGTACAGACCTTGTTAAAATAACTTTAACTGCTTCTGGGTCTTCATTTCCTTATGGGGGCTCCCATGCCATGTAAAACTTGTATTAAATAAACTTGCATGCTTTCATCCTGTTAATCTGTCTTACGTCAATTTAATTCTCCAGCCCAGCCTAAAAGAGGACAGAGGTGGAGTTTTGCTGCCCCTACAATACCTTCAGTGCTTGTCTCTTTGTGTATATAGATATATATATTTGTGTATATAAATAAAATATTTATAAATATTTATTTATGTACTATACTCTATTTTCTGTATAAATATATAGAAAATATATAAATATATCTTATAAATATATACATACATATATTTATATATCTTATAAATATATACATACACATATTTGTATATCTTATAAATATATACATACGCATATTTGTATATCTTATAAATATATACATACATATATTTGTATATCTTATAAATATATACATACATATATTTGTATATCTTATAAATATATACATACATATATTTGTGTATCTTATAAATCTATACATACATATATTTGTGTATCTTATAAATCTATACATACATATATTTGTGTATCTTATAAATCTATACATACATATATTTGTGTATCTTATAAATCTATACATACATATATTTGTGTATCTTATAAATCTATACATACATATATTTGTGTATCTTATAAATATATACATACATATATTTGTGTATCTTATAAATATATACATACATATATTTGTGTATCTTATAAATCTATACATACATATATTTGTGTATCTTATAAATATATACATACATATATTTGTGTATCATAAATATATACATACATATATTTGTATATCTTATAAATATATACATACATATATTTGTATATCTTATAAATATATACATACATATATTTATATATTATATATAGTGTATATAGAGAAATATATAGTATATATATAAATATATATATATTGTCTGTGTGTGTGTGTGTGTATATATATATATATATATATATATTTTTTTTTTTTTTTGACAGGGTCTTACTCTGTCACCCAGGCTGGAGTGCAGTGGCATGATAACAGCTCACTGCAGCTTCCACCTCCTGGGTTCAAGCAGTCCTCTCAACTCAGCCTGCTGAGAAGCTAGGACCACAGGTGTGCACCACTGTGCTTGGCTATTTTTTTTTTTAATTTATTTTTTGCAGAGATAAGGTCTCACTATGTTGCCCAAGCTAGGCTTGAATTCCTGGGTTCAGGCCTCTGGCCTTGGCCTCCCAACATACTGGAATTACAGGCATGAGTCACCGCGCCTGGCCTGTTTATACATTGTTGAATGCACTCTACGTAACATTTGAATGGTTCAAAAGGATATACATTAAAAAGCAATCTTCCTCTCATGTTTGCCCTTACCTCCTTATTTCTCCTCACCAAAGTTCATCCTTTCAGAGGAATTTCATACATATACATAGGTTGGTTGTTAAAAAAAAAACTTAGTCCTATGTATGTCCATTCACAGAAAATTGTATAAATGAGTATAAGTATACTTTCTTCTGCAAAAGTTGTCATAAAGAGATTTGGATATTATGCAACCATTTATTTAGGAAAGATGAGCTGTGCACTAAAAACAACGACATCAAAATCATGTTTATGAAGCTCTTTCCTACTCTGCTGCAGTCCTGGACTTAGTAATTTCTATCTATTATTTCGTAATGACAACCCTGTTGGATAGGTACTATTTCACAGATAAGAAAACTGAGGCTTAGAGACATGAAGTGACTTGCCTAAAGAATTTGGGGATTAGACAGAAGCTTTTCAGCGCTGGAGCCTGAGCCTTAACCACCGTACTCTACTACCTCCACATGGTTATAGACTATAATGCACCCAATATCCAGAACTAGTACCACGTGTACAGGTACTAAAGGCTATATGCAGAGCACTAAAGAAAACCAAACCCACCCAAGACAAAAAAAACCCAGCTTCTCCATGCAAGAAGATGGCTTCTCTACTGGTCTCTTGTTCTTTGGTTGAGTGTTGGTGCCAATTATACCATACTGCAATTTATATCAAAAGCTTAGAAATTAGATGATTGGGAATGGGTTTATGTTTGATATGCTCAGTAATGGCTAAGGTTTGTTTTGTTTTTGTCAGTTTTAATCAACCAATTTATTTTTAGTTTATAATAATAAAATAAAATTCACCATTGAAACCAATGCTTTTAAAATGCAGCTTTTTTTTTTCTTTTTTCTTTTCTTCTTTTTTTTTTTGAGACAGAGTGTCACTATGTCATCCAGGCTGAAATGCAGTGGCTGATCTCAGCTCACTGCAACCTCTGCCTCCCAGGTTCAAGTGAGTCTCTTCCCTCAGCTGCCCCAGTAGCTGGGACTACAAGTGTGCGCCACCACGCCTGGCTAATTTTTGTAGTTTTTAGTAAAGATGGGGTTTCACCATGTTGGCCAGGCTGGTCTTGAACTCCTGACCTCAAGTGATCTGCCCGCCTCGGCCTCCCAAAGTGCTGGGATTACAGGCATGAGCCACCACGTTAGGCCTTAAAATGTAGCTTTTGATAATGCAAGGGCTTTTTTGTTTTTGTTTTCTCTTTCCCAGGAATGAAGTTACTTTGGTAGAGCAGAATGAGCAGGACATCACTGCAGAGCATCCCTTGGTGGTCCTGGGGAATATTGGGCAAGGTGCCTACCTCTGCTTGGGTGTGTGCTCCTGTCAGTCGTGTAAAGCCAAATGAACATGTAGCAAGTCGTGTGGTGATAATTCCCATTATAGACACTTTAGCATTTACAGTGAGGATTGGTCTTCTTACTTGCAACTTCTGTAAGTGATAAAATGTGAGGATGTGAGATGCCCTTAGTGCTTCAACTTTGAAACAAAAATTTCAACTACTCCTTTTTCATATGTCTGAATTGTTACCATTTGCAAATATTTCTCTGAGTAGATTGGAATCTTGTTAATATTGAGCAATCAAATAGAGGGAAAAAAATGGGATGTTGAAACTGATAGGAGAGTCCAACGATCTTTCACAAATCCCTGATTTCAAATCTTGGTGTTCAACAAAACAGTTTCCAATGGTCATTGATTTCTCTATAATTAGCAAATGCTACAAAATTGAATTCATCAGATAAACGTATAGTAATGGAATTGTGTTTTTCTTTGTTTTATAAATGGGGTTCATTTGAAGAAAGGGTTCTGATGCTAAAGGCGTTCGAAAAACCAGTAAATTGGATCACTGTAGAGAGGCTACTGTAGGATTCTGAGAGTTGAGAGTGTCTGCAGGAGAATAGAACACAGAAGGTGAGTTCCACCATGATCTGGCCAAGACGAAATGTATGGATCTTGGACCTGAGTGGATCAAAGGAAGGGATTGGGTCAAAGGAAGTGCCAAAGTTAGCGTGTTTGGGGTGTTAACTGGGAGAACAGTAGTCCACTAACAAGAATAAGGAGGTGGGTGGATGGATGAGAAGTTAAACCCTTTCGTCTTACAAACAGGTAAGGTCACTCAAAACGTTTTTCTAGTCTTTTTTGGAGAGGCGTGCATAGGTTAAATATTTTGAAAAACTATATAAGATTGATATTCAAGAGTGGTTATTTTATTCACCATTAATCTATATTTCATTCTTTTGAAGAAACAGTAATTATAATCACAAGATCAGAAATCAAAATCCAAATTGTCATTTGTTTAGATTTTTTCTTACATCCCATTATTAGTTGCTTGATGAAAGATAAAAACTATCTTCCCTACATTGCAAATATTTCCTGTGACAGGTTTCCCAAGAAGGCAGAACCATTCATGTAAATGTAAAGGCAAAGTGTTTTTGAACACAATGTTATGTATATTATCAGTTAATTAAAATTTCTGAACATCAAGTCCAGGCAACTTCCATTTTTACTCTCTGTGGATTTTGCAATTTTCCCAAGAGATGGAGGAAGGACAGGGGGTGGAGGTGGCTTTCCTTAGTGTATGTAACTAAGTGCACTTAGCTTCGAGACAGGAGAGATTGGAGAAAAGGATCAAGTTATAATAATAGCTACAATTTACTGAACACTTACTGTTGACCCAGCACAAGAGCTTTACCCGGGTTATTTCATTTAAACTCCACAACAGCCCTATGAAGCTGGTGTAGTAGTACATCTACCACAAATACAAGAAAGCAAAATGTTCCTCAAATGCTCCCGTTACAGCCCTAAATACAAAGAACCGAGAAGATAGTCCATAAGACACAGAATAAAATATCTTTCCCCAGCATAAGGACATTATACCAAGAGAGGCAGAAATGATTATATATATATTTTTTCTTTTTTTTTGAGATGGAGTCTCGCTCTGTTGCCCAGGCTGGAGTGCAGTGGCGCAATCTCGGCTCACTGCAACTTCCCCCTCTAGGTTCAAGCAATTCTTCTGCCTCAGCCTCCCGAGTAGCTGGGATTACAGGTATGTGCCACCATGCCTGGTTAATTTTTTGTATTTGTAGTAGAGATGGGTTTTCACCATGTTGGCCAGGTTGGTCTTGGGACTCCTGACCTCGGGTGATCTGCCCGCCTTGGCCTCCCAAAGTGCTAGGATTACAGGCGTGAGCCACCATGCCTGGCCTGGTCATAATTGTTTATGTGGTTTGTGTGTGTGTGTACGCCTCCAAGAGTAGTTCTTGTGAACAGAAAATATTGTTTTGATGCTATTTTTAGAATATTTGATTTGTTAAAGTTACAAGTTTAAGAGTATAATTATTCCTTAGTTTTTAAAGTTTTCCTAACTCTGTGGAAAAAATTTTTCTTCTGCTCTCACTCCGTAGTCAACATGGAAGGCTTCTGTGACCAAAGGTGTGGAGGTTTCTCCCCACACACCAAGCAACCAGTTAATTCTGCAGCTGTCACCAGCTGGGTGTTCTCCACCACAGTTCAATTCCTCTTTTTTTTTTTTTTGAGATGGAGTCTCACTGTTGCCCAGGCTGGAGTGCAGTGGCACAATCTTGGCTCACTGCCACCTCTGCCTCCCGAGTAGCTGGGATTACAGGCATGGGCCACCACGCCCAGCTAATTTTGTATTTTAAGTAGAGACGGGGTTTCACCATGTTGGCCAGATTGGTCTCGAACCCTTGACCTCAAGTGATCCAACCTCCTTGGCCTCCCAAAGTGCTGGGATCACAGACATGAACCACTGCGCCCGTCCCCGGTTCAATTCTGACACCACCTACCTGGAGACAGTGTCAGATCCAACAGGTTGAGGGCTCAATCCCACAAGATTGCCTCCTCCCACTTCTGATGACAATTGCAAGCTCCGCTCAGGCGGTTTTACCTGTGTTTCTGACTGATCAGCTATAAATTGGGGATCCCATGACCCCCTCCTTAGGTTCAAATAATTTGCTAGAGTGGCTCACAGAACTGTGGGAAACAGATACATTTATCAGAAAGATGGTACAAAGGATACAGATGAAGTGATGCATAGAGCGAGGCATGGGGGAAGGGGCATGGAGCTTCCATGCCCTTCTCAGGTGGACCACCCTCCATACACCTGTAAATGTTCAGCTATCCTGAAGCTCTCTGAACCCTGTCCTCTTGTGTGTTTATGGAGGCTTCATTATGTAGGCATGATTGATTAAACCATTGTTCATTGGTGATCAACTCAATCTTCAGCCCTTCCCCACCCCACAGAAATTGCGGAATGGGGCTGGAAGTACTGACCCTCTAATCAGGGTGTGGTCTTTCCAGTGACTAGCCCCTTCCTGAAGCTACCTAGGGGCTGCCAGCCACCAGTCAACTCATTAGCATACAAAAAAAATCACTTTGGAGATTCTAAGGATTTTAAGAATTTTATACCAGGAAATGGGGATGATGACCAAATACATATTTTACAATATCACACGTGATCTTATTCCATTTATAACTCTAGCAAACTTTAACAACCAAAAAGGCATTTGATTAATGTTTGATCCCATTAACTTAATCACCTCTAAACATTTTAAACTTCATTCGTGAATTTAATATATTTGTTTCCCTTGTAAAGGTCTTTAATTGTCTGATTAACAAGTAACTCAACATCTAATAAATTAAATTTATAAATGTGGTAAATCTTAAATTGTAGTGAGTGTTCCAACACTTTATTAAGTTAATAAGACTATCTTCAACTCATTAGTATCCAGCTATTAAATTACACATTTTAAAACTTAAAGTACAAGGCAAATGGTTACTCCAGTAGGCCAAGTTGTCTTACACATTAACATGCACATAGAATTCCAAATGTGCCCAGATTCCTTAAAACAAAATATTAATATTTCAGGCTTGAATCTTTCACACATCTCATACTCAATTTTCAGTCTTCTCAGGGTTAAAATGCTCATCTATTAAGAATTTTGATGTTTGTTTTTAAAAGCAATGTTATGGTGATCTTCTCAGTAGGCAGAGTTTCTTTCTTTTTTTTTTGTTTGAGAGAGA
Organism: Homo sapiens; assembly: GCF_000001405.40. Classification (NCBI taxonomy): domain Eukaryota; kingdom Metazoa; phylum Chordata; class Mammalia; order Primates; family Hominidae; genus Homo; species Homo sapiens. Next base: position 26,289,823 of record NC_000007.14, read on the forward strand.
GAGTCTCACTCTGTCACCCAGGCTGGAGTGCAGTAGCGGGATCCTGGCTCACTGCAACCTCTGCCTCCCAGTGCAAGTGATTCTCCTGTCTCAGCCTCCCAAGAAGCTGGGATTACAGGCACGCACCACCATATCCGGCTAATTTTTGTATTTTAGTAGAGATGGGGCTTTCACCATGTTGGCCAGGCGGGTCTCAAGCTCCTGATGATCCACCTGCCTCGGCCTCCCAAAGTGCTGGGATTACAGGCGTGAGCCACCAGCCCAGCCAGTAGGCAAGGTTTCTTAACCACCGTAGAGTCCCAGTTTTTACCCAATCCCACTGATGGTATAACAAAAATGCCACAACCTAAAAAAGGTGACCATCACTTAAGTTTCCTGGATTCAGGTTGCAAGTTACCAGTCTTTTTTTTTTTTTTTTTTTTTTTTTTGAGACGGAGTCTCGCTCTGTCGCCCAGGCTGGAGTGCAGTGGCGGGATCTCGGCTCACTGCAAGCTCCGCCTCCCGGGTTCACGCCATTCTCCTGCCTCAGCCTCCCAAGTAGCTGGGACTACAGGCGCCCGCCACTACGCCCGGCTAATTTTTTGTATTTTTAGTAGAGACGGGGTTTCACCGTTTTAGCCGGGATGGTCTCGATCTCCTGACCTCGTGATCCGCCCGCCTCGGCCTCCCAAAGTGCTGGGATTACAGGCGTGAGCCACCGCGCCCGGCCCAAGTTACCAGTCTTAATAGGGTCAAAATTCTAACAGATATTCAAATGACTTTCAGTAGACTCTCCAAGGGTTTGTTGCTGCTTTGTCTACAGCTGTAAAGTCATGCTCTTGACAATAAGTTCAGAAAGATTTTAATTTTACAGAATCTCTTAGGATCTTAGATACATGCTGCATTTTGTTTTCTACTCAATGTTTTTCTTTGCGGAGCATAGGGACAAGAATATAAAAAATACACTTTAATTTGATTTTCTTTCTTTTTTTTTTGAGACAGAATCTTGCTCTGTCGCCCAGGCTGGAGTGCAATGGCATGATCTCGGCTCACTGCAACCTCTGCCTCCCGGGTTCAAGCTATTCTCCTGCCTCAGCCTCCCGAGTAGCTGGGATTACAGGCGCGCGCCACCACGCCCAGCTAAGTTTTTGTATTTTTAGTAGAGACGGCATTTCACCATGTCAGCCAGGATGGTCTCCATCTCCTGACCTTGTAATCCACCCGCCTCGGCCTCCCAGAGTGCTGGGATTACAAGCGTGAGCCACCACACCAGCTTAATTTGATTTTCAAAAGTGATCATGGTTGCATTCACTTGTGTGTCATGACTTGGGTGCAATTTTAGGAAATTAAATACCAGTGATTGAGGGTTCAGCAATACAACTTCAAGATCCAAGATGTTAAGACACAACATTGTATATTTATACGTTTTGTTAGGGAGTTAATGTAGGTGTGGTGAACAGATGCGTTTTCAGGTGGGCCTGGAATGGTCCCTGGAGGATGATCAGCGACAAGCTGTATCTAATGGGAAAATTCATGCTTGAAAAATGAAATATTAGGCTATGCTTATTATTCTGTGTCATTCAGTCACTTATTAGCAGTTTAAGTGATGATTGTGGTTTCCCATGCAAACAGGTGTGGGGACCCAGCCTCAGGTGCCATTTGGGAAATGCTTTCCTCAGTCAGGTCCCTTGGCAGATCTCATTAGCTTTCCCCCCAAATGTTTTATTGAGACATTTCAAACATAGACAAAAACTGAAATAATTTTATATAAACACCATAGCCCACCACCTAGATGCTATGAACATTCTGCCATTCTTGTTTATCACGTTATTTATCCGTCCTCCTCCCCATCGGCAATCCTCCCCATAACTGTGGGGTCAGGGTTAGGAAGCTTAAGGTGACTCAGGTGGCGAATTCCGAAGGGTGCCGCTGGAGCACCTCCAGCCTCAACGTCCGGACTAATGGGGGCATTTCCTCCCTAACTCAATTTCAGGAAGCAGGAGGCTAGCTCTGCAGGGTGGGGGCGCACCTGGGCTGGGCTGCGCGGAGGCGGCGGAAGCACTAGGCGCGGCGCCCACAGGCGGACGGCTGGCGCTGAGCGCGGGCGCGGGGCCGCTACGTGCGCGGGGAGCGCGGGGAGCGCGGGGAGCGCGGGGCTGCGCTCGTGTGCGCTCCTGGGCGCTCGCCGCCGCCGCTGCCGCCGCGCGCCTTTGAGTCAGCAAACTCCGCGGCCCGCAAGCCCGGCTCGGCCCGGCCCTGCTCTGTTCTGCCCGGAGGAGCCGCCCGTAAGTGACAAGAGACCCGCTGAGGGGGCCTCCCCTGCACCGCCCAGGTGGGGACGGCGGCCCTTCTTTCCAGAGGCGCGGGCCCTTCCCGCTGTTCCCAGGTGCCCGCACCCTTGCGGGCTGGAAAGAGGTTTGGGTCCCTTGGGCTTGGAGCAGAGGAGCCGCCTCCTTTTCAGCCGAGGTGTGCCGGGCAGGGAGAAATGATCAGCGCGGTAGAGCGGGGAGATGGAGCGCGTCGATCCAGGGATTCTTGGCTAAAAAGACACCCCGGGGAGAGGGTGGGGCAGAGGTGGATTCTAGATTACGGAAGAAGTGCTGTGGCACCTTACACCAGGCCGGGTAGAAGGGGGTGGGGAGGTGGTTTTTAAAATTTATTTATTTATTTTTTTATTCATTCATTAACGGGTAGCCTTGAGTTGAGGAATTGGGAGGGGTAGGCAGGTTTATTCGTGGGATTGTGGGATTGAGGGAGAAGGCCCAGGGGAAAATCCATATAATTGACTGATTATCAGATTTGGTGACCAGGAAAGCAACAGCCTGTTTTTCAGTTCCGATGCATCATACTTTTCTCAAATTACACGGATTATTGAGGGGGATCGTCACGGAATGGGGAGCAACATGTCCTGCTGAAAGGAAGGGCTTCTATCTCTACAAGACACGTTAAAAATGATGGTATCAGAAAATTAGAACGGGGAGGAGGCTTGCACATGATCTCCATCAAACCTTTCATTTTACAGACAGGGAGGCTAAGGCCGAGGGACGCTGAGTGTTGGGACCAGGATCATTCAGCCAGATGGGAGCAGAACCAGGCCTACAACCTGGCAGGCTTCTGACTTCCACCCCGGAGTTATGTCCACCTCTGGGGCCTGGGAACTGGGTTTGGATTGCATAAGCTCCCCCTCCTCTCCCAGGAGGGGGCTGGGCTGGAGGCTGAGGCCTTCGCCAGGAAGAAGCAGGGACTGCTTGGATAGTTGACCAGCTTCTGCAGGGGCTCCTCAGTGAGAGAATGGAGGTGAGGTCAGGGACTCCTGCCTTGCCTCTGCCATCACTTCCAGTGATGCCTATTCCTAAGGTAGGTACATAGCTGGACCTTCATTATTCTTAATATTATTTACTTTTTTCTTTTTCTTTTGAGACAAGGTATTATTCTGTCACCCAGGCTGGATTGCAGTGGTGCGATCTTGGCTCACTGCAAACTCCACCTCCCAGGCTTCAGTGATCCTCCCACCTCAGCCTCCCTAGTAGCTGAGACCACAGGTGCGGGCCACCACACCCCTGGCTAACTTCGGTATTTTTTTTGTAGAGACAGGGTTTTGCCATGTTGCCCCAGGCAGGTCTGGAAGTCCTGAGCTCAAGCAATCCACCTGCCTCGGCCTCCCAAAGTGCTAGGATTACAGGGGTGAGCCACTGCGCTCGGCCTTTTATTACTATTTTTTAAAGGAAGGGTAGACTTGAGATTGACTGATAGGGCAGTTTTTAATAAAAATACAAAAATAAAATACATTTAGAAGAAACTGTGTGAAGATGTGAAATATCAGTGATTAGCATGGACTCAACTGGTCGTCCTGTTTCTTCTACCAGTCCATTTCATTCTCACTTTTGATTACCATTTAACTGGGGAGGACATCAGTGTTGACAGTGGGACTTGCTCAGGCTGACACTGTGCCCCACCAGGGAGTCTCCCCTCCAGGCTGGTACACACTTCCTCTTATTTTACTAATGGGAAGGACCCCTGAGTTAGGTAACCTAAAGTAATAGAAATAAGCACGTTCATTAAAAAAAATAAAAGTATGTTAATCAAAGAGTAACGTTGGTGTTCTACAGCAATTCTGCTGGGCTTTGGAGCAGTGGATATCTTTTCTCAGCCCTAGGATCACTACTTTCATTTTAAGGCTTCATTTTGCTCGTTAAGTTACTGGGGAAAATAACTTCTTTTTTCCGTTTTTAGTGACAGGGCTGTGGTTTCACAACCACTTGGTGAAAGGCAGACAACTGGTTGAGAACAGGGGCCAGTCTATGCAGATTTTCATTTCCTAGCATGGCGGAGAAGGGCTTTTGGCCAAGCTCATGGTTGACTCTGTGGGGAATCCCCCAAATTTAGCATTGTTATCTCCAAACATCTTTTTCTTAGTAATCTGGTAGGTATGAATTAGCTCTTCTGTTCTCTAAGCCCTGTTCAAAGAGGAAGGTATATAGTGTAGTGGTTAGAACTTGTGATTCCAGACCCATCTGAGTTGAAATCTTGGTATAATAATTTTCTAAGTATAGTTTTGTTGGCGGGGCACTTAACACTCTCTGAGTTGCCTGTTATTCAGAAATAAAAAAGGGTGATGGTAATCTTTGCTTCCCAGAACTGTTAATACAACAGCTGACATTTATCGAGTGCTTACTATATTCCAGGCATCGTGACATTATCGAGCACTTAATTATGGGCCAGGCATTGTGAAAGAGTTTTTATGTGGCAGTCTCATTAAGCATCACAACAGACTTATGAAGCAGATTCTGTTACTGTCTTCAGTTTACCTCTGGGGAAACTAAGCCATCAGAGTATTTATGATTTCTCTAAACTCAGCTTACAGTTTTAACTACCCAACAAATGTGTGTCAGATTTCTGTTATAAGCTAATAGTTATCTAGGGCTTACTGTGTGGTAGGCCCTGTTACAAGTGTCCTAAGTACGTTAACAACCCTTGAGATAGGTATTGTTTTTCTCCCCTTCTTCTTTCTTTTTACAGATGTGGAAACTGAGGCACAAAGCCCAAGGTCAAACAACTAGTAATGCGAGAGCCAAAATTTGAACTAGGAGCCTGGGTCTGGAATCAGTAGTAACTCTCAGCCACCCACCTGCGAATGTAAAGGGCTTAGCCAGGCTTCAGTCAAGGGCAACTCCTATTGATACTTACATTTATTTTTCCCTAAGTAACTACTCCTTGCTCCCAGTTTCTGCAGAAGAGATGCTTTTAGTTCTACAAGTGATTCAACTTTACTCAAGGCTTTGTGATTCAGTATGTATTTCTATTGTAGTCTCTGTTATTTTTAAAATCTTGTGCTAGGCCTCAGTGATCTTGCCTCTGGGGACAGGGAAATAGTCTTTATCAGATCTGTGAACCCCTTTCAAATATATGATGTCATTTTTACTTTTTTTTTTGATACTTTTGTAGAGATGGGGTTTTGCCATGTTGCCCAGGCTGGTTTTGAACTCCTGAGCTCAAGTGATCCACCCACCTCAGCCTCCCAAAGTGCTGGGATTACAGGTGTGAGCTACTGTGGCCAGCCTGATTTCATATTCATCTGCAAAAGTGCATTATTCTGGGGGAGAGAATCTGTAGCTTTCTTCAGATTCTTACGTGGTCACCCATGGTGGAAAGAAAGTCATTATTCACCATTTTATTCTAATAATCTCATTTTACAAATGAGGCTACCAAGGCCCAATGGAGAGGCAGAATAACTTAATCTGAACTACACAGCTAATTAGAGGTAAAAACGGGACTCAAACTCAGGTTCCTGAACTTCCAGTCTCATATTCTTTCCATTATAGCCTGATAGTTCCCTGTGGATTAAGTGGTGCCAGATCAATCAATTACGAATTGCCAGAGACCCCCAGCTCTCTCACCAAGCTGTCCAATGCATGAGGCCAGCAAAGCTGCCTGGAAGTGCCTGTCAAAATACGACATCGTTTGGCATGTGATCCTGTTAGCTGAGCCACTTTACTCTGATTTGGTATGGGAATCTACAACTCGGAGAGATGTGAGCCAGGAAAAGAAAAGCTGTTTGGGGAGAAGAAGAGGAATGTTGCAGACATGCATTGGTTGAGGCACAGGCAGCCATTCAGACCTCTTGGTAGAATTGTCGTATTGGAAAGTTTTTGCTAAGAGATTTAGAAATTCAAACAAAATTCCCTGGGCCGGGTGTGGTGGCGCATGCCTGTAGTCCCAGTTACTTAAGAGGCTGAGGTGGGAGGATCGCTTGAGCCCAGGAGGTTGAGGCTGCAGTGAGCTGTGATTGCACCATTGTACTGCAGCCTGCACAACAGAATTAGACTCTGTCTCATAAATAAATAAATAAATACAAATAACCCCCAAATTCCCTGAAGTCTGAGATTTTTGCATAGTATGTGGCTCACTGGGAAGTAAGCCATCTCCTGGCTGAAGGGTGATGCTCCAACGACAAAAGAAGACTAAAAGAGTTGGGTTCTGGTGGCTCACACCTGTAATTTTAGTGACTGAGGAGGCTGAGGTGGGAGGATTGCTTGAGGTCAAGACTTTGAGACCAGCTTGGGCAAAAGCTGGGTGTGGCGGCACACACCTGTAGTCCTAGCTTCTTGGGAGGTCGAGGTAGGAGGATCACTTGGGCCTAGGAGCTGGAGGCTGCAGTGAGCCATGATCTCACCACTATACTCCAGCCTCGGTGACACAGTGAGACCCCAACTCTAAAAAGAAATACTAATAATAAGAAAAATAAGAAAAGCCTAAGAGGTAATGAGACCTTTAATAGTTTAGGCCAGACTTTTAACACGACTTAAATTTTACAAACTGATAATAATAAAGCTTACCTGGAAAATAGATTTGTACTTGTAGGCAATACATTTTTGAAAAAGAATATTGAGGAGAGGCTTGTTCAGCCAGCTATCAAAATATATCAGGTAGGTAGGACGTGGTGGCTCACGCCTGTAATCTTAGTGCTTTGGGAGGCTGAAGCTGAGGATTGCTTGAGGCCAGGAGTTCAAGACAAGCCTGGGCAACATAGACCCCATGTCTAAAAAAAATTTTAGAAAGTATATATCATTTGGGACTATGAATAGAAAGTCGAGAAATGGTTCCATTGTAAAGACAGGAATTGAGTGTATGATAAAATGGACTGTTACTAAGTCTTGGGAAAATTGCCTCTCAATTTGGAAAAGATTAGATCCCTGACTCATACCATTCACAAAAGTAAATTCCATTTAAAGATTAAATGTCAAAACCAAAATTATAAATATTAAAATATATGTAAATATAGAAGATGGTTTTAAAGAGCTTTTTGTTGTTTTGAGACGGAGTCTCGCTCTGTCGCCCAAGCTGGAGTGCAGTGGCACAATCTCAGCTCACTGCAACCTCTGCCTCCTGGGTTCAATAAGTTCTCTGCATCAGCCTCCCAAGTAACTGGGGTTATAGGCACCCATCATCATGCCTGGCTAATTTTCTTACTTTTAGTAGAGACAGGGTTTCACCGTCTTGGCCAGGCTGGTCTTGAACTCCTGACCTCGTGACCCGCCCGTCTCGGCCTCCCAAAGTGCTGGGATTACAGGAATAAGGCACCGCAGCTGGCCAGAAGATGGTTTTTAGAAATAACTTTGGTGTAGGAAAGACCTCAAGTTTAATAAAATTCAGAGACCATAAAGGAAAATATTGATAGACCTAATTTCATGAAAGATTATACTTCATGTCTAGTAGTTTATTTGAACATGAACTTTGGCTACATTTCCCATCTTCACAGCTCAGGCACCCCCAATCTGTCCTTCCCCACTGCAGACTGGCAGGTGGGATTTCCCCCAGGTCATCCTCCTTCCTTCTTTCCTCACATCTTTCTTCCTCTGCAGGAAACAGATTTTTCAGGGCCTTCCATACCTGCCCCTTTGTTTGTCTCTCCTTAGTTATAAGTAATATTTTTAGAAATACATGTAAAATATCAAGAAATAATGGCTGCACCTCTGCCGCCTCTCTCTCACCTCTTATTTCATAAAGCTGGCTCTATATGTTGCTTTATGTGCCTTAGTATATGCTTATGGATATTATATATATTATAGATATATATGTAACACATTTTTTAAAAAGTAAGGAAGAATATATTAATACCATAAACAAAGTTAAAAGGCAGATGACAGGGCTGGGCGCGGTGGCTCACGCCTGTAATCCCAGCACTTTGGGAGGCCGAGGCAGGTGGATCACTTGAGGTCAGGAGTTCGAGACCAGCCTGGCCAACATGGTGAAAGCCCATCTTTACTGAAAATACAAAAATTAGCTGGGCATGGTGGCAGGTGCCTGTAATCCAAGTTACTGAGGCAAGAGAATCACTTGAACTCGGGAGGTGGAGGTTGCATGAGCCGAGATCGTGCCATTGCACTCCAGCTTGGGCAACAGAGCAAGACTCAGTCTCAAAAAAAAGGGCAGATGACAAAGGAGTAAAGCAAATAGTTGCAATATCTATAACAGGCATGAACTCTTAGAAATCAATAGGAAAAACAATCCAGCAGGAATATGGGCAAAGGCTATTCATAGGTAATTCACATATATATGTAAAAATGCTTAATCTTATTAATAATCAGATAAGTGTGGATTAAAAACCATGAAACCTTTTTGCTTAGGTTTGTAATATCCAGTGTTGACGAAGGTGTGGGAAAATAGATTGTCACTATATATGGCGGAGAGTGTAAATTGGTACCATCTCTTGGAAAGGCACGTTAGCAGTATTTATAACATTTTAAAGTTTGCATACTTTCTGATCAGTACTTCCACTTCTAGGACCTTATCCCTCTGAAATACTTGCCTACTTGAAAAAAGGAAGTTGCTCCAAATGAGCCAAAATGGAAAATGTTCATTATGCATTATGTTAGTCAGTTTGGGCTGCCATAACAAAATGCCATAGACTGGGTGGCTTAAACAACAGAAGTTTATTTCTTAGGGTTTTGGAGGCTGGGAAATGCAGGCTGATTTGTTTCCTACTGAGAGTTCTCTCCCTGGCTTGCAGACAGCCGCCTTCGTGCTGCGTCCTCACATGGTGGAAAAAGAGAGAAAGAGAACAAGCTCTTGGTATCTCCGCTTGGTGTCTCACCAGTCCCATCACGAGGGCCCCACCCTTTTAACCTCATCTAAACCTAATCACCCCATCAGAGGCCCTGTTTCCAAATACCAACACACTGGGGGTTAGGGCTTTACTATATGCATTTTGGCAGGACACAATTCAACCTATACTGTATATTAAGTAATGAAAGCAAAGTGGAAGAACAGTGGGAGAAATACAATCTTATTTTTTGAAAAAATCTGGAAGGATGATATGCCCCTAATTGTAGACAGTCATTACCTGTGGAGAGTGAGATTAGAAAGGGAAAGGGAATGGCATTATGGAGGATTTCAGCAATTTTTTTTTTTTGAGATGGAGTCTCGCTCTGTTGCCCAGGCTGGAGTGCGGTGGTGCGATCTCGGCTCACTGCAACTTCTGCCTCCCGGGTTCAAGCGATTCTTCTGCCTCAGCCTCCTGAGTAGCTGGGATTACAGGCATGTGCCACCACACTCAGCTAATTTTTGTATTTTTAGTAGAGACGGGGTTTCACCATGTTGGTCAGGCTGGTGGACCTTGTGATCCACCTGCCTCAGCCTCCCAAAGTGCTGGGATTACAGGTGTGAGCCACTGTGCCTGGCCTCTGATTTTTTTTTTCAGCTCACTGCGACCTCTGCCTCCCAAGTTCAAGCAGTTCTTCTGCCTTAGCCTCCCCAGTAGCTGGGATTACAGGTGAGCACCACCATACCCAGATAATTTTTATATTTTTAGTAGAGACAGGGTTTCACCGTGTTGGCTGGTCTCGAACTCGTGACCTCGTGATCTGCCCGCCTTGGCCTCCCAAACTGCTGGGATTACAGGTGTGAGCCACCGCATCTGGCCTATATTTCTATTTTTTTCCCCAAACTTTGAAATAATTTTAAAGTATAAAAAGTGCAGGCTGTGTGCAGTGGCTCACACCTGTAATCCCAGCCCTTTGGGAGGCTGAGGTGGGAGGATTGCTTGAGCCTGGGAATTTGAGATCAGCCTGGGCAACATAGTGAGACCCTGTCTCTGTTTTCAAAAAAACTTTTAAAAAGAATAGAAAAGCCGGGCATGGTGGCTCACGCCTGTAATCCCAGCACTTTGGGAGGCCGAGGCGAGTGGATCTCCTGAGGTCAGGAGTTCAAGACCAGGCTGGCCAGCATGGTGAAACCCTATCTCTACTAAAAATACAAAAATTAGCTGGGCATGGTGGTGCATGCCTGTAATCTCAGCCACTCGGGAGGCTGAGGCAGGAGAATTGCTTAAACCTGGGAGGCAGAGGTTGCAGTGAGCAGAGATTATGCCACTGCACTCTAGCCTGGGCAACAGAGCGAGACTCTGTCTCAAAAATAAATAAAAATAAAACAAAGTGCCAAAATAATAATTTTTTTTTTTTTGGCTTAGGGGAGTAGGGACTGTGTCTTGCTGTGTTGCCCAGGCTGGTCTCAGACTCCTGGCCTCAAGGGATCCTCCTGCCTTGGCTCCCAAAGGGTTTAGGATTACAGGCATGAGCCACTACATCTAGCCCTAAATCTTTTATTTTTAAAGATAATAAGTCTGTTATCCTGAAATAAAATAATACTTAAGACCTGTGGAAAAAAATAACAAAATGATTTGAAGTATTAACAGGGCCCTCCTGCCTAGAGCCTCCCAGCTGAACTGCCTAGGGAGGGGTGGTCTCTGCTAGAGTGGAAGACCTGGTCCTCTGAATTTCCAGGTGAGTGTTCCCAGTTGCCTTTTCTGCTACTTATTTTAAAAGGTTTATCCCAGCCTCCATCTCTGAAGGCAGGATGTATGCAGCAAGAGTATTGCTTAATTCAGAAGGGTGATTTACCCTGGATTTCGTGGTCTTTAAGTGCTTTAAAAGAATTAGGCCGAGCACCGTGTCTCTCACTGTAATCTCAGCATTTTGGGATGCTAAGGTGGGTGAATCACTGGAGCTCAGGAGTTCGAGACCAGCCTGGCCAACATGGCGAAACCCCATCTCTACTAAAAATACAAAAATTAGCCAGGTGTGGTGGCGAGCACCTGTAGTCCCAGCTACTCGGGAGGCTGCGATGGGAGAATCACTTGAGCCTGGGAGGTGGAGGTGGCAGTGAGCCGAGATTGTACCACTGCACTCCAACCTGGGTGACAGAGTGATACTCTGTCTCCAAAAAAAAAAAAAAAAAAAAAAAAAGCCATCATCTCTCAGTTTAGTTGTGTTTTCTGAGTATAGCTTAAAACTAGTTATGTTACTTCATCATTGGTATTCATTGGTGTTTTCTCAGCATCACTATCCCTTCCCAAATCCCCCCAAAAACCACACACAGAGTGTATGTCTAACCAGGCTTTCTGGCATTAACAAGGCCAGATCTTATGTTACTCATTGGTATAGTTAAATGTGTATATTCTCTTGTGCTCAAGAAAGGTGGCTGGCAAGGCAGAATTTATAATGAACTACAGATGTCATGTCCTTGATTTTTTCTTTTCCCTATGTGGTCCGAATCCCTTAGGAAGATAGGAAAGGGAAGTCTTGAGCTCCTTTTTAGATTCAGGCTGGAAATGCCTACTAAATTCCTAATAGCTTCCAAGGTGCTGTGCCTTAAGAAGCCTTGGATTCCTGGGGATGAGAGAACAAAAAAGAGGGTGAGGGGGAACCAAAGGGGGCACCAAAGGCCAAAGACAGACTTCACCCAGGACAAGTCCTGTGTCCAAGGAGTGTGACAAGGCTTTCTGACATGCTTCCAGGAACATTTTGTGTTTATTTGGCATGGCATGTTTTAGGAAGGAGATGGAAACATCTATTTAGTACTCAACCATGTACCACACACTGTCCTGGGTACTTCAGTTTACATTATCTCATTATTCCTGTGATATAGGAGATGCTACAGACATTTTCGACAATTCAGAGATATTTCATGACTTGAACAAATGGAGGAGACAGGATTTGAGCCACAGCTGTTCCCATACCCATTTTTTTTTCCAGTACTTTATTTTAAGAGTCCCACCATTGAGTTTGCTTTTAGAGTCAAAATGCACTCTCTCTGATTTAAAAGTTTTTTATTAAGGGAAAAATTTAAAAGTCATACTGGGTACATCGTTAGGCATAGGACTCTGAGGTTACCACTTCTGATCCTCAAACATAATCCATGTAGATTATAAAAGGCTGTAACTTGGGGACTGGGTCATACGTTTTTTCCCTTATACCATAGACAACCAGGGCTTTGTAAAATACCTCAGAGCATTTTAACTTTGACATCAGTGGTGTGAGGTTATTTTCATCTCCTTTTTTTCCAATCTCCCTTCCCATTTTCCATCTCAGGTGTGCATTTTCCTTCTTTGTGCCTTTTTATGCTTCCTTGATTCTGCAAAGGTCCCTTTAGCATGTGGTCAAAGTTCTCTGGGTATCAGAGAAACAGAAAGACCCATCTCAAGCTGTGTGGGCCCAGAATCTTACACAGCTCTCATCAGTGTAGGGCACTTGCCCTGACGTGACCTTGAGAGCCAACTCCTTTGCAGGCAGGAGATGGACTCTACGCAGGCTGGCACCAGCAGTGACAATGGGGGCCACCTCTGCAGCCCCAAGACAACCCCACCTCAGCACTGTGTTTCCATTCACATGGTCTCCCTCTGTGTGCAGCAAGCCTCCTCTTTCACGTTTTTGTACAGCTTCTCTCTTAAGCACAGTACGCCCCAGCCTGGCCTACGTATTGCCCAGGACCCTCGGGTAATACCTTACTCGTCTTGTGTGTTGTGCACTCTTATTCTTTGTTTTCACCAGCGTGGCTGCTTTCTGCGGGGTGCACCCTCGGTTTCTGGTACTCCCTGCTCCCTGGTGACCACTTTTGCTGCATACCCACAAAGGCTGGGCTTGGAGTTCTGACCCCAGTTTTGCCATCACTAGGCAAAATCTATTTCTGGCCTGGCAGGGTGGTTCATGCCTGTAATCCCAGCACTTTGGGAGGCCGAGGCGGGTGGATCACCTGAGGCCCGGAGTTTGAGACCAGCATGGCCAACATGATGGGAGGGCGACGGAGGTTGCAGTGAGCCGAAATCACACTGCATTCCAGCCTGGGCGACAGAGTGAGACTCCATCTAAAAACAAAAACAAAAACAAAAACAAAAAACCTGTTTCTGATGGTCTCAGAAATGAGAGAGAGAATGAGAGGACCCTAAAGGAAGGGAGATCAGAGGTAACACATTGATTAAGAATCCTCCTCAGCTAAAATCAGCTACTAAGAATTAGAATGCGTTAGCTTCAACTCTGTTGGTGGCAGATCCCCTAAAGTCTTTGAAAGGCTTTGTCATGATTCTTTCAAGATTACAGTATTCTTGCAAATTCATCCCTTTGTGCTTCAGCTGTTGCTGGTTTTAAAGAAGAGAAACTTTCCTAAGTTAGCATTGGAGTTGGGGGCTTAATGTAAGGATACTGCAGACAACTCAAAGGCAACTGCTTGGAACTGGAAAGTCAAAAACTGAAGCTGCACTTTCACTCCTCTCCCAAGGCCCAAGTCCTCTAACTCCCCGTCGCTGTTTCTCTGGCTGGGGCTTCTCTACTTGCACATGGTTCAGTGTGGCCTGCCTGGCCCTGCCTGCACACAGCTTCCCATCCAAGGGCTCATTGCCCTCTGATGCAGTCTTTCAGGCTCCTCCGACCCTCTTTGTACATTTTTGTCTTCATCATGCCGAACTCCTCACCTTTCCTCTACTCATCTGGCCACTCTGCTCCATTCCCTTGCTTGTTTCTCTGGTTTCTCTGATTCCTCCAATTGACAGCTCCTTGGGGCCTGTTCTGAGCCCTCTTCTTTTCTCTATGTTTTCTCCCTAGATCTGTGGTTTTCCAACATTTCTGTGCATAGGAATTATCTGCAAAACTTGTTAAGGCAGATTTCTGGGTCTCAGTATTCCAATTCAGTAGTTCTAGGATGAGACCTAGGGACTTGTATCTTATTCCTGGGTGATCCAGAGGCTATGACACACTCAGGACAAGCTGGTTTCATTCTATGACTTTAAGTGTTGTTAATAAACTACTAATTCCCTGGTGTGGATATCTAGCTCTCTTGAGAGCTCCAGGTTTAGATATTTAACATTGAATTTGACTGTGGCTTCTTGGGTTTGTCACAGACATTTCATATTAACTTGCCCAATACTTGATCCTCTCCCCAGTTTTGTAAGGGCCTAACACTTACATAGTTTGGGGTCCTCTGTAAGAAAAGGAACATAGAATTGAGAATACAAAGCGAGATGTGGGAACGTGGTGGTGCACTGTGCAGATTAGGGCTTGGAAACTTGGCTTCTGTAGCCTTGGGTCACTCCTCCTCGGCTTGCCTACTCACCCCAGCACCGTCTCCTCCAGCCTTCCCCATCTGAATGAAGGCCTATGCCTTCCATTTGTTTGTTTAGACCAGAAACCTAGGAGCCGTTTCTCATCTTCAGCCCACTTCTGAGCTCTCTGAAGGTCTTGCTTGATTCTCCAATTCAGTACCCCCTTGCCCCGAATCTCAGGTTGCCATTGTTACTTTCCTATTAGCTTCTGATCGAGTCTCTCTGGTTCCACTTTGTTCCCCTCCGATCCAATTTCCAGAAGCAGACAGAGCAGTCTTTTAAAGTACATCAGAACGTGTCACTCCAGTCCTGCCATGTGTCCATAGAAATGGCTGAGTCTGGTGGCAGGGCCAGGGGTGTGGGCAGATGGGAGAGGGTCAGGGGGGATTACACCGCACAAGCTTGACTGTCCTGGAACCTTGAAAGAAGTGGGGGTGTGTCTGGGGAGGTATGCAAGAATTATCAACTGCAGTTGTTTGTTTCAGTCCCACTTTACCACATTTCATTGGAAGAACTTGAGCTGTATAAGGCCTGTGAACACAAATGGGGATGGGTACTCCCTAATTCTTTGCTTTTCAGTGCATTCCTGTGGCATTTGATGCTAAATAGTGCAATCAAACTGTTTAATTACTTTTGGGGAAGAATCACACATTCTTTTTTAACCCCGGTGTCATCTTTTAACTCCGGGTTCCTTAATCTCCTTAGAGAGCTGATTAAGCTTGGTGAGAACCCACAGGTCCATGGCCCAGGTAAATCCAAAGCCCGGCCCAGGGAAATCCAAAGCCCTGCCCAGGTTTTCTGCGAATTCCCTGGAGGAGGGGGTGGATGGGGGAGGCCTCATGTGCTTTCTTTTTTACCTTGGTGTCAGCCCCGACACAAACTCAGCCCCTTCCCTCATGGATGGAGAAATCCACCACCACTACTACCATGTGTTTTGTTAGTTGAGTGGACTTCACTGGAGTCCCCTGTGGGGCTCCTGATCTTGCATAGTCTCCTGGGTCCCTCTTTCCTCCTCTCATCCCTACCCCTCACTCCATCCCCCTCACTTGTCCGTGAGCTCCAGTCTTCTTCCTCTGTAACTATGGATACTCCCCAGTTCCTCTCTTCAACTTACAAACCCAAGTCAAAGTACAGGGCAGAACAACGGGCTTTATATGTAGGGAACCAACACTCCTTAGAAGTTATAAATACAAACACACACAAAAGAGTTTTCTATCACACTGTAATTATCTTCCCCTTTCTCACTGATGTAGCAGCTCTTATTGTAGAGTGGCGTTTGGAAGAGCTGGGGAGAAGATGTGCTCTTCCTGCTGCCCCCGAAGGTCACTGTCTGGATTAGGGGGCAGGCAGTGTTACTGTAGCTCTGGGCTCTGGAATCTCACAGCAAACAACTTGGGGTCTCTTCATCAGCTTGTCTGCAGATGATCAGACCCTGAGAAACTGAGCTCTTTCTGTCTAAACACACAGGAAACTTCCTATGTTGGGAAATCAGCTTAAAGATTTACAACCAGACGCAGACCGGATGCTGCGATTTGCTAGTCACCTTGCTTCACTAGTGGTTGGGAAACCTTGAAAAACGGTGGCGTCTATTTTGAGGACTTTGCCAAACTGAGTCTGTAGACAGACACATGTCAAATGCCCTTGGATTACAGTCATTATTGCCAGCAAGTAAGAGTTTAAGAATAATAACTTTGGCATTTCACCCACTTCTGTTATTTTAAAAATTATTTATTTATTTTAGACAGAATCTCTCTCTCTGTCGCCCAAGCTGGAGTGCAGTGGCGCAATCGTGGGTCACTGCAACCTCTGCCTCCCAGGGTTAAACGATTCTCGTGCCTCAGCCTCTGGAGTAGTTGGGACTACAGGCATGAGCCACCACACCTGGCTAAATTTTTTGTATTTTTTTTTTTTTGTAGAGACGGGTTTTCGCCAGGTTGGCCAGGCTGGTCTCGAACTCCTGAGCTGAAGCGATCCACCCGCATTGGCCTCCCAAAGTGCTGGGATTGCAGACGTGACCCACTGCACCTGGCCACATTTCACCCACTTTTTAAAAGGACTTTCTTGTGTTACTTATCTTAGGCTTCTTAGATCAAGGCCAGGCATTGGACATCCGTGAGTAAATGATCCAACTCTTGCAGGGAGTGGCCACAGTGTGGCTGAGTTTCAGAGCATTTAGATTTAAAATATTCTGCTCCCTAAACATTATTATCCTATCTGACAAAAAAGATGCTTGAAGAGAATTTTTTTTTTTTTTTTTGAGACAGGGTCTTGTTTTGTCACTCAGGCTGGAGTGTAGTGATATGATCATGGCTCACTGCAGCTTCCTGAGCTCAGGTGATCTCTTACCTCAGCCTCCTGAGTGGCTGAGACTACAGGCACGCACCACCATGCCTGGCTAATGTTTTTGTATTTTTGTAGAGATGGGTTTCGTCATGTTGCCCAGGTCTCGAACTCCTGGGCTCAAGTGATCCACCCGCCTCAGCCTCCCAAAGCACTGGGATTACAGGCATGAGCCACCGTGCCCAGACAGAAAATTTTTGTAAAGGAACAAATGCTCTGTGATCATGAGGAAGGCACCTCAGCATTTTTCATATTGGGGGTCCTGGGAAAGTCTGAGAATGAACAGTGACTGCAGCTGGCACAGTCGGAGCCAGGCACAGGCCTCCATGCTTGCTCATTTGATCTTTACAGTAGATCATGAAGCAGGCAGTTATCTCCTCTTACAGATGAGAACACTGAAGCACAGAGATGAAGTAATTTGGGAAAGGGCAGAATGTGAATTCACAACCAGGTGGTCTGGAGTCAAATGCCTCACACTACTTTTACCACTCACTGTGCTCATCCTGCTCACTTTAGGGGGGCATTCCCCTCTAAACTGCTCCTCAGCAGTGGATCTTCATGACAGAGGCACCGTGAAGGAAAGAGGGTTATTTCCAGTGAGTTGCGATGCTTTTCCTTTAGAAAAGAGAATTTCTCTCTCTGTTTAAAAGCAGAACATTAAATGTTGAATTTTTTTCTCTCATCTGCATCCCTGTATCCTTTCCTTATCTCAGCCCCAAGCTGCTCTCCAGACGCCTAAAGACTGTCTCTCCCGTCTGGATGTCCCCAACACCCTAACATGTTCCAGTTTCTTTCTTACCTCTCAAAACAGCCCCCCTTTTCCAACTTCCCCATTCTGGGAACACCAGTCTTCTTCCAGTCACCCGGCCTGTGAGTCATCCTTGACTCCCTTTTCTCAATCATGCCCTGTGTCCAAGTTTTTCTTGTTGTTTATTCATTTATTTGTATTCTTTGAGACAGGATCTCACTCTGTCACCCAGACTGGAGTGTAGTGGCACGATCTCAGCTCGCTGCAACCTCTGCCTCCCAGGCTCAAGCCATCCTCCAACCTCAGCCTCCTGAGTAGCTGGGACTATGGGTGCGTGCCATGAAACCCAGCTAATTTTTGCATTTTTTTTTGTTTTTGTTCCAGAGATGGGGTTTTGCCATGTTGCCCAGGCTAGCATTCTTTTTTTTTTTTTAATAGTCTTTATTTTTTAGAGCAGTTTTAGATTCACAGCAAAAATGAAAGTACAGAGCTTCCCTGCTCCCCATAACCCACCTCTCCCATTATCAACATCAGCACCGTGGGGGTACATTGGTAACAGTTGATGAACCTGCACTGATACATTATCATCACCCAAAGTGGACAGTCTGTAGTTTACCTTCATCAGTCTTTTGATGAAGCTCATGGCTTGTAATTTCTCTCCCTGGCAATCCTTCCAACACCCATCCCAGATGAATCACTGCCATCATGTCAAGCTTCCACTTACTCCATCCCTGCCTTCCAACAGGATAGAAGTCCAAATTCCTCCTTTTGTTCTTCAGGGACTTCCCAATCCTAAAATGCTTACCACAGCCTGTGATATTATGATATATATGTTGGTTTTGTCCACAGTTCCTGGCCCATAAATCCCATAGCCCTTGTTACAGTGTTTGGGTGTTTTAGGCCTCAGAAGCAGGCCTCAGAAAACAGTACCTCTTGCTGACTTTCTCCTGTTCTCCCTTCAACCTGCTCCTTTTTCTCCCCAAGGCTAATCTTCCCCTGTGTTTCCATAAAGAAATTCTCAGACTTACCTTGTCTGATTGTAGATCATAAGACCCTCATTTCAGGAGGGGTTCTGCCCTTTACCCTGGGGGAAGCAATGTTGCACCAAGCGGCCCAGAAGAATCTGAACAGACAGGCCTTTCTGGGTTCCCCACTCAGTCTGTTAGTATTGGGTCATGTCCTTTTTGTCCAATCATATTTCTGCATGGTTGCCCCTGCTTCAGTCATCCCTGTTCAATGAAGTCTGTGTAAAAGGCCCAAGAGGACAGGGTTTGGAGGGCTTCTGGAAGGCTGAACACGTGGAGGTTCCTGGGGGGTGGTGCACCTGGGGAGGTATGGGAGCTCCATACCCATACCTTGTCCTGTGCGTCTCCATCTGTGTCCTTTGTACTATCCTTTATAATAAACCAGTAATAAGTTTTGTGAGCCGCTCTAGCAAATTAATCAAACCCAAGGAGGAGGTCATGGGATCCCCAGTTTATAGCCAGTGAGTCAGAAGCACAGGCGAAACAGCCTGGGGCTTGAGATGGGCACTTTAAGTGGGGGCAGTCATTTGGGTCTGAGCCTCAACCTCTGGGATCTGATAATGTCCCCAGGTAGGTAGGGTCAGAATTGAACTGGGTTGGAGGACACCCAGCTGGTATCTACTGCAGAATTGATTGCTTGCTTGTTGGTGGGAAGAAGTCCCCACACACTTGGTCACAGCAATCTTCTATGTTGATCGATTGTCTTTGAGTAAGAGAATTAAAAAAAATGCTTTGAGTTTGAGTTTCTCAGACAGCTCTTCAGACAAACCCCCTTGTGATATTCTGCCAGCACAGCCCTCCATTCATGGGGGACTGGGCCCCTCACTTCTCCCAAACTCATTACTGCCTCTTAATCACCACAGGCTGGTCCTGTTTTCTCTGCCTGTCCTAATGCGAGCATCAAGACCTAGTCAAGCCTTGCCTTCTCCATGAAGCCTCCCCCTCCATTCTTCCGGTTAGCCCTGCTATCAGTGCAGTTCTTCTGGCACATCACAGTGAGCATTGCGTTAGAAGTGGCCTGTTTCATATCTGAGTCTTGACATCTTTAGGTATTAGAACTCAAGGAGTGTTACTTAATCATCCAAAAAAAAAAAAAAAATCCCTCACCAGGACCAAACCTGGAACGCTCACCCAGTCGGTTCTCAGTGATTATGTACTGGACTGACTTGCCACTGTCCTCTGCTTAGCCTTAGGTGGCCCTTCATAGCTAGTGACCCTAACCAGGTCTGCCGAGTGAATGCACTGCACTTTTCTCAGTATTACCTCTTTTCGGAAGATAAGTATTACGTCTTTTCAGGTATCCGGCTGTTGGCTTCTCCCGGGTTCATGTATGTGGGAAGAACTCTACCCCCAACCTTCATCCCTAAAGCATTTGAGCCGTTAGTAACTCACTTTGGGTTGGTATTTTTCACTCACTGCTGTCTTTTAAGCATTTATTTCTAAGGGGGATGCTTGGGTGCCCTGTTGGATGTAGGGGTACCTTGTGGTGAGGGTGAGGGCTCCTCTGAGTCTGGCTGCCTGGGCCGCGATCCTGGCTTCTTCACTTGATCAGCTGCACAGCCTTAGGTGCCTTTTCCTTATTTGCAAAATTGAAGTAATAATGATACCTGGCCTCTGGGGCCCTTACCAGGATTAGATGAGATAATACATGTTGCAAGCTTTGCACGGTGTCTGGGACATAGTAAACAATTTTTTTTGGCCTTATTGCTATTTTGGATTTTTAATGGCATAATTTTAACATTATTCCCCAGTCTCATCCTCCACAGTCCAGTGGAGTTAGTTTAGGAGGAAAGATAGAAAACAGAGGCCACTTCACTCTGCGTTGTTGCTGGCTAAATGCTTTCTTTCCTCACAAGACGAATGATTAACCATGAGTGGGCTCACAGGTGGGCTGGCCCGAGAGGCGGGCGACTGTCAACCCATCTTCCCTTCCCAGGTGGTTGGGCGGCTTAGAAACTTGATGGAGATGCAGAAATGGAGAAAACCAGCTGGAACTCATTCAATCAAATTTAATATACTGCATATTTTCTGGGCACTGACAATATGCCAGGCACTGTGCTAAGTGCTAAAGTTGTAAAGCATAAATAATTGGGCAAGGTCCCTGCCCTCAAGGGACTTTTCAGAGGACATATAATCCTCAAGAAAATAGATTAATAGATAAATAATAAATTAATATAGACTGCGACAAAGTCCGAGGAGAAAATGAAAGGATAGAGTTCCTAGGGGAGTCTGCTTTAGTGGGTGGTTAGGGAACCCTCTTTGGGGAGGTGGCCTTTAAACCAAGATCTGAAGCTGGGAAGGAGCCACCTTGGTGAGTTGGGGGTGGGGAGGTGGAAAGGGGAGAATGTCGAGAGTACAGCAGCACGAGGGGACTGAGGAAGGATCTGGCGAGGAACAATTTTTTTTTTTTTTTTGAGACAGAGTCTCGCTCTGTCTCCCAGGCTGGAGTGCAGTGGCGCCATCTCGGCTCACTGCAAGCTCCGCCTCCTGGGGTTCACGCCATTCTCCTGTCTCAGCCTCCCGAGTAGCTGGAACTACAGGCGCCTGCCACCACGGCTGGCTAATTTTTTTGTATTTTTAGTAGAGATGGCGTTTCACCGTGTTAGCCAGGATGGTCTCAATCTCCGGACCTCGTGATCCGCCCACCTCGGCCTCCCAAAGTGCTGGGATTACAGGCGTGAGCCACCGTGCCTGGCCAAGCTGAGGAACTATTAATAGTCTGGTCTCTGTGAAAAGACACCTGGAGTGTACAGAAGAGCTTGGCTGAGGGGGTGGCCAGGGAACCGAAGGGGCGAGGCTTATAGGGATTGTGTAAGTGCATACCCCGTTATCTGGGACAGTGGTTTAACATTTTTAAATTAAATTCTTTTTCTTTTTATTTTTGAGACAGGGTCTCGCTCTGTCGCCCAGGCTGGAATGCAGTGTCAGGATCTCAGCTCAGTACAACCTCCGCCTCTCGGGTTCAAGGATTCTCATGCCTTAGCCTCCCAAGTAGCTGGGACTACAGGCTTGCGCCACTAGGCCTGGCTAATTTTTAATATTTTTAGTAGAGAGGGGGTTTCACTGTATTGCCCAGGCTGGTCTGGAGCCCCTGGGCTCAAGCGATTCTCCCGCCTCGGCCTCCAAAAGTGCCACTGCACCTGGCCAGTGGCTTAAAATTTTTTTCTATCATTGACATACTTGAGAAGGCATAAGATACTCTTGTAGTGTAGGGCTGTTGCACTGGGGGGAGGGAATTGTCAGGGTGTGTGGGGTTGAAAAGAGCCCCTGGTGATTTAGACATACCTTGCCTTCCATCTCTTCAAATTGAGAAACACAGCTCTTCACAGAATCCATGGGCATCTGGGAACATTTACATCTCTTACTTTTCAATTAAATTTTGAAGGGTTATAGAGGCACACTATAGGAACATGGAATTCTGTCAATTGATGAGAACATTGGCTCAGCCCTCTGAGGCTGAGTCACTGTTTAATTGGATTACTGTGTGGCCCACTTAAATAAATACTGTTTTGGAATAGAAAAGTTATTTTATTTTGAAATTGTATGAACAAGACTTTGGAGACATCCTTTAAGATTTTCACGCACGTGGATGTTGCCCTTTTGTTGAGAGAGGCAGTGTCGAGGAGATAAGAGAACAGCTGGCATTGCATTTGTGTCTGCACCAGGCTCTGTGGCTTTGGGCAGTGATTTAACTTCTCTGGTAAAGTAGGACAAATAAGTCTTGCACTGCCTGCCTCGTCAGCTGTCATGGAACAGTGCTTTATAAATTACACAATATCAGAAAACAAAAGTTACTTCAAAAAAATTTAGTTTCTGTACATTATGGCCCATAGCACATTATGGCAAGGATGTAATTCATGACCATGGAACAGAACTTTTCACTGTTCACAGATGACTGGTCTCTAGAAAAATCTAAAGGAGAATATTTTTATAACTTTGGAGTAGGAGTGGTCTTTGTAAGGATGGTGCAAAGCCTGGAAGCCATAAGGAAAACCTTCATAAAATTCATTATCTAATAAAAAGTATTGGCATAGCAACCACCATAAGCAAAACAAACAGATTACAAACCAGAAAAATATACTTGAACTTTATGTTATGTATTAAGGATTAACTTCCCTAATACAAAAAGAACTCCTATGAACCAATAAGGAAAAGAACAGGAACTCTGTAAGAAAATGATTGAAAGACATAAACAATTTGTATAAAAGAAAATAGTGGTGCCGGGCATGGTGGCTCAAGCCTGTAATCCCAGCACTTTGGGAGGCCGAGGCTGTCGGATCACAAGGTCAGGCGTTCGAGACCAGCCTGGCCAATATGGTGAAACCCCGTCTCTACTAAAAATACAAAAATTAGCCAGGCGTGTTGGCGCTTGCCTGTAATCCCAGCTACTCAAGAGGCTGAGGCAAGAGAATCGCTTGAACCCGGGAGGCGGAGGTTGCAGTGAGCCGAGATCACGCCACTGCACTCCAGCCTGGGTGACAGAGTGAGACTCCGTCTCAAAAAAAAGAAAATAGTGGCACCTAAACACATGAAAAATGCTTGCTCTTATGCATAATTGAAAAAAAATACTAATTAAATCACATTGAAATAAGCCATTTTTTGCCTATCTAGGATTGACAAAGATAAAACATTTTGCAAACGGATCATGTTAGGGAAGATACAGGAAAACAACCCACTCATTTGTAAATACGTTGCTTTGCCAATATCTTGATGATTCAGATGATATGGCTTGATCCAGCAATTCCACTTACAGAAATTTACTCATGCAGGTATTTACTGCGTACTGTTCATAGTAGCACGAGAATGTCTTATCAGTGGGTGCTGGTGAAATGAAGTGTGTTGCATTCACATCATGGAATAGTACACAGCCACAAAAAGAGAACGAGGCTAACTAAAAACCATTTAGCAGATACCTGCCCCCACTTTTTAAAAAAAGAACATTTTATTGTGATTAGAATACTCACCAGGAGACCTACCCTCTTAACAAACTTTCCAGTGTATAATACAGTATTGTTAGCCATAGGCGCAATGTTGTACAGCAGATCTTTAGAGCTGCTTAATTAATCTAGTGGACTCCTGATCTTGTTAGAACCTGTAAACTGATGTCTTTCTTCCCAATGCTGTTGCTTCACTACCTGATGCACCTTTTTTGGCTGAGTTTGCTTAACTGAGCTTTTTGTGATTGTTTTGCCAGCATGGGAGGACCTACTATATCTGGGACTCTATGCAAAGAATATTCAGAGGAATGATATGCCTTTAAAGGCTGCCTGTTAACAAAGGGTTAAATAATTTAGGCATTAGACGAATTGGGGGCCCTGCCAAATGAGTGTGGCTAAAGTCTGTCCTTTTCCTGAACATTCATGTAAGAAAACCCCACCCCCTGTTTGTCCCCACATTCTCTCTCCTCCTAAGGATCATTGTTCCCTTGTGGCATAATAATTAAAAAAAAATGTGAAATTGAGCCGTCATCAGACTGGTAATGAAATCCTGAGTGCTGAAGAACCTGAATTTCTTTTTTCTTTTTCTTTTCTTTTTCTGAGATGGAGACTCACTCTATCGCCAGGCTGAAGTGCAGTGGAGGCGCGATCTCGGCTCACTGCAACCTCCGCTTCCTGGGTTCAAGTGATTCTCCTGTCTCAGCCTCCCGAGTAGCTGGGGAGGCTACAGGCACATGCCACTACCCCACCTAATTTTTGTATTTTTAGTAGAGACGGGGTTTCCCCATGTTGGCCAGGCTGATCTCGAACTCCTGACCTCAGGTGATCCTCCCACCTCAGTCTCCTTTCAAAGTGCTGGGATTACAGGTGTGAGCCGCCACGCCTGGCCCAAGAACCTGAATTTCTGACAGGTAACAAATACCATTTTCTTTTTAAAAAAGTTATTCCTTTTTAATCTTGTTAGACTGAAATGGCTTGTCTGTCAATATATTTTCAAAGGGTAGTCCATTCTTGTAAAGGACATAATGTGCCTACTGTTCAATTTTTTTTTTTGAGATGGAGTCTCACTCTGTTGCCCAGGCTGGAGTGCAGTGGTGGTATCTCAGCTCACTGCAACCTCTGCCTCCATTCAAACGATTCTCCTGCCTCAGCCTCCCGAGTAGCTGGGATTACAGGCGTGTGTCACCATGCCTGGCTAATTTTTTGAATTTTTAGTAGATGGAGTTTTACCATGTTAGCCAGACTGGCAATATTTTTATATTATGACTAAGTATAATATGGGTCCTGTGTGGCTTGTTTAAAACACATTGCTCTGAAACCCTTGGGCTTTTAGTTGTTATATTGACTTGTGAATTTGCTGAGATTTAGCAACTATTTCCGTAGTATATGCAGTTCCCTTTTTTTCTAGTGGCTTTCAGTTTCATAGTTGAGTATCAAGAATATAGCCTGTGAACTGCATGGGATTCTGCATAAAGTATTTTAAGAAAAAAGAACAGGCCAGGCGTGGTGGCTCATGCCTGTAATCCCAGCACTTTGGGAGGCTGAGGCGGGCGGATCACTTGAGGTCAGAGTTTGAGACCAGCCTGGCCAACAGGTGAAACCCTGTCTTTACTGAAAATACAAAGATTAGCTGTGTGTAGTGGCACACACCTGTAGTCCCAGCTACTCGGGAGGCTGAGGCATGAGAATCACTTGAACCCGAAAGGCAGAGGTTGCAGTGAACTGAGATTGTGCCACTGTACTCCAGCCTGGGTGACCAAGTGAGACTGTCTCAAAACAAAACAAAAAAACAACCAAGGAAGGGACTAGAAAGCAGATTAAAATAGCAGGAAAAAGAATCAAAATAGAAGCCATATGTAGTGAAAAGAGTCCACCAAAATGAATCAGAAAAGCAATTTAAACAAAATGTATTAATTGGATTGGTCAGGAGTAAATAATGAATTTGTATGTTTGGGTGCACAGAAAACCCTATAGATGTGATCATAGAAATATTTGTTTACAAGAGTTGAACCTAGGAAGAAAGGCATTTTTCTAGATAACTATAATGCCATTATCATATCCTGGAAATTTAACTTTATACAGTACATTATCTAATAAACAGGGTCACATTAATCTATCCCCATTGTCCCAAAAGTGTCATAGCTTTTTAAAAATCACAAAATATGGCTGGGTGTGGTGGCTCATGCCTGTAATCCCAGCACTTTGGAAGGCTGAGGTGGGCGGATCACAAGGTCAGGAGATAGAGACCATCCTGGCTAACATGGTGAAACCCCGTCTCTACTAAAAATACAAAAAATTAGCAGGGCCTGGTGGTGGGAGCCTGTAATCCCAGCTACTCGGGAGGCTGAGGCAGGAGAATGGCATGAACCCAGGAGGCGGAGGTTGCAGTGAGCTGAGGTTTCGCCACTGCACTTCTAGCCTGGGCGACAGAGTGAGACTCCATCTCAAAAAAAAAAAAATTGCAAAATACTTGATAGGGTTTTAAAACTGCAAGATAGCGAATATAATACAAAATGAAGTGAATTTATATTTTCTATTAGAAAAGCAGTTTTAAAGGGGGTGCTTTCTTTTATGTAAATAAAATTGAAGCTGACAAATTTGAGATTTTATATTTTTATCAAATTTGTATTTAGAAGGTATCTTTTGCAACTTATTTGCTTAAAATTATACCTAGAGTTGGCTGGGCGCGATGGCTCACTCCTGTAATCCCAGCACTTTGGGAGGCTGAGGTGGGTGGATCACGAGGTCAGGAGATCGAGACCATCCTGGCTAACATGGTGAAACCCCGTCTCTACTAAACAAAATACAAAAACTAGCCGGGCGTGGTGGCAGGCGCCTGTAGTCCCAGCTACTTGAGAGGCCGAGGCAGGAGAATGGCGTGAACCCCAGAGGCAGAGCTTGCAGTGAGCCGAGATCGCACCACTGCACTCCAGCCTGGGAGACAGAGCGAGACTGTCTCAAAAAAAAAAAAAAAACAAAAAACCTAGAGTAAAAAAAATGGGATCTCATTTCCTTGCAGCAGATGACAACTTTGGATTCTTGGTCTAGCTTAATTAGTAAATTGGCTTAGAATCACATGATTTCAGACCTGACAGCAACCCAGGATTTTCCAGAAACCCAAGGTTATGGATGGGAACAATGAATCATTGGTGTGATTACATTATCCTTTAACCGTAATGGGTTTGCCTTGCATTAAGTAACCAGAGGGAAAGAAAGCACCTGTTCCTTAACTCTTGTGGCATTTCCACACTCATCTTCACTGAGCTTGTGCTAGTGGGGAAAACAAATGACAAACTGTAGTTCTGTTTTTTGGTTTTAAGCCTAATAATAATAATTAATGGCAGCAATTACTATGTGCTTGTTATGAGCCAGGCTTTAGGCCAGGTGTTTTATACATATTAACTTCTTTGTACTTTGTAATAATTATATAGAATTAGGTTCTGTTGTTGATCACTGTTTTATAGATGAGGATACCGAGGCGCACAGAGGGTAAGCAGGTGGACCAGGGTCACTTAGCAGGATTTGAGCCCAGGGAGGATGAACACTGGGCAGCCCATGCTTCATCAGTGCAGTGCCCTAAGCTGCTGAGTATTTTTGGGCGCTTTTTTTCTCCATTTATTCATGCTGTCTGTGCGAATGTGTATGGAAAACTCCAAGCAATTGGAGTATGCCCAGAATATACTAGAATTTTAAGATGCAAATGTTAGATCACATCGCCTACATTTCTGATGGTAGTCAATCTTGAATAGCCAGGCTAATGCATATTTCCTGTATGCGTTACATACCTGATACTACCAAGATCGAGGCCGGAGATGCTAAATAAACAAGAATAGTGAGGAGCCATGCCATTTGTAATTTACGGTTTGGTGGGGCACAGACATTAATTCAGCATTTACCCAAATAAGGGTAATGATATTTTTATTCTCAGAATAATCTTTTATTCTTATGATAAGAGTTACAGAGGAAGATGATGGTACAAGGGAAGCTACCTAGGGAGAGCTGACCTTGTTGGAGGGAGTGAGAGCAAGCGCCCTGGGTAGTGAGATTGTAACCAAGATTTGAAAAGTGAGTAGGGTTAACTAGTGACAGATGGATTTGAATTCCAGCATTGCCCTTGAGCACGTTGGTCACTTTGTGGTGATGACCTTGAACAAGTTACTTTACCTCTCTAAGCCTTAGTATCTTCATCTGTAAAATGGGTGATTGTGAGAATTAACAACATACAACATACTCAGCACAAGGCCGATACATAGTCATCAGTAGTGGCAGTTTTTATTACTGTTGGCATTTTCTGTTCATTTTACTGGGAACTTAGAAGAGACACTTATTTAAGTCTCTTACTCTGTAGCAAGGGCCACCAAATACCTGGGAATAATTAACTTGGAAAAATGGAAGCCTGAATGAATATTGAATATTTAATGGTGATCTTCTTTGATCTTTTTTTTTTTTTTTTTTTTTGAGACAGAGTCTCACTCTGTTGCCCAGGCTGGAGTGCAGTGGCACGATCTCGGCTCACTGGAACCTCTGCCTCTTGGGTTCAAGCGATTCTCCTGCCTCAGCCTCCTGCATAGCTGAGATTAAAGGCACATACTACCACGCCCAGCTAATTTTTTTATTTTTAGTAGAGATGGGGTTTCACCATATTGGCCAGGCTGGTCTTGAACTCCTGACTTCATAATCTGCCTGCCTCGGCCTCTCAAAGTGCTGGGATTACAGACGTGAGCCACCACGCCCGGCTTTCATGGTGATCTTCTAATAGGCCAAATGTCTTCGGCATCTAGGATATGGGAAAGGCCTTTATGGGACTGTTGGTTTGAAGACACATTCAGAATGGAGCTTACTTGAAAGCAATTGGAGTATGCCCAGAATATACTAGAATTTTAAGACGCAAATGTTAGATCACATCGCCTACATTTCTGATGGTAGTCAATCTTGAATAGCCAGGCTAACGCATATTTCCTGTACCAATAGCCGTACACTATTTGCCCAGTGATTTTTTTTTTCCACAGTGTTTGCAGGTATATGTGGTTATTTCTTATAGCTAAGTGTGCAGGGATCCTTGTGCATCCTTTGAGAAAGGCGAGTCTTGCTTTTGTCTCTCTGGTCTGTGAAGATGTACATGTATATGCAGATATCCAATCCAGCTTTTTTATTGGAATAATATCGTTTTTTACACCTTCCATTGTTCTTATATTTTGAAGAAAAAAGTACCAATAATTCAGCCAGTGGTCATACTTATTTATTATTGTTATTATTATTATTTGAGACAGGGTTTCACTCTGTTGCCCAGGTTGGAGTGCAATGGCGAGATCATGGCTCACTGCAATCTCTGCCTCCTGGGCTCAAACAGTCTTCCCATCTTAGCCTCCCGGGTAGCTGGGATTATAGGTGCCTGCCGAAAAAAATGCTTCGCTAATTTTTGTGTTTATTGTACACATGGGGTTTTGCCATGTTGCCCAGGCTGCTTTCGAACTTGAGACTCAAGTGATCTGTTTGCCTTGGCCTCCCAAATTGCTGGGATTACAGGCATGAGCCACTACACCCAGCCCATACTTAATTTTTCTTGTATACTTAATTTTTCTTGTATACTTCCTAAGTGCTTTAAGTACATTATCTGATTTAATCCTTCTAGTAGCTGTATGAAAGAGTCACTTTTTCTCCACATGAGATCCCTTTTTCTCCAAGAGAATATTGAGGCTTTCTCGGAGAGGTTAAGTAACTTGTTCAAGGTCACACAGCCATGAGTGGCATAGTTGGGGATTTGAACCGAGATATGAATGACTCCAAACCTGAACTCTAAACTTTGATGCTGCCTTTCAAGCTAGTTATTGGAGATGATCAAACCCCTGTGTCAGTGGAGGAAGGGAGGTCTGTGTCAAGAGATTTATTGTACTTCTGTGGTCATAAGAGTGGCTTGTGAACAATGTCATGTCTGAAAAGCATTGGGAAGCTTGTTGAATTTAGATTTATTCACTGAATCAGTAGACGTAGATATTGTAGCAGTATCTTTCTAGGCTATTATCTCCTCCTTGAGGAACTCTGGTATATAACAACTGAAAATTAAATATACTTATGAAATGTTAGGAGTTTATGTTTAAAATAGCATTTTTACTTCTTCCTCATTCTTGCCATTTCTGTTCTTCAGTTTCTATGTTAACTGCTTTGCCATTTTCAGGTCAACTACTGTTTGTTGCCTTAAATCTATCTGGGAGCTGCTTCAAATCCATTTGGAAGCAAGGGGAGGATACATTATAAATAAATGATATGTTCAGAGATGGGCAGAGTTGGAAAGACATTTCAGTGAGACGGAAGGCCAGTAAAGCTTTTGTCTATCAGCATCTGATATCATTACAAACATATTGGTCTGGGCTTAGCTTGCTTCTAGACCATCTGGATTTATCTTCAGCTGAGCTAAACCCAGGAAAAAAGACAAAAAAAACCCATTTGGATTTGCTCTGCAGTTCTTATTTTGTTTTTCTTCTAACGCAAACCCTGCTTCAAAAATTAAGTGTTGATTTTGACTGATGATAACAAAACAAAAATACAACCTGATGTGCTAGCTAAGGCGGGGGGGAAATGACAAAAGCCTCAGAGAGCAGGAGCCAAGTGTTCACTTCTCCAGGACGTTTCCTTCCCTAGTACTGGTTTTTCCTAATTCAGCAAAAGAGGAAGAAAGAAGTGTGGGGCTCTTCTTTATTTTATATATCTATATGTATATATATGTTACTTGTATTTATATATTTGTTTATATTTTTAATTAATTAATTTATTTATTTTGAGACAGAGTCTCACTCTGTTGCCCAGGCCAGAGTGCAGTGGTGCAATCTCGGCTCACTGCAACCTCCACCTCCCGGGTTCAAGCGATTCTTCTGCCTCAGCCTCTCGAGTAGCTGGGATTACAGGTGCCCACCAGCACAACCGGCTAGTTTTCATATTTTTAGTAGAGACACGGTTTCACCTTGTTGGCCAGGCTGGTCCCCAACTCTTGACCTCAAGTGATCTGCCTGCCTCGCCCTCCCAAAGTATTGAGATTACAGGTGTGAGCCCCTGCTCCCGGCCTATATTTTTAAATCACAAAAATAATATATAAAAAAAAGTTGTTAATCCTGGAATGTACAAAGTAAAAAAATGAAAGCCCCCTCACCCATCCCACTTCTGTTTACCTTGGCATATATTTTCTGGAATCTTCTTCTTTTTTTAATTTATTTTATTTTATTTTTATTTTTTGAGATGGAGTCTCACTCTGTTGCCCGGGCTGGAGTGCAGTGGTGCGATCTCTGCTCACTGCAATCTCTGCTTCCCGGGTCCAAGTGATTTCTCCTGCCTCAGCCTCCCGAGTAGCTGGGACTACAGGCGCCCGCCACCACGCCCTGCTAATTTTTGTATTTTTACTAGAGACGGGGGTTTCACCATATTGGCCAGGCTGGTCTTGAACTCCTGACCTTTTGATCCGCCTGCCTCGGCCTCCCAAAGTGCTGGGATTACAGGCATGAGCCACCGCACCCAGCCTGGAATCATCTTCTATGCATACAAGCATGTATACACATATGTACACACTTAATGGAATCATGCTGCTATTGTTCAGCCATTTGCTGTTTCCTGTTTGTGCAGCATGGACATCTCTCTATCCCAGGATTTACAGATTCACCTCTTTCCTTTGAATTACAAGGTATTCCATGACTACATCCTGCTTTATTTAATCGTTTCCTTACCAAGGGGCATTTGGGTTATCTTAACTCTTCCAGTTATAAACATGGCTCAGTGAGCAGCTGACACATGTGGCTTTACCTCTGGGTGCTGATCTTTCTGAAGGATACCTGCCTAGAGGTAGGGATGCTGAGCCAAAGGTTATGTGAACTCTGGACTTGTCAGTAGCCCTGCGTTTGGATCAGGGTGAAAGTGTGAACATTGGCCTGTTTCAAATGGAGCCATTTCTTCTTGTGGCCATTTTCTGTTTCCATAAGGTAGGCCGAGTAGCATGGAGCTCACAGCCCGGTGTGTAGGCAGAGTTATTTGATGGGGATGACAATTTCTGCCTATTTCATCCTTTTGAAATTTATGAAGGTAAAAGCTTTTTCCTCTTGAATCTTGCTTCATTCCAGATGTACTCACAGAGAACTCTAATATGTTAAGTCTGCTCCTGGAATAAAGCCAGTCTTGGTTTTCTTTCCCACTCCCCAAGTGCATTTGTTTTCCTTCTGGATATTTTGTTCATCTTTGGACTTTGATTTACTTACAGGATCACAAGATTAGCTTTCTTTGAAGAAGACTCCTGTTGGCTTTCTTTAATTTGGTCAGTGTTGAGCCCTTCCCACTGAGCTCTTTCCTGGCCTGCCTGCCTTGGCCACGTGTTCCTTTCCAGGTCAGGTGCACTGCAGACTCTGGATGTAATGGCTTGAGCACTGACAGCTTCCCAAGGTTTTGTTCAGGCAGGAAATGAATCACATGCCAGGAGGGAGTGAGTGAACCCTGCTGACTGCTGGACACCCTCCTTACTTCATTATCTTCTCCATCAGGGGCTGAGCAAATCATTAAATTTTTTCACTTTACCAGTTTTTTTTTTTCCTTAAGAGATGGGGTCTTGCTGTGTTGCCCAGGCTGGCCTCAAACTCCTGGCCTCAAGATATCCTCTTGAGTCTCAGCATCCTGAGTAGCTGGAACTACAGGCACATGCCACTGTGCCTGGCTCCCAAATCATTTTAATATTGGGCTATGATACATATTAGGCCACAGCTTACCTTTGTCAGCTGCATTGCTCATGCCACTCTCCCATGCCTTTATTCCCCAAGTCCTTACTACCCTCCTTCCCATGATGGCAGACATCACTAATTGATCCTGTTCTTTTGAACATGATCCAGTGAGCCAGACAAGCCCTTGGGATCTTTCTTGATACCCCAGGCAGCCCGTCCTACCAGACTGGAGTTGGTACAACTAAGGGCCCAGGAAAACCCTTTCAGGATTCATACTTGAGAAGGGTTTTGGGGAATGCTGAGTGGTACCCAGATTTGTGGAATTCTTGGATTACTAAAATGTAAAAAAGAACATTGGGAGTCTTGCACAGGATTGCTAACTTTTTGCTCTTTATATGAAAGGCATTAACACCTCCCCAAACCTATCAGATCTACTCTCTGCCATTTTATAAAAGAAAGAATATTTTGTCACCCTCCCAAAATAAGAAAGACATAATCTCAGAATAAAGGGGAGTCCTTTAAATTGAGAGATTCTAGCTACATAAAAAGTCCAGTGCATTGTCTTTCTTTTCCCCAATTTGTTATTAAAAACTTGGTCATAGACCTAAGTACTGTTTAGGAACCCGTGTCGTAAGTTTCAGACTGCCAGAGATTTTTTTCTTTATATTTTTACAAAGCCAAAATTTAATTCCTTGAATCCAGGTGATACTGCTTATTGGCGTTGATGTTGTGTACTCAGATGAACATTTTATTTTATTATTTCCACTTAATAGTATAAAATGGTCATTTTGCAGAATAAACAAAAAAGGTTTTGTATTCTTGGAGGTTGGAATAAAGATCTGTTCTCTTAGTGGCTCTCTTGTCCAGTGTTGGCTCATTCATTCTGCAGTTATTTATTGCCCACCTGCGATTATGTGCCGAGCACTGGGGCACTGCAGTGAAAAGCAAATGTCTCTACCCTCTTGGAGCTCACAATACAGGAAAAATAATTAAAAACAAATAAATAGTATAGATTCAGGTTGTGTTAAGTGCTGCTAAGAAGATAAAATAGTGGACCGGGTACGGTGGCTCATGACTGTAATCTCAGCACTTTGGGAGTTCGAGGCAGAAGGATCACTTGGGCCCAGGAGTTCAAGACTAGCCTGGGCAACATAGTGAGATATTATCTCTATAAAAAAATAACAAAAATTAGCCAAGTGTGGCGGTGTGAGCCTGTAGTGCCAGCTACTTGGGAGGCTGAGGTGGGAGGATCACTTGAGCCTGGGAGGTGGAGGTTGCAGTGAGCCAGGATCACGCCACTGCACTCCAGCCTGGGTGACAGAGTGAGATCCTGTCTCAAAACCAAACAAAACAAAACAAAAATAAATAAAATAGTGTAAAACTTAGGGGAAAAACTTAGGGGAAAAACGAGTTATGGTATTGCAGCAAAGATGACTTTGGAAACATGAGCTGAGGACACAGCTAAAAAACAGTCTAGGGAAAAAGCATTCCAAGAAGAGGGCATAGTAGATGCGAAGGCCCTGGGATGAGATGCACTTGGTGCGTGGGACAGCTTTTTGCTCTTTATATAAAAAGGGACAGAGAGAAGACGAGGCAGCGGAACACAGAGGAGAGGAAGAGAGTGGAAGGAGGCACCCAGGAGGCGGCAGGGGTGGTTGGGGAAGAGGGGCCTTGTTAGTCATGGCAAGGGATTTACCGTTTATTTCTTTTGCAGTGGGAAGCCATTGGAGGGCTTTACGTAGAAAAGGGGTTTGATCTGAATTTTACCTTGAGAAGATCACTCTGAGCGCATGGAGAATGGATCGTGTGGGGCAAGACTGCAGAGTCATTAGGAGACTATCTTAGCAGTCTGGCTGATGCATGGTGGTAACCAGGAGTAGGGTTTCAGCAATAAAGTTGGTGATGAGATTTAGGATACATTTGGAAGTAGTGCCAACAGGACATGTATCTCCAGATAGCACCTGCCATGGTGCCTGAAGCAAATCAGTGCTCCGTAAATAAGGGCTGAATGAGGGAATCCAGTTGGTTTAGAATGCAACAGAGGACTGCCGTGTTCATGAAAGGAATTTGTAAAATTTCCTCCTAATAGTAATTGTATTTTTGTCACGCCCTCACTTAGGTTGAAATTTCTCTTGAAGTTTATATACTGGTCCTATAGGTACCTCACAAATACACTTTCTTTAAAATGATCCTGAAGCAGCCTGAATGCTCAACAATACAGGTAACATCCACTCAGTTGAATAAGATAACCCCTTATTCAGAAACATAGATATTTTTGTTGTAATGAGATTGAAGAAGAGAAAATGTAGGCTTGTGAAAACGCTTATGATTATATCAATTAAAAAAATGTGTGTGAGAAAAAAACCGTAAGGAAGTAAAATTGTGATAATGATTGTTCATTGTGGTGGTTTATGGTTAAGGTGACCAGGAATAATTTATTATGGAAATAATGACACTTTGTTTCTGAGGCAGGGTCTTGCAGTGTCACCCAGGCTAGAATGCAGTGGTGTGATCATGGCTCACTGTAGCCTCAATCATTCTGTCTCACGTGATCTTCCCACCTCAGCCTCCCAAGTAACTGGGACTACAGGTGCACATACCACACCTGGATAATTTTTAAATTGTTTTTGTAGAGATGAGGCCTCACTATGTTGCCCAGGCTGGTCTTGAACTCCTGGCCTCAAGTGATCCTCCTGTCTCGGCCTCCCAACATCCTGGGATTACAGGTGTGAGCCACTGTGCCTGGCCTCAATCATAGCACTTCCAAGCACCGTTCAAATGACTGAGTGGGGAATGAAGGTGCTATGAATAATTATACATACTGTGATGACAAGAGAAAACCAAGACTGTCCTGAACAACCCAGGCCATGTGGTCACCCTAGTTATGGGCAATATTTTACTTCTCTGTTTTTCAAATTTCCTGAATTATATTATTTAAACATTAATTTAAATTTAAAAATACGTAAAAAGAATGATCTTGCTTTAGAATATTTGCTTTCAGAGGTCACAGAACATTTCTTTGGCTCTTTCACCAAGCACTTAAATGTCTCCTGCCTTTTAAAGTGATAGGGATACCGTGGAGACATTGGTCTCAGAGGATGGGTGGTCTCAGAGGTTGGGGATAATCCAGCTGGGAGGCTTTGAAGCTGTGATCATCCCCCTCTGCCCTCTACCATTCTCATGAAAGAACGGGCTAGCATAGCACCTACAGACTCCAAGATGACCTTTTTCTGTGACTAATAAGATTAGGATCCTAGTACGTTCAAAATGTCCTAAGGATTTGCTTAGATCACTTGACAGGCCTGTTCTCCTTTGCCTTTCCCAAAGCAATGTTACAGTTAAAGGTTAGTTTGTGGGATCTGGATTTGAATTTTTTTCTACTGAAGTTTGCAAAATATATATATATATATATATATTTGAGATGGAGTCTCGCTGTGTTGCCCAGGCCAGAAGTGCAGTGGCACGATCTTGGATCACTGCAACCTCAGCCTCCCAGGTTCAAGCAATTCTCCTGCCTCAGCCTACTGAGTAGCTGGGACTACAGGTGCACACCACCACACCCGCTAATTTTTTATATTTTTGGTTGTGACGGGGTTTCACCATGTTGGCCAGGCTGGTCTCGAACTCCTAACTTTCCTAACTTCAAGTGATCCGCCTGCCTCGGCCTCCCAAAGTGCTGGGATTATATGTGTGAGCCACTGCACCCAGCCATCAAATATAAATTTGTTTGACGGATTTGTGTGTAGCTTCATGGTAATGGGGCATACAAGTGACAGTTTTATTGGCTCACATTTGAAGTATACGAAACAAAATTAGAGATTTTTTTTTTTTTTGAGATGGAGTCTCACTCTGTTGCCCAGGCTGGAGTGCAGTGGTGTGATCTCAGCTCACTGCAACCTCTACCTCCTGGGTTCCAGCGATTCTCCTGCCTCAGCCTCCCGAGTAGCTGATACTACAGGTGTTCACCACCACACCTGGCTAATTTTTGTATTTTTAGTAGAGACAGGGTTTTGCCATGTTGGCCAGGCTGGTCTCGAACTCCTGACCTCAGGTGATCTACCAGCCCTGGTGCCCCAAAGTGATGAGATTGCAGGCATGAGCCACCGTGCCTGGCCAAAATTAGAGATTTTAAAAATACGTTATGAATAGTCTTTTACAACTAAAACTGTATTAAAAGTAAATACCAAGGGGTCAGGGTGCCGATATTTATCTCCATGGACTGTGGGGGAGGTTATGCCATTTCGTTAACGAGAAAACGTCGAACAAATTAGTTCTTCCCTTGCTTTTTTAGTTTTTCTACCTACAAAAAGGAGAGAACTAAATACCTTGGCTAAGAAAACAGTGAACACTTCCTTGTAACTGTTCACTACCTTGTGAAAGATAAAGGCACTTTAAATCTCAAATAAGACAATCATGTGGTCCTGGACTAGGTGCACGAAGCCTCATGTCTGAGTCTATCATTTCTCTAGAGCCTCATTTTCCTCTACCCTCCCCATCCGAGTCCAGTGAATCACTTCCTGATCCCACACATGGCTTGCATCTTCTTGCCTCCCTACATGGATCATACTGTACTCTGCACCTGGAACCCATGCCTCCCATATTACCTCCTTCATTAATGCAATGAAAGGTTTTAGTGATGGCCAACTGGGACACCAGAGCAAGGCTGCCTGGGTTCAAGTCCCAATTCTGTCGCTTAAAGCTATATGACCTTTGACACATTACCTGTTAACTTTTCCATTTCTCTGTTTGCTTCACTGTGAAATGGGAATAATATTAGTACCTATCATTTTTGTTTTTGTTTTTTAAATATAATTTTATTTTTCCATATTTTTTGAAAGAGATGGGGTCTTGCTATGTTACCCAGGCTGGTCTTGAACTCTTCAGTTTAAGTGATCCTCCTGCCTCAGCCTCCCAAAGTTCTGGGATTACAGGTGTGAGCCACTGCACCCAGATGAACTGACCATTTTTGTGAGGATATATGTAAAGTGCTTAGAACAGCGATTATCCTTTAGAAGCACTGTCTCTGTGTTAATTATCTTTTTTTTTTTTTTTTTTTGAGACGGAGTCTCGCTCTGTCACCCAGGCTGGAGTGCAAAGGTGTGATCGCAGCTCACTGCAACCTCTGCCTCCTGGGTTCAAGCGGTTCTTGTGCCTCAGCCTCCAGAGTAGCTGGGATTACAGGTGTGCGCCACCATCCCTGGCTAATTTTTGTATTTTTAGTAGAGATGGGGTTTTGCCATGTTGGCTAGGCTTGTCTCAAACTCCTTACCTCAGATCATCCACCTGCCTTAGCTTCCCAAAGTGCTGGGATTACAGGCGTGAACCACTGCGCCCGGGTCTTGTTAATTATCTTTTGAAGTGCAGCCCTTCCAGTAAGCATATGTCCACTAGCCACCACACGATTTGTGGCCTACTGACCTAGGTTTGAGTCTGAACCCTGCTACTTTGTGTTGGATGACAGGGGACAGTTATTCAACTTCTTTGAACGTTAGTGTCTTCATCTGGAGTGCAATATATCACCTGGTTGCTGGGCATGTCATTTGTGATACTGTGTGAACTGCACTGTCTATGAAGTGCCTGGTTTAGCACTTGACAGCTGGTAGATGCTCAGCAAATGTTAGTTTCTTTGGTTTGCATTTGCCTCCCTTTGTAACACTGTGTTTGTTGCCTGATGCTTGTACCTGCTTGGTTGCATCTCCTCCATTAGGCTGAATATGTTTTAA
Organism: Homo sapiens; assembly: GCF_000001405.40. Lineage (NCBI taxonomy): Eukaryota > Metazoa > Chordata > Mammalia > Primates > Hominidae > Homo > Homo sapiens. The sequence continues at coordinate 26,327,636 of NC_000007.14, forward strand.
TTTTCTTTGTCTCTGCACATAAAAATTTTTTTGGTTTATTCATTGATTTCATCACTCATTTGTTCATTGTATTCATTCATGCATTCTTTTCTTTTTTTTTTTTTTTTTTTTTGAGATGGTGTCTCGCTCTATCCCCCAGGCTGGTGTACAGTGGTATGATCTCGGCTCACTGCAAGCTCCGCCTCCCGGGTTCACGCCATTCTCCTGCCTCAGCCTCCTGAGTAGCTGGGACTACAGGTGCCTGCCACCACACCCAGCTATTTTTTTTTTGTATTTTTAGTAGAGGCAGGGTTTCACCGTGTTAGCCAGGATGGTTCAGATCTCCTGACTTCATGGTCCACCCACCTCAGCCTCCCAAAGTGCTGGGATTACAGGCGTGAGGTGCCCGGCCACATTCTTTTTCTTGTTTATTCAAAAATCATTTACTGAACCACTTGCTAAGTATGTTGGGCCCTACCAATGGAATGTACCCTTCTTCCAGCTAGAGTCAAGAGTAGAACTGATGAGAGCTCGAACTAGGCCAGTGACACTGGAGGCTGAGAGACAGGAATGGACTTAGGAGGTGTTTAGAGAGAGGACTGTAAGGGCTGGCTGACCAGTTGGGTTTGGAAAGGAATCAATGACAGTTTCCAGGATTCTTGCTTGAGCCACCGTGTGGATGCTGACATCATTAATTAAAATGGGCAACATAGAAGATAGTAGAATTGTCTAGGGTGTGGATGGGCAGGGAGAAGGTATCATGTGTCTACCAGCCTGGTTTGGACACAGTAAGTTTGAGGTGTGTGCAGAATGTCCGCATGAAGAGACCGCTAGGAGGTGGCCAGTTCACCCTCAAAGGCAGTTCTGATTCTGGACACCTTTGTACATGATATGGGAGTGGAAGTAGCCAAACCAGAGAATGAGTGTAGAGTGGAAGGGAAGAGGGCTGCCAGTGGCCCACTGGGGAAGTGCCCTGATTAAAGTGGAAGGCAACAGGGAATCTGTGGCTTCTGCTAGGAAGCCACATGTGATGCCTCACCACTGAAACTGCCCATGTGCCCCACCAAGAATATGCCACTGTCTGTGCACTTCAAGGCCAGCCCTTGGGTAGGCAGTACAGAAGTGGGGAGAATGCCTTCTTTCCCATCATGGGCCTCGCTGCAGGCCCCAGGCTGCATGGAATGTTTGTCTCCTTCTCCTGCAACATGTCTCACAGAGAATTCTTCTTGAATGCATGCTATGGTTCCTCTCTCCTTATAGCTGCCCATCCTCATTTTTCTCCCCTCCACTGGATAAGCATAAGTGAGGAAACACGCCAATACCTCCTTCCCCTTGTACACACCTCCACTGCTGCTTCTCAGTCTGGACCACCATCACCTCTGGCCTGCACCATTAGTCATCTCCAAACAGGTCTCCCTGCTTCTGCTTTGGCCCCCTACAGTCTGTTCCACACCCAGCAGCCAGAGGGATCCTGTTAAAACATAAGTCAGGTTAGGTCATGCACCTGCTGAAAGTGCCCCAGTGGCTTCCACATTCCTCACTGTGGTCCACAGGCCCGGTGTGACCCGGCCCACATCTCTCTTTCTGAGATCCTCTCCCTCATCCCCCATACTCCAGCACACTGGTTTCCTTCTGTTCTCCAGATATACCAGGCTCTTTCGGCCTTGGCTTTGGCACACACTGCCCACTCTTCCCGCAGTGTTCCTTCCCCAGACTGTTTTGTCCCTGGTTTCCTTTCTTCTGTCGGGTTTCAGCTCAAATGTCACCTCCTCTGAGAAGCCTTCCCTGACCACCCACATATGAAGTAGTCCTCACCGAGTCCTGGTAGTCACTCTCAAAAACATCACCCAGTTTTGTTTTTCTCATTAAGCTTGTTCATTATCTTGTTCATTTATTTGCTTAGATGTTTACTTTGTGTTCTCTCACTATTATGTAAGTGATGAGTCTGCTGGGATCTTCTCTCCTGAACCCTGGATTCCCACTCAACAAGCGTTAGTTTGCTTAGTTTGCATCCTCCTCCCTTTGTAACGTGGTGTTTGTTGCTGATACCGTGTACCTGCTTGAGGAACCTGCTTGAGGAACAAGGCATCAGGCAATGATCACAGCGTTACAAAGGGAGGAGGATGCAAACTAGTAACCTGGTCATGGAGCCAGTCACAGACGTGGCGGGATTTTTCTTCAGTGGTGGGCGGCACAGGAGAGAAAATAGGGGAGACAAATGTTAGGTTGATCCAGGTTCAGGGCCCTGAGATACAAGTGGCTCGTGTGGCAGTGGGACAGGGAGCTGAGGGTGCAGAGGGAGGGCATGTGACACAGTGGAAGGACGGGAGGTCCACAGGGAGATGGGAAGGGTGGGTCAGGGCTCTAGTGGTTTCATTCAAGTGGAACAGCCGATTGGGTGAGAATGAGGAAGTGCGATCAGGAAGGGCAGGCCCTGGTGGTCAGAGGGAACTTCTAGCCTTACATTTCATGGCCAGGGCTGTGGCCACATGGGGGTTGGTAAGCAGAGGGTTAGGTAACAGGAATGAAGGAGGTAGGCTAAGGCAAGAGCCCGGAATGTTAGGGCTTTACTCATGATCAAGGCCCTCCTTGTAGGAGGTCAGAAAAAGTGGGGAAGTCAGTGTGGAGGGGTCGGCAAAGCCACAGGCATGAGGAGCAGGAAGCTGGAGAGAAGCAGGTCTTGCTAGGAAATGAGGGGGAGGAGGTTGGTCACATTCCTAGGTTCTAGGTACTTCTTGGTAGGTTATTGTCTGGAGATAACAGTGACCAGGACAATTTGGGTTCTGCTGGTCCTGGGATAGAGGGGAGCACATGAGGATTGAGCAGCCGGTACTTGGGAGAGTTACCAGGGAGGGGCGGGTGGAGAAGCCGGGGTGCAGCTAAGATGAAGCTGCTGAGATGGGTGTGAATTGGGGCATTTGCAGCCCTGGCATGAGTTCCCGAGGCATAGTGGAAGGAAGGGTTAGAAGAGGAGAGGGCAGAGGAAGGACGGAGTCAGATCCAGGTAGAGATGAGAGAACCCCAGAGGATGGATGTTGCTTGGAGGCCCTTCAGCCTGGGCAGACATTGTGGCTCATAGGAGGAGGGTGTTTTGGACATGAGGGTTGTGAATGAAATGGGTGAGGCCAGGCATAGTGGCATGCACCTGTAGTCGCAGCTACTCGGGAGGCTGAGGCAGGAGAATCGCTCGAGCCCTGGAGTTTGAGACCAGGCCGGGCAACATAGCAAGACCTTTCTCAAAAAAACAGAACTAAGCTGAGTGCGGTGGCTCACGCCTATAATCCCGATACTTTGGTAGGTCAAGACAGGAGGATCACTTGAGCCCTGGAATTCAAGACCAGCCTGGACAACATGGCAAAACCTCATCTCTACAAAAAAACTTAAGAATTATCTGGTCATGGTGGCATGCACTTATAGTCCCAGCTATTTGGAAGGCTGAGGTGGGAGGATTGCTTGAGCCTGGGAGGTTGAGGCTGCAGTGAGCTGTGATCACACCACTGCACTCCAGCCTGGGTGGCAGAGTGAGACCTGTCTCTAATAAAAAAAGAGAACTAAAAAAAAAAAAAAAGTAGATGTATTAACATAAAGAAATGGGTTAGGCTTCGGGTTTCAGGTAGCATGTTTTTAAAACAGCTTTATTGATACATGATCCACATATAGTACATTCACCCATTTAAAATGTGCATACAGGCCGGGCGTGGTGGCTCACTCCTGTAATCCCAGCTCTTCGCAAGGCCAAGGCAGATACATCACTTAAGCCCAGGAGTTCCAGACCAGTGTGGGCAACATGGTGAAACCCTGTCTCTACAAAAAATATAAAAATTAGCTGGGCATGGTGGCCCATGCCTGTAGCCCCTGCAACTTGAGGGGCTGTGGTAGGTGGATCACTTGGGCCTGGGAGGTCGAGGCTGCTGTGAGCTGTGCTCGTGTCACTGCACTCCAGCCTGGGTGACAAAGCTAGACCCTGTCTCAAAAAATAAATAAATAAAATAAAATATAAATAAAATGCATACAGCTCACTGGTGTTTGGTATATTCACAGATATGTGCACTTATCACCAAAGTCACTTTTAGAGTATTTTCATGACCTCAAAAAGCAGCAACTCTGTACCTTTTGGCTGTCTCTCCCCTACCCACCAAGTTCTTCTCCCAGTCCCAGTCCCAGTAGCTACAAGCAACCAGTAGTCTATGTTCCATCTCTGTAGAAGTTTCTATTCTGGACTTTCATGTGAATGGAGTCATATGATATGTAGACTGTTGTGACCGGTTTCTTTCACTTATTGTAATGTTTTCAGGGTTTATCCAAGTTGTAACATGTATCAGAACTTCATTCCTTTATATTGTTGAATAATACTCCATTGAGTAGATATACCGCATTTTGTTTGCCTGTTGATAGGCAATTGGATTGTTTCTACTTTTCACTGTTATTAATTATGCTGCTGTGAATAGTCATATACAAGTTTTTATTTCTCTTGGATATATATACCCCGGAGTTGAATTGCCAAGTCAAATGGTGACTGTATATTTAATTCTTCAAGAAACTGCCAGACTTTTCGCAAGGGGCTGCACAATTTTTTATTTCCACCAGTAGTGTATGAAGGTTCTGATTGCTTTACCTCCTTGGCAGCATTTGTTATTATTTGACTTTTTAATTCTAACCAGACTAGTAGGAGTAGAGTGGTATCTTACCATGGTTTAGATTTGCATTTCTCTGGTAACTAATGATATCAAGCATCTTTTCATTTGCTTATTCACCATTTGTATATCTTCCTTGGAGAAATTGCTCAGGATACTTTGCTTGTTATTGAGTGGGGTAATTTGTGTTTTTCTTATTAAGTTGTAAGAGTTCTTGATATAGTTTAGACACAGTCCCTTAGATATATGATATGCAAATATTTTCTCATTCTGTGGGTTGTCTCTGATGGTGGCATTTGAAGCACAAAAGTTTTACATTTTTATGAAGCCTAATTTACCTATTTTTTTGTTGTTGTTGCTCATGCTTTTGGTGCCATATCAAAGAATCCTTTGCCAAATCCAAGGCCATAGAGACTAACTGCTGTGTTTTCGTCTATGAGTTTTATAGTTTTTTGCTCTTACAAAATGGTATTTGATCCATTTTCAGTCAATATTTGTATGTGGTATAAGGTAGGAGCTCAACTTCATTCTTTTGCGTGTGGCTATCTACTTGTCCCAGCACCATTTGTTGAAAGGATGATTCTTTCCCCATTGAGTGGTTTCGGTGCCCTTGTTGGGGAAATCAATTGACTAGACAGAAATAAACCTATGGGTTTATTTCTCAATTCTGTTCCTTTGATCTGTTTGTTTGTACTTGTGCCAATACCACAATGCCTTGAGTGCTGTTGCTTTGTAGTAAGTTGAAATTGGGAAGTGGGAATCCTCCTGCTTTATTCTTCTTTTTCAGGATTGTTTTGGCTATTTGGAGTCTCTTGCAATTCCTATGAATTTTAAAATCAGCTTGTCAGTTTGTACAAAGAAGACATCTGGGATTCTGATAGTGATCGTGCTTGAATCCATAGATCACTTTGGGCAGTGTTGCCATTTTAAGATGTTAAATTGTCTTCCAGTTCATGAACATGGTATGTTTTTCTGTTTATTTTGATCTCTTAATTTTTTCCAACAATGTTTTGTGGTTTTCAGAGTATACATTTTGTACTTCTTTTGTTAAATGTAATCCTAGGTATTTTATTCTTTTTTTTTTTTTTTTTTTTGAGACAGAGTCTGGCTCTGTCGCCCAGGCTGGAGTGCAGTGGCGTGATCTCCGCTCACTGCAAGCTCCACCTCCCGGGTTCACACCATTCTCCTGCCTCAGCCTCTGAGTAGCTGGGACTACAGGTGCCCGCCACCGCACCCGGCTAATTTTTTTGTATTTTTAGTAGAGATGGGGTTTCACCATGTTAGCTAGGATGGTCTTGATCTCCTGACCTCATGATCCGCCCGTCTCGGCCTCCCAAAGTGCTGGGATTACAGGCGTGAGCCACCGCACCCGACTATTTTATTCTTTTGATGCTATATTTAGGTAGTACTTTGATGGGAAGTTGTGATAGTACTTCTTACTCTTACCAGGTGAAGGGGTAGAGTGAGTAGAATTGAAAAAATGTTTTGTTGGCAGGAGAGAGGGCAGGGCATTTTCTGCTGTTCTTCAGGAGGTTGTGTTCTCAGGTTTTTCACAATCCTTGGGTAAGGCATCGAGGAATACATCAGCCTTCAAAGAATTTCATGCACCCAGCTACCAATGATTTCCCCCTTTTCCCATCATAATCAAAACCCTGTGTGGTGGAAAGGGATGACTGATGAGTGAGTAGCTGAAGATAGCTCCTGGTTAATACAAAGGCAATCCGATTGGACTAATTAACACTAATATTTAAATCACTAATACCACTCCCCCAGCTTCTGAGATTTATCTGCTGTTCCAAAAGATGAAAATTATTAGCACAAACAAATCACTAATTAAAAGAACCTTGGTAGCATAAGCAAAGTGGGAGGTGGGAAAAATGCTTTTGGATTTGGCCTGGGATGTCAAGGTAGTTTTTTGTTTTTTGTCTTTTTAAACTTGCTGTATCATAGTTATATGTATTTTTGAGGTACATGTGACATTTTGATACATATGTACAATGTGTAATGATCAGATCAGGGTAACTGGGATATCCATCACCTCAAGCATTTAAGGACAGTTTTTGAAGAGAGAGAATGTCACAGTACGAGTTAGGAAGCACCTGTGCCAGTGGTCATTTCCTCTCTCTCATATGTAATTTTTCACAGCTTCTTTCCTTTTATTCTGTTTAGTAACTGGGTTGCTTCTTAGTGTGAGTGAGTACAAAGGGAGGTGGAGGTCAGGGCCAACATGCACATGCAGGTATGTTCTCAGTGTCTGCATCTCAGGTAGCACTTTTTCAAAATGACATTCAAATAATTGTGAGGTTAAAATTCTGTAATTTTTTTTGTTTCTTGGATTTTAAACCCTAAATTTGGCCTACTATCAAGTTCATGACCATAAATGGAACTTGTATGTCATAGAGATTAGCAAGTTAGTGGTTTCTTTGATTTATGTCCTATGAACCAGTATTTTTTTAGATTGCTATAAACTTTAAAAAAAGATGTGCTGTCATATCCTCTTTTTTTCTTTTGTGATGAATGGTGGAAAAACTTAAATGCAATTTTATTTGTGTTTCTAACTTTAACTGAATATCAGAGTTCTGCTGTTTTTCCATCTTGGTTTGCCTTTTCTAGTTCTAATCTGGGACTGAGGGAGACAATTTGGGCCTGGTTTGCAGATGGTTCTGCTTGCTCTGCAGGCCCTCCCCAAAAGCGTACGGCTGCCTGCCTTCAGCCCAGCTTTCATGTTTTGGTGCAGCTCTAATTTCTTTTTCTTTTTGTTTGAGTTCCTTTGATTGCCCAAACTGGGGTCACCTTCAAGCCACCTTGAGTAAAGGGATGCTTATGTTAAGGACACTGTGCACAGGGAACCTCAGAGATGCTGGACACGGAAGCCACTGGGAAAGTGGCCCCAGGCAGGCCTGCACACTTCAGCAACCGAAGCTGGCTCCTGTGATTCAGCTTGTCTGGTGGCCAATTTCTGTGGCCTTTAGTGTCTTTTATCTACATCATGGCTCATATATACTTGTGTTATACGGGTATAACACAAGAACCTCTGGTCCCTCAGAACCCCAGCTGTGATGTCATTATCTCTCCAGTTTCTCTTTCATCACTTTCCAGCCTCCATTCTTAAAGAACCACCAAATGTAGTAATATTTCCTAGGTTCAAGTACGAGGAGGGAGCCATTGCCCAGCCCTTTCTTCTTTTTGTGCCAGGCTGTGCCCTAGGTACCCTCTAGCCTGTGGACTGACTTCTTTCGAGTCAGACATCCATCCCTGATCCTCCCTACTGTGTCTGGGGAGGGTCATGACAGCCAGCCGCCTGTAGATCTGCCCTAGGAGCAGGACCTTGGTAGGCTCTTCCCCAGCAGATCTGGGAGGGCCCTGGCACCACCACAGATGTGTCCAGTGCAGAGCCAAGGGCATAGGTAGTATTGAGAGCAGATACGGGAAAACTTGGCACAGAACTAAACATTGAATTTAAAATAACCTCGCAGATGGAATATTCTTTTTTTTTTTTTTTTTTTTTTTTTTGAGACGGAGTCTCGTTCTGTCGCCCAGGCGGGAGTGCTGTGGCGCGATCTCCGCTCACTGCAAGCTCCGCCTTCCGGGTTCACGCCATTCTCCTGCCTCAGCCTCCCGAGTAGCTGGGACTACAGGCGCCCGCCACTGCGCCCGGCTAATTTTTTGTATTTTTAGTAGAGACGGGGTTTCACCGTGGTCTCGATCTCCTGACCTCGTGATCCGCCCGCCTCGGCCTCCCAAAGTGCTGGGATTACAGGCGTGAGCCACCGCGCCCGGCCTGGAATATTCTTAAGAGATGAAAGTAAGGAGTCAGTGATTTTTTTTATTTAAATAGAAAAATAGCTGAACATTGTGGGAGGAAGTGAAACACAGAGTGAAATTAACTTGACTGCTGTTTGTTTTTTGTGGGGAGGGAATAATAAAAGTAACTGAGCACATTAGGTTTTACTTTCTTTTAAAAAACATGTTTTGTTCTTAAACTTTAACAAATGCACTGTAATCTTTTGGCGAAATACAGAAAAAAAGGAAGTAAAAATCAGTCATAATCCTACCACTTAGAAATGACTACTGTTAATTCTTAATTTTATTGTGCATAAGCTCCAGTTCTTAAGTAAATATGTAAAAAAAAAAAAAAGTGCTTTTAAAAAATCACTTAATAATACTGTTTGAGGCCGGGCATAGTGGCTCACGCCTGTAATCCCTACACTTTGAGAGGCTGAAGTGAGTGGATGACTTGAGGTCAGGAGTTCAAGACCAGCCTGGCCAACATGGTGAAACCCCGTCTCTACTAAAAATACAAAAAAATTAGCCGGGCTTGGTGTGCACACCTGTAGTCCCACCTACCGGGGAGGCTGAGGCACGAAAATCCCTTGAACCCAGGAGGCGGAGGTTGCAGTGAGCTGAGATTGTGCCACCGCACTCCAGCCTGGGTGACAGAGCGAGACTGTCTCAAAAAATAACAACAAAAAATCAACAATACTGTTTGAACAGCCCCGATCATTTAATATTCTTTTATAACAATTTATAATGGCTATGAGGTAGTCTGTCATGCAGATGGAACATAATTCATTTTTTTTCTACTCCGCTTATGGACGTTTAGGTTTCCATTTTCTTTGATTGTTTCTTAAAAACACTGCATTTTGAACATTCTTTCCTGTACAAATATTTTGCACATGTAGCACTGATATTTTTTTAGATTGAGTTCCCAGAGGTCAAATTATCGAGTTAAAGAATATAAACAATTTATATTGTTGCTTTTGAAATATATGGCCAAATTATCTTTCAGAAATATTGAAATAGCTCACATTCCTACCAACAGTATTTAGTTCCCATTTCTCATGATCCTTGCCAGCAGTGGATATTATTACAGAAATTTCTAATTTTAAAGAAAAAAATATGGTACTTGTTTTTATTTGCACTTCTGTTAATAGCAAGATGAAACATTTAAGTAGATTATTGACCTTCTTTCAAAAACTTTATTTTTAATTGTGGTAAGAAACACATGAAATTTGCAATCTTACCCATTTTTATTATTTTTTTCACATGGTCTACACCATACTAGTGTATAGACCTTACCACTTTTTAAATGTACACTTCAGTAGCGTTAAGTGTATTCACATTGTTGTACAATAGATCTCTAGATCTTTTTCATTCACAGAAGTGAAACTCTGTATCAGTAAACAAGAATGTTCCATTTCCCCCTTAAATGCTCCTTTCACCCTTTCCTCTAGCCCTTGGCAACCACCATTCTACTTTGTCTTTATCAATTTAATTTCCTTGAAAACCTCATGTAAGTGGAATAATAAAGGATTTGTCTTTTTATGATTGGATTATTTCATTTAGCATAATGTCCTTAAGGTTCGTCCTCTTTTGTAGCATGTGGCAGAATTTCCTTCCCTTTTAAGGTTGAATGGTACCCATTGTATGGAGAGACCACATTTTGCTCATCCATTACATTTCATTGATGGACACTTAGGTTACTTCCACCTCTTGGCTATTGTGAATAATACTGCTGTGGATGTGGACCCACAAATAGCTCTTTGAGAGCCTGCTTTCAGCTCTTTTGGATGGATATCTGGAAGTGGAATTCCTGGATCATGTGGTAGTTTTCTGTAATTTTTTGAGGAACTGCTATACTGTTTTCTATAGCAGCTGCACCATTTTACATTGCTGCCAACAGAAGGGTTCCGATTTCTCCATATCCTCCTCAATGCTTTTTTGGTTTTTTGTTTCTTGGATCTATCCTAACGGGTGTGAGTTAATTTCTCATTGTGGATTAGTGATGTTGAGCATGTTTTCATATGTTTATTGGCCCTTTGCACGTCATCTTTGGAGAAACGTCTATCAATTCCTTTGTCCTTTTTTTTTTTTTTTTTTTTCTGTGAGACAGAGTCTTACTCTGTCACCCAGGCTGGAGTGCAGTGGCATGGTCTTGGCTCACTGCAGCCTCTGCCTCCCTGGCTCAAGCAGCCCTACAACACCAGCCTCCCGAGTGGCCTGGATTTCAGGCACATGCCACCATGTCTGGCTAATTTTTGTGTATTTTGTAGAGGTGGGATAGTAACTTCCCAATGAGTTCACCTTGCCCACTGCCTAGACAGAGCCAATTTATAAAGACGGGAATTGAAACGGCGAGAGAGTAATTTACGCAGACCCCGCTGTGTGGGAGACCAGCGTTGTTGCTGTTGTTTTGAGACTGCATCTCGCTCTGTTGCCCAGGCCTGGAGTGCAGTGGCGTGATCTTGGTTCACGCCATTCTCCTACGTCAGCCTCCCGAGTAGCTGGGACTACAGGCGCCCGCCACCACACCTGGCTAATTTTTTGTATTTTTAGTAGAGACGGGGTTTCACCGTGTTGTTAGCCAGGATGGTCTCGATCTCCTGACCTCGTGATCCGCCCACCTCGGCCTCCCAAAGTGCTGGGATTACAGGTGTGAGCCACTGGGCCCGGCCGGATTAGAGTTTTTAAAGACAATTTGGCGGGTAGGAGCTTAGGAAGTAGGGAGTGCTGATTGGTCAGGTTGGAGATGGAATCGTAGGGGGGTCAAAATGAGGTTTTCTTCCTGTCTTCTGTGCCTGGGTGGGATGGCAGAACTGCTTGAGCCAGATTACCACTCTGGGTGATATCAGCTGATCCTTCCAGTGCAGTTGCAGGGTCTGCAAAGTATCTAAAGCATGGATCTTAGGTTTTGCAATAACGATGTTATCCCCAGGAGCAATTTAGGAAGGTTCAGACCCTTGGAGCCAGAGACTACATGGCCCCTAAATTGTAATTTCTAATCTTGTAGCTAATTTGTTAGTTCTGCAAAGGCAGACTGGACCCCAGGCAAGAAAGGGGTCTTTTCGGGAAAGGGCTGTTACCAGTTTTGTTTCAGAGTCAAACCATGAACTGAATTCCTTCCCGAAGTTAGTTCAGCTTATGCCCAGGAATGAATAAGGACATCTTAAGCGTTAGAAGCAAGATGGAGTCGGTTAGGTCTGATTTCTTTCACTGCCATAATTTCCTCAGTTATAATTTTGCAAAGGCGGTTTCAGGATTTCGCCATGCCGCCCAGACTGGTCTCAAACTTTGAGGTCAAGTGATCCTCCCACCTCAGCATCCCAAAGTGCTGGGATTACAGGCATGTGCCCGGTCTTGCATATTTTTTAAATCGGATTTTTTATTTGTATAAATTTATGGGGTTCAAGTGCAATTTTCTTACATGCCAGGTTGCACAGTGGTGAAGTCAGGCATTTAGGGTTTTTTTCTTTGTTTTTGTTTGTTGTTGTTGAGCTTGATCTTTTTTTTTTTTCTTTTTTTTTTGACAGAGTCTCACTCACCCAGGTTGGAGTGCAGTGGCATGATCTCGGCTCACTGTAACCTCTGCCTCCCAAGTTTAAGCGATTCTCCTGCCTCAGCCTCCCGAGTAGCTGGAATTACAGGGTAGCTGGGATTACAGGCGCCTGCCACCATGCCTGGCTAATTTTTCTATTTTTAGTAGAGACGGGGTTTCACCATATTGGCCAGGGTGGAGTCTCGAACTCCTGACCTTGTGATCCACCTGCCTTGGCCTCCCAAAGTACTGGGATTACAGGCGTGAGTCACCCCACCTGGCCGATCTTTTTTTTTTTTTTTTAAATAGTTGGTTCTGAGACTTTGATCTTGCCAAAAGAAAAAGTTACAAAAAATTTTGTTTAAAAATTAAATTGGCTTTTATTAGTGATTCATGAATCAGGGAGCACCTGATCTAAAGATTTAGAAAAAGTCTTTGCCGTTTTTTTTTTAAATAATGATATAAACCATACTTGTTATTCCTTATTTCATCATTTGAAAAAATATGTGATCCTTTCTCACTCCTTACATGTATAGTCCACAAACTTTTGGTCAGTAGTTTACTTGTCAGTGAGATCTCCCATAGGCATATAGACCAAGCCTAGCATTGCAAATGTTTTGGCCTGTTGACCTCAGAAAGGTATTATTAAGGTATAGTATATATAAGTACTGAAGGCACAGTAATGGCTTGCTCTGTAGTAGGGGTCTGCAAACTACTGCCACCAGTTTTTGTAGATAAAGTTTAACTGGAACCCAGCCATGTTCATTCAGTTAGGCATCTGTGAGTGCCTTTTCACTATGCACTGCAGACTTGAGTAGGAGATGCAGAGACCCTGTGGCCTACAAAACCTCAAATATTTACTATCTGACCCTCTACAGAAAAAGATTGCCAAGTGGTACTTTATAGAATTTTATCTTTGCTTCATAGATATTTTGCATTTTATAGAAAAAGTATTCCAAGGTAGAAAATAGAGGAAGCTTTCTCCTCGAGTTTTCGGTTTGGGCAGATCTGTGTACCATGCTCTCAGGGCAGTGGGGTTGTGAAGAGATACACGAGTCTCTCAGATGAGTCTTCAGGACTGCCATGTTTCCCAGGAAGGGGATAACCCATGTGTCTGCTGCCTGTGTGTATCCAGCTGTAATGTCACCAGCAGGTTTGAGAAATCATTCCTGTTGTTTGATGTGGTTGTGCGATTTTATCTTTTTTCATTTGTTTATTTTAGAGACAGAGTCTCGCTCTGTTGTCTAGGCTGGAGTGTAGTGGTGCAAATAGCTCACTGCAGCCTAACCTCCTGGGCTGAAGGGATCCTCCCACCTCAGCCTCCTGAGTAGTTAGGAATACAGGTGTGCACCACCATCCCTGGCTGATTTTTTGTTTTAAAATGAAAAATTCAAACAATGTGGAAACCAAGCCACGCCCAGCTTGATTGTGAGATTTAATGATTCTTGGAATGGGCTGGGTGCGATGACTCACACCTGTTATTGAGCACTTTGGGAGGCTGAGGCAGGAGGATGGCTTGAGGCCAGGAGTTCGAGACCAGCCTGGGCAACATAGGGATATACCATCTCTACAAAAATTTAAAAAAATTAGTCAGGCATGGTGGCTTGTTCCTGTAGTCTCGGCTGCTAGGGAGGCTGAGGTGGGAGGATCACTTGAGCCTAGGAATCTGAGGCAACAGTGAGCTATAATTGTGCCACTGCATTCTAGCCTGGGTGACAGTGAGACCCTGTCTCTAAAATGAAATAAAATAAAAATAATAATTCTTACAATGAAGGTAAGAGAGAAGGAGAATGGGTGGCCATCCAGGTGTGATGGGGGTTCTTCATTGGTGGAAGAGAGAGAATACTCTAGAGACAGCCTAGCAGAGGACACTGGGAGGCAGATATCCATACTTGGCATAACAGTCTTTCAGTGAGACAAGAATTCTCTATGTGCATTTTTTTTTTTTTGAGATGGAGTCTCGCTCTGTTGTCCAGGCTGGAGTGCAGTGGTGTGATCTTGACTCACTGCAACCTTGGCTTCCTGGGTTCAAGCAGTTCTCCTGTCTCAGCCTCCCAAGTAGCTGTTTATGCCAGCATGCCCGGCTAATTTTTGTATTTTCAGTAGAGACAGGGTTTCACCATATTGGTCAGGCTGGTCTTGAACTCCTGACCTCAAATTATCTATCTGCTTCAGCCTCCCAAAGTGCTGGGATTACAGGCATGAGCCACCACACCCAGCCCTCTATGTGCATTATTATGACAGACACATAAGGTAGCCTGGGGAGTTTGGAAATCTATACAAACCTAAAATTTTCCAACTCACCTAAAGGGCTTAGTTTTGTCAGGGAGCAATTTCTTTTTCTCTCTCTTTCTCTTTCTGTCCTTCTCCCTTCCCTTCCCTTCCCTCCCCTCCCCTCTTTCTCTGTTTCTCTTCTTTCTCTCTCTCTCTCTCTTTCTTTCTTTCCTTCTTTCCTTTCTTCTTTCTTTTTTTTTTTTTTTTAGATGCAGTCTTGCTCTTGTTGCCCAGGCTGGAGTGCAGTGGCACGATCTTGGCTCACTGCAACCTGCACCTCCCAAGTTCAAGTGATTCTCCTGCCTCAGCCTCCCAAGTAGCTGGGATTATAGGCATGTGCCACCATACCCGGCTGATTTTTGTATTTTTAGTAGAGACGGGGTTTCACCATGTTTGCCAGGCTGGTCTCAAACTCCTGACCTCAGGTGATATGGCTGCCTAGGCCTCCCAAAGTGTTGGGATTACAGGCGTGAGCCACTGCGCCTGGCCTCAGGGAGCAATTTCTGATTGGCAGCTTTGGTTTGCTAAATTATAGACAGTTGACCTTTTATCTCAAACCATACAATTGCGCTGTCATTGAATTTCCTTCTCCCCACCAGTAAATGCCATGGCAAGTTCTAGTACCAAATGATACTTTCTCTTGTGTCATAAAGGTAGCATCTCTTAATACATTTGAATTTGCTATTTATTTTACATGAAATAAAAATAATTTATGTTAAAATTACTATTCTGAGAGCATTATGCTATTTACTGTATTTAAAATAATTATTACTTTAAAAAGTTTAAAATTAATGTTACTAGGAAAATTCAGACAATATGGAAGTGTATAGAGCTTAGAAAATGACATGATCACCATTTTCACTGTACAGATTTACAGTATTAGAGGTTGACCATGATAGTTCACTGTGATGTTTTGGAACAACTGGTTGAAACTGCTTTCAACTTTCCCAAGTTTCCTATTTTCTTTTTTATTTTCTTTTTTATATTTTGAGACAGGGTCTCACTGTAACCCAGGCTGGAGTGCAGTGGCATGATCATGGCTCACCGCAGCGTTGACCTCCCAGGCTCAAGCAGTCCTCCCACCTCAGCCTCCCAAGTAGTAGCTGGGACCACAGGCGCATGCTATCATGCCCAGCTAATTTTTGTATTTTTTGTAGAGATGGGGTTTCGCCATGTTATCCAGGCTGGTCTTGAACTCCTAAGTGATCTGCCCGCCTCAACCTCCCAAAGTGCTGAGATTACAGGTGTGAGCCCCCGGGGCCAGTTTCCTACTTCATAGTTGGACTTGGTCTGTAGCATCTTAAGGTGGCCAATTATCAGACTCCTATTAGATAGAACTGCAGAGTTCTGCCTGGCTGGGAAAAGCTCAAGCCCTTTGGGGAAATTTAAGACCCCAACTTTGAACCATTTGTTCACATTACAGAGTCATGGAGGCAGCCTGTGGCATTGGAAGGCCACCCTAGGGAAGCAGACTGGCTTTGGTTGCAGTGGAACTTGAGCACTTGCACTCTTTCATAGTGTGACCTTGGGCAACTTAACCCCTTAACCCCTCTGACCTTCCGCTTTCTTGTGAAGTGGGGATATTCAAATCCTCACAGGACAGTTGTGAAGTTTAATTACACAAGGAAACACAGCTATGCCCTGGTGGAGAAATTCAGTCAAATGGGAGAGACAGAGGGTATCTAAACATCATGATGCAAGCGAAGTTAATGGCACCAGGGGACTGCACAGCACGCGGTTGTGTAATGGGGCAGAGAGCCCGGGAAGTGATTTCTGTGCAGAATCCTGGCAGAGTTTGCTGGTGCCTGGAAAGGGTGAAAGTATGAGGGTAGAGGTTCAGCCGTGTGGAGCACGTGATGTGTGTGGGGAGCATGGGCAGATCCTGAGATGGTGGAACCCACCGGCTAACTTGGCTCTGGTGCAGGAATCCCATGATAACCGGACTTGAGCCGCTCCTCCTCCTGGCCTCCTCCCCTTGGCATGACCCAGGCCTTCTGTGTAGAGGGCCTTTTTCCTTTTGCTTTCCTGGCTATCTCACACCATCCTTTAGGCCTCAGCGGAAGTGCCATTTTCTCAGTAAACCCTCTCCACCCCCACTTAGTCCCTCCATTCTTTAAAGTTTTGTTTTAAATGGTAAAAAACACACAACCTAAAATGTACCATCTGATCCATTTCTAGGTGTACAGTTCAGTGGTGTGAAGGATGTTCACATTGTTGTGCCGTTGATCTCCTGAACTCTTTTCATCTTGCACAACTGAAACTCTGTACCCACTCAGCTGCCCCCCACCCCCTCTCCCTCCCATACTTGGCAGCCACCATTCTACTTTCTGTCTCTGAATTTTTTTTTTTTTTTTTTTTGAGATGAGGTCTCTCACTCAAGCTGGAGTGCAGTAGCACAGTCTCAGCTCACTGCAACTTTTGCTTCCCAGGCTCAAGTGATCCTCCTACCTCAGCCTCCTGAGTAGCTGAGACCACGGGCGTGCCATGACTCCCGGATAAGTTTTTGTTTTTGGTAGAGTTGGGGTTTTGCCCTGTTGGCCAGGCTGGTCTCTAACTCCTGACCTCAGGTAATCTGCTTGCCTTGGCCTCCCAAAGTGCTAGGATTACAGGTGTGAGCCACCACCTGGCCTCTGCCTCTGAATGTGACTGCTCTTGGTACTTCATACAAGTGGAATCATACGGTGTCTGTCTTTTTGTGACTGGCTTATTTCATTTGGCCTGTGTCCTCCAGGTTTATCCCTGTTGTGTGTTTTTCCATTCCTATCACACGGTGTCCTTTCCTATCAGTTCCACATTATAATTAGGAAGTCGCCTCCAAAGCTCTGAGCCTGCTGTGTACTCCACCGTGTGTCCTGCTTGCACCTCAGCCCATGGCACATAGCAGGAGCTCCACAAAGAGTGACTGAACGGAATCTCCAGTTCCAACCCCAGTCTGTCTTTCCAACCTAATCTCGACTGGTCCCCTCTTGACTAGCTTCTTATAGCTGCGGCAATAAGTTACCACAAGCTTGATATTTAGAACAGCAGAAATTTATTCTGTTACAATTTGGGATGCTGGAAGTCCAAAATCCAGGTGGCAGCAGAGCCCTGCTCCCCTGCAGAGGCCCTAGGGCAGAATCCCCGCCTTGCTTCTTCCAGCCCCAGGGGCTCCATGGCTGGGGGCTGCATCCCTCCCCCTCCTCCGTCTTCGTCTTCACATGTTCTTCTCTGTGTTCTCCTCTCTTTCTCTTATATGGGCACTTGCCATCAGATTTAGGGTTCACTCCAGTCATCCAGGATGATTTTATCTTGAGATTCTTAATTATGTCTCCAAAGACTCTTTTTTCAAATAAAGTCACATTCACAGGTTCTGTGGATCAGGACATGGACCTATCTTTATGGCAGCCACAATTCCACCCCACTACACCCTCTGAGAACCCTGTCCCCCAGCTGATCTGGCCTGGTCACGATCTCTGGACCATAGGGCACGCTTTTCACCAGGCTCTGTGGGTGTTGTTGTTGCTCCTCCGCTCCCCTGGAGGTCCTGCTTTTTTTCCTTGAACACTGCGATCCCCTGCTCTCCCATTCCCTCTCCATGGGTCCTCTGACTGCTCCAGGGGAGAGGGACTCCCTTCCTCTTGGAAAGCTTCCTGCTGCTGCTCGGGTGCAGCTCGCTTGCCCCTTCCAGAGGCCCTGTGGGGTCTCTCGTCTGCACCTCCACACGGCCCTGGAAGCGGAGCCTGTGTTCCTGCTTCCCTGTGTTCCCTATGGTGCCAGTGACATGAGTATAGAGACTCTGGGAATACGTGTGGGGGATAATAGGGACCCGGAAAGTGGGCTCAGACACATAC
Organism: Homo sapiens; assembly: GCF_000001405.40. Taxonomy (NCBI): domain Eukaryota; kingdom Metazoa; phylum Chordata; class Mammalia; order Primates; family Hominidae; genus Homo; species Homo sapiens. The sequence goes on from NC_000007.14 coordinate 26,345,668, forward strand.
TGATATTATCAAAGTGAAGGCAAATAGTAGACCTGCAGTCATAGTCACCCTCAGTTGTAAGAATACATATGTGTGGATATAGGCAGGGAATTTAAATTTGCTTTTTGTTTTTGGCAGGGAGCAGGTGTTAAATCTAATGAGCTTACATACCAAGTGGGTTTAAAGAACAATTGACAACCCCAGAGACATGCAGGGCCTGGAATCAAACAACAGGCTGGCTGCACTGCTCAGAAGGTCAGAGTCAAGGTCCTGGCTTTATCCCGCTGAGGGCCACACCATCTCTTATGTGACCTCTGGAGTAATATAAGTGTCACAGGAAGGGCCTGATCCCAGAAGGTTTGAGTTTCCGGTAAAAGCGTCAGGGCTGCCTCTGGTGGTGGATCTCTCTGCGCGTCTTTTCCAGCCAGCATCCCCCCGCACATGGCTTCTGCTCCCCGGCATCTCCAGCTTCCTCGCCAATTCACTAAGGCTCCAGCCCCAGCCTGACTGGCTGGCCTTGCGGTTTGAAGGTCTGTCATCATCCAGCTGCCTTGGACTCTTTGGGGTCCAGACTCCTAACCCCTGGTGTGGACTGATGTTCACCTTGGTCCTGCCAGCAGGAGAGGGCAGCGTGGGAGGAGCAGAGGCTCACATGTCAGGGACTGTGGGGCGGGGGGGGCTCTGTCAGGGGATTTGGGTGGGAGGCCATGAGTGGTGTATCCACTCCAGTTTGGAGGTTCCAAATGACCCAGTGTGGATATCTTATTTTTCAGATTGATCGTGTCCTGTGCTGAAGATGTTTCCGGAACAACAGAAAGAGGTATGTCATCACAAATCCAAAAATAAATAACCCACTTATTTTGATTCACACAGGTTAGTTCTTCATTTGCGAACCATAAACCCATGGGTTGCTTGAGGAGGTTTCATGAAAGACCAAAGGCCCACCCTCCTGTACCTGCTCCTCTACTCCCACCATTGGTGCCTGCATAGCCTTCATTTTGGGTTCCAGTGACTCAGCTGTGGAGCACATTCCCACCCACAGCTCGTGACTCAGAATTCTCCCAGGCTCTGCCTCCCACCCCTTGGCTTGGAGCAGTATCCATCCAGTCTGCCTTCCTGCTTTTTTACTCCATTGACTCATCCCTGAATTCTCCTTCCTTCAGGTAGCAGCCCAGGGGAATTTCTGCCATTAGTTTCAGGTTTGCCCCACTTGTTGCCTGGGCTTGGTTTCATACAACACTGGCAAAACTGGCCCTTCTGCCTGCAGCCTGGCTTCCCAGGCCTCCATGCCCGCCCCCTGAGCCTCTCCCTGACTGGGAGGAGCGTAGGACAGCCCTCATGCCAGCCCCGGCTGAGTGTCCCTCCTTTGGCAGTACGCATTGCCCTGCCTGCTGTGGTGCAGTGCACATCATCACTTGGTGAGGCTGATGAAGTGGAGAAGCAGCACAGGGGCCTGTCTAGGGAGTGTGCACACACACGTGCACACACATGCACACGAGTCACACATTCACACAGTCACATGGTCCCAGCTCACCCTGCACAAGTGGAAAGCATGAAACCATTTATTTCAGAGAATCTTTCCAGAAAGTCCTTTGCTAGCTCTCACATCTTTAATTTCAGCCCTATCTTTGGCTTCAGGTTCTTCTCAGCAGTCCAGCCTTGCTTGCATCCCTTAACTCTAGGCTGGGCTTCCCCATTTTCAAAGGCAGTGTTTTGGTTTGTTTTTTAACTTTTAAAAATTGGGCTAGACGGGCATGGTGGCCTGTGCCTGTGGTCCTATGTACTCAGGAGGCTGAGGTGGGAGGATTGCTTGAGCCTGGGAGCCAGAGGTTGCAGTGAGCCAAGATTACGCCACCACACTTCAGCCCCGGCGACAGAGCAAGACCCTGTCTCAAACGAAAAACCAAAAACCAAAATAATTGGCTGGGCACCATGACTCATGCCTGTAATCCCAGCACTTTGGGAGACCGAGGTGGTTGGATTACTTGAGGTCAGGAGTTCGAGACCAGCCTGTCCAACATGGGGAAACCCCATCTCTACTAAAAATACCAAAATTAGCTGGGCGTAGTGGCATGCGTCTGTAGTTCCAGCTACTTGGGAGGCTGAGGCACAAGAATCTCTTGAACCTGGGAGGTGGAGGTTGCAGTGGGCTGAGATCATGCCACTGCACTCCAGCCTGGGTGACAAAGCGAGACTCTGTCTCAGAAAAAACCCACAAAAAACAAAAAAATTGGGCTATAATATGTATAGTAAAATGCATAAAGTGTTCCAATCTTATGTATGTAGCTCAATGGATTTTTGTCTTTTTGTTTTAGTAGAGACAGGGTCTCTCTTTGTTGCCTAGATTGGTCTCGAACTTCTGGCTTCAAGCAGTCCTCCTGCCTCAGCCTCCCAAAGAGCTGGGATTGCAGACATGAGCCACTGATCATGGCCTAAATGGATTTTTATATACCTGTGTAACTACCACTCAGATCAAAGTATAGATGTTTCTGGCTCCCCAGAAGGTACCGTGTGCCCTTTTCCAGTCAGTCCCCCTCACTTCCACCCCTAGAGGTGACCTTCCACAATACCTATACCAGGCATGCTTTTTTCCATCTCATTTTAAGTAATCCTGAGACCAAGCTGCTTGTTCCGGGAAATACCCGCCCATGAAGTTAATGAAACTGCAAGGTTAAGGGCATAGTTCCCACAGGACTGCCCTTGTCTTCAACACCAATTGCAAGCTTGGGGCTTTCCTGAACCACCTTCAAGTTTAATAATTCACAAGAAAAACTCACAGAACTCAGAGCTATTATCCTCACAGACGCTGCTTTTTATAGAGAAAGAACACAAACGAGAACCAGCCAAAGCAAGAGCTGGACGCATGGGCAGTCAGGTGGGGTCCAAGGACAGAGCTTCTGGTCGTCCTCCCAAAGGAGCCATGGGCGGAGTTATCCTCCCAGCACCCATGTGTGGCAGTGTGCAGAGTCACTTGGTGTAGCTGGAATGATCGCCTGGCGTCAAATCCATTGCCCTTAGAACAAAGTCAAAACACCTGCACGTGGTCTCTAGCACTCTGCAGGATCCAAACCTCCTTCTTTCTCCAGACTTCTTTCCTGTGCCCCACCTACCACTCCAGTGCACTTCTTGTTCCTTATTTCAGAGCTTATTTTAGAGCCTTGAATGCTCCATGCACTCTGACCCCCATGGACTTTTACAGATGTTTTTTTCCACTGCCTGGAATAATCTCTTCCCCTAGCCTTTGTACTGTGTTGACTGGCTAACTTCTACTTATCCTTCAGGCATTGGCTTAGAAGTCAAGAAGAAGCTTTCTAAACCTTTAACTATAAAAGATATTTTTATCTAATCAGCTCCTCAACAGCACCCTGTAGTCAATGCCAGTTAGAAATAGAGAAGGTTTAGGTCAAGCCTTTCATATCCTAGTGTCTGGTTGTTTAGTGGAAAGTAATTCAGGTTCCACCTAATCGAATATGTAAGGACCAAATGCAGTATGACTGATTGTTTTGGAATCTAGACCAAGGGTACAGTGAGTATGGAAGCACTTTTCTCTCAGTACCCACAGCAAACATTACTAATTAATCATGAGGTTGGCACGTGAATTGAGATTTATTTACCATCCTCGTAACAAGATTCATACAGCCTGGGAGTGACATCTTGGTTCTGTCTAAATGGTAGTACTGACCTTAAAATTTAGTAATTTTTTTTTTTTTTTTACATTTTGGGGGTGAGGAATCAAATGTAGTCTCTCTTGTTAAAACAGCTTTATGACTGTAATAAATCTAGAAAGAGGAGAAAAGGGAGTGAGAATCTCCCTTGTTAGTTAAGCATGTTCCATTTGCACATTGGTTTGAATTCCCAGGAGAGCAGTATCCGAGCTGATGGATCTTCTCCATAAAAAGGCCTTGGCATTGGGCCATTGTGAAATTAAAATGAATTCAGAGTCATTCATGCATGCAACTTTAATTTACAATTAAAATATTATGGTTACATATTTTAATAAGAATAATTAGATGGACCCAACTGAATCAACTCTTCTGTTTAATGAGACAGAACCCAGACTCCAAATGGAAAGGCAGGTGGCTGTGACAGGAAGCGCATTTCAGACAGTGTCTTTTGTGGAGCTAGGCATTTTTATTCTTTTTATATTCGAATGTCCAGAGTGAGCTGTTTGATTTTTCTACACTACTCAGGATGCTTGCCTCAGCCTTGCTGAACTCATCTTGTGGGGTGTATGAGTGAGCATTTGCTCCAGCTGCACACAGTCCCTTTCATGGAGTCGGACATTCTTGCCCAAGCGCCTGCTCCCTCCTCCATAAGGGCACTGGGCTCTTTCCTTGGCACAGGGCTCACTTGGTGTAACTAGACTGTTCCTCCCTGTGTGATGTGACCTGAAGTGTGGGCTGAAACCCCTTTTGAATGTATGTGTGCATGCGTGCATATCTCCCCTGCTCTCCTGGATCATGATGGCTGCATTCTACTTTTAGAGATTCATCCCTTTAGGATAACTGATTTTCCCCTTCCCAAATGCACATGCTTCATACTAGGTATAACAGCAGCTTCTAGGCAACTCCAGTTATTGACACCTTAGCGATGATATATCCATCACTTCTTTGGCAGGGAATATCCTGAGTAGGACAGGCCGAAGTGGGCCCCAGAGAGTTGCACAAACCATGAGGACCCCACCACTGAGGGAGGAGATGGGGCACTATGGGGAGAGCCGGCAGGGAGGGATGTGTTGCCATTTTGGATGAGCAGCCCCTAAGGTTAATATTAATATGTCTAAGATATGCTTATGCTGACCCATGGTAATATTTTGGACTTCCTCTAGGAAAGCATGCTTTTGATATTCGGAAACTGACTGGAAACTGACTGGTCTGGAACTGATGAATACCTTTAACAAATAAATAATATTAGCTAGGATCCTGTGATGCTGGGTACTTTGATGGGAAGCAACAAGACAGAACATTTTCTCACTCCCCAAAACCTAAATTTGTTGTTCCTCTCTCCCTCCTTTCTTCCTCCCTTTTTCCCCTCCCACCCTCCCTCCCTCCATTTTTCTCAGTCTCTGTTATACTCAGTTATTAAGTGTTCCTGTTTGAAAAAATAGTTAAGTTTCCATAAGAGGCAATTTACAGTCTTCTGTAAGCAAAGAAAGGCAGCTGGGAATATTGTCTTCACACATACACACCAGGTTTCAGAGAAGGCTGTTACCATTCTGAGCGCTACATTAGTGTTACAGGTACTGTGAGGACTCTGATATTTTTTTCTGAGCTTGTCCCAGAGAAAGATCTTCATTCCTTTTTTTTTTCTTAACTCTTCTTCCAGATTTTAAAATAATTGTTCACTGCAGAACATTTTTGGAAAAGTATACAGGAAAAAATAAAACTTTGAGCTATTTCTTTCTAGTCTTTTTCTATATATATGTATATGTCATTTTTAGAAAATTGAGATCATACAGAATTTATAGTTTAATATCTCACTCTTCCAGCTCAGTGTTCTAACACATTTCAAGAAATACTTCACCAGCTCTGATTAAATTAGAAGTGGCTTAGGAAAAGAAAGAATTAGTAAACATAAATTCATCTTTGAATTGTTAAGAAATGAACAAAGAATAACTTTACAGTGGAGAAATCTGACAAACACTTCCTCAGCCAGGTGATCACTGTTAACACCCACAGTGATGTTATGTTGCTAGCATGTGGAAGTGATATCACCTGGAAGTGATAAAAATGGCACTTTACCCTCTGAAATAGGTAGCCTTCCTTCCAAAAACCTATAACACCAATCTAATCATGAGACAAACATCAGACAAATCTGCAGAATACCTGCGAGGGCTCCTCAAATTGTCAAGGTCATGAAAAACAAGGAATGCCTGAGAAGCTGTCATAGCCAAGAGGAGCCCAAGGAAACACAATGACCAAATATAATGTATCTCGAGTGGGATCCTGGAACAACAGATTAATGACATTAGGTGAAAACTAAAGCAATCAAGCAGTCTGGTTTTTTTTTTTTGTTTTTTTTTTTTTTTGAGACCGAGTCTCTCTCTGTCGCCCAGGCTGGAGTGCAGTGGTGCGATCTCGACTCACTGCAAGCTCCACCTCCCGGGTTCACACCATTCTCCTGCCTCAGCCTCCTGAGTAGCTGGGACTACAGGTGCCTGCCACCACGCCCAGCCAATTTTTTGTATTTTTAGTAGAGGCGGGGTTTCACCATGTTAGCCAGGATGGTCTAGATCTCCTGACCTCGTGATCCGCCCGCCTCGGCCTCCCAAAGTGCTGGGATTACAGGTGTGAGCCACTGTGCCCGACCAGCAATCTTAATGAAGTATGGACTTCAGTTAATAATAACATGTCAATATTGATTAATGAATTGTTACAAAGGCAGCATGCTAATATAAAATGTTAATAATAGGGGAAGCTGGGTGTGGGATATGTAGGACCACTCTGTACTATCTTCATAATTTCTCTATATCTAAAACTGTTTAAAATAAAAAGTTTATTTTAAAACAAATATCATTGACATATATATGCTCACATAAAAAGATTCTGAAAGATTGTATAGTGAATAAACCAATAAACAAAATAGTATTTATAAATGTAGGTTATGCTCCTGTTTGTGTTAAAAAATTGCATAAAGCTGGGTGTGTTGGTGCATGCATGTAATTCCAGCTACTTGGCCAAGGCGAGATCACTTGAGCCCAGGAGTTCAAGGCTGCATTGAGCGATCATCAATAGCCACAACATTCCACCCTATGCAATGGAGTAAGACCTTGCCTCTTCAACCCCCAAAACAAAAAAATACGCAAGGTAGAGATGATAATAAAATGAACCCCCATATGTGTACCTACCAACCAGCTTCAACAATTTACTAACTCATTATTAACTCATAGCCGAGCTATATCCCCACCCCACCTATTTCCTCCTGCTACCACAGTCAATTATTTGGAAACAAATTCTAGATATTATATAATTTCATCTGTAAATATTTCAGTATGCATTTCTAACAAATGACCTTTTTAAAAAATGAACCACATAATCACATGTTAAATAATTAAACAATTCCTTCATATCATCAAATATTCAATGTGCAAATTACCTTGATTATTTTGAAAAAAATTATATACTTGGTTGTTCTAATTCTCTATTTAATTAGGATTCAGATAAGGACCACACATTGCATTTGGTTGATACATTGTTTAAAGTCTTTAATTCTCTCTTTTCCCCCTTTTGCAATTTATTTGTGGAAGAAATTGCATCTTTTGCCTTATGGAGGTTTTCACATTCTAGATTTTGCTGATTGCATCCTTGTGGATGCCAATTATTTCTTACTGCAGAAGAGGAGGTTTTTTTTTTCTGCACTTTTCCTGATGTGTTACAAGATATGAAAAGGTAACTCGCTGATTTGGGATACTACTTGTGTAAAGAAACTTGCAACATTGTGAGCTATTATAAGTCATGTAAAAGGCAGGTCTAGCTAAATCTCATTCACAGTTGTTTATCCTGAAGTAATAAAAGCTTCTCAAAAAATCATCATTCAGTACCACCAGAGGATGGTATTTAAACATACTCCATGCTGTAGAGTGGCAAGTAATATCCCTTGTCATATGTCTCTTAAGTTATTTGTTACAGCTGTTATTAGGAAATAAAGAAAGGTTGCTTGATATATTCCTTTTGCCCTTCTATTTTGTTATTTGTAAAGAATATAGTATATGAAATGTGCTAGATTTTAGTTGTGAAATTGTTATATGGGGGTCCTGAATAGCACTCTGGTGATTAACACACTGGTAAATGCTTTTTTTTTTTTTTTTTTTTTTTGGTGGGGAGACAGAGTCTTGGTCTGTCGGCCAGGCTGGAGTGCAGTGGCACGATCTCAGTTGCTCACTGCAACCTCCGCCTCCCAGACTCACGCAATTCTCCTGCCTCAGCCTCCCGAGTAGCTGGGATTACAAGTGTGTGCCACCACACCTGGCTAATTTTTGTATTTTTAGCAGAGACGGGGTTTCACCATGTTGGCCAGGCTGTTCTCAAACTCCTCACCTCAGGTAATCTGCCTGCCTTGGCCTCCCAAAGTGCTGGGATTATAGGCTTGAGCCACCACGCCCAGCCCACACTGGTAAATTCTATAATCATTAGTTGTATGGAAAAGTACCTAGCGCATTGTTGTTGCACAATATATTTTAAGTGAATGAATGAGTCTCCAGTGTAAATACATGAACATGTAAAACACTACTTTGAAATAGGAAAAAAAATGTCCCAAGAAAAAGAACAAACTGAGACAAGTTTACATTTTTATGTTAGAAAATTCTCATCAAAGCTATGAAAAATTAGTATTCACTTAACACCTAGACATTCTGCTTTATTAGCTTTCGTCTTTTGTGATCTTTCTGTAATCTAAGTAAATATTTTTACAGTTAACACCTACTCATCTTTACTGTGCTACAAAGATTCAAACTAAGCTATGATGGAAAATTTTAAAAAACACACCTATCACAATGGCTAAAATAAAAAATAGTGATAATCCCCCTGGAAACTGTAATAGGTATGTATGATATATCATTGTAGGGTTAATTGTATTTCCCTAGTGGTTAACGATGTCGAACATCTTTCTACGTGCTTGTTTGCCATCTGTATGCCCTATTTGGGTGAAATGTCTCTTCATATCTTTTGCTTGTTTTCTAATTGAATTCTATTTTTTAAATAAGAGTAAGTGAATGAGTGTTTTGAGACAGGGTCTCTCTTGTTGAGGCTGGAGTGCAGTGGTGTGATCTCAGCTCACTGCAACCTCCCACCCACCCACCAGGCTCAAGCAATCCTCCCACCTCAGCTTCCTGAGTAGCTGGGACTACAAGTGTGAGCCAGTACACTCAGCTAATTTTTAATTAGTTTTTAAATGTTTGTTTAAATGTTTGTTTAATTAGTTTTTAAATGTTTCACCATGTTTCCCAGGCTGGTCTTGAACTCCTGAGCTCAAGTGATCCTCCCACCTTGGCCTCCCAAAGTGCTGGGATTACAGGAGAGAGCCACCTCACCCGTCTGATAGTTTTGTTTTTTTTTAAAATATATTCTAGATGCAAGTCCTTTATGGGATGTGTAGTTTGCAAATATTTCTTCAATCTTTAATTTGCCCTTTTAACCTTATTCACGGCATCTTTTGCAAAGCAAAGATTTTTAGTTTGGTGAAGCCTAATTGATCACTTTTTCCTTATGTGGATTGCCCTTTTGAGATAAGTTGAAGAACTCTTCTCCTAGTCCTAGGCCGAAAGATTTTCTTTGATTTTTTTTTTTTCTAAAAGTTTTTCTAAAAGTTTTCTCTGATGTTTTGTGTTTGACATTTACATCTGTGGTTTGGTTGGTGTTGATTTTTGTATAAGGTGCACGCTTTAGGTTGAGGTTCATCTCTTGGCCTGTGGATGTCCAGTTGTTCCATAATCATTTGTTGAGAGGCTTTTCCTTCTCCTTTGAATTGTTTTTGCACCTTTGTCAAAAATCAGGTGGGCGTATTTGTGTAGGTCTCCCTCTGGGTTTTCTGTTCTCTTTCACTGATCTTCTGTGTCTATCCCTCTCTAGGACTCCATTGTCTTGCTGCTGTAGCCTTAACATTGGGAAGAAGGCTTCCTCCCACTTTATTCTTTTTCAAAAATTTTTTGGCTATTCTAAGACATTTCCCTTTCCATATAAATTTTAGAATAAGCCCATCTATGTCTTCAAAAAAAGTCTTGCTGAGATTTTTTATAGGAATTGTGTTAAACCTACAGATCAATTTGGGGAGAATTTCTCTCTTTACTATGTTGCGTCTTCCAATTTATGAACATAGTGTGTCTCTGCTTTGATTCCTTTCAATAGCATCTTAGATTTTCAGCATAGAGGACCTCTGCTTTTTAAAAAATCTTGTCAATCAGTTGGTTAATTCTGAAACATTTAATATGCACTTACTATGTGCTAGTACCATGCTTGGTGCTAGAAATACAAAAATGAAATACAAAGCTTTAAGAAGCCAGAAGGACAGAGTTTGAGAAGAGCATGTTGTCTGAACTGGCATTTTAGCTAATAAAAGCAGAAAAAACTTCCCCCTCCAAAACAATACAATTACAGTGAAATTGGAAATTGCCTAATATTTATTATTAGTAAAAGAATCACGAGATAGAACATGTTTGAGAGTACAGTCTTTGGAACAAGGCAGATCTGAGTTTGAAACTTAGCTCAGGCTGGTCATTTGACTTTGGGCCAGTTGCTTAAGCTTTAGAAGCCTCATTTAAAAAATCTGTAAAGTAGGATGAGAATATACTGAGCTCTGAGGGTTGTTGTAAAGATTGAAGAAAACATTTGTGAAACGGTATAATGCCTGCCACATGTCAAGTGCCCTGGTATAATACAATACAGTTATTTTTATTATTAGTTTCATCTCACTTAAGGGCTAAGGAAAAAAATGATAGGGTAGAAGTGGATAATGGTCAAACCTGGGGTGTGGGGATGGGGGAAAAACAGGGAACATTGAAATCAAAGGCTGATTATTATAGGATAACACAGGAATTAGATCTTCAAAGAGTCTAGGAGTCTTTCTTTAGAAGTCTGTTTTCACATGGAGAACAGCAGGGACAGTTAGTCTAAATTTTTAATTCCACTCTGCCTGGCTTTCTCATACTACATATAGTCATTAGGCCCAAGAAGTCATTAAAGTGTTTAATAAGGTTATTAAATTGACTAACTGCAGCTGCTGAAGCAATTTTCCTAGGAAATCCATATGATTCTAGGTAAGGGGCTGTGGAACTGTCCTCTGTGGCTGACAGCCTGTCAACATTCCTTTGAAGGATGGCGGGCAGTGTCGTGAGGGATGCGTCTAATTAAGAGATTAGAGGTGAACCTTGGCTTCCTGGGTGTGCTATTTGTAGCTGAGAGTATGGGGAAACTTCACTAATTCCTACTAATTGCAGAGTGGGGGAGGAGGAGACCCATGTGAATTATAGAATATTTTAAAATAAATGTACTTTTATTACTTTCAAGTACATATTTTAACTCCCACTAGGCCAACAAATTGTTGCCTGGTACAAGTCTTAGGGGACTAAGTTACTGAAGCTATCAGAAGGATTTTCAATTATTTCTATGTAAATAGGTGCTTCTGGAGTTCTTTAGGGTGCTAGAAAACAGTTTGTTCTCCCAGATCTTAAACATTGCTCTTGGATCCTTATGCTGTTAATTGGCACATCCTTAGAGGAAGGGGTTTGTTAAATTAAGATAAACTTAGACCAGCTGCTAAATAACTTATCATTAATTCATGGAGCCCAAGAACCCAAGTAGATGAGGTTTTAATTTCAAGTGAAGTTTGATTTTCCTTTCCTGAAGGCAGTTTGTTTATTCCTACAGGCATTTATTTATTCATTAAATGATACTAATGGAAGGCATTGGATGTATGAGGCATTCAAGTCTTACAAGACAGCCTAAGCTGCCCTACAGGAGCTTAGCGTCTGCTAGAGGAGGCCTACAGGTAATTACAATACAGCACAGTAGGATGTGGTGAGTAGGGACTATGCCCAAGGCAATCCCAGAGACATTAGGGGCCCAGAGGAGGGTCAAATAAGTCATACTGGGTGAATCTGAGAAGGGTTCCCAGAAAAAGTGGTGACCGAGTTGCATTTGAAAAATGAATTGGAGTTGGCAAAAAATAGTAGAAGAAAAGAGAAGATTAAAAAAAAAAAAAAAAAAAGGCAGTAGGGTGGCCTAGCAATCCAGGCAGAGAACAGCTTAGTTAAAGGCATGGAAGTGTGAAGTGGCATGTTGCTTATGGGGACCTATGCTTAGCCTTTGAAGATAAGCAGAGTGAAAATCATGAAAGGCTGTATTGTGCTAGCTGAGGAGTTTGAACTTGAAGGTTATGGGGCAACCTTTGAAGGATTTTCAGAAGGAAAGCAACATCATCAGATACGTGTTTTGGAGCCATTCTTGTCTTCATGTGGGGAATGCACTGGATATGGGCCCCGAAATAAATTAGCAGTTCTTGCATTAATGTTGGGCAAGAGGTCCTTGAACCAAGGCAGTAGCAGAGGGAATAGTTGTCAGTGGTTCCAAGGAGAATGACTATGAAGGACTTGGTCTGTGTGGATTTGGGGAATGAGTCAAACAGAGGGGTCTAGGAGAACTGGGTTTCTAGCTGGGGTTGGTGGGAGATGCTCTTCACTGAGAAGGGGAGCAGGATGCTGTGGGAAGGGTATGGACATGGCGTGCTCAAGGGACTTCTAGGTGGATCAGGCTAGAGGCTGGATCCATGGGAGAGGTGCCTGCACTGGGATGGAGCTTTGGGTGGGGTCCATCAGCTCATGGGAGGGGGTTGAATGTGTTTGGATGAGGTCACCCTAGAATTGCAATAGTGTGCAAAGAACAACAGCCTGGGTTGGCTCTCAGGCACAGAAACGTTTCAGGATGCAGAGAGGGAAGAAGTTTGCCATCCACAAGAGAATAGTGATATTTAGCACTCCAACCAAATTAAAGATTTTCAGGATTGAAACAATATGTGGAGTCTTAGTGCTGCAATGAATTTTGAGTGTGCATTTAAAAGTTTAAGAGACACACACACATACACGGTGACAAGAGATGGAGGTGAAAAGCATAGGCCAAGAGCAGAGTACCTGGATTTTTGCTTCTGTTTCCATCCCTGGGCAGAATCTGCTTTATCACACTGTGATTAGGGGATATTATGGATATTTGGTTTAAAAATGGTTTTTAAATCCCTCTTATAATTTAGAATGTGCTTTTAAGAAATGATGGTTGTCTCTTAATGCGCATGAAAAAAATAAAGAAATAGAGAAGAAGAAATACTGGCTGGGGCACAGTGGCTCATGCCTATAATCCCAGCACTTTGGGAGGCTGAGGCAGGGGTGTTGCTTGAGCCTAGGAGTTCAGAATCAGCCTGGGCAACATAGCAAGACCCCATCTCTAAAAAAATTAAAAAATTAGCTGGGCATGGTGGCACCCGCCTGTAGTCCAGCTACTGGGGGCGGGGTTGGCTAAGGTAGGAGGATCATTTTAGCCCTGGAGTTTGAGGCTGCAGTGAGCTGAGATCGTACCACTGCACTCCAGTCTGGGTGACAGAGTGAGACCCTATCTCAAAAAACAGAAAAAAGAAAAGAAATAATGGCCAAAGAGCATCACTATAGTGTTATCTTGTGTTTTTTTTTTTTTTTTTTTGACCAAGTCTTGCTGTTGTTGGCCCGGGCTGGAGTGCATTTAGTGGCGTGATCTTGCTGCAACCTCCGCCTCCTGGGTTCCAGCAATTTTCCTGCCTCAGCCTCCTGAGTAGCTGAGATTACAGGCGCCCAACACCATGCCCAGCTAATTTTTGTATTTTTAGTAGAGATGGGGTTTCACTATGTTGGCCAGGCTGGTCTCGAACACCCGACCTCTGGTGATCCACCCGCCTCAGCCTCCCAAAGTGCTGGGATTACAGGTGTGAGCCCTGCCTATCTTGTTCTTATTCTATCCCCTAAATGATTTTAAAAATACACAATGAAAATATTTTAAAAGAAGACTTTTTGGAACAGTAATTCATAATCCCTGTCTACTAAAGACAAGTAGTGGGACAGAAGTCTCCAGTGCAAGGACAAAGTGTTGCCCTAGAAGGTGAAACTTGATAGGGGCAAAAGTTATTTTCAGAGTGTGGTGTATTTTTTTGATTAAAAAAAATCCTCTATGATGAAGAGTCTCATTTAATTATCTGCATGATTCAATGGAGGTGCTTTGTCCAGAAAGCCCCCGATCTCTCTTTTTCTTCTGCTCTCAAGCGTTCATAGCCTGCCTCTCAGATGTGCCCCAACAAGCAATAAGAAATGCCTGAATTCCAGCATTGAACTCCCAATCTTATCAAAAAGCTCTAATATTTAAAATCAAACTCAGTTAGCAAGTTTATGATCACTGAGTAAATAAGTTATACTTAAAAACTTATGTGAAACATGATAGTTTTTTGCTGTACATTTTCAAATTTTTAAACTAAACCTATTTAGTAAAGAGCACCTGTTAAAAAGTATTGTTTTAATTTTTTTTTTTTTTGAGACGGAGACTTGCTCTGTCGCCAGGCTGGAGTGCAGTGATGCGATCTCGGCTCACTGCAACCACCGCTTCCTGAGTTAAAGCGATTCTCCTGCCTCACAAGTAGCTGGGACTACAGGCACACGCCACCACGCCCAGCTGATTTTTGTAGTTTTAGTAGAGACAGTGTTTCACCATGTTGGCCAGGATGGGCTCAATCTCTTGACCTTGTGATCTGCCCGCCTCGGCCTCCCAAAGTGCTGGGATTACAGGCGTAAGCCACTGCGCCCGGCCTATTGTTTTAAATTTTGCCCCATGTTTTCTATTCTTATTATCTTTATAAAAGAACAAAATTATCTACTGTATATGATTTTTAATATCCCTAACTTCTATGTATAACACAAAGGTATTATGAAGATGAAATGATTTAATGTAGGGGAAATGTATTTTAAAAATAGAAAAGTATTATGTAAAAGAAGGTGTTCCTCTTTCTATTAATAAGTTATTATCGCTTATTCTCATGTGGCTGGGATGCATGCACAAAGTCAACTTCAACCCTCTTTGCTTACTTTTCCCATGAGCTTTGGTGTCCTTTCTTTTTCTTCTTTTGATACAGGGTCTCGCTCTTTTGCCCAGGCTGGAGTGCAGTGGCACAATCAAGGCTCACTGTAGCCTTGACCTCCTGGGCTCAAGTGATCCACCCTCCTCAGCCTCCTGAGTAGCTGGGACTACAGGCATGCACCACACTGCGCCTGGCTAATTTTGTATTTTTTGTAGAGATGGGGTTTCACCATGTTGCCTAGGCTGGTCTCAAACTCCTGGGCTCAAGAGATCCTTCCAAAGTGCTGGGATTACAGGTGTGAGCCACCCTGCTTGGCCTGGTGCCTTTCTTATTTGTGTCCTAGGAAGCACCTTACCCAGAAGGGCCCATTGTTTCAGTTTAGAGAGATGAAGAAAGTAAGAAATGATCACTTTTTAAATTTGAAAAAAACCTGAACCAATTATTTAAGATTAAAAATTAAAAATCAGTTTTACAGTATACTTTGTCTTCAGATAACCAGTAAAACTATCCAGAAGTGCTCCCACCTCAGTGTTGCATTATTTTAAAAATTCCATTATGTGGCAAAAGTGTGTTCTAGATTTGCTCGTGGTGCCTGATTCATTAACTTTACTTCTTGTTTTTTAAAGGATTACAAGTACCACATTGGTTAAAGCTCATTTCAGTTTTGTTTTAGTGCAGTCGTTTTGTTCAGTTCTTTCCAGTCCTACTTGCAGTTCTGAAGAATATTTCTTTGTTTATGATGCCATTACAGGAATTTGTAAGTGTCTGGGTTCGAGATCCTAGGATTCAGAAGGAGGACTTCTGGCATTCTTACATTGACTATGAGATATGTATTCATGTAAGTATGTAGTCAGTAGAAATAGTAATTTTGAGGGACTTTTATGGGATACATTTTATGGGATAAAGTTGACACTTGTAAAAGTTTTTCTCATTCAAATAACTGAATTTGAATGATTACAACTAATGCTTTTATCTTACATGAACTAGTAAGATGGTTCCTAAAGTTGAAAAATTACTTATTTGAATCCCTTATTGTTCCTTTGTTAATATTAACATTTTAATGTTTATTGCCTTCACATGTGAAGATGTGCACGCATCTAAAATGCATGGGTAAAGAGTACTTATAGCTCATTAATGGCATTTCTTATGATCTGCTATAGCATATTTCTGGATAATATAATGCCTGATAACCTTCAAGTTTGAGAGGATATAGAGTTCTTTGGAAAAGAGATGTGTGGTGTTTTATATATAGAATCAGAAGGTGGGAAATGGATATGTGCAATTATTGTGATTAATTTATCTAGAATCTGAGTAATTAATGTAACGAGTAAGCAACTAGAAATGATGTGCCTTGCGTGGATGCTACTGTATCACAATCTCTTGAAAATGTTGTGTGGTGTGTGGCCTTCTGTGACCATCTTAAACAAGGGTAAGCAAACTTCTCTGTAAAGGTAGTAAATATCTTCAGTTTGTGGGCCATACAGTTTCTGTCGAGACTACTCATTTCTGCTGTTGCAGGTGAAAAGCAGCCACAGACAGTGCATAAATGAATGAGCATAATTGTATTCCAATAAAACTTTATGTGCAAAGACAGGTGTCAGACCAGATTTGGCCCTCAGGCTGTAGTTTATTGGCCCCGATTTTGAGGATAATACTCTTTGCATCTAAACCAGATGCATATCAGATGCAAACTAAATTAGTTCAACTGGGGAGCATAGCAATTGACCCAGATTGTATCCGTGACTTCATAGCACAAGTGAAGTAAAATTTAGCCATTATTTAATCTTCCCATTGTAAATAGCTAACTTGGTATATTGGACACCCAAACACCAGCTGTAGAACTTTTCTTTTTTTAAATTCTCCTTTCTTCTCTTTTTTCTTTGAAGTTTCCCCAACTTTGAAAATAAAAGAAAAACTCAGAACTGCTTTTTTGATTGTGTTGTAAAGCCATTCCAGGATATGCCATGTATTTTGATTCTGTTTTGGTTTTACTTATAAGCTCACACTAGAGTTGCATTCTGTGTGGAAAATTATGACTATATAAGAATAAGCATTTGAAGTAAAATGAAATAGTTTTAGTTGCCTTCTAACTTTCTGTAAAAAAATTGTGCGTCCTTATCACACACTTCATGATAGGCATGAAATTTAATTATTCCCAGGAATTAATGAAAGTATAGATTCTGCTCTGCTCTATAAATAGCCTGATGTAAATTCAGAAATCTCCATCTGGAGCCAGAAATGATGGGTTCCACAAATACTATTTGATGGTGTCCTGGCACTTTTCTGAAATGCTAATAAATTGACAATGGATAAGCCTTGGCTTGGTGGACAGCAAAAACAAGCAAATAGATTTATTAGAGGAACTTAATCAGTTAGTGATCTCAGTATCCTCTAATCTTGAAGAGACTTCCACCTGTCATACAATTAAAAGTGGATGGCAGAGCTAGGGAGTTCTGGTTGGCTTCTCTTAGTTGTTAACCCATAGAGCTTTGGAGGTAGAGAAGCTGGTCTTTAACTTGTTTAAATTAACCTCAAGGGAGATGATGTCACACAACTCTGGGATCTTAACATTTACTTGGAATTTTAAATTAGTAGACCCTAGAGCTGGGTAGCCATCATAAATACTCCCCTGAACCTGCCCTGCAAATGAAGGACTTATGGATCGACCTTAGTCTGGTGTAGGTACCAGGTGGATTTTTAGTTATTGACAACCATGGTGGTTGTGAGCAGAGAAATTAAAGGGAATTTAAATGGACCCAGCCTGTGTGTGAGATGTCAGGAATCCCTGTGGTGGTCTGGGATTCTTTAGGGAGAGGGTACCGGGAAGATAACCTGCTCAAGCCTTGTTAGGGGACTAGTTCTGGTATAACATGGTCTGCAAACCTAGTCCCCAAGGAGCACAGTAGAGTGAGGCCCTGGTGTGTTATAAGTCCACCCACAGGATGTTATTTGCCACAAACTCCTTCCAGCGGGTTTTGCTGCCATATCGTTAAAGATAATGGGATTTAGACCAGTGGCTACCTTGGGGATAAGCCTTTTAACCTGTCTACATTCTGAAGTTTTCTGAACTTTACAAAGCATAAGCATACCAGGAACCATGTCATATATTTCATGAGAACAGTTTGAGAGCTAATGCACATAATTACTTAGATTTCCCAAGGAAAACAATCGCTGGGCATATTAAGTGATAGAATAATAATTTTTGAAATAGTACTGATCTTGGGGGTAAAGAATTGTTTCTCATTTAGATTAGAAAATCGGATTTTGAAATACAGAGACTAGAGATACTCATATTTTCAAAAATCAGGAGAAACAAATATTTTGGTAGTCGCTTGTTTTACTCAAAGGAGAATATTTACTCTCGTCTTATGTTTACTCAAAGGAGAATATTTACTCTCGTCTTATGTTTACGCAAAGGAGAATATTTACTCTCGTCTTATGTTTACCCAAAGGAGAAGCATTGTGGCTGAGCTTAGCATGGGGACACCATCGGTGGCTTTTTCCAAGTCTGCCTTAGGATAGCTGGAAGGAAACCAACACTTAGTAACTAACAGTATTATTAATAGATAACATTGGTCAAGTGCTTATTATCAATCCTCACAACCACCCTGTGAATTAGATATATACTAGTTCATCCCATTTTAGTACTGAGGAAACTGAAGTTTGAGTGACTTGCCCTGTAGCAGAACCAGGACTGGAATTCCGGTCGGCCTGTCCTCTATGCCAGATGTTTATCCCCACGTACCACGGTCATTCTCTGGCTCGGACGGACACGCTCCCTCTCACATACAGTAGAGAAGGGAATGCTGTTCTCTAGGATTTCTGGTGATTTGTATGATCTGCAGGGTGGCCATGTCAAGGAGATGAAGATTTCTGCAATGTCTCATAAAGGGTCATGAGGAGGTGTCTCTAAGCCCCAAAGTTTCCTCCAGCTTACGTGGATGGTGGTAAAATGCAACGGATGAACCTGAGCTCCTACCTGTCATTTATATGTTAGGATTTATTTTTTATGATTTATTCTTGAAAGCAGTGCTCATAGGTGAGTAGGAGGCTCCTTCAGGATGCAGGGAGTGGCCAGGTCATACCTCACCCTGGGGCAACACTGCTTATTTCCATCATCCTGGCTGTCTTCAGGGCTGTTATGTTCCTGGGTTATGTGCAAGATTTCAGAGTACTGGCATAAATATAAATATATGTTTGGTGGTTTAAATCCTATTTAGAGTGAATGTTGAGATCATATTGTGAATTATAGATACAAGAAATGCATTTTTTTCCTCAGGTAAGACTCATTTTTCTACTTTCTCTGTACAGACTAATAGCATGTGTTTTACAATGAAAACATCCTGTGTACGAAGAAGATATAGAGAATTCGTGTGGCTGAGGCAGAGACTCCAAAGTAATGCGTTGCTGGTGTAAGTGATTTAGAGTATACTGTGGAGACTTTGTCATTATATTCAGTATTTAAAATTGACGTTCATTAAGATATATAAGATATGAAGGATTTTTATAGGCTTTTGCCTTGATTACAATATGTAGCTTTAGTTTCTTAGCTACTGCATCTGAATTTAAAATTTATCACTTAAATTTCACCAACTTTGATGGGTATAGGCCATGAAAGGCCTCAGAAATGTTTAAAGATGGGTTTTTCTTTAAGCTGACTTCCTGATACCCTTATTATATAACTATATAATGTATAATCATAATTATAGAATAACTGTGTGATAATAATCATCATACATAATTTGCCTTCACTTTGAGGGATTTCTGTAACAGAAGCACCTTGAGTTAATCATTTAAAAACATTGTTTTTTCTTTCTCCTAAGACAACTGCCAGAACTTCCATCTAAAAACCTGTTTTTCAACATGAACAATCGCCAGCACGTGGATCAGCGTCGCCAGGGTCTGGAAGATTTCCTCAGAAAGTGAGTGTCCAGAAACTTTTGTGGCCAGACAAGGGGTGTGAGCAAGTGCTTTACAAGAGCTGCATGGTGGTGTGGGGAAGAGTGTTCCTGTTTCTGAAATGCAAATAATCTGCACTAGAGCAAAACCCAGTGGCCCATTTCCTATATTAGAGCACCATCTTGTGGCTCACATCATCTCGTACATATTTGGGACCAAGTCTTCTAGAAAGAAAACAATGAACAAATTGAATTAAATATCTGGTCCTTTAAGCTGTCAAGCAGATCTAAATTACCTGGGCGTTTAGCTGACAAAAGTAAAAATTTGCCAGGAAACAAATATGCCTAATCATCAAAAGGCACTTCTTAAAAACTGTCTTTCTTTACAATGCTTAGAATTTACAGACCAAAATCAGCTCAGTAACGGGCTGCTAATATCCTTCTGGGTTCCTCTAATAGTTTAACGCTGATCTTTGAAGGGAATGTTTATAAAGGAGTATTTGGTGGCGTGTGAACAGTCTCAGTGAGTTATTAACTCTGGATTACTCTGTGATGGTGGGTATTGCCGTTAAAGCTGCCTGAGTTCACACTACCAGTGATTTCCCTCCCCCAATCCACTCTCTGGAATGCTGGAATACCCAGAATGCTAGAGGCCATATAGCACGCTGATTTACACCTAGACTCCGAGGCCAGGCTACCTGAGTTCAGATCCTCGCTCTGCCACTTACTAGCTGGGGGCTTGGGCAGATCATTTACCTCCTCTGCCTGTGTCTTCCCATCTATAAAATGGGGTAATCATAGTACCTACCTCATAGGGTTGTTGAGAAGATTAGACAAGTTAGTGACTGTAAAGCACTCATGACAGTGTCTGGCATGCAGTGTGTGCTATCTTCATGTTGGCTGTTATTATCTTAATGCACTTAGACATGAGACAGCTTTTGCTTTCCTAATTTCCAATTTTGTAGATAAGGAAATAGGCTGAGTCATATGACTACTAGTTACTGACAGGACCCAGTCTCCTGAACTGTTTCTTTTTCTAGTAGTTTCAGGATCTGAAGTCATCTCCTTTGGGGTTCACTAAATAGGACCTTAGAGCTAGCCTGAAATAAATATACTGCCTCCTCCCCATTTGGCTCTCTCATAAAGGGTTTGGATATTAAGTATGCACATTAATATTAATATTTATTTCTATTAGATTGACTTAGTGCCTTTTCTTTGAAGGTGTCCTAGAGGCATACAGAAAGATCCAAGATTATAAATTGAGGGAGAGTGGGCCAATGAAGAGAAGCCAGAGGAATAAACATGGCAAGAGACCAGAAGAACTGATTAGCAGAGCCAAGTCCTCCGAAAACATTTCATTGTATTTTTGGGGGGTATCACAGGCATGGCAGGACAGAGACCTGGCCAAGTTTTTCCTGCCCTTTCCCCTAGAGGAGGCCTCTGATTTTAATTGTTGTCTCTATGAGGCCCAGGTGGCTGATGGCCTCTCCCTTGAGATGTGGTCCCTGCCACACAATTCTACAGAATTGCCTGTCACTCTAGTGTAGGACATGTTGTCCTCGGGGAGCTGTGGCATCTTGTCTTCTGTAGGGAAGTCTTATTTCAGGTCAGAAGGCAGCACGTACCTCTGAATTATATTGCTGGTTAAGTGCAGGGTATGTGTTTTTGACCAGGAATTACTTCGTTGTTTTGAACACAACCTTTCTATCCACAGTTGATCTACCCAAATGAATGACCCTGTGAGTGTCATTCAGCCATAGTGGGGTTATGCTTGTGCCAGGTTATTTTTGCATAGTGCATGGTTTGACTGTTTGCTGGTTGTGTTTGATGCAGATGTCATAGTAGAAAGTGTCCTGGTTCAGGAACTCAAGGAGCCGGGTTCTAGGTCTCCCATAATCATGGTTCCTGGTTTTTTTTCTAGCTGCATGTGAGCCTTGGAACAGTCACTTCATTCCTTTTAAGCCTTTGTTTGCTATAGAGTGGGATAATAGTACCCACACATAGCCAACCTCACTGGGTGGTTGTGTCCTACAGATGAAAAGGACTTGAAAAAAACTCTAAAAACCATGCAGCGATCCTTCATTCAATAGATGTTTATTAAGTGAATGCTTTGGGCCAGGCTGCGTGCCACGGACATAGGACTGCACAGAATGAACAAGTCCTTGTCCTGACACTTCCTTCTAGGGGGAGCACTGTGTACACATCCAGGGCTACGGCTAGATTCATTAACACTGAATCTGGATTGTCATCCGATTGGATTGTCAAATCATGGAATTGGCAGGGGGTTCTCTTGTGATATCATTTGTTCCCCTGTGGTATGTGAACATTTGTCTACAAGTTAATATTTCACTTTAAAAATGAAAGCTGGTGCTTCCACACAGCCTAAACCTGAAGGAAGTGAGGAGTCAAATACCACAGGGCTGGCTTCAGGCCTGAACTGAGCTCTGCGGCCCCTGCTGACCCTCCCCAGCCTCCCTTCTGTGTCCCTCAGATCTGTGCTTGCCCGGGTTGTGTAAGGTAGTACCCTCCATGTCTTTGCCCCTGGTGCCCCCTCCCCTCACCCAACCAGGGTCCACTCTAGGGAACTGGATGTGATGTGTACCTTGGCACTGTGTCTTGGCCCCAGTTTGACATCCTCTGAGCCCCCACTGGTTACCTGTTAAGTAGGGCCAGCCATCAATAGCCTGTACCTTGTTTGTAGAGGAATTTTAGGAACCACAGCATTAAAACATGGAAACATGCTTGTATTGTAGGTTTTTCGCATGCATTTTTAAAGCCTGGTTTTCATGTGAGTTTTGAAGTTATGAACCAGAAGCACTAAATATGTTCAAACCTTTTGAAACCACAATGTCTTTGTATATGTGTATATATACCTATTTTTCTTTAAGGTCATTTGTGAAATGATACATATGTAATAAGAAAGTACTGATCTTTGTAGAGGAATTGGAAAATTGTTTCTTTGACTAGGTGCCAAATAAGAATAATTTCTACCATTTATCGAACACTTTCTACGTGTTTGGCATTTTACATGTTTTAGTCTCAGTACTAAAAATCTTAGGAGTTGGGTATTATCTCAGTTTTATAGATAAAGAAATTATAGGAAAGATGGACATACTATATGAATCCCAGAACCTGGCAAATTTAAAATTAGCAGTACTCTTAAATGCTGGCTAAATTTGGTATGATTGTGAGATTTTTCAAATATATTCATTTTTCTTCAGTCTTAACTATAATCTCCCTTTTGTATTCTTGCCCCTGAGTAATTATAAACTTAAAGTCCCTTCTAATAGTTATGAAAAGAAAGTTATAGGCTAAAAAATATAAACTCAGTAAGTCTCTAACTATGAAAAATGGAATTCCTACTAATTTTTAGGTTTGAATGGGATTTTCAATTTAGGTTTGAATAGATTTGTTCATGACTGGGAGCCGCTTCCCTTCTTTACTGAATTCATCCCATTAATACAACTACATTTACCCTACAGTTTAGACTTTAGTATCATGGTTTTGTATTTCTTCAAATATTAAGGAATATTAAAGATTTTTTACAAAAGGCTAGTGTTGAACCATGACAGCTAGTTTTACACACACACGATTTTTATGTCTTTGTGTTCAATAGAGGGCACCACAGCATAGATCATGAATGTCTTCAATGAAGATTTGTAGGTTTTATTTTTTCTTATAGTAAGAGCTAAACAGGCTGAGTTAATTTTTTTTTTCTACATCAAACTGCTAACCTTCCATGTACTATGCAGTTATGTATATATATCATTGTATTGGGTTCAGCAGACCCAGGACATCCTTAGTTAGGATGAAATGATTTTGCATAGCTATATATTCTCAGCTAAACCAGCATATAATACATCTAATAAAATCATGTTGAGGAAAACTGTGCTTTTCAACTGTGTCCAGTTTAGGGAAAAAAAACAGATTTTGCTTTGTTTAGTCTAAAACTGTTATGGGGAAAGGAATAACTTCTGATTTGCACTATAAATATCTTTCTAGAAATTCTTTTAAAATCCTAGAGGCTATTTTTTATTCCTTTTATAAAGGTTTGAAAATCATATACTTTTTAAATGGAGGTTTCTACAAATGACATTTTATTGACTGTTTTACAAAGTACTCTTTATATTAGGTTTGAAATTGATTTTGGGCTATTAGATTTGTTTGTGGAAAATATGGCACAAACATGACTAAGGAAAAAATAGTATTTAATATTATGATGGTGGCAGTCACAGCCCTCTCTGATAGTAAGCCAAATAGTACTCAAAATAAATTAATTATGCTCACCTAACCAGATGGGAAAACACTCTCAAAAATTTTCATTTTAAATTTCAGAATGAACTATCTGACTAAAATAAGCATATAAATACATTTAAAAATTATTTTTGCTTATTTAAAACTCATGGAGTATGGTGGCATGAATTTAGCCAGAGAAACAGAGGAGATTCCAAAAACCAAAACTGTACCTAGCCGACTCACTGGTTTGAACTCTAGGCCTGGGGGAGTGTTCAGATGTCCCCTCCCCAGCCACATCTTTCTGGCTCTTTGGAATTGTGAGCTGGGTGAGCCTGGCTCCTTCTCTTTTCATCTGTGTGTCCTCCAGATGGCAGTATTGAGCAGAAAAAGAAAACGCTGGGAAATAATGAGTCTAATGTACAGTAAAATTGGAAATTGAATTATAGCTCAAGAAAAAGGACAGTAGCCTTGAGGTCCCGATCAACCTGGACTCTGATCACTTTTGTTTGCTGTACCCATGTGTTAAGTTACTAGCAAGTTAATAACAACACGTGAGCAGTTCAAGGCTCAGTAGAATTGCTTCAGACATGAAATAAAGCTAAAATGAATTTGTGTCCAATATCATTGGCATTAGTGCTCATTACTGTTGTGGTGTAATGCCTCAAACCATCTAAAATCAATTTTAAAGATTACCCATTATTTTATAAAGAAAATAAAACACATTTCCAACAGAAACAAAGCCACGAGTACAATCCCATGAACAGTTCCTTGTACTTATGGCAGGCAGGAAACCGCTGACAGAGGCCACAGGAAACACTCTGCTCAGACTTCACAGACTTCACGATCCAAGTTCGTATTAATGGATTGTTGCTCTATAACTCTTCTCTTAATCTGAAGTATTTAAAAACAAGAATGGTGAATATTTGTAAATGTAGAAAATAAATCTCAAAGAGTAGTAAGAGGGATTTACTACTTAGCTACTTGTACTTGGTAAATTAATCATTATCATGTGACATGGTCATCTTTTGGGAGGACCCAGGGCGGAGGACACAGAGGGAAAAAGAAGGATTTAGCTGCTTTGCTTGAGGTTTTGCCTTTTAAAAAGCACAAAGGTTTTACTTTTCCTTCTAATAGACCAGTAAAGAATATTTTCTCAAACTGTAAACCTGCTGAAGCAAAGGGGACAGCTAGATTTTGGTTTTAATACTGTGCATTTTTAGGCATTTTTGCCTTTGTTAAGAAATAATTGTTTTATTTTGTAGAAAAGGATTTGGTATTATAATGACCTTGGATTTTCACTAAATTGATATTAATGGCCAAAAGAGATTTACTTTCCTTATTACTTGTTTAAACAAGCAGAATATAAGGTAAGGTTCATTTGGTCTGAAATACATGATCTATTTTTCACAGATCGTTATATCGGAAAAATCTTATGTTGGACAAAATTCTACTTGGGTTTTAGTGTGTTAGTTTTGTCCCCTGTATCTGGTCTTAGTGTCTCCTCTTACATAATTATTGAACTATCAGTAGAGACTAAATGATCATATGTCAACATCTTTGCTAAAAGATAAACCAGTTTTTATTTAAATATAAAGGTATACTTTGATTTGATTTCATATTCTAAGATGTGCATTTCAGAGAAAACACATTCACTAATATGAATTTGAGCATCTGTAGATTTTGCTACAGGATAGTTTTTAATCTTCCATGTAGTTCTGATGCCCTGGTTGAAATCTGTTCTGTCTTTGTAAACTTTGATCTTAAATGTGGGAAGAGCAGTATGTATTCATCACAAAATTATCATATTTTAATTATATATATGGTAAAGTTGGCTGGGATCAATTTTATTTGGTTGCTCATTTTGACAACACAGAGATTCAGTGCTCCTAAAGATTTTGGAGAAATTTACAGTTAACCTTAAGTATTAAAAAAAGCCATCTCTCTCATGAGCTGTCGTAAACATGCCCTTAAGTATATAACTGTAAAGTTTTAAAATGTAAAATATGCTGAGAATTGTATTTTCTTCATATAATTTTTAATAGTAGTTGAAAGTTTTGATGTTTCATGACAGCCTATCCCATAAAGATCACTGAATTGACATGCTGTTGGCAGTAAATTTTTTAAAGTAGAATAACTTTCTATGACTATATAAGCAAAATATTTCCATAATTAATCCACATGGTAATAAGAGATGGGTAAATTGAAGAAATGTCCTTGAAGTTATTCTTTTAACAGATGTTCTTAACTATTAGCTTCATGTTTTTACCCACCTAAATTTCCAAATAATTGAATAAAAGTTAACATATGCTTTCCTCCCCTTAATGGGCAGAGCCCATAATTGATACAAAGTTTACCACAGTAGAGAAATTACCTTCAGTGGTACTTTTCTAATGTTTTTCTTTCTTCTACCCTATCACTGACCATCCTGTTCACCAATTATTTTTCCTTTTTTTTTTAATATAGAGTCCTACAGAATGCACTTTTGCTTTCAGATAGCAGCCTTCACCTCTTCTTACAGAGCCATCTGAATTCAGAAGACATTGAGGCGTGTGTTTCTGGGCAGACTAAGTACTCTGTGGAAGAAGCAATTCACAAGTTTGCCTTAATGAATAGACGTTTCCCTGAAGAAGATGAAGAAGGAAAAAAAGAAAATGATATAGATTATGATTCAGAAAGGTATTTCCTTGCATTTTGATTTAATGTATATGTATTTATATAATACATAGTATGCACATATGCACGTGTATAGATATATATACACACTTCACTTTTTTGTTGATATAATACTAAGATAATGAAAAAATTAATTGACTGAGATTTTATTGAGCTGTGACAGCTCATCATAGTAGTCTTCACACACACCTCCACACTGAATTAATGAATGCAGTAGAAATTCAATTATTTGCATTCTGATTATGTGACTTTCATTTAGTCAGACTTGAATTATTCGCGTTTAAATTATCTAGCTAAAAAAATACCCAACTGCACTCCAAATGGCTAATTAAAAGTCCAAATTTCCTGTCTCTCTTTGTGACTGGAGATAATTAAAGTTCTCCTCTGTTACTCAGGCTTTGAGTGTGTTGTGAAAACCAATTTCCTCTTTTTATTATTTTCCCCCTCTCTTCTTTTCCAGTTCATCCTCTGGGCTTGGACACAGTAGTGATGACAGCAGTTCACATGGATGTAAAGTAAATACAGCTCCGCAGGAATCCTGAAAAATAATTCTAATGTTACTATCTTAGGAATAGCAAATTATGTCCAGTCATAGAGAAGAAAGCTTCATAATAATACATTCTTACCTAAAGCTCACTGTCATGATGTTAGGTATTTAAATTCTTAAAGATGTTGGGTTGTTTATTAGTGGTATTTTTATGTTGTCTTATTTTAGGTAAGCTTCTGTGTAAAGCTAAAAATCCTGTGAATACAATACTATCCTTTACAGGCAGACATTATTGGTAAACAAGATCTTGCCCTCCAATGAAATGACTTACATGTTTTAAAAAACCGAGTTGGTTTTATTGAATTTAAAAAGATAGGTAACTAAGTAGCATTTAAAATCAAGATAGAGCATTCCTTCTTGTATCAGTGGGGCAGTGTTACCATAAACACGGTGTATATGTTGTTAAACCCTATGAAGAGTAACAGTGTAGACCAGACTGCCTCTCTCAGATATGTGCCTGATATTTTGTGGATACCTCCCCTGCACTGGCAAAACACTATGCTTTTGGGTGTTAGACTGAAATATTTTAAGAGTATTTAACCTTTCCAGTATTCTGTTTCACGCTTAGATGGAAATGTATCTTATGAATAGAGACATATTAAAATAATGTTTACATCTTAGAAAAAACATAGATAGTGCTAGTAATATTACTTATAACTGTAATATATAGATTCAGAAATACATTTTCATTATCCAAAATCAGCTTCAACAAATGGTTTCTGGAGACAAATAATTTGTTTTCATTATCATTGTATAATCAGGTTAATGATTTATTTTTTGACTAAATGTGCAATTTCTTATCACTAGATAACTTTCAGTATCAGTGGTGGTTACTTATTACTTAAATCAGAGGAAGGATTTTATAAAGATTAATAAATTTAATTTTACCAATAAATATTCCCATAATTTAGAAAAGGATGTCGACTTGCTAATTTCAGAAATAATTATTCATTTTTAAAAAGCCCCTTTTAAAGCATCTACTTGAAGATTGGTATAATTTTCATAAAATGTCTTTTTTTTTAGTGTCCCAAAGATATCTTAGATAAACTATTTTGAAGTTCAGATTTCAGATGAGGCAACATTTTCTTGAGATAATTACCCAAGTTTCATCCATGTTGAATGGTACAAAATATTTCTGTGAAACTAACAGGAAGATATTTTCAGATAACTAGGATAACTTGTTGCTTTGTTACCCAGCCTAATTGAAGAGTGGCAGAGGCTACTACAAAAAGCAACCTTTTCATTTTCACTAAGAGTTTAAAAGCTATTGTATTATTAAAAAGTCTTTACAATGCTTGTTTCAAAGAACCAACAGAAAAAAAAGCTAAGAAAACTGAGAACTAACATTAAAAAAATTAAATTTAGAATAAGAATGATTTCTTTAATTTGTCCTTTTTTTCTTTGGTCTAAAACATTATTAAATTTTTGTAAATATTTTGATTTAATGTGTCTTAGATCCTCATTATTTTAATACAGGAAAAGAAAAGATTTAGTAATTTCTTACCATGCTAATATGTAAAGTTCATGCCATCCAGGCATTTAAGAGCGATCCTCATCCCTTCAGCAATATGTATTTGAGTTCACACTATTTCTGTTTTACAGCAGTTTTGAAAAACACATACTATGCCACCAATTGTCATATTATTTTTAGATGATGTAACATAGCCATCAAAATTAATATTATGTAATGCCTAATACTTAGTATGTAAATGTCACGAGATCATTTTTACATTAAACGTGAAAAAAAATCAACTTTGCCGGATCACTTATTTTATACAAGAGAATATATTCTGCCTTAGACCCAAACTCAGTGTTTTTTATTTTTTATGAGGAAATTTGGTAAAACATGGTTTAATATTAGCTATAGTTGTACATATTTGAGGCTTTTAGCCTTGGTTTAGTTGTTTCAATGTCCACACA
Source organism: Homo sapiens (assembly GCF_000001405.40). Classification (NCBI taxonomy): domain Eukaryota; kingdom Metazoa; phylum Chordata; class Mammalia; order Primates; family Hominidae; genus Homo; species Homo sapiens. The sequence goes on from NC_000007.14 coordinate 26,374,498, forward strand.
CTGGCTTCTTAAAACTGATTTCTTGCAGCTGAGATATTTAGATGAACTTCAGTTCCCAGTGGTTTTCTTGCTTTGTCTCTTATTTTTCTCTGGCATATTTTTTATAAAGCTTTCTTTAGGAAAAAGAAAATAATTACTGATGTAGCTAACTTGAATAGATGTTTATTTAACACTATTTTTAATGTGACTTAAATGTAAAGAATTCTAATCCTGGATTCTTTATGATTACAATACAGCAAAACTGCATTTTCCCTGGCTGATTCTTAAAGGGTAAACTATTCACCTATAAAGCCAACTTACGTGTTTTGTTGTAGAACTAGATTTATATATAACCCAAAGGTGTCAACAGCACTGAACGTCAACAACCTGTTACTTCGGCTTCTTATAAAGTCTCACTTAGAAGAAAGTTACTTAATTCTAGTTAAAATTTCAAGTTTTAAAAATTACTAGGGACAAACAAGTATTTATTTTTAAGCAGATACTATTCCTTAAGATATGAAGTATCTTGCCAGTTTTTCAAACCTAGTCCACATTTTATTGAATAATTAAATACAAACAAGTGATATGCAGTATAAAGTAAAAGAACAAAGTTTCTTTTATGACAATTAAGAAGTTAAACAACTTCATTTAGCCTGGCCACAATAACCGTTATATCCAACAGTAAACTGGACGTTGTTTTGAATTTGGTTTGTATTTGTTGGATGCCTTAAGGATTCATTATTATTGAGCTACTGTGATACCAATAAGGTTTTCAGTATTTGAGCTATAAAAGACAACCCCTTTTCATTAGAGGCCCCTTAACATTTTAAACGAAAATAACAAAGCTTATTCTGTTTCTAAATAGTCTTCCTCTTAATATTTAAATTACTTAGCTGGTATCCTGTGAATACAAGGCAACATCTTTTCAATGAAGGAAACAATTTCAGTACAATTTTGTGTTTTTGTTTGGAATATAGACCTTTTCTTAGTTTATTATATATAAACACATTTTCAAATACAAAATACTGTCTGAAATTAGTTACTGCAATTTGACATTCAAAGCATAGAATTTTCTTTGCAAATAAAGGTCATAAGAAATTAATAATTTTAATAGAGTGGAGTTCAAAAATTTCAGAAGGATGTAAATAAGCAACAATTTCTTTAACATTTGCTATATATACAAAGGACTTTGGTTCTATTCTTTGCCATATGCATCTTACAAACGAGTCACCATTGTCCCTTTTTAGCAGACACAATTGCGCTTCACTCCTACTGCAAACTTTTCTAGATCATGAGCAGTGCATTGGACACTAATTTATTTTAGCTGCGCAAACTCTGGTAGTTAATGACCCTTTCTCTTTCTCCAAAATTCCAAAGACTTCTTTTCAAAAGATATAGAGGAAAAGAGAAAAAAAACCATTAAGCTACAATTTCCTGCTGAATTTAAACTCTGGTCTAAAGACACTATGTAAATGGCTTATGCTAAAGAGGAAAATACCCTTTCTCCCCCGACGAGAAGTGTAGATTCATCCAACCCCACACCGCTTGTCTTTGCTGCTAGAGGCACAGCACGGGCATAACTTGTGGTTGTGTTTTTGCTAGTTTCTTACCTCTGGGCCTTCTTTATAGCTTTGCCCCCCACCCCACTGGCGGTGGCGCTCCCGCGGCTGCACCCTCGGCCGCCTGTTGGTTGCGGCGCCTCCGCGGCCCGCGCGCATCCCCCGCGCTGCGTCCCGCACACGCGCGCTCCCGCCGCGTCCCGCCCGGGCCGCTCCGCTGGCGGCGGCGACTGGGCTGCAGGTAGCGAGCCAGCCGGCCTCGGTCCGGTAACCCATGGCAACCGCCCTGGTAACCCATGGCAACTGCGCGGCGGAAAGAAAAAAAAGAACCGTGGTGGGGCGGGGGGCGGCGGGCGGTGAATGGGAACAACGACCGCAAAGAGACAGCGATTTACCGCGCGGGCCTGCGGCTCCCGGCCGCACCTGCTGCAGACGGCCCGCGAGGCCCCTTCCCGCGCTACGGTGACGATTCTGGCTGCTGGGGAAAAGAGCAATAAGCAGAAAGCCCTCGTGCAGAGGGGATCCGGGCGGTGCACTTGGTGTGGGAGGCTGCCTTAAACGCCGATGACCCTCCCGGCCTCCGCGTGTCCCGGCTTCCAGGGCCCCGCCAGGCTGGAGAGCGCGCGTGGAGAGGGCCTTGCCGCCTGGGGGTTGGTTGAGGGGCGGCCGCGCCGGGGCCGGGGCTGGACTCCAGGCTTTGTTCTGCAGACGCTCGCGCCCGGCCGGAGGAGGGGCTACACCGTGCTGCCCCGGCCCCATGGGGCCCGGCCCCCGAGGGTCCCCGCGAGCGGACGCGGTGGGGCCGGGCAAACTCTACGTGCCCTAAATTTTGTCATCTGCACACGCATCGCACACATTAGTTAACCCCTTTCCCTTCTAGGCCCCCGAGAACCTAACCTGCCCGGCGGGCGCGCGGCTGCGTTAACCTGGCCCCTTCCGTCTGGAGAGGGAGGGGACGGTCGCGCCTGGTGGTAGGACTGGGCTGTGTGTGTGTGTGTGTGTGTGTGTGTGTGTGTGTGTGTGTGTGTGTAGGGGGGTGATACAAGTTTTCCACCCGCTTTAGGCTGAGGCCCTGTAAGCGGGACTGTGTTCTAGTACCCGGAAAAAGCGCGCGGCCTGTGACACATCAGGTGCCAGGCCGCCGGAGGACAGAAGGGGGCGCTGCCGGGCCAGTGCGGAGGCTGCAGCCGCCCACTGCAGAACGCGCCCTTGGTTGGGTCTGGCGAGCTGCCCGCGTAGTGGAGTGGTGTTAGGGCTCCCAAGTAGAAAGAACCTGTTCCCTACGTAGGTGTCGGTTGTACTTAAGAGCATCATTTGGTCGCTCGTGTATTCGCAGAACCCCTAGCCTGCAATAAGATGGTTCAGGAAACACAACCAGAACCGGTCTCATTCGGTACCCAGCAGCTACGTGCATACAAGTCCAGAGACATGTAATGGGGTGGAGGGACCACGCTAGGAATCTGGAGGTCACACATCCAGGTCGAGTTTTAACTAGCTGTGATTCCAGGCACATTGTGATGTTATAAAAAGGAAAAGATTTGGCCTGGATGATTATGAGGTCCTCAATCAGACCACTCTCTGTAGGTGTGTTACAGTGACAAATACAAATAGCAAAGCCATCTGGAATACCTTTGTTTTTTTTTTAAGGCAAAGGCCTATGCAAATATAATATGCACACGCTTCTGAAAGATGATTAGATCAGCACGGTTTAAGATACCCCATATTTTTACTGGTAGACAAGAGAAGCCGGCTATGTAGAGAATCCTATTTTAATCCTTTCATAAAGACAAGAATCTTAGATCTTAGGGAAACTTGGCTTATTTTCACAAATATGCACGTTCTGGGTTCCACTGCTTATAGAGGACCCGGTACTGGGGAGCATGTGCTCTAAAACCTGTTTTAGAGGTAAAACACAGGTGCTGACCTGCCCTGGGATCCGTGCAGTACAATCCCAGCTCTCTGCATAGCGGTGTACTGGGAGCCCTGTGCTTTCGTTTAATTTTTTTTTAAACAAAAGAAATTACAGAAAAGTGCAAATTTAACGTGTGACATTTAACATTTTGCCGTGGCAGGCAGCCTCCACTTAAATGGGGCCTTTCTGCGGAACAACAGGAGCCAAAAGGCCTTGTGTCATGGAGTAATGTAAGACACAATCTGGGCTGCAAACGCACAATGAATCGGGAAGGATTTATGTAATTAATTGACCAGTCTTAACCTGTTATCGTGATGTAAGGAATTTGGAACTCATTAATTTGGGCTCTGACAGATTTCATATTAGAGCTGGCAAATATGGATTGAGCCTCTTATTCTTGTAGCAGCTGGAATTTCCATGACAGTGAGGCTTAGTGAAGAAGACCTATTGCTGGAGTCAAACTGCCTCTTGCTAATCAGTAGCCCTGCTCTGTATTAAAGGGATAATGAAAGAAAAAAAAAAAGGAAAAAGCATATTACCTAGTTGGGGGAGTGGAAGGGGCTTGTGTTCATTCTGCTAGTACGTGGGTTGAGCTCAAGCATTTGTAGCTGAACCAAACATTAATTGCAATCATAGAGTTAGGTGATTTCTCAACACCTTGAGAGAAGAGAAGGTAGAATGGTGTCAGGGTCAGGTTTGATATTATCCAAGTTAAAGAGGGATTAAAAGACAGAGCCTCTGAATTTCATCTGTGTGCACATAGAGACTGTATGAAGAAAGAGGTAGAAGTCTTACGAGGGGCAAATGGGAGTTTTTTTGGTAATGTCATATTCATAAATGAGCGGTTCAGAGCCCTGAAGGAGAGACTGCCTTTCTCAGGAGCCACTTCCTGACTCCTGGTGGGAGCTCCCTAGTGGACCCCATGAAACCCAGAATTCACATAATGAGCGTTTAGTTGATAATTTAATCTGTGTCCTCTTCAAATTTTATGATGTTTACTGAATCACCCATTTGGAAATGTCCAGTTTCTTCTTTGAGATTGTAAATAAACTCAGTAAAAGTTTAACTTTCATTTTTTTTCCACCCTTGACAATCAGAAAATTGCTAGGTTCAAAAAAGCTCCCAGAGATTAAACAAAATGGTTTTTTTTTCTTCCTTCACAATAGTTTTCCCTTATTGCTGTACTATGTGATAAGGTTAATATAACAGCTGCCATACAGATCATTAATACAGGGAGATAAGCAAAGTTGCATGCTGGAAACATTTGCAGGGTATCATTTGCCTTCTTCTGCTGATAAAGAAGCCTTAGGTAACAAATACAGATCACAGGCACTGAATATTTAACTTTTTAGACAGAAATCCCAATTGATCTTTCCTAATATGTTATTATTCATAAATGCTCTTTAAAGTTGGGTACTGACTGCTCTCAAAATATGATTTTTTAAAAAAAATTTGTATGTTACCTACCTTTTCAAGTTTACAGTCAAACGTAATTTACTTTTTAATATGACAAATAGTTATAACTCTTGCAAAAACAAAGATTTCCATGCCCCCCTCTTCATTCTTATTTTTCTTTTTTGAAAATTGTCTTAAATTCAACCAAATTCCAAAGTAAAGAATTTTCCTTTTAGTTAGTGATAATGGGATTTGATCTATCAATGAAGTGCTCAGTATAAAGATTTGTTTTTGATTATCTTGTTAACAAGTGATTTCTTTAGTTTTGGCTCTATTTAAATGAATGCATAAAGATAAATGCTAGAAATTTGCATCAATATATTAATGTTATCCTTCACATTGAGAGCAAAGAGGGAGCTAGTATTTGTTATTGGTAGTATTATTTCAGTGAGAAGGCAATGAGGATAAACAATTGATACCAGCAAGACTTGGATAACTAGTATAAACCATGACAAGGGCGATTAATAGTGTATATAAACACACTTCAAGTTTGTATACATGATCTCAGCTCTCACCTAGTGATTTCTTTGTATTTTTTTAAAGGGTGATTTGTAAGTTGGCAGTTACAAGGCTATCAACTCATGTGCTGTGTGTACTGTTTATATATTAGAGGTATGGAATAGACATACTGAAGTGTGATTTACCGGAGAGAGTGTTGATTTGGAAGGATGTCTGGTGAATCAGGTTCTGGCTCTGTGGCTGGCACGTACCCAAAGGCAGTTCCCAACCTCTCTGGATGTCAATTTCCTCATCAGTACAATAAAAAGACTGGATACAGAATGTCCTAAAGGTGTTCCCTACAGCGCTAGTTCTGAGGAATGCTAATAAGTTTACTAAATGCTAATAAGTTAAAAAAAAAACAGGATGGAGGTTTCCATGGCCAGTTACATTTTGGACACATTGGGCTAAATAAAGTTTAATATTAATTTTTCTGCAGGACTTCTCAGTGACTTTCATATGGTAATATTCACTGTGAGGTCAGCACGGTGGCTCACACCTATAATCCTAGCACTCTGGGAGGCCGAGGCAGGTGGATTGCTGGAGGTTAGGAGTTTGAGACCAGCCTGGGCAAGGTGGCAAAAACCCATCTCTACAGAAAAAAAAAATACAAAAATTAGCCGGGTGTGGTGGCACATGCCTAAGTTCCCAGCTACTTGGAGGGATGAGGTGGGAGGATCGCCCGAGCCTGGGAGGTCAAGGCTGCAGTGAGCCGTGATCATGGCACTGCACTCCAGTCTGGGCAACACAGCAAGACCCTCAAGAAAAAACATACACTGTGAATCTCTAAGAGTGTGTGTGTGTGTGTGTGTGTGTGTGTGTATGCATCTCTGTGTAGGGGTACTGTGCACAGTTTTCCTAAACTGATTCAAAAAAGAAAGGGTGAACAGTGATCCCTTGAATCTATAGTACTTTGGAGTCCTTCTGAAAATGATTAAGGGGCACTTGCATTCACACTAGGTGTTCTTGAGGCCAGGGTGCAAGGAACATGGGATATCATTAAATGAGAACGATTCCCCTTCAGAGAACAGGTTCTACAGAAAGGCAGGGAGTATGGTACTCAGTTTGTTTGTTTGTTTGTTTATTTATTTTTGAGACAGGGTCTTGCTCTGTTGCCCAGGCTGGAGGGCAGTGGCACAATCATGGTTCACTGCAGCCTCAACCTCCCAGTCTCAAGCCATCCTCCCACCTCAGCCTCCCGAGTGGCTGGGACTGCCGGTGTACACCACCACATCTGGCTAATTTTTTTTATATTTTTGGCAGAGACAGGGTTTTGCCATGTTGCCAAGGCTGGTCTCAAACTCCTGAGCTCAGGCAATCGTGCTGGGATTACAGGCGTGAGCCACCTTGCCTGGCCTCTCAAACTTAAAAGCCTCTGTTTCTTTCACTCTCTCTTCTCACCCTACCAGATGCTCCTTGACTTATGATAGGGCTATGTTCCAATACATCTATGGTAAGTTGAAAATATTGTAAATCAAAAATGCATTCAATATATCTGACCTACTGAACATCCTAGCTTAGCTTACCTTAAACATATTCAGAACATTTACTTTAGCCTACAGTTGGGCAAGAACATCTAACACAAAGTCTATTTTATAATCTTGTGTTGAATACCTCATGTAATTTATTGAATACGATACTGAAAGTGAGAAACAGCATGGTTGTATGTGAACTTGATGTACTATTTCTACTGAATGTATATTGCTATCATGTCATTGTAAGTCAAAAAGTCATGAGTCAAACCACCCTAAGTTGGGGACCATATACAGTCATGCATTGCTTAACAATGGGGACATGTTCTGAGAAATGTGTCGTTACGCAATTTTGTTGTGTGAACATCACAGAATTTACTTACACAAACCTAGACGGCATAGCCTACTAAACACTCTGGCTACAGCCTAGTGCTCTTAGGCTACAAACCTCTATAGCATGTTACTGTACTGAACGCTGCAGGCAGTTGTAACACAATGGTGAATATATGTGGTCTAAACATAGAAAAGGTACATTTAAAATACTGTATAAAAGATAAAAAATGGTACACCTGTAGAGGGCAGCTCCATGATACTCATGGGACAACAGTCGCACATGCAGTCTGTTGTTGACTGAGATGTTACTATGCAGCACATAACAACGTATCTCTCTCTATCCCATTCCTCTTCAGCTTCTTTCAAACTCCTGACAACTTTAGCCTCTTTCTGATTTTCCAGACCCAGCCCACACTGGCTCTTGTCTTTCTCCCCCTTTTCTTTAACCCTCCAGATCTGTTCCTCACTGTTCTCCCAGTAGCTCTCAGAGTAAATCTGACACGGCAGTCCCTGGCCCTCTCGGCTCCTCCCCACTCGAATTCCAACTTTTGCAGCCATAGCTTAGGAACTAGTCTGACAAAGATGGGATTCTCCTGAGGAGTCTGGGGTGGGGGGCATTGGGGCAGAGGGGGTGGAGGTAGGGGGAGGGAGAGGTAGGGGAGTGGAGGAGGGGAGGGAGAGTGGAGGGTGGGAGCAGGTGGGCACACTGGCTGTCACAGTGGTGATCAGAGACAAGCCTGCAGTCTAACCCTGTAAAAGGTTTTCCTGAAACTCCTGATTTTGTTTAGTAGTAATGAACACCAGCTTGCATCCAATTTTTGTTTTCCTCTTTGTTGATCTACCTACCAAGTTTATCCCCTGACCTTCAGGGGACCTCACCCCAAAGCCACTGTGTGAAAACCAACCTTATTTCTAAGAATATTTCTAAGGTCTATGACCTTCTTTGGTAATCCATGACGAGGATTAACCACTCTTTTTAGAAAACCATTTTGTCCACATGCCTCACGCTCCCATTAAGTCCAGTCTATGGGCAGATCACAGGCCTCAGGATAAATGTGTAAGGAGGCCTTGTGCAAGGCCACCAGGGAGGGAGGACGCAGTGGTGCCCTCTAAGCACGTTGACATTCAAAACTCCTGAAATGCTGTGTAGAACTGTGCCGCATTTGGAGAGGGGAAGATAAAATGTGTCTGTGGGTTGGAGTCAGCCTGCAGGGTTTATAACAGAACTGTATTTTATATTTTTTGAAAAATATTAAGTTTTCCTGAACCTTTTATTTTCTAGTTGAATTAGCATTTCAACCTAAGTTTTGCTTTAATTTATGGTTCTTTTCTGAATCAAAGGTTTGTACATAGCTATGTTAAATAATGACCTCCAAACTCAAATGTGAAATTGGTGTAAAGGTTTTGACAGTGAGTTGTATTGTGAGCAGTTTAATTAAAGTTGTCTTAGTGGAGTCTACTTGTTTCTGTAGTTGGTGGTTCAGCCTGACTTCAAAACAACAAAAAATGTAAACATAGTAAATATTTCTTGAGCTCTAACATTGTGCTGACCTATAAGAGAGCCAGAAATAAGTAAAGGTTTGGTGAAGCCAGGCAAGATTATTACTGCCTGTTAGAGTAGAGGAGACAGTTTGAAATAAAATGGAAATAAATAAGGAGCTAGAGTCACCTGGACAACACTGTAGCTGTAACAAAGACACCCCAGATGGCAATGGCTCCAATGAGGGAGAAATCAATTTCTCTTTCAGGTAACTCTCCAAAGCAGGTAAGCAAGCCCTGCTCCAGGGGGCCGCCCAGGGACCTGGACTGGAGGAGTGGCTCTGCCATCCTCAACACGTGCTTTCCCTGATTGCTCCAGTCAGCCCTCTTTCTAACCAGGATAGGAAAGGAGAGAACATAACTGGGGAAAGCACCTTTTAATTTTTTTTTTTTTAGACAAGGTCTCACTCTGTCACCTAGGAGTGCAGTGGTGCAATATTGGCTCATTGCAGCCTTGACCTCCTGGGCTCAAGCAATCCTCCCATCTTAGCTTCCCAAGTACCTGGGACTACAGGTGCACACCACCATGCCTAGCTAATTTTGTCTGTTGTAGAGATGGGGGTCTTGCTATGTTTCCCAGGGTGGTCTCAAACTCCTGGGCTCAAGCATTCTTCCTCCCATCTTAGCCTCTCAAAGCACTGGGATTACAGGTGTGAGCAATCATGCCTGGCATAATTTATTTTTCTTTTTTTTTTTGAGACAGAGTCTCACTCTGTTGCCCAGGCTGGAGTGCAGTGGCGCACCTTGGCTGACTGCAACCTCTGCCTCCCGGGTTCATGCTGTTCTCCTGCCTCAGCCTCCCAAATAGCTGGGACTACAGGCACCTGCCACCATGCCCGGCTTTTTGTATTTTCAGTAGAGGCGAGGTTTCACCGTGTTAGCCAGGATGATCTCGATCTCCTGACCTTGTGATCAGCCCACCTCAGCCTCCCAAAGTGCTGGGATTATAGGCGTGAGCCACCGTGCCCGGCAGCATAATTTATTTTTCAATAGAAATTTTCAAACATACACAAATGTAGGGATAATGCAGTATAAGATATTCCCATGCGCCTATCACTGAGCTTAAACAGTTACCTTTGTATGGTCAAACTTGTATCATTTATATCCCCCAAATATGTCCCCCACCGCTTCGCTGCATTATTTAAAAGCAAATCTTAGACATCTTTAAGAAGATGATCTGGAAGTTGTACACATCACCACATCACTTGGTGAGAACTCAGTTACATGATCACACCAGACACAAGCAAGGCTGGGACATGTCTCTAGCTGGGCAGCCGTGTACCCAGGAAGAAGGAGAGAATGCCACACTTGGGATTACAGGATTTGAGGAGGTAGCCTTGAAAAAGGCCATACAGGTTGAAATCACGTGGCCCAGAGGAAGATCAAGGACATTTCTACACTGTAGTCAAATCCAACTGATGCCCAGTGCATACTGACACCTTGTGAGGGCTGCAGTGCAAGTCTTGAAAATCTTATGCACTCGCAGTTTCAGCAAATTCAGCATTTGCCAGACAAAAACAGAATAGCAAGATGAAGTGGCTTAAAAAGGCACTACCGCTCTTGCTTTTTTTCTCACCTGTGTAAACTTAGCTGAGTTAATGATTTTAGAGGGGAGAAAGTCAATATATGTGTAAATTATGAAGATGGTTTATGTGCTTCTGCTGTTGGAAACGTCTTTTAAGGTGCTATAAGGTATATGTGTATTTTAGACTTTATGTATTTTCCTGTAATAAGAGAAAAAGACACCACAGAACTTAAAATATGCAAAAGAAGAAATAGTTTACACTAGTGTAATGAATCAATTCATGTTAAAAACATTTATTGAGCATGTACTATATTTAGAAGATTGAGCTGGGTACTCCAGCAGATAGATGATAACAAACCTTCAGCCCCTGTTCTTGGAAGCTCTCAATCTGAGGGCAGACAAACATGAAAACATCTAACTATAATGCAAGACAGAATGAATCAGGTGCCATAGTTGGGTGTAGTGGACATCCATTATCTTACCTGCCCAATATCCATTCTCTTCCTGCAAGACCCTTGGTATTTCTCAGGGACCACCCCTCTCCACTCTCAGTCCCTGTGGTTTGAGTGGAGCTGAGTCAACCTTCATCCCCACAAGGGGGTGTAACCCAAGTCTAGTCAATCAGAGCAATTGTATTTTCCTGGCCCAAGTGATGAGTGGTTCATAAGTGGTCACATGCCCAGTCAAAACCAATGACCTTTGTGCTACTGTTGAGAAAAGAAACTCTTTCCTCCTCTGGGATGGCTGGATAGGATGAAAGCCTGGAACTCTGGGAAGCCCATATTGCCACTGCCTGAAAATGGAGCCCACACCAAAGGTAATTGAGCTGAGAGATGAAATGAGTGGGTCCTGATGACATCTTTTAAAACTGTCGGGTATTTCCCATGTCAAGCACTGCAGTAAGCATATCATTCACTGTTTTATTCATTCATTCGCTCACTTGCTGACTTTACCTGCGCAGTTGCATTTAATCCCTATACGGTAGTTCCCCAGCTGCTTTCTGAGGTCTCAGCTACTGGCCATCCACTGCGGTCCAAAAATCGGTGAGTACAGTACAATAAAATATTTTGAGAAAGAGACCACATTCACATAACTTTTATTACAGTATATCGTTATAACCACTCTATTTTATTATTATTGTTATTAATTTCTTAGTGTGCCTAATTTATAAGTTAAATGTTATTATAGGTATGCACATATAGGAAAAAACATAGTGTATACGTGGTTCAGACTGTCTGAGGTTTCAGGCATCCACTGAGGGTCTTGGAATATACCCCACTGGATGAGGGGGGACTACTTTAACATTAATAGAAAGTGGGTACCATTATTCTCATTGTATAGATGAACCTACTGCTAATTAATGGAAAAGGTGGGATTGAACACAGAATCAGATCTGTTTCTAATACCCTATATGGTTTCTCAAGGAGAAAATAGCTCTTATAAAACCAATGTATTCTCTTAGCACCTAGAATACAAGAGTGCATTCACTTAGAAGGGGCCCCTTATGTATTTCTCGACTGGGTGCATATTCATGGTGTAAAGAATAGTGGTGCTGTTACTTAGAGTGGGAAGCACAGGAAGAGGTGCAGGAGGAAGAGAAGGGGAAGATGAATTCAGGTGCAGCCAGGATGTGGGTACAGGAAGAGATGATATGTCCAGAGGTGAAAATGTGAGGTTGGAATAGGGCGAGAGGTAGAGAGGAACATTTAGAAATTTTCTGAGAGGAGAATTGATGAAGGACATCTTTCCACAAATGTTATCTCAGTGAGGCCTTCCTGGACCCCAAATTGCAACCTCCTTCTTCATTCCCTTTTCCTTACCTTCCCCATCTCTCCTCCCTGCTTTGTATTCTCATAGCATCAATCACCTGTATCTAAATAGATATCTGTTTGTTTTTATCTATGTCCTCTGCATCCCCATGACAATATAAGCTTTATTTGAGGAGGGAGACAGGCTGTTGTTCACGGTGGTATCCCACATGCCTAGACTAGTGCCTGGCACATAGGAGGTGCTCAAAGTATATTTGTTGAATTAATAAATGAAGGAGTGGAATTGAGTGAGATTGCTCACTGATGGCAGAGAAAAAGAAGGGTAGACAGAAGACCTCAGAAGAGGAGACCCTGGAAGTGACTGAGACAATCTAAGAGGCAGAAGACAAATCAAAGAGCCATTCCCAAGAATAAGGAAAGCAGAGGGCTTCCAGAGCAGCACAGCCAGCAGGGTCAAACGTTGCTGAGGGGCAAAATATGGCCGAGGCCATTACATCTTTGGTAATGTTACACAGCATCATGGTGTGGAGGCTCTTGGGATTCAGAGTTAAGCATGAGGGTTTGAATTTCAGTCCTGCCATTTACTAATTTACTAGTTATGTAAATTTGAATAACTCTCTAAACTTTGGAGGCTTGGTCTGTTTACCTGTAAAATGGGTATAATACTGACCCTACCTCAAAGCATAATTTTAAGGATGCACTGAATTATTATATGTGAAAGACATGTATATGTGTGAATTATTACCATTATCAGTGATTTGCAGTGGGTAGAATAAATATCTACAAATAAAGGAAGTCATGAAAAATTTTGATAAACCGTTATTGTTTGGGAATAATTGATTTCAAGACAAAACAAAATACATGATGATTCTTGCTGTCATTTTCAAACACTATGCATATATATTTGAAAATGAGCATTTGCATTTATGAATTTGAATTTGGGGCATTTTCTTTATCAGGACTGTTCCCGGCTTTTTTATACCCCTTCTTACTTAGGCTATTTATGCAAATGCACAATCCCAGACAGACAAGAGGCAACATTTCAGTTCTCTGTCAATTAGGTTGGAGAGCTGCATGCAACCATTCCCTTCCTTCCTCCACCCCCCTCGCAAGCCAATCTTATTTTTTACCCTTTGTATCAGAATGTTGCATATCCCAAGTCTTTCTAGAAAATCACTGATTTTATTTATGCATTAGCCTTTTATGTTGTAGGTTTTGAGTTAGATTTAGTCCTGGTGGCTGAAAGTTGAACATTTTCTGAATGTTTTCCCCAGAACCACAACCATATTTGGCAGCAAAGAAGCTGGAGGGATGAATAGACTTCCATGTTGCTTGGTTGTAGATAGGGAGATGCTGGCAGAAATTTGCAAGTATTTGCATATATACAATTGTCTGTGATGTTTGCTTCCACTCGTGCTCTCTTTCTCTGCCCTCTGTTCTCTTTGTGCAGTGAATTACTAATACAAATACAGATAATGAAATTTCTGATCCCAGACTGCAAAGCAAACGCACATTTTGGAAGGTATCTGGGGAAAATGGATAGGTTCTTTTGATCTTGTTGCTTTAGCCAGACAAGGAAATAAGGAGAAAGTAATTACAGGGACTTGTCTCTGAAGGTAGAATGAGTGGCACTGACAGGGTTTCTTTTCACAGAGTCTTGTAGAAATGCTATTTTCTTGTTAATACCAATAGGTATTATTCCTGGAAATAGAGTTTATGTATTAAAATGTGTGTTCAGCAGATGGGACACCGTCCACAGGAAGCAGAACAAGTTCTGTCCTTGTGGCTACAGGACAGAGTGGATCTAGGGGTGGGTGAAATTTGTCCCCAGGCTTGAGGCATTCCCCAGGGCAGCCATGACAGTGCAAATTCTAGAGGTGGAGTGAAAGTGCATTTGTCCCTGAAAGCATCCTGTGGTAAATCACCGCTCTTGCATATTCAGAAGTCGTCAGTTTCATAAGCAGAAGCGTGACTCTGTTGGGCAACTGGAGGTGGTAACTCAGTGGCTCTGATTAGGTGGCAGTGATAGCAGGAATGCTCAGCTTGCCTGACTTAAGAATATGTTCCTATTGGCTATCAGAAAGCTCCCTGGAGAAAAGAGCTGAAATGCAACTTTAATTGGCAACTTTTTAGGGTAACAAAGAACATTTTCTTATACCTATCCCTGTGGTGGACCTAAAGTTAATACATTGGTAAGTGAGCAATTCGAATTAAGTCCATGCTTTCTTAAACAAACAAGTAAACAAAGAAGTTTTAATTGTCAGTGTACTATGTACTTTATGGCACAACACGATCACCTTTGGTTTAAGAAATGCGTATCGGCTGGGCGCACTAGTGCATGCCTGTAGTCTCAGCTCCCTTCCCTGGGAGGCTGAGGTAGGAGGATCCCTTGAGTCCGGGAATTCAAATTCAGCCTAGATAATATAACAAGACCTTGTCTAAAAAAAAGCATGCCAATTCTTTTCTTCTTTTAAAATAATTTTGATTTTACCTATTGTTGACCTTTCATCATATATCATGTGGTAAACACCAATTCTGTTTGTCTGAATAGGTTTCTAAACAACTTAAGCTTGTGCTGACAGCTTGTATAAAAAGAACAAATATTTGTTTTTTATTTCATGCAAATATCGCATGCTATCAAACAAGACGGGCTTAAAGAGGCTAGGATTTTGTCTTTCATAGCTCACTAAGGGACAGCTAATCTATAGCAGAAATAATTTTAAATGTAGAAGTGCAGTGTGGAAAATACAGACCTCCCCCTGGTTGAAAACACATTAGTAGAAAAAAAAATTTAGCTGAAAAAGGTTATGAAATGCTTATCTTGTTAGACAGCTTAAAATATGTTGGGAATAGAATAAAAAAGAGAGAAATGGTTTATAAGAAAAAAGACTGTTCTAACAGCTATTACTTTATTGGAAATTAGTTTAGTGACATTAAAACTCTTTAAATAAACATATATGAAATGATATAACGTTGTGTTGAAACAAGGTTAAGTAAAAAACTGAAATAGCATTATTGTGGATAAAGTAGAGATCAAACCCTTGAAATTACGGATATTAAGGAACTCATTGGGCAATCACTGGGTTCTTTGCTTTCTTTTCATTCTTTCTTGGCATATCGTTTATGGCCCATAATGAGGTAGGTAGAGATACATTGTTATAGCTGCAGTTTAGTGGCAGAAAGTGAATGAAAGAAAATTTCTCTTAAAAATGAAAACAATATTCATCCTAATGATGCTGTTGGACTGTCCACTATGGAGATTTAAACTAGCATATGAAATTCATTTACAGATATAATGGATACCAATCTAAATATGAAATATTCATATGTATGATATTGCTTCTGTTTGGATTCCTGCTGTCTGCCATTCTAGGTGGGATTGTGGATGGATTTTCCCCTCTCACTCATTTCCTGTTCCACAATGCCTACTGTGCAATATTACTGGGCTATGTCAGCCACCTAGCTACCTTCCTGGTGTGACCGCTGTTCCTACTTTCCTTTATACAATGAAGAATTAACTGTTCAGGTACTGTCATCTGCCTTATCCAACACACTTCATAACACAGGGAGAGAATTTTAATAAGACCTCCAAGGGGCCTGTTGCCATTTTTAGAGAGAAGGTTTCCTACAAAGGAAGTGCATGGAAACTCCCAAGAGAAAGCTAAAACCCCCTGCTGAGAGGAACCCGTGTCATCCCATTTTATTGTCTACCTGTCACCACAGCCCTTGCATGATTCTGACAGGCTGCTCTTTTCTCTTGTAGCCAGTGCTGCTTAATGTCATTTTCTTGGTTGAACATCTTTATTTCTGACTTGTTACAAACCATTAACTAGTTTCCAGGTTTCAATGTCCTGGCTACTTTTGACTAGTAAGTCATTTGGCATAACAAGGTTTCCCTTTATCTTCTTGCTAAAGAAAATCTCTACAAGAAATGATCAGTGTTCCAATTTTTATGAATCCTAGCAGATAGGAAGTGCCTGTCATCGGATGCGAGGTATCTTTTCTGAAAGCATATTCCAGTTCATATAATAGAACTTGACAGACACACTGGGTAACCATTACACTTTCTGTAGAAGGCTTGAAACAATTTAGGTGAAAAGAAGAGAATTTTACAAATATACTTGCCTGGGATGGTTTGAAATAAACATAACAGCATTGTTTATAATTAGATTCCTTACATGAAATGTTTTCACACATAAAATTTTTAAAATATATTTTGAAAAGCATTCAGTAGTTTAACAGTTGTCAGTCTCTATAAATACACTTTTCAAGTGCTAGTTATTTGTAGTATTGCTAAAATGAAGACTGGCTGCTTTGGACAATGATTTAAAAATAAAATATATAGATGTGTGGCTTGACGACATATTGCTAAAGCATTAAAAAACTTAGACTTTAGTTTGCTTTGTATAAAGCTACTCAAACATGAAATTAATATAACTAATTTTTAAAATTACTCTATTTTATTAAAGTTTCAAAAATGTACTTTTTTTTTTTTTTTAAAGAGATGGGGTCTCACTCTCTTGCCCAGACTGGAGTGTGGTGGTGCTATCTTAGCTCACTACAGCCTCAGACTCCTGGGCTTAAGCAATCCTCCCACCTCAGCTTCCCAAGTAGCTGGAACCACAGGCGAATGTCACCACGCCTGGCTAATTTTTGTATTTTTAAAATAGAGGCAGGTCTTGCTATGTTGCCCAGGTTGGTCTTGAGCTCCTTGGCTCAAGTGATCCTTTCATCTCAACCTCCTAAAATGCTGGGATTATAGGCATGAGCTGCCAAGCCCAGCCAACTTTTTTAAAGAAATGAACTTAAACATCATGAGCATATATGTTAATGTAATGTTACATTATTTAAATCTTAAGTAAGAATATTTATTTATCCTTGCCGAATTAATGGATTAAGGATATTTAACGATCAGTTACTGACCCAGCAACTCCACTTCTAGGACTCTATATTAGTGAAACAGTTGAGCAAGTGCATAAGTATGTATGTTCAGTATATGCGGCATTGTAAATCATGAAAAATCTGAGACAGCTTACGAATATATTAATAAGGGAATGGATAAATGAGCCAAAGGACACCTCTAAAGTGGAACACTACATTGTTGTTTAAAAGTTGAGCTACAAATGTATGTGCTGATGTGGGCGGTGTCTTTGATATGTTGTTGAGTGGAAAAAGCAGCCTGCAGCAGTGTGTGTAGAGTGTGAGACCATTTCTGAGAACAGTGGGAACTCTCTCTCCCCACCTCCTCTGTCTTCGTAGGAACACAGAAAACAGTCTGGAAGGATACACACCGGACAACCTTTGAGTGTGAAGGCATGGGGGAAATAAGACGAAAGACCTGATCTTTTGCTTTATATACCTCCATATTATTTGAATTTAGCTTCTCCAGTGTTTATGGACACTATGAGTTAACTTGACAACCTGATTAAATAATTTAAAAAGGAAATTTCATGTCACAGAAAGGATTGGATGAAAAGAGATAAATGTAGCTACTTGAAATTTCTAACAAAGAAGCGTGGTTTCCTTCCATTCGGTTAACTCTGGCACTCAAAGAATTTGTGTCTCTCTATGAATTTTAACAAATAGAACCTCAAAATCTGGGCGCATATGCTGTCAACCCAGAGTCTATGTCATCCTGGGAGCGGCTGTGGTCCTCAGTTGATTTCTTGGTGCCGTATTTCAAATCAGCTCATAAATTATTAATAGTACATGTGTAGGTCAGAGACACACTAACCCTGACAATCATTTCATAATATTCTCTCTTTAGCATTAGAAGAGAAGAGAAGGGAGTAATCAATATGCAACATCAGAGGTATATTTCACATAGATACGGTATAGGCACTTAGAAAAAAAGAGTCAGATCTTTACAAAAACCTGTCAGCCTGGCATTAATCTTGCATTATGAATAATGTGGCTATCTATGAATCTTTAATATTTTTTAAATGATGAAATTGTATTGTATCCTCTACCAAAGCAAATTTGATAAAGTGTGAGAATAGTTTGATCAATGAAGATGTTGATATATGTGAATAAAAAAATTTAAAGCTAGCTCATTAAAGTGCAAAAAGCAACAGCTATACTTTGACCTCAGTGTAAATTTTCAGCCCAAATTGAGTTTTACCGTTATCCATAATGTCACGGAATTATTCTTTAAACAAGTTATAAAATAATTGTTTGGTTAAAACCATTATCCCACAAGACATCTCTGGTAATATACCACTAGCAACCAATTTGGTATTGGCTTCTGGTTTATAATAAGACCATCTTTGAGAATTCCTAACAAACACTTAGATTAATGTTTCATATATAAGATACAGCAGTGCTCATGAAAGATTACAAATCCAATGGCTTTGCTAGAAATACTGTTACATTTTTTTTTCCATGAAGTAATCCTGGAATAGTTTGTTCTGGTTTAATTTTCAGTGAAAGTAAGAAAAGTAGATCAAGAACTTTGCTTATGAAATTTGCCTAATGAAGAAATTTTAATCAGTGCTTGTTGAACTGAAGATAAAAATAGAGTTTGTTTCTACAGATTTGAGGAGAATTAACATGTATCTGATTGTTAATATTTGATTCTTGTTTAATTATTTATTATATCAAGGAATGAATCTGTCAAGTAAATAATGAAATGCGTACATGCAGCATATGTAATTAGGTTAGGTGCATAAATCCAAAGTGTTCACTTTATAGTTGTCAGTGCAAAATTTATTAATAATGAGAAATGTTAAGTGAAGAAAATTCTTAACACCGTCTACCTCATTAGTGTGGATTACAGCAATTGTTGGCTGAAGAAAAAGAAGGCTACAAATAGTCGTGGTTAGGCTTCATTTTCTTAGTTGTCTTTTAATCGTTTAAAAGTATTAGTGAATTGGAGCACATTGGTTTCTCTTTTTAGAAATGTATGATTTGAAACAGGAGTTGTGGATTCGAATGCATGCTGCCAACGGAATAATTCCACACTGAAAAAATACAGGCCTCAGGGTTTCTAAATCCAAACAATTATTTAAGGGGGGAAATTCAATTAACATTTGAGAAGAAAAACCTTCTTTTATGATTAAACTGTCAGATTTGAATCTGAAGATTCAGCTTTAAGTTCGCTGTGAAGGTGCATAGACAGGAGGCGATGCATCACCAGCTGTCTCTGTTTCCCCTGCCTGCCCCAGCTCAATGGGGACAGAAAGAAGCACCTTGTCAAGTACCTTCCGTGAACCCCAGGTTTGCCTGGGCTGCTGGCACAGGTGATGAAACAGGGATTTGAGGAGACCTCAGGTACCTGGGAATGAGACTTGATGGGATCGCTGAGTATGTTGGCGTGGAGATTACAGGGACCTGGTTGAGTGGGTGCCACCAACTCCATATTAAAGAATCTGACTCATAACCTGGTTAGAGTTAGGTCTGTACTTCATGTTAATCATTAATACCAATGTATGGTCTAAGGGGCAACCAACCAGAAACAAGATAATGAGATCCCACTGTGTCACTAACTAGTCTGGTAACTTCCAGAAAATTCTCTAAATTCTAGGGCCTTAGTTTCTTCACCTATCAAATTAGAGGACTGTCATTCTGGCTTTAAAGGTCTATGATTCACAGAGATGGTATTGGAATACATCAGATTTTGTGCAAGCAGTTCCATGAGTGTCTTGAAAAGAAAGGGAGAGTATGATGGTACGAACATTCATCATCTGACCAGGTATTGTTCTAGAGACACTTATACATTTATTAGAAGATGGAAGATACGATGACAAAAGGAAGTCCATGTGGTATTTTAGTAAATGACATGACTAAAAATGTCTTACTAAGGGAGTGTGGGCTGCCTTTCCTCAGCAGCGGGGACCAGAGACGTTCGAGTTAGTTACCGTGTATTGACTCCAGATAAATGACATGACTTAGCCACTACTTAAGAACTTTCTTACCTCATATATATATATATATATAATTTAAATATATATTATACATATTTAAATATATATAATATATTATAAATAATATATATTATTTATATTATATAATTTTTATATAATATAAATATATAAAATATATAAAAATATTATTTATAATATATATAAATTAAAAGAGAACTAGAAGGCCTATTTAGGATAATGAAGTGACATTACAAAACAAAGACTACATGTTACAATTTTCCTATCTGCCTTCGAGAGGGGAATGACTAATAATTTTATCTTCAAACATTTCTATGATTTACACGTTTTCAAAGAGGAATATTCTGATGGTGAATAATCCAGTTATTACATTATTTGCTAAATTAAAATAATTATTTGCTATTCTCCTGACTTAATTCTCAGATGTCTACAAACTAAAGAACTTAGGGCAAAAATGGCTTAATTCAGTCAAGAATTCATATTGTTAAAGGAAAAATCCTATGTGGGATCCATAATATGGCTAGTTATTTAGTGGGGAGAAAGCAAAGCAAAAGAGCAAATATTTTACTGCACCCTAAGAAAATATCAATTGGATTCAGCCAAGCAGTTTGCTATCGACTAAATCAATATATACCATTTTTTCAAACACTATTTTTTGGTAGAAAGAACCAATATAAGAATAATCAAAGTGTGATTGGTTTTGATCTTCAAATAAAAAGCCATCATAAGTCGCTGATACTGGCCAGGCGTGGTGGCTCACGCCTGTAATCCCAGGACTTTGGGAGGCCGAGGTGGGAGGATCACCTGAGGTTGGGTGTTTGAGACCAGCCTGGGCAACATGGTGAAACCCCGTGTCTACTAGAAATACAAAAATTAGCCAGGCGTGGTGGCATGCGCCTTTAATCCCAGCTACTTGGGAGGCCGAGGCAGGAGAATTCCTTGAACCAGGGAAGCAGAGGTTCCAGTGAGCTGAGATGGTGCCACTGCACTCCAGCTTGGCCTGGGCAACAGAGTAAGACTCCATCTCAAAAAAAAAAAAAAAAAAAGAAAGAAAAGAAAAGTTGCTGATACTTTTAGTGCCTACTCAATAGCCATCCTCCCTTATTCCTTATTCCTTGGGAGCTGCCCTGTCCAGATTCTAGAGAAAAAATAAAAAAGTTTCTAAGCCACTAAGCTTTGGGATAGTTTGGCTGCAGAAATTGATGACTGGGAAACGGACTAAAATTCAGCTTTTGTTTTGGCATTGCCTGTCCTGTCAATTCCCTGCTCTCCTGCACCGCTCCCCTTACCCTCAAAATAATTCAAGACTAAATCCTGATTAGTTATCAATTCTGATAATCTTGCCTCTCTTGCCAGTGGTAGTTTAGAGATAGTCACGTGCCCTGGTTCTGGCCAATGAGAAAAGATCTGAGGGATCTTTGGTATAATTTCTCCACTCTTAAAAAATTTGAGAACAGTCAACTTTTTTGGCTGGCCTTTGCCATGTCTTAAAGTGATGCCTGGAACTATGGCAGCCATTTTGAGACCTTGAGGAGAACTAGCTAAGGACAAGGTCAGCAAGCTGAGGATGGCAGAATTTCAGAAAGACGAGAAAAACTTGACAACATTAAACATTTTTGACCCACTAAATTAACCAAACTTAGCATCTGCTACCTTGGTACTTCCTACATGAGATACTACATTTTCTTCATTTTTAAAGCTACTACAGACAGGTTTTCTATTACTGAAATCAAAGTTATCCTAAGAAAAACAAGCAGCGTATGAAGCTTTATTTTATCACATCTGACAGAACAGCTCAGCCTTAAGTTGGGAGTAAGATTTATACAATTCTGCTGATAATATTTATTACTCATTTTAATTGTTTGCATGGTAATATTGAAGCCCCCCAACTGTTAGGAAATGTGCATTATTTTAACAATACTGGGTATCAGTAAATAAAATATGCTAAATATTGCTGAAAATAAACACTAAGTAACTCAATTTGTGTCATTATATGTGAGGAATGGGAAAAGCTTCTTGGAAGAGGTGATATTTAATCTGGACTTGGAAAGATCGGTGATATTTGAACAGTTGGACATGAAGTTCAAGGGCATTCTAGAGAATGTCATGGGAGAGGAAATGCAATAGCATGATTTGGGGATGTACTGTAGTAGACAAATAAGGCTGGAGCTGGGTTAGGTGCAGATTGTGGAGGGTCTTAAATGTCTTGCTAAGGGAGTGTGGAGTGCCTTTCCTCAGCAGTGGGGAACAGAGATATTTGAGTTAGTTACTGTGTATTGATTCCAGATAAACGAATAAAGCATATAGTATGTATATATTTTTTATAGTTTTTTTGGTATATTTTCATGAAAAGTGTGTATGATTTTAGTGAAACCATAAAAATCCATTTTCATTCCAATTTAGATTCTGTTTTAAAGTAGTTGCCAAGGAAACTAGTAAGTGACTGGTTATGCCCGATTTTCCCTAAGTTCAAAATTAGATGCAAATTCTTCAAAGAGACTACTTGAAGGCCAGTAAACATTTCAAAGGCAGTCAAGCTCAGACGCCTGGGTGTGTGGGTGCAGGAGGGTTAGAAGGGGGGTTCTGATGTTCCTGGAGGGAAGAGATGCCTTGCCTGTGTAGGCAAAGAGCTACTTTGAGGGAAAAAAGCTGAATGAGTTAGAGGTGAGTGCCCAGGAAGAGAAGCTGGAAGTGAGAGGTTCCACTGAAGTGCCTAGAAACAGACACTCTTTAATGGAGACAAGACCAAATTTCTGGAGTTTTCCTTTGTTTACATCTTTTTATCTTGTCTCGTTTCAAAAAGGAGTTAACTTTAAATATGTCCCTGAATAAACACGAGGCAGCATGACTCCATCGCAGGTAGAGATAGGACTAAAACATGATTCTCCTAAACTTTAACCCTGGAGTTAGCTCACTTAATCCTGTAAATCTCTGCAAAGACTAACTTTGTTCCCTGGCTCCTCCGTGGTTGCCAGGTGGTGGATATACATTCTACAACAGAAGAAACTGGAATCGCTAGAGGTGTCTTTTTTTAGGGCAAGGAAGCATTTCCCAGAAAACCCCAACAGATGTCCCCTGGCTTGGCCTTGGCCAGGACTGGTCACATGCTCTTTTCTAAGCCAGTGCCTGGGCAAGGGAAGGGGTTGGTCATAACGGATTTAGACTACTTAGGATTTACTTCTGGGCCAAGGAGAGGGAGGGGGTGAGGGAGGGGGTGAGGGAGGGGGTGAGGGAGGGGGTGAGGGTGGGGGCGGGGGGCTGGCCCGGCCTAAGATGGCTGGGGGTGATGCGTTCGGGGGACAAAGGAGTGCTGGACAGTTGTGTGAGCTGTAAGAAGGACCCGGAAAATACTGCAGAGTGATTGAGAGTGTAGAGGGGCCTGGGTTCTCACCTGTGCTCCCTCCCACCTTAGCTGGGTTATGCTGGGAACCTTTCAAGGCTTTGCTAAGCCTGGGTTTCCAGGAGTGCAATAAGATCGCTGTGATAAACATGTAGGTAAAGCAGTTGGCATAGTACCTTGCGTAGAATAGTCCTCAGCATATGTTTACTACTGTCGTTGTTGCTATTAATAAAAGTGACCTAGCTCCTCTCCTCGAGAAGTTCACAAGGGGCCCAAATGTGACAGGGGGAGCTATCAGAAGGCGGGAGGTGACTTCTTGCCAGGGAGCAAGCCAGGGCAAGAAGAGAGGCGCCGTGAAGCCTGCGTTCCCTCCCGCACGCGGCTTGCCTCGGTGGCCACACGGGGAGCTCAGCAAGGCCCAGGGTTCGGGAGGCGGGTCCTGCACAGCGACGCAGCCTTGTCCCGGTGGCCGCAGGCCTGGGGAGCAGGGCGCAGCACACCCGCCGCCCGCTTGCAGGCGAGACGAGAGCGGGGCGCCGGGATGCTGGCGTCCAATTTAACCACCAGGGCGCACGGGACGGAGGCCGGGGGTCCCGCTTTTCCGTCAGAGTTCGCGGTCACGAGTGGAACCCACTGAGCACTCTAGTTTCCTGGTATTTTCATGGCAGTAATTGGATGACAGAGTCAAGAGGCAGGGCCTGCGCCGACACTGACTAGCAACGCGCGGCCTCTGAGCCGCGCCCGGCCGCCCACCCCTTCCTCCTCCAGCACCGGGCCGGCTCCCCCTCCCGGCCCGGCTCGGCGGCTGGGGGGTGGGCGGAGCCGCGGCCGGGCAGTTCATTATGTTGGACAGGGCGCGTCTGCGCCTCCGGCCGCCGCGGCTCCCGGGGCCTCCGCCTGCAGCCGGCGGCGGAACGAGGGCAGGCGGCTGAGACAGGCGAGCTATTTGCATTCCCCGGCAGTCATTTTTATATGCGGAGGTAATGAAGTTGTCAGCGGCGCCCCGAGTGTGGCAGAGCCTGATATTCAAATCGCCCTGCCCGCTCCGCCTGCTCCCGCCCGCTGGTCCCGGGAGCCCCAGGCTGCGCGCGCCCGCACCGCATCGCCGCTTTGCCCCGCGACCGCGCGCGCCTCCTCGTCCTCCCCCGCGCCTTTGTTTCCGTCTCCTTCTCCTTTCCCTCCTCTTTTGTGTCGGGCCAGACTCAGCCCCAGAAACCAGCCACCCTGCCGCGTCCGACTGCCAGGGATCCCTCACGCCGCGAGGTGAGCTGGTCGCAGGTGTGGGGAAGTTCGCGGGTGCAGCTAGGCCGCCGCCCTCGCGCTCGACGCCACGCCCGCCTCCTCTTTCCTTCCCCAGGGGCCCCTTGCCCTCCCTTCACCTCCGTCTCCAAGAAAGATGACCTAGTACTGCCATTACCGTTTGGGCCTAGAGGAGTTTTCGTTCCTCTTTCCGAATGCATATTTGTGGTCATTTTTTATGATTGCAGAAACCCAACACACAGCTATTCTGTCAGGCTGCCGAGAAAAGGCTGTTCGGCAGTTGCAGCCCTGGTGAGGCAATGAGGAGGAAAGGTGGACGCACCTGCCTGGAGTGGTTGAAGGAAGGCAGTGAACATCCACGCTCCTGGGGTTGGTTTTCCTGAACCTCTGTAGCTGTGCTGCTCACTGGGGCAGCCACTGACCACAAGAGGCTGCCGAGGGCTTGCAGTGTGGCCAGGCCAGACCAGGATGTTCTCCAAGTGGGAAATACACACCCCATTGTAAAGAAGACTGTATGGAAAAAAGAATGTGAACTGGCTCATTCATCATTTAAAAACATTGATTGCATATTGAAATGATAATATTTTGGGTATATGGGGTGAAATAAAGTATCATGAATTAAATCTTTTTTTAAAAATGTGGCCACAAAGAACATTTAAATTTACACATGTGGTTCACATTATATCTCTGTGGGATCGCACTTAAGACCCAACCCCACCCATCCTCTAACTCTGCCCTCTCAGCTTGCTCTACAGGTACTTTGGAACAGGGCAGGGATGGAGGGAAGGTCCTTGTATCTTAGGGATCAAATGCCCAGGAAAATAATTAGGAGGTGTTTGGGATTATGCTGAAAACCCTGACAACACTGAATAGCAGATGTCTCTTTCTTTTCCCTTTGTTCACTGTAAAGAAAAACTTACACTCCCCCACAGCCATGCCACAATTCCATGGACCAACCATTCATGTGTGAAGGTGGGCCTCTAGGAGTGTTTTGTGCCTTTTAGGAGTTATTTGTGGCACACTAAACTTGCTGACATGCCATTTAGAAAAGTGAATACTGTGTACGCACTGTAACAACTATTCCATAAGTATTTTTGGTGTACACTGTTCCTCAGCACTCACAGGCTTCGGAGTAGGGGCTCCCGGAGTATGCATTGACACGATGCGCTGCAAATGATCCGGGCGTGGGGAAGTCCCCGAGTGTGCATTGATTCCACACACGGCCACGGCTCCTACAGGGCTTTTATGGTGCAGCTCGCCAATGATCCGTGTGTTAAAGACTCCCCAAATACACATTGACACGATAGACTGGAGTTGTTTGGGTCTATCGTGGCAATGATCCGGGGATAATGGCAGTGTCTTATACAATTTCACTGAGATTGGAGTGCTCATGGTCCTAATGGCAGAACCGGAACTGCCCCAGTTAAGTCCCACCATGGCGCCCAGTAAAGGGTGTGTGGGTCTTTGACCTTCTGCTTCATGACACTGTGGCATTGCTAATTTTACTGATATTTTAACTAACATAATTGAGTTAGCATTTTTTTCCCCCTGAAAATTCATTTTTGTAATTCAACACCTGAATTAGGGAGTCCATCTAGTGATGGTTTCATTTGGTTAATCATAAGCTAAAGACCTAGGAAAGGTCATTCTTAAACCTAAAGTGTTTTGGGAAAAATAATCGTGGGAGATGCATATGAGCTTGAGACAGAGTTAATATGGAATAAATAACCTCAGTCCTGAGAAAACCTAGTTGGCTAGGCTGAAATAGACAAGATGAGAAGGTGGGAAGAAGATGTTTTTAAAAATAATGAAAGTAACATATTCAATAAAAATAATTCAAACACTGTAGAAGTGTATGAAATAAAAAACAGAATCCTCCCACTCCTTCCTTCCTTCTTTCTATACCATTCACTGTTACAAGCACTATTAATATTTTTGTATATTCTTCCAGTAACTTAAAAACACATGCAAATATATACAGTCATGCATCTCTTAATGATGGGAATATGTTCTGAGAAATGCATCGTTAGGCGATTTCATCATTGCACGAATATCAGAGAATGTACTTATACAAACCTAGATGGTGTAGCCTACTACCCACCTAGGCTATATGGTATAGCCTATTGCTCCTAGGCTACAAACCTGTACAGCATGGTACTGTAACAGAATACTGAAGGCAATTGGCCAGGCACTGTGGCTCACGCCTGTAAATCCCTGCACTTTGGGAGGCCAAGGCTGGCCTTCAAGACCAGCCTGGCTAACATGGTGAAACCCTGTTTTTACTAAAAACCCCAAAATTAGCTGGGCTTGATGGCATACACGTGTAGTTCCAGCTACTCAGGAGGCTGAAGCAGGAGAATCACTTGAATCTGGGAGGTAAAGTTTGCAGTGAGCAGAGATCATGCCACTGCACTCCAGCCTGGGCAACACAGCAAGACTCCATCTCAAAAAAAAAAAAACAACACTGTAGGCAACTGTAACACAATGGTGAGTACTTATGTATCTAAATGTAGAAAAGGTACAGCAAAAATACAGTATAAATGGTAAAAAAAGAAAAAATACAACTGTATAGGGCACTTACCATGAATGGAGTTTGCAGGTCTAGAAGTTGCTCGGGTGAGTGGAGTGAGTGGCGAGTAAATGTGAGGGTCTAGGACATTGTGTATACTAGTGTAGGCTTTATAAACACCGTACACTTAGGCTACACTAAATTTATATTTAAAAAGGTAATTGCTCTACAACATTGTGATGGCTATATTGCCACTAGGCTATAGGAATTTTTCAGCTCCATATTAATCTTATGGGTCCACTGTTGTATATTTGGTCCATTGTTGACCGAAATGTCATTATGTGGTGCATGACTGTATATCTACTCTTTGTTTACACAAATGGGTTAATGCTGAATGTTAATCTTCAACATCTTATATTTTCAATTAATAATACAGTCATGTGCCCCATAATGATGTTTTGATCAGCAATGGACTGCATATACGATAGTGGCCCTGTAAGATTACCGTGGAGCTGAAAAATTCCTATCGCCTGGTGATGTCTTAGCCCTTGTAACATCTTAATGCAACACATTAGTTGTGTGCTTGTGGTGGTGTCAGTGTAAACAAACCTACTGCGTTGCCAGTTATTTAAAAGTATACCACATACCACAGTATGCCACATTATCAAGTACATAATCCTAGATAATAACAATAAACAACTGTTACTAGTTTATGCATTTACTATACTATTTATTATTATTTTAGACTACTTTCTACACATGCATACACACATATTTATACACACATATATGTATAAAAGTTAACTATAAAACAGCCACAGGCAGGTCCTTCAGAAGGATTCTAGAAGAAGGAATTTTAATAGAGGAGATGGGGGTGGGCACGGTGGCTCACACCTGTAATCCCAGCACTTTGAGATGTCAAGGTGGGTGGATGACCTGAGGTCAGGAGTTCGAGACCAGCCTGGCCAACATGGTGAAACTCTATCTCTACTAAAAATACAAAAATTAGCTGGGTGTGGTGGCAGGCACCTGTAATCCCAGCTACTTGGGAGGCTGAGGCAGAAGAATCGCTTGAACCCAGGAGGCAGAGGTTGCGGTGAGTGGAGATCATGCCATTGCACTCCAGCCTGGGTGATAAGAGCAAAAAAAAAAAAAAAAAAAAAATGAGATGGCAGTTCTATGCACTGATGACCTTACAATGGGACAAGATGTGGGGATGGAAGACAGTGATATTAATGATCCTGATCCTGTGTAGGCCTAGGCTAATGTATCTGTTTGTGTCTTAGTTTTCAACAAAATATTTAAAAATTAAAAACAATAAAAAATAAAAATTTTAAAAATAGAGAACAGCTGATATAAATAAGGATAAAAAGGAATTAAATAATTTTGTACAGCTATACAATCTGTGTTTTAAGGTACGTATTATTACAAAAGAATCAAAAGGTTAAAAAAATTAAAAATTTTATAAAGTAAAAAGTTATAGTAAGCTAAGTTTATTATTGAAGAAAGAAAATAATTAATAAATTTAGTGTGGCCTAAGTATACAGAGTTTATTTATTATTTTCACTTTTTATTTTTTTGAGATGGGGTCTTTCTATGTTACCCAGGCTGGATTAGAACTCCTGGGCTCAAGTGATCCTCCTGCCTCAGCCTCTTGAGTAGCTGGGATTACAGACGTGCATCACCATTCCTGGCTAGAGTATAGAGCTTATAAAGTCTATAGTAATGTGCAGTAATGTCCTAGGTCTTCACATTCGCTGTCTACTCATTCACTGACTTACTCAGAGACACTTTCAGTCCTGAAAGTTCCATTCATGGTAAGTGCTTTATACAGGTGTACCATTTTTAATCTTTTTTTTTTTTTTGAGGTGGAGTCTCGCTCTGTCGCCCAGGCTGGAGTACAGTGGTGCGATCTTGGCTCCCTGCAACTTCTGCCTCCCAGGTTCAAGCGATTTTCCTGCCTCAGCTTCCTGAGTAGCTGGGACTACAGGTGCGTGCAACCATGCCCAGCTAATTTTTTGTGTTTTTAGTAGAAACGGGGTTTCACCATGTTAGCCAGGATGGTGTTTATCTCCTGACCTCATGATCTGCCAGCCTCGGCCTCCCAAAGTGCATTTTTTATCTTTTATACTGTATTTTTACTGTACATCTCCTATGTTTAGATACACAAATACTCATCATTGTATTACAATTGCTACAGTATTCAGTACAGTACCATGCTGTACAGGTCTGTAGTCTAGGAGCAATAGGCTACACCATCTCGCCTAGGTGTGTAGTAGGCTCTATGATCTAAGTTTGTGTAAGTATACTCTATGATGTTTGCACAATGATGAAATCACCTAACGACACCTCTGTCAGAAAGTATCCCCATCATTAAGTGATGCATGTCTATTGAACTTTACTCCTTCTTAGCACATTTAGATCTGTGGCGTCCTTTTAAATAACTGCATGGAATTCCAGGGTATGGATATAACAATGTTTAGATGTATGCTATTTCAATCATTACTGCAGTGAATATCCTTATAAGTCACATTTGAAAATTTGTGCAAGTATGTTCATAAAATAAATTTTTAGCAGTGGAAATGGAGCTAAAAAGACGTACATTAAAAATGTTGATATATATTGCCAAGCTGATCATCTTACACACCGACTAACAGTATGTGTGCTTAGTTTCCCACTCCAGGCTAACGTTTTATCGTGGAAGACACTTCTAATGTGTGACAGTGAATTTCCCGCCGATTTCTCTGCATAGCTTTATGGTGAGAGTCCAGTGCTGGGGACAGTGATAAGTTCAGTGAACTGCAGAAGCCAGACTACAGAGTAGTAAGTCCTGTTAGCCAAGATAAAACAATGGTTGAGCTACAAATCACACTGAGAGCAGATGAATTTTGGTAATAACCTATCAACCTGGGAGAATCAGAATTAGAGCACATTAATTCATGATTCAGCAAATATTTATTGTGAGGTTATAAGCAACTCCTCCACTGAATAAGCCCCTTGAAAGCAGGAGCTTTGGCCTCCACAGAATTGTAGAATGCGGCCTGGTTGAGAGTTGTTTTTATTGTTGGTGTTGTTTGTTTGCTTAATTGGCCACTTCCTGTGTACCAGGTGCCTGGCTCTGTGTAAAGCCGGGGATTCAAGATGGCTGACATGTTATTCTTGGTTCCAGGAGCTCCGGGTAGGAGAGACAGTGGGATGTAAACCAGTCTGAAAAGTCACAGAGTACAGGCAAAGTAAACATTGAGCAACTGACTTGCACGGAGTACATAAATTTCCCCAAAGTTCAATATTTGAGCCGGGTCTTGGAAGATGAGTAGGGAATGATTTCCAGATTAAGGAAGGACTTTTAGACAGAGGAAACCACGATGAAAGAGGTGGAGCTTTGTGGAATGCCCATGTGAATGGCACAGGGGTTGTGTGTCAGGGAGAAAGGAGAGCAGAAGGGCATGTGCTTCCTACTTACAAGGTGCCAGGAGTGTAAGGGAGAGACTTAGGGAAGGAGTGGGTGTTCCCATTCAGGCTGTATATCTGAATTGTAGTGGGGCACTGGTAAGCCATGAACATCCCATAGCTTTAATGTGCCTCATTTGTAAAATGGCTAGATCATTTCTAATATTTTTATCAGCTCAAAAATCTTTTGGCTTTTGAGCCACAGGACTTGAACTTGCCTGAAAGGTTTTTATCTTCCAATCTGCATACTGCAGAGCATTGTGTGATACCTAAGAGTGTTCCTTTACTATGGTAGTAAGGGGCTGCTTATAATTTGCTGGAATTAACAACCAGGGGCACTTACTGTGACCTCAAATACTTTATATGCCTTTTGGCAAAACAGAAAAAGAAAGAAATACAAGAAAATAAAAGAAAAGAAGAGAAGAGGATACTAGTAAAAATGAAGAAAAGTGAAAAGCGGGACATAGGAATCTTCTGGTAATTACTCTTTATATGCAGCTGAATCCTATCTCCAGTCTTGAAGTTGAACAGACGTTGCTTAAATGGTTTCTCTGAAGTACATTGCAGAGTTGGATGTCAAGTGTCCTCTTTCTTGGGATTCACACGCTGAATGAATTTTATTGGACTTGATAAGCTTGCCATCATGTCCTCCTCTGTGGCAAAGGGAAACATTCTGACTGAGGCAGTGTCTAAAGATAGAGAGAACCCTGGGACCTATTGATTAGAGACCTCCCTTCAAGCTGACACCAGTACTATTTGAGAATTATTACCAAGCCCACCTTGCCCAAAAGAATGAAGGACTTGTTTAAAGTTTGTGCTGACTTTCAGATGAACTATACATAGTTCCCCCAATTTTTAGACTCAGACTTTTCCAAGTGGTATTTGAGGCTATCTAGAAGCAAACAAAAGAAACACAAGCAGATAGCCCATAAGACCAAACATGTGCCATCATAACATCTCTTGTGACCAGTGACTCACCTAAGATGAGGGAGTTTGCTGAATTTATTGAATTATTGAAGAAGGATGCCTTGCCAGCCCTGTCAGTCACTAGAGTCTTGGATTTTACAAAGGAAAGCGAGAGGTCTAAGAGGCTCTGCTAAAACCTCCGAGAGTCAAGCCATCTGTCCCACATTGATATTGGGGATTTCCAAAATAGCTTCCTATGAGATCACCTTGCATGTGGAATCCATGGCAGACACCTCCAGGGGGACTCCTGATGGAACCAAATGTGATATTTTCATTGGCATGGAGCAAGGACTGGCCGGTGAAAACAAATTTCTGATTTCCTCAGAAATTCAAGGGCAGCACAGGGTTACTGATAGTATGACAAGAGAGGGATCTTACTGTGTGGGTGAGGAGGTGCCAATCCCAAATTACTGTCAGGATTTTGGGGACCTGCAGTCTTTGTTCAGACAGTGGAATTCTTCATCCATGATTCACTCCCAGATACTCCCAGAGTAAAGATTGTTTTGGAAGAATGGTCATTGTGAAAGAGCATATCCCTCTACCAGTATCAAGAGAGCTACTGGCAGAGTATGTCATACATATCATTGGGTGTCAGGAAACTTAAGTATTTCTATGTCAGTAAAGACCAGGAGACCCATGTGGAGCCATAAGCACCAGATGAAAGTAATGATGGTTGATAGTCCCCAGCTGGCGAGACATTTGCCTGGCCATTTACCAAGATTATTGAAACTAATATCACAGTAGTTGTTTAGTTGATATTTCTGGAGCTATGCTGCAGTTGTGGAGTTTGAGTCCTTCTTGGCAAAACTTAGGAAAATATTGGATCAATCAGAATTAGAGTTCCAAAAGTGTTTCTAGGCTTATGATCTTGCAAAGTAACTGGACCGTATCCAGATGCTCAATAAGGACCGATCAAATGAATGAGTGAAGAAGGAAGAAAGGAATGACCTAATATTATATAAACAGTAAAATGGCTCCAGAATTGTTTTTATCTAGTTTGATGGTACCTGTAAACAAGGAGAGAAATGATTGTAAGCCTAAACATGTAGGTGATAGGATTTAACTACTTTTCACCAGAAGTTGTAAAAAGAGAAAACAAAGAAAAAAATGATCAATTTCTAATTCTTTCATGTCCTTTGAAAAACACAGTCATAGGAAGATCTCTCAAAGTAAACTGCATTTAATTCTGGACATGTTATCAATTAACTTGAAATCATAAGTTTTGAATCTAAAGAGATAGCTTTGAATATGTCACATATATACCTAATGAACTGTACTAGTGTCTCAATATTTAAAGCCTGTGAAGCTCCTAACATGGAGGTGGGAATGGAGAAGAAGAGCCCCATAGACACTTGCAAAGGTCATTCCAAGTTTATGAAAAAATCAGATTGTTGAAGTGAAGCAGGAAGTTTCCAAGAAAGAATCAGATTTTCTTTCTACCTGAGAAAACACATAACATCTTTGGCAAATGAAATTAAAACTGCACATGAAAGATTGAGTTCCTGTAAAAGTCACTTAACTGGGAAAGACACAACCACATATTTTATACCATGGAGCTGCAGAAAGTTCAGTGTCATATCAAATAATTATTTTCTCAGCACAAAATGTAAGACATCTTGAGGATGAAATTTCAAGACAGTAAGTTTCATTTGGCATCAACATTTTAGCATCCGATCTTAAGGGACCCCCAAAACTGTAAGACAGAGAAAGCAACTATTCAGTCGCCAATGTAGCTGCTTTAAGAAGCACTGGGCATTTCTTTCTTCCTTATTTTTAAAATTTAGATTCAGGGAGTACATGTGCAGGTTTGTTACATGGGTATATTGCAGAAGCACTGGGTATTTCTGTATCTGGTAAATTCAGAGATAGTCTCCCAGTGTACTTTGTTTTGCAGGTTTAAATATTCCATGATTGAATATACTACTACAATAATTTTCAAAGTGAGGTTAGCAGACTTGATACATCAAGATGCTTGTTCAGTTTCAAAGGCAAATTTTTCTACCCTTGAAATCAGCAGTAAAACCTCCCTGGGCGATTCTTTTTTTTTTTTTTTTTTTTTTTGAGACAGAGTCTCGCTCTGTTGCCCAGGCTGGAGTGCAGTGGCGCGATCTCAACTCACTGCAAGCTCCACCTCCCGGGCTCACGCCATTCTCCTGCCTCAGCCTCCTGAGTAGCTGGGACTACAGGCGCCCGCCACCACGCCCGGCTAATTTTTTGTATTTTTAGTACAGACGGGGTTTCACCATGTTAGCCAGGATGGTCTAGATTTCCTGGCCTCGTGATTCGTCCGCCTCGGCCTCCCAAAGTGCTGGGATTACAGGCGTGAGCCACTGCTCCTGGCCCCCTGGGCGATTCTTAAGCACATGGAACTTCGATAACTTTTAGAACTTTGATTAGGGTTGTGATTGTAGATCTAAAGTTCTTGGTTAGTTCCTTTAAATATTGGGAATTATATGCTGGAGGAAGTAGGCATGGTTAAACAAATATTTCTTTTTAAAAATTAAAACAGCCTTATTATTTTTCTCTATAGAAAAATGGTACATGCTCATTATAAAAAAATAAAAAATGTTAGCATATAGAGAAGAGGCCGGGTGCGGTGGCTCACGCCTGTAATCCCAGCACTTTGGGAGGCTGAGGTGGTAGATCACGAGGTCAGGAGTTTGAGACCAGCATGGCCAACATAGTGAAACCCATCTCTACTAAAAATACAAAAATTAGCTGGGCGTGCTGATGCATGCCTGTTAAGTCCAGCTGCTTGGGAGGCTGAGACTGAAGAATTGCTTGAACCCGGGAGGCGAAGGTTGCAACGGGCTGAGATCACACCATTGCACTCCAGCCTGGGTGCAAGACTCCGTCTTGAAAAAAAAAATAAATAAAAAATAAATATATATATATATGAGAAAGTATTTTATATACTCTTTTTAAGATTAGTGATATTAACCCTTTAAAATCATATTTGTTGCTAATATTTTTCTCAGATTGTCATTTGCTTATTTTTTACCTATAGTTTTTATGAAATAAATTTTTTATGAAATAAAATTTTATGAAATAAAATTTATCAATTTACATTTTTATGAAATACAATTTATGAAATAAAATTTTTCTCTTTTCATTTCTGGCCTTTGACTTATGATAAGAAAGACTGTTACTTCCCTGGATAATAAAAATCTTCATGTGTTTTTCTCCTATACTTTTCCATTTTTCCAATCTTTACATTTAAAGTGTTGATCCCACTGGAATTTAACGCAGTATAAATAATAAAGCTGGGATCCAGCTCTATTTATTTTGTCCAAATGGCTAGCTAGTTTTTTCAAGATCATTTCTTTTTGTTATGTATGAAGACCATTTCCCATTTCTTGAATAATTTATCTTATTCCCACTGATGTAAAATGCTACTTTGATTATGTACTAAATGTCTAAACATACTTTCTGGCCCTACCATGGCAATTTGGTCAGTCTGTGTATTTCTGTGTCAGCACCATACATTTTAATATCTCATTACTCTTATGTTTAGAATTTTCTTGGCTAGCTATTCTTGAATGTTTATTCTTCCAGATAAGCTTTAGAATTATTTTTCAAAGTTTCAAGAAAGATCCTGTTGGGACTTTCATTAGAATTATGTAACTTATACAATATATGTTTACATAAATTTATAAATTAACTTGGGGGAGAACTGGCTTTTTTGCAATTTTGAGTCTCCTTATGTGATAATATAAGAAGAGACATGATTTCTCAAATAGCTCAAAACTTTGTTGAAACCTCCTTCTCTCTCTCTCTCTCTGTGTGTGTGTGTGTGTGTGTGTGTGATCACAAATAGATTTTGCCTGTTTCTTGTAAGGTTTATTTCTGGGAATTTTACAGGGTTTTGTTGGCTTATGATTAACCATATGGTTCTAAGGTATGTGCGTAGACCTATGTGTGGCCTAACATGTAAGCCTGGAGCTAGATTGCTGTGGTTTTAGGGAATTGGTATGTGATAGAAGACTGTGTTTTAGAGATAAACCCAAATGGATCTTTAACGTAGTTTACAAGTTGCCATGAGGCTTTGGATAGATTCTTCTTTCTAAGCTTCTTTTCCCACATGTGTACAATAGGAAATCTTGAAGGGATTTGTAAGCATTGAATTGTCTAACATAGCGCTTAGCAAATAGTGGGTCATCAGATATGGGAGCAGTTTGAAGGCCAAGTCAGTCTCAAAATTCCTTGCAATGTTGAGATTCCTTGATGCTTTCAAAAAAGTATTTATACTTGGCAGAGTTTTAAAAAATGCTTGTAATAAAAGCACTGTTCTAATAGTGCCCTCTCCCCTCCTCTGATGGCATATTTGATGTGACAAAGAGAGCTCATGCAATGACTGTCTTGTTCTGAGCACCATCACTGCTGAAAGGTTTCATCTCAGTCACATCGCAATGGGGGGCCTGGTTCTTTCTTCTTACACTGTTAATTAATGGTCCACTGGGGAATTAGGGGAGGGACTTCAATGTGTTAATGGCTTAGTAAAGTACATCTGAGGCACTCAGACCATTTGGAGTACCCAGTTAAGAATGATTTGCCACGTACAGGAGAGCTGAAAGAAGACTTTCAGGAACATGGGCATTCAGCTAAACCAATAGTTAGCCCCACACTTTTAACGGCATAATCGCCAACATAACCATTTCAGCATAATAGCCTTTTAATCCAGAAACAATTACTTTGGATAATAAAGTAACACTTTAATTTGCTTGACACAAAATTTGACCTATGTGGATCATATAATGGTGAGGTGAGGGGAAGGGGAGTCTGTTGACTTCTAAATACATTATAAAGCGACAACACATAATATACTTTAGGCCTGGGGTGCTGTAAATGGCTTAGCAGAAAAATAAAATGATCCGGATCAGCTATTGCTTTGGAATTTATGAAATACTTCATTATTTGGACATTGGTTTCCTTAGGAAGGATAGCTAAACCTTGAAGTTGATGCATGTTGATTAAATTTGTTCATTTTGAACACCTACTACGGGAAGTGCTATGGGTGATACAATCAGTCAGCACACTTTTACTGAGTAAAAGATAATGCTGTTCCCTCAGAGGGTGATGTAAATCACACGTGTTGCTTCACTATAGCAATATCTTTTTTTTTTTTTTTTT
This sequence comes from Homo sapiens, assembly GCF_000001405.40. Classification (NCBI taxonomy): domain Eukaryota; kingdom Metazoa; phylum Chordata; class Mammalia; order Primates; family Hominidae; genus Homo; species Homo sapiens. The sequence goes on from NC_000007.14 coordinate 26,411,074, forward strand.
TTTTTTTTTTGAGGCAGGGTCTCACTCTGTCACCCAGGGCTCACTGCAACCTCTGCCTCCCAGGCTTAAATGATCCTCCCACCTCAGCCTCCTGAATAGCTGGGACCACAGGTGCATGCCACCATGCCTTGTTAATTTTTGTATTTTTTGTAGAGATGGGGTTTCACCATGTTGCCCAGGCTGGCCTCGAACTCCTGAGCTCAAGTGATCCTCCTGCCACGGCCTCCCAAAGTGCTGGGATTATAGGCGTGAGCCACTGTGCCTGGCTGCGTATCTTTGTATCTAGCTTTTGGCCATTGTTAGCTGCTTCTGTTTTGTTTTTAATTGAATTAATTTTCTTAAATGTTTTCAAATTCTTTTGGGAAGTAGATGAGTTTTAAATCCTAAAAGGTTCCACATATACACCTACTAAGTGGGTGAGTGAAATAGCTAATCTATATTCTTGGTATAGGCGAGGACTCTTGTTTTTTCATTTGGAAGAAGAGCTGGGACCAGGCTTGAGAGACTTGTGCTATATAATATCAGGAATTCCAAAAAGCCTCATCTTGTGCCTGATTCAAAATACTATGCCTACTGTATAGCGGATAGTTAAAATCTGACAATTAATTCCTGTCAGCTAACTACATCTCTCATTAAATTCCAACTGTTTCCTGGGAAGTAGTAAAGGTTACTGGCCATTTACACCTTAGTAAGAATGAATTTATAACAGCTTTCTTAAAGTAAGTAAAGGAGATATTATTAAGTACTAAAAAAAAATGCAGGCTGCTAGCTAAAATATTCTAACAATTTACGATTAAGAATAAGATGGTTTATAAAGTCTTTTCTTGAAAGTAGATTTTGATGTATTAGAGATGGGATCATACTGGATATATAATTTTGTATGTTAATCTTGTTTTGTATTTAACATTATAGCATAGGTATTTTCTCATTAAAAAGTCTTTGATACTATCCCTCTGTTAGGGACTGAATTGTGTTCCCTCCAAAATCCATATGTTGAAGCCCTAAGCACAAATGTGACTGTATTTGGATATCGTGCCTTTATGGAAGTGATTAAGGTTAAAGGAGGTGATATAGATGGGGCCCTGATTCGACACAATTTGTATCTTTCTAGGAAGAGACACTAGAGAGACACTCAGCTGCAGTGAGAATACACAGGCATCTTCAAGGTAGGAAGAGATTCTTCACCAGAAACTTCCCGTGCTGAGCTTCGATCTGGGACTTCCAGAATCGTCAGAAAGTACATTTCTGTTTATAAATACCAGTCTATGGTATTTTGTTATGGTAGCCTGAGCCGACCAATATACCCTCCAATGGCTGCATACTATTCTGATGAATGCCCTGGCTGGAATTATTTTTCTGTTCTCCCACTGTTGGACAGTTATTGGTTTATAACATGGAAGATACTGTTAGGTCTGTGAACTACCCTTTTATAGATGGCTTTGCTTCCTTTTTTCCTTTGGATTTTTGAAAGTTGGGCTTTCCTTCTCTGAGATATGCCTGTGCATAAAAACAGTCATCATTATTAAGGGGGCTTCTTGCCTTTTCAGGATGAGGGGTCTGCAGGTTTAAGTATCCTAGATCAGGGCTGTGCAAACTGTGGTCTCTGGGCCAGTGCCCGTCTGTGAACAATTTGCTACTCATCCACAATGAGACAAATACAGAAATCACGAGGAAATATTTAGAAACCTTCATAGCAATTTGACATTGCTGTAGCATCCAAGAAGTGGTCAGGGGATGGTCTTGCAGTGTATAGAACAGATCAGGTCATGAGTTTTACGTAGTGGGACTCTGTGGGCATTTTAGGATTCTGATTCAGCCCATGTAAATTGTAGAAAACAAACAACTGGTTCTACACCTGAGATGTACTGAGAAGAGTGGAGGATGCACGAAACTCCTAAAACCTTTAGAGCAAAGAGTTGCAAATAGTAGTTAAGGGACAGATATGGTTGAAACTCCAGTGCTGCCTCTTATTTGCTTTGAGACCTTTGCCAGACTACTAAAGCTCGCTGTGTATTGGTTTCCTCAATTGCAAAAACAGGAGTAACAATAGAATTAACTTCATAATATGATCCTACAGAGAAAGGACTTGGCATATTGCCTGGTATGTATCAAGTGCTCAGTAAATAGAAGCTACCATTACTATGTCACTAAACATCATGCAAGCAGCAGTTTGTGGAAGGGTTCCTTTATTTGTTATTATTGCAAAACCCAAAGCTCTTGAGTGAAGCAGCATTCCCCTCTTTTTATCAGCCTATTTGTGATCCAGGAGCTGGTGTTTGTCTTCTACACAGGTTGGGACCGCATCCCTTGCAGGGCAGCCTGGATTAGAGGTGACAGGCCAGGAAATCACAGACCCTTTAGAGCACCCTCTCCACTCCTTCCTGCACTGTCACCAGCTCATCAAAAGCTCTGTTTATCTCACAGTTGCCAGATGTCTGTCTTTTTGAGGTTGTCCTGAATTTTATTGCCCTGTCCTGTTTACAGTCCTCATGGGCACACAATGGCCTGAGCCCAGGGAGAAGCTGTATATCCATGACGTGTCCTGTCAACATCCTGGCACATTGGGACCCCCATTCTGCTACTGCTATTGACCCACTCCCTACCTTGCAGGCTTGATGGAGGGGGAGAGCAGAAAGAGGGTCAGAGCTGGTGTTTGAGGATCTGGATTCTTATCCTGGCTCTGCTGCTTATGGCCCCTCAGCCCCAGTGTCCTCATCTGTAAAATGGGGACCGTAACACCAACCTCACTGTGAGTATGGTGACTGAATGAGAGCCGCTGAAAAGTGTTCTAGTGCATAACACATGCAACTTTCTTTCCATCCTGCCAGCACTGATCTTCTCTCTGCCTCTTAGTGCTGTGCTAAGTGTACAGTAGTCCTCCCTTATCAGAGCTTTCCATGGTTTCAGTTACCCATGGTCAACCTTGGTCCAAATTCCAGAAATAAATAATTCATAAGTTTTAAATCATGCTTCATTCTGAGTAGCATGATGAAACCTCAAGCTGTCACACTCTGTCCTACCCACGATGGGAATCATCACTTTGTCCAGGAGAGATGATTGGGGGACCGTAAAATAAGGGTTCCTTGAATCTCATTTTGCCTTATTTCAGGGAACTCTTATTTTACTTACTAATGTCCCCAGAGTGCAGAGCAGTGATGCTGGCATATTGTTGTAGTTGTTCTATTTTATTTTACTTATTGTTGTTAATTTACTATCTTTAATTTATAAATTACTGTGCCTAATTTATAAATTAGACTTTATCATATATATATATATATATATATATATATATATATATATATATATACAGAAAAAACATAGTATATATAGGGTTGGCTATAATCCCAGGTTTCAGGCATCCACTGGAGGGTCTTGTAACATTTCATCTGAGAATAAGGGGGACTACTCTACAAAGCATTGTACAAAGGGAATTCCTCACTAGAATATATGTTCCATAAAGCCAGAGATTTGTCCATTTTATTTGTTGCTCTATCCCAAGTTCTAGAATAATGCCTGGTGACAGTAGATGCTTTATTGACATATGTTGAACAAATTAATTAAAATGAGTTATACACTCACATTTCTTGGTGTCTCCTTTAGGATATTTTCAACTCTAAGCAACAGAAAACCCTGACTCCAAAGAGGATATTGATTATTCCATAAACCAGAGAAGTCTGGAAGTAGAGAGGTTCTGTGGGTGGTTAGTTTCATGGCCCATAAGCATCATCTCTAGCCCAGGTCCTTCCCACCTTTCCACCCTGTCCTTCTCAGGCTGGTTGCCCTCAGAGTCATAAACAGTTGATGCAGTTCCAGGCATCACATATAGACAGTGACATCAGGTTGAAGCAGAGAGAGACTCTCTCTTCCTTGTGTATCTTTTCAAGAATGTAGAAATCTGTTCCCAAAATCCTCTACTTGACTTTTGTTCGCTTGCCTATTCCTGGTTTAGGCAATCACAAGCTTGGCCCAGTAAGGATTAACCCTGAGTTACGTGTGGGAAAGTTAATACCTAAAAAGTTCTGGCCTTTGTCAAAAAGGAAGAAGAGAGGGCAACCAAGAATGTCAGATCCACCTACTCTTTGGAGTCTTAGAAAAAAAAGAGCCAGGAATGGTGGCTCAGGCCTGTAATCCCAGCATTTTGGGAGGCCAAGGCGGGAGGATTGCTTGAGTCCAGAAGTTTTAGATCAGCCTGGGCAACACAGCAAGACCTCATCTCTACAAAAAAATAAAAAAATTAGCCATGTGTGGTGGTGTGAACCTGTGGTCCCAGCTACTTGGGAGGCTGAGGTGGGAGGATTGCTTGAGCCCAGAAGGTTGAGGCTGCAATGAACCGTGGTCGTGCCACTGCACTGCAGCCTGGGCGAGAGAGCAAGACTCTGTTTCAAAAAAAAAAAAAAAGATTAAGCAAAAATTAAACTTGTTTAATTAAGTATGTGTGTGAATCAGTAAATGTTTATGTTATATGCAAATAAAGAACTGGGAATAATAAGTGTAGAAGGAATTGCATTTTGGGAGTTGGGGGAGAAAATACACCCTTCCCAGCTGCCTGATTCAAGCCCAAATGTATTTAGAGTTGACAACTGGCTAATAAAAGGGGGTGCTTAAATGCAAGATGATGTAGCATAAGTTATATTTGCAGTGCTATAATAGCTTATGGATTAAGTTGGGGATTCAGACCCACCATAACAGTTGCAGAATAATCTCATTAATGCATCTCCTAATTCATTGCATGTACTAGTTCACTTGACCAGGCTAGTTGTTTACTCTGGTCTTTTTAAGGGAGAAATGGTTTACAAAGGAAACAGATAGTCCAAGTAGGAGTACAGGGAATGGGTTAAATGATTTTTAATATTCTGGCTTATCAAACCTCATGTGCGAAACATATCTATTTATTTAATCTAGCCCCTGGAACCTATCCTTGGCACACTTAATGGCCTGTGGTTGAAGGCACTACATGCATTTGGAATTAACCACACCAGTATAGTCTAAAATACTTTGAAATGCAAATTCCCTTAATTTGGCCATTACCCTTCCTGCAGTTAGTTTGAATTTCTGAGGTTTTCTTGAATCTCCAGAGCTCAGGGTACTTGGTAATCAGACCACAGGAAGCCTGTCCTTGTTTCTGGTGCTGCTACTATGACACTGTTGAGGTTCAGCTGTGGGCCCACATTTAGTGGAACCAGCATATGACACATCAGATGCCAAGCGTGAAGCCTGGGTAACCAGACTGCCTGTGTTCACACCCCAGCTTGGCCAGTGGTTATTTGTGTAAACCTTGGGTAAGATACTATCTCTCCATGCCTCAGTTTCCCATCTGTAAATGGGAATAATAGTAGTACCTACCTTATAGTGTTGTTGTGATAAGTACTTGAATTAGTATACATTAAGTTCCTGAAACAGTGGACAGTACCGTAATATAACATGGTTGGTATTTATTATATTATAAAAATGTTTACTATTTTAATAACATATCATATATATAAATTTGATATAAATAAATTGAATCATACATGTTATGATTCAAAGGAATTGTTTAGTCAATTATGATTAAGTGTGTGGCAAGTTGGCCGGGCACGGTGGCTCATGCCTTCAATCCCAGCACTTTGGGAGGCTGAGGCGGGTGGATCACAAGGATCGAGAGCATCCTGGCTAACACGGTGAAACCCTGTCTCTACTAAAAAATATAAAAAAATTAGCCGGGTGTGGTGGCGGGCGCCTGTAGTCCCAGCTACTCGGGAGGCTGAGGCAGGAGAATGGTGTGAGCCTGGGAGGCAGAGGTTGCAGTTAGCCAAGATCGCACCACTGCACTCTAGCCTGGGTGACAGTGTGAGACTCCATCTCAAGAAAACCCAAAAAAACCCAAAAAAGCCTGTGACAAGTCACTTTCTTTCCAGGTCCCTAGAAATGCAACATTTTTTTCAATGCCCAGGGAAGTTTTGCCCAGCTTGCCTCTAATACAGCAGCCATATTGTAGCAGAGGAATTGTTTTATGGGTTGCAACATTTAAATAAAAGCTTATTAATTAACTACTCAATTCCTTCTGAGGCAGTTTGCAATGGTTTTATTTCAATGTATACTGAAGGGCATTCTCACTTCTGCCTCCCACTGTGTTAAACATAACAGACATTGAATATACACTTATAGCATTGAACTAAGATAAAAATGTTTGTTTAGGCTTGAACTTAGTTGACTTAACTTCTATCATTTGTTTAGAAATTGTCATTTCTTTGCTTTAAGAGCTGGAAAAAATTGCACTAAATAGCAACCTATTTAGACATTTTAAAATACAATTCTTCTGCATGAATTATCCCCATAGAGGTCCGGTTGTGTCTGAGTTTGCTAATGAATCGAGTCACACTCTATTTGTGTTGATGGATTCCAGGCTTTAACACTCTAAGGCTGTTCTTCTAATGTAGGTGTGTGTCACATGTTGTGTTATTATCCACATAGTTCTGAGCAGTGTGAATCGTATGGATATTGGAGAGGTACTTTTTTTTATCTCCTATATTCAAGCTGGGAGTGAAGGGAAAGCAACTTACTTGCTGTCAGTTCCTGGAATTTTTTCTACCCATGCAAGTAGTAGGGCATTGTCTCAATTTATGTTCTACTATTGATGGAGCCCCTACACTGAACTTTCTGGGAAAAGCCAGGAGCTTACTCCTAGGAAGACATCAGGATGAAGGCTCATGACCAGCTTAACATGGCTCTCTGGCATTTCTATGAATCAATCCTTTTATTGACCCCAACCAGGGCGAATTTGAAAGCAGGATCCTTTCAAAGCCCTGGCCTCAAGTTATAGTGCACCCAATTTCTGACTTTATATTCCTATCTGTTGTAGACTTTCCATGCTTTCCTATAGTGCTTATCACAAAATCAGTTGTCCTTTGTGTTTCTTTTCCTGAGTATTTGCAGGAATGAGTCAGATCTTGCTTGTAATATATGGGGAGCCTAGAGGAAAATGGTGTTACTTTACGAGCCAGCCAACAATTCCTTTCAGGGAGGAGACTGCCTGCCACCTTAACGGAAGCATTTGGCTATGAAGATAAGGCCCTCAGGAGATAGCCTGGACAGTCTGGAGCTAGACTGAGAGAGAGCACACTACTCTGTGGAAGATGTTTACAGGAATTTGGGGGCGGGTGGAGAGCAGAGGAGAAATAAGAGAGGAGAGGGTTGAAGTGAGTGAGAAGGCAAGATGGCGGCAGACCCTGGGACCTAATGAGAGCCTTAAGCAGATGGAAAGACTGTGCTTCACGAGAACTGAGGGGTTTTCTGGGGGTGGAGGGATAAATCAAGTAAAAGGGGTTACATTCAAAATCTAGGTTGGCATGGGGCAGCTATGGGAGACGAGACACAAGTGAGGTCAAGAATCCAGCCAAAAGAAGCCACTGGAGATAGGGAAGTGACCATGAGAATATAAGCTGTCAGGAATTCTCAGACATCTAGGGGAAGACATTGGCCCTTCACAGGATGTGGGAAGGAGGCTTCAGCCAGTTTTTGTTTAAACCTCAAAGCAGAGAGTGATCTCAGCTGATAGCTGTATTATACATTTGTACCAGGAAAAAAAGTGTTTTTGAGTTAACACATTTTTGGAATACTGTTACAGAGATGAATGAAACCTTAAAGTAAATTTTATGACTTACATGTCTCATAAAAAGAAAGGCGTATCAGCAGCGTTTAAAAAAAGTTATTTTATAGGATTTTTTTATTCTAACGGATAGAGATTGTCTTTGGAGAATATAAATATTCTAAAGATTTAATGAAGTTATCTGAAGCCACATAGACATTAATTAGAGTTCTGTAATTAGAATTATAGTTATAGAAGCTTCTTGCTGCAAAATAGAGGGTAATATTTCAATATTTCAGGTTTACTGTGCTGTTGGAGCACAGTACCTGATGCATTTTCATATACCATGGCTTCAATAATTCTTTCTAAATAAGCATTTTGATAGATATTTAATAGTTTTAAAATTAATGTTGGGGTAAAACCCATTTTTATTTGTGCTCATCCCAGCCCTCCTTCTCTCACAAGCAGCCCGTCTGCTTTCTGCGCACAGAGCCACCCAAACCGATCATGACACTGAATCCAATCAGAAAAGCAGCATAAAGATGAAAGGTCTTACCAATGAGAAGTGAACTTGCTAAAGTACACCTTTCAATGAATTTGGACAAAACTGAAAAATGTTGTTGATATCAGATCCTTAGGCTGATTACTGAAGCGTTCGATTTTTCAGCATGTCAATTCATCACTGTCTACCTGGTTATATTTAACACTTTCTCCTGTTTCCAGCATGTCTGCTGAGACAGGCAATTGCTGTCACATGATATCTGCCTCTCAAGAAGGTCAGCAGACCATTGGGAGGCCGTGGTTTCTGTCCTCCAGCTGCCTTGATTCTTTCTCAGGTATTACTGACAGCAGATGGAGCCTCAATGTCTTGCAGGATCTAAAATATTAATAAGATTAGGGCTTTTATCCTTCAAACAGTTTAGCCTTTCCTTTTAGAGGCTCTGCACAATGTCTCATCTGTTAATTTATAATACTAGCTCTCCAGGAAGACCTGACACCACTTACGGATACCAAAATACCACTTTGCCCAGAGTCCCTCTTTTTCACTTCGTCAGTGTGCTGGTTCACGTTTTAAATCACGCTCATCTTTCAGAGACATTTGGAGGAGTTTAATTCCAGTTTGAGATGAGAGGTCTTGGGGTGCGTTTTAATAAATATTTGATGGGAATGCTAGCCTTGGGGGGTCATTCTTATTTACAAAATTAGAGATGGCATCTCTTAGGAAAGCTTAACTTCGTGGAAGAGGCGGTGTTTATAAATGCGCACAGCACTCTCATGCACGGGGTGGCCGCCACTTTTCAGAACACAGTAGTTATCCACGGTTCCATTTTTAGAAGCAGTGATTAAATTGCAGAGCACTGCTGTGTGATACCAATTACAATAACCATTGTCGATTCAATTGTCTTTTTTTTTAATGGAAAGCAAAATTCACTTTTCTGCATATAGCCTACAAAAATACATATATCATATGGTATGCAATTTAGATCATTTTAAAGGGCTGTAATGGCATTAGTTTAGATATCCCATTCCAGTCAGGCAATGAGCATCAATTTTGTTAATTAAGAATTTTAGGCTCTGTAAATTTATAGTACAATTACACTTTACTTCATATTGAAGAGGGTCTTTACCCCATGCCACCATTAGAAAAACGTCCACTTATATTATTTGCTGACGATTTCACAGGCAGATAAATTTCACAGGAAGCATTACCATTTCTTTTTTTGCATTGAAATTTCTTATTGAATGCCAATTGTCAGCAGAATGCAACCATGAAGACTTTTGAGTTAAATTTTTCTCTTTTCTTTTCTTCTTTCTTTTTTTTGCTAAAGAAAAAGCCAATTCATCAGGTAGGAAAGGACTGCTTTTCGTGGTCCCAGGTCCTGCCAGAGACAAATGACTGTAAAAATTTAAAATCAGTTATTAACAGATTAGCTGTTGGTCCAAAGTAAATAGCTTATTAAGCATCAGGCAGAGTGAGATAAAGGGGAAGAGTTATTGAAAATGAGGATGTTGTCTGGGGCTCTGCTTGTGGGGTAGCACAGGAGGAGGCTATTGCTTTGTGACTCTAATTACAAATGGAAAACAAGGTAGTTGGCTGAAAAAGTTGAATCCCTCGTTGTGTTAAACAGAGTCCTGTGGTTTTCTGTTCTACGTCATGGCTTTATTCACCTTGATTAGCATGGAAGTTGGTTGTGCTCCCCAGCTGTTCTCCTCTTTGCCTTCTAAGCAAAATCTGTCAACTGCTGTTCACTCAACCCCGCAAAGCAGCCCAGAAACAGTGGCTAAGACTCCTTAGTTTCAGGAACTGGACATTTCTTACCCCTTTGCACTAGTTCACATCTCATTATTGGTTAGGTTGGGGTTGTGAAGCGAAGGGATGGCTCATTAGCTGCTTCCCTCTAGGTTCAGATGTGTGAGCTACTATTAGACAGATGCCACAGTAATAATTGTTGCAGGCAAATTCCACCATTGAATGCTAAAATCAGTGGTGAAGGTTTGAGGAGAAACAGGATATTTGCATAGCTTCAAAGTATCTTTCCCAAGATATGTATTAATTACAAAACAAAAACACTACCATTACAATGGTGAAACCCAACAGATAGCCCCTTAACCAAGTGATCAAGGTTAACTTCACTAGTAACCAGATGGTGTCCCCCAGACCCCCGGCCCCTTCCCCAGACACGATGCACTGAGAAGGGCACACGTCATTTTTGTGGCGTTCTTACTAAAAATGTATAATCTCACTCTAGTCATGAATAAACAGCAGACAAACCTGTTCTACACACTAACTGGCCAGTACTCTTTCAAAGTGTCAAGGTCATAAACGTCAAGGAAGACTAAAGACCTGGTACAGACTGGAAGAGACTAAAGAGACAAAATAGTGTGGGATTCTGGATTGAATCCTACAACAGAAAAAGGAAGTTAGTAGGAAGCTGGATGAAAGAAGTTAGTAGAAAAACTGGTGAAATGCAAATGAAGTCTGAGGCTTAGTCAGTAGTACTGTACCAGTTAAATTCCTGGCTTTGGTAATGATACTCATATAGTCAGGATGCTTTGGCCCCTCCAAATCTCATGTTGAAATATGATTCCCAGTATTGGAGGTGGGGTCTGGTGGGAGGCGATTGGCTCATGGGAGGGGATCCCTCGTGAGTGACTTAGCACCATCCCCCGGATGATGAGTAGGTTCTTGTTCAATTAATTCATGAGAGATCTGGTTGTTTAAAAGACTCTGGGACATTGGTCTTCTTTTTTTCATGCTCCCACTCTCGCCATGTGACATGCTGGCTCCCTGCTGCACTCCGCCATGATTTTAAACTTCCTGAGGCCTCACCAGAAGCAGATGCCAGCACCATGCTTCCGGCAAAACCTGCAGAACTGTGAGCCAATTAAACCTCTTTTCTTTATAAATTACCCAGTCTCAAGTATTTTTTTTTTTTTTTTTTTTTTTGAGATGGAGTTTCACTCTTGTTGCCCAGACTGGAGTGCAATGGCCCAATCTCAGCTCACTGCAACCTCTGCCTCCTGGGTTCAAGTGATTCTTCTGCCTCAGCCTCCCGAGTAACTGGGACTACAGGCGCGTACCACCACGCCAGGCTAATTTTTGTATTTTTAGTAGAGATGTGGTTTCACCATGTTGACCAGGCTGGTCTCGAATTCCTGACCTCAGGTGATTCACCTGCCTGAGCCTCCCGAAGTGTTGGGATTACAGGCGTGAGCCACCGCTTCCACCCTCGAGTATTTTTTTAATAGCAATGCAAAAATGGCCTAATACAGAAACTATGATTGTGTAAGATATGAGCTTTGGGAGAAGCTGGGTGAAGGAATACAGAACTGTCTGTACTATTTTTGCAACTTTCTTAAAGTTATTTCAAGATAAAAAGTTAAACAAAGGGAAAGATGCACTGAAAGAAAAAATACTGCATAAGCTCCAGAAGCTTCTACTGCAGAACCAAGCCTGTAGTCTGGGTTAATTTGAACTTTTTATCTTACACAGTTATGCTTGATTTTGGCCAAAGCTTGAGTAAACCATAGCTTTTGATGGAAAAACAAAACAAAACAACTTTTCTTTGTGTGGGGTCCTTCTTCACAGTTTCTTATTGTGAATAACTTCTTTATTGATAAGTGCATTCAGTAAGGCAGGCGGAGACAATCCCAGTTTGTGGAATGTGGGATTCCAGTTTGTGTGACTTGGATTCCCAGTTTGTGTGAATTATATACTATGTTAGTTATTCTCATGCATCTGCAGGCTGGCCAGGGTCGGCTCTGCTTCATCCTGCAGGTCTGGGTCTGCTCTTTCTCAGATCAAGGATCTAACTGGGACACAGTCTTCTCAAGGTGAGAACAGAAACTCAAGAGGGCAGGCGCCACTACACAAGCACATTGTAGCCTAAGCTTGCGTCCTGCCTGCTAACATCCTGTTAGTCCAAGCAATTCACTTGACCAAGCCCAAAAGTCAGGGCGGTGGGGATGCAGTACATTTGTTTGTGGATGTATCTAATCTAGCATAATACTTCTGGCCTATGTTGCCTCTCTCTGGCCTGCTTTCTGGGCCCTCTTTCCTTGCTTAAGTGCAGATATTGAAAGATTGGCTTGCCCCGACTGATCTGATTCAGTTTCATGAGGGCTATGACTGCTTGGTGGTCTCCCAAAGTGAGAATGCTCCCTCCACAGTACGAGTGGGGTCTTAGAACACTATTTTGCACACTGAGGTGTTATAGAATTGTTTTGAGACCCCCCCCTCAGTTCCTACACAGGTATGTAGACACCATCAGCTTAGCTGAGGCAGGTGCTCCAGGTACCAGGCCTGCCAGTTTTCCAAGATCACCACTCATGTCTGGCTCTCAGGCCCTCTGCAAAGAGTGGCTTGTCCTGCCAGACCCCATGCCACATGGCGAACTCTCTCCTACCATCTCTCATCTCTCTCACAACCTGGCTTCTGGTGCCTTGAGACATGTATGCAATTGTCTGACCAACAGCTATGAAAACAAAGTTCAAGTTGATTGACTTGTTTGTTTGGTTTTTCCCCAGGAGGTTCCTCAGCTCAGTTCCTATTTACACTGGTGGCTGTAAATAGTTAATTCTCAAGAGACTTAGTCCTCTGTTCCAGACAACTAGTGTCTTGAAGTAGAGAGAGTATCTTACTTATGGTCTATCCACTGCAGTGAGTGGCCCCAAATAGTATAAATTGTCAAAAGGCATCTGTTGAACAGAGATAAAATTCTGAGTCCTTCATAATCTGACCCAGTCTAATTTCCCTGGACTCTCCAACATTTCTCTCCACTAGACATTGTCATTTTTCTCATTGTCCCTCAAGTCCCGTACCATTTCTAACCATTACCACAACTTCTCAGTGTCCTGGTTGCCCTCCACTCCACTCAACCCTGGTTGGCTGTCAGGGCTCACCTGGAGCTCACCTGCTGCAGGAAGCCTTCCTGAAACTCACTCACTGCAGAAAGGCTTCCCAGCCACTCCTGCCTTTGATGAACTCTCTCTTTTTCTTTTTTAATTTTAAATTTTTTTAATTTTTATTTTTTTAAAATTTTTTATTATACTTTAAGTTCTAGGGTACATGTGCACAACGTACAGGTTTTTACGTATGTATACATGTGTCATGTTGGTGTGCTGCACCCATTAACTGGTCATTTACATTAGGTATATCTCCTAATGCTATGCCTTCCCCCTCGCCCCACCCCACAACAGGCCCCAGTGTGTAATATTCCCTGCCCTTTGTCCAAGTGTTCTCATTGTTCAATTCCCACCTATGAGTGAGAACATGCAGTGTTTGGTTTTCTGTCCTTGCAATAGTTTGCTGAGAATGATGGTTTCCAGTTTCATCCATGTCCCTACAAAGGACATGAACTCATCCTTTTTTATGGCTGCATAGTATTCCATGGTATATATGTGCCACATTTTCTTAATCCAGTCTATCATTGATGGACATTTGGTTCCAAGTCTTTGCTATTGTGAATAGTGCTGCAATAAACATACATATACATGTCTCTTTATAGCAACATGATTTATAATCCTTTGGGTATATACCCAGTAATGGGATGGCTGGGTCAAACAGTATTTCTAGTTCTAGATCGTTGAGGAATCACCACACTGTCTTCCACAATGGTTGAACTAGTTTACAGTCCCACCAACAGTGTAAAACTGTTCCTATTTCTCCACATCCTCTCCAGCACCTGTTGTTTCCTGACTTTTTAATGATCGCCATTCTAACTGGTGTGAGATGGTATCTCATTGTGGTTTTGATTTGCATTTCTCTGATTGTCAGTGATGATGAGCATTTTTTCATGTGTCTCTTGGCTGCATAAATGTCTTCTTTTGAGAAGTGTCTGTTTATATCCTTTGCCCACTTTTTGATGGGGTTGTTTGATTTTTTTCTTGTAAATTTGTTTAAGTTCTTTGTAGATTCTGGATATTAGCCCTTTGTCAGATGGGTAGATTGTAAAAATTTTCTCCCATTCTGTAGGTTGCCTGGATGAACTCTCTCTTTTTCTATACTCCCAAGCATAGGTAGTCTCAACTGCTATTGTACTTACAGTTATTCTTTTATTTTGTTTTTCTAATTCCATACATAATGCAACAACATAAATTACCTTAAGGAATTTATTAGATTGTAATGTCTTTCTGGTTAGGGCCCAGGTCCAACATTGCTTCTGTATACTGCCTGGCCAGGAATAAGATTTTAAACACACAGTAAGTAGGTACTCAAGAAATTCATAATCAGTTTCAAAATTTAAATCACAAAATAAATCATTTGCTACTTCCCAAATTAAATAACAAATAAACTAGGAATGAAATAATCAGAAAAAAGCAGAAGATATAATCTCTATGTGCATATAAACTGTTCTTAAATATATAGTAGCTTTAAAATATGTGCAACTATTATGTATTCATTTTTTTTTTAAAAGCTAACCAAAGAAATAGTAGCTTTATATTTGAAAGAATATTGGGACTTTGAAGAGGAAAAGTACATTATTCACAAAGAAAAAGTAATCCTGGATTTATTTTTGTCAGATGATGAATCAATGCTAACTATTCTCAACTCTTATCTAAGCATAATTATAGTTTCTATTTTCCCAGTGTTTTGTAGCTTAGTGAGGGCAGACATCACTATCTCCCTCCATTTTATAGAAAGATAAGGAGTTGCTGTTCAGAGCATGCATATGCTTTGCCCAGTGTCCCCAGCTGCTAAATGACATAACCAGGCCTAAGTTGTCTTCTGGCTTCAAATCCACGGTTCTTTCCACCACATGCTCCAACTCTCTGCTCATTGAGGATGAATCCTTTGTTTCACTTTCCTGGGGTAATTGTGTGGCTTTTGTAAAAGATCCATCACTCTGAAGGTGAATTGGACCATCAGGTAAACATTTAAGGAAAGTAGAGGAGCTAAGCTGGAATGTAAGTAGATGCCTGGCATTATAACTGATGGCGTAATTACTTCCCATAACGTGGAGCACCAATCACAGAGTGGGTTTAATAGACAGAGGCTCTTAAGTATTTACAAGTATGGATAAAGTGACTGCCCTTCATCAGTTCAAGCAGGCGCTGGAGTCCGCCTTCCACTGTTAACTGGGACAGTATCAGTGTGAGTATTTCTGGCCCCACCTGGCATTCAGATCCTCTGCCACCCCTATGACCTGCCTTTGTAGCCTTTTCCCCTACCACTTCCCTTTCCTCAGTTTGTCATCCAGCTAAACGGGGGTACCCGGTTTTTGTTCTCCAAACGTAGCCCCCTTTTTCTTGTCTCTCTGACTTGGCACACCTCCAGTGACATTCCTTTCCAGGGTCCAGCTCAAATGCCACCCCTGCTGTGAGGCTGTCCTGTTTTCCCAGCTGGACCTGGCTCCCTTGCCTTTAAATCCACAAGCACTTTCTCTCTCTGTACTTCTCTTATGGCCCTCACCATGCACTGCCTTTATGGTAATAATCATGCTTTTTTTCTTTTCCTTTGAGACTGCAAAACCTTAAAAGAAAGTTTATCAAACCCTAGCGTAGTGCTGGCACATGGCAATTCTCAGTGTGAGCACTGGCTGGGAAAGTGACTGATGAACGCAGGAAGGAGCATCTCACCTACCTGGCTAGCGGGGGTGATTTCAGACGGATCTTTTTGTCCGCCACAGCATCACCCTTAGTGCCCTACGTATAGCAGGTGCTCAGTGTGGCTCTGTAGAAAAGAAAAAAAAGCTTGTGTGGATGAACAAAGGCATAAAGAGTGGATGAACAAAGAATGATTGAACAAATGTCTGGGATACTGAGGTGGAAAATCAAGGTAAACACAAGTCATGCCAGATACCAGAGTCTCTTTAAAAAGAGTCTCTTTAAAAAGAGACTCTGGGCTGGGCGTGGTGGCTCATGCCTGTAATCCTAGCACCTTGGGTGGCAGAGGCAAGCAGATCACCTGAGGTCAGGAGTTCGAGACCAGCCTCACCAACATGGTGAAACCCCCGTCTCTACTAAAAATATAAAAATTAGCTGGGTGTGGTGGCACATGCTTGTAATCCCTGCTACTCGGGAAGCTGAGGCAGGAGAATCATTTGAACCCAGGAGGCAGAGATTGCAGTGAGCCAAATCACATCGCTGCACTCCAGCCTGGTGACAGTGAGACTCCATCTCAAAAATAAATAAATAAAATAAAATAAAATAAAATAAATAAGGACTCTGGATAAATAGCATTTGAAACCAATGAGAACATTCTGGATGTCTGATGAGAGCTTTTGAAATTTCTGCTCTTATTCAAATATAAGAATAAGAAACATGAATGCCTCTTTTCCCCTAGTGATGGTGATACTAAATGAGATATACTAATATTCTATATTCCATACTATTTTTAAAGTAAAAATACTGATTTTTTCAGTATCTTAAATATTTAAGATACTGATATTTAAGGTATCTAAACAACTAAAATACTAGATACCTAAATATCTAAAATATTTAAGTACTGATAACTTAAATATCAGTAACTTTAATATTTAAGTATGGCATTAACAAATATGAGGTCCAGAATTGTTTATATCTTTTTTTTTTTTGAGATGCAGTCTTGCTCTGTCATTTTTTGAGATGCATGTCTTGCAGTCTTGCTCTGTGCAGTGGTGCAATCTCAGCTCACTGCAATCTCCACCTCCTGGGTTCAAGTGATTCTTATGCCTCAGCCTCCCCAGTAGCTGGGATTACAGGAGCCCACCACTACACCCAGGTATTTTTTTTTTTGTATTTTTAGTAGAGATGGGGTTTCACCATATTGGCCAGGTTGGTCTCAAGCTCCTGACCTCAGGTGATCCACCCACCTTGGCCTCCCAAAGTGCTGGGATTACAGGTGTGAGCCACCATGCCTGGCCCAGGAATTGCTTTGATCTTGAAATATATCCAGTGAGTTATACACGGCATTAAGAGTTCACCTGGGCTCACACCCTCCCTGCTGAAAGCCCTTCCAGTACATCCAGTGGTTTTCTTCCCACTTCCGGGGTTAATTGTGAGGCTGGCATTTTCTGTCTGGGTCATTTGTACCCCTAGATTCAGCCCCAGTTTCTGGCCCCTGATGGAGTCACCTTAGAATCAGAGGTGAAGGTGGGGAACAGAAAACCTCAGGCCTGGCCCTGATCCTCTTGCTGGTGGAACAGTCATAGGAACCATATCTTGGCTTTTCATAAAATGTTGATATTTTGGAATTTATTCCACATAATCTATTTTGCAATATTTTAATACAATTTTAAAATATTTTCATTGCAATTACTACTCTCTGTTTAGAATATTAAAAAATTTCACCCAGAATATGGTCTTTTTTCTCTCTCCAAAAACTTCCTCATGTTAGCAATTAAATAGAAGGGGAAAATTAACCAAACTGAGAGATATATTTACTAAACACTTGAAAATGTCCTGCTGTTATATCTTAAGGCTTATTAAGGGGTAGAAGCAGGATTTTTTAAACCCTGGGTGTTGCACCTATTTCCCATGTGTATTTACTTATTTTTACAGTCAAATAAATTCCACTTCCAAATGTGGAAGTGACTTAGTGTTGGATTCCTTTAATGCCCTTCTGATATGGTTAGGTATTGTGCCTCACCCAAATCTCATCTTGAATTGTAATCCCCATAATCCCCACATGTCAAGGGAGAGACCAGGTGGAAGTAATTGGATCATGAGGGCATCCTCCATGCTGTTCTTGTGATAGTGAGTGAGTTCCCACGAGATCTGATGGTTTTATAAGGGGCTCTTCCCACTTTACTCGGCACTTCTTCTTCCTGCTGCCTTGTGAAGAAGAGACCTTGCTTCCCCTTTCACCTTCCGCCATGATTGTAAGTCTCCTGAGGCCTCCCCTGCCATGCTGAACTGTGAGTAAATTAAACCTCTTTCTTTATAAATTACCCAGTCTGGGGCAGTTCTTTATAGCAGTATGAAAATGGACTAATACACCTTGTCTTCAGAAAGACTTTCCCTAGATGCTCAGCACACCTGCTAAATTTCTCCAGTGTGTTGACATTAGAGCAGCCTTGTCCAATAGAGCTTTCTAAGATGATGGAATGTTCTATGTCTGCACCATTCAATACGGCAACTACTAGCCACGTGTGGCTATTGAGCACTTGAAATGTGGCCAGTGTGACTGAGGAACTGAATTTTTTTTTTAGCTTTAATTAAGTGTCAATAGCCACACATAGCTAGTGGCCAGCATACTGGACAGGTCGAATTTAGAAACTCTTCTTTCTGCCACTGTTGACTATGACAAAAGAATGAGTCATAGAGAGGAATGGACTTCTCCCATTCTACTGGGGCAGCCTGGAGAACACTTGGGCTTCGAAGACCACTTCCCTCTGCTCCCCAGGGCCTTCCCCACTGGCTTCAGAGGCGTGACTGAGGGCAAGAAGGAAGAGCCAAGATTCTGTCTACATGTGTGTGAGTTCAGTCTCTTTATTTCCAGCATCTTATTTAAAGGCCACATGCCAAGTATCAATAACAAGCTGGGATCATAACAGTCCTATCCATGCTGTTTTCTAAATTATTGTTTATAGCTTCTTTAATTCTCCATGAAGATGATGAGTCTGTGGAGAATCTTTTTGCAAAGAACAAAAAGCAGAGATCTCTGCGTAAATTACCAGTACCCAAATGAGATGCCTTTTACCACACAGCCTATTCTGCTCACATGTGTTGTTTTGTTGGGGGAGCCTTTTCTTCCCTGCTTTTTTGGTGAGTTGCCACCATTTTGTTCTACAGGATCGACAATGTTAATTCTCATATTGTACATTGTGCCATCTCTCCCTGAACTTTATTGATGTTTTGAAGCAAAACAACCATTTACTCCTCTCCTAAAGATTCCAGTTAATGAGGTGCGCACAGGTGAGCAAGGTGTTTGTATGAAGAAATAAACCCATTAAATAAAAATTATATGAAGAGATGAGCTAGGAGAAAAGGCATACTTGTGTGTTTGTGTGTATGTGCCTGCGTGTGTCTTAGAGGTGCCTGTCAAAGCTTTCTTCTCATACACAAAGATAGAAATATGGAAATCAGAATGAAAAATAAGGGGAATTGGGTTTAGAGCAGCCTCTTAAAATTTGTGCTGTTTCCAGGCCCCTTTGCAGAGCGCCAGCCATTTCCAGGGAGGCACAGTGGTAGCATTTCAGTGCCGTTCTGCTCAGGAAAGACGACCAAACAGCCCTCCTGCCCTCACCTTTGCACACCACACATCTCAGCTTCAACTCGCCATCACGGTGGTCCCAGGCACGGTCGCTGCAACATCAGAAGGGCGGCATTTCAGCAAGCATTTGTTTTTGGGGTAGGGGTAGTGGTAATTACCAGCACATGATTATTTTATTTTGTCTGAATTATTTACAATGGAAGGAAGCAGTTTGGAGGGAAGGGGATATTAGGGAATGAGTTCAATCCCACTTGCATTGATTCTACCCAGAGCAAGAAGAGCAAGCCTATTGAGAAGAAAAATCACTTCCTTTTCTTCCTCTTTCCTCTCCACCCCTAAGTCTTAGAAATAAATAAATAATGCAAAGAAAAGCCCTGGGTGGCTGCATGGGAGGGGCCAGTGGCTGGGTGTCTGTGGCCTTCACTGAGGACTCACTTCCATTATTACATCGGGTCCTGGGCTGGAGCGTTCAGTGGTTCAATTCTTGCTCCCCAGCACTCATCTTGCATGTTGGTGCATAATGAACACCACGTATGGATTGAAATCCCATTTACAGGATGTTCAGTTACGGAACCTGTAATCAGGAGAGGTGGGTTTTAATCCCAGAGGTGTCGTTCCCTTATTGTTTTTTAAATTTAAGATTTATAGTTCTCCAACTTCCAAAAGAACTTGCTGATGTTTTATAGCAGCAAAGGTGGTGAATGAGAGAAAACAGAAGAGAAGCCATCTGAAGAAAGCAGGACATGTTGATGCTTCCAGGCACCAGAGTGGCCATAACAGTTGGGTAATAGGCTCATGGTTGTGCTTCCATTTCTTTTTTGTCAAATAGGGAAAGCAAACCCACCTCCTGCTGTGTGAGGTAACAGGTAGAGTAATGTTTGTGAGAAGAGGCATCCATATCATTTTGGCATGATATTGCATTTCTAAATTTAAAAAAAAAAATGTCAATAGAGGCAGAACATCTCATGACCTAATCCCACTGCAAATCCCTGAAGAGAAATACTCACAGAATAGTGCCCTGGCACACTGAAGATGAGAAACTGGGGCTGCAAGTGCCACCTGAGAGAAATGGGGGTGCTTTTATTCATTTTTTTCTTCAATGAATAACTTTTGAATAAAATGTTAACATACTTACCAACTCATAATATATATGAATTTTAAGACTTTGCAATAAAATGGATGTCTATGTATCTACCCACCTAAATTAAGAAATATGTAATTACTGGCCAGGTGTGGTGGCTCATGCTTGTAATTCCAGTGCTTTGGGAGGCCAAGGAGGGTGAAACTAGCCTGACCAACATGGCGAAACCCCGTCTCTACTAAAAATACAAAAAGTAACTGACTGTGGTGGTGTGCACCTGTAATCCCAGCTACTCAGGAGGCTGAGGCAGGAGAATTGCTTGAACCCCGAACGCAGAGGTTGCAGTGAGCCGAGTTCATGCCGTTGCATGCCAACCTAGGTGACAGAGTGAGACTTTGTCTAAAAAAAAAGAAATATATAATTCCTATCATTGAAACTCCAATAATACCCCTCTTAGTCCCAAGGTAACCACTATCATGATTTTGTGCATATTGTCCTTCCGCTTTTTAAAAACAAATTTTGCGTGTATTTGAACCATATGCAATTGGAATTATACTGATATATTCTATGAATTGGTTTTCTTCACCTAATATTATGTTTGTGAGATTTGTTCAAGTTGATACTTATAACCTATTTTATTCATTATCACTACGGTTTGCTATTTTGTTGTATGATTACTCTAAGACTTATCCATTCTCTTACTGATCATCATCTAGATGTCTCCATTTTTTAAATTACAAACCACATTGCCATGAATATTCTAATATAAATGTCTTTTGGTACACAGATCTAGGAGTTTCTCCATTGTATTTGCCTGAGAGTAGCATTGCTAGCTCATAAGAAAGGGGTGTCTTCAACTTTATTAGATCTTGCCAAGATCTTAGTCCAATCTGTACTCCCAACAGCAATGTTCATGAAGGAACTCAAGAAATTTTTATCAACTATGAGCTGATTCAACTCCTCGCAACTAAGAGGAAAAGTTAATAGGAAAGAGAGACTGCATGGCTAACAGAAATCCACAGACAATGATGATGGTGGTGATGATTACCGTAATCACAATGACATAATGATGATTACCATAATAACAATGACCAGGACAAGAACAACAAACCCATAGTGCTTAATATGTGCCAGGCACTGTTCTGAACAGTTCACACATCTGGCACAGTGCCTGGCACATAGTAAAGACTCATTCAATCTTTACAATTACTCTAAGAGATTTGTACTGTAATCTCCACTTAGCAGGTAAAGAAACTGAAACACAGAGAGGTTAAGAAACTTGCTTAAGTTATGGCTGATAAATGTCGAAGCTGGAATTTGAGTGGTTGCTCTGAACTACATGCTTCGTTAAAAATTTTAATTTAGTTTTTCTTGGCATTACCATTCATGGACTTTATCTTTTAATTTTATTTTCTTTTTAATTGACAAATGGTAATTGAATACATTTGTGGCATACAATGTGGTATTTTGATTCACCTATACATTGTCCTTGCTTCATTTTAGCCAATCGCTTATGAGTTCATGCTAAATGAACCAGTAATAAGAGCAGCTACATGACTGATGGATGACTGGTCACTCTGCCATTTGAAGTGGGGGACTTACTTTTCTAATCATACTCCTTATTACACACTCTATTTTACAGCTCTCTTCACTGAGAGTTTTGATTGTATTTAGATTTCATCACAATTTGATTCTTAAGAAGCAAGGGAAAAGCATTCTTTCTCGGATAGCATGGAATTTGGATGACCACTTTGGCTAATGTAAAAAAAAAATGTGAGGTGTTCTTAAACCAAAACTTCTCAAATCCTAACTTAACGTAATCTACCTGAAATCAATGTTATGGTTACTGGCACTTGACAAGACTGGAAGAGAAATAACTTTTCGTAACAGCTCATCTTCACATAGCTAATGATAGGTACCATTGTTTTTTGGGCAAAGTGATGGGGGAGGATATTAACTATTTCAAAGGTTGTTCAAAATGACTAAAATATAACATAATAATATTGTCATAGGCATATAGGCATAGCTATTTTTGTCATGGAAAACATCAGCAGAAATGAAGAACCATATGTATATTTATACCTTAGGATCAATAAAACTATATTTTTTGGTCCATATTTTTCAGATTAGTCATTTACGTGGTATCTCTAATTCACAATTTTCCTCTTCCCTTTTTGTCTGTGTAGACATACATTTGAACAGGGTAGAAAAGTGGTGTTACTAAAACTTAATACTTGGAATCTTTCTTTATGATCTGTCTTTAAAAGTAAACACATTATTATGATTCATAGCAATGTTCTCAGGATAATAATTTGTTTGTTTGTTTAAAACAGAAATATTTACATGAAAACTCAATACAAAGTCCAAATAATTAAGCTCTTCCTAAGCCAGAGTAGGCATATTTCATGCTGAAATATGCCATTTTAATGTTG
Source organism: Homo sapiens (assembly GCF_000001405.40). NCBI lineage: Eukaryota > Metazoa > Chordata > Mammalia > Primates > Hominidae > Homo > Homo sapiens. The sequence goes on from NC_000007.14 coordinate 26,433,786, forward strand.
AAAGAAAAAAAAGAAAGTCTTTAAAGATTTGGCCTGAAGAATAAATTCCAAAATGGGAAACAACACTTGCCCTGTAATGAGATGTAAATCATAACTCTGACATTTGTCTTCTCCTGGTGAATTCAATTCCTCACAGAAGTACAGAGTGGGAAAGAAAATATTGGAAGTGGGAGTAATAAAGTCAATACAGCAGGCTTCACGTGTATAAATGACACTTTCTTCACAACATGAGAGTAACAGGCAGACCTGCCTAAGACATATTCCCCTTTTCTAAGAATATTCCTGACTTTAAGGATTTCATCAATGTATTTACTATCTCACATCTCACTAGTGGGAGGATTACTGGGCTGTGGGACAGCCCCCTTTAAAAAGGCAACTGTTTTAGAGACTGTAAAGAAGCATTGGGCCATTTACATGTGAGCGTAAGTTGATTTAATCAGATGGTTTTCCTTTTGGCAGCCAACTGGGAGGGTCTACATTGAGGGATCCAGAGTTCTGAATTTAGGGGCTGAAACAATTGAGGGGAGGGAAGTGAGGGATGAGTGACACAGAGGTGAGGGGTTAGAGCAACCATGAAGATGCTGAGCTCATGGAGAGAGATATGAGCATTGTTGAAAGCGGGTGAAGAAAGAGAGCTGGGAAGACAAATTTGGCTTACTTAAAAATGTGCCAGCATCACCTGATGCTAGGCTGTTATTGTTATTTCTCTTAACATTAAGTTGGTTTTGGAGAGCTAATATGATATTCAACTATGACTTGAAATTTGTTTTTATGGAAAAATGCATTCAGAATGTAGTAGATTGAATAATTGGCTCCAATTCTTTACCCCTTTGCTTTAGCCTCAATTGAGCAAAGTATATTTTCCTAACCCTTGTCTTTGGCCCATCTATGAAACTTGTTTTGGCCAACCACATGTGGGCAAAAGTGTGCCAGTCCTGATCTCAGGCCTTAAGAGGCTTTGTCTTTCTCTGCTTGTCCTCTTGTCCTCCTTTGTGTTTCTGCCATCTCCATGAGCTAAGCTTTCCATAGGTAGCTGTTACCCCTTTAGCTGACCTGCAACTTGAAGCAGAGCTGTGAAGTCCAGTACCAGCTTAAATAACCTGATCTCCAGCCTATGTGCAGATATGTGAGAACAAATGATAGTTGTTTTAAGTCACTCTGTTTTTTGAGATCGTTTGTTACACAACATCTTTTTGGTCTTAACTAACTGATACACAGAGTTCTAAAGAACCCTCTTACAAGTGAACTCTTGGAATATAACCGGTTGGTACGTTGAGATTTTCTTGCATTTCAACAAGATCCCTACTCTCTTTTTAATGAGAATTTTTGTGTGTTTTTTATTTGGTTTCAGCCCACAGTTAAGATAAGAGCATAATTTGTTACATGATCAGATAAAGCTTAACAGAGAGTATGGCTTGTACCTATAGATAAGCACTCATAGCTATTGCATATAGCAATGGTTTCCAGCTGACTCTGTGAAGTTCTAGGACCTGCAGTGGGTTCTTATAAAGGCCACCTTGGGGTGGAGTTCCGGCCTCTTCTCCTTCACATAGCTTCAGCCATAGCAGAGCTATTTTTATTTGTGTTGTATACTAGGCTTCCTTGTAAGATTTTGTCTAATTGAAAGGTGGAAATAAGTTGAAAACCTATAGTGAACCCCTCACTTTTCCTGGGACCCATGGTCTTCCACACATGGGCATGCTATCCTTTTTTGCCTAGCTAGCTAGCTAGCTCTCTCTTTCCACTTCTCTGCAAAGCTCCTATCCATTCTTCCATATTTCTTCCTTCAACAGATAGGACCAAATTGCCATCCCTTTAAGTGTGGGCTGTACTTAGTAACTTTTAATGAGTTGAATGTACAGGAAGTGATGGTGTCTGATGTCCAAGATTTGGAGGACTTTGGGCTATAAAAGGGATTGTGGCATCTCTCTCTCTCTCTCTCTGTCTCTCTCTTATTCATTAAGCATTATGGGTTTCCTCATTCTGGGGAAAGCCAGTTGACATTTCATGAGAATACTCAAGCAGCTCCATGGAAAAGGCTACACGAGAGGAACTGAGCCCTCCTGCTAACAGCCATGTGAGTGATTTTGATTGCAACCTCATGAGAAACCTTGAGCCAGCTCTTGAATTCTTGACCGACAGAAACTGTGAGGGAAAAAAAAAGTTTGTTGTTTTAAGTTGCTATGTTTTGCAGTAATTTCATATGCAGCAATATATAACCAATATGATACCCACTAAAGAGATTCTTTTCTATGATAGTCTTCTGAAATGCCTGTTAATAATTTTCTTCTTTTTTATTGCCCTTAATATGTACGTCGTTTGCAGGATTTATTCCACTGCATTACCTATTTACATATCTTTTTCCTCCATTAGACTATGAGATATTTGTATTCTCAGATGTCTGGCACAGTCCTTGGCATCTTACATATTGGATAAAGAATGAAAAAAATAGCTACTGCACAAGTTGTAAAAATCACTCAGAGAAGAATAAGACAGACAAAGGATAAAAAATAGCCATCTCTATCTTTGCCAAAGTAATTCTCAATTTTGACCAGAGATTATAAATGACTCAGATAGAGTCAATGCTGTATTTTTCCACCACATGTTGACATATAAACCAGTTCTTTGCACTCTTGTTTTAGCAAATGATAAGCATTCCTGCTCAGATGGTGTATCTAGAATAACAGAGTCTATAACTGAGTAGGAGGGGTGTTTTGACTAGGTTTACAGGTGAACAAGGTGGAAATCTATCACTATCCAAAACAAGCTTTGGATTTATGGTTTTGACCAAGTGTAAACAGAAGGCATATAATTTATCAAGCTGTAGAGAGCTTTTGGTGGTTTCAGAGGCCAGAGCTATACAGTCAAATCAAAATGGTGGAAGTAGCATCTGATTAATTCCATGTGGGCCCAGCAAATTGGAATGAGAGCCTTCTGGATATGCCAGGCTACACAGGTCTGAACAATTAGGTATTTAAAATTGAGTTTTAATGATGATGATGATGATGATTTGTGTTTTTATTTTGATGATCATCTAAATAATTAGTAGAGGAATATTATGGGTCATCTGGAGGTCAGACAAAAAACTTAGAACTGCCATGTGATTTCGGGTCTCGACTTTATGACTCAGCATGGCTCACATGCCCCTTAAGTGACAGAGTTTAACTTGTAATGCACTATTTCTCAGATTGGGGTGTGTGCGCTTGTAATTTTAAGGATCTACAAGTTCTTACATTTGGGAAACAGTGATAGAAACAAGAAATGCTTCCTCGGAGGATGGATTAGTGATATTTCATCTGGGGAGCCAAGCAAGGGAAGGCTTTCTGAGGGAGCTGGCATCTTAGATGGCCCTCAAGGACAGACCCTGTGTGCCTTCTCTTATCAAGTGTCCACTTAAAGGAACTGCTTGATAAAAATCCCCCGCTTCCAGAGGCCATTCATTACTCCCTGGTTATTCTTTGAGAGCCTCTGTGTGTTAGTTCTGTTTAATTACAGTGTGCTGCAGACTGAAGAAGGAATGCAAACATTGTGTGGAGGGAGGCATGAGAAAAGAAAGTGTGGGGCTTCAAGAGGGAACAGGAAATAGTTCAGTTTAACTACAGGTCAGGAGATGCAGGGTGTAGTGGGGCATGGGATGCAAGGCTGGCGATGGCCTATTGTGAAGGACAAGGCATTTTTTTTTTCTCTGTGTTTTATCCCCTGTAATTAGGAAGGGAGTGTTTCTGCGTTGTTTTTTTTTTTTTGCTGGGGTAGTCATTTTATACTGATGGAGATGATTCTGACAAGGCTGCAGATATGTCTGCAAGTCATGACATGCTGACAAGTCATGATAATATTGTTGAATAACTATCTTAGCATCATTTTGTTGAAGAGCTCTTGCTTACCTGTAAAGTTTCTGGGCACATGGGAAGTTTTTAATTCATGTATCATCTTTGATTTTTGTAGAAGACATATTTTTAATGTGTGCCTTGCCTTTGCTGAAGGCTGTAGCTGGGAAGTCACATGTAAACTGCATGACCCTGGTCAGAGCCCCTTACCCACTCTTATCCCCACCCTGGATGATTAAATCCAACTGGCACCGGACCTTGGGAGAGCCAATCCATTGTCTGGGCTGAGCTAATCAGACTCGCTCTTGTGGGAATTTGGACACTGAGAAACTGAGAAAGATGAAGATGGCTTTAGAACTGAAAGGTCATGCCAAATTAACCCACGCTGAATGCAGAGAAAGCTAGTCGAAAGACAGAGGTGAAGAGAGAAGAAGAAAAGCATGGCAGAGGTGAAATACACGTAGAGAGAATCACCCTGATTTCTCATTTTCCAATTCCAATTTTAGTTCCAATTTGGTCTGCATATAATTTGTTTCCTGTCTGTTTCTAATCCTCTGCAGGATTTCCCGCTGTATTTTTACAGTAAAATCTTCCACACTTAAGCTTACTTGAGTGGCTTACTTTTTCTTGCATCCACACATGACCTTTCTAAAGTAATGCTGAGTTTGCAAATGAAGCCATTGGTTCTCAAGAGACTGTTGGGCTGAAGGGAGTAATGTCAGCTCATTAGTTTGGGTGCTAAACCAACTTCCACTCATGAAGCAAGAGGGAGGCATGGATAGCTTCAGCTTATTAATGGGAACTCTGGGAAACAAGGTAGCAAGTACAACTTGACCAATGTTGGAAGAGATTCTGCCTCTCAATATGACCAATGATGGGCTATAGACCTCAGCAGTCACTATGGTCTACGCTGACCACAGCTGAGAATGTTTTGGCAAAGAGCTGAGGTGAGTAAACACAGTGACTACGTATTCTTCTACTCACAAAGAAGAATAAAAAATTAAGAGTTACGTATATATATTATTGAGTTATTATTAAGAGTTACATATATATAAAAAATGCCCATATTATATATTATAAATTTTCTAATATAAATGTAACTCTTAATTTTTTATTCCTTTTGTGAGTAACAAAATCCTACAGTTGAAGAAAAGAAAAGTCATTGCCATTCTTTCAGGCGTCTGATGAAATCTAAAGCTCTCTTTGTACTAACTGCAAGATTTAATCAGGAGTGGATAATATGAATGTATCTACCATAATGAATTTCAAGTTTTACTACCTTCAGACATTGTCAGTAACTGCATTTCTAGGGTATGTAACTTGTAATTGAAAATCTATGTTTTAGTTCCACCTGTCATTTTTTAAATTCTGTTCAAAGAATGTCTGTTATAAAAATATATTTTCTATCAAAAGTTATGCTTTAGAGGAAAGGTGTATCATTAGAAATTAGCAATTTCAACATGTTGGTGATTTGGAATTTTTTGGAATAATTTGCTGTTTTTCAGAGTTGTTGAAATTATACAAAGGGCCTTCATTCTGATAAGTAATGAATTTAGTAAGGATGAGGTGGCAATGAGAAATATTATTTTAAAGTCAACTTCCTTTGAAATCCTAAGAATCTTCTTTAGACAGACATGCAGCTGGAAATAGCAGGGACTAAACCAACAGGGGATGGAGACCCTGGGGATTTTCTTTGCATTTTTTCTGGGAAGAAGTTCTGCTCTTCTGACATTCATCTACTCATCTCTGGGAATTCTATTCTTCAAGTACAGAGGCTAATGGCTGCATAATGAAGTTTTGCTTATCCTCTCTCTTGCTAGATTTCTTTGAGCATGAATTTTACAAGGAATAACCAAACTGAACCAGAAAAAGGCATTGATATTATGGGATTGCATCAATAGCATTGGCTGCTTCATTTCCATTCACTTATCAGACATATTTACTTCTCAGATATTTCCTTAACTGGAATTGACTGTACTATAATTGCCTATTTCTTTGGTCCATTGGCTGTTAACCTTGAAGTGACTGGGGTAGGGCTGGCGAGGCCTTCCCTGTCAGGCCTGACCTCTCACTATGCTGGAGAGAGCGCTGCCATGACAACGGCGACAGATGTCAGCTAAGCAATGTGCACCCTAGAAAGACTCCTGTATTGAGAAAATCGATCTTGTAATGGTGCCACGGAGCACATTCGCTGAACTGCCAAGTGTTCTAGGCTTAATCATTTATTTCATCTAGCAGAGAGAAGAAAACATAAAAGAAATGAAATGAATTTGACCTCTGTCTTTTGAGTGACTTTAGTACTACACTGAATTCTAGCAAGTACCTCTTATGAATTTTAAAAAATTACATTAGGAATAACATTTTGAAGTGAAATGACTCTTGTAATGCCAACCCTCCAGAAGCATGTTATTTCAAATGTCAGATACCTAATAGTCATTTGCTGTTTTCTGTGTATGTCTGGGGGTTAGCTCCATCTTGAGTATGTTTCAGGCAAATTATTATGAAGAAAGCAGGAATGAAGCAGACCAGAGCCTGCTGCTTTGGTTTTCTCCCTTCTTCTTAGCATAAAGCAACTTCTTTTGTGCTGATCATCACAGGGATTAGCAAGTAGCATAAGCAACGTTTCATATTGACAGCTTTTGAATCCCTCTCAATTTTAGAGTCTTCCAATAGAAAGCTTGTTCTTGTCTCTGTCTCCAGAGTGAAGTTTGTCTCCCTGACAGTTAATCCTGAGACAGCCTTCCATTGCCTTGATAGGCTTGTCATTCATGCCTTGACACCTCTCATTCATCTGAGTCTGGCCTGCTGGATATGCAAATGATAGGAGGACTGAAAATCATAATCCTTCAGCCGTGATGGCGTCAACGTCACTATTCTTGGAACAAGCCATTTTGTGAGTAGCTGGGGAGTGGTGGGAGACTCTAAGCGAGGGGAGGCAGCATGCACTTCTGACCTTTTCATGGCCCAGGTCAGAATTAGATTTTTAAAAAAGCAAATGCCCAAACCGAGAGAAACCCTTAAAGCCTAAAGATTGTAGACAAATCTCTCTGATAAGCTTGCCTGTATAAATAAATGTCATTTAGAGTGATTATAGTGAAAAGGATCTCTTAAGATTTTCAATGTGATATGTCTGTCTCTTGTGCTGTGGGATATTTTATTGCATTTTTGCCCTCAAGTGGAGCTGACAGGAGCCAAGCTTGTAATTTAAATCAATAAGAACCCTTTACCATGGCCATAAAATACTTGGCTAAACCTTTGAAGTGGCCACAGTTGAATGCACAGTGAACACAGTATAAATGTTCCTTAAGATGTATTGTATGAGACCACTACTAAAACAGCATTCAAAGGAACCGGCCTTAAGCATCTTTTGTGACTGATGGGAGAAGGTCCCAAATGCTTTTGATCATTTACGTGCTGCTCCAAACAGCCCACTTAATTGGCATGTGACCCGGCTGCAGCCTTCTGTTGTCTTCTCAGACATTTCCACTGTCTCTTTGGTGGGGTTTCTGGAATCCGGGCCTCCTTCTAAACCAATAATCCACATCTGACATGCTGTTGTGTCAGTTGCTCCTGTTCATTTCCACTGTAGCAGGGGAAAATAGAACAAAGGCTGGTTGTTCAAACCCATCCTGGGAGCGCCGCACAGGCAGTTCAGCAGCACTGCTGGGAAGTGTTCTTTGTGTAACAGCGAAGGCTGAGGTTGCAGCTTACCTGTTAGTTTCTTTTGGAGCGGCTTGTTTTTGGAGTGGTGGCATTCAGAGAGCTGTCAGACTTCAAAAGGCGGCGTTTGCCTCCCCTCTGCTTCGCTCTGCTGTCTCCTGCGTCCTCATTGTGTGCCTGGCCCTTCCTCTGGCTCCTTCCTGCCGCCTTTGCCTTTTTTCTGTGAGGATGGGCGGGTCAGGGTGGATGGATGTTTCCTGACTCTTGTCCTCTGTGTCTCTGTCTCTGTTTGTCCCTCACTCTTTGTCTCTCTCTTGCTCTCAGATTCCAAAGTCTTCCCCAATTCTACAAAAACAGTAAATGGCGATCATCTGAATTTGGAATCTGGCTGTGGACAGTCTTGTGTGAGGGACCTCTGGGACGCGCCTGCTCCCCCGGTGGGGAGTGTGGCAGTTGTGATACCAAATGCACAGGCTCAAGCCTGGGCGCAGTCACTCCTTTCCAGATTCATGGGCCAAATACCTTTCCTGGCTGCTGCCTCACAGAAGCCCTGTCTTCCTGGTGAGACGTCAAAGATAGGGATCAGAGTCACAGGCCAGTCTCTACTTTATCTGATAGATCACAACCTTCCCTGTAGTTCCCTCTTGGGATGGCACCTACAGGTATCACAGTGGCTAAGCAGATGGACACATGTCCTGTGTGACCTCTCCTTTTGGGGAAGGCACTTTCTAAAAAGGCCCATCTGGGCTCAGGTCTGACTCCCCTAGCAGGCCACATGTCATGTCTGTTTGCCACATGTAGTCTGACAATACATTTTATTGCCTGGCCTCTGCAAACCCAACACGATTTTGTGACTCTTGATATTTCAGCTGATCTTTACAAGATTTCTTTTGCCCTTTTGTGAGAACAGAGTAGACAGGGCCTTAAGAACAGATTACTTTGTGTTTATAAAGTTAATGTGTATAAATGGCATTTAAAAACATGTGTGTGGGTAAAGTATTATAGCCAAAATCAGATTTTAAGGACATACCAACAAGATTCAATGTTCAGAACTTGTTTAGGTCCTAATTTGAAAAAACGAACTGAAAAGATGTGTGATATATATTTAAATAACTGGGGACATTTGCCTACAACTGGTTATCAGATAATTGACAAAATATTACAGGAAAGAAAGGCAGGGAGTAAATAAAAACCACATTGGCAAGCAATGATAGTTGTAAAAGCTGGGTCATCACTGGAATAAGGGTTCAGTATGTTATTCTCTCTATTTTTCTTTATATTTCTAAATACTCTATTGCAAAGTTAGAAGAAGTTAGCATGTCTACTCAGGATTGCCTGATCACTACACTTATACCTCTTGTTCAATAAAATTGTATTTCTGAAGGTCTTACCTGTTTGCCTGTCATCCTGTGCTTTTACCTCCCGTGTAAAATTTCCCTTGCACTGGGGGCTGGTTCTGTTCGAATGCTGTCTATGCCTGTGGCCTGAACTTTAGCATTTAGCATGGAATTTCTGCCTATCTGGTCTCCCCATCCAGACTGTAAACGTCTTGAAAGCAGAACCGTTTCTTACCTTTCAGTGCTTGCAACCTATAATTGTGCAGCGTGAGGCCCAGAGTAGGAATGAATCGGGCTAGGCTAGACTGTGTTGTGGTAACACATAAGCCTTGAAATCTCAGCAGCGTTATGCAGTAAAAGTTCATTTCTTGTTCCTGTAAAGTCGGATGTGTGTTGGGCATCTCTGTCCCATCTTGCAGCTATGCTCTCAGGAGTGGGTGGCTTTCAGAGAGACCACAGCGGGGGAAGAGAGAGAGATGAGATCCACTAACAGGTTGTATTTTGACTGCCTCTGCCTAGAAATAACCTACAGAACTTCTCCCACAGCCCATAGGCTGGAATGAGTCACCTGACCCCCTGACAGCAAGGCAGGCTGGGAAATGAACGGAGCATGTGGCTATCTGGTGAGCACGAATTGTTTCTACGCTGCTTCTTACCCCATGTGCATATTGTCTCATGAATTTCAACATGAGAGAATGCCCAGGGAAGAAGGCCTTTGGTCATTTGTGCAGAATAAGAAAATGACAACCAGACCATTTCCTTTCCTCTTTTTATTTTCTTTTTTCTTTTTTTTGCCATGCCAGTGGGTTGTTTCCTACATGGCTGGAACCCTGTCTCTGGTTAATGGTAAGATCCCAGAGGGCTTCATGACCACTGTTCAGGCTTTGTTTCTATGACAGTCAAAGGCACAGGGATTATTGCCTGTCTCCATCTGAAAATGTTATAGCTTGACCCTGTCAGGGTGCTGCCAAGCTGGAGGTGCTCCAAGAATAGAGGGGTACACTGTGACTGGGGCTCACGTGGTTAAAATAGTAATAACCAGAAAAATGGAGCATCAGGCCATAGCAAGAAAAGAAGGGCACAACTACATTATGGTGGGAAGTTCCTTCCTCAGGCAAAGTTGAAAATGTTTTATTTAAGGAAAGGACAGCACTAACCAAATAGAGGAAAATTGTAGACTCTCAAGCCAGGTGCATGTCGCATGTGTGATATGCTAATGATCATCAGCCAAATGTAGTGATTGAGCAAGTGCTAAGGGGTATTTGCCTGTAGATAAATGGTCTGTATGAACAGTTGTTGCCCCAGTCTGCCTGTCTCCCTCCCCTTCCGCCTGTGGGTGGGGCAGGTTTCCTTAGAAGAGCCTGAGGCACTGCAGCCTTCCTGGGGCTGGCAGTGAAGGTACTCTTACGTGCAGAGCCACATGAGGGACGCTGGTCTGAGAGTCTTCTAGAAATAATAGGCAGCCCTTGAAGGGCATTAAGTGGAGGGTGACCTGCCCCTTATTGCTTCTTTATTTTTTAATTTTTTATTTTTTTTGAGACAGAGACTCACTCCATCACCCAGGCTGGAGTGCAGTGGCGTGATCTCGGCTCATTGTAACCTCTGCCTCCTGGGTTCAAGTGATTCTTGTGCCTCAGCCTCCCAAGTAGCTGGGATTACAGGCATGTGCCACCATGCCCGGCTAATTTTTGTATTTTTAGTAGAGACGGGGTTTTACCATATTGGCCAGGCTGGTCTCGAACTCCTGGCCTCAAGTGATCTGCCCGCCTTGGCCTCTCAAAGTGCTGGGATTACAGGCATGAGCCACCACACTTGGCTCCTGGATTGCTTCTTTAAAGAATCCATGTGGCTGTGTCCTGAGGATGAGCTGCAGGGGCACACCGAAGTAAGCAGGAGGACCAGCTGGGAGGTCACTGAGAAATGGAAGGGTGGTTTCAGGGATGGGGAAAGCTAGGTGGGCTACTCTGTTTGGCAATGAGTGATAACCATCTCCTCCCCCTCTCCCCTTGGATGTCTAGGACCAGGGACACTGGTCCCCTGTTAGTTCGTTTCTCCCTCAGGGCCTTTGCACCCACTGTGCCCTTTGCTGGAACAACTCCCCCACCCCCAGCCTACACCTACTTACCCTTCAATCTCGGCTCTGATGTCACTTCCTCAAAAAGCCTCTGGACAACCCCCTTCCAGATAGGTCAGGCCCCTCATTCACAATTAGTTATGTAGTGATGTAATGTCTGTTTCTTCCATTAAAATGGAAGATTCTTGAATTCAGGGGTTGTGTTTGTCATAATCACATTAAAAAACTACTTTAAAAGAAAAACAGAGCATGCTGCCTTGTACATAGTAGGTCCTTAATGAATATTTTTTGAATGAAGTATGCTAGGCATTTTCTTATAGTGTGCTGTCAAAACCTCCTTACAAGCTTGCAACCCCATTTTGTGGATGAGTAAATTGTGGCTCCAAGAACACAAAGCAGGGGAGTGGCAGACCCAGGATTTGCAGCTCGGTCTGTGTAGCACCAAAGCTCTCATTCTTTCTGTCACAGCAGAAATAAATGAAGTTACTTTATTCAAACAATGTAATTCAGATTAGGCCAAAGCCAGAGCACTATGAATTTTTTTTTATTTCACTGGCTCCAACCTACTGAGATCAATTTAATTCATGTCGCATTTACGGGGTGCCTTGAACTCATTCACTATGTTAAATAGGAGGGCAAGAAAGGGACAGAGCTGGGCTTCAGGGAAATGCCTGTAGTGAGCTAGATACAGAGGGTCCCAGAAGGAGAAGAAGCTGTGTGCCTCCCAGAGGAGTAGCCTGGCCCAGAGCCCAGGTCACTGAGTTATTAGGAATGGCCTGTGGGGGTGGCAAGGGCCTGCTGTCTCTTGACTCTTGCTGAGGTAGGTAAAACATTTAGGCTGGCTGCTTAATGGAAAGAGCTTGGCTTTGGAGTCAGTCGCCCTTTGCTACTTTCCAGCTGAGTAACATTGGGCAAGCTACTTGCACTCTCCAAATCCCAGTTTCCTCATCTGTAAAATGAAGATAATGGGCCAGGCATGGTGGCTCACGCCTGTAAACCCAGCACTTTGGGAGGCTGAGGTGGGCGGATCACTTGAGGTCAGGAGTTCAAGACCAGCCTGGCCAACATGGTGAAACTCCATCTCTACTAAAAATTCAAAAATTAGCTAGGAGTGGTGGCGTGCTCCTGTAATCCCAGCTACTCAGGAGGCTGAGGCAGGAGAATCACTTGAACCCAGGAGGTGGAGGTTGTGGTGAGCCGAGATCATGCCATTGCACTCCAGCCTGGTCAACAGAGCAAGACTCCGTTTCAAAAGAAAAAAAAAAAGAAGATAATGATACTTCGCTCAGTTGTGGTGAAGAATTCACGGGAAAATGCATAAAAGCCCCAGGCTCATTGCCTGGCATATGCTATTAGCGGATGTCTGTAACCATCCTAGGGGGCCCTCTGTAGACAGACTGAACTGGGAGAGGATCACAAAGTGGGGGATTCAGAAAGTCAGCAACCAAGAATATTGGGAACAAGGACGTAAACGCACCTCCACTTTTATTCTTTCCTTTTTTCTACTTGGTTGAGGTGAAATTTACATGACACAAACTGTAATCCATTTTAAACTCCAATTCAGTGGCATTTAGTACATTCACAGTGTGTGCAACCACTACTTGTATCTTGTTACAAAACATTTTCATCATCCCCAAAGGAAACTGTCCACCCATTAAACAATCCCTCCCCATTTCCCTGACTCCTCAGCTCCTGGCAACCATCAATCTGCATGTGACTCTGTGGATTTACCTGATGTAAATGTTTCATGTAAATGAAATTGGTTTGGGGGGGTTCTTCCATTTTGTAGCATTTATCAGAATTTCATTCATTTTTATGGCTGAGTAATATTCTATTGTAGGTACTTACCACTTTTGCTTATCTATTCATCCCTTGATGGATATTTGGATTTTTTCCACCTTTTGGCGATTGTGAATAACGTTGCTATGAACATTTGTGTACAGGTATTTGCTTAAGTATGTGCTTTTGATTCTTTTGGGTATATACCCAGGCATGGAATTGTTGGGTCCTATGGTAATTTTATATTTAACTTTTTGAGAAACCACCTAATTGATTTTAAAAGCAGCTGTACCATTGTACATTCTCACCAGCAATGCGAAGGATTCCAATTTCTCCGTGCTCACCAACACTTACTTTTTGTTTATTTTTGATTATAGCCATCCTTGCGGGTATGAAGTGGTATCTCATTGCATGTTTTTTCCCCTTTTTTCACTGTGGTTTTGATTTGCATTTCGCCCCACCCCACCTTTATTTTTTAAATTCAGAAGAGTTGTTTGGTCTTCATGGCTTCTTTGAATCCTTAGACTATCCCTGATGGTTTATGTACAAAAGAGGTTTCTGTGGAAAAAAAAGACCCTCTTGTACAACTCCGGTAGGATTTTAAATTAGTACAAAGTCTGTGGAAAGTCATTTGGAACACTCCCCATTGAAATTACAAACACACACACCCTTTGATCCAGCAGTTCCAAGTCTATGAATCTGGCTTATGGATATACTCCCATGTGAACAAAATGATGTATCTATAAGGTTATTCACTGCAACATTGTTTATAATAGCAACAGATGGGAAACAAAATAAATGCCCCTCAACCGGGAACTGGTTAAACAAATTTTGGCACAGCCATACAATGGGATCCAGTACAGCTGTAAAAATGATGGAGACACCTCTTTGTGTGCTGGTATGGAGGGAATCCCAAGACATATTGTTAAGCAGAAAAAGAAATCAAGATGTAGAACAGTGTATAAATAGTCTGCCCTTCATATGAAAATGAGAGAAAAAGAATATGTGTGTGTATGTATGTATGCATATATAAATGCTTGTATTTCCCTGAATATTCATGAAATACCTTTGTAGAAAGGAAATTGGTGGTGAGAGACAAGAGTGGGAAGAAAACTTTTTACTGTATATCCTCTTGTGCCTTTGGAATTTCAAACTCTGTAAATATATTTCCTGTTCGAAAAATTAAATTGAAATGAAGACAACTCATAAACACCTAGAAATCTCATTAATTTGGGCTCTGATAGATCTGATCTTATGGTGATTTCAGTAGGACATGGACTCTAAGGTAAGCTTTGCTACACAAAGTGATGCCAGGGACAGGGTTGCAAAAGAAATAATTCAAGATCTCATCCCTCCCCCTTCCACTGCAGTCCCGGCTGCAGCCTTAGCTCACTGACTTGTTCACAATTTGAACTTAAGTCAGGCTTCCCGAGGCCATCCTGAATGACTTCCCGCAGTTCCCCCTTGCCCTTGTTCTGAGAGTCCTGCCCTTGGGCTTGCCCCAACACATGGTGCTCAAACAGAAACCAATGGGACTGGAGTATGCAGAGGAGCAGGTACAGCCCTAGACACTGGAAAGAAATTATGTCCAAAGTAAGTCTTTGAACTTGAGGTTGGGCACTTTGTGGCACCATGTTATCCAAGAGCTCTGAGTAGATCAGACGGCAGAGGAAGAGAAGTCTTAGCTCTGTCACTTTCTTGGTCAGTGTCTTTGGGCAAATCACCACATGCCTCTGAATCTCTGTTTTCTCATCTCTAAATGGGGCCAATACATGCAGGATTGTTGCATGTAGATGATGAGATGTTAAGAGGGCTTTTCTTTCCTTTTTTTTTTTTAACCCCCAGAGATGGGGTCTTGCTCTGTTGCCCAGGCTGGAGTGCAGTGAGTGGTATGATCATAGATCACTACAGACTCTAACCCTTGGGGCTCAACCAATTTTCCTGCCTTAGCCTCCCGAGTAGCTGGGACTATAGGTATGTGCCACCATGCCTGGCTAATTTTTAAATTTTTTTGTAGAGATAAAGTCTCACTATGTTGCCCAGGCTGAAGAGGGCTTTCTTAATATAAGCCTTATAAAATGCTGTAAGAACATGAAGGTTAACTTGAAAGTCACTATGAAAAGTCCACATTGGTTAAACATCTCCAATGTGCTTACTATGTTTGTGAGCTGGAGAGATGACAAAGAAGAATAACAGATTCTCCACCCTTCAAGAGTTTTGAGGGCTCATAGGCTAGTGAGAGAGGTGGTTGTGAAGACAATTAATTGCAGCAGAGTGCTAAGTATAGAATATAATGGAACACCAGGTGTAGGGGTGTGGGGAGGAGGAAGGCACAACTGTGCCTGGGGACTCAGCAAAGGCTTCTGAGACCAGAAGATGTTAGGGTTGAATCGTGAAAGGGAAGTAGGAGGTTGCCAGGCATGTAGGGCGCATTCCGGGTGGAGGAAACAGTCTGTGAAAAGGCAAGACGGGAAAAAGGAGAGAATGTTTATGGGCAACTCCAAGCAACTGGTTGCTGCAGAGTTTGGGGTATGTGGGTGGGAGCTGAGGTTGAAAAGGGATGACCAGGTCACATCTTGGAGACCTCTTTTATGGAGGTCACAGCTAAATGATGCAGTAAGAAATAAAACAAAAATACGTAAATATGGCAAGCAATCCTTTTACAGATCCTTCTCTCAGACATAAGATACTAAAAGACACTGAGCTTCCATATTTTTGACTCCCGACTCCCTGTGAGATGCACTGGGCATGAGCTTTGAGCATGCCCTTGTGAGGAACTCCAGCCAGCAGTCCTGGACTTTGAGCCATCCAGGCCAGACTGCAGATGATTCCAGCTCCTAGTCATGGAGTCACTCCAGTCAAATATCAAAATACTTTGGATATTTCCTGCTGAGGTCCTGGATGAGCCATCCTCACTGCGCCCATTAAATGATTCCTAGAATCTGTGAGTACAGGAAGTTGTTATATCCCAGGATGAAGTCACTGATCTAGAACAGGGAAAAGCCTTCACGTTGAGGACAGCTGCCCTGGGGAAGAGGATCATCTGCCCAGGGCACGTCCCAAGGTCATACGATTCATGCTGCTGCCACTGGCCTTTCCAAAACCCAGACACCATCATGCCACTCCTCTGATTTAAAAGCTGCCGTGGGTCCTCTCTGGCTGCAGAATGTAGCCTAACTGCTCAGTCCGTTGCTCAGGTTATTCACAGCCCAGCCCTCACCTTCGCCTGAGCTTCCTCTCCTGTGACTCTCCTCAGCAGCTCCAGGTCCTTGCCTCTTTGCTGCTTGGGGAAAGCATACTCCTCATTCAGGGTCAGCCAATTCCCGCCTGTCCTCACAGGCAGAGGAACAGCCTCCTCTTCTAGGCTCGCTCAGCACTCGACACTTTCTTCTTAGAGCTCTTTTCAGACGTTCACTTTTTGTGTTTGTATTTTGGCAAGACTGTGATTTCCTGGAGGGTAGGGACCATGTCTGACTCATGTCTGTAGTCTCAGGGCCCAGCTCTGTGTCCAGTTCAGTAAATGTTTTAGATGATTGAATGGATGCCTGGGAGGAAGGGAGGTGTGCTCCCCAGCAAACAACTGAGTGAATGTTTTCCAGGGGTGAGTCAGGAGTGATCTGTAAGTGCTATCCTCTACTGCTTTGTCTTCTGCTGTTTTTCTTTCATTCTTTCCCTCCTGCATTGCTTCTCTTATACTCATTTTTAAAATACATCTTTCTAAAATTTTTAAAAAAATTTTTTAATAATTAAAAAAATAAAGATGGGATCTTGCTAATTTGCCCAGGCTGATCTTAAAATACTGGGCTTAAGGAATCCTCCTGCCTCGGCTTCCCAAAGTTCTGGGATTACAGGCATGAGCTACTGCACCCAGCCGATTTTTTTGTGCACAAATTTTTAGAAATACCTGCCATGCAGGGGTTTGTATATTTGGGGCATAGATACCCAGGTAATACCCCCATCCCAGAACAGTTACTTCAGTTGTTCTGTGGATGATAAATCAGAGACCTACAATGTAGATTTCTCTTTTATATGTCTTTATTGCCTATATTAGGATTCATTAGTTACAATGAAAAGGAGAGGTAGAAACAACATAATTCAGTGTTCTGACACAAGGCTGTTTCCTCTGGTCCACAGGCTAATTTTTTTTTTTCTACTTAGAATTAGAAACTGATGATACTTCCACTTTTTCCCTTAGGAAAATGTTTAAGGATTTAGTGATCTTACTTTGAGGGTAATTCTCCAATGATGCTGCCTAAATGTTTCTCCTTTAATTTCATCCCAAGGCCAAGCTTTAATGCTTGAAATGATTAGTTCACACTGCAACTAATTTAGAATTTGAGTTAACACAAACACAGTTTGCATGTATATTCTCATAAGAAAGGTTTGAAATAACCCTTTATCTGCAAGGTTTCAGTATTACCAACATGCAGCATTTCATCCAAATTTGTCACCATTTTACAAACAAAGGGCTCAAGAAATCAAGGCCTTTTGAATCATCAGGGCCTACTAAATTTTTTAAAAGACTAAATGCTTATGATGCATGAATAGGTAATGGAGGCATTTACAAATTTCAATTTTTAGTCCATTAATCTCATTTACTTATTAAGAATCATTTATAGAAAATTCAACTCAACCAAGTACCTGTATAAGGTAATGTAGGCAATGATTTTGTAAACTAGTAAAAATTATGTCAGGTATTATTGACATCTGCACGTATTTGTAAATCCAAGACTGCATTTTAAAAGATGTAGACAATCTAGATGTATTTGCCTACCATTCTGTTACAAGTAAATCTATATATATTTTTTCTTTTTTTAATTATTTAATTAATTTTTTTTCTTATACTTTAAGTTCTAGGGTACATGTGCACAACGTGCAGGTTTGTTACATAGGTATACATGTGCCATGTTGGTTTGCTGCACCCATCAACTCGTCATTTACATTAGGTATTTCTCCTAATGCTATTCCTCCCCCCACCCCCATCCCATAACAGGCCCCAGCGTGTGATGTGTGATGTATATTATTTTTATTGTGATGTATATTATTTTTCACGTTAAGATAAACAAAACCAGAAAATGTGTTTCTACTTTTTGTATTTCTGCTTTTTGTATCCCATATCCTGGAGAGAAACGAACTTTCGCATCGCAGCTACCTGCATTTTCAAGTCAAGTAAACAAACTTGGAATCCAAAAGTGTAAGCAGCACCTCTGCTGGAGATAAGAAGTGGCTTAGACATAAACCCCATCACTACCCCTCCCACAACCTGCTTCCTACCTCATCTTTCTTCCAGCAAAGCTGGTTTGAAGGCTCTGGACTTTTGATCATGGCCTCGGGCCGCTGTCCTGGATGGCTGGTCTCAGAAGACCCTCTGAAAACCCAAAGAAGCTTTGGCTACCAGGGGATTCATTTCTCATCTTAAAATTATTCTTTAGAGACAAGATTTAAACCTTCACTTTCTAGGCCTTAGAGTTCCCTTCTCAGAATAACAGGTGGATTACACCGATGGCTGCATTCTCCCCACAGCGGCCACAGGATATTTAAAAATGTAAATCATGTCCCATAACCTGCCTTCCCATTGCACTTCAGATATCCAGGTTCCTCATCCAGGCCTTCGAGGGCCTTTGGGATCCTGCTGTGCTCCCTTTACATGCCTGGCTTGAAGCTCCTCCCCTGCCAGCCTTGCTCTTCCCCTCCCAACCTCGCTCTGCTCCAGCCCCGCTCTCTGGTCTGGCCTCATACATGCCCAACTTTCAGCCTCCAGGGACTTTGTGCATCAGGTATTTCTGTCTAGTGCATTCTTTTTTTTTTCTGTTTGTTTGTTTGTTTTGGCATGCATCCATGCATTCCTCCCCTTTAGGTCTCAGCTTAACCCTCACCTGACCACCTGGTCTACACTTGTTCCCCACAAACCCTTCTGTATTGTCTCACTCCATATCAGTCTTTGTTACAGCACCATTTTCATTCTCTCCTGGGCCTTTACATTTGGTCATGACTTCTTTACCTATCTCTGTGCTTCCCCACCTGACTATAAACTCCATGGGAGCAGGTACTTCAGTCATCTGGGCCTTGCAGGAGGCCCTGCTCTAAGCTGGTATTGCTGGCTTTGCTAGATGCCCAGCTAGGCCACACGTCCCAGCTTCCCTTGCGGCTGTGCTGCTGAGTGCTAAGACATCACCTGAAGAGTGGGAGAGGAAGTGATGTGTTTAGCTTCTGCCTCATTTGCTCGGAATGCATTCCCCAGCCCTAGATGTGTACCCACCTTTCCCTCCTGAGGACAGGAGCGTGGCGGTGCCCATGATCAGCCTGACTGTGCAGACAAGGACACACTCTGGAGGGTGGCAGAGCAACTGGATGGACAGACATGGGCCTAAATGGCCACATGTGGCAGAGCTTCACCCAGCCCAGACCATTTGCCTTGAAATGTTCCATGAGTGCAGAATAAACCTGCATGTCTTTAAGCCACTATACTTGGTCTCTTTGTTATGTGGCTTAACTTTCAGCCAGACGGTTGAATCAATAGTTATTGAATGAATGACTGAATCATCGGAGGCTCGCCAATTTTACCTGGTGCCTTCACTACCATAGGGTTAAGAGGGGAGGTGGTCATCACTGGGAATCATTTACTGAGCACCTGCCACGTACTGGAAAACATTCACCAGGAACTTTTCTGTGCTGGTTGGGTGTCTTCAACTTTTCCCATCTGAAAGCTCCCTGTGGCCTGAAGTGATGTCTCACTGCACTGTTGATGGATTTTTCTCTGCCATCCCAAAGAAACCAAACTTGAAAGGATGTCACGAAGCATGCAGCATGTAAGTCACACTCTTCATGTGAAGATTCTAAGTTGTTCTGTTATGAAAGATCTTGTGTGAAACAGAAATGCCATCTTATAGACTGTGGCAGTTTGTGACCCACATCATAGCAGAGAGTTCTGCCCACTTAATAGTGCTATACTTACTTCCAAAGTTAGTATCTGTGACATTTCATACCTGAACTTCTAATGTTAGATAAATTTTTCTGAAACTCTTGGTCCACAATGATGGGTGGTTTTGTTTGTTTATTAAACTTTTGGGGAGTATATTAGCTGGGAGTAATGATTTTTCTAAGAATTGCCAGTTATGGCTTTAATTTTGGGGAAAAATATTTCCTCCTTTACAATGAACTTTTTGACTTAGGTTCTGGTATATTTTTCGGCTCTACTATATTTGACAAAAGACATTTAGTAAAGCTATTCAGTTAATTTCTTACCTCCTCCCAGAGGTAGCATTTTAAAAGAAGATATCAGGGATGGGCACAGTGGCCCATACCTGTAATCCATAAGCCATTAGGTGGCTGAGGTGGGAGGATTGCTTGAGGCCAGGAGTTCAAGACCAGCATGGGCAACATAGAGAGTCTCCATCGTTAAAAATATAAAAAATAAAAAAATACAATATTAGCCGGGCATGGTGTCATGTGCCCGTAGTCCCAGTTACTCAGGAGGCTGAGGCAGGAGGATCACTTGAGCTCAGGAGCTTGAGGTTGCAGTGAGCTAAGATAGAAGCACTGTGCTCTAGCTGGGTAATAGAGTAGAACCTTGTTTCTAAAAACAAACAAACAAACAAAGAACAAATCTGAACAAAACTAGACTGGACTGAGGGGGCCAGTGCCTTTTCCAGCTTACTTTCTTCTATGTATCCTGCACTTAGACCCAGATTTGCCAATAAATGAAAGAGAGAACATGCAGGATTATGCAAGAAATGTACAACATCGGATATTTTCAGTGACTTTTGTCAAAATTGAGATACCGTCCTTGACTTTAAATTTCCTAAGTTCCTAAGTAGAGACTAAAATCTTTACAGATGTATTAAAACAATACACATATCACAAGCCCTACCATTTCCTGAGTTTGGCCAGATTGTGGGAAAATGTTTTGAGTCTACTTGAGTCATCAGGAAAGTGGCAGATGAGCTTCCTGTGGGCAAGAATAAGTCAATGCACTCAGGGAAAAATACTCTTAAAATCAGGACACATGGTTGATGAGGTTGACAATAGAAGGAATTATTTAAGATTGAGGCCTTGTTGGAAAATCCAGGAGGCATCCTTGCTGGACTCGCAGGCTGAGGGTTCTGAGTTATTGGTTATGACTGAATTTATAAGAGTGGGAATGGGCTGTGGAGGCTGATTCCTGACCGGCCTGTGGGCTGCTGCCTTGGCAAGGGTCATCTTTGTGCTATTCCTTGCCATCATCGTTAGCAGCTGCAGCAGCTTTGGAGTCCACATGTAGACAAAACTTTACAGTCTAGAAAACATGTTAACATTCACAATCTCATTTGATTCTCAGATACAGGAATAGAGAAAAGATACTTTTCTTATAGCATCACATCAATAAGAGACACATAAGTTATTAACAAAATACAGCAAATTGAGTCCAGCAATAGATGGGATTTATCCCAAGAATATAAGATTCTTTAAACATTTGAAATTTAATTACTATCATTTAATAAGTTACAGAATATGGGGAACATATGTAATCATCTAAATATGTAGAGAAAATGCACTTGGCAAAACTCAACACTCTCAGTAAACCAGGACTAGATGGGGATTTCTTCAACCTGTTATGAGGTCAGCTATGAAAAATCTACAGGTAACATATTTAGTGGTAAAATGTTAAACTCTTTTCCCATAAGAGTGGGATAAGGCAAGGGTGTTGACTCTTACCACTTCTATTCAACATTGTACTGGAGGTCTTAGCTAGTGCAATAAGGCAAGAAAAAAAGGGCCCACAGATTGGAAAGGAAGAAGTAAAGCTATCACTATTTGTAGATTGCATGACTATCTACACATTATTGCCATTATGAAGATAAGGAAAGTGAGGCTCAGAGAGATGAAGTGATTTACCTGAGGTCACGCAGGTATAAAGGATGGCGCTAGCACTCAAACTTGGATCCCCTGACTCCAAACCCTGGAATAAAAAGAGGGACTATTTCATTCACTTAAACCTAAAGTAAAGTTTCAGTTATGCTTCTTAAAGAAGATCCAGTGGCACTGGACATTTTCCAGAGCAAATCAACTAAAATGAAAGTGGGAATGCAGAAGGCTTATCAGTGTGGGACAGACTAACTGGCTAGGCTCTTTAGTCTGAGCACAGTGAAGTGTGGACAATATGGGACTAGGGTGACCGTGGATCCATTCACCAGCTCCTGAGATGGCAAAACTGTTGACCTCGGTAAGGTCAGGACTGGTAAAAATACTTTCTCACAGTAACTTCAATATACTTAAGAAACTCATTGTCAAGAGATGATGCAGGATAGAAAAGGTTTAGAAAAAAAGATGTTGAGAGATTCATAACTAGGCTGACCATATCATTCATCATCATAACTGATTTGACAGAAAGAGGGTCCTATTAGTAATTGCCCTAGGTCAACAGGCATAAAGACTGTCCTGGGCAAATTAGGACATTTGGTCCCCCAGCCTATAATAGATATAAAGGAAACTGGCATGTTTGGGTGGTGGGGGGTGGAGAGGCACATCGATAACATTAGTGAACATCTGTTCAGGCACTGGCCAGGCAAGTCATGGTGAATGTCTTAGGGCCTGGAACCCCTACTAGGAGAGTCAGATCTTTGTTGCCCCTTCAGGTGTTCCTGGCCCTTGCTGCTAATTATAATAAATAAGAACAGTAGCGACCATTTGTTGAGCACTTACTACACACCAGGCACTGAGAAGTGCTTTATGTGAAAAATTTCATTCAACAATCCTAGAAGGAAGGCACTATTCCTCTCTCCATTTTACAAGTGAGGAAACAGAATCTCAGAGAGGTTGAGTAACTTTCCCAAGGTCACTCAGCTGGAAAGTATTGGAGCTGAGAGTTGAACCCAGACTCTCAACCATGATGTTAACCAGTCTTTACCTTTTCTCTTTTGGGTTGCAGGCCATTTCAAGGACCCAGGTGTCTGGCATAGGATGAGTGTATGGTTAGACAGCACCAGAGTGGAAATAGGGGAACATCAGTGGCATCCCAGCCTCCATGTCAGCCTTGAGCCCACACTAAGAGACACACAGAAGCATAGAGTGACTGCTGGTGACTGCTCAGAGTAGACATGACCCTGGTTTTTGGCCCAGAGCAGCACCAGCTTCCAGAGCAAATCATGGAGTGAATTATCCAACAGCTTTGTTTTGTTTATTATTGCATTGTTTTGCTGTGTGGACAGACAGGAATCTTGACCCTCCAGATACCTGGGTAATGTTCCTATAACCACCCAGGTCATTTTTGGGTCAGGCAGCCCACATTCAATTCTTTTCATCTTTTTCCATCAGTCAATCCTTAATTATTTTTATTGCTTTTCTCTGAACTCTCATCAATTTGCTGGCATATCACTTTTCGGGTGGTGAGATACCAGAAGTGTTCTTCAGAGAAATTATAATCTCCTGTGCATGATGTAATGCTTTGGCTTAGGCAGTTGAAAATCACAGCAGCAATTTCAGCTGCTATTGGTATCATAACCCGCGATCAATTTGGTCGTCTCCAATTAACTTGACTTTTTTTTTCAGTGAAGGTAAGTACATGGCTCAAAGTCAATATAATTTATATCTGAACTATTCCAAGGATATGTATATATGTATGTGTGTGTGTATTAAAAGCAAAAAAAAAATGAAGCAAGTTCAGGAAGCAAAAAAGAATGTCTGGTCTTTGCTCATTACTGATCACCCCCGATGTGCCAGACCCCAGCTGCTAACTAAGCTCAAGAAGAATCTTATCTTGAAATGTTTAGGACATTTTAAACATTTTCTTCATTAAAAATTACTCTTGTTTTCCTTGACACCCTTTAATGATTACATTTTTACTCTCATGTTCCTATTTGTAGATTGAGAGCTTTCTCTTCTAGTAACAGTGACCCACTGTGACTCAGGTTATAACTATCTGTGGCTTGATTATTTTGAAGTTAATTATGCTTTGGCATGAATAATTACATTAAGCAGGTTATATTAGAATACTCACCATGTAATATTCTTTTCTCATAAGTAAAAATGGAAGACTGAGTTAACTTGGAGTTGAAAGAAATTAATTTGAACAATTTGCCGTCCCTCAGATTTAAGCCACTTTGGTTACTTCTTTTTTCCAAGTTGACTCATTTTTTTCAAGTCTATTTGTCTTTAGAGCAGCTCTCTTTTCTTTTCTTTTCTTTTGTTTTTCTTTCTTTCTTTATTTCTTTTTTAACCTTGTATTATTTGCACAAAGATGGCGGTGTGAGTATTAGTTCCAAAATGATGGCATTGTCTCATGACAATCACAGATGCAGTTTTAAAGTTCTGGTATTTAGCACGTAATAAAAAACACCAGGAACACACAGCTTCTCTGTGAGGGATGGCTCACTGGTGTACAGAGTTGAATCACACAGAGCTGGATCTGGTCACCCATCGTTTCTTGTCCAGATAGTGGCTTTGAAATGGCCTCTCAGAAAGTCAGAGATGACCTCAGGCCTGTCCACAGCTCCAGCAGCTGTTTCCTGCCTCCCAGCCATCTCATGATGGGATGCAGATCTAGTTGATGTTTTCAGCCCGCACGGATCACTTCCTTTTGTAATTTAGACCCATGAAGGCCTTCTCAAATGGTTTTGTTCACGGTGTAAGAAGTCATTTTCTTCCAAGAATCTACCTATGTTTCAGAGTTGGCCTCATTTTCTGCAAGGTCAGCTTTACCTGGGGGTGGCAGAGAGATGATTCAGGATGTGGATTTCATTAGTGCATTTTGTTTAAAAATGAATACAGATCACGTTCTTTGATGTGTGTCTTTAGTTGAAAACACCACCACCACCACCGTCACCAAATGCTACCCTAAAAACTTCTCTGTAAAGTCATGACAATATCCTCTTCTTGCAACTCCCCTGACTTTGTGTCTTTCTGTAATATACAGTATAATTTATAAAAGTGTGAGCAACTGTGGAATTGTTCTCCTAATAGATTCTGAAGATTCCAATTTCCATTCTGCCACACAAGACTGAAAATCCACTTGTGCTCACTTATCTGTATCTGTACCTCATCCCCACGCTGCATCAAAAATCAGGTTCAGGTGCAGGTTAAGAGCACGCATTTACCTCCAGAATATGGGACTTATTAAATATCTCTCCACAATTAACATCACCGTATCAATAAGAATTATCATTAGGTCCTGTCAATCAGGTGCTGAATTTTGCTTCAGGGAAACAAAACAATTTAAATTATAGCAAGTGCTCCCCTTCTTTTTTACTTGCTTCTCTTTAAATTGGATAATTATGTGGCTTTTCATTAGATTCCTCTAAGCATAATAGATCACGATATTCACCCTTTGACCTTGGTGATGAATGTCTCTGGTGAAAACATGTGACAAGCAGTGTTCTAATGAGAACAAAATACTGGATAACTGGAAATCTTGTATAATGAAAGGAGGAAGCAGGAGGGAAACATAACCTTTAAGGTTGATGCACAAAATATATTTGTAATGAGGCAATAATATGGGCTGGGGAGAAAAGGGGCTAGTTTTGTTTCTAATAATGTGGATGGAAATGATGATTTTTCTCCTTTGGAATGTGAAAAACAATGGAGAAACAGACATTTCAGGAAAGCTGTGCATCAGAAAATTCTGATCTCAACTGAATTGTAAGCACAGATGGAATGAATCTGCTGGCCTAAGTGGGGATTCAAATGACTCGCTGCGACTTGGAACACCTGCACATGGCAGTGTGAGGGTACCTCTCATTTTATTGCTTTCTTTATGGGAGTTCCAAATGTAAGGACAGCTTAAAAAGGAAACAATTTGGTCTCAGGGGATCTATAATTGTATTGGGGCTGTCAAGAAAGGACAAGGGAGGCAATGGGACACCCCCAGTACTTTCCAACCTCCCTCTCTTGGTTAGTCCCTGAACAACCTGCCTTGTTGGAGCTGGGACACCACCTACATCTTCAAAGTCCTCTTTCTGTGGTGTGAAGAGAGGTTGGGGCATCCTAAAGGTGGCCCTGAAATGTAGCCGGAGGTCAGGGAAAAGCCAATGACCTCTAGCTTCTTCTTCTTGGTTCCTCTCCCAACCCCCTGCACACCTGGATTTCCTGGATGGCTACTTATTGGGCTGACCCAGGCACAGCTTTGCTCCTTGTGGTGATGGATGGGGGATTTCCCATCAAATCAGCCCTTGGTACTGTGATTTGCTCTGGAGTTATGGAGACAGGTAGTTTGCTTCTTTTAGATTTCTTAGATGCTTCTCTGTCCATTTAGGATATACAGCACAAGGGTAGCCCATTGTAAAGCCATTCATCAAGGGTATGGATTTGCTGTATCATCTAAGGACATGGGTTTGTGGCAGGAGCTACTTGTTAAATGCACAGGCTAGGCTGTGCTTGTTTTAGAGTGGAAGAAAGAGAGCTGGAAACCACCACTTATTCGGCACCCATTTTGTGCCAAGCACTCGCCCAGGCTCTTGATACATGCTCTCTGATTGAATTCTTCCATCAAACCTTAGCCTACTTTATGATTTGGAAAATGGCCCAACCTGACTCAGAATGACCTGACAGCAAAGCTGGGGTTTAATTGCAGGTTGGCCTGACTCCTAAGAACATGTTCTGTAGGTTAAAGGTAGCACAGAATGTAACACTTTTACCG
Organism: Homo sapiens; assembly: GCF_000001405.40. Taxonomy (NCBI): domain Eukaryota; kingdom Metazoa; phylum Chordata; class Mammalia; order Primates; family Hominidae; genus Homo; species Homo sapiens. The sequence goes on from NC_000007.14 coordinate 26,460,072, forward strand.
TCTCCCAAGAACCATGCCTTTACTGTAACGTTATCCCCAGCTTACCTTTCCAGGTCTTGATGGAATCGATTTGGATTATTTGGACTTAATATTATTACCATCAATCTTGCTAGTTGTACAGTTTATTTTGTTTAACAGAAGACATGCAAGAGAAGAAACAGCTGCCTCTATAAGTTGATTTCTTCCGGTGAATTCCAGTTTGGAGGAAGAATTTGCAGGGAATGATGTATGTGCTTACAAAGGATTAAGAAACTAACCAGGCTCAAAACCATGGTTCCCTTTGTTTATCTGCAGATCTGTCCTGTTTAAGGTAAAATTCACCCTGGGCCCTCGCCCCTGACCTCCACCAGGTGACTTTTCATGGAGACATTCTCACTGCCAGCAATCCTTCAACTCTTTCCACAGAAGTCTGCCAGGAAGAGAAATGTCCAAAGTCCATTTTGAGCTCTCAGCCTGGGATTTAGCTGCAATTTTTCATGGACACTGGGCAATTACTGGCATACGAAGCCAAGGAGAAGCAAGAGAGGGAAGGCCCTGCTTCTCTAGTGAGATCATCATCTTTGCATCAGTCACTGTTAGAGACATCTCTGGTTTCTGTTCCCAGCCTAACTGCACAGAAAAGAGATATTCTAGCTTCTCCCTAGTTACGCATATGTGGAGAAAACTGAAAAAGATGGGTAATCATGGTTGTTGTAAGTACTTGGGGGCTCCAGAAGGTGTCCCTAAGAACTCCATAAAGAGGGGCTGTTGTTTCTCTGAGATTTAAACCTTTAGCACAAAATGGATCACAGTGCAGCTGCTGGAAGTCATCCGAAGGAGCTGAAAATTTTCCAAGCCCACACCCTCAATTGCAACTTGTTTGAGCAATTTTATTAGCAAATCTAAAGAAATAATGCTTTGATCAGAAAGGAGAGGGTTTACTCAGCATGGAAGCAGGACAAAAAAAGGGACTCAAAGGCAAATGTTAGCAGGGACTGCCCAAACCTTGTCCAAAAGAGAAGGAGCTGAAGTCAATCGACGGGTAATTTCTAGGCCTCTTGAAAGATGCATCTCCAATACGGTGTCAGAAATCATAGATATCACAAGTCTGTAATCAACAGATTTCAAGGATTCAGGTCCCCTTTGGGAAGAACATCCCATCCTATCATGGTGCCACTTAAACACTTAGTTTTCCTGTCTCAATTCAATGTTCACCAAACCTTGTCTTCAGGTTGCCTTGTTGCTGCTGAACATTTGCCAACAGAAAGTAGACAGGATGCTGACACTGTTGTAGACCATCTCTGATAGTGATTTCTTATTAAAAATGTCAATGCTGTGTTTTGATCTTATACATACATGCTGTGCTTCTGAGGTGTACCCATGAAAAGCTGGGCCAATTCTTACCAGTTGTCACCCTGCTGACAAGTGCAGGGTGCCGAGCCTTTGACTTAGAGCTGAATGCCAGCCCTGGACAGTGGGAACACAGCAAGCTGGTGCCTGCTAAGGAGGCTTCCCACAGAAAAGCTGCTGCTGCTTCACCTCAGCGTATACCTTGACACAGTTGCTATCCTGAAAGCGGTTTTTTCTTACCATTTTAACTAGTTTTAAGTGACCAGTTGAGCGGCATTAAGCACATTCACATTATTGTGCAACCGTCACCACCAGCCATCTCCAGAACTTCCTCCTTCTCCAGAACATTCTCCCAAATGGAAACCCTGCACCATTCAACAACTCCTTGTTGTCCCCTCCCCACAGCTTCTGGTTGCCACCATTCTACTTCCTCTATGAACTTGACTATTCTAGGTACTTTATATAAGTGAAACCATACAATGTTTGTCCGTTCGTGTGGGGTGTATTTCATGTCGCATAATGTCTTATGGTTCATCATGTCATGGCATGTGTCAGAGTTTCCCTCTGTTTTAAGGTTGAATAATACTTTGTTGAATGTATAAACCACATTTTGTTCATCTATTTGCTGATAGACACTTAGATTATTTCCACCTTTTCGTTGTTGTGAATAATGCTGCTGTGATATGGGTATACAAATACCTGTTCAAGTCCCTGCTTTCCATTCTTTTGAGTATGAGAGAAAGAATTTTAAATCTCTGCAGTAGTAATACTTGATCTTCTCATAGTGTGCTATGGTTTGTGAGGCCTGTAACATATTTATCTGGTCCTGTGAAGTAGATTGGTAGGTGGGTAGACAGGGCTATTGCCTTCATTTTGCTGAAGGAAAATTGAGATGTAAAGAGGTCAAGGGGGGAGCCTAGATCCAAAAGCTGGCTTTCTAACCACCAGCCAAGGGCTCTCTTCACCACCAAGCCAACTCTCAGGGCAGCAGCAATGTGTACCTTATTAACCGCTGCACCCCAGGTCCTAGCACAGGGCTGGTCCATAACAGGCGCCCAATAAACATGTGTCATAATCTAACTTGGAAGAAAATGCAGTGAATATCTTTCATTTTCATGGTACAAAGGAAAGTACCTCATGCCTATTTAAAATATTATACTGAAGTGTGACATGTGCATTCTGTATTCGCTATATCCTATACCCATCATTTAAAGTTGCTCCCAAAGTAAGTCATTTGGCTTTCCAACAAGGACATTATTTCATTTTATGGAAACTGGGAGAGATGTTTTGTCTTCTGAAGTATCTGGAGATTTCTTCTTCATTCCCAGACTCTTTCATCATCAAAACTACACAGCTTCTCACGGTCACTTACTTTGTTAAATTTGTAGTTTAAAATGAACATAAGGAAAACTACTTCTCCAACAAAGGATGCAGAGTTCCTGTTGTGCTCAACTCTGCCAGATCGTGGGCTTATTGACAATAGGTTTGGAAGAGCCTGGGAACAACCACATCCAATATACCTTTGGGATAATTCCATCCGCTATGTATCTTTCTCACCCTTGTGATGGTTTGAGAGGCAGAGGTACCTACACAGACTAAGTTGAGCTCCAGAGGTAGAGCCTGGCATTTCTGAACTCTTGAAGAGGTCCGTGACCTGAATCAGCATCCTGATTTAAAAGCAGTAACCAGTAACACAAAGGATAAATGCTTGACAGGATGGAGACCCCATTTTCTTTTTATTTTTAATTTTATTATTATTATACTTTAAGTTTTAGGGTACATATGCACAATGTGCAGGTTTGTTACAAATGTATACATGTGCCATGTTGGTGTGCTGCACCCATTAACTCGTCATTTAGCATTAGGTATATCTCCTAATGCTATCCCTCCCCCCTCCCCCCACCCCACAACAGTCCCCGGTGTGTGATGTTCCCCTTCCTGTGTCCACTGAACAATGTCTCATTGTTCAGTTCCCACCTATGAGTGAGAACATGTGGTGTTTGGTTTTTTGTCCTTGCGATAGTTTGCTGAGAATGATGGTTTCCAGCTTCATCCATGTCCCTACAAAGGACATGAACTTATCATTTTTTATGGCTGCATAGTATTACATGGTGTATATGTGCCATATTTTCTTAATCCAGTCTATCATTGTTGGACATTTGGGTTGGTTCCAAGTCTTTGCTATTGTGAATAGTGCTGCAATAAACATACGTGTGCATGTGTCTTTATAGCAGCATGATTTATAATCCTTTGGGTATATACACAGTAATGGGATGGCTGGGGGAGACCCATTTTCTATGATGTGATTATTACACATTTTGTGCCTGTGTCAACGCATCTCATATACCCCATAAATATATACACCTACTATGTACTCACAAAAATTAAAGATAATAAATGCAGTGATAATAAATGCGCAGAGAACTTGAACTATCTAGTGGAGCTTGTGACTTACCCAAGGTCACATAGCCAGTTAGGGCTTCCTTAAAAGTCTTTTTAGTAGTTTTTAACCTTAGAAGCAGAAGTGGGTGATGGCAGACAGAAACCAAAAGTCATGTAAATTTTATGTGTTTATAAGAATGTATTGGGGTGAGGAGATAGAGATGGACAAGGACTAGGATAGTGGTAACTGGACAAAGACCCCCTCCCACTGGACACTCTACCCTCTTCCCTGACCTCCTTCCAGAAAGGTATCGTGGAATGTTCACAGGTATTTTGCTGAATTAAACATTCCAGGAAACACTGGTATAGACAATTTGTAATTCATTGCATAATTACTGGAATTCATTGGATAGCAACCAACTCTCCAAGGCATTGTTCTCAGTACAGACCTGGCCTGAGTATCCTCCAAATCTGAACTTTTAGAGATGAATCCAAATCAATAGAGAGCAGAGTCATAGAGAGTTACTGTCAGAGAGCATCCAGTTAAAGGGTGAATGCCAGAGCCCATGTGTATCAATCAATAGAGTGCCACATGCCTATTTGAAGTATTATACCAAAGTGTGACACGTGCATTCTGCGTTTGTGCTATCCTATGCCTATCATTTAAAGTTGCTCCCAAAGTAAGTCATTTGGCTTTCCAACAAGGACATTTTCTTTCATTTTACAACATGCAATATATTTGTAACGACCTGTCATTTTTCTGAATTCAGTTCACCACCCTTGCAGGACGGAGAAGGACTGCCGTAAATGCAAGAGGGGTACCAAGGGCACCCTGTCCCTCTGTGGGCTTGTGTGAAGGAGGAGGAGGGGAGGATGGGGGACGGCTTACACAGGTCCAGACAGCCTATGCTGGTCTCCATTACTACTAAGCCCTGACCAGGCATCTCTGGGGGCCATGGTCAAGTGTCACCTTGAAAGTTGTGATTTTAGGCCGGGCGCGGTGGCTCACACCGGTAATCCCAGTACTTTGGGAGGCCGAGGTGGGTGGATCACTTGAGGTCAGGAGTTTGAGACCAGCCTGGCCAATATGGTGAAATCCCATCTCTATAAAAAATATAAAAATTAGTTGGGCAAGGTGGTGGGCACCTGTAATCCCAGCTACTGTATAGGCTAAGGCAGGAGAATCGCTTGAGCCCAGGAGGCAGAGTTTGCAGTGAGCCGAGATCGCGCCACTGCACTCCAGCCTGGGTGACAGAGTGAGACTCTGTCTAAAAAAAAATGTTGTGATTTCAGAGTGATTCTAGGGTCACCTTCTTGTGGGAAAAGAAAGGAAACCCACATTTAGTGAGCAAGTACTACGTTCCAAGCACCATCCATTCTTCATTTCATTTAACCCTCACAATAACTGTAGAAGACAATTTTACTTTTCCATTCTATTCCTAAGAAAACTGAGATTCGAGAGATTTAAAAACTTGGCCAAGATCACACAGTAACCAAATGGAAGAGCTGAGACTTGACATCCGAGCTGCTGCTTTCTCAGGTTGATGGAAGTTAACTGTGGGCTTTCGTCAATTACTTTTGTTCTGGAAAGAGGCAACCAGGCAGTGGCTGGCATGAGAAAATTCTTTTCCTAGGCAAGGGAATAGAGGGCAGAAATAAACTCATCTTGGTCATTCTGAAGGCAGGGGGATGGATGAAAGGCGAATGCCAGCAACACCATGTGTTCAAAGTTGTTTTGTTGTTAACCATGGGCATTATCAAGGCCTTTAATGTTGAGCCACCTGGCAATGAATGGCTAGAGCAGATATACATTTTGTTTTTCTTGTTCATGCAGGTGCTTTAAAAAGTGGGTTCAAATAAATATTATTCACTCAATAAGCATTTGTTGAGTTCCTACTACCTATTAGGCACTGACACAGGAACAAACTAAACAAAGTCCCTCCCCCAAATGGGCTTATATTCTAGTGGGGAGACAGTGAACAAATCAACAAGTAAAACCTGGTTTAACAGACAGCAATAAGCTGAATGGAGAAAAGTAAAGTACAATAAGCGAGCTTGAGGGCTGATGCAGATGTGTTTTGTATAGGGTTGTCAGGGAAGGCTTCACTAATATGGCGACACCAAGCAGGATCTAAAGGAACAGAAGGAGCAAGGCATGTAACTATTGGGAAATTGTATTTCAGCAGAAGGAACAGTAAGTGCAAAGATCACAAGGCAGGGTGTGCGTGGTGTGTTTGAGGCACAGCAAGGGGCCAGTGTGTCTGAGCAAAAGGAAAGAGGGAGAAGACAGGAGGAAATGGGTCAGAGCGGTAGCTGGGGCCGGAGACCATAGGGCTTTAGGCCTTGTGAGAATGATGGCTTTTATGCTGAGGTTGTCAGGGAAATCATAAGAAGTACAGCATTTGAGTGGAGCAACGACATGATCTGACTTTTATTTTAAAAGAGTTGCTCTGCTGCTGTGTTAAGAATAGCCTGTACTGGGACAAGGGTGGAGGCATAGAGGCCAGTTAGGAGGCTGTTGCAGCCAGCCTGGCGAGGGATGGTCGTTTGGAGCAGGGAGATGGCAGTGGAGGTGGTGAGGAGTAGTCAGAGTCTGGATAATTTGAAAATAGAGTCAGTTGGGTTTGCTGGTGGATTGCAATATGGAGTATGCCAGGGGCCAAGAAGGAGTAAGCTTGCATTTCTGAGCAAAGGGTAGGAGGAGCTGACATTGGTTGAGAGGGCTGCTGCAGGTGCAGGCCTGGGTGCATGGGTATTTATGTTGGGATGGGAAGTGGGGCTGGAATCAGGAGGTCAGGTTTGGAACTACTAAGTTTGGGATGCCTATTGACATCCAAGTAGTGATCTCTCTGGAATCTGGGGCAGTGGTCTAGGCTGGAGATATAAATTTGGGACTTGTTAGCAAATAGATGGTGTTTATAGCCATGAGACTGGGTGAGATCAACTGGGGATATAATTTGGAGGGAAAAGAGGACCGAGAACTCAGCCCTGGGCACTGTAATTTTTAGAGGCTGAAAAAATGAGAAGGAAACAGTTGGAGATAGAGAAGGAGCAAAGTCCAGGGAACCCAGTGAAGAAAAGACTGAGAGTTCAATCCATATGAGGATGGAAGCTTGGCCACTGCATTTACAACACAGCAGCCATTGGTGGCCTCAACTAGAGCGGTTTTGGGGAGGGATGGGGCTAATCCTGAATGGAGCAGGTTCAAGAGAGGATGGGAGAAGGGGCAATGGGGTCTTCCAGTGTAGACACCATTGAAGAAGGGTGCTGCAAAGAGGAGAGGGAAATGGGGCAGGAGTTGAAAAATGCAATTAAGCAAAGACTTTTTTTTTTTTTTAAGACGAGAGAAATTGCTGCAGGTTTGTATGCTGATGGGATTGATATGACAGAGGAGCAAACAATGAAGAATGTATGCTTCACAGGTCAGGGGGTAGGGGAAGAAGTTCTGAAACAGCATCCTGGGGGCGGTGAGGGGGAAGCCCTGGTGCACAGGAGGGGCTCGGCCTGGATAGCAGTGGGAGATCTGCTGGCAGAGTCGGCGGGAGGCAGGGCGGACAGGCACAGGTAGGCAGGGGCAGAAGCGCCAGGAGTGTGCACTGGAGTCCAGGCCAGCAGCGGAGAGCAGAACAGAAGCAGAGGTGCTGGAAGGTTGAGAAGAGAGGAAAAGGTACAAATAGTCATCCCACAACTAAGGAAGTGAATGGGCCAGGGAAAGACAGTTGGGTTTCTGGGAAGTAGCGAGTGCCCATGTGAAGGAAGAGACAGTCTATGTAAAATGAAGGAAAGTTACAAAGTTTAAAGTGAATTAAAATGTAAACTTCAAACATATTTTGAAATGTAAAGTGAATTCACTGTAAAATGATTTAAATTCTTTAGTGACATGATTCCTCTTTTCTGAAACTTCCACTGATTCGTTTTAAATCCATGATGAAACCCAAACCCAAGCAGCTGGTGTTCCCATTGCTCTTCTCTCTACCCACCCCTGCTTCCTGCCCACCAGCTCCCAGCTCAGCCCTGGGCGGTCTCCTCTGGGTCCTCCAGCGCCTCTGAAGTCTGTAGTTTCTTCACTCAGTTTCCTTTGTTTTTCCTTTATCTAAGCTCCATCTTCCCCTGACTGCCCTGCTCTCCTGTCTCTGCCTTTTCATTATGCTTTAGGTGTAGCACACACTGAACAGTGGATTATTTTCTGATTATTTTACCGAGACAGCCTCGTTTCCTCCATAGATTGGATGAGCGTGAGGTCAAGGGCAGCTCTCCTCCTAGCACTGGGCATCTACAAATATTTGACAAATTGACCAAGGTGAGAAAAAGAAGGCAAGGCTGGCTGCTGAGGCCCGGGCAGGGCTTCCTTCTCATGGACCTGGTAATGTTCAAGGCCAGAACTGCACAACTGCACCTTTGCAAATTCCATTCAGCAGCTGTTAAAAAAAGGCACCCAGGTCAGAGCAACATATAATTCTCTCTAGCCTTCCCCTTTTGCAGCTCTTTAAACACTGGATGGATTTAAGCGGAATCGGAGGGGCTGCAAGGGAGGCCGGGGGTGTTTGTATTTCCTCTGTGGTAGTTATCGGTGAACCAGAGAATCTTCAGCTTCCCGAAGCTGGCAGAGAGGTGACCCGTATTGAGGTCTCTCTACCCCCTAGGTGCCATCAAATTGAGCCCCGCACAGTTATTAGAGGGATAATGGGATTCATTTCAGCAAGGACTGCCTGGCTGGGGCCGAGCTTATTTTAATTTTCAATGTTAATAAACTTGTGGCTATTGCTTTTTTCACACCGATGTGCCTCACACCTCATTTCACTGGCCCATTAGGCAATTACCAGCAGTGCCTCTGTTCCCAGCACCTCTTAAACACGGAGCAATTATGCTTATTTGGTGAATGATGATGAAACTTGGAGGAGGCAAATGCCCTGGCATAGAACTTTCCTTCCAACTTCATCAGGTGTGCACTGATGAAGCACCCCCCTCAGTGAAAAACTGGGCTGTGACTCCAGTCTTCATGATAGCAGAGATACGGGGACTGTCGCCTTGTGGTCCCCAGCGTAAGCCCACCAGCATGCCACGTGAGCCAGCCCCGCTGACCCAGACTCAGTCCCCCCAGTGCTGGGCTGTGAAAACAGACCATTCAGCTTGGGAAATGAGCTGATAATGCTCTTCATCTATCTTGAAATGGGAAGTTTCCAGTAGGTCTTAAGTGTGTATTAATGCACGAGAGTAATGATCCCTTTATTTACAAAGTTGTTTAATTCCTCACTTCTGTGGTCCTTGTGGGCCTGAGTGGATTTTTCGTTTACCAAATTTCTCCATGATTTTCACAGCTGCTTAAACAACCCTTGTCTTCCCCCTTCCCAATCCTTTGACTGATAGAGGAGCAAAGCAATTGCCAGCCTGACTTCCAACTCCATTTGCAGAATCTTCCTAGTTTGAAGAATGGGTTCATGTGGGGGGCCAGTGGGCCAGTGTGTGGACTGGAGCCCAGACACAGATGTGGCTCTGCATCTCGAGAGCAGTGCCCTTGTCTTTGGCTGATGACACTGCTCCCCTCTGCTCTGTGGTGGCCTCACTCCACTCCACAGTCCTCCTCTGCCTGACCCAGTTATTGCCCAGGGCTAGCCTGCTTGCCCCCAGTGTCCCCAAATCCCTGCTTCCTACTCAACAAGTTTCAGTCATTTGCAATGAGGGATAGGCTGTGCATATAACTCCTTTCAGAATGGGGTGTTTCTGGGTTCCTGGTTCCAGGGCTTTTCAAGCTGAAGTTTGCTACATGTTAGTGGTACTGACACCACTTTAGTGGGTTGCAACTCAAGACTTCTTTTTTTTTTTTAAGAAATGAAAAAGAAGCTGAGCATAGTGGCTTCCGCCTGTAATCCCAGCACTTTGGGAGGTTGAAGCAGGTGGGCCCTTTAGCCCAGGAGTTTGAGACCCGCCTGGGCAATACAGGAGACTGTGTCTCTATAAAAAAATTAAAAAATTAGCCGGGCATAGTGGCACTTGCCTGTCATTCCAGCTACTCAGGAGGTTGAGGTGGGAGGATTGCTGGAGCCTGGGAGGTCGAGGCTGCAGTGCACCATGATAGCACCACTGCACTCCAGCCTCGGCAACACAGGGAGACCAGAAGAGAGAGAGAGAGAGAGAGAGAGAGAGAGAGAGAGGGAGAGAGAGAGAGAGAGAGAGAGAGAGAGAGAGAGAGAGAGAAAAAGAAAGAAAGAAAGAGAAGGAAAGAAAGGAAGGAAGGAAGGAAAAAGGAAGAAAGAAAGAGGAAGGAAGGAAAGAAAGAAAGAAAGGGAAAAGAAGGGAAAATATCAGAGTGCATGGTGAAGGGAAGTATTGTTTTGCTAAGGAGTTTTGTTTTGTTTTGTTCATGGAACAGCTAGTTATTGAATAGCTATTCTGTAGCAGACTGAGTTCAATGAGCTGGTTTCAGTGATATGTTTTTCTGTCCACTTGTAGGTACATGTCTACTGGATCACAGTTATAAAATCTATCTCTGAAGTAGATGGATGTAAAATATCTTGGATAATCTGAGGTGTCATTCCCAGCACTCTCCAGGACCTGAGACTGACTCTGGCTCCAAGGCTCTCAGCTCTGGTCTTTCAGTGCTCTTGGTTGCCCTGTGGTTGCTGGGCAGGATTCAGCGTATGTGATTTTTAAGATTTTTTTTGCCCTTCTCCCTGGGGGACAGAGGCTGGGGCTAGGCATCTGGAAGCATATGGCTCAAAGAGAAGGCAGTCACAGACTTAGGTGGCAGGGACCCAGGTAGCACACAAACATCAGGACCTCCAAGCCAAATGATGGTGGGCTTGAACCCCTTCACTCAGACAAGTCTCTGTCTGGGGAAGACATTTTTGTGCCCAGAATCAGTGAGATCCTCTGTGGGGTGGGCCGGCCAGAATTTCTAAAAGTAGTACTTATGAAGACTGTTTTTAGCCCTTGGATAGTTTCAGATGGTCTCTGTGGCATTTACTACAATCACAAATGGGAAAGGCAGTAACACGAAAAAGCTTCTGTTTTTCTGACTTCAGAAATTCTGGATTGGTGATGACTGTGTCGGGGGACCTTGCAGGAGAGTTTCCCCGTGTTTCTTGGCTGGATTTTTAGCGACGTCTCCCAAGTTTCCTTTGGGATCCTTGCCACTCCAAGTGCTGGGCTTGTCATAGGGATGGAGTCTGGAGGAGAGCCGGAGTTTGAATCTGAGATAACACTGGGGGTGCAGTAAAGTGTGAAGGGATATGGGAGCCAGCCTTCCATTCAAAGAGGGCCTCAAATTTAGACGTTTGGTGTTATCTTCAAAGTGAGGTTACAAGATAATAGGATGGAAGGGAGATAGTTTGCACATAACTTTGTTTCCTATTATAGAACAAAGCTACTGATAGGTCTTTATAAATTAATACCTTAAAAATTATGTAATTATATTCTAAATAGCTCTGTTATATTGCATTTTATTTTTTGGTGTTAAAAGCTTTAGATGGTCAAATGTCTATAATTTTTTGTAACTTTAGTTTTGTAATAGACCAAGGCCAATGAGGCTTTGGTTTGATGAGTTTGAGAAGATGGATCCAGGGTATGCCTGAATGTCAATCCCATGAGAATGCTAAGTGGAGGCTATTCTAGAAAAATCATTTCACGCCACTCTCTTCGTCAGCTAAGGAAAAGGTAAAAGCAAAATGTAATTCTGTTTACCGAGTGCTTCCGACATTTTCAGTGTAGCACTGTAACAGATGATGGGCAACATGTCCCCAGATGGCATCTTCACAAAGTATATGACACTTCCCAAAGTATATGACACAAAGTATATGACATTATTTCACAAAGTATATGAAATAATGAGGTGGGGAGGGGAAGCCTCAAGCCAAATACCCCCCACCACAGCAGCACTGGAAAGCTCAGACATTCTTTCTCCTTTTACTTTACTTCATCTGTTTTAAAAAAGAATCTTTTCCTACTCTAAGTCATATATTCAGAAAACTTTGAAAATCTAAAAATAATTCAAAGCCAAAGAAAAAGAAAAAATAATCACCCACAACCCTTTCTTTCTCTCTCTCTGACTGGGGCTGCCAGTCCCAGTACCCAGCCAGGCAGGGCGGCCATCAGTGGCGGCACGGCACACGCCCTTGCAGTCTATTTCTCTTTATCTTTACAGAGACATGTAGATTGCAAGGGGCATCATTCTTTTCTTCTCCCTGTGTTTCAGGACTATCAGGCAGACTGCAGGACAGTTCTCCAGGTGTCCTTGGACTGAGTCAGTTCTTCTCCCTTTTTTTTTTTTTTTTTTTAATTTTAGACGGAGTCTTGCTCTGTCACCCAGGCTGGAGTGCAGTGGTGTGATCTCGGCTCACTGCAATCTCTGTCTTTCGGTTCAAGTGCTTCTCCTGCCTAGGCCTCCCAAGTAGCTGGGATTACAGACGTGTGCCACCACACCCAGCTAATTTTTGTATTTTTAGTAGAGATGGGGTTTCACCATGTTGGCCAGGCTGGTCTCGAACTCCTGACATCAGGTGATCTGCCTGCCTCGGCCTCCCAAAGTGCTGGGATTACAGGTATGAGCCACCGCGCCTGTCCTCTCCTCCCTTTCTTGCTTACAGTTCTCAAGCATAACTGCTGAATGTGCTGGGAATGGAACATCCTGAGATAGGGAGGGACTGATTTGAACAGCCCAGCTCTGTTCCAGCACCCCCTAGAAACAAGATGTTTCTTTGCCTTAGCCCCAAATTACGATTTTCCAGTCAGATCTCTTAGTAACAAAGCTGGCATGTTGCTCTCCATCTGACCAACTCCTTAGTCTGTCTCAACTGGTTTCTAATTCTGAGATGAAGAAAGAAGTGTGATTAATTATCAACCTCCAACATAGACTTTAAAGAATTGCACTATTCTACCACATGTTGTTTTGTACCTTGCTTTTTTCACACAGAAATAAATCACAAACACTTTTTTCATGACAATAACTATTTTGTCTACAGCATGACTTCTAATGGTTGCATTAACCCAACATGAAGATGTGCTATACTTTACCTAACCAGTTCTCTTCTTCAATTTAGTCTGTTTCCAGTTTATAAAAAAGTTACAAGTAGTGTTGCAATCAATGATCTTATACTTTAGACCTTAGTATACATCTCTGATTATTTGTGATAAAATCTTAGAGTTGGAATTAAGGTATATGCATAATATTTAGACTTTTTTTTTTAAAGGCTTTATTGAGATGTAATTGGCCTACAATAAATCGCACATAGTTAAAGTGTACACTGTGATATGTTTTAACATATATTTGCATCCATGGAATCATCATCACAATCAAGATAGTGAACATACCCATCACCCTTGTGTCCCTCTGTAATCCCTCCTTCCTCCTGGCCCACCCACTGTGTCCTGAAGCAATCACAGATCTGCTTTCTGCCACTATAGATGACTTTGCATTTTCTGGAATTTTATATAGATGGAATTACACAGTATGTGCTATTGTTTGTCTGGTTTCTTTCATCCAGTATACTTATTCTGAAATTCATCTACGTTGTTGAGTTTATCAACAATTGTATGAATAGAGCACAATTTATTAATCCACTCACTTGTTGATGGCTATTTGGGTTATTTCTGGATTTAGAGGATTGGAAATAAAGCTGCTATGAACGTTTGTGTCCAAGAGTTTGTGTAGACTTCAGCTTTCATTTCTCTTGGGTAAATACCTACAAGTGCAATGGCTGGGTCATATGGCAAGGTCTATGTTTAACTTCTTAAGAAACTGCCAAGCAGATAAAGCATTGCACCATATTAAGTTTTGATATTGGTCGGGGGCAGTGGTTCACGCCTGTAATCCCAGCACTTTGGGAGGCCGAGGCGGGTGGATCACGAGGTCAGGAGATCGAGACCATCCTGGCTAACACGGTGAAACCCCGACTCTACTAAAAATAAAAAATAAAAAAATTAGCCGGGCGTGGTGGTGGCACACGCTTGTAGTCCCAGCTACTCGGGAGGCTGGGGCAGGAGAATGGCATGAACCCAGGAGATGGAGCTTGCAATGAGGGGAGATCACGCCATTGCATTCCAGCCTGGGTGACAGAGTGAGACTCTCTCAAGAAAAAAAAAAAGTTTTGATATTTAATTTAAAATAATGCAAGTGAATTTGCGTTAGTCTAAAGTGCCCTTAGATTAAGAGCGTAGGATCATAGGACAGGGGATCTAGAATGTACTTGAGAGTGTACATCCAGTTCTTTGCTTTACTACAGAGGAAACAGTGATCCACAGAAGCAAAGTGAGTTTTCCAAGGTCTTTCACCTTAAAGGCTAGTCTCTTTACTCTTCTATAAGACCTTTCAGTGTGGGAGCAATGCTACCATCATGTTGCAATTTCCCAACATAGCCCTGTGTTATGGCCACAAGGGCACAGATTTCACCTTGCATGTTACACAACTTTGGGCATGAAACATGTTTTGAAACTGGAGAATTTGTCAAGACCTGGAGTAAAGAGAATCAAAAGGGTAATAAGTATAATCTACAGGAAATCATATTTGACCACTCACCGTATCAACATCAGTGCAACAGCAAGTAAAATAAAAATGTGCTATCATCGTGGATCCTCGGAGCATGGAGGAGGTCCACCTAGTTTCTGAACAAACTGATGGATCCAAAGATTCAGACCACTGAGCAGCCCATTAAAAGTGAAGACAACAGCAGTGCCATTTACCCAGCTGCCTTGGTTTACCTTCCTAGCACCCACTTCTTATTATCATATTCATAAGTGTGGCCTCTAATCAGTCTTCTTAAGTAAAGTTAACAAGTATATGTGTGCACTCTCTTGAAATTGTTTTGCTTAGCCTAAGAAGCTGTCATGGGGTTGAGAAGGCTGCCGCTTTAACCAGATTTCATCTCTGTGTGTCACTGCTCATGTCAAAGTAAAAATGTGCTCAGACATAAGAGTTGTCCTGCTTTCATCAAGAGCGCCAGCCTGCCTGAGCCTCGTTCCACTTGGTTAAGCTTGTTATTTAAATTGTTAAAATTGAGACATCGGCAGTAAATTTCAGAGAAGATATAACAATTATTAGATACAAGCTGGGCTCTTGTACTTGAGAATATCCCATGCCCTCCATCCACCAGCAGAATTAGCCACAAATAATTTACAATGGTTTCTCTAAGAAGTGCACCCTGTAGTACTTGGATGGCATTAAATCACAGTCTGTCCCCAACTGGATAATATTTCTAACTTTAAGATAGATTTGGTTCCAGTCAGCAGAGTGGCGGCACACTCCAGAGGCTACCTTTTAATGCCTATAACTCTTGAAGAGCTGAGTGAGGATCCTGAAGCTGCCTTCTGCCTACGAGCTTTGTGTTTGGGTAATTTTATACACTAGGCATTGGAGCCACAGTCCAGAACAATCGTCCTGTAAGGGTGAGGAGAAGTAAAAGCCAGGAGGCTCTCTGAGTGACCTTGTGTCACTATGACCTTGTGGTGATCATGTCCTGTTCCCTGTCTGACTGTGCCCAGGCAAAGGTTGGAGAGAAGGGATAAGAATGGATGAAACTTGGAGTCTACAGGTAGATCATCAGAGGCCACCTGGTCTGACTTCTACAGCCTCCCTCTCAGTGAAGGAACCCCAAAAAGGACATGATTATTTAGGAGTTGATTCATTCTTTTGACTTTAAGATCAACAGAATTCCCCAGAGTTGGTTGTTGTTTTTGTCGTTGTGTAATATGAACGACTCTCAAGCCAAACGTCTCCCAAAATCAGTACTTATGGAATGGATTGCTTGGACACAAATGTAGTACCTGACATTTAGTGATGCTAAATATCATCAGAGTGATGAAACTTGATCAAAGTGATTTTGGTCCATTACTTAGTGATGCTAAATTTCATCAGAGTGATTTTGGTCCATTATTTCTATTAATGAAAATATTTTAAAAGTTTGAACCTGACATTTGATGTGTCAGATTGTATATTCTTTAAATTTCTGTATCTTTGTCCAAATCATAGAGAAAAATAGTAATTCCAGAGCTGGGAGAAAACTTGCACATTGCCAATCCAATGCTCTCTTTTAAAAAATCAATAAACTAAGAACTAGCCAGGCCAAATCGCTTTCCCAAAGTCATACATCAAGATAGTGGCATTAAACCACAAATGCTCTTTGAGTATATGTTGTCTCGTTATTTGAAAATTCATCTCACTATAAAATAAGCACACATTTCTTCATTTTATTCATAAGACTATTCTATAAAATAAAAGGTATATATAAATAAACATACCTTTCTAAGGTCAGGACCTGGTCTTGGCATTTCCGTCTGTATTATCCACTCCCAAGGCATCACCTGAGATCCTCTTACCTGTACAGTCTGGTTTATTTTCGGGAATTGGCTTATGTGATTATGGAGGCTGGCAAGTCTAAAATCTGCAATGTGGACCAGGCTGAGACCCAAGAGAGCCAATGGTGCAGTTACAGTGTAAAGGCTGGCAGAGGGTCACTGATTCAAATATTAGTCTCATCCAAAAGCACCCTTTAATTTGACACATAAAATTAACCATCACAAGGGGTTAATACCCTTTGAAACAAAATTTTCACTATTAAGGTATGGGAATTAGTGGATATTCCTTCTTGTCTTCCCCTGTCCTCCACCCCACCAGTCACCCTTGCCCTACTGGATGGGCTGAAATGCAGTAATTCCTATGGCCGCTCTGAAGACCACCTGCACAATTGAGCAAGAGGTTGTGCTTGCATGTAAATGGAGCCCAGCTTGATATCTCACCTTCCTTTTTTTCCTTTTTCCCTGGCTCACTCCTTCTTTCCCTCACTTTTGCATCCCTGGGATGCAACAAAGCTTCAGTACATAAACTTTGGCCTCAGGCTTCATTTTTCTAGGAACTTGGCCTACTATATCTTATTAACTAGCAACCCCCTCCCCCCTTTTTTTTTCTCTTTTGAGACAGGGTCTTGCTCTGTCCCCTAGGCTGGAGTGCAGTGGCACGATCATGGCTTACTGTAACCTCAACCTCTGGGGCTCAAGTGATCCTCCCACCTCAGTCTCCCAAGTAGCTAGGATTACAGGCATACACCACCATGCCCAGATAATTTTTATTTAATTTTTTTTTTTTTTTTTTTTTGTGGAGATGGGGTCTTGTTTTGTTTCCCAGGCTGGTCTCAAACTCCTGGGATCAAGTGATTCTCCTGTCTCAGCCTCTGAAAGTTCTGGGATTACAGGTATAAGCCACTGCACCCAGCCTGAAAACCCCTTTTCAAATCTGACTAACAGCCAGAAGCCCATTGTACAAAATACACACTCCCAACTTTGCACTCATATAATTTCAAGATCCTCTTACTGCAACGTTTCAGTTGCTTCCCTCTGACCTTTTAAAAACCAGTTGTATATTATGTCCTGAGCTTCAGTGTCAGGTACTATTATTACCACTTGTACATTGAATCTGAACTTTAACTTTGTCAGTTTGACTCACGTAGCCCAAATCAATCCTCTCTGTCTAGACAAAACAATTTAACTTTGTAACTGACCAATTATGTAGCACTTATTTATTGGAAAATTTGTAAGTTCAGGGCATGGTGAGGGATATGAAGTATACAAGACATAATTTCTGCTCTCAAAATGCTCACAGTCTACCAAGTATTTTTGCTTTCAGTTCCCTCATCAAATTGAAAATATATTTACCAAATTAGACATTTGAAATAATTTTATAAGGTCTATTGATCCACATGTTCAAAATTCGAATGCTCTGGTTGGAGCCATTACAAATCTTGGTAGTGATGAGCCAGCAGGTGCAAACCAAGCTTGGAGACTGCAGAGGAGGAAGGAGGCAGTAGCTGGAGGCAGTGAGAGACCTCAGCAGGTTTAAGGAAGCTTTTTTCTCTCGGGGCTGGCTGCTATTTTAAGGAGACTTGAAGGGGGCAGAGCCACACACAATACAAAAATGGCAAGCCATCCCATAGACAATGTTGGCTCTGAAATATACAGAATAATTGTTTTTTAGTGGTATACTTAGAATCTTAAAACTTGTTTAAGCCAATGTTACGATTAAATTACAGTCAGTTTCTGAAGCACAGAGGGACTTGCAAGATGGAGCAGAAATCTGATGGCTAAAATTAGGTTGTAGAGTTTTCCAGCATTTTCCTGCTATCTGACTACCAGAGAGGCACAGATAATCCAAGTTAGTAGTGTAATTGGTGGTTGGCGAGAAGTCTTCTGTTTTAGATACACATCTCAGCCATTTTGTATTTTTTTACCATATTTTTGAGTCTATAAAAAGAAGATGCAGGGCTGGGTGTGGTGGCCACTGCTGTAATCCCTGCACTCTGGGAGGCCAAGGCAGGAGGATCACTTGAGGTCAGGAGTTCAAAACCAGCCTGGGCAGCATGGCAAAACCCGATCTCCACCAAGAATACAAAAAACTAGCTGCACATGGTAGCATGTGCCTGTAGTCCCAACTACTCAGGAGGCTGAGGTGGGAGGATCGCTTGAGCCTAGGAGGTGGAGGTTGCAGTGAGCTGAGTTCACGCCACTGAACTCCAGGCTGGGTGACAGAGCGAGACCCCATCTGAAAAAGAAAAGAAAAAAGATGTGGATAGACTCTTTTGAAATAAAGGACTAGACAGAAAACCTTTATGAACAACATATTTCCTGAATTACAGATGCACTATCTCAACGTATCCCTGAACTGTGAAAAATTACTATAAGATCTAATATCTTTAAAAACATCCTTTTGTTTTATTTTGCCTTTTGATAATTGGTCTTGACCCTTTTCAGGCAAAACTCCTACTGACTTTCAATTGATTGAGCTGATTTGACTTGAATAAGGTCAGCTACAAATGGTCCCCTTTCTACTCTACATTCTGATCACATGATGCAATGTGTCATAACGCCACAATGATATGTATTGGCAATCTTATACTGGTGATTAATTGCTGGGAAAGTAATTTCTTTATAAGTGCACTCGAATGCTTTTGGTGGCCTGACATCATAGGGAACTCAGGTACACTGGCTCAGTAGGGCCCCAAGAAGCTGATTTAATACTCCCATCCTACCCCACATGAACCCATCTTGGAAAATAATGGTAGCAGTTAACATGTCTTGAATGCTGACTCCGCCAGGCACTGTGTAAAACAGTTTGCATGCACCAGCCTCAGCTCCTGTAATCTTCATGACAGCCCCATGGGGCAGGTACTATGAGGCACGTGTTACTGGCCTAGTTGGAGACCACTGGAGAGGTCAGTTATATTGCCCAAGGCCACATAGGTGTTTGGGAGGCAGACACACTGGCTCCAAAGCCCAGCAGAGGCCCTGCAACAGCTGCCTCATTTTCCTCTCCCACCTGGCCTTCCCCCTCTTCTCCCTCTCCCCCATATCCCAGCCATACAGCCTCTTGCTGATTTGCCACCCTTCCAAGGGGCTTCCCCTGCTCAGTGCCCTTGCACTTGCTGTTTGTTCTGCCTGGCCCACTCTTCCTGCTCGTTGTCATGTGGCTGGATTCTTTTAACATGTTAGATGTCAGCTCACATGCCACCGTTCTGGGCAGGCTGTCCCTGATCACTCCCTGGAAAGTAGGCCTCCTCCCCTGGCTAGCTGGGTTAGTGCCACTTACTATGTCAAATCTCCTTCCTTTATAGCGTTTCTCACAATCTATACCTATCTTGTTTGCAATAGCATTTTGTTTATCTCCCACTGGAACGTAAGTCCTAGAGGACAGCTTTGACTTCAGTATCACTCTAGCTCAAGCACCTAGGACAGTGACCAATGCTTCATAGATGCTCCACCACGACTGCTGAATGTTCAAGGAGCCAAGCTAGTAGGAACAAAACTGCTGATGGGGTGCCTGGCAGGTGTGTAGCCTGGGTGGGCTCTCCAGGTGGAAGGGAGCAAAGGTGCTGAAGAGGATAAGTGTGGGCTTCAGAAGGAAGACACCTTTCCAATAGAGCTTGCTTTTTTTGTGCTTGTCTACTGCCTTGTTCTCTGATTTCTCCTCTGGGCTTACTCTAGATGCACCCTATGCCTCTCAAGCATTTTCTTGCTCACAGTGGAAATACTTGCCTCGGTGCCAGGAGAGATGTTGAAACTGACTTTTGCTGTCTCAGGACTGATGGGGACTGGCGTTTGCTTTGCAGGGTCACTGTGAACACCAGACAGTCCAGGAAATCCAAGAAGGCAGCTAACCAAAGGGACTTCAGCATCTGGAAGACTGGACTGAGGCGGGGGTGTACTTGACAGGGGTGGCTACTGACCACACACCTCCTTGAAAGGTGTCGTGGCTCATTACCAGCTGGTTTTCTTGGTGAGAAGTGACTTGATCCTAGTGCTTTGGTGTGAGCCCACTGCCTCAGGAGGACTTGTTGGTCCTAACTAAGTATGAAACCAGTTATTAGATAAAATGTCTTTTTACCCCAAGGTTGGGAGGGAGATGGGAAGGGCCACTAGTATTTGTAGGGTCAGCCTGCTCCCGTTTCTGGCAGCACACAGCAGGGCTCCAGCATCATGAGGCATTGCACATTCACTCTCCAAGTTCAAAGCGCATCCTTGCAGCCTTTCAAAGCGTCTGACATCCTTTCAAGTTCGCTGTTACAAAGGCAAATGCAAATAGAGCGCATTTCGGAGGCGTTGTGTCAGTCAGCCCTCAATCTGTATGTTCTTCCAGACACTCCTTCTCCTGCCTGATTTATTTCATATTAAAAGGGCTGTCAATCTGCATCAAGGGAACAGTTTGAGAAAGAGTGAGTGATGTTTGTCGAGTTTGCTCTTTGTTGTTGTTTGCTGTTGTTAAAAATAACGGTCCCCCCATCTTTGTGGCCATATTCCTGACTCACCCTACACAGCTCTCCTCACCCCTGCTTACCTTGTCTGCAGGTATCTACACACCAGGGGTATGAATTCCACGTACTAGAAACATTTCCACTAGAAACGTATTTTGTGAGACTGTGGCAGACCCTTTTTTATTATCCATCAAATATATCTCTTTTTACCATCTGATGGCTTGGCAACAGGACCATTCTTTTTTCCAATAAAATAAATGTGCCTGCAGCATGGCAGAATATTCAGCATTGAAGAGGCTTTGCCCTGGCTAATGCGAGCTGCATTCTGCGGGCTTCATTACGACGGGACACTAATGATGCACTCCACGGCTCCCGACGGGATTGCTTTATTGTACCAGCTGCATTATTGTTTTATGTTAGTATATTGATTATTGCCTTCTCCTGTCATTTAGGCCAGGTTTTCTTACTTTTATCTGCAATTTTGGCCTACAAATAGAGTTGCCCCATCATTCTGTACTATTAATTTTTGAAGGTGCCTGATACCTTGTGAACCAACCAATCAAGCCTGTCTTCACTTGCCATATGAAAACTCCCAAATTACAAAGTCACAAGAAGTCAGATGGTCTCTGAACATAGAGTCTTAAGCTAGTGGCTTTAATTTGAGTGTGCATGGGAATTACCTTCAGGAGCTTGTTGAAAGGCAAACTCCTGAGCCCCAACCCCAGAAATGTAGCAGGTGTAGGGTTGGGGCCCAGGAAGCTGCCTTTTAAATAATCACTTGGGTGATGCTCAGGATAAGGCATGGGATGGGAGTGAAGGTAGAGTCAGGTGCTTGGCAATGAGGGAACTGGCAGGAGGCCACAGACTGTGTTCCTTGACCCAGGCTCCACTCTCCTCCCTCCAGGCTGTCTCCTGGCTCCTCCCTTGCCCAGTCTTTTCTCCCCTCATACTGTCTCTTTTTGGCTCTGCTATCAAGAGGTATTTCAGATGAGAACATAACCACTTAGGAGAAAGGCCCAAATCAGAAATGATATTAATGCTGCTCTCTTCCTTCCAAAAGAATTAGCCACATAATACAATTTTATGGTGAAGAGACAGGAGGGAGAGGGGAGGAATAAGAAAAATATTCTAGAATAAAACTATATGCAAACCATCGTTCAGTAACAAAGCCCTCCAGGGCCTGAGGAAAATGCTGTTTTCAAGGAAGCAACAGACTCACCTCTGTGAGGCTGGGACACGGGGAGAAGCCATGAGGCACCCAGGGAGGGCCAGATGCAAGAAGATGCTGCCATGGGAAGCGCTTTCCCTTGGTTCACAGCTCCACAGACTCCCTTTGCTTTCGGGTAACACCCACTGAAAGGTGGGCCCTGAAGAGAATAGGGCAGATCCATGAGGACCCAATGGGAACTGGGAAGAAAACTCATGGAACACCTACAAATAAATAAATTATATTAGAAACAAAGATAATAAATACCCCAGACTCATTGATTCCACTTATGGTACTGTATGTTACTTTCATCTGTGTCCAGAGGTTATTTACATCTATCATATTTGTACAGTGGAAATATACAATAGTGGGCTACTATGTGTCTTATTCCAATTTTGCATTCAGTGACATCACCTTGGCAACTTGAGATGGACCATGGTAGGAGTATTTACACTGTTGAAATCAGCATATGTTGCGAATCAGTGCTTGATTTATTGTTTTGTTGACTAGACTTAAAAAGGCGATGGAGAAAATGTTTAATGATGCAGATTAAGCTTAAAAGGGTGTCATGTCTGTAGCTGTTACATTAGGAGTAGCACAAAAATTTGAGGGAATATTCTTCCAGTATATGGAAACTATTATCTGATTCAGCAAAGACGTCACTCATGTCATTGATGAAACAATGTAGCTCTAACACATGTCTTTGTTTTTCACTTTTGTTCTACTCATTAATGTAAATGAAAATATCAACCACTATTCATGTCAGAATTATACTTGTTTATCACTCGCAGCCTACAATTAGTATGGATATAAGAGTTTGCCAAAAATCTGCGAAAGCCTTTTAAGAGATTCAGTTGGCTATATGGAATTGCAATAAAGAGAGTCCACTAATTTTATTTTTATTTGTAAATTATGTGCTACACATCCTTCAAATAAGTAAAATTCATAATAAACTTATGTGCACATAAATTTATAGCTGCTACATACAGACAGCTTCTTTCTTCCTGCCTCTTCCCCTCCCCATGCCAATTATTAAACATTTGCTAGCCCATCACTGCCTTAATTACATTTACAAATGAATCCCAAGTAGGGAGCAAACTTATTCAGGGTCTTATCTCACCTACTGGATGAGGGACTTCTTGAGTAAAGAGCCCATGTCTGATTCAATCCTTTGTCTGCTATTTTGCCTAGCACAGAGCCTGTGCTCAGTAAGTGCTAAAAATGCTGAACACATAGTGTATCTCAATAGGAGCATGTCAACTAATTGTTAATTCCATAAAATACCCATGGCAAGAGTAAAACACGTAGGATCCCTGGTCCGTTATAATTTGGGACTAGCAATTAGGATGCAATTGCTGAGATGCAATTGCTGCTTCATTTGCAAGAAGCTCTCTGCTTGTTTACATTTGGGATGATAGCTGAGCCTGGCTCTCCATCCCTCAGCCATCTTTTCTATTTATGGTGCAGTCTTTGAAAGTCACCTTGTGTTCGGTATGCAGTGCCAGTGTGTTGGAGCATGGTGAAGACTGCAGCTGGAATGAAGAAGGAGAGACAAGAAAGATGAGAAGGTGCAGGGGAGGTGATACTAGTCACATAACTAGCTCATTTCCTTGTCTGGTGCCAGCGACTGTGCTGCATACTATACACATAGTATTTTGTTTAAACCTCACAATCAACCTTGTGAAGCCATATTATCAACCTCATTTTACATTTAAGAAAATCGAGGCTTAGAGAGGTTAAATAAGCAGACAAGTCTGTAGCAGAGCTAGGATGCCCAAAGGAGGGCTGGCGCTGGCTGTGCCCGCTTCTGTGACTGAATGAGCTTTGGCAACCATGTAGACTTTTCTTTTCTCATGGCCCCTGGAATCCTGGTCATGGATAATGTTTGGGATTATATTTTGGTATACGTGTATACGAGCCTACCCCAAGGGGATATTTGGGCTTTTTTTTTTTTTTTTTTTTTTTTTGAGGCTGTTTGTGTCACCAGTACATTGGGGACTTTTCTGGAGTTGCTACAGGGTTCTGCTGTTCTGGAGACGGCTTAATGGTGCCTGTGCTGGGAATTTTCCTGGCTTCTTTCACGGAGGTCAAGTCCTCAGGCGTTGGAGAAAGAGGGGCTCAGAAGGAAGCCTGTTGCGTGCCAAGGTTGTCCTTAAAACACCCAAGAGAAGGAGGCTCTGGAACGCTCCTCAAGTGGCTTGTTCCACTGTTTAAAAAATTTTACTTCCAGGAATTTCCAATTTATATCTGCTCTGATTTTCTCACTGTGTTTGAGTGCATTTCCCAGATTAGAGGACTCACACTGCCTCAGTCCTTGGGGATTTTGTGGATCTTGGGTTATGAGACGTTCTCAAGTGTGTTAGTATAGAAATATTGTGTTCCCAGAGGGCTCTGCAAGCCTCCTTGGCACCCTGGCACCCAAGTGTTCACTCAAGCCAGGCCAGAAAGTGTCGGTGTGTGAGTAGCCCACCATCTGGATGGGTGGCTGCTTCTCCCCATACGGGTCTAATTGCAGTGGTATTTCCTATTCCTCACTGATTCCTATGATATTTGCTGCCATAATGTGTCTCACAATGAACTCATTTGGTATTAATGTGAATGTAATATGCCGTTCCATAGGAATTCCACTGTAATTTAGCATTCATTAATGTCCACTTATTGTAAAGTGGTACAGAAAACACTTTATCGCCCATAAATTGGCAAAGCAGTTTCCCTGTGTGTGTATGTATGTTGTGTGTATCATTTAATGAGGTCCCTGTGAACTCGGAAACCCTAGTAAATATAAAATTCATATGAAGTCCCAGGTCATAAATCAAGCAACTATTGCAAATGACCTTACCATATGAAGGTCAAATGTGCTTGGTCCCGTCAAAGAACTTAGATCTTTTGCAGTGTCCAAAGATATCCCAATACTTTGTTCCGATGACCCCATATCAAAGGTTCCTTCAGCCATATGTATTTCCTGAGTTCTGCTAGGAGCTCCTAAATTCCCTCCATTGACCATTTGTTGCATTTCTAACCTGACAACCCCTCCCAGGGAGAGCCACGTTTGCCTCCCTTGTTCATGGGATTTTTCCTCTGTGACACTTCTGAACACTAAGTGAACAGTGCTTTTTGAACCCATCCCACTTAGAAGCTAAACTCCTGTCTCAATAGTTTCAGCTAGATTTAAGATCAAAGGCAGAGGTAAAAGTCAGTGTAGCAATGCAAAGCATTAATCTCCTATGTCAGATGCTTTCACTGTTGCTTTTTTAAAAAAACATTTCAATAGCTTGACATATTATTCATTTATATGCAATAGGAAGAATTTACTTTGCTTCATGCTGTATATTTACCACTGCATCGTTCTGGGATTTCTCTTTTTTTGTTGTTGTTGTTTTTAACAAAGTTCATCTGTGTACTAAAAATAATCGCAACAAAATAAATGCAACACACCACACCCCCGCTCTTCTTTATCCTTTTGATACCATTTTCTCTGTGATGTAACTGAGTGATTTTGCAGCAGAAAGCTCCAAAAATTAAACCTGAACTTTCCAAATAGCTTCCTAATAACCGCTGCCCAAATCAATGGGGCTCCATGAATATTTTGACACAGTTTAAATGGGTTTGTATCCTCACCACTGAGATCTGGTGATTTAGCCTGTCAGGCTGCAAATGTGGAAATATCACCTCTCACTGAGCAAAGTCCAATATCTCATTAGAAATGAAAATAGAAGAGAAGGGAAGCACAAATGCTGTCAGTGGCGGTGAGGAAAGAAATTAAACCTCCGGAGGCCTGTATATCTTATACAAAAGATTATGCACTGCCAGGCTATATAAATCATGCCAGGGCTCTGGGGCTGCAATGGGCTAGAAAATAAAAAACCATAAAAGTGTCATATTGAAATACAGTCACTGAGAATTCTTTTATGATGAGTCTAAATTCGCCTGACATTCTCGCAAATTCAGGGGCCTGCTTGGGTTGTTTATCCCCGGCCTTTCTCTGTCAGTCACGAAGTCCCAGTTTCCACAGCAAATTATTCTAAACAGGGCTTATTATCAAGGCATAAAAAAGTTAAAACACAGATGGCTGGAGAGTTCCTGTTTAATTTAAATGCCCTGTGGCCCACATCAATGTGAGTCTGTCTTGCCCTAGATTTACTATCAATAAATTGGCTGCACTTATTAGATGGCAGAGCCCTAAGATGTTGGTGGGAGTATTTCAAATGGAATTAACATGAAGAGATGCAGAGCTGTATACTATCATCTGTGAAATATGGAGAAGGACAAGCAATACATAAACAGGTATGACCACTTGCACCCGGGTCTACATGGGCCAGCATGCCTCCACCAGGATGAAGAGCCTCGTCTGTCATAGGAATTAAATTATCATCTCAGGCTTAATTACCAGTGGCATTTTCTCCCTGAGTTCAGAAAAGTTTTGTTTTGTGTTGTTTTAAATAAATGATTGGCATAACACAACCCAATGGTGATCCAGATTTTCAGAGCAAGTATAGGAGGTTTGGGCCCAGCGAACCAACAGGGTACATACAAGCATTTGATTTGGAATGACATGCTGCCGGTTTGTGAAGATACGGGCCGGCTCTCTTCTTGGCTGATTTATCTTTCAGCACCGCTTGTGCATCAGCCTGTCAGTCAGTGAGTGACACTGTCAGGTTTCTTGGTGTGCTGAGGACACTGCAGTGGGTGACTGGGCAAGTTGAGGAGATGCAGAGAAGCCCCTTGAGGCAAACTCAGCCCAGGGGATCTGAGCTGGGCGTGGAGATGAACAGAATTCCGGGTGCACCAAAAGTTGCCATTAAATGTCCTATTTACGTGAAAAGACAACTGCAGTGTGGCACCATGGCCCTGGGAGAACAGCAGCTTCTTTTTTTTTTTTTGGAGAAAGGTTCTCATTCTGTTACCCAGGCTCATTGCAACCTCTGCCTCCCGGGTTCAAGAGATTTTCCCACCTCAGCCTCCCCAGTAGCTGGGACTATAGGTGTGCGCCACCACACCTGACTGATTTTTGTATTTTTTGGTAGAGACGGGGTGTCATCATGTTGGCCAGGCTAGTCTCAAACTCCTGACCTCAGGTGATCACCTGCCTTGGCCTCCTAAAGTGCTGGGAGGGGCTTCTTAACCATCAACAGAAATGGGCTGGAGCCAGGCAGACCTGGGTTTCAGTCCCAATTTTGCCTTTCAGTAGGTGGTTGCCTGTGAGTTTGTGGCACATTACTTGATTTCTTTGATCTTTGATTCATCTAGGGAAAAAGAGAATAATCTGATCTACCTCTGCGGGTGCTGGTAAGGATTAAATAAGAAGATACATGCAGACCCAGCATGGTGCCGAGCACACTAAGCATTCAGCAAATGGTAACTATGGAAGCCCCGTCACTCCCACCCCTGTCTTACTACACAATGATGGTGGTCTCCTCTCTACCTGAGTCAGACCCATTTAAGGAAATGTGGAAGGAGAAATGCTCCAGGCTCCTCCCCGTTTCCCAAAAAGAACAAAATGAATGGAGACAAGCCGTGAACTTGGCTTTATCACTCTCTTGCATGGTCTGGCTTTAGGGGAAGAAAGAAGACCAGGGAGGAAATCTGCAGTGTGAGCCACTCTTCTCCCCCAGGGTTACTTCTCGGGCTTTTGCATGGGCAATTCTACCTGTAGGTAAAATTTCCATAGGCCCAGGAAACAAAGTAAGTCCAGCAAGTGCTTGGCTAACTGTTGGCAACCAAGGACTTCTGAGATTTTTGCTTATAAGGTTCACCCCAGTTCATGCTTTCAAATGCCCTTGTCTCTCTGCAAAGCCAGCTTCCTTCAAGATTTGTAACTTGGCTTTGGTCAAATAACTTTGAAATTGAATGCTGTATCTCAAGATTGATGGCCCAATAGGCATCAGGACCACATTTGTTTCCTGCCCAGGACTTTTTCAGGGGAGGAGGGATGAATGCGGAAAGGTAGAGCACAATATCAAGGTCCACGAGGGGTGTTCTGCTCCCTTGCCCTACCCCCACATACACACCAACACTACCTGCCTCTCAGCTTCTCTTGCAGCCAGCAGGCCTACTGATCCATCATTTATCACTGTGAGGTGCTGCCTAGAAATCAGGCCCTATGGTTTATTGATGTTGCCACTACTTGGAGGGTCCCGGGAGCCAGGCGCTAGTGGGTTTACTCTTGCAGTGGATGCTGTGGGGCTCTACCCAGATTCTCCTTCAGGACCAAAGCATCATTCCCTCGGCTACCAGGAGCACTGCCTGCTGGTGGCTTACAGTGGAAGCTCTTGGCCTTTGGCCAAAGAGGGCTGCCTTGCTCAAGGATATGACCTCTCCTGGGGGTATCTTGCATTCAATGACTGGCCACTGTGGGGGATACAAAGGCTGGACCCCCTTGCCTCAGTTGGGCCAGTTCTAGGGGCCATCCCAACCCCTGTGTGGCCAGCTGAGGCCTCTGCTGTGACTGCAGCCCAGTTCAGCCTCTCCTGCAGCCCAAGGCTGCTGCCCGCATTCACTCACAGGTGTGGTTCCTATTGGACAACTCTCCAATAGGCCCCCTGGACACAATCTTATTTCAGAGTCTGCTTCCTGGAAAATCTGACATGCCACAATGCTCCCAAAGTCCCTTGGGTGGAGGATTTCATAATGAACAGCCAGGGAGGAAAGACTTTCAGAATGTAAGAGAGAACAATGCGTGACAACCACACCACTGATGTAAATTCAATCTCCAGTCTCCATGACCAGTTCCCCCTCCTGCTCTCCTGGGTGGGTTGGGGGAAGAAGGTAGCTATAGATGTGGTTACAATAAGGTATAGGCTAATGAAATGGTTGAGCCATATTTTTTTTTTCTAGAGTGTCATCACAATCTGAAAATACCATTATCTGTCTGACCCTGAAGGCTTTAATCCATTCTTGGGCAAATTTCTGTGTTTTGGGGGAAATCTAAAAATGAGCCTGTGGAGAGGCATGAGGACTGGTTTATGAGTAGGAGTGGTTAGTCGATCACCTGTTGTATGTGCTTTGAATTAAATGATATAATTCTCTTGCATTATATCCAAAATTCCAATAAAGATCTGATATTTGAGTTTTGAAAAATTCGTCTGTTATCCATATGCAAAAATGATAAGGTGATAGTTTAATACCTTATCAATGACTGGTTGTGGGCTAGCTTAGAGCAAGGGAATGCTTAGAGGGGAGCGGGGATGTGGGTGTGCGGGAGCAGGGGGTTTGTAGGATGAGGTGGCGGGGACAAAGACAAACAACACCTGTTTTTAATTTCTTAGCTGAATACTGTGATGGTATGAGCTCAAACAATGTTTCCCAAAATGCAGTGCCCATATCCCTGGTGAAACCAAAGGGGATAGTAAATGCTACACAAAAAAATTACTGTTTTCATCGTTGTGAATTTGTTACAGTTACCTTCTATTATGGCAAATGTTTTTGGTCTTCTATGTATAGGTAGTGATAAAAAGGTTTCTTTTAAAATAAATTTATTTAAATACAAAATAATTGCTTAAATTAAATATATAGTAGTACAAGTGGCCTTCAGTTAAAAAAATCACAATGGTGGTATGTGAATGATGAAAGTGTGGTTATAAAATCTATTGGCTCCAGAATCAGAGCAGAGAGTTTGCTATCTAGCACATTGTGGAAACTTAGCAAATAGTATATAAAATGCCAAATAACACCATCTAGGCTGCATGTCAAATTGTTAAAACTGCTAACATTTTTGCTGTTTTTGTTGTGTTCCTAACTAAGCTAGTTTTTCCCTCTGCTAAATATTGAGCAGAATTGTTTGAGGACTTTGAGTGTCTAGCATGTTTGCACGGTTGATGAGATTTTGTTACTTATCATGTCCATGTCCATATATTATTGCCCATGAATTACACACCCAACATGTATCAGATATCACTAAAGCCCATTAATGAAACATAAAAAGCTAGAGAATTTAAAGGGAATTGGGGCAGCAGGGGGCTGGAAATCTTCTAGTCTGGAAGATTTCCAGACTAAATATAGAAGCACTTTAAGAACCTTGAGACAACTAGTGGTTTCAAACTTTTTCAGTCACAGAACATTCTGTTCAAATAGTAATAGATCTTACTAAGAAGCCCCTGAGTGCCATGGAGAAAATGATGAAGAACTGCTTGGTTGGAGAGGTGGGGCAGGGGGGTGCTGAGAACAGGAGAGTCCCGCAGGTGATACACAAATGAAGTGTCCCTTCCTCTTTCTGCCAGTGCCCACATCCCACCCAGTTCCAGCCCACCCCTGAGGCTCTTGGGGTGTGGCACACTGTTTGAAAACCTAACCTGAAACAGTTTTCCTTCTTATTCCCTCTGCAACTGTCATTTTGTGTCTGCGGTGTGGTCAATGGGCTTTTATTTTATGGTATGACACAGTGACCGCATACTATCTCTCAGAGCACGACAGATGTGTCTTGCCCAAGGGCGCATATATATATATATATGTATGTGTGTGTATTGAGGGGAAAAACAAACAAATGACCTAGACTATAAGCTCTGTCAGGGCCTGGAGTTTCTGGCTTGT